>NC_000023.11:69962542-71212542 GCF_000001405.40 Homo sapiens | reverse complement strand
ACCTGTCTGCTGCCTATTTACTGTTACTTGAGCCCATCTTCTGGATGGAGTGCGGCTGCTAGAGAGAAGAAAGGCAAGGAAAGAGAAGGGAGGGAAAAGAGGGAGAGCAGGCTGGGCACCTTGGCTCACGCCTGTAATCCCAGCACTTTGGGAGGCCAAGGTGGATCATGAGGTCAGGAGATCAATACCATCCTGGCTAACACAGTGAAACCCCGTCTCTACTAAAAATACAAAAAATTAGCCAGGTTTGGTGGCGGGCGCCTGTAGTCCCAGCTACCCGGGAGGCTGAAGCAGGAGAATGGCGTGAACCCGGGAGGCGGAGCTTGCAGTGAGCCGAGATCATGCCACTGCACTCCAGCCTGGGCAACAGAGTGAGACTCTGTCTCAAAAAAAAAAAAAAAAAAAAGAGAGGGAGGACAAAGGGAAAATTACTACAGCGAACAATGTAAATCCATTTGCTCCTGTGATGCAGGTGAATTCAGCTGCTACCTGGAATCCTAAGCAAACTTTCTTCTTGATTTTTTGAGACAGGGTCTTGGTCTGTCACCCAGGCTGGAGTGCAGTGGCGCCATCACAGCTCACTTCAGCCTCTACCTTTCGGGCTCAAGGGATGGTCCCATCTCAGTCTCCCGAGTAGCTGGGACTACAGGTGCGTGCTGCCACACCGGCTAATTTTCAAATTTTTGGTAGAGATGGGGTCTCGCCATGTTGACCAGGCTGATCTCGAACTCCTGAACTCGAGTGATCTATCCACCTTGGACTCCCAAAGTGCTGAGATAACAGGTGCTCCACCCAGTCTTTCTCATTACAATGAATGTTTTGGGGGAATATTTAAAAACTTTACGTCCAGGCGCAGTGGCTCACGCCTGTAATTCCAGCACTGTGGGAGGCTGAAGCCAGCAGATCATCTGAGGTTGGGAGTTCGAGACCAGCCTGACCAACATGGAGAAACCTCGTCTCTACTAAAAATACAAAATTAGCCAGGCGTGGTGGTACATGCCTGTAATCCCAGCTACTTGGGAGGCTGAGGCAGGAGAATCGCTTGAACCCAGGAGGCAGAGGTTGTGATGAGCCGAGATCGCGCCATTGCACTCCAGCCTGGGTGACAGAGAGAGACTCTGTCTAAAAAAAAAAAAAAAAAAATCAGTCTGCTTATGTCTTGAGATTCACTCAAGGAAATCTTCATTAAATCTTGAGACATACAAGGTAAGAGACCCTAAACACAAGCCTGCTGTCTCCAGCATGGCTCAAACATCAGCCCAAACAAGGGCTTTCCTCATTCCTGTTCCACCGAAGACTAAGAGAGTTGATGGAGCAAACCGATCACATTATTTAAAAGCGCATCTTACCACCGACATTGTCATAGTTCAGAGCTTTAGGCCTCATAAACAGAATTGGCAGCCTGGTGAGAGCTCTGCTCATTACTTCAGGGAGTTGTGGCAGCTGCCTCAGCAACGGCAATCTTGAGGCTTTCTGGGATGGCAGGCAGCAGCACAGCCTCACATGTGGAGTCCATCATCCAGCCCATCCCTGGGCCTCATTACCTAACAAAATGTGGCATTTTGTATGGCTTTGATCAATGAGACAGCATTGCTGTATGACTCAGAAATCAAAGGGACAGCTTCCAATATAAATATTGTTTATGACACACAGGCAAAAACTCTTCCCAAATGGGTCCATAGGCTTAAGGAGATGGCTAACCCTGAGAAGCTGCAGAACATTTCCCAAATCCCCATGCCAGCTCAGGCTGTGGAAGATCATGCAAACTGTTCCCAGCGAGAGGTGCAAGGGAAACATGGAATTGGTCCTGTATTCATAATTGGTATTATTTTTTACAAATCCTTTTCAAAAGGCCACATGATTATATGAATGGATCTATGCCCCAGGAATTCATATTCTTTGAAGAAGCCAACTAGAGGGAGTTATCAGTATTTTTCCAAGGAGGTTTCTGAAGAATTGTACCAGATAGTGCCCCAATTCACTTGAGAGTTAGACGTATGCCATTTGCTCTAAGGACAGTTTGGAGTGGAGAACAAAAGCAAAGTTGAAACCGGGCGCAGTGGCTCACGCCTGTAATCCCAGCACTTTGGGAGGCCAAGACGGGCGGATTACAAAGTCAAGAGATCGAGACCATCCTGGCCAATATGGTGAAACCCTGTCTCTACTAAAGATACAAAAATTAGCTGGGCGTGGTGGCGGGTGCCTGTAGTCCCAGCTACTCAGGAGGCTGAGGCAGGAGAATCGCTTGAACCCGGGAGGCAGAGGTTGCAGTGAGCCGACATCACACCACTGCACTCCAGCCTGGCAACAGAGCAAGACTCCGTCTCAAAAAAAACCAAAAACCAAAACCCCCCCCCCGCCAAAAAAACCAAAAAAACAACTGGAGCTCTAATACATCTTCGTTCTTTTTTGTTTTTGTTTTTGAGACAGGGTCTCATTTTGTCACCCAGGCTGGAGTACAGTGGTGCAGCAATCATGGCTCACTGCAGCCTTGACTCCTTGGGCTCAAGTGATCCTCCTGCCTTGGCCTCCCAAAGTGGTGAGATTACAGGCGTGAGCCACTGAGCCCGGCCCATTTTCATTCTTTTTTTTTGTTTTGAGATGGAGTCTCCCTCTGTCACCCAGGCTGGAGTGCAATGGCATGATCACGGCTCACTGCAACCTCCGCCTCCCAGGTTCAAGTGATTCTCCTGCCTCAGCCTCCACAGTAGCTGGGATTACAGGCATCCACCATCACACCCAGCTAATTTTTGTAGAGACGAGGTTTCACCATGTTGGCCAGGCTGCTCTTGAACTCCTGAGCTCAGGTGATCTGCCCACCTCAACTTCCCAAAGTGTTGGGATTACAGGTGTGAGCCACCGCGCCCCGCCCTTCATTCTTTACATCCATCTTTTTTCTCCCCTCTGGTGCCTGACTCAGGACCTTACATTCATCTTCTAACTAACCTATTCTCCTCAATCTGTTTTTTGTTTGTTTGTTTGTTTGTTTGTTTGTTTGAAGATGAGGTCTCGCTATGTCGCCCAAACTGGCCAGGCTGGTTTCAAACTCCTTGGCTCAAGTGAGCCTCCCACCTCTGCTTCCCAAATTGCTGGGATTACAGGCATGAGCCAGTGTGCCTGGTCTTAATTTGTGCCTTGCACCTGAACAGAACAATCTTGCTCCCAAGTGTTCCGGCCAAATATTTTATCTTCCTATTTCTTTTTTTCTTTGTCTTTTTGAGACAGGGTCTTGCTCTGTCATCCAGGCTGGAGTGCAGTGGCACTCCAATCTCAGCGGCACTCCCATCTCAGCCTCCTGAGTAGCTGGGGCTACAGGTGGGTGCCACCACACTCAGATGATTTTTGTATTTTCAGTAGAGATGGGGTTTCACCATGTTGGCCAGGCTGGTCTCAAACTTCTGAGCCAAAGCCATCCACCTACCTTGGCCTCCCAAAATGTTGGGGATTACAGGCAGGAGCCACTTTTTCTTTTTTTTCTTTTCTTTCTTTCCTTTTCTTTCTTTTTTTCTTTTTCTTTTTTCTTTCTTTCTTTCTTTTTTTTTTTTTTTTTTTTTGGAGAGGGCATCTTCTTCTTTTTTTTTTTTTTTGGAGAGGGCATCTCACTCTGTCACCCCGGCTGGAGTGCAGTGGCCTGAATACAGCTCACTGCAGCCTTGACCTCCTAGGCTCAAGCGATCCTCCCACCTTAGCCTTCTGAGTAGCTGGGACCACAAGTGCATGCCACTATGTCCAGCTAATTTTTTATTTTTATTTTTGTAGAGAGGGGGTCTTGCCATGTTGCCCAGGCTGGTCTCAAATCCCTGGACTCAAGCAATCATCTCACCTCGGCTTCCCAAAGTGCGGGGATGACAGGCATGAGCCACCATGCCCAGTCTCCCTTTTATTTTCATCTTTGCCTTTCCCTTTGATAGACAACTACGGTTTTCCTCTATGGCTTTGCCACCCTGGACCGCCTCGGGTGAAAAGCTCTTCTAGCTGGATCCCCGTAGGATCCTCCTCCCTCTGCTTATTCCAGAAGCAGACACATCCAGAATAAGGATTCCACAATTTTGGGATCCCCTGCTTCAGATATAAAGTAAGGGCTTTGAAGATGCCTCTGAAGGCTCTCTGAAGACGCCTCCATTTTGGTTGTTTTCTTCCTACAAAAGACAAGGATAATTGAGCTACTTCACTGTCTCCTAGGAAATGGGTGTTCAGTGGCATTGCATCTGCCAGCATGAGGGCACTTTGTAGAATGTCAAGCAGTTACTGATTTCTGAATCTGAGCTAGTGCTTTCCAATGAACGTAAACAGCTTTTTCTCACTGCTGACATTCCACTTCACAGTGTTGGGGCTGGGTCGAGCCATAGAACGCACTGGGGTTTGGCTTATTCCTAGAGAAACAATATTGTCTATGTAAATGAGCTACACATATTGATAAAGGAGCCCTTATTGGCTGGGCACGGTGGCTCACACCTGTAATCCCAGCACTTTGGGAGGCCGAGGTGGGCGGATCACAAGGTCAGGAGTTTGAGACGAGCCTGGCCAATATGGTGAACCCTGTCTCTACTAAAAATATAAAAATTAGCCAGGCATGGTGGCAGGCACCTGTAGTCCCAGCTACTTGGGAGGCTGAGGCAGGACAATCACTTGAACCTGAGAGGCAGAGGTTGCAGTGAGCCGAGATTGCACCATTGCACTCCAGTCTGGGCGACAGACAGAGACTCCGTCTCAAAAAAAAAAAAAAAAAAGCCCTTATTGCCTTATTGTTGTTATATGAGTCATACGAACTTCCATAACTAGTTCATACTCATCACAAGCCTTGGAGGCGGGATTGGGGGCGGGGAGGAGGCTTTTGTGTGTGTGCGTGTGTGTGTGTGTGTGTGTGTGTGTGTGTGTGTGTGTGTGTGACGGAGTCTTGCTCTGTTGCAGTGCAGTGGCATGATATCGACTCACTGCAACCTCCACCTCCCGGGTTCAAGCGATTCTCCTGCCTCAGCCTCCCGAGTAGCTAGGATTACAGGCACGTGTCACCACACCCAGGTAATTTTTGTATTTTTAGTAGACACGGGGTTTCACCATATTGGCCAGGCTGGCTTGAACTCCTGACCTCGTGATCCACCCACCTCGGCTTCCCAAAGTGCTGGGATTACAGGGGTGACCACCACAACCAGCCGTTTTGCTCAGTTTTAATAATGATAAGTTTATTGGCAGGGCACGGTGGTTTACGCCTGTAATCCCAGCACTTTGGGAGGCCGAGGTGGGTGGATGGATAATCTGAGGTCAGGATTTCGAGACCAGCCAGGCCAACATGGTGAAACCTCGTCTCTACTAAAAATACAAAAATTAGCCAGGCATGGTGGCAGGTGCCTGTAATAATAATAATAATAATAATTATAATAAGTTTATCTCTGAGCCTGAAGAGGAATTTCTGATGTTGATACCCTGAGCTGGCTACCACTTCCAATTCCGCATTGTGCTGTATATACCCCTTACATTGAAAATCTGGATGTCAGATGACCTTCATAACCTAACCTTCAGCATGTTCAAAACTACCATACATAGTGTGGGATTCCCAAACTGGAAGATATCTTTTTTGTTTTTTTGAGACGGAGTCTCACTCTGTTGCCGAGGCTGGAGTGCAGTAGCGCGATCTTGGCTCACTGCAGCCTTTGCCTCCCAGGCTCAAGCGATTCTCGTGCCTCAGCCTCCTGAGTAGCTGGGATTACAGGTGTGCACCATCATGCCTGGCTAATTTGTTTGTATTTTTAGTAGAGACGGGGTTTCGCCATGTTGGCCAAGCTGGTCTTGAACTCCCGACCTCAAGTGATCCACCTGCCTCGGCCTCCCAAAGTGCTGGGATTACAGGCGGGAGCCACAGTGCCTGGCCCCCAAACTGGAAGATATCTTAAACTGGGTTTCTGCCCTCTCTCTTTTCCTTCTTAACCACATATTTTGAGAGACACTTTTTTTTTTTTTTAGATGGAGTCTCGCTTGGTTGTGGCTGGAGTGCAGTGGCGCAATCTTGATTCATCGCAACCTCTGCCTCTCGGGTTCAAGTGATTCTCCTGCCTCAGCCTCCCAAGTAGCTGGGCCTACAGGCCCACGCCACCACGCCTGGCTAATTTTTTTTTTTTGAGACGGAGTCTCGCTCTGTTGCCCAGGCTGGAGTGCAGTGGCATGATCTCAGCTCACTGCAAGCTCTGCCTCCCAGGTTCACGCCATCCTCCTGCCTCAGCCTCCCAAGTAGCTGGGACTACAGGCTCCCGCCACCACGCTTGGCTATTTTTTATTTTTTTTTTTTTTTGTATTTTAGTAGAGACGGGGTTTCACTGTGTTAGCCAGGATGGTCTCGATCTCCTGACCTCGTGATCCGTCCGCCTCGGCCTCCCAAAGTGCTAGGATTACAGGTGTGAGCCACTGTGCCTGGCCCGCCTGGCTAATTTTTTATTTTTATTTTTATTTTTTAGTAGAGATGGGGTTTTGCCGTGTTGACCAGGCTTGTCTTGAACTCCTGACCTCAGATGATCTTCCCATCTTGGCCTTCCAAAATTCTGGGATTACAGGCATAAGCCACTGCACCTGGCCTCAACGACACCTCTGTATTTGCTGTCTACACTTCTTCATTTCCTATTTACTCTTCAATTCCCCTCCAACCTGGCTTCCTCCACCACTCCCCATTTCATTTAAATAGTTTTTGCCAAGGTCACCTTGTTGCTAAATCCAATGGACACCCTTCAGGACTAGCATCACTGCACCTCTCTGAGGTGTTTGATACAGTTGACCGCTCCCACCTTCATCAAACAATTCATCCTTTTATTTTTCTCCTTTTTTTTTTCTTTTTTTCAGAGACAGAGTCTCGCCCTGTCATCCAGGCTAGAGTGCAGTGGTGTGATCTCAGCTCACTGCAACCTCAGCCTCCTGGGTTCTAGCAATTCTCCTGCCTCAGCCTCCCAAGTAGCTGGGACTACAGGCACACGCCACCACGCCCGACTAATTTTTTGTGTTTTGGTAGAGACAGGGTTTCACTGTGTTGCCCAGGCTGGTCTTGAACTCCTGAGCTCAAGCAATCCACCTGCCTCGGTCTCCCAAAGTGCTAGGATTACAGGCGTGAGCCACTGTGCCTGGCTGTAATGCCTGTTCTTTACAGAAAAACTGAGAAGTACAAAGAAAATCACATGGACACAGAGAGGGGAAAAACACATACTGCGGCCTATTAGAGGGCAGAGAGTGGGAGGAGGGAAAGGATCAGGAGCAATAACGATTGGGTACTAGGTTTAATGTGTACAGCAAACCCCCATAACACAAGTTTACTTATGTAACAACCTGCACATGTACCCCTGCACTTAAAAATGAAAATTAAAACATAAAGAAAATAAAGAAGAAATAATGGTTTATAATAAAATAAGAAATTGAAAATTAAAAAAGGAAAATCAGCCGGGCATGGTGGCTCATGCTTGTAATCCCAGCACTTTGGGAGGCTGAGGCAGGCAGATCACCTGAGGTCAGGGGTTTGAGACCAGCCTGGCCAGCATGGTGAAACCCCGGTCTCTACTAAAAATACAAAAATTAGCTGGGCGTGGTGGCACGCACCTGTAATTCTAGCTACACTGGAGGCTGAGGCAGGAGAATCGCTTGAACCCAGGAGGTGGAGGTTGCAGTGAGCCAAGATTCTGCCACTGCACCCCAGCCTGGGCAACAGAGTGAGACTCTGTCTTAAAAAAAAAGAAAAAAAAAGAAAAAGAAAAAAGAAAATCATAAGGGTGAAAATAAAAATAGTCACCAGGCACGGTGGCTCAAGCCTGTAATCCCTGCACTTTGGGAAGCTGAGGCGGGCGGATCACTTGAGGCCAGGAGTTTGAGACCAGCCTGGCCAACATGATGAAACCCTGTCTCCACTAAAAATACAGAAATTAGCTGGGCATGGTGGTGCATGCATGTAATCCCAGCTACTCTGGAGGCTGAGCCACAAGAATCACTTGAGCAGCCGGGCGCACTGGTTCACGTCTGTAATCCCAGCACTTTGGGAGGCCAAGGCGGGCAGATCATGAGGTCAGGAGATCGAGACCATCCTGGCTAACACGGTGAAATCCCATCTCTACTAAACACACACACACACACACACACACACACACACACACACACACACACACACACACAAATTAGCTGGGCGTGGTAGCGGGTGCCTGTAGTCCCAGCTACTCGGGAGGTTGAGGCAGAAGAATGGCGTGAACCTGGGAGGCGGAACTTTCAGTGAGTCAAGATCGCGCCACTGCACTCCAGCCTGGGCAACAGAGCAAGATTCCGTCTCAAAAAAAAAAAGAAAGAAAGAAAGAAAGAAAGAAAAACAATCGCTCGAACCCGGGAGGCAGAGGTTGTAGTGAGCTGAGATCGCGCCACTGCACTCCAGCCTGGGAGACAGACCAAGACTTCATCTCAAAAAAAAATCCCCAAAAAACAAAAATCATTGCTAACAGATGTGAAACCTTAAAGTCATTTTTCTTTTTTTTCTTTTTTTTTTTGAGACAGAGTCTCGCTCTGTCCCCTGGAGTGCAGTGGCATGATCACAGCTCACTACAGCCTCAACCTCCTTGGCTTAAGTGATCCTCCTATCTCAGCCTCCTGAGTACCTGAGACCACAGGCATGCACCACCATACCCAGGTAATTTTTAAATTTTTTGTAGAGATAGAGCCTCACCTTGTTGCCCAGGCTTGTCTCAAATTCCTGGGCTCAAGTAATCCTTCTACCCTGACCTCCCAAAGTGCTGGGGATTACAGGAGTGAGCCACTGTGCCCAGCCCCTTAAATTCATTTTTCAATAAGAAATATATACATATGCTTTTTAAATAAAATTGTCATCATATGAGACATTATTATTATTATTATTATTATTATTATTATTTTGAGACAGAGTCTTGCTTTGTCGCCCAGGCTGGAGTGCAGTGGCGCCATCTCCGCTCACTGCAACCTCCGCCTCCCGGGCTCAAGCGATTCTCCTACCTCAGCCCCCCGAGTAGCTGGGATTACAGGCGCACACCAACATACCCGGCTAATTTTTGTATTTTTAGTAGAGACGGGATTTCACTATGTTGGCCAGGCTGGTCTCAAACTCCTGATCTCAGGTGATCCACCTGCCTCAGCCTCCCAAAGTGCTGGGAATATAGGCACGAGCCACCGTGCCCGACTGAGATATATTGTTTTGCATCCTGCTTTTTTCACTTTTTTGATGACCATTTTGTAATGTCATTCAGTATGCCTCTAAAACATGGTTTTTAGTGGCTGCATAGTCTCCTTTGATTTTTTTTTTTTTTTGAGACGGAGTTTTGCTCTTGTTGCCCAGGCTGGAGTGGAGTGCAATGGCGTGATCTTGGCTCACTGTAACCTCCACCTCCAACGTTCAAGTGATTCTCCTGCCTCAGCCTCCCAAGTAGCTGGGATTACAGGCGTCTACCACCACACCTGGCTATTTTTTTTTTCTTTGTATTTTTAGTAGAGAAGGGGTTTCACCATGTTGGCCAGGCTGGTCTCGAACTCCTGACCTCAGGTGATCCACCCGCCTCGGCCTCCCAATCCTTTCACCTTTTTTTTTTTTTTTTTTTTTTTTTTGAGATGAGGTTTTGTCCAGGCTGGAGTGTAGTGGCTTTTCACAGGCACCAGCATAGCTCACTGCAGTCTTGAATTCCTGGGCTCAAGCGATCCTCCTGCCTCAGCCTCACAAGTAGCTGAGACTACAGGGACTACAGGAGTGCTGCCTCCAGCTCTCCTTTGATTTTTGTTATAATTTTCTCTACTGGTCTCTCTCTTGTATCTGTGACTGCTCCATGCTTTCTTCTTATTGTGCCCCTTAAATGTTGTTACTCAGAGTTCCTTTCTCTGTTTACTTTTCTTTTCTTTCTTTCTTTCTTTCTTTTCTCTTTTCTTTTCTTTTTTCTTTTTTTTTTTTTTTTTTGAGACGGAGTCTCGCTCTGTCGCCCAGGCTGGAGTGCAGTGGCGCGATCTCAGCTCACTGCAAGCTCCGCCTCCCAGGTTCACACCATTCTCCTGCCTCAGCCTCCCGAGTAGCTGGGACTACAGGCGCCCACCACCAAATCCAGCTAATTTTTTGTGTTTTTAGTAGAGACGGGGTTTCACCGTGTCAGCCAGGATGGTCTCGATCTCCTGACCTCATGATCCACCCGCCTCGGCCTCCCAAAGTGCTGGATTACAGGCATGAGCAACCGCACCCGGCTTTTCTCCCTTCTCTCCCCTCCCCTCCCCTCCCCTCCCTTCCCTTCCCTTCTTTTTTTCTTTCTTTCTTTCTTTTGACAGGGTCTGGCTCTGTCACTCAGGCTGGAGTGCAGTGGCGCAATCTTGGCTCACTGCAACCTCCACCTCCCGGGCTCAAGCAGTTCTCCTGCCTCAGCGTCCCCAGTAGCTGGGATTACAGGCATGTGCCAGCAAACCTGGCTAATTTTTGTATTTTTAGTAGAGACAGGGTTTCAACATGTTGGCCAGGCTGGTCTCAAACTCCTGACCTCAAGTGATCCATCCACCTCAGCCTCCCAAAGTGCTGGGATTACAGGAATGAGCTCCCGCACCTGGCCTAGACAAAATACTTTTTAGGACAGGGAACCATTCATCTCTGTATTAGCACCTATGTGCCTGGCACATAGTAGGTGTTTAGAATATGTTTGATGATGATTGAATGAATGAATGAATAAATGAATGAAAGTGATCAACAAATAAATGACTTGAGGCCTTCAAGCTGTCCTTCAGCTGTCAGCATGAGAATCCAGTCATCTTTTTATCTTGGCCACATTTCAGGCAGCACTTCCAGAATTGGAATGATCTGCACAGCAGCCTTAGCTATTATAAAAGCTGTGTCCAGTATGGCCTGGAGAGACCATAAAGGTGTGTCACACATGCCAACCTATTTGGCCTGCATCATCCATCATGGTTACCCACTCTTCCAAGGTCAAGAATTCCTTTTCAGGGAAAGATTAACTTCTGGATCGTGGTAGCCTCTTTTTCCAAATGGCTCCAAAGAGCTTCTGCTTCCACTTCCTCACCTCTTTAGCACCAGTCACTGCTCTCTCCAGCTACTTGTAACCCACTGGCTTGGGATGATGGGCCTACATTGACCTAAGGCTGATTTTATTTTATTTTATTTACCTATTTATTTTGAGATGGAGTCTTACTCTGTCGCCAGGCTGGAGTGCAGTGGCACAATCTCAGCTCACTGCAACCTCCGCTTCCCAGGTTCAAGCGATTCTTCTGCCTCAGCCTCCCTAGTAGCTGGGACTACAGGTGCACACCACCACGCCCAGCTAATTTTTGTATTTTTAGTACAGATGGGGTTTCATTATGTTGGCCAGGATGGTCTCGATCTCCTGACATCATGTTCCGCCCGCTTTGGCCTCCCAAAGTGCTGATATTATAGGCGTGAGCCACCGTGCTTGGCTGGACCTCAGCTGATTTTAAAGAATGCATGGACAGGCCATGCTTGGTGGCTCACGCCTGTAATCCCAGCACTTTGGGAGGCCGAGGCGGGCAGATTACCTGAGGTCAGGAGTTCGAGACCAGCTTGGCTAACAAGGTGAAACCCTATCTCTACTAAAAACACAAAAATTAGACAGGCCTGGTGGCACATGCCTGTAATCCCAGCTACTTGGGAGGCTGAGGCAGGAGAATTGCCTGAGCATGGGAAATGGAGGTTGCAGTGAGCCAAGATCATGCCACTGAACTCCAGCCTGGACAACAGAGTGAGACTCTGTCTCAAAAAAATAAAATAATAATAAAAATAAAATAAATAAATAAATAAATAAATAAATAAATAAATAAAGCATGGACAGGCCAGGCTTGGTGGCTCACACTTGTAATCCCAGCACTTTGGGAGGCCAAGGAGGGTGGATCACCTGAGGTTGAGAGTTTGAGACCAGCCTGACCAACATGGAGAAACCCCATCTCTACTAAAAATACAAAATTATCTGGGCATGGTGGCACATGCCTGTAATTTTAGCTACTCGGGAGGCTGAGGCAGGAGAATCGCTTGAACCAGAGGTGGAGGTTGTGGTGAGCTGAGATTGCACCATTGCACTCTAGCCTGGGCAACAAGAGAGAAACTCCGTCTCAAAAAAAAAAAAAAAAAAAAAGAATGCGTGGACAAGAAACTTATCTGAGTTGTCACCCTTCCTACCTCATACCTCATCATCCTCAAGCGAACTGTCAGGTTGAAAGTTACTGAGGCTGCTCTGAAGCAAATTGTTGGCGATTTTCCAACAAGGTTTCCCAGATTCTCTTCTCTCAACATATCACTTCATGTTTGGAAACAGGAGTGGGTACTGCTGAATTACTAACGAAACTTGGCACCACAGGTTTCATTTCAATAAATATTTGTTAAGTTCCTGGTACCTACTGTGTACCAGGAACTCTGTTAGGGGCTGTGGAGGATGCAAAATGAATGAGATGAGTCTCATTGGTTGTTTAAATAAGTAGCTCTACTACAAGGTAAGTGAAATCAGTGTTAAACAGAGGTATTAGCAATATGTTGTGGGAACACAGGTAAAAAGGGGAAGGGGGATGGGAAGTCATGTTTACTGAACACCTATGACAGCAAGTCTTGTCACACATGTTTTCACAGAGATTAATTCTGACTAGGGGAATCTGAAATGATTTCATGGACTAGGACGTTTGAGTTGGGCCTTGGAAGGGAGTAGTAGACATTGGATCAGGAAAAAATCAAAGGAAGAATGCTTGAAGTTGAGAGGACATTGTGTAAAAAGGCAACAGGGCATGAAAGTGCATAAGCTGTTCAAGGAACACAGGATATTGGATATGGCTGGGCCATAGGGTATAAAAGGGTAGTGTGGGTAATGAGGCATGGAAAGGTGGGCTGGCACCAGATTTTGGAGGAGTTTTAGTGCCTGGCTTGGAAATTTGAATTTTATTTTTTATTTGGTAGGCAGTGAGGAACCACTAAAAGCTTTTCAGTGAGAATGACAAGGTAGAAACAGTGCTTTAGGGTGATTAACGTGACGGGGTGCACTGGGGACTAAGTAGGCTAGAGGCTGCAAAGGTAGGTAGGAGGCTGTGTCAACAATCTAGGCATGAGATTATGAAGGTTTAATCTAGGGAGGTGGCAATAGTGATGAAAAGGAAGTGACGAATATAATAAGATTGCAAGAGGCAATGTTGTGTGGTACAAAGTACATTGGATGGGGTTTCCAATATCCCTGAGTTCTAGTCTTTTTTTTTTTTTTTTTGAGACAGAGTCTCACTCTATCGCCCAGGCTGGAGTGCAGTGGCGTGACCTCCGCTCACTGCAACCTCCACATTCCGGGTTCAAGCAATTCTCCTGCCTCTGCCTCCTAAGTAGCTGGGACTACAGGCCCCCACCACCACGCCCGGCTAATTTTTGTATTTTTAGTAGAGACGGGGTTTTGCCATGTTGGCCAGGCTGGTCTCGAACTCCTGACGTCAGATGATCTGCCCGCCTCGGCCTCCCAAAGTGTTGGGATTACAGGCGTAAGCCACTGCGCCTGGCCCCTGGGTTCTAGTCTTGACTTCCATTCACAGGCTGTATTGCCTTGCCTCCCACAGACTCAATTTTTTCTTTTGAAAAAGGCGAAGCTGGCTGGGCGTGGTGGCTCACGCCTTTAATCCCAGCACTTTGAGAGGCCGAGGTATGCGGATCACCTGAGGTCAGGAGTTTAAGACCAGCCTGGCCAACATGGCACACCCCCATCTCTACTAAAAACACAAAAATTAGCCGGGCCTGGTGGCACGCGCCTGTAGTCCCAGCTACTCAGGAGGCTGAGGCAGAAGAATTGCTTGAACCCGGGAGGCAGAGGTTGCAGTGAGTCGAGATCGCGCCATTGCACTCCAGCCTGGACAACGAGAGTAAAATTCCGTCTCAGAAAAAAAAAAAAAAAAAGAAAGAAAAAGAAAAGAAAAAGAAAAAGGCGAAGCTGGAGAAATAAGTACCTTTAAGGTTTCCTACAGCTGGAATATGCTTAACGACTGTACTGCATGGGGCTTTATGTAGGACTAACTGACCAGACTTGGTAAAGGATTAACTAACTAGGAAAATGGAGGTGCCATGAATAGGATAGTGGAGTCAAAGAGGGAAGCTAGTAGTATGGGGAAAGATGATGTGCAGACATGCTGGGTGTGAGGTGTTAGTGGAACACCTAGCTGACTGTACAAAGGGTGGGATAGCAGCTCTGAAGCAGGCAAGGGTGGGAGAGATTTCGGATTTGGCAACCAAAAGCCTGAAAGCAACACTAGAAGCTATGCAGACAGATGAGTTTATCGAAAGAGGAAATGAGTATATGAGAGCAAAGAGCGAAGAACCATGGGAAGTGAGAAAAGCTGGTGGGGGGAAGACAAGGAAGGAACAACTGCCTGTGAGCCTTGAACAAGCTACTTCCATTTTCTGGCTCTTTAGTCTCCTCATTTGTAAAATGAGGGGGCTGGAGTAAGTAAGCTCTATAAGGCTCTCAGCTGTGACATCTATGCATAATCACAGAAGATCGAAGTGTACAGAACACCATGGAAACTGAAGAGAGATTCTGAAAGGAGGCTTTAAGAGGTCACTTGCATCCAATGCTGCAGAAGTGTCAGAGACTGAGGACTTAAATGAAGCCACTGATTAGCAATTTAAAGATCCTCTCCAAGGTAAGGACCCCTCCCTCTCAAGCCACTACTTTTCTATGACCTTTCTCCTACCATCTCTAAATGTGAACATTCTGTAAAATTCCGTTCTCTGGCTGGGCGCCGTGGCTCACGCCTGTAATCCTAGCAGTTTGGGAGGCCGAGGCGAGCGGAGCACCTGAGGTCGGGAGTTTAAGATCAGCCTGACCAACATGGAGAAACCCCATCTCCACTAAAAATACAAAATTAGCCGGGCGTGGTGGCGCATGCCTGCAATTCCAGCTACTTGGGAGGCTGAGGCAGGAGAACCACTTGAACCGGGGAGGTGGAGGTTGCTGTGAGCTGAGATCGTACCATTGCACTCCAGCCTGGGCAACAAGAGCAAAACTCTGTCTCAAAAAAAAAAAAATTTCGTTCTCTGCCCTCCAGGGAGACTTAGCCACACTCCCATAGCAACTGTTATCTCTACAAGGTAGATCAGAAATCTCTGGTTCATACCTTCCTTTCGCACCTCAATTCACATTTCCAACTGTCTATTGGACATTTCCACCAGTCACTGAAATTTAGCTTGCAGTAAAATTAATAATACTAATGATAATAGCATTATTTAAATTTAAATAGTATTAAATTAAATAGTATTATTTAAATTATTAAATTTAGCTTGCAGTAAAATTAATAATACTAATGATAATAGCTAACACTCAGTACTTAATTTTGGGTCCTGTACTAAGCATATCACATATGTTATCTCCTTTACATCCTATAACAATCCTACAAGGTAGGTATTTTATTATCCCCACTTTGTCGATGAGGAAGCTGAGGGTCAGAGATTTTTTCTTTTTTTGAAACAGAGTCTTGCTCTGTTGCCCAGGCTGGAATGCAGTGGCGTAAGCTTGGCTCACTGCAACCTCCATCTCCTGGACTCAAGTGATCCACCCATCTTAGCCTTCTGAGTAGCTGGGACTACAGGTGCCTGCCACCATGCATGGCTAATTTTTCTATTGTTTGTAGAGACAGGGTTTCACCATGTTGCCTATAGCTGGTCTCGAACTCCTGGGCTCAAATGATCCACCCACCTCGGCCTCCCAGAATGCTGGGAGTACAGGCATGAGCCACAGCACCCAGCCCAGAGATGTTAAATAATGTCTAAGGTCACATAACTGGGGTGTCACGTAGTCAAGATTCTTCCTGATTCCACAGCCTGAGAGCTTAATAGCTTCACTATAATCGATCTAAAAATCAAGTCATTATATTTATTTCCCAAATCAGATCACCTCCCTTACTTCTCTATTTCTACTTCTACTTCACTCTCCCCCAGTATCTTTTCATTGGCTTAGAACAGGCCCTCATCCCCTCCTGCTCAGACAATTATGAAAGTGTCTCAAATGGTCTCCCCACTTGCAGTTTTACCCTTCCAATTCCGGACATGTGATCAATCCGGCTTAAAAAAACCTCTGAAGGCTCCCATTATCTAGATTACAGAATAAAGTCCAAACTCCTGAACATGGCTAAAGGAGTCCCTTCACAGTCTAGCCCCTAGCAGCCTGCAGTTTAGCTGCACTGAACTGTTAGTCATCCCCAACCATGTCACAGACATTTACATCTGAATGCCTTTCCTCATGTGTCCCTCTACCTGGAGTGCCCTCCCCACTCTTCACTGGGATAACTTCTACTCATCTTTCAAATCCCAACGTCATCTTCTCTGTGAAGATTTCTCAGATTCCCAACCCCTTCTTCTGATAGAAATTATGTTCCCTTCTTGTGCTCCTGGATCTCGATGTCTGTCTCTTACTACACTATGAGACCTTGGGGGTGATGACCACATCCTGTTCTTTTTTTTTCTTTTTTTCTTTTTTTTTTTTGAGACAGAGAATGAGATATGACCAAACAGTTTTAAGGAGCTAAGGTTGACTTTAGGTACCAAATGCTAACAAAGCCCTCATGAGAAAACTGGCCTGGTACCTGGCTTACAGGGATCCCAGCCTTATTATTGTTTACAAAACAAGCCTAGTCTCATTAGAGTCAGTATTATTGCCTGGGTGGGTGCAGTGGCTCATGCCTGTAATCCCAGCACTTTGGGAGGCTGAGGCAGGCGGATTACTTGCCCAGGTAAGTCACAAGGTCACTTCTTGGCAGAAACCTTAAGATATTTATGGGACTTTGAGAAGAGAGGAATTCACCCAGATTTATAGATACCACAGGTGAAATCTGGTCACAAGTTCTTGGCTTGGCTTCCTAGCCTCCAGAAGGCTTTTAAAAATCTAATATGAGGCCAGGCGCGGTGGCTCACGCCTGTAATCCCAGCACTTTGGGAGGCTGAGGTGGGTAGATCACGAGGTCAGGAGATCAAGACCATCCTGGCCAACATGGTGAAACCCTGTCTCTACTAAAAATACAAAAATTAGCCGGGTGTGGCGGCGCATGCCTGTAGTCCCAGCTACTCAGGAGGCTGAGGCAGGAGAATTTCTTGAACCTGGGAGGAGGAGGCTGCAGTGAGCCGAGATCATTCCATTGCACTCCAGCCTGGCGACAGAGTGAGACTCTGTCTCAAAAAACAAACAAACAAAAAAAAACAAAAACAAACAAACAAACAAATCTAATATGAGATTCCAGGCTGGGCACCGTGACTCATGCCTATGATCCCAGCACTGTGGGAGGCCAAGGTGAGTGGATTGCTTGAGCCCAGGAATTTGAGACCAGCCTGGGCAACATGACAAAAACCCATCTCTACTAAAAATATAAAAAATTAGCCAGGGATGGTGGCATGCACCTGTAGTCCCAGCTACTAGGGAGGCTGAGGTGGGAGGATCATCTGAGTCTGGGAGGTCAAGGCTGCTGTGAGCCTAGATTGCGCCACTACACTGCAGCAGGGGTGACAGGACGAGACCCTATCTCAAAAAAAAAAAAAAAAAAAAAAAGAAAATGGGCCAGGCGTGGTGGCTCACGCCTGTAATCTCAGCACTTTGGGACGCCAAGGCGGGAGGATCACAAGGTCAGGAGATGGAGACCATCCTGGCCAACATGGTGAAACCCCGTCTCTACTAAAAATACAAAAATTAGCTGGGCGTGGTGTCATGGGCCTGTAGTCCCAGCTACTCCGGAGGCTGAGGCAGGAGAATCCCTTGGACCTGGGAGGTGGAGGTTGCAGTGAGCTGAGGTCATGCCACCGCACTCCAGCACTCCAGCTTGGCCACAGAACAAGACTCTGTCTCAAAAAAAGAAAAGCAAAAAAAGAAAAAAAAAAAGAAAATAAGGCTGGGCGCGGTGGCTTGCGCCTGTAATCCCAGCACTTTGGGAGGCCAGGGCGGGTGGATCACTTGAGGACAGGAGTTCGAGACCAGCCTGACCAACACGATGAAACCCTGTTTCTACTAAAAATACAAAATTAGCCAGCATGGTGGCACATGCCTGTAATCCCAGCTAAGTGGGAGGCGGAAGCAGGAGCATTGCTTGAATCTGGGAGGCAGAGGTTGAAGTGAGCCAAGATCGCGCCACTGCACTCCAGCCTGGGCGACAGAGCGAGACTCCATCTCAAAAAAGGAAAAAAAACTCCAGGCATGGTGGCTCACGCCTGTAATCCCAGCACTTTGGGAGGCCGAGGTGGGTGGATCATGAGGTCAGGAGATTGAGACCATCCTTGCTAACATGGTGAAACCCCATCTCTACTAAAAAATACAAAAAATTAGCCAGGCGTGGTGGTGGGCGCCTGTGGTCCCAGCTACTAGGGAGGCTGAGGCAGGAGAATGGTGTGAACCTGGGAGGCAGAGCTTGCAGTGAGCTGAGATCGCGCCACTGCACTCCAGCCTGGGCGACAGGGTGAGACTCTGTCTCAAAAAAAAAGAAAGAAAAAAAAAAGAAACAAATCTGTCACAAGATGACTGTTGAATTTCTTGAGAGAAAGAATGTTGGTCTCTAGTGTGACATATTCCTCATGGATTTTTTTTTTTATTTAGGATGAGTTAGATTATTGTTGCTTCGGAAAAGGCAATATTACAAAAAGAGGGAAGGAGTTGATTTAAAGGCAATTTAAAGAAAAATGTTAAGTAAATAATAGTACAAGTAGTCATGCAAATAGAGCAAAAATCGTGAATGTGATACTTGAATAACTAAAGTTTGGGAAATATTGCCAGAATATTCAGGTGAGAACTAAGCTAAACTGTGTCCTGGGAGAGTCTAGCAAGATACTCTTGCATTTAACTGCAAAAAAGGTTAAATTACCAATCCAGTTGGTATGCAGGGGACAGATTCCTCATCCTGACCTGCTGGACTCTAAGGCAAGGCTGAGGGGAGCATAGCCTAAGAGTACAGGTGCATGGGCAGGCTCATCAGCTGGACTCATCAGCTCATCATGGGCAGGAACAGCTGGGGCAGGGCAAGGATGAGGACAAAGGCAGAGCAGCCCCAAACTTGCTGGCTCTAGATCTGTGTTTCCAGTGGTCTTCCAAACATCTCTTGGATGTTCCTCAGGCACCTCTACTGATGTGCTGAAGTCAGCTTGTACTGGCAGCCAATTGTTATTTTTTATTTTACTTTATTTTATTTTTTGAGATGGAGTCTCACTCTGTCACCCATGCTGGAGTACAGTGGTGCGATTTTGGCTCACTGCAACCTCCGCCTCCCAAGTTCAAGCAATTCTTCTGCCTCAGCCTCCCGAGTAGTAGGGTGGGCAACACAGCAAGTCCTCATCTCTACAAAATACTTTAAAAATTAAGAAAAATAAATAAAAATTTAAAAATAGGCTGGGCGCAGTGGCTCACACCTGGTAATCCCAGCACTTTGGGAGGCCGAGGCAGGTGGATCACAAGGTCAGGAGTTTGAGACCAGCCTGGCTGGCATGGCGAAACCCCATCTCTACTAATAATACAAAAAACTAGCCGGGCATGGTGGAGCGCGGCTGTAGTCCCAGCTACTCAGGAGACTGAGGCAGGAGAATTGCTTGAACCCAGCAGGCGGAGGTTGCAGTGAGCTAAGATCATGCCACTGGACTCCAGACTGGGTGACAGGGTGAGACTCCATCTCTAAATAAATAAATAAATAATGAAATAAATAGATAAAAATTAAAAAATAGAAAATTAGCCTGGTGTGGTCCTAGCTACTTGGGAGGCTGAGGCAGGAGGATCACTTGGGCCCAGGAGCTCAAGGCTGCAGTGAGCTATGATCACATCACTGCACTCTAGCTTGGTGACAGAGTGAGAACCTGTCTCTAGAAAAGAAAAGAAAGAAAGAAAGAAAGAGAAAGAAAGAAAGAGAGAAAAGACTATTCTATTCCAATAGGGGAGAAAGATGGAGTTCAACTCCAAATACAGTACAAATACAGTAAGGACACATGGGGATTTATTTATAGCCGAGGAGTGGGGTAAGGGGTCAGTGGATGGACAATTACTGAGAGGAGACATCAAGAGTAGGGCCAAGGATTTAGAGATCAAAAGTAGGGGAATGGCCGGGCGTGGTGGCTCATGCCTGTAATCCCAGAGCTTTGGGAGGCCGAGGCAGGTGGATCACGAGGTCAGGAGTTTGAGACCTGTGTGGGCAACATGGCAAAACCCCGTCTCTACTAAAAGTACAAAAATAGTAGCTGGGTGTGGTGGCAGTTGCCTGTAATCACAGCTACTTGGGAGGCTGAGGCAGGAGAATCGCTTGCACCCGGGAGACAGAGGTTGCAGTGAGCTGAAATCGTGCCACTGCACTCCAGCCTGGGCGACAGAGTGAGACTCTGTCACCACAAATAAAATAAAATAAAATAAAATAAAATAAAATAAAATAAAATAAAAAATAAGGCCAGGTGCCGTGGCTCATGCCTGCAATCCCAGCACTTTGGGAAGCTGAAGCGGGCGGATCACAAGGTCAGGAGTTCGAGACCAGCCTGGCCAATACAGTGAAACCCCATCTCCACTAAAAGTACAAAAATTAGCCGGGCTTGGTGGTGGGAACCTGTAGTCTCAGCTACTCAGGAGGCTGAGGCAGGAGAATCGCTTGAACCTGGGAGGTGGAGGTTGCAGTGAGCCGAGATCACGCCACTGTACTCTAGCCTGGGCGACAGAGCAAGACTCTGTCTCAAAAAATAAATAAAATAATAAAATAAAATAAAAGTACAACAATTAGCCAGGCGTAGTGACGGGCACCTGTAATCCCAGCTACTTTGGGGGCTGAGGCATGAGAATCGCTTGAACCCAGGAGGCAGAGGTTGCAGTGAGCCAAAATCGCGCCACCGCTTTCCAGTCTGGGCGACAGAGCGAGACTCTGTCTCAAAACAAACAAACAAACAAACAAACAATCCAACCAAAACAAAACAAAAAGTGGGGCAATGAAGAACTTGATCAGATATCAATGGTAGGGGGATAACTTAGCAGGATTCCCTGCTAAGACTTGACTGAGCAGGACAAAGACAGGACAAGGGCCAAAGTAGAGGTCTAGTCAAAAAGAGAGCTCAGAGGAGCCTAAATAAAGTTTGGTCAGTGAGAGATTCTTTGTCATTCCCTCCTTTTGTTCAAGGCAGGAAGTGACATTCTTCTTTCCTGTGAACAGTTTAAGTCATTTCTCATTCAGTAGCCTTTTGTTCATTAAGGACCAGCTGAACCATGTGTTAAGACTTGGTAGTAGAGGATATTTGCAATCAGGTATTTAATGAGGGTGGTTTCTGTGAAAACAAAAGAAAAAAAAAAGACTGATGGTTGGAGCAGACTATAAATTCATGAGTCCAGAGGGCAACCAGTTGAGAAGATTTCTATACACTGGGCTTGAAGCATCTTTAGATGGTGGAGTGAGGACAGCAGTGGCAAGCCAAGGGATTTTCTGGTTTGCAGTTTGGGTGGTTATTTCCTGGAGCAAAGCATGGAAGAGCATGGAAGTTCCACTGAACTTCCTGAGTGGCCCACACAGCAGCAGGCACGAAGGTTGTTCATACATGATCTGCTTTGGTGACGACTCCTTTGAAGGTTTATTATCAAGGTGTCTTGCTTTAGCTTGTAGGGCTTCTTTAGATCCTGGGGAGAAAGAAAGTCAACTACAAGACAACCTAGAGTCCCAATAAGGATCTAGGCAGTCAGGTTTTAGTTCCCAGTGTCACCAAGTCAGGGGGGTGGGAAAAAAATTGGAAAGACCAATTTAGAGAGTTGTAGCTAGATATTGAAGGAAACTGGAAGAATTGTGAACTTGTTGAGGACTAACAAAATGCACAAGACAGCAGAATCTAGTCCAATTTACAGGTAGATAACAAAGTAGAACGTAAAATGCAGATTGCCAAGTGGTGAAAAATATTTCAAAGACAATGAACAGGACTAGAGTCTAGTAACCCACAAGGATGTGCTAAAGTTTTCTATTGAAACATAAAATTTCTTTCTACAGTCACCCCCCCTTTTTGATCAATGGCAATCAAAATCAGTGTGCAGAAGGGGGGATTAAAAACAAACAAACAAGGCCGGGCATGGTGTGGCTCACGCCTATAATCCCAGCACTTTGAGAAGCCGAGGCAGGGGAATCACCTGAGGTCAGGAGTTCGAGACCAGCCTGGCTAACATGGTGAAACCCCGTCTCGACTAAAAATACAAAAATTAGCTTGGCATAGTGGCATGTGCCTGTAATCTCAGCTATCCAGGAGGCTGAGGCAGGAGAATCGCTTGAATCCGGGAGACAGAGGTTGCAGTGAGCCGAGATCATGCCACTGTATTCCAGCCTGGGTGACAGAGGGAGACTCTGTCTCAATTAAAAACAAAAACAGGCCAGGTGCGGTGGCTCACACCTGTAATCCCAGCACTTTGGGAGGCCGAGGCGGGTGGATCACGAGGTCAGGAGATCGAGACCATCCTGGCTAACATGGTGAAACCCCATCTCTACTAAAAAATACACACACACACACAAATTAGCTGGGCATGGTGGCGGGCGCCTGTAGTCCCAGCTATTTGGGAGGCTGAGGCAGGAGAATGGCGTGAACCTGGGAGGCGGAGCTTGCAGTGAGCCAAGATGGCGCCACTGCACTCCAGCCTGGGTGACAGAGCGAGACTCCATCTCAAAAACAAAAACAAAAACAAACAAAACAAACAAACAAACAAAAAAGATAATCAAAGTAAGGTTATTCTTTTTTGTTTTTGTTTTTGAGAGGGAGTTTCACTCTTATTGCCCAGGCTGGAGTGCAATGGCATGATCTCAGCTCACTGCAACCTCCACCTCCCAGGTTCAAGCGATTCTCCTGCCTCAGCCTACCAAGTAGCTGGGATTACAGGCATGCACCACCACGCCCAGCTAATTTTGTATTTTTAGTAGAGACGGGGTTTCTCCGTGTTGGTCAGGCTGGTCTCGAACTCCTGACGTCAGGTGATCCACCTGCCTTGGCCTCCCAAAGTGCTGGCATTATAGGCGTGAGCCAGCCACCACACCCGGCCAGTAAGGTTATTCTTGTTTACAAACCAAGTCTGGTTTCATTAGATTTGGTGTTATTGTCTGGGCATGGTGGCTCATGCGTGTAACCCCAGCACTTTGGGAGGCGGAGGCAGGTGGATCACTTGAGGTCAGGAGTTTGAGACCAGCTCAGCCAACATGCTGAACCCTGTTTCTACTAAAAAATACAAAAGTTAGCCAGGTGTGGTGGCACATGCCTGTAATCCCAACTACTTGGGAGGCTGAGGCAGGAGAATCGCTTGAACCTGGGAAGCAGAGGTGGCAATGAGCCGAGATCACGCCACTGCACTGCAGCCTGGGTGACAGAGTGAGACCCTGTCTCAAAAATAAATAAATGAATAAATAATAAATAAATGAATAAAATAATTTGGTGTTATTGTTTACATAAGAGCGGCAAGAATGGTATGTGGCCACATAGGCCTTTTTCAGTCTGCTTTGCTGTAACTTTTAATAAGGAAACTCATACTAGTTTTTTCTTTTCTTTTCTTTTTATTTGAGATAGGGTCTCACTTTGTTGCCCTAGCTACAGTGTAGTGGCGCAATCTAGGCTCACTGCAGCCTCGACCTCCCGGACTCAGATGATCCTCCCACTTCAGCCTCCCTAGTAGCTGGGACTACAGGTGCATGCCACCATCCCTGGCTAATTTTTTATATTTTTAGTAGAGATGAGGTTTTGTCATGTTGCCCAGGCTGGTCTCAAACTCCTGGGCTCAAGCAATCCATTCACCTTGACCTCTCACAGTGCTGGGATCATAGGAATGAGCCACGGTGCCTGGCCTGGAGTCTCATATTAGATTTTTAAAAGCCTTCTGGAGGCTAGGAAGCCAAGCCAAGAACTTGTGACCAGATTTCACCTGCAGTACTTATAAATTTGGGTGAATTCCTCTCTTCTCAAGGTCCCATAAATATCCTAAGATTCCTGAGCCTGCCTGCCATGAAGTGACCTTGTATCTTACCTGGGGAAATGATCCACCGCCTCGGCCTCCCAAAGTGCTGGGATTACAGGCATGAGCCACCGTGCCCGGGAAATAACACTGAATCTAATGAGACCAGGCTTCTTTTGTAAACAAGAATAAGGCTGGGATCCCTATAAGCCAGGTACCAGGTCATTTTTCTCATGAGGGCTTTGTAATCTTTTGGTCCATAAAGTCAACCTTAGCTCCTTAAAACTGTTTGGTTATATCTCATTCTATGCATACTATTCTCGAATATGACATTCCAGTCAGAGTCTTGGTTATAGAACCAATGTTTTCAGTTATGTCCTGTTAGAAGGAGGACAGATTCTTATTGGATTTATGCAGATAATTATATTGCTATGAAAATAAGAATACTCAATAAGAGTTCCCAAATTCCACAGGAATCAGTCAGAGAGAGAAGATAAATATCTCATTTCTGTTTATAAAAGTCGGGCACGGTGGCTTATGCCTGTAATCGCAGCAGTTTGGGAGGCTGAGGTGAGTGGATTACCTGAGGTCAGGAGTTCGAGACCAGTCTGGCCAACATGGCAAAACCCTGTCTCTACTAAAAAATACAAAAGTTAGCCAGGTGTGGTGGTACTGCCTGTGATCCCAGCTACTAGGGAGGCTGAGGCAGGAGAATCACTTGAATCTGGGAGGCGGAGGTTGCAGTGAGCCAAGATCGCGCCACTGCACTCCAGCCTGGGCAACAGAGTGTGATTCCATCTCAAAAATAAATAAATAAATAAATAAATAAATAAATAAATAAATAGGCCAGGCGCAGTGGCTCATGACTGTAATCCCAGCACTTTGGGAGGCCGAGGTGGGCAGATCACGAGGTCAGGAGATCGACACCATCCTGGCTAACACGGTGAGACCCCGTCTCTACTAAAAATACAAAAAAATTAGCCGGGCGTGGTGGTGGGTGCCTGTAGTCCCAGCTACTCAGAAGGCTGAGGCAGGAGAATGGCGTAAACCCGGGAGGCGGAGCTTGCAGTGAGCTGAGATTGTGCCACTGCACTCCAGCCTGGGCGACAGAGCGAGACTCTGTCTCAAATAAATAAATAAATAAAAGTATAATCTACTAGTTGTTATGAGTATAGATAACTGAAAAGAAAAAAGGGCTTTCTTAAATCCAGCAGCAATATTCTAAATAAAAACCATAATAATCTTTCATCAGTTTATTCAGTCCTATGTAATTAATTCTTGTTCTGTTAAGATATTGGGTTAGCAGTTTTGTGATCCCATTGGCTTCTCCACTGGAGTTCTGGAAATCTCGACTTAGTCCAGTGGTACAGTCTCAAAGTTATTTAAGCAATGCCATCAGAAGCCTGTGCTCTCAGAGTATCTGGTATAGTTCTTTCCATGGGTCTCTGAGACCAATTGTTAAAATTTTAGGAATTTTTCGAGTGATTGATGTCACATTAGGGGTGGCTTGAAATTAGGGGTGGGAGTATTTACCACAGAAATTGGTTCATCAAGCCTTTTCCCACCATCTAGAACCAGTAGTTAAATGTCTTCGAGCACATCACTGGGTACCTCCAACTCAACATATGCCAAACTGAATCACTTATCTCCCTCCATAAAACCTGCTCCCCATCCTAGATTCCCAGTCCCTATATGAATGATGTCACCACAGGCCCAGTTTCTCAAGCAAAAATTTTTTTGAGTTGTTTCTGACTCCTTTTTCCCCCCTCACTGACCACATCAATCACTTAGTCTTGTCAATTCTCCTTCAGAAATGTTTTCCCGAACTAATCCTCTCTGTCACTATCTTAGTTCAAGCTCTTATCATTTTTTTTTTTTTTCGAGACGGAGTCTTGCTCTATTGCCAGGCTGGAGTGCAGTGGCGCAATCTCGGCTCACTGCAACCTCCGCCTCCTGGGTTCAAGTGATTCTCCTGCCTCAGCCTCCTGAGTAGCTGGGATTACAGGCATGTGCCACCATGCCCAGCTAGTTTTTGTATTTTTAGTAGAGATGGGGTTTCACCATGTTGGCCAGGATGGTTTCGATCTCTTGACCTTGTGATCTGCCTGCCTCGGCCTCCCAAAGTGCTGGGATTACAGGCATGAGCCACCGCGCCCGGCCGCTCGTATCATTTTTTTTTTTTTTGCCTGCACAGTTGCAAGAACATCTTGAGTTATCTGCCTGCCTCCAGTGCAACCAGATACTGTCCCCTGTGGTCTTTCTAAAACACCCCAGTGCAATACAGGTACTTGCTGACATAAAGACCACAGTTGGCTCCCCTTTACCTATGGGAGAGTATCCAAGATCTTCAGCAGCTCTCAGAAAAGCCTTTATAATTTGGCCTTAGGTCTTCTTCAGATTCATGTTCCCCACCCCTCCCTACCATGTACCCATTGTCCTGTATGAATTGCTTACTGTCCCCCAAATGTGCCTTACTCTTTAAAAACTTTATTCCCTCTGCCTGAAATCCTCCTCACCACTCTGAGCCTGGAAAATTTCTCTACTTCTTCTTTTTTTTTTTTTTTGAGACGGAGTCTTGCTCTGTCACCCAGGCTGCAGTGCAGTGGTACGATCTCGGCTCACTGCAAGCTCCACCTCCCGGGTTCACGCCATTCTCCTGCCTCTGCCTCCCGAGTAGCTGGGACTACAGGCGCCTGCCACCTCGCCCGGCTAATTTTTTTGTATTTTTAGTAGAGACAGGGTTTCACTGTGTTAGCCAGGATGGTCTTGATCTCCTGACCTCATGATGATCTCCTGACCTCGTGATCCACCCACCTCGGCCTCCCAAAGTGCTGGGATTACAGGTGTGAGCCACCGCGCCCGGCCAAAATTTCTCTTCTTCTTTAAAGACCCAGCTCAGAGTTAATATTCTTTGTGGGCCAGGCCCAGTGGCTCATGGCTGTAATCCCAGCACTTTGGGAGGCTGAGGTGGGCGGATCACTTGAGGCCAGGAGTTCAAGACCAGCCTGGCCAACATGGAGAAACCTCGTCTCTACTAAAAATACAAAAATTAGCTGGGCATGGTGGCCCATGCCTGTAATCCCAGCTACTTGGGAGGCTGAGGAAGGAGAATCGCTTGAACCTGGGTGGCAAAGGTTGCAGTGAGCCGAGATCGCAACACTGCACTCCAGCCTGGGCAACAGAGTGAGACTCCATCTAAAAAGAAAAAATTATTTGCGAACTCTGTCAGGATAAGTTAGTATTCCCTACCCCCATCCCCACACAGTTTGTCTGTGCCTCTAATATAGAACTTATCACACAGTATTGGAGATACCTGTAAAACAGGTCTGGCTCCCCTACCGGACTGTGTGTTACCTCAGAGCCTAGCATGGTACTTGGAACATGGCAAGAGCTCAAAAAATGCTGTTGAAAGAGTAGATGGAAGGGTGAATAAGTGAAGTTGGTCCCTGCTCTCGTAGACTGTTTCCTGCTTTGTTGTACAGAAGCCCCTTCCTGAAGCACCTGTTCTGGTGCCCCCAGCTCCTGCGTCCTACCTTAGTGCCCTATCTGGCACCTTCATCTTCACAGGGATAGTGCTTGTCTAGCTCTTGCCAGACCTTTTGACACCTGGCATCCTTCCCTGGAAGCCCAGGCCCCATGGCAGGGCCTCTGTCACTGGCTGCCAGACACTCTGGCTGCCAACCACCTGCCTGTCTGGGCTTCCTCCTGGCTTCTGCTGCATCCTGGTTACCCAGATGCTTGCTCTACCTGCCTGTCTAAATAGCTGGCTGAGGCTCTGCTTCTACTTCTGGGATCTTCTGCTTTACCCTGGACCATCTGTCTGCTCTCAAAGTCCTGACCCTCCCTGTTCTAGCATCCCCTGTCACCAAAGGAATCCAACTTCTATCACTGTCCTTCTAAAAGATAAGGTAGAGCATACTGATTAAATGCACAGGCTCTAGACTTTAATTTCCTAGATTCAAATCCCACTTCTTTCACTTACAGCTAGTTGTGTGGTGTTGGGGTAAGTCACTTCATCTCTTTGAACCACAGCTGGCTCATCTGCAAAATGGGCATGATAATGATACCTACATCAGAAGGTCACTGTGAGATTTAAAGAAGATAACATGCTTAATATATACCTGGCACCTAAGTAAATATCCAAGAACTATTTTCTATCGTTATTGTTTTTATGTTTCCAGTATCTACGACAGAATTGGCACTCAACAAACGTGTGTTGAGAGGGGAGGAGGAAAAGAAATAACAATCACTGGTTATTCCATTTCCTGATCAAAGTCGATTCCATTTGCTAATCCCACTCCCACCTCGGGAGGCAAATACCTTATCTCCATTTGGTTCTGTCACTCAGCTATTTCTGCAATCCCATGTCCTCTAGGAATCCTTTGCAGTTGAGAGCCAATAGCTTTCCTGGTCCCAATCTGCCTAGATAAACAAAAAACTCTCACGATTGCCCACTCCCACTTTTCATCTCAGTTACATGCATTTATCCTGATTCCTTCCCCCTGAAATTGCACTGACCCCAGATGTGTGGCTGGTGTGAACATTTGTGGATTACACATTTTACACATGAACCTACTTCTCCCCACCCTGCATGTATGTGCTTTCTGCATTTTCTTTTTTTATTTTATTTTTTTAAGACAGGGTCTCACTGAGTGCAGCGGCACGATCTTGGCTCACTGCAACCTCCGCCTCCCAGGTCCAAGCGATTCTCCTGCCTCAGCCTCCTGAGTAGCTGGCATTACAGGTATGAACCATCATGCCCAGCTAATTTTTGTGATTTTAGTAGAGACAGGGTTTCACCATGTTGACCAGGCTGGTCTGGAACTCCTGACCTCAAGTGATCCGTCTGCCTCGGCCTCCTAAAGTGCTGGGATTACAGGCATGAGCCACCGTGCCTGGCCGCTTTCTGCATTTTTAGTGTCACTCAACCCTTGTTGTCTCTGATTGTCAAGGCAACGACTACGTGTAAAGTAATGTGGACAGAGTCTTGGACAGAGAAATGCCTCAGAAATGTTTTGTGATGAAGATGAAGGAGAGGCGCTGGAAGCAGAAACTGGGGAGGGGGTAGGATTCGTGTCTCCACTTACTCTCCACCCCAGCAGGGACAGAAAGCATGCCTCCTCTTTCCTGTTCATTGGCTACATTCCTCTCTGAGGCCAGAGGGGCAAGCTGGACAATGCAAATGAACTTTGGATGAGACTTAGCCAAGGGGCCTCCAAAGGGAGAGCAGCGGGGCTGCTTAGGAGGGAATAAAAAAATAAGGTGGTCACCTATTTCTTAGCACCTTCTTTGTTTTCCCAATCGGCAAACTCCTGTCCTCTCCTGGAGATCCAAGACCAAAATGCAAAAGCTCCCTCAGAATATGTGCCTGAGTCTGAGAGCACTTTGCAGACTGGGAGGCCCCTGAGTCTCTAGCCTTTGGTATGATACTCAGGCTCCGGGGAATTGATCCTGCACCCATTATTCACAAAGCCCTATACAAGGCAGTGTTAAACTTAGGTCAAACTGCAAGTTTTCAATCACATGCTTTAGCTGTGGGATAAAGAGACACAGCAGAGAAGTGGTGATGGTTGTGTGAGCATCAAAGAGCAAATGAGACTACAAGAAGCAGCCCAAAGGGGGCAAATTTAGCCAGTCTCTTGCCAACTTCTCACTATGGATGTTCTATTGGCTTCATTTGACCCTATCCAGGAAAGCTAGGATTTCTTGTGCAGGTGGAAGTCCATTCATTCGCCTATTTCAGGGGTCTGGGTCCAGAAGAGCTTGTTAGTTCAGTCTCAGCTCCCTACTTTTCTTACTCCCCCTTCCTTTCCCCCTCCTCCTATTAACGACTGAAGGTCTGTTTCCTCTTTAGGGCTGCAATTTTGCATTTGCAGCCCCCGGCAAAACTGTCATACGTGCCCACCGCAGGTGCCCACTGCAGATGCCCGAGACCCAGAGAAATGTTTGTAAACTTTCAACCCTGACTGTACTCCCCCGGACTCCTCCCTCAGTGGGGCCGGCTGTTGGGGCAAGGCAGCTGACCTTTGCTAGGGACTCAGAGCTGCGGGGGTTCTGGAATTGAACTGGAAATTGAGTGGCAAAAGCCCCGCTGTCGTTTCTCCTGCCCCTGCTCCCACCCCGATCTTGTGGACGAGAAAAAGCTCAAAGAACAGTGAGGGGTTAAGCTCCTTATAAGGAAATGAACCTCCTCTTTCCTGTACGGAAATTGTGCTTTTTGCTTCTATATGTTCAAAATACACTGTAAAAAAACGATCCTCGATAGGATTCACCAAATCCACTTCCCTAGGGCGAGGCGGCGGAGGTGGGGGGTGGGCGTCGAGTGGGAGCGAGGAGAGAGAGGACGGGAGGGGCGGGAATCAGGCGAGTGTGTGAAGAATTTGAGGGATGAGTCATCAAAAACAAACTGGGAAAGGGAGCGGAACTAGTAATCCGAGCTGGGAAGCAGACGAACATTCATTAGACGCAGATCGTGTCAATCACGTTTGCTCCGCAAATGACCTGAGAGCCTGCCGGGCCTCTCCGACCGGAAAAAGGGTTTTGGTGGGCGGTCTAAAGATTTTGAAATCGGAAAAGGCAGATTGCTAGCGAGCCGTCAGAGCAGCTTGCCGCAGCTCAGGCGGGCTCCGCAGAAAGATGGCGTTTGCTATCAAGGTCACATGGCCACTTTAGGGGACTAAAACGAAATACTAGCTGAGAACAACAGGAACTGCCAGCACAGGATCAGATTTTCAGAAGCAGTCTCAATTCTAAGTGTCTTTTTCTAATTAGAATCGTAAGCACATTTTTTTGTATTTGTCCGAACACATGTCCTAAGTCATCAAAACTATGTGAAGGGGTGGAGTTTCACTGGGGGTCTTCTCTTTCCGGGAGCCTGAAAAGGATGGGAGGAGGGTGGGGGAAACCCAAGGGCCAGGGTAACCGCAGAACCGGAAAGCAGCACGTGCCAGGACAGAAGGCACCCACTAGGGTCTCTGCACTGAGAGCAGTATGGGAAACCGATTCCACCAGGGACTGTGAAACTCACTAGATCTGTTAGGCTGGTGCAAAAGTAATGGCGGTTTTTGCCGTTAAAGGTAATTGCAAAAACCGCCATTACTTTTGCACCAACCTTCAGGTTCGGGTCTACGCAGCTTTGTCTAACCTCTGACCTCTCATGAGTTGGGAAAGGTTACCCTGGCAAAAAAGGATTTGCTTAGGTGCCCTATACATTGTACCAGATAACTTCCTCTATGATTTTTTTTTTTTTTTTTGAGATGGAGTTTTCACTCTTGTTGCCCAGGCTGGAGTGCAATGGCACGATCTCGGCTCCTTGCAACCTCCGCCTCCCGGGTTCAAGTGATTCTGCTGCCTCAGCCTTCGAAGTAGCTGGGATTACAGGTACCTGCCACCACATCTGGCTAATTTTTTGTACTTTTAGTGGAGATGGGGTTTCACCATGTTGGCCCAGCTGGTCTCGAACTCCTGACCTCAGGTGATCCACCTGCCTCAGCTTCCCAAAGTGCTTGGATTACAGGCGTGAGTCACTGCGCCTGGCCTCCTCTGTGGTTAAGCTTTATTTATTTATTTATTTATTTATTTATTTATTTATTTATTTATTTTGAGATGGAATTTCGCTCTGTCATCCAGGCTGGAGTGCAGTGGTTCAGCTCAGTGCAACTTCCACCTCCCGGGTTCAAGCTATTCTCCAGCCTCAGCCTCCCGAGTAGCTGGGGTTACAGGAGTGTGCCACCATGCCCAGCTAATTTTTGTATTTTAGTAGAGATGGGGTTTATTTTATTTTTATTTAGTAGAGGCAGGGTTTCACCATGTTGGCCAGGCTAGTCTCAAACTCCTGACCTTAGGTGATCTGCCCATCTCGGCCTCCGTAAGTCCTGGGATTACAGGTGTGAGCCATCAGGCCCGGCCAACTATGGTTAAACTTTAGTTGATACAAGATAAGAAATGTGAACACTGTAAGCCCATTTGTTTGTGTGTTCTCTTGTTACCTCTTTTGGTTACTTTCTTATTCATTAGTGTCCTAGCAAATGTTACTTTTCAAAAATTGCAGCCTTGTCTTAACTAAAAGATAAAAAGGAATTTGTTTACTTCTTAGCCGGTACAGTTAGAGGGCATGCACTCTGGCAGCCCTGTAATATAGGGACCAGGGAAGAACTGAGGCAAATAAAAGTAGTGATCCATGAATCGAAGCATTCAAATCTAGCTGATGGTTTCTTTCTTTTGCACTTCTGCCATTTTCATGCCCCTCACCTGCAATTGACAATCCAAACTGAGAGCTGGTCCAGGATTCTCCAGCACCCAGAAGAGCCTGAGTGGGCACAACAGAAACTCAGACTTTAAGGGTACCTAGGAATGGAAGTAGTAGCAGAAGGATTAACCTTTTCATTAGCTCAGTCTTGTCCTTGCTCAGCTCTGGCCATCCCAGTTCAAGCCATCCCCTCAAACTATGCTCTACTAATACTCCTTTATAAGTTATCATCAGACCACTCCAGTTTTTGTTTGTTTGTTTGTTGTTGTTGTTGTTGAGACAGAGTCTCAGGCTGTCGCCCAGGCTGGAGTGCAGTGGCGCGGTCTCGGTTCACTGCAACCTCCGCCTCCCAGGTTGAAGTGATTCTCCTGCCTTACCCTCCAGAGTAGCTGGGATTACAGGCACCCGCCACCATACCTAGCTAATTTTTGTATTTTTTGTAGAGACGGGTTTTCACCACGTTGGCCAGGCTGGTCTCAAAAATTCCTGACCTCAAGTGATCCGCCCACCTCGGCCTCCCAAAGTGCTGGGATTACAGGTGTGAGCCACCGCACCCAGCCTCAGTGTCAGTTTTATTGATCCTTTTGAATCTATTTAGGAATGGGGCTTGAGGGAAAAGGGGGCCACCATCTGTTCTGTTATCTGAGGCACCGTTTCTCCCTCCCCTAACCTTTAAGAGGGGCTGTAGGAATTCTAAGTGTAGTTTCAATAAACAGGTTTCTTATGGAGGAGCTATTCTAGCTCAGTCGTTCTAGAATAGTATAGCCCACTCAGGAAGAAACAACATTTAAACTTGAGCTCAGGGGGAACAAGACTCATTTACTGCTCCTCCCTTGGCCACCCTAGACAATCATGACAATTTCTCTTGGTCACGTCTGAGAGAGAGGTGTTGTAATAATCTTTTGTGGATACTCAAGTCATCATAAGAGAATGTGTGGGGGTAGAGAGAGAGGGACATGGCAAACCCAGTCCTGTAGTATTCTGGGGAAAGTACTCTGGGGGAAGATACTCTATTTACCCCAGGGGTACTCTAGGGAAAAATATAAACTTTGGTAACATAGGAAAGGATGGCTATGAGGCCTGGTTCAGGACTTTCCCTTTCCTCCTCTTCTTTTCCATTTACACAGACCCCAGAGTGCCTCTGAATGGCTGGTTCTATCCTACTGGAAGGAAGATAGCCCCATCCCTAGATGCTGGGAAGCAGTTCAATGCTCTTGATTTAGGAAGGAGGGGGAAGGCGGCTTCTACACAAGGGCGCTATATTCTGTCTCGGACACCAGGTGGCACCAAATCATAACCATAGGTCCGAAGAAACCATCAGGAAATGGACCTTGAGAGCCCTTGAACTATTTTCCTCTCCCTCCCCACTCCCCACATGAAATTGAAGAATATGAAGCCTTTCAGATATGGCAGATGACCCTCCTTCAATGAAAACTCTTGAATTCTTAAGCCAGAGCCACTTCCAGCTGAAGATTTTTAGGATTTATTATTATTATTTTTTGAGAAGGAGTTTCACTCTTGTGGCCCAGGCTGGAGTGCAATGGCGTGATCTTGGCTCACTGCAACCTCTGCCTCTGGGTTCAAGCGATTCTCCTGCCTCAGCCTCCTGAGTAGCTAGGATTACAGGTGCCCGCCACCACACCCAGCTAATTTTTGTATTTTTAGTAGAGACAGGGTTTCACCACGTTGGCCAGGCTGGTCTAGAACTCCTGACCTCAGGTGATCCACCCGCCTTGGCCTCCCAAAGTGCTGGGATTACAGGTGTGAGCCACCGCGCCTGGCCGATTTTTAGGATTTAAATGTGGCATTAGTCCCTGTTCTTCCCAGAGACCTATTTTTCAGCTTCAGAAAAGGAAAAAGGTGATTTTCCTAGAACCTTTCTGGATGCCACCACCCTCCAGAAGAGTTGTTTTTCTCCAAGGAGGTCAGTTGAACAACAGACATGAGACCTCAGAGGCTCTGCTTAAATTCTAGTCCTCCTTCTGAAGGACTGAATGCTCTACCCTGGGCATGCTGAAAATGACCGTGTCTAAAAAAGTTGTGATGTGGCTGACCAGCCTCATTACTTCTTACAATCAAACAGGCCTGCTTCCAGCACCGCAGACGCGTTCCATAAATACCCATCCCTAGACTCCTCCACCTGGAATGCTGTCCTCTCTCAGCCGTGTCCATCTGTCAGATCCATCCCATTTGTCAGGGTACAGATCAAACTCTTTGAAGCCTCTCTTTTGGTTCCCCCCAGTCTGAAGGGCCTGCTCCCTCTTCTGAATTACTGTAATAACTTGGGCCATTTTGCCCTGTTATACTTTATACCACGGCTATTTGTGAACATATCTCTGCTACAGAACTGTGAGCTCCCTGAAGGCAAAGACTATGTCGTATTTATCTTTTTATAGCCTATACTGAGGAACACAGTAGGCACTCAGTCATAATAATAATATCTGACATTTGTATAATGCTTACAGTTTCCGAAGCACATTCACATACATCTTCTCATTTAATCCTTACAACAACTCTGTGAGGTAGGTGTAATCGTCCTGTCCCTATTTTACAGATGAGCAAACAGACTCGGAGATGTTAAACCCTTCAACCAAGGTCATCCAGCTAGGAAGAGGCAGAGATGGATCTGAATGCAGGTTTTCTGACCCTATAGTCCAGTTATTTCAACTTTCTACATCTGAGCTGTTGGTTGGAAAATTCCTTCTTGGAGACTGAAGCCACAGGGCTCATCCTGGGGGCTGGGGAGAAGGGAGGAGAAGATCTAAAGGTCAAACTCCTCTCCTTTCGTTCCCACTCCCTTCTCCTCCCCACTCCCTGTTTCCAAAAAGAATTTCAGAATGCAGTCTTGTTTTGTTGAAGAATGCCCTGGCGTGAGATGTCCTTGTAGATAAGAAGGAAAAATGTGGGGTGAAGACAGGACAGTTGGGTGTATTCACAGCTGGTGACTAATGGATCTTTGTCAGCCTGGAGGGAGGTCCTTTGCCTAGCCAATAATTTAATTAATGACTTGGATGAGGACATTGATGACGTGCTGATCAAATTTGCAAATGACATGAAGCTGGCTTCAGAAAGATCCCAAGAGTCCATAATGAACCAGGAAGATGAAATGTAAAGTTTCATAATTAAGTTTTTAAAACCAAATGCTTAAGTGCAAGGTAAGAGAGACATGTGTGAAAAGGTTTTAAGTGTTTGGGGTGATTGTAACCTCATTATTTTTGACACTAGCTGCCCCGAATGCTAATATGTTAGGGTCTGGAATGGGGGAGATTACAGTTCTGCTTTCCTCTCTGCTCATTAGACCACACTGGATGACTGTCTTTAGCCTTGGATTACCATATATGAACAGGGATGTTAGCAGCCTGGAGCGTGTACAAAAAGCAAGAGACCAGGAGTGTGGGAAGACTTGAAAATCATTGTGTATGAATGACTGGAGCTCTTTAACCTGGAGTGGGGATCAACAGGGTGATGATGGTGGTTCAGGATCCAGTTTTCAAATACAGGTTCAAACTATTGGGGTAGGGCAAGGTGATTCACGCCTGTAGTTCCAGCACTTCAGGAGGCCAAGGTGGGAGGATCACAAGAGCCCAGGAGTTGGAGACCAGCCTGGGCAACATAGTGAGACCCCTTCTCTAGAAAAATATTTTTAAAAAATTTTGGCTGGGTGTGATGGCACACGCCTGTAATCCCAGCACTTTGGAAGGCCGAGGTGGGTGGATCACAAGGTCAAGAGATCAAGACCATCCTGGCCGACATGACAAAACCCCGTCTCTACTAAAAATACAAACATTAGCCGCGTGTGGTGGTGTGTGCCTGTAGTCCCAGCTACTCGGGAGGCTGAGGCAGGAGAATTGCCTGAACCCAGTAGGCGGAGCTTGCAGTGAGCCGAGATCACACCACTGCACTCCAGCTTGGGTGACAGAGCAAAACTCCATCTAAAAATAATAATAATTTTAAAAAAATAAAAAAAATTTAAAAAGAGAAAACAATACAAGTATTGGAAGAGTCCTCATATAGAAGGGGGATTCACCTTGTTTTGCTTTGTAACAGCGTGCAATCAGGAGCAATGGGTGGGTACCGTGGGAAAGCTGATTTTGAATCAACATAAGGTAGAACTTCATAATGGTTTGAGATGCTATAATATGCACTAGTCTTTTTGGGGAGGACAAGAATTTCCTATCAATGGAAGTATTTAATATTTAAGCAGAGGCAAAATAACTACTTGGCAAAGAGATTGCAGAAGGGAATCAAGCACCAGATCATAAGGGAGGGGAACTAGGTAACCATTAAGGCTGCTTTTTCTTTTTCCTCTTTTTTTTTTTTTTTTTTTTTGAGTCAAGGTCTCTCTATGTCACCCAGGCTGGAGTGCAGTGGCTCGATCACAGCTCACTGCAGTCCCGACCTCCTGGGTTCAAGTGATTCTCCCACCTCAGCCTCCTGAATAGCTGGGACCACAGGCATGTACCACCACGCCTGGTTAATTTTTTTGTTTTTTTTTTTTTTAGAGACAGAGTGTTCCTATGTTGCCTATGCTGGTCTCAAACACCTGGGCTCAAGATCCTCCCACCTCGGCCTTCCAAAGTGCCGAGATTATAGGTGTGAGCCACCGCACCTAGCCTAAAGCTACTTCTGACACTATAATTTTGAAATTCAAGTTGGGGGGGTGGTTGGAGGCGAAAATAGTTTTAGCCCTCAGAGTAGGTACCTCTGAACTAGTTATTATCTCTGCTTCCAGTCTTTCCTCCTCTAATTCACCTTGCACGTAGGCTCTAGAAATATTTTCTTGAATACTCTACCATGAGACCTTCCAGCTCAAGTATGATAGAATCTCAGTAACCCTAAAGGTCATCTGGTTCAGTCTTTTATCAGATGCTTTCATTGTCTGCATCATCCACATGGAGTCCCTGCTTGAATATTTCTGGTGATGGAGAACTGCCTACTTTTAGGGGCAGTCCATTTTAATTGCAGAGAGTACTACTAATACTAGAAAGTTCTTCCCAAACATAGCAAAATGCTTATGTTTAGATGTTGGGATTAGGACATTTTTCTTCTGTTTTTGAAACTGTTGGTAATACATTTTAAAGGACTTCAAGAGGCTGGAATCAGGAGCTGAAACTTTTATTATAATTTTTCATCATAAAAAAGGAAGGAAAAGGAGCATCTTCCTCATGTTGAACCCAAATCTGCTTTCCTATAATTTCCATCCATTAGATCTTGGAGCCCTGAAGTCACGCAGAACAAATCTACTGTGAGCCCAGTAATTACTCACTGACAGTAGACAAATTTCTCCTGGGATTCTTCAGTCTTCTCACTCTTCTCTGGATATACTTTTGTTAACATCTCCCTTGAAGTCTGGTGCTCATAACTGAACACTGGGCATCAGATGTGGTCTGATCAGTGCAAAGTAGCACAAGATGATCACCTCCTTTGTTCTGAAAGTTGTACTCTTAGTAATATGGCCCAAGGTCACAATACTTTTTACAGCAACCAAACCACACTTTCAACTCATGAGCTTTCATTCACTCTAAAATGCCTCTAAGCCACATCTCTCACATCTTACATTTGTACTGCCACATTTTGAAGTTCAAATAAGGGACTTTACCAACTTTGTGTAATTCGCAAATTTGATCTAGTGACATTAAAACAGAACTATTTTGTATGTAGTCATTCAACCAGTTAAGAATTCGCCTAGGTTTACCTTTACCCACCCCACATGTATACATGTTTTCCCAAAAGCATTGAGAGAATGTTTGGTTGAACTCTAGATACGCTGTGGGTGATAACTTTTCCCTCCTCTACCTGTCCAGTCACTCTGTCAAGGGAAATGAACCCAGTGGGGCATGATTTGTTTTTCCTGAATCCATGTGGGGACTGAGTGATCGTCGCTTCCTTTTGTAAGTGCTCACCAACCATCCTTTTAATCATTTGTCCTAGAATCTTGCCCTCAATCAATATCAAATGTATTGATCTATAATTTGTGGAGTTTACCTTTTCCCATCTGTCAAAGTGGGGCCATGTTTACCCATCTCTAGGCTGCAGCACGTATCTCTTCCCTTCTTCATGGGGTTTTCAGGGCCACCACCAGTTGTCCTGCAATTTGAGCTGCAAGTCCTTAAGTGCCCTGGGATGCTACTGACTCAGACAATGAGATGCAGTTACTCAAGGCAGCTTACGGCTCTCTTGAACTAGACTGCCTTCAGGAGTTTCTCTCTGGTGTTCACCTTGTCCTTTCTAGTCTGAAAATCGTTTTCCTTGCAGAAGAGAAGGAGTGAAAGAGGAGCTGAGGAGGTTTTGTTTTTCCACCATAAAACTATTGGCAAAAGAGTTCAGTCAGGGTGTCCAGTTGCTCAATCAATAATTGCCAAACTCTTCTGTTGTGAAGATCTTCATGAGCTGCCTTACCAAGCTAATTTCCCACCATTTTGGCCCATCCCCTCAAGCACACCTAGACCTTCTCATCTCCATGATTTGGCTGAGGTTTCCCTCCAATTTGGAATGCCCACTACTCTACCCACCCACCCCAATCCCATCATAGCCTTTCTTACAGTTTCTCCAATCCATTTAACCTTTACCATACAATTGAAGCACATGCATTTCATTCATTGGATTGTGGTTCCGTTTTGTCTTCCTGACAGTACACAACCCAAAATAGGTGTCTTCTATCCCCCACAGTATGTAAACTAGCACAAGGCCAAGCCTACAGTCCTGATAACCATACTTCAAGCTATGGAGATTTCCACAGTGACCAACCTCTGACCCTTCACACACACTACAAATTCAGATCATATGATAGCTGTGTCCAACTCCTTAAAGGACTAAAATAGAAACCAGATAAATCTAGGGATGTGGACTGACCGAATCTAGGCACTAATGCTTTTTGCAATGTTAAATAAATCCAAGTATATCCTCAGCTTCACTTCAAACAAGGAGCTGGGCATTTTAGCTGGACCCAGGGCTGGCCATCAGCAACAGGGCTGAGAACCTGAGGCTACAGGGGCACAGAATTGACTGTCAATTAGATTGAAATCATGCCTGTCTTGGAGGTCACCTCTTCCACCTAGACCTTTCAAAGGTGTGAAGACCAATTGTAATCTCTCACTGATGGGTCCCTAATAGGATTGGAGCTGGTTTTGCTATGGCGCCTTGAGTTCTTAGAGGAGAGGCAGTGTCTAAATCTTCCCAAAATAGAGAGCACTCCTAACTTGGAGGTACACTCCCCACTAAAGAACAGGAGGCCAGGTATGGTCTCAAATAGGAGGCCACGTAATATCTCAAATGGAGCAATCAAAGGATGGAACATAAGAACAAAGACTCTGAATTGACCTCAAAAGGTCAATTGGGAGGCCGAGGTGGGAGGATTGCTTGAGCCCAGGAGTTTGAGACCAGCCTGGGCAACATGGTGAAACCCCATCTCTGTTAAAAAAAAAAAAAAAGTCATATAATCTAGCTCTCTGCTTTCAGGAAGATGAGAAATACCAGTGCTTCCCTTAGTAGCCATTCACTCAATTTGGCAACTGCGATTGAGAACTCACTAGGTGCTTGTGATCATTTCCTATTCATAGCAAAGTTATTCCTTGTATTTCACTTGATCTCATTTTCCCCTCTATCATTCTCAAAAGAAACGGAGAACAGGTCATCAGCTCTGTCCTTATTTAGGAGTTAAATTTTGAAGATGGGTATAGCACACTTTTCACATGGTAGGTGCCCTACAACCATTGAATGTTACCTCATCAGCTTTTTCCTTTCTAGATCTCACACACACACACACACACACACACACACGCATGCACACACACACAGCACCTAGTCCCGTGGCATTATTTATGCTCTTCTCCAGACCCTCTCTAGCTTTCCACTTTTGCTAAAAATGTGTTGGCCAAGGGTAGACCCATCATGCTTTGAAAGGTATGACCAATGGCAGGTAGAGTGGAACGAGTTGAGTGGGACTATGGCAAGGGTCGTGTAGTGCTGGGTGGCATTCTAGGTCTGTTTCTAATACTAACTGTGACGGGCTTTTCTGGGCCCATTTCCTCAACTATAAAATAAATGGGTTGGACTAGATGACTCTCGGGTGACTTCTGGTTCTAAAACTCACACTTGGATGACTTCTCAGATCCTCCATGCTGTGTTTTTGTTACTATATGCAGGATCCACATTAGTTTTGGAAAAAAGAAAGGAAAGAAGGGTGTGAGGAAAGGAGGGGGAAAAACCAGTTTTACACCATGGACTCACTTGTGATGTACCCTTACACCATCTCCCCAGTTCTTCTTCTTTTTAACTATACTTGTGTCAAGTCAATCACTGCCCATCTCCAGTGTACCATATTAGTGTATTAGTTCTAGGTTTTGGTCTTTGTACACACTACCTGTGTTCGTCCTCTCTGAACATGGTCCTCCTTGTGATGGTTCATCTCCCTCATTTTATCAGGGTCATTTGAAGAATTCTATTCCTGCTTTCTGAGGTATCAGCAACCCCACCCAACTATCATACTTGCCGAGCACACTCCCAGTTCAGTCTTTCAAGTCACTGAGAATAATATGAAATCCCATAATGCTAACCCTGTGAGGCCCCACTGAATCCATGCCCCAGGGTTGATAGGGAGTCACTGATCACAATCCTGTAGAAAAATCGCTCCCAGGGCCCCAAGGACTTCTCCAGTTCTAATTCACAGAGCAGCAAACAAGTATCCCTGGGGAAGGAGAGGGCCTCTGCTCTGTCAGTCACTCAAGGCCAGGGAGTCCACGTCTGACGCTGCACTGGATTCAGATAGGAGAAAGAATTTCAGCACGTTAGAGGTCAAACCTCCTCCCAGCCCCCAGTCCAAGGTGAGGGCAGGGTGGTTGCAGCAGAGGAGGAGGAGGAGAAGTAAGAGGAGGAGGAGGCCGCAGCGGTGCAGAGAAGGAAGGAAGTATTTTTGCCATTTCATTAGGAGGCCTGAAGTGCTGAGAGGAGGCTTCAGCTGCAGGAACCCAGCGCGCTGGGGGCAGGGGGATGGGAAGAGCAACCTGATTAAGATTGGAGAGGCCTTCATGCAGGGGCCCCCAACCCCCAACCCCCAACCCCCAACCCCCAACCCCGCACAGTGCAGCCCAGACTCAGCTTAAAGATACAGGAGGCAGGGGGAGGCTGCCTGATTGCCTGATTCCCAGCCCGCAGAGGCACCCTGTTCGGAGGTCTGTTGGGGCAAGGCCTGTGCAAGGGAGGCAGGTTGGGAGTGCTAACTGGATTTTTTATTTTTATATCAAGACACTGTGTTTAAAATTTTTACAAAGGACAAACTCCATGGGTTTCCGTTAGTGTTTTAAGAACTTTTCTTTAAAAAAAAAAAAAAACCAACAACAACAAAAAACACCGCCTTTTTGAAAGAGAAATGACAGACACAAAAGACTGTAAAGAAAATGGGGCGAATTTCTGATAGCATTTCCCCAAGGGCAGAGGCAAAACCCAGATCAGACCTGGGGGCCCAATAGTGATGTGGCTTCCATAGTACGTTGTTCACCAAATCTAAGGTCACCTGGTCTGGCCAGGCCAATGCTGTTGGCCTTTGGGGAAGCAGGTCACCCTGCAGGCTCTGCAGCCCTCCACACGGACACAGAGAGAGTTGGAGATCTCTCCCCTACGACCCTCCAGCTCCATCCAGTGCTAGCCCCTTTCTCCTTCCACCCCATGGTCTTGCTTAAATCTGTTTCCTTCCTGGGGGTCTTGTTCCTTGGTCTGATTGTGTGAGCACTGGGGGTCCTAGAGCCAGAGAGACCTTCGGGCCTGAAGCCCTCCCTTCCAGAGGCTCTTAGCACTCATGGGTTGGAAAAGCATTTGTTCCAAAATTAAAAAAGAAAAATCAACAAAACAAGACCCAGAAAAAAGACCAAGTCCTGGGGAGGAAGAGCTATCCTGCTCTTTAAAGCTCCCAAGTCTGGAGTTGGTCGGTGGTGCAGTTCCAAGAGAGGCCGAAGGCGAGCACCAAGGGGGTGTCCAGCTGTTGCTTTCAGGCCCCCCAGGAGTGTCTGTGGTCAGATTCAGGGAGCTGGCTTCAGCTGCTGTTTCATGGGTCCTCGGTTTACCGAGGACTCATCTGCGTCCCCATTTAAAGGGTTTGTTCAGGTTTACTTCCGTATTTGTGTTTTTGTACATGCGGGTGCATGTCCACATCTGTCTATGTTTGTGCAGGTGGATCTGCTGTAGGGTGTGGGTGCGTGCGTATACATATATGTGTGTGTGTGTGTGTGTCTGCGTGTGTGTGTGTGTGTGTGTGCATGTGTTCCTGGATCTGGGAGGGAGGGAGCCTGGAGATTGGCTGTGCTCTGAGTTGGAGCTATACCCGGGTAGTGGAGTGTGAGTGGGGCAGCCCGGTACTGTTGAACCCTGCGGCAAAGGTGTTATAGGGGTGCAATGTCTGCAGCCCTACCAGGGAGTTGGGGATCATAGTGATGGTGTTGGGGGTCATGAGTGGGATGTCATCCGGGGAGCGCCGCAGGGTCAGGGTGTAGTCGGGCAATGCAGTGAGGCGCAGCGTGTCATGGGGGGGACCGGCCTCACACTCGTGGTGGGTGGGGCCCAGTTGTAATGCTGCCAGCTCCTCCTCTGGAGCAGCTCCCAACTCCGGGGCCCCGGCTCCCCGCTGAGGGCTAGGCTGCCGCAGGGGCTCCTGGCGCCGTTTGTCCTTACGGTAGTAGAGGGCAGCGAAGGCCAGAACGTTAAGGAACAGGAGGGAGGCCCCCACGGCGATGGTGACACTTAATTCAGTGGAGTAGTCACGAGGGTTCTCCACCAGGAGTGGCCCTGCATCCTGGTCCCCGTTCCAGGACCCCTGGGCATTCTCGTTGCTGTAGGCAGGTGAGATGGCTGGCCGCTTGGTGCTCCAGGTCTTGCCATTGGGCCTGCGGGTGATGTGGGAGCTGTGGGTGGTATCCGGAGGCGGCACTTTGGTGGTGGTGGACGTATAGTGGAACATGTCATGCAGGTTGTATAGGTGGGGCACCAGATGTTTCCAAAAGGCCACCTTAGTGGCCCGGTAATGATCTCGGACCCTTGGTTTCAGCCCGATGTGAAGGTAGAGCTGGTCTCGGGGATTGTATTTGGACCAGGCCACTTCCTCAAAGCGGTTGGCCTTGGTGTGAATGAACTTGGTGTCCTGGGGGACCGGCTTGTTGGGATCCCTGAAATACCACATGGAAATCTGGGGTCACCACTCTATCTGGATGAGGAAAAGGCCCAGCATTTTTCCTCTGACAGCCAAACCTCTTTCCCAGTTTAGAACTTCCCACCATTTCCATCTTTTTCAGGGTCCCCTGCTCTGCCCACACCTGCTTCTTCCCCAGGGCTTGAACTCCTATATCCTCCTTCCCGGCGCTCATCCTTTAAGATTAAGGCTATAGATGCTTTTTCTTTGCACATGCTACTGAGCATTTATCAATCTTTTCAGCTGCCCAATTTTGCCAGGAGCCCCCTAATAAAGCCTCTTTCTTTTATTAAGCAAGCAGAAGTTGCTGAACCCGAAGTCTCTTTTTCTTTCTTTCTTTCTTTCTCTTTCTTTTCTTTCTCTTTCTTTCTTTCTTTCTTTCTTTCTTTCTTTCTTTCTTTCTTTCTTTTTTTTTTCTCTTTCTTTCTTTCTCTCTCTTTCTTTCTTTCTTCCCTTTTTCTTTCTCTCTCTCTCTTTCTTTCTCTCTTTTTTTTTCTTTTTTTTTTTTTGAGACAGAGTCTCGCTCTGTCGCACAGGCTGGAGTGCGGTGGGGCAACCTCGGCTCACTGCAACCTCTGCCTCCTGGGTTCAAGCAATTCTCCTGCCTAGGTAGCCGGGACTACAGGCACCCGCCACCACGCCTGGCAAATTTTTTGTATTATAGTAGAGACGGTGTTTCACCATGTTGGCCAGGCTGGTTTCGAACTCCTGAGCTCAGGCAATCCACCTGCCTTGGCCTCCCAAAGTGCTGGGATTACAGGCATAAGCCTCCGCGCCTGGCCCTGAAGGCTCTTTCTGAAGCACTGCATTCCTATTTCACATAGCCTGTGACCAGCTAACCTTGAATCCCATAGTGTGTGTGTGTATATGTGTGTGTGTGTGTGTGTTTAAGATAAGGTTTCGCTCTGTCACCCAGGCTAGAGTACAGTGGCGTGATCACAGCTCAGTGTAGCCTCACCCTCCGGGGCTCAAGCGATCCTCCCACCTCAGCCTCCCAAATACCTGGGACTACAGGCATGCACTACCATGCCTGGCTAATGCTTTTTCTTTTAGAGACAGGGTCTTTCTATGTTGCCGTGGCTGGTCTTGAACTCCTGGGCTCAAGTGATCTGCCTGCCTTTGCCTCCCAAAGTGCTGGGATTACAGCCGTGAGCCACTGGGCCTGGCTAAATCCCATAGTTCTTCCAGTAACCCTCATTCCTTCCTAGTCCCGATGCTAACTGAGTTCTAAGCCTCAACAACATTTTTGAAGGAAGGAAAAATGGCATGAAAGACTCAGGAAGGGGAGATAGGAAGATGAGTGAAGGGGTACCAAGCAAGATTTTGGGAATATCTTAGGAAGGGATATGATGGAAGAGGTTTAGCTAGAGGAGCAGAGGGGAGGGCATGCTGGGGTCTCAAAGAGGAAAAAAACCCTATTTTCTCCTTACCCAGTCTTGGCAAAGTTGGTCCAATAGGTCATGACGACAGCACTGAGCATAACATCATTCTTGGAGAAGTTGCAGGGGAAAAGGTCAGTGGGGCCTACCATAGGAACCCCAAAAACATAGGGTACTTCATCCCCATGAGCTGCATCTGACCAAGCAGGCTTCATGAGGCTCTGGCAGTGATGATAGAAGGCGTAGAAGTAGGTAGGCGAGCCGTAGCGGGCATGCAGATCGGCTGTCACCACTGAGGGCTCCACCCACTGGTGGTCAGTGAAGAGTGCCACCAGTGTTTTACGGCGGGTCTCAGGGTTGTCACGGTCTGCCCAGTCTGTATACATGAACTTGATGGTCTCTCGCAGGGTGTCCTTACCCTCAGGATAGCCATACAGATTGTCCACAAAATTGGAGACGGAATAGTCAAAGTCAGTGCCAGAGACACCATCCTCAGGGTCCACCACCCCTTCCACAAACTTGAGACCCTCGCCCTGGTTGACACCTAGCATGATGTCATAGTTGAGGAACTCGCCCTGCTCCATGAGGATCTCAGGGTCATCAGGAATGACATCACCATCAATCACAGGGCCAAAGGCCACGTGGTAGCGGGCTGGCTGGATGTCCTGCTCTACCAGCTCCTTGGCACTCTTTTGCCGAAGACAGTCCACCATATCCACGGTGTCCAGCACATTACAGCCCACTTTGTCTGCCAGCAGGCTGGTGTACTTCACTGGTTGGTAGTTCACAGCCCAGCTGGACAGAGCAGAGCCACTTTGGATGATGGCTCTCTGGAAAAGTCCTACAGAAGACAGGTAGCACCAGGTCAGATCTGTCGTGTCACACATAGCCATAAATCTCTTCATTCCTTTGTCACTGAGGCTGCCCCATGGTTTAAATGGGCTAGGAAGGGGGAACAACTCTTTTGGCAGGGGATGATGTAGGGCCAAAGGAGGGGTTGCTGAACCCCTTCCTTGATGGCTTCCACCATCCCTTCCCTGTCCTGGTGCGATGGCTGGTAACTTAGGGGTTAAGGCAATGTCAGGAAGAATTAACCCCTTGAATCCCAGACATCAGCCCCCTTATGCCGCCTCTCTTTATCTCTCCTTGTCTTCCCCTCTTGCTTCCTGCCCAGCTGGGCCCAGCTCCGTGCCAGCGCACCACCAGGGAGCTGGCACTTGCACCACAAAGGAGTCTTTTTCATGAGAGATGAGAAATGCAGGCAGGCAAGAGCCCCACATTCTGAGGGCTTGGGGAAGGAGCCCAAGGGCAAAGGCCTTCGGGTCTGAAAGTCTCCAGGGAACCTGTGCTCCCCGTCTGTGGTCTCCACTGATACTTTGTTTTTTTTTTTTTTTGGAGATGGAGTTTTGCTCTTGTTGCCCAGGCTGGAGTGCAATGGTGGGATCTCGGCTAACTGCAACCTCTGCCTCCCAGGTTCAAGCGTTTCTCTTGCCTCAGCCTCCCGAGTAGCTGGGATTACAGGCACCCGCCACCACGCCCGGCTAATTTTGTATTTTTAGTAGAGACGGGGTTTCACCATGTTGGTCAGGCTGGTCTTGAACTTCCGACTTCAGGTGATCCACCCGCCTTGGCCTCCCAAAGTACTGGGGTTACAGGCGTGAGCCACCGCGCCTGGCAGAGACTTTCCTTTTATCTGAAGCTACCGATACTTCAAATTCAGATTTTCCCCTAGCAGAGAGGGAGCCAGTCCCCCAAACTCAAAAAGAAAATAATTTTCCCCTCTAGAAAAAAAAAAAGGATATCATTCTCTCCCTGGCCCCAACATTCCCAAGGGAGAATTTGTCCCTCAGGCACATAATTCCATTCCTTTAAGAGAAAGCCAGTTTGCATGAGTGGAAAGAGAGGGAAAGAAATGATAGATTACTACTTAAAAGACAGCCTCATTTTCCCAAAGATTATTCTCCATGCATCAATTACAGAAAAACAGAGAGAACAGATCTTTAAAGAAGTCAAACCTCGGCCAGGCACAGTGGCTCACGCCTGTAATCCCAGCACTTTGGGAGGCCGAGGTAGGCAGATCGCTTGAGCTCAGGAGTTTGAGACCAGCCTGGGCAACATGGCGAAAACCTGTCTCTACAAAAAAAAATTTATCCCCAAAATTAGCCGGGCATGGTAGCATGCACCTGTAGTCCCCAGCTACTCTGGGGGCTGAGGCAGGAGGATCACTTGAGCCTGGGAGGAACAGGTTGCAGTGAGCTGTGATCACACCACTGCACTGGGGGACAGAGCCTGGGGAACAGAGCGAGATCTTGTCTCAAAGAAAAAAAAAAAGTCAAACCTCCAGAGACACAGGCCCCCTATGAGACAAAGCATAGCACCACTCCAGGAAAGGCTTTCTTCTCCTAGGGGAGGAGTCCCCAGTCAGAGGAGGCACAGAACGTCTTTTCAGGCCAAGGCACCCTTGCAGCCCGTCATTTCGCCCTCCTTTGGGGAAAAAGGGAAGATTCCTGTTCCCACTATGGTCACCTAGGAACACAGTCTCTCTCTTTAGAGAGGCAGATCCCACCTAAGTCTTCCCTCACCAGGGTAGTCCCTGGAGGGGCAAAGACAGAATTTCTAGGTCAAAGAAGGTGGTTCTTCTCTCTCAGAGAGACAGAACTTCTTCAAGAGATGGAAAGTCTTCCTGTGAGAATGTCCCTAACTCAGGGGGTTAGTGTTCAATTAAAAAAGAAAAAAAGCATCCTCGCTCACAGATTTCCTTACTTCAGAAAAGGGCACCTATTTCAGGAAGATCTTTTCTTCATGAGAAGCTCAGCTTTGCCTCTCAGAGATAGAATGTTCCCAGTAGTCCAGAGGTGGAGAAAACATTTCCTGCCGAGCAAAAAGGACCTATTCTGCTCTCTTGGAAGGGTCACTGGCAAAGGGACCCACCACAAGGAGAGAGGCCAAAAATGAGAATCTCCCCGGCAGCTTGCACAGTCGGGGAGAGGTCTGGAGTCTGATAATAGACCATCGTCCTATGGAAGAAGCCCACCTCGTGGGTTAGTGACTCTCATTTCAGACCCACTTCCCCCTCTAGGATGTTTCCCCTCTTGTACAGACTTGTTCTTCAGAGAGAAAGGCAGAGAATGGATGTTTCTTAGACCTAGAAACCAATTTCCACCCTATATCTCTACTGTGAAGTAACATGTCCTTCCCATACTGAAAGATCCTCCCCAACCCCTGTCAAACTATTGTCCTCTGAGGGGACAATTGTTCTATTCCCACTCCCCAAAATAAGACTCCCACATCAGAAGGAGAATCTTGCTTTCCCAGGACATAAATGGGATTCTCTTCCTTCCCTCTCCAGCTTTGGGAGAAGTACTTCTCCCAGAGAAACATTTCTCTTCCACTTCTTGCCAAAGGGATACCAAGCTGGTAGAAGAGAGCTGGCCGATTCCCTTGGATGCCCTGGGGCATGGATGGGGCATGCTGGGACAGCCGGCACTTGGCTAGTTCATGTTTTGCCCCACGAGTTACTCACCCTCTGAGTGATGTGACAACGTGAGGAGGCTGACGCAGGATGCACCAATGCCCGAGCCAAAGACAGTGATCCGGCGGGGGTCTCCCCCGAAGAAGGCAATATTCTCGCTCACCCAGCGGAGGGCCTGGATCTGGTCAAGGAGCCCATAGTTGCCCTTGGCAGCCTGATCTCCAGTACTCAGGAAACCTGGATTCAACAAAGGGCATGAAGACAATGAAGGCAGAGGGATGGAGGATTTGGGTGATGACGGCAGGCAGGGTCAACAGGGGAGGTGGGAATAGAGAATGAGCACGCAGTGTAGTTCTTCCCACATAGTTAACTTAAAGCAGTGCTCCTTTCTGCAATGTCCAGCATCGTCAACAGAGGAGGGGTCAGCTCCCTGCCTCCCACCTGTTATCCAGCTTGGAAGGAGGGGTCTGCAGACCATTTGAAGTGCATGCCTCCAGGTGGGAGACAAACTGCAGAAACTGCAAATGTCCAGAACTCAGCATTCTCTGCCCTGATGTACTATTGGGGACCTTACCCTAACATCTGGCAAGATAGAATGGAAACCCTGGAGTCAGACGGTCCTTGATTTGAATCCTGGCTCTATCACATCTTAGTCATGTAGCCTTGGGCACTTAATTTAAAATCTCTGGGCCATAGTGTCCTCTTCTGTAAAATGGGGATAAAAATACCTCACAGGGTTGTAACAAGGATAAAATGAACATAAGCATCTATAACATGCTGGGCACATTGCAGCTCTATAGTTACTTCTCTTTCCCCTTTCTTCTCTCTCCAAAGGAAGTGTAGATGATCCCAAGAGGCAACAATCCCTAAGCTCTCCTTGCCCTTCCTGTTCAAATCAGTCCCTCTCCACTTCCTTCCGGGGCCTTGATGGCCCCCTTCCCCTCATTTTCAGGGCAGGTCCTCATTTCCCTCCCTTGGAGGCCTAAGGAATCAGAAACTCTGGGGTGGGGCCCAGCAATCTGTGTTTTTAACAAGCTCTCCAGGTGATGCTGATACCTGCCAAAGTTGAGAAACCACTGGGTCAGACCATCTTTTTCATCTGGTGGAGAAATGGGGAAGTAGCGCAGTGCGTTACCACAGAAACAGGTCTTCCCGCCCCCCCACTGGAATTTGCTGCTGAGGAGACATGTCACCATGGAGACTACCTTCCCACCCACCTGCTGGGATTTGCTGCTGTGGAGACTTGTTGCCATGGAGACTACCTTCCTGCCCACCTGCTGGCTATCCCACAGAGATGTCCTATATTCCCCCCTACTCTGCTTCCATTTTAGACTGAGCCTGCGGCCTTATTTCATCTCTCTTCCCTGAATCCTTGGGTCCCTTGGAAGGCTCTGTCTTCTCCTGCCCTAGGCTTTTGGAAGAAGTCTTTGGAGGTGGGTAATTGTGAAGCTCCTACACATTGGAAACCCACACTTGGATCAGTATTTTTTACTCCCCAGTTAAAAGCTCATTCACAGCACCTGGAATCAACTTTGTGAGAGGCCATGTTGGAGAAGACTCCCAGAGCTCATGGGGAGTTCTCTGGCGTCCTTGCAGTCCATAGGCAGAGGCTGAATTCAAATAGACTCAAACAGTCACAAGACCTCACCACTGTCTTTCTCAAGTCCTTCTGTACCTAGCTTCTGCAAAAGAGCTCATCTCATCCTCTTCAAGTGTGTTATTAATTTACCTCTGGTACAATTAAGTATGTAAAGTACTTAGTTATTTCTCCCGGGCCCTAGTCACAAGTCCTCTTTAGCCCCAGGTTCCAGAGGAGGAAATGAGAATGAATTAGAGAAAGCCTGCATGAGGATGAAGAAGGAACCCTTGCTCTTCCAGACAAGGAAATCAGCTTTTCCTTTGCGTGGCCCATTCAGAAATTGAAGCTGCTCCTTTGAGTCTTAAAAACTTGGCCAGGCATGGTGGCTCACACCTGTAATCCCAGCACTTTAGGAGGCTGAGGTGGGAGGATCACTTGAGGTCAGAAGTTTGAGACCAACCTGGCCAGTGTAGCAAGACCCTGTCCCTTTTTGTTTTTAAAACAAAACAAATTAGCCAGTTGTGGTGGTGCATGCCTGTGGTCCCAGCCACTCAGGAGGCTGGGGCTGGAGGATCACTTGAGCCTAGGTGTGAAGGCTGCAGTGAGCTGTTATTACCCCACTGCACTCCAGCCTGGGGGACAGAATGAGACTCCATCTCTAAAAAAGCAACCAAAAAAAAAAAATCCCTCAAAACCCCAACTCTGTTGACCATGATCCAACCCAGCTGCCCAAGCCTTGGGACCCTCTGGCAGAAATCACTGTCCTTCTTTTAGTCCTCCCTCCTCTCTCCTTCCCCTGTATTCTCTTTTCCTTTTCTTTCATTTAGGCAATAGTGGTCTTGGCTTCAGCCTTTGCCAAGGCATCATTTACTGAAATGTGTCAAACATGCCTGGCCTAATCAGCAGGCAAAGCCTGCATTTGGATGTAGTAGAGCAGATTTCTCCAATGTACCAATTTCCTGGGTTAGGAACAAAGGCCTGAAAGGGCTGGATGGAGGATTTATTTATTATTTATTTATTTTTTTTTAGAAGGAGTTTCACTCTTGTCGCCCAGGCTGGAATGCAATGGCATGATCTCGGCTCGCTGCAACCTCCGCCTCCCAGGTTCAAGTGATTCTTCTGTCTCAGCCTTGCGAGTAGCTGGGATTACAGGTGCCTGCCACCATGCCTGGCTAATTTTTATATTTTTAATAGAGATGGGGTTTCGCCATGTTGGCCAGGCTGGTCTTGAACTCCTGACCTCAGGTGATTGGATGGAGGATTTGACCATCACTCTCTGCTCTCTCAGATCCTATGAGTCTCTGGTTAAGGGGCCCTGAAGCATGTGGATGATGCCATGTCAATGATCCCTACTCCATGAAGAGTCCTGCTTGAAATGCTATCTCCAGGCCAGGCGTGGTGGCTCATGCCTGTAATCCCAGCACTTTGGGAGGCCAAGGCGGGCAGATCACCTGAGGTCTGGAGTTCGAGACCAGCCTGGCCAACATGGAGAAACCCCATCTCTACTAAAAATACAAAATTAGCCGGGCTTGGTGGCATGTGACTGTAATCCCAGCTACTAGGGAGGCTGAGGCAGGAGAATCACTTGAACCTGGGAGGCGGAGGTTGCGGTGAGCCGAGATAGCGCCATTGCACTGCAGCCTGGGCAACAAGAGTGAAACTCCATCTCAAAAAAAAAAAAAAAAGAAAGAAAAGAAAAGAAAAAAGAAATGCTATCTCCAACAGGCTCAGGAAGATGACAGCAAACCTGACCAACCACAAGCACACAATATCTGGCATTCTGGGAGAGGTCACTCACTGCTAGTTCCCCAGTAACTCAACCATCCACAGAAACCATGTGAGAATGAAGGCTGAAATACTAAACTCCATAAACTGTCAGAATAAATCGGAGCCAGTCTCCCTGGGCCCAAGTTTATACTGCAGTTCATGGTAAACTGCTCGTCAACAGAAGATGGGGAATCTGGCAGATTGTAACAAAACCAGATATTTGTGTCACTCAAGGCTTGATGTTTACTGGGTTTTCGGTTTGCCTGGAGGGTACCTGAGCAAGCATGTAGGATTCAATTCTGGAACCTGGAGTAAAACTTGGCAAGTGCCTGCTTCCTCAGCCTCAGGGATTTCCACATCCTATATCCTGCTGGAGTCCCTTTCTTTGTTGGCTTCAAGCCCAGTGGGGCCTTCTCAAATAATAGCTACCCCTCTGCCTTGGAGAGGATCCATGGATTAGCCTGTGACATTCTCAACATTCATGAATCACCCAAGATATCTAGAAAAGCACCTTAGAGGCTGGGCGTGATGGCTCATGCCTGTAATCCCAGCACTTTGGGAGGCCGAGGCAGGTGGATCACCTGAGGTCAGGAGTTCAAGACCAGCCTGGCCAACATGGTGAAACCCCGTCTCTACTAAAAATACAAAAATATGCCGGGTGTGGTGGCAGGCGCCTGTAATCCCAGCTACTTGGGAGGCTGAGGCAGGAGAATTGCTTTAACCGGGGAGGCGGAGGTTGTAGTGAGCCGAGATCATGCCATTGCACTCCAGCCTGAGCGACAGAGCGAGACTCTGTCTCAAAAAGAAAAAAAAAAAAAAAGAAAGAAAGAAAAAAGATAAGCACCTTAGAGTGAACCGCCTGATGGGTTCAGTGCTCAGGAAAGCTGATGGGAAGGAGAGTGAATGAATGCCTGTGACTGGGGTCCAAAACAAACCACCTGTTCTGGGATGCTTTGGGCAACAAAACAACAAAGGCCCCACTACACAGGAAAATTCCCCGCCGGGTGCAGTGGCTCACACCTGTAATCCCAGCACTTTGGAAGGCTGAGGAGGGCGGATCACCTGAGATCGGGAGTTCGAGACCAGCCTGGCCAACATGGCGAAACCCCCGCCTCTACTAAAAAAAAAAAAAAAAAAAAAAAATAGCTGGGCGTGGTGGTGCGCGCCTGTAATCCCAGATACTCCAGAGGCTGAGGCACGAGAATCGCTTGAACCCGGCGGCAGAGGTTGGCAGTGAGCTGAGATTGTGCCACTGCACTCCAGCCTGGGTGACAGAGCAAGACTCTGTCTCAATTAAAAAAAAAAAAGAAAAGAAAATTCCCAAGCATCAGGGACAAACCCATGTTCTACATCTGGTGTCAAGAGACAAAAACAAACATCTTATATGTACCCGGCATCCAATACGGGCTTATTGATTATATTTGTGTTCCAGAACAGGAACTGAAGGGTGTGCAGGAAGTGGTGAGGAACTTCTGAGCAAATCTCAGTGTAGGACTCCTTCTGAGTTTTCGGTGATATTTGATCATCAACTGCTTAAGCCCAAAGAAGAATGTTCCTGCCCCCTAGATGTGCTGTTCTGGTTATCCAAATGACGGGGCTGTCAAGTGCGAGTTCTTAACCTGACTTTCATGGATGAACTTAAGGGGGATCTGTAAAATTGTTTTTTCTTTCTTTCTTTTCTTTTCTTTTTCTTTTTCCTTTTCTTTTTTTTTTGAGATGGAGTCTCACTCTGTTGCCCAGGCTAGAGTGCAGTGGCACGATCTTGGCTCATTGCAACTTCCGCCTCCCAGGTTCAAGCAATTCTCCTGCCTCAGCCTCTTGAGTAGCTGGGACTACGGGCGCATGCCACCATGCCCAGCTCACTTTTGTATTTTTAGTAGAGACAGGGTTTAGTTGCCCAGGCTGGTCTTGAACTCCTGACCTCAGGTGATCCACCCACCTCATCCTTCCAAAGTGCTGGGATTACAGGCGTGAGCCACCACACCCGGCCCTGTAAAATTAAGTGTGTGTGTGCGCACATGCATGTGTGTGCACACACGCATGTGTGCATTGTTCCAGGGGAGAGTCCATAGCTTTCATCAGAATCTCAAAAGGGTCCAAGATGCCCCAAAAGGTTAAGAACTTCTGGTGTAGAAGCTTAAGGATTAGAGCAGCTGAAGGATTGTGAAGTAATCAGCAAATCAGGATATCATACGGAATGCTCACCAGCGACAGCCTTCTGTGCGGCCCACAGTTCCCAACTGACACTGTGGAGACTTCACATCCTACGTGAAATGCCGAGTCTCTCCCCAGATCCTAAGTCTCTCCTTCTGTCTCCTCTCTGCTTCCTCTCCCTGACTCTCTATTATCCTCTCATTTTCTTCTCTTCCTTGCTTTCTCCTCTTTCTCTCCCTCTTTTCCATGCTCTCTTTCTTCATTCCTAGCTGCTCTGAAGCATATTTTTAGTATTCTTTGTATTTTCCAATAAACCTTATAGAATGGAGCATTGTGTTTATATTTTTTTAAGCAGCTGAGCTGAGTGTTTTCTGTCACTCTAAGAAAAGAAAGTAGCAAAATTACTTTTGGCTTTGAACTACCGTGTACATGTGTCTGCATATCTGTTTGTGATCACATTTGCGCGTTCATTCCTCTCTAGAAACTGTGCAGCCCAGCCGGGCGCGGTGGCTCACGCCTGTAATCCCAGCACTTTGGGAGGCCAAGGCAAGTGGATCACTTGAGATCAGGAGTTCCAGACCAGCCTGGCCAACATAGTGAGACCTTGTCTCTACTAAAAATACAAAAATTAGCTGGGTGTGGTGGTGCACACCTGTAATCCATAATCCCAGCTGCTCGGGAGGCTGAGGTGGGAGGATCACTTGAGCCTGGGAGGTCGAGGCTGCGATGAGCCATGATTGCACCACTGCACTCCAGCCTGGGTGACAGAGTGAGACTCTGTCTCAAAAATTAATTAATTAATTAATTAATTAATTAAAAAAAGAAAGTGTGCAGCCCTAGTGTGTGGGTTTCCAGCCACCTTCATGGTACCATGAGATTCAACAGGACAGAACAGCTTACAAGAGCCTCACCATGGTGTCTGAGGTGATGCAGAAAGACAGAGGGGCAGGAGCAGAACCATGACATCCCAACATCCCAAGCCTACCAGACCGTGGGGAGGCCAGCGTGAATGGCCTGCATGCTCCATATTCAGTCTCCCGGGCGCCAATGAAGGGGACACCGACTTTGCTTTTTTAAAGGAGCATCATTTCTGCAGTTTGAACCCCAAAAGAGTATCTTCCTATCTCACATAGTATTAATTGTAAACCAAGAGAAGATTGCCGTTCTGGGCATACAACTGCACCCAGAAGTGAAATGCAGCCCCGGAGCCTCTGAGATTGGAACTGACAAAGCAATATAGTCAAGAGAAAATTAAGGGCCAGGCGTGGTGGCTCATGCCTGTAATCCCAGCACTTTGGGAGGCTGAGGCAGGCAGATCACCTAAGGTCAGGAGTTCGAGACCAGCCTGGCCAACATGGTGAAACCCTGTCTCTACTAAAAATACAAAAATTAGCCTGGCATGGTAGCAGGTGCCTGTAATCCCAGCTACTCAGGAGGCTGAGGCAGGAGAATCAGTTGAACCCGGGAGGCGGAGGTTGCAGTGAGCCAAGATGGTGCCATTGCACTCCAGCCTGGGCGACAGAGTGAGACTCTGCCTCAAAAACAAAATAAAAATAATAAATAAATAAATAAATAAATAAATAAATAAATAAGCAAATTAAAATAAGGCCCTTGAGGTGGGAGGATGATCACTTGAGCTCAGGAGTTCAAAACTGGCCTGGGCAAGAGTGAGACCCTGTCTCAAAAATTAAATGAAAATAAAATCAAATATGGTCGTGTCCCCTAGTTAGCCATGGAATAAGCCACGCCTAACTGCTGGTTTAGCACCCATATGCCTACAGACCTGACCAAGAGCCTACACTCCCGCTGAAACTCTTCCTCCAGGAAGAAGTTGGCTTCTTCATGCCACTACAGGGATGCGGGGCTTGGGGGAGCATGAGCAGGGCCCTGTGTGCTTAGTCACCCTCTCTGAGGCACTCGTTTACCTCAAGACCTTGGCCATAGATAGGCATGGGTGGTCACCAAGGAAGGTACAGGGTTCAAGGGCAGCCTAAATGACTGACACAAGCTTGTGCACAGCAGAGAATGCGGGGGTGGGGAGGTGTATGGGTGCATATGAGGAGGCATTTCGGCAATGAGTGCATATGCATGGGAGTATGTGTGTGATGGGTGGGAGTGTGCAGGGGACATGCTTAGAGTACAAAGAGTGTGTACGTGTGCATATACGGGGTAAGGAAGTGTGGGGAGACTTGGGGGATGCGGTTGGGCCTGGGTAGAGGTGTGTGTGCATGTATGGATACAGATGCAGCCCCATGTACACGGATGTGTATATATTTGTGGGGTGGGGTGAGGGGAGAAGTGCATGGGTGTGTGCTGGGTGTACATATACAGGCTGTATATGGAAGAGTGTGCGCATGTATACGCGTGCATGCATATGTGGATGTGTGTGTGGGGGAATGTATGTGTAGGGGAATGACATAAGGGCAGTGTGTGGGATGTATATAGATGTGGATATGGTGTGTGTGTAGTATCTGTGTATGTGTGGGGTGGGACAGTGTGGACAAACAGGTAAGAGTATATGTGTGTAGGGAAGGGGAATATTTGTTTGTGTTTCTGAGGAGATAGTGAGGGACAGGTGTGTGTGGTAGGTGGATGTGTAAAGTGGATGTGGAAGTAGGGTGTGCAGGGGGATACGGGCGTGTGTAGGTATTTGTGGGGGGTGGGTGGAAGGAATATTTATGTACATTTAAGGTGTATATGTGTGGAGTTTGGTGTGGACATGGATGTGCAGGGTGTAGGTTTTTGTGTGGGCTGTAAATATGGGGGTAAAGTGTGAGTGTGGGTGTGTATGCATCGTGGGTATCGGTGTAGATGTGGCTACAGAGACATGGGGAGAAGTATATGAGCATGTGTGTGTGTACATGCGGAGGGTGAGAGCCATCTGCGGGGTGCAGACGTGGAGTACACAGACCGTGTGGGTATGTGGATATGTGTTCTGGAGAGACCATGTGAATGGAGTTACCTGGAGTGCTAGGAGAATGTGTTTACATGTGAGGGGCCTGGAGATGTGAATGTGGGGCTAGGTGTGTGTACTTTATGGGGGTGAGTGAGAAATCACCGTCTTCCTGCAGGTGCATGGCGGGGTGGATGTGTAAACACATGAAGGTAAATAGGTGTGTGGCCATGGAGTGGACTGGAAGGAATATCTGTGCATGTGTGGGGTGTTTAGAGATGTGGGGCGGGTGGGTAGAGGTGAAGACAGGACAGTGGAAAATTGAAGCATCCTACAAAACTCAGCCAAGTCAAAGTCTGGAAGCAGAGACCTGGCTTGGGACCTGAGAGAAGGTGTGAAGTTTGAATTGAATTTCTGGTGGCATCTAAACCTTCCAAGAAAGGGCCTGGGGATATGGGGAAGCCCCTAGCATTTGGGTAGGGGCCAGAGGATAACACCATTTTGACTGTGGTTATTAGCACCAGCTAGAGAAGCAAGGCTATCTGTTTTTAAATTCTCCAGCATTCTTTCCTCCCCCCTTGCGAAGCCAGTCTTCCTTCCAGGCACCAGGCAGGGAACCATACCTAGCACTCCAACCCGATAGTTGAGGGTGATGACGATGACATTGCCATAACTGGCGAGGATGCTGCCATCAATCATGTTGCCTGTCCCTTCCATGTAAGAGCCTCCGTGGATGTAGACCATGACGGGTTTAGCACCACTGTCCCGGATGTCTGCAAGGAGAAGGGGTGAGACACAGGCTGGGTGGGATGCCCTTGCTCCCCCACCCCTGCCAGCCCAGGGGGTGGGTGCGGGCAGCAAAGCTATCCCAGGTGCCAGGACACCACCGCCATCCCTGAGGGCAGGACTCATGGGGTTGCTCAACCTGGAGCTCAAGCATCAGCCCGAGACAGTGGGGCTTCAGTGATATTTTTAAAGGCTCTGGTTTCAAGTGCCTCCCAGCTGAAGGCAGCCAGGCATGTGATACAGCCAGGCCTCAGTGGGCCATGGCTGGGCCCTGGGGGCGGGGGGCAGCAGAAAGAGGAAGGGCTGGTCCTTTAGCCACATCAAGTGAGTCGCTGCCCTGGGCACCCAGGAGTCCTGGGACCTGACATGGCTTTAGAGAGCAGGAGCTGGGGAGCCCTGAAACCCCCAAGACTAGACCAGTTACATGGAAAAACGGCCATTGGCAGCAGCTGGCCCCCCAGTGCAGACAGAGACAAGAGGTGTGGGAATAAGGGGTGGCACAGGGAGAGAACAAGGAAGGATGTGGGAAAGGGGAGTGAATGGCAGAGATAGGGTGGGGGGAACCTTGTTGACATGGTTTCTTAGCCATGTGCCCATTTCCCCATTCTCCCTGGGCAGACTTAACCAGAAGCATTGGGGATGGGGAAGAACTAAGAATGACAGAGCCTGCTCCCAGTCAGCACCAAGATGAAGATGGAGCCTCCCCAGAGGCCATTCAACAAGGGACCATCAAGCGGCTGCTCCCGAGCCCAGGCGGCACGGCATCAGGGCTGGGGCAGTCAAGAGAAGGCTCCAGGCCTGATCACCTCTGCCTGTAGCCTGTCAGTCCGTGAACTGGACCAATACTCTCTGCCATGCCAGCACAGCCCTACCCATCACCACTGGGCCCCCCTGAGCTGCCTGGCCCCTTCGGGGCAGAGGGGCAGGGCCAGGGCATGGAGGAGGAAGGGAATGCTCTCTGCTGCGGAGCAAACAGAACTTGTTTCTCCAAGGAGGAAGGCTGGTCCGATCATTGCCCAAGGATCTTATGCCATCTATTGATGGCTGTGGTGTCCTGGCCTCAGCCTGGCATTTTAGCCCAGTCTTTCTGGCCTTGTCTTGTACCTACTGCAGCCCCTAGCCCCGAGACCATCTCTCTCTTTTCTAGAAGGCTGGGGAGGTTCTGGTGCTGCTTTTCCAGCCCCTTTGGTTGTCACTGCCTCACTTCCCAGTTCACCATCCTGCGGGGCCCCTCTCCCAGAAGCCAGGCTCCCTGTGAGACACAGGGGTCTCTTCACTGAAACACAGGTAATCTCCTTGCCGTTCCGTTGTCTTTGTCCTCTCCCCGCCCTCAGTGGTCCTGCTTTCTCTCCACTCTCCCTGCTGCTCAGTAGGGGCAGGTGCCTCTGAACCACAGAAGATGGGGAAGGGGCGGGAGACCCAGGCAAGGAGGATGTCCTCCCCATGGCTCTGCTTGTGGTCCCCTGCTCCTGCCAGCCATGTCCATCACCCCGGAACTCCCAGTGGCCAACAGGGCCAAAGACAGATGAACAGCCCAACGGCCTTGTACAGGAACAGAAACACACCAACGGACAGACAGACAGACAGACGGGGCTTCTCCCCATCGAGAAGGGGAGGGGCTCTGTGCCATGCACCAGCCGCCGCGCCCTGCAGCCCCCAAATACCTTCATCTTCATCCCCGTCATTATCCGCTAAGTCCTCGCCCTGTTTCTTAGCGCCGGATCCTGGGGACCAGACACGGGGAGACACAACAGCACAGAACAGAGAACAAAACAGAGAGAGAATTCAAAAACAGCATGACTGCAGTGTGGCCCAGCAAGCCAGCTCCGGGCCTGGGCCCAGGACAGGCAGGAGGGATGGCAAGAACTGAGGGAATGGGTGGGCTGAGGCCCAGACCTTCATCAGGATGATGGTGTTGCAGGCCCCTGCTGTGCTGGCCTCTCTGCACCGCCTTGCCCCGCCTCCTTGTCCCCAACAGCCCATCTCAACCAACTACCTTTCCAGTGAGGAAGGAGGTAGCAGCAAGTGGGCCAGGGCACAGAGCCAGAGACCCTCTCAGGGGAAGGATTCATTCTGGGTGGAAGGGGCTGCTTGTGTGTACACAGGCAGGTCGAGCTGGAGAGCAGGGTCAGGTACCAAGGGTGAGGGGTGACACTGCCAGCAAGTGTGGAGGTTGTGGATACGAGGTACTTAGGGCAGAGACGTGTAGAGGGACCCCAGGCCTGAGCTCCTGGGGCCCAGTGGGCAGGCTCAAGCTGGGCCTCAGCTGACCCTGATTCCCACAGGAGAAAATGGGAGATGAAGCTTTCCCTCTGGTCTTCCTTGTTGGAGCCCCTGCTCTGGTTAATGGCAAATGGGGTTCCTGCCCACAGGAACCAGTGTTGAGAGCAGCAAGCATTGCTCTGAGATGTAGAGAGAGCCAGAGAGGGAGAGAGGGACAGAAGAAAGGGGAAGAGGAGAGAGGGATGGTGAGAGAGAGAGAAAAAAAATAGAAGAGAAACAAAGAGATAGGAATAATGGTCACAGCTCCAACCATGTACTGAATATTCACCATGTGCCAGACACTCTGCTTCTGCCATATTGTTTGATCCTTACACCCCAGTGAGATAGGTCCTATCCTTATTATTGTTTCACTGATGGGGAAACTGAGGTTCAGAGGGGTAAAGTGACTTGCTCAAGATCACACAGCTAGGAAGTGCTAGAGGTGCGATTCACACCCAGGTCTGCTTGACTCCAAAGCCCATGGTCTTTCCACTGCATCATGCCACCTTTCTGGGGTGGGGGAAAGGGGAAGGAAGGGAAGAAATAGATGAGAAAAGCAGTGGGGCATGTAGGGGGAGAGAAGGGGCAAGGAGGGGAAGAGAAAAAAGAAGAGACTAGAGGTGAGAAGGGAGACATTTAGGATCTGGGGCTAAGCTGGCACAGATTCTCCTTCCTGTTCTAAGGAGGCTAGAAGTGCATCCTGGCGATGGCTGTGGAGGGAGAGGACCGGCTGTCTGGATGCTGGTCAGTGTGTGGAAACAGAGGGGGCTGTGCTGCCAACCCAGGCATCTATGACATCAGATACCCTCAGCCTGGAGGGAGTAAAGAGCCCTCTTTCCCAGCCGGTCTGGACTCTGATGACTAGATTTCCTTACAGCCATTCATCAAAACAGGAACTGCCCTCATCCTACAAAATGGCTTTTCAACCAGGACAAGAGCACAGCTCTAGGGGAGAAATTGCCTCTGGCTCCCTGAACTTCCGGTGGCACCTACCGTCTTAACACATTAGCTCAACACCTGCCAGTGCTGTCCTCAGAAACCTTAATGGGACATGGGCATCATCCCTCACACTGCGGACAGCCTACCAAACGGGAAGGAATTGCTCATCCCCAGACACGAATTCCTTCCAACTTGATGGGGTGGGGTGTTGGGGAGATGGGGCAGGTCTTCCCCAGGAAACCCTTCATTTCCCATCATCCCTGACTTAGAAGATAAGTCCCTTGTGAATCCCTCTGAAAGTGTTCCTGGGTTGCTGCATTGTCTCAGCCTCCTTCACACAGATGCCTTTGCTCCTTCAGCCTGGCACTTCCTGAGCAGCTCCTAGCCGCCATGCCTCTCACCCAGGCCAGCCTGACTGCCGACCACCATTCCCAGACCCTGCGCCGCTGAGGGATCCCAGCCAGGCTGGTCCCCAGACCTCTGCACACCACAACCCTAACGACCTCCGAGGATGGGTCTCCCTCAAGAGGCGGGATTTGTCACTCTTCCAAATGGCCACCAGGTCCTGGGTAGGGAACTAATTTGAACAGTGAAATGACCAAATGCCTTCCCTTGCACTGTCTGGAACCCACTTCCTGATTGGCCCATGGGACTTAGGGAAACCAGCTGAGTTTTTTTTTTTTCTTTTTTTAGATGGAGTTTCAGCCTTGTTGCCCAGGCTGGAGTGCGATGGCACCACCTCGGCTCACTGCAACCTCCACCTCCTGGGTTCAAGCGATTCTCCTGCCCCAGCCTCCCAAGTAGCTGGGACTACAGGTGTGTGCCACCATGCACCTGTATTTTTAGTAGGGATGGGGTTTCACCATATTGGCCAGGCTGGTCTCGAATTCCTGAACTCAAGTGACCCACCCGTCTTGGCCTCTCAAAGTGCTGCAATTATAGGCATAAGCCACCGCGCCCGGCCAAACCAGCTGAGTTTTAATACAAGGCTAAGAGCTTCTTCAGAGCAGTGATTAGGCCTTTAGTCATTTCTAAATCTTTCCTCTACCTCACATCCCTCCACATCCCAACAACACCTAGCACATGGCCTTGCCCACAGTCAACAATCACGATTGGTAAATGTGCATGTTTGAGCCGGGGCTTCCAGTCTGCTCTCTGGCCACACTCTCAGGGCTGGACTGGACAGCCCAAGGCTCTTACTGGGCGATCATTCTTCCTAAGAAATGGTTAATGTGAATGCCATCTCTCCTTCAGGTTTTTTTCTTTTCTTTTCTTTCTTTTTTTTTTTTTTTTTTTTTGAGATGGAGTCTCGCTCTGTCGCCCAGGCTGGAGTGCAGTGGCACGATCTCGGCTCACTGCAAGCTCTGCCTCCTGGGTTCATGCCATTCTCCTGCCTCAACCTCCCGAGTAGCCGGAACTACAGGCACCCGCCACCACGCCCAGCTAATTTTTTGTATTTTTTAGTAGAGACGGGGTTTTGCCGTATTAGCCAGGATGGTCTCGATCTCCTGACCTCGTGATCCACCTGCCTCGGCCTCCCAAAGTGCTGGGATTACAGGCGTGAGCCACCACGCCCGGCCTCTCCTGCAGGTTTAAGAGACCTTCCTCCTGAATTCATTTACAGGCTAATGGAATGCTAAGGCCAGAACTGTACCCTACCAACCTCAGATGTGGAAACAGAGGTTCTTGAAGGACAAGACTTGCCTAAGGTCTCACTGTGAGTTGGCAGCAGAGCTGGGACTCAGGCCTTGTGCTTCCCAGACCTGTACTCTTTCTGCAGCACCATGATGCTTCTGAATTACACAAAAAACATCAATTGCCTATGGTGTGTGAGGTCCTGGGTGGGGTATGGGGCTGTGGTGAAATACTATCCCTACAGCAGCGGGTCTCATTCCATGCTCGGGTGTGCATTAGAAGCGCTCAGGGCTCATGTTCAACATATAGATTTCCAGGCTCTGCCCCCAGAAATTCTTATTCAGTAAGGAGCACCCCATCCCAGAAATCCTGGCAACCCCATTCTGAGAAACTCTGCCCTAGGACATCAAAGGAAAACAAACTCCCAGCTTGCCAGAGGGTTGTAGGGATCAAGCTGTGATTTTTCCACCTGTTCCTTAGGCTGTTACTGTTCCAATTCTCCCCAGCCCAGCCACATCTCACCATTTTTTTTGAGTTGGGGAGATGGGAATGAGCAGATGGGAGTTGCTTCTGTGTGCTACAGTGGAAAGAACACGCCCTGAAGGTCAAGAGACCCAGGTTTTGGTCCCAGCTCTGCCACAGACCAGCGACAGGGGCCTTGAGCAGCAGCAAGTCACTCCCCTGGGCCTGTTTCCTCATCTGTAAAATTGGGATACTGATTCCTGCCTTAGACGCTTCCAGAGATACAGGGAGGATTCTCTAAGGTAAATGCCAAGGCACTTTACAGAAAACATGAAGTGATATTCCAACAGGAAGAATTATTATACAGGGGGAGAAACTCCTCTCAGCATGAGGGTAAATTTAAAATTCAGGATCTTTTGCCTCCTTTAAAGTCCATAGTTCCCAGAGACCCCCAAGTTCTGCCACCAGAGCAGCCTGGGTCTATCAGCTACACTCTGGCCAGAGGTAGTGGGGTGGGAGACAGAGGTGTGTATGGCAGGAGTTACTAAACCTGTGTACACGTTTGGTCTAAGCTTCAGGGTGGGAAAATTGAGTCTAGACTTTCAATCCAGGAGAAAGAACACAGAAGGGATGGTCTTCTGGCTCCACCCACTAGGAAAAGGGTGGAGCCTCTGGCTCCATCTTGGCTTCCTAGAGTTTCTCCTGAGGTGTCACCGAGAGAGCCACTGGCTCTGCCTTTGGCACACACTTTAGGGTGGAATTTGGGGCTGGGAAGATTGGAAGAAATAGGGTTGCTGCTTCTGCTCTGAGCCTGCCTTAGGCCACCAAATCCTCCCTGCAAGGCAGCCAGGGCCCTCAGATGAGGTGGCGCTTATGCCTGCTTACTGCCCCCTGAGCCTGGGCTACTTGGAGGAAGGCTGGGTCCTGGGGGCAAGGGCAGGTGGGCAGGCAGCCCTCCCTCTCTCTCTCTCTCCCTCCCCGCCGGCTCGCTACCTACCTCCTTTCCTACAAATTTTCTTGTTGGGCTTTCGGGCGCATTCCTTGGAAATCCGCTTTACTGTAAAATGAATAAAAAACTAAAAAATAACAGGAGGCCTCTGCCCAGGGGCATGCACCCCCCACCCCCCAGGCCCCAAGAGCTGAGCTGCTCTGCAGGCGGCACATGGCAGAGAGCCTGTCCCACCATCTCCTTGTTTCTGTCACTTACCTTAGTGTGACCCCCGCGGGAGGAGGCATCAGCTAGTGAAAGAGGAGGCACCTAAGCATCACCCACCAGGCTTGCTGCCCCACCCCCCACACACCCAGTGCCCTTGGCCACACACACCTACCACCTTTCGAAGCAGGTGGAATGGCAACAGGGGGGCCTGGTGGAGCCAGCATCCTCCCGCGGGTAGCTGCCAGCCGTGACCCATACTCCCCCAGGGGACCCCCATCCAGCACTGGACCGAGACCCGTCAGAGCTCTCAGGCCGGGCCAGGCCCCTCCTGGCAACAGTGTCACTCACACATGGGAGCTCGGACAATGCTGGGAGAGGGAAGAACAGGGAGGGGGGTGGGAGGCCAAGCAGAGTGATGGTTAGAAGCATTTTCACAGACAGACAGATGCATGCTGCAGGGCACACAACCACATGCAAGCCACAAACACAGCAGGGCAGGCGGGAGGCAGGGAGGGCACAGTGCCTGGCCGCAGCACTCACCATCCTCCGTCGGCACATAGACGTTCAGGTAGAGACAGTCTTCGTTGGGCTCCTGGATGTAAGTAGCGACGATATCCAAGTTGGCAGTGAACCAGACCGGCAGCATGACTTCGGGCACAGCTGTGTGGATGTTCTGGGGGCACACTGGGGGAAAGTGTGTGGCGTTCCGGATGCCCGACCAGGATGGGGGTGGTTCAGGGGGCAGGAAACGTTTCTCGCCGATCGGGGGAGCTGCGTAGGGCACCCCCAGGTATTGGTCCACAGGCCCCAGGATCTCACTGGGCAGTGGTACTCGGGCACCCCTTAGCTTCCCAAAGTGAGTGTTGACTGTGGGTGCTGGGGCCTGGGTACTGGCCCTCAGCGCCAAACTGAGGAACCACAGGGTGAGGCACAGGCTCCTGCCAACCGTGGGCTTGGGGCTCAGGGACAGCGAGGGCGGGCCAAGCCGCAGCCACATGTTCCGGGCAGGGGGACTGGCAGGAGAGGCAGACTCCAGGGTCACAGCATCAGCCCAATAGGCAGCCCCTTCATGGCCACACTGACTTGAACCTCAAAACTGAGCTCTCGAGGGACACCTACAGGTGCCCAGCAATGTAGAGAGCAGGTCGTCCAAGCACCACAGCTTCAGAAAGGGGACTCCCTCAGGGCCAGACAGGCCTGTGGAAAGAGGGAAGTATGCGTCATCCAAGATGGTCTGGGAGGGCAACAGAGTTGGTCTTTGGGGGCCCTGCTGGGCTTGGGCTATTCTCTTATAGGTAGGAGAGGTTTCACATGCCCAGGGGCCCAGGGACTGTGATCCCACAGATGATCCACTGCCAATCAGAACCATTCTATGTGCCTGGCCATGGCTGGAAAATCCAAGGGGTTTGACAGTGACAGTTGTTGCCACTGCAAGTTCCCGGTGCCCAACTTCAATTCTACAGCCAAAGGGGTTCATCAGGGTCGGCTGGAGCCAGAATAGCATGTGACAGCCAGGGGGTGGGGAGAAACAAAAATGGAGCTCAGGTCCCTGGGCATGCTGCTTGAACAGAGCTGTGTAGCCCTTGGGACCTGGTAAGCCCACACAGGGACCTCCACTTCAGGACAGGGTGGGATTGTCAACCTCACTCCGGGACACTAAGACACAAGAACAGAAAGCAGCAAATCGGCAGAGTCCCACAGAGAGACTCCCTCACCCTCAGGCAGGGCAGAGGGCGGGACAGCCATTCACGGGAGTCCTCCTCGGACCCTCCTGCGCCCCTCCTGTACATTTCTCCTCAGCCCTCACTGCTCCCAAATCCTTAAGCCTTGGTCCTTTCGGTTGGCTCTCTCTTAATTCACACCGAATTCCAGAAGTGAGGCAGAAAGAGTTCTGCCTAGCACCCTAGGCATTGTGGATGCTCTTCCGGTGTATTATAAAATAAACAACGGAGCATGGGGAACACATATTCAGAGACTCATAGAAATAAACTCACAAAGACTCAAAGAGGGAATGAGAGAGACCAAGCCAGGATCACAGACACTGCGATATTCACTCACAGAGACATATATTCCAAACCCACAGAGATCCCCTCATATAGTCCCACATTCTGAGACAGAGCACCTCACACAGCCAGAGCCTCACAGAATGATACATTCAGAGACACACATAGAGACTTACTGAAATATAATCACACATACCCGCATAGGTAAATATCCAGACACATGCAGCATAATGGTGACACATAGGTGGAGACAGAAACAGAAATAGCAACACACTCAGACACATAGGCCTTCTGACACAGTTACACAGTCAACACATAGACACAGGCACACACAGATACTCCCGCATGCTCCCGCACACACACGCACACACACGCACACCCACGCCACATGCACATTTAGTTTTCCTCCATTTCTCCCGCCTTCCCAGATTGCAGGCCTGCTCCTTTAAGAACTGGCTGAAGGGGTGGGGGAGGGAGATTGGGAACGCCCGGCAATCAGCCACCACGAGAGGGGAATGAGAATGTGTGTGTGTGTGTGTGTGTGTGTGTGTGTGTGTGTGTGTGTGTGTGTCTGTGTGTGTGTGTGTGTGAGAGAGAGAGAGAGAGAGAGAGAGAGAGAAGAAAAAGGAAGAGGAGGGAGGGCGGGTAAAGTGGCTAAAGGGGTGGGGGCTCAGAGGAAATGAGGAAATGGGGAGCAAAGTATGGGGGGTAAGATCCCAGACACTGCCCAGAATGCACCCGGGTGTGGGGAGGAGGGGAAGGGGAAGGAAGGGGTAGGAGTAGGGAGGTGGGGCAGGAGGGAGTGGGTGGGTGTGTGTATTGGGGGGGGCATAGTCCGCAGCTGAGTTCACACAATCCCCCCATTCACCGTCTCCATGGCAACTCCAGGGCACAGACCGCTCATTCACACAGCTTCCCCACCAGCAACCCCCCCACATTAACCCCCTCGGTGCTGCCCCCAACCCACAAATTCCATTAACCCTTTCGGGATGCCCTCCTCTCCAGTAACCCTTCGGCGCCAAATGCCAAATTCTCCTTTGAGTCAATTCCCTGCAGCCCCTCCCCCGTGAACACCTAGACAATCGGACCGACCCCCAAACGCCCTCTGTACCCTAGGACCCACTGTGAATCCCCAAGGCCAAGATCTCCATCCTGGTCCAACTTGCAATTTGGGAGAAGACAAGGGGAGGCAGCAATGCCGGGGATGAGAATGGCATCTCGGGGTACTTTTGGGGCTGCAGCGGTGCTGGGCGCGGGGCATTGTGCAGGAATGGACCAATATTGAGAACTGCAGTATTGGGGGCTACGAGGGCTTGGAATGGATTGGGGGATGGAGTTGCACTGGAATGGGGGAGGATAGGATAAAGGCCTCCATTGGGTGGGGGGGCTGCAGATAGTGGGGGAGGGAGCCTGGCTATGAGATGCTATGATGGAAGGGGGATGGGGCTGCACTGCAGGGGAGGGGGGACTGGCAATGTGCAATCCCGGGATGGGGCTGGGGGCCCTCAATAGGGGTATTTTGATGAGCATGCGGGATGGGCTGTGGAAATAGAGGGACCATGGGCGGGAGGATGTTAGGGATGCGGGATTTAGGGAGGAGGTAGAAGGGAGAACAGAAGCGGGGGAGGATCGGGGGTCAGGGGTACCGATGGAGAACATGGGGTTGAGAGGGATGGGGGCCACTGGCTGGGGAGTGGAGGAGCCTGGGATTGGGAGGGGTTAGGATGGGGGCAAGGTATGGGCAGCTAGAGGATGAGAGACCGGGGCAGGCGGCCTCACCTGTTCCCCGGGCTGCTGCAAGCGACTGAACCGGGCCACGGACCACCCATATCGCCTCCAGGCCAAGGGCTCCGCACCCGAATCCCCGAGATCAGCTCTCCGGCAGCCTGGCTGCTGTGCCCGCGCACCGAGGGGGCGCGCTGCGCGTTCCCGGACACGGGGGGGCGCGGTCCCTGCCATTAACTCCTTTTGTGCCAGAGATGGCTCAAGTCCTGGGGCATGGCCCAATTCCCCCCATGCTCAGGCACGTTCCGCTCCCTCTCTCTCACGCGGGCGCGCACACACACCTCAGATTGCAAGCTATCAGACAGGTGATCTTCCAGGGCAGCTAGCCCAAACTTTACCCGCAAAGCTTGAGACTTTGTCCCAAAGGGAGAAACTGAGGCACTGCCTGCAGGAACCCTCAGTCATACTACACAAAAACACACCTCCACCTCAATCAGCATCCCTTATTTCTCAGCGCCAGCACTACCCAAGCAGCAACCAGTGGGGCCACTCTGCTCTCATCCTGTCACTCTCCCAAAGGTCAATGCTGTTCCCTTCTGCTGCTTCTGCTGGGGCATGTCAGACTGTCAGCATGCCAGTTGTCTGACCATTTCAGTCTCTCCCCTCCAGGTTCAGTGTCTTTGTGTCTTGTGTTTTTGTATGTGGCGCACCTGCCATTTGTTTAGCAACCCCCAAGCCCCTCTGAATGTCCCTCATCCCAGCCAAGCCTGTACTCCTGTGGCTCCTCAGAATGTTTATGTCAGGATAGAATAAGTGAGAAGAAAGCTTCAGTCATGTTTGCCTTTACACTGTTGGGGAGTTCCATTCCTTGTGCACGCAACTCTTAAACTTGGTAAGTCCCATATAAGCAAGGGCTTCGTGGGCCTCAAAGAGGGCTATTTTATTTTTTATAACTTGGGTACTGATTGGTGCTCCTGGTTTTGCCAGCACACTAGACACTTCCCAGTAATAGGGTGCAACTATGGCTTGCATGTTATCCTTAAGTTGTCAAATCATCCTGTACCACCCACTCACAAGGCTGAGGCTGATCCTCTTCCAGCCCTAGCTAGGCAGGGCAGAAGACTCCAAGACTCCATTGTAGTAAACCAGTTGGCTCTCCTGGACAGCCTTGGATCTAGAACTCAAACTGGAAAGCAAGAGGGCGAGAATGGCCCTGCCGCAGCTCCAAATGTGACTCTGGGGCAACAGTTTTGAGTTTTCTCTACTGTAAAATGGGAGCGAGCAAGTCATCCTGGGTAACTGCCAAGGTGGGTCACGTGAGAACAGGCAGTTCTGGCAGTAGGGCAGAGAGAGAAAGGGTGCTTATTTTTACTGGTCTCTCTTCCTCCTAGAACCAAACGGTCCTTCCACGACCTATTCTATGATGGCACATGCCAATGGAGGGCAATTTTTCATCCAGGAATGTGACTCTCAGGGAAGTTCTCTGTCCTATGAAAGGTATGCCACTTGGTGCATGATGGGGACCACACAAGATGACAAGAAGGGTAGGCAGTGTCTGTCATCTCCACCCTCCCCAGCTTGTTTGAGGCCCAACATCTGGGGTGTTGTGGAAGAAGAATCAGGTTCTATTGATGTTTCCCCTGGCCTAATGGCCCCTCCTCAATCCCAGCGGTATATCCCCCATGGAGGAAAGCTGTAAAGAAGCTCCAACATTTAGTTGAGAATGTTCATTGCCCCTTCTTAAAAGACTAAGGGGACGGGTGTGGTGGCTCATGCCTGTAATCCCAGCACTTTGGGAGGCCAAGGCGGGCAGATCACCTGCGGTCAGGAGTTCGAGACCAGCCTGGCCAACATGGTGAAACCCCGTCTCTACTAAAAATACAAAAATTAGCCAGGCCTGGTGGCATATGCCTGTAATCCCAGCTACTCGAGAGGCTCTGAGGCAGGATAATCACTTGAACCCAGGAGGTGGAGGTTGCAGTGAGCTGAGACTGTGCCACTGAACTCTAGCCTGGGCGACAAGAGCAAAACTCCATCTCAAAAATAAATAAAAAGAGACTAAGGGCCTATACCTTAATGTGTTGCCATGTTGAAGAAGAGGAAGAGAGGGTAGCAATCCAATTAGAATTAAGAAATTTAGGCCGGGCGCGGTGGCTCACGCTTGTAGTCCCAGCACTTTGGGAGGCTGAGGCAGGTAGATCATGAGGTCAGGAGTTCGAGACAAGCCTGGCCAACATGGTGGAACCCTGTCTCTACCAAAAAAAACACAAAAATTAGCCGGGCGTGATGGCACATAACTGTAATCCCAGCTGCTCGGGAGGCTGAGGGAGGAGAATCGCTGGAACCCGGGAGGCAGAGGTTGCAGTGAGCCGAGATCGCGCCACTGCACTCCAGCCTGGGCGACAGAGCAAGACTCCGTCTCAAAAAAAAAGAAAAAAAGAAATTTTAGAGTGTAAGGTAAACAGGGGAGATGATCAGAATAGAATGAAGACTCTGACTTGTTGGTCCAACCCCCTGCATTCTCCCAAGAGACCACCCTTCCCAGACATGCAGAACTCGCACACTCCCTTTGCAAAGAAGCTCTGTGTATTGGGTGCAACAGCTCTGGGGTCTCTATATAAATAATATACAAAACCCAACAGCTCAATGCCTCACATTAACAAAAATACTAAAAACTTATTAAAAATGGAGCCTGAGGGGAGGGCCCCAACCACTACTGGTGCTAGCCCAGGAATGGGATTGGGAATTAAGAGGAAAGGGTGGGGCCACATCCAGTGCACAAGCAGTTCCTCCAGGTGGCTCAGTAGCGTCCAAATATGTTGGTACTGGGCTGTGGCTGGGTATCTGTGAAAAACCAGAGATTATCAGGGATGGAAGACCAGGCAGGGGTGTGGGTATGCACGAGGAAAGCTGTTCAGGTATCGAGGGAAGGGGATGGAATGGAATGCCTCCTCTCATAACCTGGGCCTGAAGCTATCGTTTCAGCTACTTTGGCCCACCCCGCCCCCTAAATTTATTCCATGGGGTTCTCCTTGGGAAGGCAGGCAGGCTTACTAGAGAGCTGTTGTTGAAGTTGCCGGACCAAAGCTGCTGTCTGTTGCTGCTGCTGGGTCTGCTGAAGCCCCTGGCGCTGGAACTGGGTGGAAATAGGAAGTGGAAGACTGAAGTCGAACTTTTCTCCTTCTTCAACCTCCTTTCCCAATCCGTTTTTTTTTTTGAGATGGAGTCTCGCTCTGTCCCCCAGGCTGGAGTGCAGTGGCATGATCTTGGCTCACTGCAACCTCTGCCTCCCAAGTTCAAGCAATTCTCTGCCTCAGCCTCTTGAGTAGCTGAGATAACAGGCACCTGCCACCATGCCCGGCTTATTTATTATTATTATTTTTTGTATTTTTAGTAGAGACGGGGTTTCACCATCTTGGCCAGGCTGGTCTTGAACTCCTGACCTCAAGTGATCCACCTGCCTTGGCCTCCCAAAGTGCTGGGATTACAGGCGTGAGCCACTGCGCCTGGCCTCCCAATCCATTTTTAGGGTGCCATGCCCTGCCTCCCACCTCTACCCTATTCCATACTGTCCCCAACCCAGTTCACTGGCTGCGTGCCCAACCTGGGCAGCTGTCCCTGAGCCTGGGGCTGTAGTCCAGCAGCTACCTGGGGCTGGGACTGGGGCTGGGGTTGGGGAGGAGCCGCCTGTTGCTGCTGTTGCTGCTGGTGTTGCTGTTGTTGCTGTTGCTGCTGCTGCTGTTGCTGTTGCTGCTGCTGCTGCTGCTGCTGTTGCTGTTGCTGCTGCTGCTATAAGAACACAAAAGATACTTCAGAAGGAGCAGAGGGAGGAAGCTAAGCCTCAGAACTAAAGGGCTGAGGGCAGGGGATGAGGAAGCAGGGTGGGAGCTCGGGGTCTACTGCCTTCCCTTTTTAGACAGCTGCACAGAAAGAAACCAAATCTAGGGTACCCAGCAGACAATGTCCAACTCTCTCCCACTATGATCCCCAGAAAACAAAAAGGGGGAGGGTAGAAAACTTCTCCAGCACCACTAGAGGCCAGCCGCTCTGCTAGGTGTTTTGGTACACTGCCTTGTTTAGTCTCGGTAACTGTGTGGGAAGAACTTGTGCCTCTCTTCCTCCCTGGGCTCCCAGGTCCCAGATGAAATCCCAGTGCCTTACCCGCAGGATCTGCTGCTGCTGCTGCTGCCGGATGTGGTACTGCTGCTGCTGCTGCTGCTGTTGCTGTTGCTGCTGCTGCTGCTGTTGCTGTTGCTGCTGTTGCTGCTGCTGCTGCTGCTCAGGTAGGATGGCTGTTGAACGGACGCCTGCCTGGACGCCCTGGGCACTCATTGGAGTCATGGTACTTATCATGGGTGTCTGCTGCAGTGTCTGGTGTGAAAACCTCCAAAGATAAGAGGGTCAGAGGTCAAGGCATGAGGGAGGTGAGGAGAGGGGGTCAGTATAAACCTTGGGTCCCTGACCTGAAAGAAACGTTAGCAGGTTATTTCATTCATTCCTCGTGTCACTAACCAGACTTCCAGTCTGGGGAATAAGTTGCATAAGATGATACTCTATTTTAGTGTCTCATAACCTTAATGGTTAGGAATTTTTCAATTCTGCATTAGCTATTTTTCTGTTACAAAAATGAAAAATAGGGCTGGGTGCGGTGGCTCACACCTGTAATCCCAGCACTTTGGGAGGCTAAGGTGGGTGGATCACTTGAGGTCAGGAGTTCTAGACCAGCCTGGCAACATGGTGAAACCCCATCTCTAGCAAAAATACAAAAAAAAATAGCTGAGCGTGGTAGTGGATGCCTGTAATCCCAGCTACTCAGGAGGCTGAGGCAGGAGAATTGCTTGAACCTGGGAGGTGGAAGTTGCAGTGAGCCAAGATTGCACCACTGCACTCCAGCCTGGATGACAGAGCGAGACTCCATCTCAAAAAAAAAAAAAAAAAGAAAGAAAAGAAAAGAAAAAAATAGTCTTAGCACAAGATAGGCATTCTATAAACACTCATTGAGGTTTTTTGCTGTTGCTGTTGTTGTTCCCAAATAACATTTCAAGTTGTTCTACCACATGTGTATATCACTTCAAGAGTCTACTGGCCAGGCTCCCCGTCTCAAGTCTTCTTTTTTTTTTGAGACAGAGTCTCACTCTGTTGCCCAGGCTGGAGTGCAATGATGCGATCTCGGCTCACTGCAACCTCCACCTCTCAGGTTCAAGTGATTCTCTTGCCTCAGCCCCCCAAGTAGCTGGGATTACAGGCACATGCCACCACACCCAGATAATTTTTGTATTTTTAGTAGAGACGGGATTTCACCATGTTGACCAGGCTGGTCTCGAACTCCTGATCTTAGGTGATCTGCCTGCCTGGGCCTCCCAAAGTACTGGGATTACAGGCATGAGCCACCGTGCCTGGCCTGAAGTCTTCTTCTTGCACCTTCCAGTACACATCCTATCCATTCATTCCAAGGAACCTTGCAACATACCCAACTCCTCCTATCACTCTTCTGATCAAAAGAGCCCTTTCTGGGACTGCGTCTCAATTCTTCGGCTGAGCATTCAAGGCCATCTCTCAGCCTGCCCCCTCCTAGCCTAGCCCCAGTGACTTCCCCAGCACAGATTTTACACTCCATCCAGGCCCTTCTCCCCAGGCACCATCCTCATTCTGGTCCCCATGTCTTTGTTCACGTTACATCCTCTACCTGGAATGCCCTTTCTTTTCCTCTTCTCCACAAATCCCAATCACAGCTATTCTTCAGAGGCCAACTCAAGTCTGACCTCCTTCATGAAACATTCTCTGATGAGTCAGGCCCACAGATATTACCACGTACTTTTTCTCAATCCACATTTTACCTCATAGCATACAACTGCATACCTGATTATATCTTTGCTCAGAGTGTTCTCTCAATATTCTTCTATAAGTCTCATCTCCCCAGCTATAGTAAAGATTCTTTGTAGTGAGGAACTATGTATCGTGGGGGTTTTTTTTGCTATCTTTCTTCACCTCACCCAGTCCTGGTATAGTGCTGGCCACACAATGGGCAGTTAGCCCACTCCCCAGTGTTCTTAATCCTAAGCTTCAGAGTCTCTATACATGGTTACAAGGCCTCAACTAAGGCTTGACTAACGTTAACCATGGTGGGAGGATTCATTCATTTGTCCATCCTGGTATTTAACCTGGTATTCAAAGCCGGTACTGGCTTTACGACTCCTTATCATGTAGTTCATCTATGAACTCCAGATATTTTTTTCTTTTTCTTTTCTTTCTTCTTTTTTTTTTGAGACAGGGTCTCACTCTGTCACCACTGGAGTGCTGTGGCACAATCTCGGCTCATTGTGCGATTACAGCTCACTGCAGCCTCAAACTCCCAAGCTCAAGCAATCTTCCCACCTCAGCCTCCTGAGTAGCTGGGACTACAGGCATGCACCAACACGCCTGTCTAATTAAAAAAAAATTTTTTTTTGGCCAGGTGTGGTGGCTCAGTTCAAGACCAGCCTGGGCAACATGGCGAAACCCCATCTCAACTAAAAATCCAAAAAATTAGCTGGGCGTGGTGGTGTGTGCCTGTAGTTCTAGCTACTTGGGAGGCTGAGGTAGGAGGATCACCTGAGCCTCAGAGGTCGAGGCTGCAGTGAGCCATGATCATGCCACGACACTCCAGCCTGGGCAAATGGAGTGCGACTCTGTTTCAAAAAAATATGTATTTTTTTTGTAGAGATGGGATCTCCCTATGTTGCCCAGGCTGGCCTCGAATTCCTGGAATCAACTGATTCTCCCACCTTGGGCCCCCAAGTGCTGGGACTACCAGTGTGAGCTACCACACCCAGCCCAGATTTTTCCTTGAGTCAGATAAACAATTTCCCCTCTCTGGGCCTCAAAGAACTGTTAAGGAAGTAGTCATGAAACTATTGGTCTCCAGGGTCCCTTCCAGCTCGAGACTTCTGTGGTTATGGGCTATGTGGCCAGATAAGTATTCTTGATGTCTCCGAAAGTTCTGACCAGTCCCACCACTTTCAGGCACAGGCTTTCCCAAGTCAAATGCTCCCTTATACCTCTGCATCTCTTCCTAGCTCACCACTACTTTGGGTACCTTTGAGTGGAGGTCAGTCCATGTCCATAGGTGGGGGCCTGCTGGTGCACATAGCCACTGGGCCGCTGTTGCAGGTGGCGGGTAGGATCTACAAGAGTAGGATTGGTAGAAGGGTGGGTGCTCTGGTAAGGCTGGCTGGAGTAGCTGGGGGGCACCATGGTACCTGCAGGGCCTGTGTGTTGCTGCAATCCCACATGAGAAACATAAGGAGTATAGCCCTGGAGGGAAGAAGGAGAGAGGGAATCAGGGCCGAGAGTATGCAGAGCAGCTTGCCTCATCCCCCTAGTCTCACAATCCCAGGCTCTTACCTGGGAAGTCTGCAAACCGTAGGAAGAGCTGGGAGTCATCTGATGGACAGATGACTGTCCCAACATGCCCTGACTCTGCTAAAGGGAGAAAAGAGAACAACTCAAACTCAGGAAATGCTTGCTGCCATCTCATCTCTTGTGTCTCCCACCCTGAGTGTCCTTGTGAAGATCCCAAGTGTCTCCTCCGTCCTGTGACCCTCAAAAGCCCCTCTCCCTGACAGCCCTCCCTACTGCCCCTCTCACTATCTTTGCCTGGAGCTGTTGGCGAAGGCGCTGTCCTTGGGGCACCGCAGGTTGCTGCTGCCGGTACACAGAGGTCTTATAAGAGGAGGGTTCTAAACCCATGACGCCAGTCATGGTTGTGGGCAGCACTCCAGGGTAAGTTGGTCGGGTGGGCAGCTTCTGCATTGGTAAGCGCACAGGACGGTATGGGTCCACACGAGGGCCACCTGAAAAGGAGAGTGGGCTGACCTCTAGGCTCCTCATCCCTCTGTCTCTTGCTCAGTGTCCTTGACATCCATAGCTCCTCAGGGGAATGGCATCATCCTTTGGGCAGGGGGAGTGTACAGGTAGGTCCCTCCAGCATTCCTAGTGGCTGGCACTCACCTGCAGGTAGTGGCTGGTTCTGGGTGTACAGGCCTATGGAGCCTTGCCTGTAGTTAAGGTGTGTTATAGAACCAGGGTTTGGGTGGTGCAGGAGGTCCGGAGGCACTGTCACACCATAAGGGCCGCTCCGACCCGGGCCCATTCCATAGTCCTGTGTGAGTGGCAGAGGAAGAGGGTGAGTGGGTTGTAGCTGAATGGGGTCGGGGAGCTGGGGGAGAATGAGGTAAAGAGGAGCTGAATTCGTATATGGTTAATTTTTATTATGATTCTAATGGCACCCCTTCCTTATGCGCCCCCACCCCTCCCACAAACCAGAAACCGGAGCGTCATGAAGTGAGAGGCTGTGGGAGAACTGTCACGGGGGAGGCGCTCACCTCTGTCTTGGTAGCTGGCTGGCTGCGTTTCTTGCCCTTGGTGGACTTCTTCTTGCGTTCCTCAGTACTGGGTGGAGCAGCCCCCGGTTTGTCAGTTTTGGGGGGCTCTGGAGCCTTTTTCTCAGGCTCTAGCAGGGTAGGAGCAGGCGGCTCCTCATCTTCTGGGGGCAGTGGCAGTGGCTCCAGGTAATAGGCGCGGGGCCGGGGCCTCAGGTGTGTGTGGTAGAGCAGCAACCGCTGCTGCTCCTCTCCTCGAGCCACTCGCCGGTCCACTCGGACTGTTCCAAACCAGCCCCAAGAGAGTGGTGCTGACGGCTTCAACCCCTCAAAAAGATCCCAGGGCGAGATCTTCTGTTTGGTGGAAACCTGTAGACCCTGCTCCAGAAAATGAAAAACAATAAGCTGTTGGGACTTAGAAAACAGAAGACTGCAAGCATTTGTAGGAATGGGTAGAAAGAAAGTCATAGGCAGATTCAGGAGAGATGGTAAGAAGCAGACAGACAGACATGGATACACATATACATGCGGAAGAGAGTTATGCGGGGAGAGAGTGAAGGGTGGGGCACAGGGAGAGGTGTGGAGGCACAAGATGAAGCCAGCCCAGACCAGGAGAGGAGATGAACTAACGGGGCGGGGGGCGTGTGGGGAGAGAAGATCGGGAGAGAAAGGGGTTGGGGAGAAAGCCAGAGAGGGAGCGGGGAGGGAGAGGGATTGACATTCAGAGGAAGACAGAAAAAGGAAGGCAGAGAAAGAGAGAGAGGAAGGCAGGGAGAGACTCTGCCTTTAGGCAGGCCGAGAAAGAGTCAGAGAGAGAAAGAAACAGGAAGAGAGAGACAAAAAGGTGGAGAGACAAAGAAAGGCAAACGAGTCAGACAGGGAGAGAGACAGAGACGGAGGAAAAGAGACAGATGGACTAGGAAGACAGATGAAGAGAATGTATATATGAAGGAGTTAGACTTTGGGTTTTAAACTATACACAATAATTATGGTTACTCAACAAATACCGCAACTGACAGAGAGGGAAAAGATAAAAGTGTGCAGAGATGGGTGGGTGTAGGGAAACACAGAAATAAAAGAGATACAGGCTGTCGGCCAGATAGATGGGTGGGGTAGGACATGGGGCAGGTGGAGCAGAGGAAAGAGGAGGGTAGGGTATTGAAAAATGGGTGGTATGTTAAAAGGTGAGGGCAGGGTGAAGGAAAGAGGGTGGGACTTCAAAGATGGAGATGAAATGTAAGGAAAGTTAAGTGATTTGCTCAAAACCCCAGAGATGGTGTTCACCGGCAGAGACTGATGGGCTCCTGAATCTGATGAGTCTGTTGGAGCTACAAAGCTGATGCAGGCAAAGTTCTTGCCCAAAGGGGAAAAAAGGCAAGGGACACGGGCAGACAATGGAACATGCCTCCTTCTTGAAGATGGAATCGAAGCCAGCAATCTTGTTGCCCTTGGTATCGATAAGGGAGCCCTGTGGCTCACACGTGATGACATCTCGGGTCTGCTTGGGCAGTGGCAGCAGCTGGCGAACCTTTTCCAGACTGTCTGACTGGCGCTCCCCCAACTCCTTCTGCAGGCACAGGAAGATGGGACAAGAGTTCAGAGATACAGAAAACAGGGATGGGAAGTCTCAGGGGACAGCACAGAACCTGGCACAGAGAAGACCCCCACTCAGTAAATGCTCACGGCATGAGTAACAAAGAAAAGGCAGACGTGAGAAGGAAAGGTAGAGGGCTCCAGCCAGAAGCAAGTTCCTGAGGCTGGACAGCAGATTCCAGTAACCGCAAACCTTGCCCCCGCTTCCTCTGCTTACCTGCAACTTCTTCGCCAGGTTCATGTATGCACGCTTGTTTTCCTCCATGCTACCTTGCGAGATGCTAGACATGTCTGCAGCCAATGTCCCATTGATGAGCACGCTCAGCATGTCCAACACAGTAGTGAAGAGCTCACTGAGACAGGAAGCCAGAGAGAAAACCAAAGAAGAAAGAGGTGAAGATAGAAAAAGGCCTCAGCAGAGGACACAAGCAGGGAGAGGTGCTTAATATGTCATCCCAAGGGCACCAAAACTGTATGGGGAGCCCAGGGCCACGGAGTCCACAGTAACAGCCACACCAATCTCAGTGGGTGCACCTGGCATGGGAGTAGGGGGAGCTTCTTGGGTATGAAACTGCAGGGAGCGGGTGGGGATGCTTTACTTGTTGGACTGCATGTCGACAGTGCCGCTGATGATGATCTCCAGGAGGAGCATGGCCCACTCCGTGGTCTGCTGGGTGCTGCGCTGCACCGTGTCAAACATGCCCCCCACCTGCCAGGGCCACAACAAGTCAGTCAGATGGCTCAGGGACAAAGGCCAGAGTTTCAGGAAAGCTTAGTTCCAATCTGAGTTGGGACGCCTGAGTTCATGCTTGAGTTTTTTTTTTTTTTTTTTTTTGAGACGGAGTCTCGCTCTGTCACCCAGGCTAGAGTGCAGTGGCGCGACCTCGGCTTACTGCAAACTCCGCCTCCCGGGTTCACGCCATTCTCCTGCCTCAGCCTCCCGAGTAGCTGGGACTACAGGCGCCTGCCACCACGCCCAGCTAATTTTTTTTGTATTTTTAGTAGAGACGGGGTTTCATCGTGTTAACCAGGATGGTCTCGATCTCCTGACCTCGTGATCCGCCCACCTCGGCCTCCCAAAGTGCTGGGATTACAGGCGTGAGCCACCGCGCCCGGCCATGCTTGAGTTGAGCCTATGATTTGCTACATGATCTCAAGACAATGACGGAATTCTTGACGTCTCTAGGCCTCTGTTTCCATACTTAGAAAGTGATGGGAATTGGACAGAATGATTTCCAGGATTCCATTCAACATTCCACAGTGGGTTTCCAGTGCTTCTAGGGCCCAGTCAGAATCTAGGATACTGAGGCAGAGGCCCTGCAAGGATCCAGGGTACATAACCTATTGGACCATGACCACAGTGATCCAGCCCCCTTAACCACTTTCAGTCCCTGCATACTTTCAGAGAACAAGGTTAATACTTCAAGACTCAGGCTGGGCACGGTGGCTCATGCCTGTAATCCCAGCACTTTGGGAGGCCGAGACAGACGGATCATTTGAGGTAAGGAGTTCAAGACCAGCCTGACCAGCATGGTCAAACCCCATCTCTATGAAAAATACAAAAATTAGCCAGGTGTGGTGGTACACACCTGTAATCCCAGCTACTCAGGAGGTTGAGGCACGAGAATCACTTGAACCCAGGAGGTGGAGGTTGCAGTGAGCTGAGATGGCGCCACTGCACTCCAGCTTGGGTGACAGAGTGAGACTCTGACTCCAAAAAAAAAAAAAACCCTTCAAGACTCAGAATAACCTGGGGCCTCTATCCTTACCCCCATTCTCCCCAACCTGAGGCTTTTGCACTCCGCATTTCCAGCCCTACCCTCTTCCTTCTTCTCCCCAGCTGGCCTTCTCACCAGGTTGAGCCGCAGTTTGAGTGCCTCATGCATAAGCTGCTTTGGTTTGCAATCATCTAAGTACTGGTCATCTCGCCAATTATTCACAATCTAGAATAGAAACAAATAAAATATGCAGCTCAGGGATCTTCGTGTTTCCATCCCACAGCAGCCAATATGTTTATCAGAAAGTACTGAAGTTTCCAAGTACAGAGTAACCCCTTAGGTGCATCCTTCCCTGACCTCCTGCCCACCTCCATGGCCCAGAGATCTGTACCTGGTGCACCTGGCTGTAGAGGGAGGTAAGGAGTCCCTCGCGTTGTTCATCCTGCCCTTTCAGACATGTTAGCACCAGCGATAAGAAGGGCTGCTGGCTCAATAGGGACATGCTAGAGACAAGAGAAAGAAGAGAAGAGAAGAGAAGAGAAGAGAAGAGAAGAGAAGAGAAGAGAAGAGAAGAGAAGAGGAGAGAAGAGGAGAGGAGAAAAGGGAGACTGTGGGTTGGGAGTCAACTTCCAACCTCATTCTCCAGACTACTCTCTTAAGATCTAGCCTCTTGCTCAGCCATGCCCACTCTTATCCTCTGATTTTCCACTTTCCTATGATGCTTCTCCTTGGCCCATTTTATTCTTCCCCGGGCCTGCCTCTTCTCCTTTCTACCCCTCAATCTTGGTCCACTCCCTAAGCCCCTTTACCTCTTCTGCTTTTGTCGATCACGTTCTTTGCGTGAAGAGGAACCCAGGTGCTGACCCTTCTCCAATTCTTCCCCAGCAGCCTTTAACACATGTCCCTGGACTGAGGTGGGCAGTTTAGCAATGAGGGGGGCCACCAGCCATACACCAGAGCGCTCTAGAGAGCTGGAGAACAGACAGAGGACACAGGGTCACAGGGGAGCCAGGCAAGGCTGGAACAATCTATCCTCTCCTTTCCCTGATGGACATGCTGGCATCTCCACGCATCTGATATCACTCACGCTACCAGCAGATAAACTCCTAAGGGGATGGGTCCTAACATGTTTCTATCCGACCTGAGCACAGGCTTGGTCTTGCTGCTGCTGGGCATGTTGCTTGCAGTACTTCCAGAAGATGACCCTGTCTCTGCTGACTGTTGGAAAACCTCGATTGTGGCCTTGGCGATGTTCTCCAAGAGGGAGTTCATCTCCTGGGGAGGATGAAAGGCACAGAAGTGCTAAAATAGGTAGCTAAGGGTGAAGGAAAGCAGATGGTAGGAGAGATCGGAGATGACGGAGAAGGACAACACTGGCGGAGATTGATGGGGAGATAGGAACGCAACTCTGTTGGGAATCATGCCCTCTAGTACCTCCATATTTCTCCAATTCCTCACTGTCTTCTCCTTTACATACCTCCTTACATCTATGGCCAGAGAAACAGGCTCCACCACCACCACCAAGCTTCCCCACAGCTCAGAGCTCCAACACTCTCAACCCATTTCCCTTATCATCAGCTCCACTTGTTCACCATTTTCCCATCCCCTCTTATCTCTCAGCTCAAGAGCCCAAGGGTAGGATCTAGGTTCTTCTGTGGTGGACCGCCTCCCTGACACATGGAGCTGAACGTGAGCACAGGAAAGGGAGGGTCCAGGCACTACTCACATTGTTAGGGGTCTGCTTGATCATGAGCTGCAGCTCCAAGGAAGACTGGCGCATGGTCCACTGGTCCAAGTTCTGTGATAGAGGCCCCACACCCAGGCTAGTCATCATCGTGTTACCCCCAGCTACCCAACAATCTGAGGCCAATTCCTGATCTCCTGCAACATTGAATCACAGACTCCTGGAGGTCTGAAAGGGACCTCTATGTCCCCATCTTTAAGAAAGACTACATTTAGGGAGGCTGAGACAGGCGGATCACCTGAGGTCAGGAGTTCAAGACCAGCCTGGCCAACATGGCAAAACCCCATCTCTACTAAAAATACAAAAATTAGCTGGGCGTGGTGATGGGCGACCTGTAATCCCAGTTACTCAGGAGGCTGAGGCAGGAGAATTGTTTGAACTTGGGAGGCAGAGGTTGCAGTGAGCCGAGATCGCACCACTGTACTCCAGCCTGAGCGACAAGAGCGAGACTCCGTCTCAAAAAAAAAAAAAAAAAAAAGACTACATTTAAATAGTCCAAACTAGTTGAAAATCTTTCCAATTTTTAAAATAGTTCAGGAAAGATTTCACATCTTTCCCATCCCTTCGTATCAGGAAGTTCTGCTTAATGCTTAACCTTGAAACCCTTGATGTTAAAGTTGAAGCCTGCTTCTCTTGTTTTAGACCAGCTGCTCAAAGTCCCTGACAGAACCTTTATAAGACAATCTCTCAAAGTCCTGTAGAGACCAGAAGGCTACTGTTAGCTAATCTCTCTTCAACACTATCTCTTCTGGGCTGAAGAGACCTTATTCCTTTAGCTTTTCCTCAACGGCTTTATTTTTCCACTCTCTGGTCATCTGAAGGTGTGAAGCAATGTGAAGAGGAAAGTGCACAGACATGTCTGGGTTCACATATTGACTCTAAACTTATGGGCTATGTGACGTTAGACAAGTTACTTAACCTCTTCAAGCCTCAGTTTCCTCATCGGTCAAACAGGGAGGCTCACCTACTTCATAGGGTCATAAAGATTAAATGAGGAAATGTGTGCAGAGTGCCTAGCACAGTACCTGGCACAAAGCACATGCTCAGCAAGTAGTAGCTATTACTATTCAGTTCCTGAGCCATGGCCAAAATGCCAAATATACACGGCCCACACCTAGGCCTCCCAGATGCTATGCTTCCCATTGATAAGCTAGATTCACTCCAGATAGCTATGCCCTCACCTAATACTCTTACACTGGAGTCTAGACCCTACTGGACTTACTCCTCAGCCCATGCTGGAGCTGTTTCTCTCGCTACCTCTCCCCTCCCCTATATCCTTGTTTGTCTTCCTCTCTACTTAACTGCCCCTCTCCTTTTCTCAAGGTTCCTATTGTTTCTCCCCAGATTGGGCCCACTGCTTCCTCCACAGCCCCCACGGCCTTGGCCTACCTGGAGAATGCGCTTTATGCGCTGCCGCTGGGGGTTTTCCCCATCCTCATTGTCCAGCAGTCGATGTGGATAGCAAATGAGCTGCATGAGGCGCTGCGCCTGGGCACTACTCAACACTGGGTCTTGCAGGTCATTGCTGTCCTCACACAGAGACTTAAGGCAACGTTCTCCTACCCATTCCTGAGGAAGCTGACAATCAGGGACTGGGAACAACCAGTGAGGGGGTTAGGAATATGGGGGATGGGCTGGAGTTGTTAAGGAACACAATGTATAGTAGGGAGCTGGTGTGATCATGGGCTGGAAACAGAACTATATTACACAGAGGCATTTAGGAGGTGTGGGAGGAAGGTGAAACTGACCTGTTGGCAGATGCTGCGCAGCACGTACTTGGCATAGACATCCAGACTGGCTGTCTCCACAGAGATGTTGCGGCCACCCTGCCTCCGACCACCACTGCCACCTCCTCCCTCCTCCTCTGGAAGTTCTTCTGTTCCTCCTGTCACAGTGAAGCCTGAACCTTTCAGTTCCGCATCCCCTGTGGTTCACGGGTGGGAGATAGGGAGGGCAGAGTGAGATTGGAACACGTGTGGAGACCCACCCTGGGCCCACAGAGGTAGAAACACCCCAAATCCTGCCCTATGGGACAGAAATATACTTCTCTCCCTCCCCTCCTCCCCAAAGGTCAGAGAGACCACCTTCAGAAGGGAGAAAGACTGTCCCTTGTAGTTTAGCTGGCACTCCACCCTATACACACTTCTGGCACCACTCCCTTCCTACCCCCGTACCAAGTACAAACACAGCCTTGAGAACAGCAAACACGGCTCCATCCACGATGCGGTTCTGGGAGGCAGCCAGCAGGTGGCGGTCGCAGGAGGAGCGGATTCCTACTGTAGGCTTGTCTGGGGAAGGCGATGAAGTCAGGGGAAGCAAAAGTAGAATCCACGGAGGCAGGGGAACCACACTTTCTACTGTTGGCTGGTTCAGATCAGGGTCACTTACTTCCATCAGACTGGCAAGGATTGAGCTGCGGTGTCTTGAAAAGGTGAAGGAGGATGCGGCAGGTAAGCCGGGCCCCTGGCTCAGAGTCCTGTTCACTACAAGCTAAAAGGAAGACAAAACAGATCTGGAAGGGATGAAGTTAAACTGTATGTGGGTTTATGTGTGTGCGTGCCTGCATGCATGCAAGTGTATGGCAGGGGCATGGGAGAGAAGATGAGGTAAAGTGAAAGGAGAAAAAGCAAGATAATATTGAAAGCGAGGTAGAGCAGAGAACTGTTACGCAGTTGAAGGGTCAGAAATTGGAAAGGTCAGGGCTGCAAATCCAGGGCTAAAAAACAGGTTTCTTCTAGCCTTCAGCATACCAAAGGACTGGCCTTCTGAGGAAGGCCAGGGAGCCGCAGCAAGGTCTCCCACAGTGAACAATGAGAGGATGGCCGTCCAGTGTGTATTGAAATTTGAGGTCTAGAAATGCTAGGGGTTACAGATTGGTAGTTCACCAGCATTAAGGAGTGAAGGGATGGCAGCACAGCGAATCAGATCTTCCAGGAGCAAACACTGCCGAGCGATGAGGATGGCAACAAAAGTAGCCAGCGAGTCATGAAAAGATAGGTCACTGACCTGGAGGAAAAAACAGACAGACACCATGACTCAGTGTGGAGGCCCACTCAAAGCGGTGTGCCTCCACTCTACGGAACTCTGTCCCTGGTCAGAGGATCACAACCAGCCCCCTGCCCTGGTCACTGCCCCACTAGCAAAACCCCACCCCAAGTCTCACATCAACATTGCAGAGGAGATCGTTGAAACCACAAGTGCCATTGTTAGAGGAGCAGCACAAGGCCTTAAGCACTCCTAGCCATTCTGCACTCAGTGACTTGCAATAGCCGGTCAGCTCTGCACACAGGATTGCGATGTCATTCACCCTAGGGAAAAGTACAAATGCCCTCAGGAAAAACCTTGCTCCACAAAACCTCAGACCCATTAACTTCTCATCTCTGCCCCACTAAATAATCAAGGTTGTAGTACCTCCCGGGTACCTCAGCCCTCCCTATCTCAGATGGGGGCATGGTGCCCTTCCTCACTCAGTACACCCCATACCTATCGGGATCATGGTGCCCCACACAGACGTGCATAAGGGCATTGCAGACAAAGCTGTAGCGGTTAGCAGGGTTCTCACTAAGACTCTTGCCTAGCCCCGTGTAGGTGAAGGTGTGAGCTGCAGGGTTCTCTAGAGTGTCGATCATGAACTCAGGTGCCCAGCGCATATTTGATTCCGATGGCTCCACGTTGCAGTAGATGGTGTTCTTCACCTTTGAGCAAAAGTCGCTGCAGGGATGGAGGAAAGGAGATAGTAGTGTTGAAGAAGGCCTGCTGAGGTCGAGGGATGGTCAGGAAAGGGGAGAAAAGAAAAAAAGGAGAAAGTGAGGGATGAAGGATCTTGAGACAAGAAAAGGGAGATGGGACAAAACAGACTGGGCAGGAAAGGAACCACATGGGAATAAGGAACTGGGGCCTCTGAAGGCAGTGAGGAAAAGGGGGAAGAGGGTGGGCCCCACAGATATAGGCGGGGAGCAAGCCTGCTGAGGAAGAGGGCCCACTCTTGGTAACACAACAGTATGTGGAGGACACAGTCCACAAATGACCCTAGACAGGCAGCAGGGTCCCGGGCCATCCTCTCCTCCTGAGTTGGGTGGTCATGGGAAGAAGGGAGTAGGTCCCACTCGCTACCCCTTACCTTCCACCTCTCTTACCTGAAGAGCTCCCCAAATTTGTTCTTTAAATGGCTACAGGAGGTGTACAGATCATAGAGATAAGCAAGGATACAGCGCTCTGCAGAGGAGCCATCGGACCGGTTCATCCCATGCTTCACGACGCCACACAGCCTGCATGAAGAAGCAAGGTTGGGAGGGTCAGCAGATGGTATGCGGGCTCCTCCAAACAGATTCAAGCCTCTGGGAAATACCATTCTTTTCCCACCTGAGCAGCAGGTGCTTCCCCAGAGTGTGAGGAAGTGCATGCTCTTCCCAGGCCACTTCCACCGGCATTCGCCAGAGCTTTGTTTCAGTTATTCCGAAGCTCTGCTTACCCCTCAAAGACCTGTGCCATCTGGTCCTGGTTGAGGATGAGGCAGGCATGATAGTGCCGCAGGACAGCCACGATGCACAGGCACAGGCTAGTAGTGTAGCTGCCCACCAGATCCGAGGATTTGAGAAGCAGCTCAGCCTCAACTACACTCAGTTCATTCAGCAGCTAGCAGAGTAAACGGGGGTGAGAAATGCAAAGAGGCCCCTTGTGTTACATAGAAACCACCTTCCTGTGGGGACGCTGGCAAGGCTGGGCCTGAGCCCCTTCCTGCTGGAGCCACCACAGGATAGAAGGGCTCGTTACCCTATGCCACAGTCTATCAACAACACCTCTATTGATAGTTTATTGTTGATAGTTTATTCTATCAACAACACCTCTAACCAGTGTCCAGGATACAGTTCTATGAACTCCACAGTGGGAGGATGGTCTGTGCCCAATGCTCTAATCTGCCTCTTGGCCTCCCCAGGGAGCACTTAAGTCTCTATTCCTGCAGTCTTAGCTCATGTTCCACTCCCCCCATGCTAGTCTTTCTGCCCCTTCAAATAGCTTGGGAAACTGGCTGGAGCCTCTACGCCTGTCCTTATGACCCTCCGTAGCCGCTATATGGCATGAACTCCTGCCTCCACCCTCATCTCCCCAACTTCCCCACCTGAATGGCAAAGTCGATGAGGCCACTGATGCTGAGTGAATATTCCATGAGGTCGAAGATGAACTGCACATGCTGCACCAGAGGCAAGTGGTATGACATGCCAAGGGCAAAGCTCGTGATCTGCTCCAGAACATTCCGGGAGACCTGATAAGGGCAGTGGGAGTGAGATGGGAGTGGAGAGAGGAAAGAACCAGGGAAGGAGGAAAGGATGACACTGGAAGGGGATGAGACCAGGAGGCTTAGCCTGCCTAGCAGGGAGAAGATAGGGAAGAAAAGGAAAACAGAACAGGAGGCCAGAATGTGGGAAAGGGGCTGGGCTTAGGCCCACACCTGAGCCGTGACCTGGTGTTGGTCATAATGTGAAAGGTGCTGGAACTTAGCAAAGATATCTTCAGCAGTGGGGAAGGCTTCAGGCCGGTTGCGTCGCCGCTTCTGCCCATCCTCCCCACCTGAGGGGACAGTTGAAAGGGACCAGTCAAGACAGGGAAGATAACTAGTTGACTAGGGGTGGGGAGTGGGGTATGGAGAGAAGGCTATGGGAGGGAGGGAGGGAGAGATGGAAGGAGGGAGGGAGGGAAGGAAGGAAGAGGGAAACAGGGAAGGGAGGGTCAAGGAAGGGATGGGGGAGGAATGAAGGGAAGGGGACAGTGAAGCAAAGGTTTAGAGGACCACAGACTATGTGGACCTTAAAGGAATATGTACAGGGAGGTGCTAGGTTCAGGGAGGGAAGGGAGAGGGAGGGAGGGCAGTATGGGGCTTACTGTGAGGTACCTAAGAATGTCAGGTCTCCAGGATTCAGAGGCACAATAGGAGCAAGCTGGTCTGTAGAGGGGGGGAATGAGGGGGGAAGTTTCAAAAGGACTAGAGCTCTCAGGAGACTCCAAGAGACAGGACATTGGGACATGACTGGGGAGTTCCCTATACTGGGGAAGGGAAGACTGACTAGGGCATTCTTTGGGGGAGATCTGTTTAAGGAGCCTCAAACCCACCAGTTTCTGCTGTCCCTTTGCGGTTCAGAACCTTCAAGATATCCTTGGTGATTTTCTTGATGGCATGGCGGGCATCATCTCGCTGCTTTCCCACCCCAAACAGTACGACCAACCGCTGGTTGCACTCATGGCTGCATGACTCCTCCTGCATCCCAGCAGCACCATCAGACTCCAGCACCGATCTCCTTCCCTCCTCTTGAAAGCATGCTCCACACCCCTCAGCATCCACATGCTAAAGCCCTTCCCTTTCCCAACCCACATCCTCAGAACAGCTCCAACCCCTCAGCAAATTCCTTTGACAGCAATCTGGGTTCAAAACAGATCATCACAAGGTGCTGGGGAATAGTACCTGGGGGATGGGAAAATGGGTGGCGTACTGCACGTGTCGTGGCTGGTCGTAAAGAACCCCAAGGGTCCCTTCAATCTTCTCCTTGGGTGGGGGCTTCACCTCCTTCTCGACATCTGGCTTCTCAGGGGATGGACTGCCCTTCCCCTCACAGGGCATAGTAGGGGAGAACAACTGAGAGAAAGGTGAGAAAGCAGAACATGAGAAGAAGGAAAGTGGATGAGGGGGCAAAAAAACATGCCAAAAGCAGGCATAATGGGAAGATCCAAGGATCCAGATTCTGCCACGCTCAGGATTGAACTTACTGAGAAATCAGGCTTCTCCATGTCCTCAAAGAGAACACTGGAACTAGGGTCAATGTCCATAGATTCTGAGAGCCCTGGATCCTGAGGGCATAGAACATAAGCGAAGTTGCTTTAGCCCTAGGGAGTGGCTCCCACCATCTGTAAAACTTCATTGGGGAAGTGGAGAGAGAAGACCAGATTGGGGAAAGCACAGGATCTGGAGTCAAGCCTCATCCAATCACTTAACCAGTATAGGCCTCTGTTTTCTTCAGTTTGAAAATGGGGATAAGAGTACCTCACAAGGCTGATGGGAGGAACCAATGAAACAATTGATGTGAGAGTGCTTGGTCAATCACCAAGTGCTAAGAAAAATACTACCCCCCTCCCCCAGGCAAAAGAGGCTCTTAGAGGCCCCTGGGAGCCATGAAGATGGAAATGTCAGAAGAAACGATCTAGTGCAAGGAAAAGCCCACTCACTTCCAGCTTGCTGCTGCTGCTGCCTTCAGCCTCCTTGTGCTCTGGGTCATCGGCAGGATCATCAAAGGGAGAGGGAGGCCGGGGACCAGGGGCTCCAAAGGCAAGGTCCCCTCGGGAGATGAGAGTGCAAGTATACATGTTGTGGGAGAAAACATCATGTCGAATCAGTTCACAGAACAGCAGTACTAAGTTAAAGAATTCCACCCGCTCACTCTCACTTCGAGGGTCCGCTGGAGGAAGGGAATGAGGAAACATAAGTTAGGAGAACACAAAAAGGTGGGCCAAAAGAGAGAGGGACACACCTAAGGCAATAATAAGAGTGATCAAATAGAAATCCCAGAAATTGTTGAGGGACAAAGTGTGGTTGGTTACCCCACATGCTGTCCCACACATCATCTCAGAAAGGAATGTAACATCTTTGTTGCGATTTATGCAGTGAAAATGCTTCAATCACAAGCTCTTGTTTTTATCCTTCTCTGTATTTCTCTACTCTGTTTAACTGTAAGATGACCAGTTAAAGAGGATCACTAGAACTACATCTAAAAGTCATTCTGCATAGAGCCCAAGAGAGAAATATAGACCAGAGGGCTGTTAATTATGCTTTCTGATGACAGTGGTGGGTAACTGAGTCTAGGCAGAGGTAACTAGAGAGTGGTAGGGGTCCGTACTCAGCATGGGAGCCTGTGTATCCAGAAACTGCAGGAGGACATCCTGGAAAATGGGAGCACTGGGAGCAGAAAGGGAGCCAGAGGCGATGGAACCCTTCTCATCTGCGGCTTCTGATTCTCCACAACGCTGCAAGATGACAGAACAAATTGTAGAACTGACTTTTACCTGCTTCTTCACTCCTCAATGTGTAGGCCTTAAACTACCACCTGCTTGACCTCTACCCCATGCTTTTCACTTTCATTCCCCTGCTGACCTCCATGTTCTTTACCACCTCCCAACTGAAGCCTTGATGTTATCTCTAACTCTTACTACAATCCACTCTTCTCTACTTTCGCCTCACGTCCGTAACTTTGCCTTTAGGTTCTCTTTTGCTTCTTTACTCTGTTCTCACACCTTCAACTCTGGTCCCTCCACCACCTCCATCTCTCGGTCTCCAACCGCAGTAAATTCCTTCCCATTGGCCAATCTTGTTCTCTTATCTCTGCCCTCTAACCTCAGCCTCAATCTCCGCCTGTCTCTTCTCCAGGAGCTTGGCTACCACCATAGCACGATGCCGACCAGAACGCTTGCAGCTGACAGCCCATTCACATAGCAATGACACCACAGCATCATCATCTGAGGAGATCTGGAGAACAAAGGAAGAGAAGGAGGAGTAAGGTAGGGGTGGGGACAAAGAAATGAGTTCCAATTTCCTAAAGACTGGGCTCTATCATAAAACATCCTGGGCCCAGTAAGATCATTTCTGCAGATATGCTCTGCTTTCAATGCCTCACCATGACTTCCCTCTCAGACATATTATTGCTCTTGCAATGTTTTTTGCTCCTTCTATTCCCCTTTTCGCTTACCTCATGCCCATCCTTGCTAGGTCCCAATCCAAAGATTCGGTTACAAAGGGAGTCAAGAGAGTTGCTGAAGTCAGAGCGTTCAAAACTATGGCTGTCCAGCACTTCCAAAGTATGAAGTACCCGTCCAATGGTGAAGCCTAAGGAGGAAAAGTGGTAAAGGGGACTGAACCAGAGGCCCGGTGCATTCTGGCTCTTAGATCTACATGTCCTTACTATCCCCATCCTTTCCTCAAACATATTTCCTATTATCTGTTCTCTGACACATACCTGCAGTAGCTTCCTGGCATTTATCGAAAGACCAGCGAACTTCAACTGCCTGTCCCCGCTCCTTGATCTGCTGCTCGATCTCCCGCAACTTTGCACGGACCTGCAATGTTAAAAAGGAAGGCTACAAGGATGTACCAAGGCATATAAAAGGCCAGAGCCCCAGGCTAGAAGAATAGTACTAGACTCCAAATCACTACTTCTGAAAGAGTAATTTAGCCTCATAGCCCAATCTGAGAGTACCAGGCTAGTGGTCAGACATACCTGCTGAGTGAAGGCACTGTTACCCTCTGGCATGGGCAGGTTGGACGGGGCAATAGGCAAGTGGTCAAGTGGTGAGCCGGTCTTAATTCTGCTATCAGTCAGTGAGTAGTGCCAAACCAAGGCACTAGGACAGCACAGGAGGATGGTCTACCAGATAGAAACAGCTAAGTCCAACTCATTCACCATGGTTACCCCTCTGGAATCCCATTCTAAGACCCAACCCGTAGATTCCAGATCCAAAGTTATTCTGACTGGGTCCCCAAGACAGGCATCACTCCACCCCGATCCCCTCCCTTCACTCACTTTCCTAAAAGGCTTTGGGCCCACTATTTAGCCTTGGAAGGGAGAGAGAGGCTGGTGAAAACCCCCAAAGGGGACTAACACCCCATTACCAAGAAACAACAACCTCCAAGCAAGTACTCAGCACCTACTCCCACATCCAATTTGGAATTACCCCTATTCTCTGGGATGGGCACCTGATTCTTCTCAGGCTATCTCTCAATGCTTCCTTGGGCCCGCCTAGTACCTACCTGTAGGATACAGCTGAGGCCAAAAACCAGGGGCCGGTGCTGAGGGCACATAAGCAGGTCACTAAAGGGAGTCGAGGGTGTGCTGCTAGTTGGGGGCTGAGGAGCAGGGGTGGTGGGTAGCGTGCTTGTTGACTGAGCAGATATAACATGAGATGAGTGACTGCTCACACCATCCAGCTGCAGGGCCAGTCTCCGTGTACAGAAGTAGGCAAGCCGGCGGGACAGGTATGCAGACTGAACAAATTCCCCAGAGTACTGTGAAGACACGACCATCAGAGCCCCTAGTTCTCTCCAGGGGACCCTGCTCTAACATTTTATTCTTCCTCAAATTCTTCTTAGACTCCCCCTGCCCCACCAGTACCAAAATTCCAAGCCTTACTCGGAGAAGCAGAGGCAGCAGCAGTTTAAGCAATTCATCCTCTCCAGGGCGGATCTTCTCAAAACACTCAAGCACCCAGGTCAGGAACTCATGTCTGTCCAGCATTCCATCCTATGGGTACCAGGGGAGGGAAGAGGGGACTATTAGAGATGAAGCAGATAAAGTAAATGAAAAGATGAAGAGAACCACAACTGGGGCAAGGTGGCAGGCAGATTCTGTTCTCTACTGGCAGAGTACAAGTTCAAGCTCAACCCAATGCCCCACACAGCATGCCCTACTCTCTACCTGAAACATGAACATGGCCAGCTTCTCGGTGTAATCCCACTGCCGGATTGCCACCTCTACATCATGGGGCAAGGGCCCTATCGTGGAACCACAGCCCCCACTTCCTGCAGGCCCTGGCCGGTAGTATTCAGCCATCTTCTGTAACTGCTCCCATAAGTACTTGGTGATGATCTGAGTCCATTCTGGAGGAAAGAGGGAAAAAGGGCTATTTGATACTATCCTTCTGCTTAGAATATCCTTCTACTGGCTGGGTGCGGTGGCTCATGCCTGTAATCCCAGCACTTTGGGAGGCTGAGGCAGGTGGATCACGAGGTCAGGAGTTCGAGACCAGCCTGGCCAAGATGGTGAAACCCCGTCTCTAGAAAAATACAAAAATTAGCCGGGCGCAGTGGTGGGCGCCTGTAATCCCAGCTACTCGGGAGGCTGAGACAGGAGAATCACTTTAACCCGGGAGGTGGAGGTTGCAGTAAGCCAAGATCCTGCCACTGCACTCTAGCCTGGGTGACAGAGTCTTGCTCTGTCTCAAAAAAAAAAAAATCCTTCTACTTAGAATACCTTACCCCCACCCCTAATCACCATATTTGTAAATTCAGTTCATCCTTTTAGTCTCTAGTCAAATCCCACCTTCCTAAAGCCTTTCCGGGTACCCCCATAAGAAAGTAATCTTTTGTCCACTCAAAGAACCTTCTGCTCCTAGCTTGACATTCACCACTTTCTATATTTAATTATGTTATTTGTACATATACCTTAGCAGCCCTGTTAGACTACTAGTATCCTAGGGGCAGAGATTATGCACCGGACATCTTTGTAGCCCAGTATATGCGCACAGTAGACACTCAAATTTCTCAGTGTTTACTGATCAAACAAATGCAAGAAACAAGCAGAAACAAGGAATCTAGATTAAGAAGGAGGATGGTTCCAAGGGTGTCTCTATCACTCCTTGAAGCCATCAGCAGTACACCTGGTGTTAGGAGTTACTCACCCATGAAAGGGTCAACATGTCTCTTCTTAACCTTGGTCTCAGAGATTGCTGCATAGTAGGCACAGGTCATCTTAATGAGCCAGGCAGCCCGCATCACAGGCACTGTGTATTTGGCTAAGTACCCAAACACCTCTTCCTTCTTACTGAAAATGGGGACCTGGATGGACATTGCAAATAGTGAGGTCTCTATTATCCCCATGAGCTGACACCCATGTAGCTTAATATGGGAATAGGAGGGTACTTGGTACCCCATGCTCCCTCCTTGGCCTGAAGGACAGGAAACAGTACCTTACCTTTTTGGCTAGTTGCGTGAGTGGCTTGGTGCCAGCCAAGTCAGTGAACCAAGTGTTAATGGCACTCTGGGATCGTGCAGTCACCAGCCAGAAGTTATCCTTCTGGTTCACTTGGGGCTTCCTGCGACCAGTGTCAGGAAGGGTATTACAACGTAATTTCTCTGCAATAATGCTGCTGAAGTTGGAACTGATCTGAGGGAAGAAAAGTGTACCTCAGGGTGGGAAGAAGGGGCAGACAGGTGGTCCTGCCTTTTGCTGGGCAAATGCCAATGAGATAGTATTAGGTCATGAAGGCAAACTCAGCCACTTAGGTTGTCCCTATAAGTCTTCCCAACCCAGGGCCTTTGCTCCTTCTTAGATTCTTCCAGCCTTTTCCTTCAGCCTGGCAGAGTTGTCTCACCTTGGCAGGATTGAAGCTGACGTTCTTGGCACTGCCATGCTCATCCCCAGAGACAGCAGGCTGGTTATTGAAACCTTGTTTTACATTCAAGGCCGTCAGTTCATCCTGAGGCAGGAAAGCGGCGTTTAGTTGTTTTTTCCTTAGGGGAAGGGGGAAGGGGTGGGAGAGTAGGGCAGGAGAAAAGAAGGAACAAGGTGAAAGGGCAGGAGGAGGGTTCCGTGTAGAACAGATCGTTACTTAAAGCTGGGCCCTTACGTTCACTTGGACCCCACCCTCACTCCCATGGTCACTAGGATTCCCAGCCACCCAGCGCGCCCTCAAACATCACTCTTCTCTTGCGAACAGCCGAGCAGCCGTACCCCACCAAGCTGTCTCAGACAACTTTCTGAGGTGTGTGTGGAGGAGGGCGCCTCTGGTGCGGCCCCTACACCACCCCCTATTCATACCTTGGAACCCCCCACCGCCCCCCGTCCTGCCCTCCCACGCCAGCCCACTTTACTCTTCCCCCTTTCGGGACTTTTGCTCTCACCGAACCGCCCCGCCCCCCATTCCCAGCCGTCAGTGCCTCCTCCTAGGCTGACCGCGTGCCCCCGGCCCCTCCAGAGCCCCGATTTTCGAACGCACCTCCTTCTGTTTGGGGTCCTGAGGGTAAACATCGGGAGGCCCCAGCCGCGGCCGCTTCAGGGGCCGGTGTTCGTAGCTCAAGATCCCGAAGGCCGCCATCTTGCCCAGCCCGTAGCGCCGGAGGCACCAGCAGGGCCAGGCTGACTGGGGGAACGGGAAGGGGGAGAGGGAGCCGAAAAGGGGGGCGGTGGTTGAGAGGACGGCGGCCGAGAGACAACAAGGGGGCACGTTAGAAACTCTCGACCATTGCCGGAAACTACCGAGGGAAGCCGAGGTACGCCGGGAACCATCGGACAATACCGACTGCAGAGGAGGTGGGGCCTGGCCCGGTGGGGGCGGAGCTCTGTGCCCCGGGAGTTTTTCGGCGGTGGCGGCAGCAAGTCGATTTCACTCAGCAAAAATCTATGAAACGTTCCGGAGGCGCAGAATGAGCTGGGGATGCAAACCAGGGAAGAAGGAGGCCTCTGTGGTGCTGAGTTCTGACTGGACTTCGGTTCCCATAGCCTAGCTCGGTTTTGGCCTAGAAAAGTCTTCAATAATATTTGCATTGGTTAGGAACTCCGTCTATTACAGATCAGTTCGTTTCTTAGTTCCGGCATCTGAAAAATAGGTGCGCTAACACCTCCTTCAAGGGGCTATTGTGAACATTAGAAACTATGTATGCATGAGAAAGAACCTATTAAACCCTGAAAGGCTGGCTCTAATCCCTCAAGGTCTACCATCGAGTTGTCTAACCTTTTCTTGTTTGTTTTTCTGCCCAAGGGTACCGCATACTAACGTTTTTGATTCACAAACCCTTAAAGGTGCTGATGAAAGCTATGGACCTTCTTCCCAGAAATAATAATAATAATAATAATAATATGCATATATTGACATGCAAAATGTTGCTTTAGATTCTTAGATCCCCTGAAGTTCATCCATGTATCCCCTAAGGGTCCATGAACTCCAGGTTAAGAACCCTTGGTCTAGCTAAAGAGGCACCTATTGTGTCAGATGCTTTTCAGACACTATCTCCTTTAATCTGCTCACAGCCTCATGAGTTAGGGATTATTATTGGCTCGATTTTGCGGATGGAGGAAGCTGGTTTTCAAAGTGTGAAAATTCACTTATCCAATATTATACAGCTACTGAGTAACAGAGCTGGCACTAAGATTCTGAATTCCAGAGCCAATATCCTATTGTCGTATTGCTATTTGTTTATTTTGAGGCAGGTTCTCCCTCTGTCGCCTAGGCTGGAGTGCAGTGGCGCTATCACGGCTCACTGCAGCATCAACCTTCTGGACTCCAGCGATCCTCCCGCCTCAGCCTCCCAGTAGCCTGGACTACAGGCGTGCGCCACTGTGCCGGCCTTGTATTGCCTTTTAGAGAAAAGACAGCCAGTGTGCTGTAACAAAAGTAACAAATAACAATAAACAAAAATAACACCAGTAACAAAAATAACAAAATGCTATTGAATCACAATGGAAAGAAGAAGTAATTCAAGGCGGGGAGTGGTGGCTCACGTCCGTAATCCCAGCACTTTGGGAGGCCAAGGCAGGGAATCACCTGAGGTCAGGAGTTCAAGACCAGCCTGGCCAACGTGGTGAAATCCCATCTCTACTAAAAATACAAAAATTAGCTTGTGTGGTGGCAGGCGCCTGTAATGCCAGCTGCTCAGGAGGCTGAGGTAACATTTGAACTAACTCTGAAGGATATTTTTATTTTATTTTATTTTTTATTTTATTTATTGTTTTGAGACGGAGTCTCACTCTTGTTGCCCAGGCTGGAGTGCAGTGGCGTGATCTCGGTTCACTGCAACCTCCGCCTCCCAGGTTCAAGTGATTCTCTTGCCTCAGCCTCCCCAGTAGCTGGGATTACAGGCTTGCGCCATCATGCCTAGCTAATTTCTGTATTTTTAGTAGAGACGGGGTTTCTCCATGTTGGCCAGGCTGGTGTCAAACTCGTGACCTCAAGTGATCCGCCCACCTCGGCCTCCCAAAGTGCTGGGATTACAGGCGTGAGCCACCACGCTCAGCCTGAACGATATTTTATTTATTTATTTATTTATTTATTTATTTATTTATTTATTTTGAGACTGAGTTTCGCTCTTGTTGCCCAGGCTGGAGTGCAATGGCGCAATCTCGGCTTACTGCAACCTCTGCCTCCCTGGTTCAAGCGATTCTCCTGCCTCAGCCTCCCGAGTAGCTGGGATTACAGGCATGCACCACCATGCCCAGCTAAATATTTTTTTGTTGTTGTATTTTTAGTAGAGACGGGGTTTCTCTATGTTGGTCAGGCTGGTCTCGAACTCCCGACCTCAGGTGATCCACCTGCCTCCACCTCTCAAAGTGTTGGGATTACAGGCGTGAGCCACCAACCTGAAGGATATTTTTAAAAAGATAATTTTTCTTTTCTTTCTTTTTTTTTCTTTTTTTTTTTTTTTTGACAAGGTCTCACTCAGTGGCCCAGGCTAGACTGCAGTGGTGCAATCTCACTTCACTGCAACCTCTACCTCCTGGGCTCAAGCAAACCTCCCACCTCAGCCTCCCAAGTATCTAGGATCACAGGCGCTGGCCACCACACCCGGTTAATTTTTGCTTTTTTTTTTTTTTTTTTTTTTTGGTGGAGACAGGGTTTTGCTATGTTGCCCAGGCTGGACTTAAACTCCTGGTCTCTAGCGATCCACCCACCTCAGCCTCTGAAAGTGCTGGGATTACAGGCATGAGCCACAGCACCCAGCATAAAAGAATTTTTTAGAGCAGTTTTAGATTCACAGCAAAATTGAGAGGAAGGTATGGAGAATTCCCATATACTGTCTGCCCTCACACATAGATAAACTCCCCCATTGACATCCCCCACCAGAGTGGGCCAGGCATGGTGGCTCATGCCTGTAATCCCACCACTTTGGGAGGCCGAGATGGGTGGATTGCTTGAGCCCAGGAGTTCTAGACCAGCCTGGGCAACATGGTAGAACCTCTATCTCTCCAAAAGCAAAATAAAACATTAGCAGGGTTTAGGGGCGGGCGCCTGTAGTCCCAGCTACTCTGGAGGCCGAGGGGAGAGAATCACTCGATCTCAGGAGGTGGACGCTGCAGTAAGCCATGATGACCCCACTGCACTTCAGCCTGGGCAACAGAGTGAAACTCTGTCTCAAAACAAAACAAAACAAAACAAAACAACAACAACAACAACAACAACAACAACAAACCCACCAGAATGGTATATTCGTTAGAGTTGATGGACCTACCTTGAACATCATTACCCAAAGTTCATGGTTTACGTTAAAGTTCACTCTTGATGTTATTTTATACAGTCTGTGAGTTTGGACAAAGAATAACATGTGTCCACCATTGTAGTATCTTACAGAATATTTTCACTGACCTAAAAACTTTTTCTGCTCCACCTATTCATCCTTCCCTCTCCGACAACCCCTGGCAACCGTTGATCTTTTTACTGTCTCCATAGTTTCGCCCTTTCCAGAATGTCATATAGTTGGAATCCTATAGTAGGTGGCCTTTTCTGCATGGCTTCTTTCACTTAGTCATATGTATTTAAGTTTTCTCCCATGTCTCTTCACGGCCTTAATAGCTCATTTCTTTTTGCACCGAATAATATTTCACTTTCAGGATGTACCACAGTTTATCCATAAACCTACTGAAAGACACCTTCGTTGCTTCCAAGTTTGGGCAATTATGAATGAAACTGCTATAAACATCCGTCTGCAGGTTTTTATGTGAACACAAGTCTTCCACTCCTTTGTTTTTTTTTTTTTTTTTTTTTTTTTTGAGACGAAGTTTCGCTCTGTCGCCCAGGCTGGAGTGCAGTGGCGCGATCTCGACTCACTGCAAGCTCCACCTCCCGGGTTCACGCCATTCTCCTGCCTCAGCCTCCTGTGTAGCTGGGACTACAGGCACGCGCCACCATGCCCGGCTAATTTTTGTATTTTTAGTAGAGACGGGGTTTCACCGTGTTAGCCAGGATGGTCTCGATCTCCTGACCTCGTGATCCGCCCGTCTCAGCCTCCCAAAGTGCTGGGATTACAGGCGTGAGCCACCGCGCCCGGCCTCCACTCCTTTGTTAATACCAAGGAACATGATTGCTGAAAGAGTATGTTTAGTTTTATAGGAAACTGCCAAACCGTCTTCCCCAGTGGCTGTACCGTACCATTTTTGCATTTCCCCCAGCAACAAGTGAGAGTTGTTCCTGTTGCTCCACATCCTTGCCAGCATTTGGTGTAGTCCGTGTTCCGGATTTGGGCAATTTTTTTTTTTTTTTTTGAGACAGGGTCTCACTCTGTCACCCAGACTGGAGTGCAGTGGTGCAATCTCAGCTCACTGCAACCTCCGCCTCCCAGGCTCAAGCAGTTCTCCTGCCTTAGCCTCTCAAGTAGCTGGGATTACAGGAATGCGCCACTATTGCCTGGCTAATTTTTGTATTTTTTAGTAGAGACGGGGTTTCACCATGTAGGCCAGGCTGGTCTTGAACTCCTGACCTCAAATGATCCACTCACCTTGGCCTTCCAAAGTGCTGGGATTACAGGCATGAGCCACCATGCCCGGCCTCTTTTTTTTTTTTTTTTTTTTTTAAACAAGAGATGGGATCTTGCTGTGTTGCCCAGGCTGGTCTCCAACTCCTGGGCTCAAGCAACCCACTCGCCTCAGCCTCCCAAAGTGCTGGGATTTCAGGCAAGGTGTGAGCCACCTTGCCCAGCCCATTTTGGCTATTCTAATAGGCATGTAGCCCTGAAGGATTTATTTATTTTATTTATTTTATTTTTTAGGCAGAGTCTTGCTCTGTCACTCTGGCTGGAGTGCAGTGTGCGATCTCAGTTCACTGCAACCTCTGCCTCCTGGGTTCAAGTGATTCTTGTGCCTCAGCCACCTGAGTAGCTGGGACTACAGGTGAGTGCTACCAAACGTGGCTAATTTTTGTATTTTTGTAGAGATGGGGTTTTGCCTTCTGAAGGATTTTAGCCTACAGAAAGTTAGGAAGAGGCTAATTCCAGAGAAAGGAAATGCGTATGACATATCCAGTGTGGCTGGAATTGATCATTGGAGCTTGGGCTTTATTCTGAAGGCCATGAGTAGCTTTTGAAGACTTTTAAATTGGAGAATGCCCTCTGTAGTGGGTTGAATGTGGCCTCCAAAAAGATATGTTCACTTGGAACCTGTGGATGTCACCTTCTTTGACAAAAGGCTTTTAGCAGCTGTAATTAAGGCAAAGCTCCTAGGAGAGAACACCCTGGATTAGGGTGGGCCATAAATCCAATGACAGGTGTCCCTGTAAGAGAAGAGAAGGATAAAGGAGATGCAGAGAAGAAGAAGAGGTAATGCAAAGATGGAGGCAGAGATTGGAATGATGTGTCTACAAGCCAAGGAGCACCAAGGATCGACGGCAGCCACCAGAAGCTAGAAGAGAGGCATGGAACAACTTCTTCCTCAGCGCCTCCAGAAGGGACCAACCCTGGCCACACTGATTTCGGACTTCTGGGCTCCAGAACTGTGAGAAAATAAATGCCTTTTTTTCCTTTTTAAAAAATTTTTATTTATTTATTTATTTATTTATTTGAGATGGAGTCTCACTCTGTTGCACAGGCTAGAGTGCAGTGGCGCAATTTTGGCTCACTGCAACCTCTGCCTCCTAGATTCAAGCGATTCTCATGTTTCAGCCTCCCGAGTAGCTGGGATTACAGGTGTTGCCACCATGTCTGGCTAATTTTTGTATTTTTAGTAGAGACGGGGTTTCACCAGGTTGGCCAGGCTGGTCTCGAACTCCTCAAGCAATCCACCTGCCTTGGCCTCCCAAAGTGCTGGGATTGCAGGCGTGAGTCACTGCACCCAGCCGAGAGAATAAATTTCTGTTGGTTTAAGCCACTCAGTTTGGGGATAACTTATGGCAGCCCTAGCAAACTAATACATACTAAAGATACATACTAAATACTAAGCTGGGCCATATAGTCCAGTTTTCCTGAGACTCCCAGGCAAGTGCTGTTTTTCTTTGCTTAATATCCTACACCACTTTCTGTCTGGTAAAATTACACTCATTCTTTAAGATGCCACTGAAATAGCACCTCTTCAGCACAGCCTTCACTAAACTATCCCCCTCTCCATCTTGGTAAATTTAGTTACTTCCTCTTCTGTGCTCACATACTTTGTAGTATCTCTACATTTATGCTATAGGACTTGTTACACTATGTTGTATTACTTGTTTATGTCTTCCCCACTTTTCTGTGAGTGTCTAGAAATATGAGGATGTCTTGTTGGTCTATTTCCAGAACATAAGCACAGTGCCTGGCACATATTAAAAACGTAATAAATGTTTGCTGAATAAATAGTTTCTGTAAGTGGCTTCTCCAATCACCTCTGTGTTTTCGGGGAAGGTAAAACTGGCAACAGGATGAAGAATGGATTAGAGAGCAGAGGGCCTTTAGAAAGGGAGGCCAGTTGATGGAGTCTAGATAGAATCATGACTAGAGCTAATGAAAGACTGATTTAGCAGAGTGGCTGTGGTAATGGAAAGGAGGAAACCGTTGGGAGAAACACCACAGAAGCAGAGTGGGTTATATTCTCTGGGTGAGAGAGGGGGAGAAATTGAAGCTGATTCTGAGGTTTCAAGTCTGGGTGACTGAGAGGGTGACGATACCATTGACTGAGGTGGGGAAGGCAGGAAGAGAAGCAGAGTTGGGGGAAGATGGGAAGCTTGAAGCTAGTATTGTTGTTCCTCCATTTCTAGAATATTTTTGTATTATAAGTCACACTTCCTCGCCAGTCTCAACAGGGACCCAGCTCAGGCAGCAGCTAAGGGTGGGTATTCTGGTTTGGATTAGATCAGAGGAAAGACAGCTGTATATGTGCCCACAGGAGCCAAGACGGTATTTTCCATCCTCCCAAAACAGTAGAGCTTTGACAGAGATTTAAGGGTGACCAAGTCAAGGAAGAGGCATGGCATAGAACGGTGATGTCGGGGGTGGGGGTTCAGAACTTCCATTATAGAAGGTAATGATTTAGAGGAGAAGGTGGTTGAGAATGGTGCTAGTGGTAGTGAACAGATCCTTCCCAGGATCTAGGTGGGCTGAGGATTTTTGAGTCTGTGACACTATTGTATATCCAGCTTTAGTTTCTGTTTACCACCTTACAGCAGCACCTAATCTCCTAGAGGACTTAGCCCGTGTCACACAGCACATATTTGCCACACCCTCTGTAAAGCCCTGGTTTATAAGGTTCTTTCCACCGGAAGCTATGACAGAGGAAACGTGTGGGTGGGGAGGGGTAGTGGGTGAGGGACCCAGGTTCCTGACACAGACAGACTACACCCAGGGAATGAAGAGCAAGCGCCATGTTGAAGCCATCATTACCATTCACATCCCTCTTATTCCTGCAGCTGCCCCTGCTGGGAGTGGGGCTGAACACGACAATTCTGACGCCCAATGGGAATGAAGACACCACAGCTGGTGGGAAATCTGGGACTGGAGGGGGCTGGTGAGAAGGGTGGCTGTGGGAAGGGGCCGTACAGAGATCTGGTGCCTGCCACTGGCCATTACAATCATGTGGGCAGAATTGAAAAGTGGAGTGGGAAGGGCAAGGGGGAGGGTTCCCTGCCTCACGCTACTTCTTCTTTCTTTCTTGTTTGTTTGTTTCTTTCTTTCTTTTGAGGCAGGGTCTCACTATGTTGCCTAGGCTGGTCTCAAACTCCTGGCCTCTAGTGATCCTCCTGCCTCAGCCTTTCAAAGCACCAGGATTACAGACATGAGCCACCGTGCTTGGCCTCCTCCTTCTGACCATCATTTCTCTTTCCCTCCCTGCCTTCATTTTCTCCCCAATCTAGATTTCTTCCTGACCACTATGCCCACTGACTCCCTCAGTGTTTCCACTCTGCCCCTCCCAGAGGTTCAGTGTTTTGTGTTCAATGTCGAGTACATGAATTGCACTTGGAACAGCAGCTCTGAGCCCCAGCCTACCAACCTCACTCTGCATTATTGGTATGAGAAGGGACGAGGGGGAGGGGATGAAGAAGAGGTGGGTTGGATCAGAGACCAAGAGAGAGGGTAGCAAGTCTCCCAGGTACCCCACTGTTTTCTCCTGGGGTAAGTCATAAGTCGGTTGAGGGGAGATGAGGCTAGGCTCTGGATATCTGCAGTACCCAGATTGGCCCCACTGTTCCTCTTCCTTCCAACCTTTCTCCTCTAGGTACAAGAACTCGGATAATGATAAAGTCCAGAAGTGCAGCCACTATCTATTCTCTGAAGAAATCACTTCTGGCTGTCAGTTGCAAAAAAAGGAGATCCACCTCTACCAAACATTTGTTGTTCAGCTCCAGGACCCACGGGAACCCAGGAGACAGGCCACACAGATGCTAAAACTGCAGAATCTGGGTAATTTGGAAAGAAAGGGTCAAGAGACCAGGGATACTGTGGGACATTGGAGTCTACAGAGTAGTGTTCTTTTATCATAAGGGTACATGGGCAGAAAAGAGGAGGTAGGGGATCATGATGGGAAGGGAGGAGGTATTAGGGGCACTACCTTCAGGATCCTGACTTGTCTAGGCCAGGGGAATGACCACATATGCACACATATCTCCAGTGATCCCCTGGGCTCCAGAGAACCTAACACTTCACAAACTGAGTGAATCCCAGCTAGAACTGAACTGGAACAACAGATTCTTGAACCACTGTTTGGAGCACTTGGTGCAGTACCGGACTGACTGGGACCACAGCTGGACTGTGAGTGACTAGGGACGTGAATGTAGCAGCTAAGGCCAAGAAAGTAGGGCTAAAGGATTCAACCAGACAGATAGAAGGACCTAATATCAAGCTCCTGTTCTCTGCCTCCCAGCTTCTCTGCTCACCCCCTACCCTCCCTCCTCCAACTCCTTTCCCCCCTATTTTCTCCAGTGAGTTTTCTTTTTTTCTTTTCTTTTCTTTCTTTCTTTCTTTTTTTTTTTTTTTTGAGACAGAGCCTCACTCTGTTGCCCAGGCTTGAGTGCAGTGGGGCGATCTTGGGCTCACTGCGACCTCTGTCTCCCTGGTTCAAGTGATTCTCCTGCTTCAGCCTCCCAAGTAGCTGGGAGCATGCACAACCATGCCTGGCTAATTTTTGTATTTTTAGTAAAGACAGGGTTTTGCCATGTTGGTCAGGCTGGTCTTGAACTCCTGACCTCAGGTGATCTGCCCACCTCGGCCTCCCAAAGTGCTGGGATTACAGGCGTGAGCCACCATTCCTGACACCAGTGAGTTTTCATTAGGGATTCCCTACCCATACTCTTCCTGATACCAGATAGACAAGTAAACAAAAGGAAGCCATTAAGGGGATCCAGAGGGGAGGCATTAGATTCAAGTCAGTGAAGGGAGCAGTGTGGCTTGAGTAGTCAAGAGATGAGAGAGAAACTGGGCAGTAGCAGAGATGACACTGGTGGGTGTTCAGGAGTATGTTTTAATTCTCCCTTCTCTCATAGACACCCACTTTCCCTCATCCTCTTTCTCCTCAAGGAACAATCAGTGGATTATAGACATAAGTTCTCCTTGCCTAGTGTGGATGGGCAGAAACGCTACACGTTTCGTGTTCGGAGCCGCTTTAACCCACTCTGTGGAAGTGCTCAGCATTGGAGTGAATGGAGCCACCCAATCCACTGGGGGAGCAATACTTCAAAAGGTAAAATGGGCCCACATGACCCAATCCATGAGCCCAACACCCCAGCCTTTCTAACACCACTGTCTTTTGCTCCACTTCCCTGTCACTAAAGCCCCTAAACTTGGTGCCCCATCTCTCCACACTGTCTAACCCCAACCTCTAGAAATCAAGGTTTTTCTGTGTAGGGTTGGGTTAGCGTGTTGTTAGAGTAGGGGAGTGGATTGAGAAGGAGGCTGAGGGGTACTCAAGGGGGCTATAGAATGTATAGGATTTCCCTGAAGCATTCCTAGAGAGCCTGCAAGGTGAAGATGGCTTTGGAACCAGCTGGATCTAGGCTGTGCCACATACTACCTCTTTGGCCTTGGCCACATCCCTAAACTCTTGGATTCTGTTTCCTAAGATGTAAGATGGAGGTAATTGTTCCTGCCTCACAGGAGCTGTTGTGAGGATTAAACAGAGAGTATGTCTTTAGCGCGGTGCCTGGCACCAGTGCCTGGCATGTAGTAGGGGCACAACAAATATAAGGTCCACTTTGCTTTTCTTTTTTCTATAGAGAATCCTTTCCTGTTTGCATTGGAAGCCGTGGTTATCTCTGTTGGCTCCATGGGATTGATTATCAGCCTTCTCTGTGTGTATTTCTGGCTGGAACGGTGAGATTTGGAGAAGCCCAGAAAAATGAGGGGAACGGTAGCTGACAATAGCAGAGGAGGGTTTTGCAGGGTCTTTAGGAGTAAAGGATGAGACAGTAAGTAATGAGAGATTACCCAAGAGGGTTTGGTGATGGAAGGAAGCCACAGGCACAGAGAACACAGAATCACTTTATTTCATATGGGACAACTGGGAGAAGGGTGATAAAAAAGCTTTAACCTATGTGCTCCTGCTCCCTCTTTCTCCCCTGTCAGGACGATGCCCCGAATTCCCACCCTGAAGAACCTAGAGGATCTTGTTACTGAATACCACGGGAACTTTTCGGTGAGAACGCTGTCATAAGCATGCTGCAGTCTATCAACTGCCAACTGCCTGCCAGCAAGACAGACAGAGTGTGGGGGTGGGGGCAGAGAGGAGAGGGAAGGAGGCCCTGCACTAACTGTCAGGATGTGGCCGACCAAATGGGGCATGGACTATACAGAGAGAGACACACACAGAAGTGCAGATTATAGATTGAATGAGGCAGATGGCAACTGGTATTGGGGGCCCAGGAGCCTGTGTATCCCTTCTGTAATCAATTACAGTGGTTGCAGACATCATGAGTACTCCTTTGGCACAGAGCTCGGTCTTTTACTTCCTGCCCCTAATTGACCCCTGACCTGGACATATCTGTCTTTAGGCCTGGAGTGGTGTGTCTAAGGGACTGGCTGAGAGTCTGCAGCCAGACTACAGTGAACGACTCTGCCTCGTCAGTGAGATTCCCCCAAAAGGAGGGGCCCTTGGGGAGGGGCCTGGGGCCTCCCCATGCAACCAGCATAGCCCCTACTGGGCCCCCCCATGTTACACCCTAAAGCCTGAAACCTGAACCCCAATCCTCTGACAGAAGAACCCCAGGGTCCTGTAGCCCTAAGTGGTACTAACTTTCCTTCATTCAACCCACCTGCGTCTCATACTCACCTCACCCCACTGTGGCTGATTTGGAATTTTGTGCCCCCATGTAAGCACCCCTTCATTTGGCATTCCCCACTTGAGAATTACCCTTTTGCCCCGAACATGTTTTTCTTCTCCCTCAGTCTGGCCCTTCCTTTTCGCAGGATTCTTCCTCCCTCCCTCTTTCCCTCCCTTCCTCTTTCCATCTACCCTCCGATTGTTCCTGAACCGATGAGAAATAAAGTTTCTGTTGATAATCATCAAAAATGTCTGTCATGGGGGTGGGGAGCAGGGGAAGCCTGGGATGCAATGAGGGTGGGAGGGGAAGAAAAAGGAGTAGTACATTCATGCTGTGGAGGCAGGAGTATTACCAATTTGCTAGAAAGAGTACTGTTCTGGAAACTGACTTTTTTCCAGGTGCCCTGCACTCATTCCAGGGTTTAGTTTAGAGTTAGACTTACAATGGGCTGGGCGTGGTGGCTCACGCCTGTAATCCCAGCACTTTGGGAGGCCAAAGCGGGTGGATCACGAGGTCAGGAGATCGAGACCAGCCTGGCCAACATGGTGAAACCCCGTCTCTACTAAAAATACAAAAATTAGCCAGGCGTGATGGTGTGCTCCTGTAATTCCAGCTACTTGGGAGGCTGAGGCAGGAGAATCGCTTGAACCCAGGAGGTAGAGGATGCAGTGAGCCAAGATTGTGCCACTGCACTCCAGCCTGGGCGACAGAGGGAGACTCCATCTAAAAAAATAAAAAAAATAAAAAAAGTTAGACTTACCATGTTGTCCCCCCTTTCCAACTAATCTTTAACATACCCCACCCAAGTTTTTCTCTCCTTACCCTTACTCCACTTTTTGGCCACACCTGCCACTTCTGACCTCATAATCCCTTAACTGCAGTCTCAGGCCCCACCCCTGGGGATACTGGTTATCCACAACTATCAACAGCTCTCTCCTGCCTGTCCAGCCTGGGCATCCTCAGCCTATGAAATCCATCTGCCTCTCTAGTCCACCAACCCTATAGGCCTATTTGCCCCACACAAGGCCTCTAGAACACCCTCCTTCTGCATGACTCATCAGGGCACTTTGTGAAGAGTGAGGCGATCTTGAGGGCATGTTCATCTTCATCAAACATGGAGGTGAGGGGCAGCACAGAACTAGAGTCTGTGGATGGGGGTGGAGGGATCTGAGGGCAGTGGAGATCACAGAAATGGGCCCATGTGTCCCATCCTATCTCTTCTCAGATAATCAGCAGTTTCTGGTCAATACCAACTGTGCTGTCGTCGTGTTGCTGTATTACATCCGCAGTAAAGTAAAGTTGCCTAAAACAAGTGAGGAGCTTAGGGAGGGGACTAATGGCCAAAGGTCAGAAGGAGTTGGGTCATCTCTAACCCCCAAGCCCTCCTCCTGGCAAGAAGGGAGTTCCTCATATCCTTAGAGCTTCCTCCAACCCATTTTGTATAGGATCACTGGCCCCTTTTGCTCCCACTCTCTTTCCTTAGCTGCCCCAATTACCCTGTGATCTCCCTCCAGACACCATCGATTTGTGTGAACAAACGGGGAAAATGAAGATGCTTTTCCTGATGAAGCCCAATCATGCAGAGTATGCCAGCAAATACCTTACAGCTCGAAGCACCTACTACGTTTGTAAGGTGGAACGTGGGCCACCAGGTAGAGGCTCAGGAGTGTTCCCCAGAAATAGAATAAGGCCTTCAAGATAGATTATGAACCTTATCTTTAAAACAAGGCATCCAAGGCTGGGCATAGTGGCTCATGCTTGTAATCTCAGCACTTTGAGAGGCCAAGGCGGGAGAATCGATAGAGGGCAGGAGTTTGAGACCAGCCTGGGCAACATAACAAGAGCCTGCCTCCAAAACCAAAACCAAAACCAAAAACAACCAAAACCAAATTAAAACAAAAAACAGAACACCCTCAAACAACAGAACACCCTCAACCAGATCCAAATTGACCATCTCTAGTCAGCCTAAGGAAGGGTACTGCCTCTATAATAATAGGTTACCTCACACATACTCTCCCCTAGGTCCATACCTAAGGGGAAGAAATATCCACCAGCTCAAGGTAGGTTTTTTTTTTTTTTTTTTTGGGACAGAGTTTCGCTCTTGTTGTCCAGTTGTCCAGGCTGGAGTGCAATGGCGCGATCTCAGCTCACTGCAACCTCTGCCTCCCAGGTTCAAGCGATTCTCCTGTCTTAGCCTCCTGAGTAGCTGGGACTACAGGCACCCGCCACCAGGCCCAACTAATTTTTTAGTGCAGATGGGGTTTCACCATGTTGGCCAAGCTGGTCTTGAACTCCTGACCTCAGGTGATCCACCCACCTCAGCCTCCCAAAGTGCTGGGATTACAGGCGTGAGCCACTGTGCCCGGCAAGGTAGTCTTTATTTTTATTTATTTATTTATTTTATTTTTTGTGATGGAGTCTTGCTCTGTCACCCAGGCTGAAACAGTGGCATGATCTTGGCTCACTGCAACCTCTGCCTCCTGGGTTCAAGTGATTCTCCTGCCTCAGCCTCCGGAGTAGCTGGGATTACAGGCGCCCACCACCATGCCCAGCTAATTTTTTTTGTTTGTTTGTATTTTTGGTAGAGATGGGGTTTCACCAAATTGGCCAGGCTAGTCTCGAATTGGCCAGGCTAGTCTGGAACTCCTGACCTCAAGTGATCCGCCCACCTTGGCCTCCCAAAATGCTGGGATTACAGGCGTGAGCCACCGCATCTGGCGGGTAGTCTTTAGTGTTAGGTCCTGGAATCTTGGACTTCTGAAGGGTGGAGACTGGATGACAGGGGCTGGAGATAGCACATGGCTATGTTCACAGGAACCAGGCTGGAGAATGCTTACAGAGCTTTTGTGCCTCTCCTCAAGAATCCGGAGCCTTGGCTGCTTGGTAAGAAGTGAGATGGGGGAGGGAAGAACATGAAGGGTACAGTATATAGCTGTGTGATGGAGAATGTAGGGTGGGACTAGCGTGATATGGTAGGTCAGATGATAGGAGCCTAGGAAAAGGCGGGCAGGGTCCAGGTCCACTTTAGGAGGGACGTTTAGCTCACACCAGGTGGAATGTGCATGCGTTACTCCCCACTTCCCCCATTTCTTGGCCATCTTCTCCGTATATCTCCCTGTCACCATTCCATCATTTCCATCTTAGGCCAAGTGGGGCTCCAGCTGATGGTTTGAACAATGAATGGGAGCATCAGGAAGGGTAAGGTCTCTAGTTCTCAGAGGTGCAGGTGCCTTTTCCTTGTTCTTAGTTGCACTGCGCATACAATGTGATGCCCTGGAGAGGAGACGAATTCAGATGCTTAAAATGAAAGAAGCCAAGAAGGTCGTTATAATTGAACCCCCTGCGAGTGTCCCGGTAAGACTTGCCAAATGTGATCTGCCCCAGCACCCCCCTCTCCCTACCAGCCGACTGAATGTTCCTACACCCCAGCCCTCTGAGATGAATTTCCTGCCTCCAATTTCTTTTTTCCTTCCTTTGGCCCTGGGTTGTAGAAACCTTCCCTGCAGGGGCCTCTTTGTTTACTTACTTTCTTTTTCTAGTCCAAGCAATCAGGACGATCAGACAAAAAGAAGTCCACTCGCAAGTCTCCGACCTTTAGGAACAGACCAGACTTCAGGAAGAATAAAGGTCGCCAACTCAATAAAACCACCAAGCAAAAGAAGTAATACTAGGTGTGAAATTACTGGAATTTAACGTGAGATTTCTTTTTCTAGAAAGACTCCTTCTCCCAATATCTGCACTAAGGCTTGAGTACATACGCCCCAGGCACCTAGGAGGCTCTGAGGGTGGATGGGAGCGGCAGGAGAGGGCTGGGGCAAGCACATGGGTGGGGGTGAGGAAGGCTGTGAAGTCTAGTACAATGAGCCTTTGAGGAACGGAGTAGGGGGTGGGGTCTTCTCAAACCAGACTACCTCCCCTTGGGAGGCCTATCTCACAGCCCGCCTACTCCTGCAGGGGTTAGGTGTCCCTCCACCCCCACACTCCACCACCTCCCCGGGGTGAAATTCCCCCACCCTCCTCCATGTCTCTGCCTTTGGGCAGTTTCTTCCTCCCGCCCTTTGCCTTTTCCCCTCCCTCCCCCTTATCCAAGGGGAGAAGCAAGGCAGCAGAAACCAGAGCTGGTTATAGGCATTTATTGAATTTATTCATTTATTGATTTGACACACTTCCCCACTCCAATCTAGCACATGATACAATCTGGGTAGGCCAGGCGCTGACACAGGAAATGATGGGAACCCACAGCAGGGGTGGGGGAGGGGACGATGCAAAGGGCACTGGGGGAAGGGCTGCTTTGGGGGCTGGGGTGGAGAAGGAGCCCCAGATGGCCTCCCTGGCAGGTGCTAGTAAACCTGATCCACATCCCCCCCCATCCCTGCTCATTTCCCAGACCCTCAGCCAAGCTCCCCAGCTCCCCCTTCCCTGTTCCTCCCCTCCCCGCTGCCTGCTGCCACACACACTTCCACATAACCCCTGCAGTCAGGGAAGGGGAAGAAGGGCAGGGACAGCTGTCAGGGGCCTTGAACAGGGAGGTCTCTGTACCTAACTTTACCATCCTAAATCCTTCCCTCCTTCTCTTCTCTCCCCTCCCAGTCCCTTCCCTGGCCCCAAGCTAATTCCAGGCCTTCAATGTACTCTCCCACCATAGCACTAACCCATGCTGGGTCATAGAAGAGTGTGGCTGCACCCTAACACCACACACTCCCAGGCACAAGTTGAAGGAATGAGGGGACCTGGGTTAGCTTTTTTGTTAGGGAAACTCTAACCTATTTCTGCATAGACCTTTCTCTATACCTGGTCCGTAGGGGAGCTCTTCCCTGTGTTTACTATTACTCCCCACCTCTCCCCACTTCCCTGTGTCTCCTAATATTTATTGTCTGTAGTGTTTGTATCATGTCACTATCACAAAGCCTTCAGAAAGAAAAAAAAGCATTCTGCCCACCACTAGCACCCTGCCATGGTTAAAAAATCTCTATATTTGTGTTTATATTTCTTTAAAAGTTTATAAAAAGCCTTTCTGTTATCTGCAGCCTTCTAAGGGTGATTTGGCCTGGCGAGCCACTCCAGTGCTCAGACCTTGGCCCTTCCAGATCCCCTAAACAGCCCACCCACCGCACATCACTGGCCTAAGGGGCCACTGCATAGAAATCCCAGGCTCCAGCTAGCCTGGCTCAGCTCAGATAAGACTCTCTACAAAAAAATCCTGCTCCCAAAGGCAGGGGTAAGGCCACTGGTGACTTCACATTTCCAACAGCATTGCTCATCTTGCTACAAAGCCTAAGTGGGTAGGAATGGGGAAAGCCGATGATGGCTCCTGAGAGGGGGCCTTACCCCCTAATTGGCACAGTGAGAAAAACCCTCTCCCCTTTCCCCTCCCATCTCCCTCCCCATATCGTCCCCAGATGGGGCAGCTTTATCTTTATAATTTCTTCAACACCTGTGTGTGACCAGACCCCACCCTAGCTCTAAAGCAGGGTCCCAAATTCCTGGGGAGGGCTCAAGGGTAAAGAGTAGATATGAACACGCCTGGCTCCACATCTGAAGCAGGGGACAAAGCTTCCAGGCATGACTCAGGGATCTGTGGGAAGAAGAAACAGAGAACAAGGTAAGAGGCTTACCTGGGGCTTGCCAACATTCTATCATCCAGATTCCCACCAAAGAAGATGGTGGCACCTAACCCGCTTCCATACACATACCTTTTCTGTGCTACCTTGCAGGGCTGGGCACAGCTAAGGGGCCTGGAGGTCCCATCCGGAAACTATGCTACTGTAATATGACATCTTCCCTCCAGTTCCCCAGGAGCTCTGGCTACCACTTGTCCTAAATCTCCCCTTCGCCCAGATCATGGGACTAGCTGGGCACCTAGGAGTGGTAATAGGCTATGAGGTGCTGTGGTGATTAGGGGGTACTGTACCTGGCTCAAAGTTGAAGTCCAGTCCCTCGCCCTCATCCATGAGGTCACTGATGATGTTATCCATGTCACACTCCAGGTTCTCCATATACATATCAAGATCTAGATCCTGAGGCATTCTGTCTTGGCTTGCAGCTTCAGTAGGGGGTGTGAGCACAGGAGTCCCCAGAGCCTTGGGGATGGGGGCACTTGCCATGACTGGAGGTGGTGCTATCATAGAAAGGGTGGGAACCAGACTGCTGGGGCCTGGAGCCTCTAGGGGCTTGGGACACAGGCCGACGCCCGTGGCCAGCTTACTGGAGGAAGGAAGCCCCCCCAGCAACAGAAGAGTCGGAGCCTGGGACAGAATGGGATCTACCTGGGTCATGAGGACGTCAGCAGGGGGTGGTGGCGTATCAGAGGTGAGCAGGGCCTCCAGAGCCTGGGAGCTGGAGAAGCACCCTTCTCCTGCTGACAGGGGCCCCTCTGCTGGGCTGAAAAGGGAGCTGCTGTAGGTGTGTAAGGGGCCGGTAACCCCAGGATGCTGCAAAGAGAAGCCAGAGAGACCACTCCGAGATAGCAGGGAATGGGAAGAGGTGAGATTGAGCCCATCTAACAGCTCTAGACCTTCATTGAGGGTGGGAGGGACACCCCCTGCATAACTGCTGACTGAAGCTGGTATTTCCTCCGCCAGCACCTCAGACTCTGGCCTCAAGGGGGACAGCCGGGTGCTGACACTGCTGGCATTTGAACTGCTTCGTGGACGGAAGGTGGTCCACATATCGGCTTCTTCACGGTTTCGAGAGCAAGGGCTGCCTGACCACTTGGCAAAGTGGCCGACAGGGCTCGTTGGAGTGGCACCTTCGGGTGGAGCTGGCAGCACAGATGGTTTCTTCTTGGGGGCTTTACTGCGGCCCCGGAGCAGCTTGCTGCTGCTATCCATGGAGGCGGCCCGGCGGCGGGGGGCTTTGCCGCTCTTGCCTCCCTCAGGGTTCAGCATCCACCAAGAGCTTTTGCCGGTGGCCTCGTTGTGAACCTTGATGAACTTGCTGTGCAGGGACAGGTTGTGGCGGATCGAGTTCTGGAGGGGCAGAGATGGCAGGAAAGGGGCGTGAGGTACTGTAGGGGAGGTCAGTGGCCAGCGGTCAAGTCTAAGAGGATGCTGGACCCTGATGATCTAGGGTTTAGGATTTGGTGCCACCACCGCAGCAGGGTTCATTTCGGGGCTTCATTTCCCAGGTCATTAAAGTTTAAGAAAAACTTTAAATAATTTACAAAAAAAGAGAAAAAGATAAAAGATAAAAGGGTGCTGGAACACAGCAGGGGTATTCCTGGAGACTCAAAGAAAGTTGAATCCAGGGGGGAAAACTGGTAGAAGTAGGGGTGGGGGTGGGGTGTGAGGGGAGACCACACACATTTCCCGCTCCCAGACAAGCTGCTCAGCCTCTGCTCCAGACTTCTCTGTACAGCGGGTGGGAGATAACGTGTAATAATCCACTGCAGAGAGCACGGGGGATGCCCACCCTGGAAAAGCTCCTGGTACTCTGCTCTTCCCAGGGCTTCGTGTGTGTTTTGCGGGGGGTGGGGGGAGCGGTACCTGGGGCTGGTGGGCACTGGGGAGACGTGCTCCTTGCCCAGCAAGAACTAGGTTCAGGTGGGAAAGAGCATTGCACCCCTTTCCTTGAGTGCAGGTTTGGGTAGAGTTTACGGGACAGTGGTACAGCACCAGCCCAGGATGGACCCGCCCTGCCCAGAGCCAGTTCTCTGAATAGGCTGAAGGGCTGGAATCTCAGCACAGCAGGTGCTCCATTCCCCACAGAGCATTTGGGCCACCCAGCTCTCTATAGAATTTAAAGATTCCTTTTTCCCCCCTCCCTGAATCCCAGCCTTATTTCTTCCAATCCACAACACACATCCTCAACTACATTCAGTTCAGGTTCAGGCTTCCTGCTGTGCCTCAAATGCGTGAGGTGCAATCTTCCCCTCCCCTCTTTTCCGAGGAGGGATCTCCCCTCTCTAAGTTTTACTAGTTCCGTCAAGACCAAGCTTCAGTTCCACCTCTTTTATAAAGCGGCTGCTTGACTTTGGCAGCCAAATTTCTAGTATAGTATTTTTAAAATCTGCGCCACACAATTTCACCCAATTTATATTGTGTGGCTTATGGTTTCATGTAATTCGTCTCATCGAGTGTAAGTGCCAAGTGTAATGTCCTCCAGTCCCACATCCCCCATCAAAGCCCTCCCAGAGCACCAAGCTCACAGCACATATTCTATACCTACTCAAGCTCACAGTACATAATCAATATTTGTACCTGATTGGTGGGTTGCCCCTGGGTTGACAATGGTGAGGCTCCCCTTGAGGCTCTGCCAGCTCTTCAGTGCCTTGGGTATTGGAAGCTGTATGTTTTCCCTTCCTCCCTCACTGGTGACATTCTACTAGGGAAACGATGCTTTCCAGTGGCCCAGGGAGCTGAGATTGGCAGCTTCTTCAGCCCCCAGTGCAGCTTATATTTACTGATTGCCGCGGGGCAGGCTAGTTACACAAGGGGTTTGGCCCTCCCCTGGCCACCCCCCTTCCCGAAACCTGCCTTCTTTTCCCTACCTCCTTCCCAGTGCCTTTCCCCCATTTCTCAGGAATTTGTGCATAAACTCTTCAACCTTGGGGGCATTTGACCTCCCACTTGGAGGTCTTTAGTTTAGAAATTCAGGAGGAGCCCAGAAGTGCTTAGAGCAACTAGGAGGCTGAGTACATGGGACGGTCAGAAACTACTTGTTTCTCTGACTGGTGCTCTTAAGATAAGGAGCACCTTTGCCTGGGGAATGATGCTTCTTGTTCCAGGGTTCTTTAGCCAAAGAACTCCTTGTGTTCCTGGGACCCTGAGGTAATGGCATTTCAACTGTGCTGATGTTCCTTCAAGGAGTGGCACTTGTCCATCCGGCCTCACCTCATAGTAACTAAGGACCACAATGACCATGACCTGGCACTATGATTTCTCCTCTTTTTATCCTCTAATTCTGGATCTACTTGAGAAGATCCATTCCTTTCCCTACTACTTAATAGCCACAAGGCCCGTTTGTCTCCTCTTCTTTAGGCCTTGGAACTAGCAAGTGGTACACAGACTCTTAATTGGAGAGGTCAGTTTCCCAAAAGCCCATAACTCTTACATGTTGGAGGGCAGGGTGGTGGGGGTGACTGCTAATTGCTCCCTAAGCCACCTAATCTAAACTTTCTTGTTCTAAGTGAGTGCCGCCCCCTGGTGGGGTGGGAGTAACCTTGGCATATCATCAGGGAGGCCAGTTCAGGCATGAGACTTCCCCTCAGAGAGGGGTGGGGGGGCCTTGAAGTCCCAGGCTCAGCCTGATTTGACTTTGCCCTCATTCCAATTAGAGCAAGCCAGGCTCTTTTTAGAGAATATGATTTATAGTTAGACCTGAGTTCAAGTCCTCACCCTGCTGTTATTAGGTGAATTTCCTAACCTTTTGGTACCTAGTTTCCTAATGTGTAAAATGTGGAATCTCAGAATTGCTGTAAAGATTAATAAAATAAAAACTTTAAAAACTACTTTGTAAACTCTAAAGCCCCACAGAAGTGTAGATTATAAGGACGGACTATACTCCCACAATATAACTAACAACTTGTTATTTCCTCTACCCTGGAAAATGAACCTAAGGGAAAAGAAAAACAGCTGTGTAGGCTGGGTCCAAGGAGGGGAGCTTTTTATGAGCTGAGACTGTGGCGTGGCAGTCTACCCAGAAATAGTGCCAAGGGTCTCAGTCAGCTGTCCTATCTTCTGTTCTGCCCAGCCCCTAGGGATAGCACAGATCTGATCCCTCAGTCTCCTATACCTAGGGGAAGTTCCTCTGCTCATCCAACCTTCTGTACTTGGTTATATGCTGACCTCACCACCTAGAGAGGTACAAGCCAGCAATAGGGCTTGAGGCTCCCCAATTTTGTGATTACAGCCCCATATTTTCTCAGGACAAGTTTTTCAGAGTATCCTTTGAGATATTCTCTCACAGTTTCTTCACAGAAGGCCAAGAGAACTCCCAACTTTGTGCTCTAAAGTCAGAGCCCTACCTCCTTCTTCATGACTAATATTCCTTAACAGTAAAGGATGACTTCCCCCCAAAACTTGGATAGCCCCTTACAAGGGAGAGTTTCTTGGCAGCACAGGGTAAGCTGAGCCAAGTGGCAGCTCACAGCCCTTTTTCTTCTTAGTGCATGAGATCAGCTACCTTTCCCCATGAATATTATTGTTTTTACCCTTTGCCACTGCACTCCCTCCTCCTGGGTAGAGCAGTGCTAGAACAGTACCACTACACTGAGGTACTGGGAGGCAAGCAGGGAATCCAAGTAATCCCACAGGAATGGGAGAAAAGGTGTTGGGGTGGGAGGTGGGGGAGGAGGGAAGGGTAGGTTCATGTGGGGAATCCACACAGTTCCTGCTGTACATAGGATAAAGACTTCTCTGTGGGAATAAGTGTTTGGGGCAGCCCAAGCCAAAGTGCTGCGAATATTGAGCAGTGAGCAGAGAATTCAATTTTCTCCAGGGCAGGGACAGTGTCTTATTCATCTGTGATCCTTCAGCATCAAGCACCGAGTGTGGCATATACTATGTACTAAGTAAATGTTTGTCTAACTGGAGATTGAAGGTGGATCTCTGGGCTTCCCAAAGGGGGTGGGGGTGGGAGGTAGTAAAAGGGGCCCCAGAGTAGAAGTAAGGGAGGCTAGGGGGTCCAGGGGGTAGATGGTGTTGGGAAGAAGGTAAGAGGGTCATAATTACCTTCCATCCTGCTGAGCTGTTGCTGTCACCCTTGTCCTTGAAGTAGGGTACAGTACGGACCATCCACTCGTAGATCTGGGCAAGTGTCAGTCGCTTCTCCGGGGCGCTTTCAATGGCCTGGCTGATGAGTTCTGCATATGACTGATTTCCCCAGGCATTCCGGCGGGAGCCTCCCTTCCGAGGACCTGTTACAGCCCCCAGGATTCCGGGCTGGGGGCCCCCGGCCGGCTCTGGGAGCCGAGAGGGCAACAGGATCGGCTCTGAGCGCCCCTCCGTGTGTACCTTTTCCCCCAGATCTGGCTCCACCTCGGGCGGCTCGGACGGCTGGTTAGCGATCTCTGGTCGGGGAAGGGGCCAGGTGCAGGAGCGGGGACGGCTCTGGGGTTCGAAGTCGGGATCTAGGTCTATGATCGCGGCAGCCTCTGTGGCTGAATTCTCATTCCCCGGATCCATACGTGGAGTTGGACCTCCCCGGCTCAGCGTTCAGTGAAGCCTGCCACAGTCCCTCACGATGCCTCCCCTCAGGGGGGAAGCATCGAGGGCCAGGAGGCACATTCCTGCCAGTCTTCAGAAAGTCGCGAACTTCCCCCTAGTCCCAGGACGCTAGTCCCTAAGCTGTCCCTTCACACAGTTCTCCGATCCCCTTCCCGACTACAGCCTGTAGCCTCAAAGCTCTTTCTGAGATGCCACCTGTAACCTCTGCCGAGCGAAGACACTTTTTCTGCAACCTCTCACTCAGCTTCCTGCTCTTTTAAACCTGAGGCACTGTATCCCCTCATATATTGCGCTCCCATCACCGAACGTCTCCTTAGCCGCAGTTCCCTCCCCCTTTTAAGTTGCTGCCCCCCGGACACTCCTCCCAAATTTCCTCCACCCGGATTGCTGCCCTCCCCCACGCCCCGCTCCCCCGCGTCACTTGCCCCTCCCCTGACTCCCCCTTCCCCCGCCTCTTCCCTTCTCGCCACTCTTACTAGGGTCCGGGTCCCCGCGGCTGCGGCCTCCCTTATTCCCGCACCGATTCCCCTATCAACCCCCCCCACCCCCCGCCCCCCGGGTTTCCCTTTTGTTTTGCTCCAAGCAGCAGCCCCCTCCTGACGTCTCTGTTTACCACTCGCCGGGGCAGCCATCTGCGCACGCGCCTCGAAAGCCAGTCGGGAAACCGAGTTCTGCAGTCGTGCCACCCTGGTCACTCTTGAGGACTACATCTCCCGTCCTGCTTCGCGGCCAGGAGCCCGATACGGCGGCAGGAGAGCGGCGTGGCAGGATATAACGAGGTGGAACTTTAATTATTAGAAGTCGTCGCGGACTCTTTCTTTTCTTAAGAATCGTTTTTCGCCCTTTCCCCCTTTCCATTGTCTCCCTTGTGATTCAGAGTCGTGTAGGTGACCAGATTGAGAGGTGCTAGCCCTTTCCCTCCTTCATTTAGGAGACGGCAAAAGGGAAAAAATTATTCTCTTAAAGATGCAGGAGACCAAGAAGCAAGAAGCAAGGAACTGACTAGAAAATAGGATGTATGCACGTTGGAGAGTTGGGTGGGGGGCTTGTGTAACATAAACAAATGGTTAGCCCACGGTGGTGTTCCTCCTCACCCCCTTCCTCCTCCCTCCACCCGCCTTCATCCCCCCATATGCAGTTCCCACTGACAGTGAGGTCTCACTTACCAATCAGTTTCCTCCACTGGCTCTTCTGGCTTTCCCTTCAACACCGATATTCTCCAGGTTCACATCTCCAACGGCTTCACTTCTCATTCAACAGGTCCAAACTCATTATCTGTTCCTGCACCCGCACCCCTATCCTCTGGCTACCCTTATCTCTGAATTTGACTTATGGTAGTCCTGATCTACCCAGTCTCCCAAGCTCCAAGCAGCAGCTTAGAGGTAATTACCCATTACTTCTTCATCTCCGTAACTTTCTACATCCAAATCCCAGTTCAAGACCTATTTATAACTGCATTTAAATTGTAGGATCAGCCGGGTGCAGTGGCTGACGCCTGTAATATCAGCACTTTGGGAGGTCGAGGCAGGCGGATCACTTGAGGTCAGGAGTTTGAGACCAGCCTGGCCAACATGGTGAAACCCATCTCTGCTAAAAATAGAAAAATTAGCCTGGTGTGGGGCACGCACCTGTAGTCCCAGCTACTTGGGAGGCTGAGGTGGGAGAGTCGCTTGAACCCAAGAGGTGGAGGTTGCAGTGAGCCAAGATCATGCCACTGTGCTCCAGCCTGGGTGACAGAATAACACCCTGTCAAAAAAAAAAAAAGGTGCAGTATCATCTTAATTGGATCTCCTTCCATCAGTCTTTACCTCACTACAGTTTATATTCAGAGCTGCCAGCAAGGTTACCGTTCTAAGAAACATGTCTGGTAATTATGGCTAAAATTTATGGAGCCCTTATTATGTGCCAGTCTCTGTGCAAATTGCTTTACGAACATTAGTTCATTTACTCCTCAATCATTTACTCCTCAATTCAACCCCATGAGGTAGGTACCACTATTATCCGCATTTTATAGATGAAGACACTAACAATGCTCAGAGATTGACTTGCCCAACGAGGCAGAACTGGGATTATATAACTTACATGCGATCGTATAATTTCTTTCTTTCTTTCCTTCCTTCTTTCTTTCTTTCCTTCCTTCCTTCCTTCTTTCTTTCTCCTTCCTTCTTTCTTTCTTTCTTTCTTTCTTTCTTTCTTTCTTTCTTTTTCTTTCTTTCTTTCTTTCTTTCTTTCTCCTTCCTTCCTTCCTTCCTTCCTTCCTTCCTTCCTTCCTTCCTTCCTTCCTTCTTTCCTTCTTTTTTGAGACAGGGTCTTGCTCTGTCACTCAGACTGGAATGCAGTGGTGTGATCTTGGCTCACTGCAGCCTTGACCTGCTGCACTCAAGCAATCCTCCCATCTCAGCCTCGGGAGTAGCTGGGACTACAGGCATGTGCCACCACGCCCAGCTAATTTTTGTATTTTCTGTAGAGACGGGGTTTCACCGTGTTGCTCAGGCTGGTCTGGAACTCCTGACTTCAAGTGATCCACCTGCCTTGGCCTCTGAAAGTGCTGGGATTACAGGCATGAGCCACCGCACCTGGCTATAAATTTTGTTTTTTTGATCATGTAATTTCCCTGGTTAAATCTTCCTCTGATTTTCCCCATTGCCTGTGTGATAAAGTTCAAATTCCCTCGCAAGGCATGCCAGGCTCCTCAGATTCAGGCCACTTCACACCTTTCCTGCACACTAAGTTACAAGCAGAGTTTCACACTATTTCCTGGAAATACCATGCCCTTTTATACCTTTCTCTCTGCATCCTGGGATATCATCCCTCTTGTCATTCCTCTCCACGTCTCTTATTTTGGAAAACTCCTATTCAGCCTTCCCTGTCTCCCTTAGGTGTGATTAGTTCTCCTTTTTTTTCTGCATTCCTAAGCACTTTGTGCAGTCTTATGTTATATAGCACAAACTATATTGTATTGTAATTATTTGTTTACTTATCTGTCTCTCCCAGTAAACTGTGAGCTCTTATTTATTTTTTTTTTAGACAGGGTCTCGCTCTGTCACCCAGGCTGGAGTGCAATGGCACAATCTCGGCTCACTGCAACCTCCACCTCCCAGGTTCAGACGATTCTCCTGCCTCAGCCTCCCGAGTAGCTGGGATTACAGGTGCCTGCCACCATTCCCAGCTAATATTTGTATTTTTAGTAGAGATGGGTTTTCACCATGTTGGTCAGGCTGGTCTTGAACTCCTGGCCTCTGGTGATCCACCCGCCTTGGCCTCCCAAAGTGTTGGGATTACAGGTGTGAGCCACAGTGCTCGGCAAATATCATTTATTAAATGAAGTATCACAAATAGCATTTGGACATTTAACAACTTTTAAATAAACATGTCCTATGCATTTTTTGCCTGGCCCTGTTCCAACTGTTAGACAGCAACCTCTGAGGGGCAGGGACTGTAATTTGGCTTGTCTGCCACTTGCAGTGTTTCTATTGTGTTCTGTGATGATGCGGCCTTCCTCCTGTGCAGAAGGATATCCATGCAACCCAGGATTTTTCAGCGGTGGCAGCACATTGGGCCTCCAAAGTGATATTAGCCTGATCATGGTAAAATAGCCATATTGGTTCTCCATATTCCTGCCTTCTTCTGCTCCAACATGCATTTGTCCTCCACCTGTTACCTAGGTGTATACAAAAGGCCATATATTCCCATCTGAGGTCCAGACTAGAGAGATGAGACATAGTTGCTCACGATGCCTGCAAACATTCCCTGCACATGCCCCTTTTTCCTTCACCCCAGCTAAGGGTGCCTGATAAGTGCTGCATGAGTGGTGAATTTGGTAGAGGAGAGAGCCTTGTGGCACTAGGTCACAAGGAGATCTCTTCTAACTGAAACAGCTATGATGGCAGATCATGCAGAGTTACTGAGACAGGGAAATGGCAGGGTGGGGCAGGCACCTGTCCTGGCCTGAGTTAAATCTTGCATTGTCTCTCTTTGTGCATTTGTTTGAAAAGGTCCACCTCTCCACCAACTCATGTCCATCACCTCCTTAAATTTACAATTCAAAGCTCAAAACTAACCTGCCCTTGGAAACTTTTCCTGACTAGTCCAACCTGACAGGCCACTTCTCCAATTTGCATCTCCTGAACCTCTATGAACTCAGTTTGTATTTTTATTTTTTATTTATTTTTTTTTTGAGACAGAGTCTTGCTTTGTCGCCCAGGCTGGAGTGCAGTGGTGCGATATCGGCTCACTGCACCTTCCACTTCTTGGGTTCAAGCAATTCTCCTGCTTCAGCCTCCCTGGTAGCTGGGATTACAGGCGAGCGCCACCACACCTGGCTGATTTTTGTATTTTTAGTAGAGACGGAGTTTCACCATGTTGGCCAGGCTGGTCTTGAACTCCTGACCTCAGTGATCCACCCGCCTCGGCCTCCCAAAGTGCTGGGATTACAGGCGTGAGCCACTGCGCCCGGCTTGTATTCTTTAACTTTGTGCTTCTGCTTACATGGCTTTTCATTTCATGAGGGCATATTGTCTCCCCAACTAGATTATAAACTCTACTATCAATCAACGGATGTTTGTGGAGCCTTTACTGTTGAGAGTACACCTTGAAATCCTGGACAGATAAAAATGACCACACGTCATAGGACCAGATAATTTAGGAGGACGAGCTAAAGGATTGGTGGGATGGTAAAAACACCATCATGACTTTAAAGCATGCAGATAGAGAGGTCAGGGTTGTTCAGCTGTGAAAATGTTGCAAAATAACATTAGTCAAGAGACAGAATTAGCAAGATGGTCTTGGAAAATAAAAAGACATTGGGCAGGAAACAAGATTAATAGGAGGCTCCCAGAAACCACCGTAGCTGTAAGCTACAAACAGATAATGGCAGGATTTAGAAGACACAGGCTTTTCTCCCAGTTTGAAACCCCAGAGTTTATTTTCTCAAATGTCCCCCCATTCACAATTTGTTTTTTTTCCTCTTCAAGGTCATAGGGGTTTGGCTCTCTTGACTTTCACTGCCACCGCCCACTCTTCTACTTGGGTGCCACGCCCCTACCACAGGTCTTTTGCCAAACTGGCTCTATGAATTTGAATTGAGTTTGACATTTCCCCACTTCTTACTCTACCCAGCTCTGAAGAAACACACAATTCACATGTAGCGTTTTTATAGGATTTTTGCTAATAAACACATGGAAAGATGAACACAAATAACAATGAAAAAAATTCAAGGACGCTCAGAAGGTACCACCTCTATTCGTCCCTGATCTTCACAAACGTATATAGAACGTCCATATATTTGCTTTTTCTCTTCCCTAAGTCTTTTCTTATGTGTTTCTGTGAAAGATTTCTAGTCCTTGTCTTTTTTTTTTTTTTTTTTTTTTTTTTTAGACAGGGTCTCACTCTATTGCCAGGCTGGAGTGCAGTGGCGCGATCTTGGCTCACTGCAACCTCCACCTCCCAGGTTCAATCGATCCTCCCATCTCAGCCTCCCAACTGGCTGGGAACACAGGTGTGCACCACGACGCCTGGCTAATTTTTTGTATTTTTTGGTAGAGAAAGGGTTTTGTCATTTTGCCCAGGCTGGTCTGGAACTACTGAGCTCCACCCACCTTGGCCTCCAAAAGTGCTGGGATTACAGGTGTGAGCCACCATGCCCAACCTGGTCCTTGTTTTAGAAGCCACCCTCCCAACTCTGTCTGTTATTGTTTTAAAAAATCTTTTCACAACCTAGGCAACATAGTGAGACCCCATCACTACAAAAAATAAAAAATTAGCTGGGCATGGTGGCTCATGCCTGTAATCCCAGCTACTCGGGAGGCTGACATGGGAGAATTGCTTGAGCCTGGGAGATCGATGCTACAGTGAGCCATCATGGTGCCACTGCACTCCAGCCTGGGATGAGACCCTGTCTTAAATAAATAAATAAATATCTTTTCAGTTAATGACTTTTTTTTTCTGAGACAGAGTCTGTTGTCCAGGCTGGAGTGCACTGGTGCGATCTTGGCTCACTGCAACCTCTGCCTCCCGGGTTCAAGTGATTCTCCTGCCTCAGCCTCCTGAGTAGCTGGGACTGCAGATGTGTGCCACCATTCCTGGCTAATTTTTGTATATTTTATAGAGATGGGGTTTCACCATTTTGCCCATGCTAGTCTCAAACTCCTGAGCTCAAGTGATCTGTCCGTCTCAGCCTCCCAGTTCTGGGATTACAGGTGTGAACCACCGTACCTGGCCAATGAACATTTCTTAAGGGTCTACTATTTTCCAGACATCAGGGTTGGTACTTGCTCGTAAAGTGCACCCTAGAGTGAAGTACTCAGATTTTAGCCCCAAATAGCTTTTTTTTTTTTTTTTTTTTTTTTTTTTTTTGAGGTGGAGTCTTCCTCTGTCGCTCAGGCTGGAGTACAATGGTGTGATCTTGGCTCGCTGCAACCTCCACCTCCCAGGTTCAAGCAATTCTGCTGCCTCAGCCTTCTGAGTAGCTGGGATTACAGGCACCCGCTGCCACGCCCAGCTAATTTTTGTATTTTTTTTTTTTTGAGGCGGAGTCTCTCTCTGTCACCAAGCTGGAGTGCAGTGGCGCGATCTCGGCTCACTGCAAACTCTGTGTATTTTTAGTAGAGATGGGGTTTCACCATGTTGGCCAGGCTGGTCTCGAACCCCTGACCTCAAGTGATCCACTAGCCTTGGCCCCTCCCAAAGTGCTGGGATTATGGGCATGAGCCACCACCGTGCCCAGCCCCACATAGACTTGAGTTGGCACCACTTTTTTGGACCATAGACATAACTCTGGTGCAGTGAAAAGAACACTAGATTGAGTCAGGAGATCTGAGTCCTTGTCATAGTTTTGTCACTAACTAGTTGAAAAATTGATACTAATTACACTAATATTGATAAGTAACATTTATTGGGTTTTTATTATGTGTTAGGTACCATGCTAAGTGCTTTATGTGGATTATCTCATTTAGTCTCACAACAAATGTATAAACTCAATGGTAGTACTGTTTTCATTTCACAGAGGAAAATGAGACTTAGGATAAGGAGACATGCTTAAGGTCCAGAATTACTAAGTGGTAGAGTAGAGGCACAAATGCAGGCAGTCTGACTCCAGAGCCTAAACAAGTCAGTTTCACTCTTCTGGCTTTGGTTTACTCATTTGTAAAATGAGAGTGATATATGAGAAGATCTCTAAAGTCTCTTCTAGCTCTAAAATCCTATTTTCTGTGATCTCCAATCTGGGTTCGAGACCCCAGGTTGCCCTTTATATTTTAGGTCGCCCTGAGCTTACACTTCACACCCACATGAATTTGGTCCTAGCCTCCTGCATAAATAACATCCACAATGCTTCATTCCTCAGGTTTTTTATTTGTTTGTTTGTTTTTGTTTTTGAGACGGAGTCTCGCTCTGTTGCCCAGGCTGAAATTCAGTGGTGGGATCTCAGCTCACTGCAACCTCCGCCTCCCGGGTTCAAGCAATTCTCCTGCCTCAGCCTCCTGAGTAGCTGGGATTACAGGCACGTGCCAACACGCCCGACTAATTTTTGTATTTTTAGTAGAGACGGGGTTTCATCATGTTGACCAGGCTGGTCTTGAACTCCTGACCTCGTGATCTGCCCGCCTTGGCCTCCCAAAGTGCTGGGCTTATAGGCTTCAGCCACCGTGTCCAGTCAATCTCTCAGGTTTCGAGGAACCTTAGAGCTTCCTCTTTAACTCTTCCTGTAGAGCTCTATGGTTCCAACCTTTGAAAGTCCTCAGCCTGGGCAACATGGTGAGACCTCCATTTCTACTAAAAAAAAAATCTTTTTAATTAGCTGGGCATGATGGTGAGCACCTGTGGTCCCAGCTACTTCGGAGGCTGAGGTGGCAGAATGGCTTGAGCCCAGGAGGTTGAGGCTGCAGTGAGCCATGTTTGTGCCACTGCACTCCAGCCTGGGCAACAGAGTAAAACCTTGTCTCAAAAAAAAAAAAAAAAAAAAAGCCGGGTACAGTGGCTCATGCCTCATGCCTGTAATCCTAACACTTCGGGAGGCCGAGGTGGGTGGATCACTTGAGGCCAGGAGTTCAAGACCAGCCTGGCCAACATGGTGAAACCCCGTCTCTACTAAAAACAGAAAACATTAGCCAGGCGTGATCGTGCATGCCTGTAGTCCCAGCTATGCGGGTGGCTGAGACACGAGAATTGCTTGAACCTGGGAGGTGGAGGTTGCAGTGAGCCAAGATCACATCACTGCACTTCAGCCTGAAAAAAAATAAAACAGTCCTACTGGCATGATATTTACCAGAGTTATTTACCAAAGATTTTTTTTTCCAGAGATATTTGCCAGAGAGTTTTCAATACACAAAAACATGCATATATATATATATATATCCATATATATATATATATATGTCCATATATATATATGTCTATGTCTCTCTCTCTATATATATATATATTTTTTTTTTGAGACAGGTCTCATTCTGTTACCAGGCTGGAGTGTAGTGGCACGATCTTGGCTCACTGCAACCTGTGCCTCACAGGTTCAAATGATTCTCGTACCTCAGCCTCCTGAATAGCTGGGATTACAGGCTTGCACCACCACACCTGGCTAATTTTTGTATTTTTGGTAGAGATGGGTTTTCGCCATGTTGGCCAGGCTGGTCTCAAACTCCCAACCTGAAGCGATCCACCTGCCTCAGCCTCCCAAAGTGCTGGGATTACAGGCATGAGCCACCACGCCTGGTCAACATGCTTATATTTTAAGTTACCTGGAAAGACCAGGATATGATACTTTATATACTATATGTTCATAATTTTGTTTAGTAAGGTACATTGAGAAAAGATAGGTAGAAATGCCAAAAAGTGTTAACAGTGGTTATCTGTTTTCCTTTCTTATATTTTTCCAATTTACTATGACCATGTGTACCTTTTAAACTGAGAGAAATGCTTTATATTTTGCCTCTTTTTTTTTGTTGAGACAGAGTCTCGCTCTGTTGCCCAGGCTGGAGTGCAGTGGCATGATCTCGGCTCACTGCAAGCTCCGCCTCCCAGGTTCATGCCATTCTCCTGCCTCAGCCTCCTGAGTAGCTGGGACTACAGGTGCCAGTCACCATGCCCGGCTTTTTTTTTTGTATTTTTAGTAGAGATGGGGTTTCACCGTGTTAGCCAGGATGGTCTAGATCTCCTGACCTCGTGATCCACCCGCCTCGGCCTCCCAAAGTGCTGGGATTACAGGCGTGAGCCACTGCGCCAGGCATATTTTGCCTCTTTCTACGAAGGATTTGAAGCACCTTACCAGAAGAATACAAACGTCGTAAGATTATAGAAATAGAAAATTATTTCTTCCTTTCTCTTTTTTTTTTTTTTTTTAGACGGAGTCTCGCTGTGTTGCCCAAGCTCTGGAGTGCAGTGGCGTGAGTTCGGCTCACTGCAACCTCTGCCTCCCAGGTTCAAGCGATTCTCCTGCCTCAGCCTCCTAAGTAGCTGGGATTACAGGTGTGCACCAACATGCCTGGCTAATTTTTTTGTATTTTTAGTAGAGATGGGGTTTTACCATGTTGGCCAGGCTAAGTCTCGAACTCCTGACCTCGTGATCTGCCCACCTTGGCCTCCCAAAGTGCTGGGATTATAGGCTTGAGCCACCGCGCCTGGTCTTCCTCTTCCTTTCTCTAAAGGAAGAGGAAGCTCAGGTGTGATGACTGAATACCAAATTCACCTTTTTGGGTAGTCAGTGGGTGGAGAAAGGGGGAAACACAATCAATTACACAATTTTTGTTATCAGAAAGAAAGAAGCATAGCAATTCCTCAAGAGAGACAGAGATTTTCCTGTTACTAAATTCTTCCTCCCCCAAATTGAAAAGACAAGATTATAGCAAACAAAATTTTTTGAAAAAACAAAACACTTATAATCCCATTGCCCTCATACAACTTTCATCATTGCCTATCAGCTTTTAGTCCTTATCCACAGACACATATAATTTTACATGGTTGCAATTAGAGTCTGTATACCATTTTGTGTTCTGCTTTTTTCAATGAACACATCATAAACCGGTTTTCACATTTAGTTTTCCATAATTGTAATTTTTAACAGCTACATAATGGTCTATTGCTGGCACTAAATTCCATAAGAAATTTCTTATGTGGGATTAACATAAGGGACAATGTCCTCAGTAACGGTTTTATAATACACACAGAAGAGATTTTCACATTACTTTCTTGTAACTACCCTGGCTAAAAGCCAAGGACGTAACATTGAGGCCCTTCTGCAGGGCTGAGCTCAGATGGGTCAGGCCTGTAACCTTCTGGGGCTCCAGCTTGATCTGAGGACACAACTTAAAATGCCATGTAAAGGAGTGAGTGGATGGATAGAATCTCCCTTACAATATAATCCATAAATATCTCTTCTCATAGCCAGGCTTTTGACACGAACTCAGAGGCAGAGTACATTTATTCTCTGATGAAGATCAGAAGTATTGGTATGCTCTGTTGTTGACTGAGGCAGGATCCATATGTTCTGGAAGCCAGATAAACAGGTGGATGGGTGACAGGGTTACCATTCTGGCTCGAAAGTTGAGAAGCCTGGCCGGAGTTGTTGTCTGCATAGAGCTTTACCTCATATCCTCATGGAGGCAGGGTGCAGGTGAAGTCAGATTTTTCTTAGGAAGCAGCTTTTGGATCTGAGTTCTGTACCACAGAGGAGGGATTTTCGATATGAACAATTTTCAAAGCCCATTACCAGTCAGGTGGCATGGGCATAAGAAGAGAGTCTCAAAATACTCCAATGGAACCTTGGGTTTTTGGTATTATAGGGTCCCAGTGTGCCTTACAGTATGAATTAGCTGCAGAATGGGGTATTATATTGACCAATTGAATTTTGGAGACTGTCACTAAGAACAATTAAAATTTTTTACATGAATGATACCAAGCTGTTATTTCTGGCACTAATTATGTAGCAGAGCCTATTGCCTCTTAAGAACTATACCTAATATGCAATAATAAAACTTTGTCAGCAACACAAAGCCAGCTTCACTTTATTTTAAGAATTTATTTCTTTTAGAGAGGGAGTCTCACTATGTTGCCCAGGCTGGTCTTAAACTCCCAGGCTCAAGTGATCCTCCCACCTCAGCCTCCCAAAGTGTTGGGATTATAGTCATGAGCCACTGTGCCTGGACCTATTTTAAGATTTTTAGTGTATAAACATTACAGCCATACGACAAAAAAAACTTTTTTAAAATAGAGAAAAAGAAAATAATTAGCCTCAATCCTATCATCCTAACACAACTATTAAAGGGTTTTGTGTACTTCCCTTATTTTTTCACCACCATATTTTACATATTTATATTCATATTTTATATATATATACATTTATGTCCTGTTTTAATAATTATAATTACACATGTAATACATATTTTCCTTTAAAAATTTAGAACATTAAAGAAAAAGCTAAAAGTACCTTTGGACCCTTATCCTACACACCTTTCCCCCGTCCTTGAAGTAACCACTGCCATGAGTTTGATATGCATTCTTCCCATCCTTTAAAAAAAAATGGCCGGCATGGTGGCTCACACCTGTAATCCCAGCACTTTAGGCAGCTGAGGCAGGAGGATCCCTTGAGGATAGGAGTTTGAGAATGAGAACAGCCTGTGCAACATCTCAAGACCCTGTCTCTACAAAAAAAATTAAAAATTAGCCGGGTGCAGGGTCATACACCTGTGCCAGCCACTTGGGAGGCTGAGGCAGGAGGATCCCTTGAGTTCAGGTGCCCAAGGCTTCAGTGAGCTATGATGGTATCGCTGTACCACTGCACTCCAGCCTGGGTGACAGAGTGAGACTCTCTCTTTCTCTCTCTCTCTTTTTTTTTTTTGAGACAGATTCTCACTCTGTCACCCAGGCTGGAGTACAGTGGTACCATCATAGCTCACTGCAACCTTGAGCACCTGAGCTCAAGGGATCCTCCGCCTCCCAGGTTCAAGCAATTCTCGTGCCTCAGCCTCCCAAGTAGCTGGGATTACAGGTGCGTGCCACCACACTTGGCTAATTTTTGTATTTTTTAAGTAGAGATGGGGTTTCACCATGTTAGCCAGGCTGGTCTCGAACTCCTGGCCTCAAGTGATCCACCTGCCTCGGCCTCCCAAACTGCTGGGATTGCAGGTGTGAGCCACCACGCTGGGCCAAGATCCTGTCTCTTAAAAAACAAACAAACAAAAAAACTCTTGCATGGGAAATACATAGTTTTGTTTTGTGGGGTTTTTTTCTTTGTATAGATGATTACATTTGGCAACTTGCTTTTTTCTTTTTCTTTTTCTTTTTGAGACGGAGTCTCGCTCTGTCGCCGCAGGCTGGAGTGCAGTGGCACGATCTAGGCTCACTGCAAACTCCGCCTCCCGGGTTCACGCCATTCTCCTGCCTCAGCCTCCCAAGTAGCTGGAACTACAGGCATGTGCCACCACGCCCAGCTAATTTTTTATTTTTTATTTTTTATTTTTAGTAGAGACCGGGTTTCACTGTGTTAGCCAGGATGGTCTCGATCTCCTGACCTCGTGATCCGCCCTCCTCAGCCTCCCAAAGTGCTGGGATTACAGGTGTGAGTCACCGTGTCTGGCGGCAACTTGCTTTTTTCACACAAAAATGTTTTTGAGGTCTATCCTTATTGAAACATCTAGTTCATTCCCTTTAACTGCTGTATCGTATTCAATTTAGTGAATAGGACACATTTCATTTAGCCATTCCCTAAAGAATTCCCATCTTTGGCTGGGTGCAGTGGCTCACACCTGTAGTCTCAGCACTTTGGGAGGCTGAGGCGGGCGGATTACTTGAGCTAAGGAGTTCAAGATCAACCTGGGCAACATGGTGAAACCCCATCTCTACTAAAAATACGAAAATTGGCTGGGCTCGCTGGCTCACGCCTGTAATCCCAGAACTCTGGGAGGCTGAGGTGGGCAGATTGCCTGAGGTCAGGAGTTCGAGACCAGTCTGTCCAACATGGTGAAACCCCATCTCTACTAAAAATATAAAAATTAGCTGGGCATGGTGGTGCACCCCTGTAGTCCCAGCTACTTGGGAGACTGAGGCAGGGGAATCACTTGAACCTGGGAGACAGAGGTTGCAGTGAGCCGTGATTGTGCCACTGCACTTCAGCTTAAGTGACAGAGCAAGACTCCATCTTAAAAAAAAAAAAACATAAATAAAAATATAAAAAATTAGCCGGGCATGGTGGTGCGCACTTGTAGTCCCAGCTACTTGGGATGCTGAGGTGCTAGAATCACTTGAACTCGGAGGTTGCAGTGAGCCGAGATTGCACGCCACTGCACTCCAGCCTGGGTGACAAAGGGAGACTCCACGTCCCCCCACCGCCAGCAAAAAAAAAAAAGAATTCTTATCTTTAAAAAAACATTGTGGCAAGAGCAAGAATGCTAATAAGTCTGCTAAACTGCATCAATTTCCCTGGTGTCACTCAGAGCACACTGGTGCAAAGAGACAACCTGAAGTAAGACAAAATAAGTCACTTTGCATCTCTGCATACAGTGCAGAGATGACTGGTCCCTAGATCACCATCCTGTGAGTCTAGATTCACAGTGCTGTTAAGTTGAACTTTCTGCAATGGTGGAAATGTTCTATATCTACACTGTCTAGAAAGTAGCCACTTTTTGGGCCGGGCGTGGTGGCCCACACCTGTAATCCTAGCACTTTGGGAGGCCAAGGTGGGTGGATCACGAGGTCAGGAGATCAAGACTATTCTGGCTAACGCGGTGAAACCCTGTCTCTACTAAAAATACAAAAAATTAACTGGGCACGGTGGCACATGCCTGTAGTCTCAGCTCCTTGGGAGGCTGAGGCAGGAGAATCGCTTGAACCTGGGAAGCGGAGGTTGCAGTGAGCCGAGATCGTGCCGCTGCACTCCAGCCTGGGCGACAGAGTAAGACTCTGTCTCAAACAAACAAACAAACAAACAAAAAACAAAAAAGAAAATAGCCACTTTTTTTTCATATGTGGCTATTGAAATATGGACAGTGCAACTGAGATTTAATTTTTAACTTAAATTTGGTCACTTGTGGCTAGTGGCTATCAAATTGGATGATGCAATAATCTAGCAAATGGTCATTAAAGCCACAATTTTTTTTACATTACAAGTTACATAATCAGAAGCTCCAAGACAATCGTGTCCACTCTCTAAAGGTCAAGTGATGATGCTGAGATCTTGTCTTGGCCCTATTACATGCCTTTCTTTTAAGGTTAAGTCTCCTTGTTCCTGGCCTCAAGATGGGTTAAGAGATTCATTATCATATAGAAAGGACAAGGTTGCTAAAATGTCTGTCTTTCTGGGAAATAACTATACTCAAACCAAATCATGTAGAAATTAATTTCTAATTCCAACACCCTCACTTGACATTTAATAAACTAAAATCCCCCATCAATCATCCCACTAGCCCACTAAAAGCTTCAAGGATGACAGAAGTATTACACAAAATCAACAGAAGAGTATAAACATCTTACAAAAATGGTCTTGGCTAAGAGCCAGCATTGTTCAGTTAGTCGGGTTATGTGTCATAAATGGGGTTTAGACTCAGAACTGATCTACTTTCTTGTTTTCCATAAATGCCTGTGGGGCTCTCTGAATCCCCATGGAGATCTCCTTTATCACCCAGAAGGTTCCTGACTGCCCCATATAGCCCGCTAAATCTATAGCTCACATAGATAGGCATGTGGTTATGCAATTTGCTCCTAGAGCAGGCTCCAGAATGTCCAGGTCTAGAGTCCAGTTGATCTTCCCTGGCAGTATCAGGCAGATATGACAGCACATGTGGGCTGAAAGGAGGAATAGCGAGAGGCTCAAAGGCACAAATACATACACTCTTAATACAGACAATAGTAAAATAACATGAAAAACATGCTAGCTATGCCTGTTATAAAAATCCATTACTAGCTCCTCTTTTTCATATGGGCCCTGATGTATATAAGTATACCTATCCTCTGGTCTTTCCCTCCCCCTCCCATTTCCTCTTCTTTTATGTTTACTTTCTCTGATCTCTTTGCTTAGTCTCTTTCTCCTTCTGCCTCTGGCAGTTTCCACTGCTGATCCCCTTTCTTCTTTTTCTGGGGTCAGTCTTTTAGCATCCTTCAACAAGGTCATGCACTCAGTTAATCTATAAATGGTATCAGGCCATTAAGATACAAGTTAAGAGAAAGGAGGCTTAAACACCATCCTGCTTTACTTGTGCTTGTGCTTTGGTGTACTCAGAGACTTCTTCCTACCCTGAGACTTTCTATCTTCAACTTTTAAAAAAGAAAGACCCTCGGTCCGGCACGGTGGCTTACGCCTGTAATCCCAGCACTTTGGGAGGCCGAGGCGGGTGGATCACAAGGTCAGGAGATTGAGACCATCCTGGCAAACATGGTGAAACCCCATCTCTACTGAAAATACAAAAAAGTTAGCCGGGCGTGGTGGCAGGTGCCTGTAGTCCCAGCTACTCGGGAGGCTAAGGCAGGAGAATGGCGTGAACCTGGGAGGCGGAGCTTGCAGTGAGCTGAGATCGCGCCACTGCACTCCAGCCTGGGTGACAGAGTGAGACTCCGTCTCAAAAAAACAAAAAACAAAAAACAAAAAAAACCCTCTCCCACTATAGGAGCAATACATGTTTATTAAAGAAAAATGGTAAAATACAGAAAAAAATTTACAAAGTACTTGTAGTCTTATCACCCAATGAAAACCACAGGTAATATTTTGGTATATTTCTTTCCAGTATTATTTTTTCCTACATGGATTTTTAAAAATTGTAATCACATTGTATATACAATTTTGTATTCTTGTTTTTTCCTCAACATATAAGCATGTATTCAAATGATTACACAGGTTCATAAATATAACTTTCATGCATGTATAATATTCTATAGTTGGATGTACCATCGGTTAATCATTTCTGAATTTTTAGCCATTTATCTTTCTTCTTTTTTGAAAAAATAGAGATGGGGTCTCGCTCTGTTGCTCAGGCTGGTCTCGAACTTCTGGCCTCAAGAGATCCTCCTACCTTGGCCTCCCAGAGTGCTGGGTTTACAGGTGGTGAGCCACCACACCCAGCCCATTTATCTTGAAGTGGTATTAAAATGAGGATTTGTACAAGCATTACCAGGGATCTATGTTAAGCACATATAGATTGTCCCAAAACAGCAATTGCCTATGTAATCACTGGAAAATGATAGTTCAATGAAAGCAGCAGGTTTTCAGTGAATGGTAGATTTCTCCATAAAGTTTAAGAGTAGTGAATTTTATTTATTTTTTGTTTTTAATTTTTTTTTTTTTGAGACGGAGTCTCACCCTGTTGCCCAGGCTGGAGTGCAGAGGTGTGGTTTCAGCTCACTGCAACCTCCACCTCCCGGGTTCAAGTGATTCTTCTGCCTCAATCTCCCGAGTAGCTGGGACTATAGGCATGCGCTACCACACACGGCTAATTTTTTTTTTTGTATTTTTAGTAGAGACAGGGTTTCACCATGTTGGTCAGGCTGGTCTCGAACTCCTGACCTCAAATGATCTGCCCACCTCGGCCTCTCAAAGTGCTGAGATTACAGGCATGAGCCACTGCGCCCGGCCCGTTTTAAATTTTTAAAAATGAGAGTGGGGTCTCACTATATTGACCAGGCTAGTCTTGAACTCCTGAGCTCAAGCGATCCTCCCACCTCAGCCTCCCAAAGTGCTGGGATTACAGGCTAAACCACCACACCTGGCCAAGAGTAGTGAATTTTATAGTAGTGTCAGGACCTCCCTCTCTATTGTGGAATCCTGGTGTAGTAGAAAGAAAAAAAATACTTTGGAATCAGACATTCTTTCCTTTATTCAATAAATATTGATTGAGCATCTATTGTGTGCCAGAGACTGTAAATACACAAATAAGAAAAACCAGGCCGGGCGCAGTGGCTTATGCCTGTAATCCCAGCACTTTGGGAGGTCGAGGCAGGTGGATTGCTTGAGTCCAGGAGTTCAAGACAAGCCTGGACAACATGGAGAAACACCATGTCTACCAAAAATACAAAAGTTAGCCGGGCATGGTGGTGTGCGCCTATAGTCCCAGCTACTCTAGAGGCTGAGGTGGGAGGATTGCTTGAACTCAGGAGGCAAAGGTTGCAGTGAGCCAAGATCGTGCCACTGCACTCCAGCCTGGGCTACAGAGCGAGACTCCATCTAAAACAAAAACAAAAACAAAAACAAAACCAGCAAGAAAAAACCCAAGTGCTTCCCCTCATGGAGCACATAGTTTAGTGGAGTTCACAAGCAATCAAACAAGCAATTACATATAGCACGATAAGTGCTAAGATGGGGAAATATGGGGGGCTATACACGTATAAAAGAAGAGATCTAATTTGAACTTGGGGGATCAGGAAGGCTTCCTTGAGAAAGTGGCATGTAAGCTTAGATGTGAAGGATGAGTAGGAGTTAGCAAGCTAAAGATACAGAGGGGACTGGGGAGGAGACTATGTGTTCTAGACAGAGGGAATAGCAAGTATAAGGTCTTATAAGTATGTGAGAGACTCTCTTTTATCTGAAGATGCCATTATTTTGCCTTCATTCTTAAAGGATATTTTTACAGAATATAGTATACTAGACTGACAGTCATTTTCTTCCCGCCAATTTAAAGATGTTTTCCCACTGCCGTCTAGTCTCCATAGTTCCTGAGGAGAAGTCCATGGTAATTTGAATCATTGTATGCAGTGTTGTTCTTCTCTGGCTGCTTTCAAGATTTTGTTTATTTTTTGGCTCTCAGCAGTTTTTTTTTTTTTTTTTTTTTTTTTTTTTTTTTTTTTTTTTTGAGATGGAGTTTTGCTCTTGTTGCCCAGCAGGCTGGAGTGCAATCTTGGCTCACCGCAACCTCCGCCTCCTGGGTTCAAGTGATTCTCCTGCCTCAGCCTCCTGAGTAACTGGGATTACAGACATGCACCACCATGCCCGGCTAATTTTGTATTTTTTGTAGAGACGGGGTTTCTCCTTGTTGGTCAGGCTGGTCTCGAACTCCTGACCTCAGGTGATACGCCCACCTCAGCCTCCCAAAGTGCTGGGATTACAGGCATGAGCCACCACGGCCAGCCTCCTTCACACATATTTTAGACCTCGGATATTGTCTGAGACTCTGTTCATTTTTAAAAAATCCTCTCTCTTCTTGAGATTGAATACTTTTGATTATGATATCTTCAAGTTCACTGACTCCTCTGTTATATTTCATTCTGCAATTAATTCCATACACTTAAATTTTCATTTCAGATACTGTATTTTTTAGTTCTGGAATTCTCATTTAGTTCTTTCCTATACTTTCTTTTTCTCTGCTGAGGTTTTCAATTTTTTCATTTGTTACCAGGGTATTTTTCTCTCCTCATTAAGCAATCTCATCTTTGAGTTAGCCTCCATTAATTGTCTTTTTCCTTTAGAATGGGTCACATTTTCCTAATTCTTCGCATACAGTTGTCCCTTGGTATCCATGGGGGATTGATTCCAGGAACTCTCTTATGGATACCAAAATCTGAGGATGCTCAAGTCCATTATATAAAATGGTGTAGTTTTTGCATATAATCTATACATATCCTCTCATATATTTTATTTTATTTATTGATTGATTGAGATGGAGTCTCACTCTATCGCCCAGGCTGGAGTGCAGTGGCATGATCTCGGCTCACTGCAACCTCTGCCTCCCAGGTTCAAGTGATTCTCCTGCCTCAGCCTCCCAAGTAGCTGGGATTACAGGCATGTGCCACCACACCCGGCTAATTATATATATGTAGATAGATAGAGAGATAGATAGATAGATAGATAGATAGATAGATAGATAGATAGATAGATAGAGATGGGGTTTCTCCATGTTGGTCAGGCTGGTCTCACACTCCTGACCTCAGGTGATCCGCCTGCCTCGGCCTCCCAAAGTGCTGGTATTACAGGCATGAGCCACCCCAGACTCCTCTCATATATTTTAAATCATCTTTAGATTACTTATTAATACCCAACACAATGTAAATGCTATATAGTTTTTATACTTTATTTTTTATTTTTAGTATGTTTTTGTTGGTGTATTGCAATTTTTGTTGTTGTTTTTTGAATTTTTTTTTTTGAGACAGAGTCTCACTCTGTCACCCAGGCTGGAGTGCAGTGGCATGATCTCAGCTCACTGCAACCTCTGCCTCCTGGGTTCAAGCAATTCTCCTGCCTCAGCCTTCCAAGTAGCTGGGGACTACAGGCATGTGCCACCATGCCTGGCTAATTTTTGTATTTTTTGGTGGAGATGGGGTTTCTTCATATTGCCCAGGCTGGTCTCAAACTTCTGACCTCAAGTGATCTGCCCACCTCGGCCTCCCAGAGTGCTGGGGTTACAGGCGTGAGCCCCTGCGCCTGGCCTGTTTTTTGAATATTTTTGATCTGCAGTTGGTTGAATCCACAGATGCAGAACCCATGGATATGGATAACCGTATTGAGTAATTTTAGTGGGGTTCCTGGACATTGTGTATGTTATGTTGTGGAGATTCTGGATTCTGTTATATTCTCCGAGAGGGTAGATGTGTTTCTTTTAGCAGGCAATTAACTTGTTTAGATTCAAACTGTACTTTGCCTTGCCTGTGGTTAGTGGCAGCTCAAATCTTAGTTCCATTCTTTTAGTTTTAGATGGAAACTGCCCTATGCATGCATAGTTCAGAATATGCCTTGGGGAAGAATTTATACAGGTAATTTAGGGCTCCTTTTCTCAGAATCTCTCCTTTCTTAGCTATCTCCTCACTTTCCAGAGACTGTGGTTGTCCCAGGCTTTGTCCTCTGGTTCTTCAGGCTAGAAAGATAAGAATTTCCTGATGGACTTTCAGTGATGTGGCCAGTGATTGCAGCCTGACCTCAGGCTGAGGCCATAAAACATGGGAAACTCACCCCATGCTGATCTCTTATTCCAAGTTCCAATTGCCTTCTGAAATCTGCCTGCTTTTGTTCACTCTCTGGAGCCTTCAAGTTGTGTGTATGTGTGTGTGTGCGTGCGCTTGCGTGTGTGTATCTGTGTGTGTGTGTGTATTTTGTCCAGAGTTTACAGATGTTATCTATTGAGAATTTACTCCATCATACTGAGAATGGAAACTGTAAGAGATTCTCAGATGAACTTACTTCATATTTTAGGGGTAAAATCATAGACTTCAACTTCTTTCTTTTTCACCTTAATATTTCTGTATATCATCACCCATATTCTCCTCTTGCTTCAGAGAAAAAGGCCAACTTGTCCACTTTTTCCCCTTTTTCCACCACCTTATTTATATTTGTGGCAGGACCTACAGTTCACCAATCCATTCATTCATTTACTCAACAAGTATGTATCAATCCAGGTGCTCTGCTAGGTGTTAGGGGTAACGAGCAAGCAAAAATAGACTCTACTTCACTGAAACTGCTCTCTTCTAGGTCATAGGTCATCAAAAGTCCGGTTTCTTTTCTTTTCCTCTTTTTTTGAGACGGAGTTTCGCTCTTTTGCCCAGGCTGGAGTGAAGTGGTGTGATCTCGGCTCATTGCAACCTCTGCTCCCCGGATTCAAGCGATTCTCCTGCCTCAGCCGCCTGAGTAGCTGGGATTATAGGCGCCCGCCACCACACCTCGCTATTTTTTTTTATTATTATTTTTAGTAAAGACAGGGTTTCTCCATGTTGGTCAGGCTGGTCTTGAACTCCTGACCTCAGGTGATCCACCCGCCTCGGCCTCCCAAAGTGCTGGGATTACAGGTGTGAGCCACCGCGCCTGGCAAGTCTGGCTTCTTAATCACCAGATAAAATAACTTTTTCTCAGTCTCATCCTCTTTAACTTCATTGCATCATCCTCCATTAACTCTGGTGACCAGCCTCTCCTTAAAATTTTTCCTTTGCCTTCCAGGTCTTCTCCCACCTTGTTGATTTTTCCTGTCACTTTCCAAGTAGGGGAATTCTCAGAGACTTTGTTCTTGGCTCTTTTCTTCTCTTGTCCTTCGCAGTCTTACTTGATCTTAGAGTTTCAACTACCACTTCTGTGTCCAAGACTCTCAAATCTCTCTCTTCAGCCTTGACCTCTCTCCTGAGGTTGAGACTTGAATTTCAGCTGTTTTTCTCTGCCTGATTGTCTAACAATGACACTAAATTGCAAGTAGTCAAAATCTAACTCATTATCTTGCCTCTGAACACGCTTTTCCTGCTGTGTTTCCTATTTCAGTTAATTCCTGATACTGGAAGCATAGAGTTAAATAAGAGCTCCATTAGGGGTGTTGTAAAAGGGATTCTTGCATTGGGTAGGAAGTTTGATGACAGGGAAAGCTGTAAAGTCCCTTTCAATTCTGTGATTCTATTATGTTCCCAGCACAGTGCTGTCCATTTCCTTCAAGGGGCTCACAATTGAACCGAGGGAGACAAACCAATTGAGTGATAACTGGTCTTGACTTTGAATGCAGCAGAAATTCAGAGAAAGGTGATAACATGCACTGAAGTAGTAAGAGAAGACTTTAAGAAGAAGAGAACCAAGCCAAGCTCTTCAAAGGTAGAAGCTGTGTCTTTTATTTCATTCATACTCCCACAGCACCATTCTCTGCACACTGTAGAAACTCCATAAAGGCTTTTTGAATGAGATTGTAATATTATTAATGTTTATTGAGTACACATTGAGTGCACAGTTCTTCACTAAATGATGTGGAGGTTAACCAAGATGCGGTCTCTTATCTTTTTTAACCACTCAACCAATGAATATTTACTGAGTGCCTGTTATTTACAAAACACCATGCTAGAAATTATAGGGATGCAAGATGCAAGAAAAATATGTCTTAGACCCTCCCTTAGGGAGTTTACAATGTGGTTGGTAAGATGAGACATATATGCACAGGAGGCTAACTAAGAATGTGAGCCAGAGCCAAATGAACACTACAGACAATAAGTGTAAACACAATTTTTAAAGTACAGGTTACTGTAGACTGGGTGGATATGGAGGCTTTATGGAGGAGGTGGGACCTGCACTGGGCTTTGAAGGATGGGCAGAAATTAAACAGGCTTGAAGTTCTCATAGTTAAGATACAATTCAACACATGAAGCGTCAGACTAAAGACCAAACAGATGAAGAACAACATCTAGGCAGGAATTTGCAGCTTATATCAGCATTTGTTAGAGTCATTCTATTTCCCTCCCACCATAATCACATTTTTTTTGTTCTTTTTCTTCCTTTTTAAAATATTTCCCCCCCCTCCTCTTTATGGTGACATACAGGGCTAAAATATTCTCCTCTGAGAGGCATGTTAAAAGCCTGAGCTCAAAAACCAGACTGGGTTCAAATCCTGATTTTATCACTATTTTGGGCAAGTTGCTTAATCCATCTATGCCTCATCAGTACACTACAGATATAAAAATAGCACCTATGTCATAGGATTGTTTTGAGGATTAACTGAGTTAAAATATATAAAGCACTTAAAATAGTACCTGGCACATAGTAAGTGTTCAATAAATGTTAGCTTTTATTAAGGGAAGAAGGCTGGCTAATTCAACATTATTGTCTTTCCAGGTCTTCTTGTTTCTAGATAACTAAGTATGTAATTAATGAACACCTCTATGGAAGCTGGAGGTCAGACTCTTGTCAGCTGATGGGTTAGGTCTTTAGCAACCCCATTAACATGCATAGACACTCACACACTTATGCTGCTGCCACTTTTTCCCAGATTGCCCTCACCCCTAGGCGACTTAGAGATACTTTTGTGAAATAAATACAATCACCAACTTAAGTAGGCAGGTTGAGTGTTAAAAGGGCACTTCATCAACATAGGGAGACAACTGACAACTTTCAGAAGGGATTTAGTTTAAAGTAGACTATCCCCAGGGAGGCCTCAGGTGAAATGAACGTCAAGAAGGGAACAAATCACTAATGGTAATAGGCAGCTGGATGGGTGTGTGTGGAAAGGAATGGGGTGCTCCATAGAAAGGCAGTTAAGCTCTGAATCCAGATCCCCTGGAATACAGATTGTATGGATATGAGCTCTACTCTTGTTTTCACCAGTCTACTACCTGTTTTTACAACCAGACCCTCCCCTCTTACTCCCTCCTTGCAGTTCCAGCTTCCTGCTCCCAGGAACACAAACACCCCAAATTACAGGGGCTTTTGATTGCCATTTCCTTGGGACAGCCTGAAGAGAGAATCGAAAGAAGTTCTTTTCAGTATGGTTGCATAACATCGAGTCGGAGATTGTGAAATGTCCTTTGAGAAAAATGTACGGGCAGGAAGATGAATAGGTGTCTGTTTGATTAAGGTACAGTATTGCCTGTGGGCAGGATGATGAACTAATGAGATTCCATACAATTTAAAGGTCCTAAATCTCCATTTCTCACCGCCCCCATTCTTGACTCCTTTTGGCCAAGAATCACTGTGGTCAAGGAAACGCAATAGAGAGGAAAGTGCACATCAAGTTCTGATGTCACCTGTTTGTCAAGAGATTTGACTCAGCTACTCTTTGTGTGTGTGTGTGTGTGTGTGTGTGTGTGTGTGTGTGTATGTGTGATAACTGAGGTACAGAGGATAACTGTGTTTCACCCAACATCACTTAGTAACTCTGAACTTCTGTGCCTGCCATGAAAAATAAAAAGGGTGCTCTGTGTGTGTGTGTGTGTGTGTGTGTGTGTATGGAAGCCAGCTAGCTGTTATTGCCTTATTAATGCAAAGGACTTAATTAGCCCAGTACCCTCTACTGTCCTCTTCTTTTCACCCTATCAAAATTTTCCCTCAAAGATCATTTATCATTTATTTACACCTCATTGTGAATTTAACTTGCACAATTCTCCTAGGGCCATTTGATTTTAAGCCTTATCTTGTCACTCACCTATATATTTAACTTTCTATGGAATTGGTCCCTCTAGCTGCTAAACATATTTAAATCTCTCCTATCCTAAAAAACAAATCCTTCTTTGACTATGCATGGCTCTCTAGCTACAACATTTCTTTCTTAGGCAAGTTTCTCAAAAGATTCTCTACTAAATGTTTCCACTTCTTTACCTCTGATTCAATTCTCAATTCACTATGATCTGGATTCTACTCCCAGGACTCTACTGAAACTGTTCTCATTTAAGTAATTATTTAATCTAGTGGACATTTCTCAGGGCTTATCTTATTTGACCTTTCTACTATATTAAACACTATTAACCACCTATTTGCTCCTTTGAGAAACATTTTTATTCGTTGTCTTCAGATCATTATTGTCTTCTGGCTCTCTTCCTACCTCTCTGACCACTCCTTCCTGATCTCCTTCACGAGCTTTTTTTTTTTTTTTTCCCCAAGATGGAGTCTTGCTCTGTTGCCCTGGCTGGAGTGCAGTGGCTCGATCTCGGATCACTGCAACCTCCGCCTCCCGGGTTCAAGCAATTCTCCTGCCTCGGCCTCCCAAGTAGCTGGGACTACAGGCACATGCCACCTCGCCCGTCTAATTTTTCGTATTTTAGTAGAGACAGGTTTTCACCGTGTTGCCCAGGCTGGTCGCAAACTCCTGCACTCAGGCAATCAGCCCGCCTTGGCCTCCCAAAGTACTGGGATTACAGGCGTGAGCCACCGTGCCCGGCCCACAAGCTGTTCTTTTCTGTGCCTGCCCTTTAATGGTTTTCCCAAATGGAAATAGTTTTACATTTTCTGGTTAAAAAATAAATGTAAGTTTATTGTTAAAAAATCAGATCCTTTAGAAAATTATAAAAATATAAAATCCAACTGAAACCCCACCACACAGAGGTAACCGCTGCTACATTTTGGTGCATGTCTTTCCAGACTTTAAAAATTATATATAAATAATTATTTATATATATAAATATATATTTATATATATATTTATATATCTATATATTATATATTTATATATAAATATATTTATATATAAATAATTATATATAATGATATAGATATATAAATATAAATATATAAATATTATATATTTATATATAATATATATAAATATTATATATTTATATATATAATATATAAATATTATATATTTATATATAATATATATAAATATAAATATATATATAAATTAATATATAAATATAATAATTATATATAATATAAACTATAATAATTATATAAATATATAATTATTTATATTTAATTATATATAATTATATGTTTATATTATTTATATATTACATTATATTATTTATAATTATAATTATTTATATTAATTATTATATATAAAATATACATTAATACAAGTGATATCATACTACAATATTTTTTGCCAGCTTTTTTCACTTTTTCATGGACATCATTCTGTATCAACAAGCATAAGAAATTATTTTAAATGGATAGATAGGGGAACTGTAAATTAGGCCATTTACACAAGATAGTGAAATTTATGATGGAAGTGACTAAGATAAAAAGCCTTGTAAAATATAAAATCCACTACCCCTTTATAATACTTGTTATATAAGCAAATTCACAAATTAGAAAAAAAGACTACACAAATATTGCAGAAAATGAACAATTATTTGCTCTTAAAAACAAGAACCTTACACTGGTATCTTTATGTGATTATCTGATTATTTTCTGAGGATAAATTATTGGAAGTAAAACTTTTGAGTTAAAGATTTTGGTAAATAACATTAAAAATAAAAAATACAAAGGCATTATACTTAAACACAGTTAATGAAAAACAACCCTCCCTGCCGTCTGTGACTTCTTTTCTCCAGTTCTGCTCTCCAGAGACAACCAGTATTACAAGTTTCTTCAAGTCAAAGTTTAAAAAAAAAATACATACTGCCAATCTATTTCCCAGAAAGATTGTACCGATTCACATTCCTACCAAAACTGCATGCCCTCACCAACTTTCAAATCTTCTGTCCTTGCCTCTTCATGTTTTTCTTTCTACATGGTATGCTGATGACTCTCATATCTCTATCTCTCTAACCCTGACCTCGCCCTCGAGCTCCAGGCCAGTATTTCCAGCTACTCGCTGGACATCTCCACCTGGATGTTCTACAGACACCCCATATTTATCTAAACTGAACTCATTTTTTACAGATGAGGAAAACTGTTTGTATAATTTGCTCATGGTTATACAGCTAGAAAGCAAGGATTTAAACCCAGGCAGCCTAAGTTCATGGGTCACACATTTAAGCCCTACACTATACTACCACCATATCTAATCACGTACAAGTCGTATCTATTTTATTTCTTCAATCTCTTTCCTATCTCTTCCCTCCTCTCCATTGTCACCATCACCACTTGATTCGGAGTCTTATTGTCAATACCTTCATAATTCAACTTAAATATACCTTCCATGTTGTCTACAAAACAATTCTTCTAAAACATAAATCTGATCATGTATTTTTCCTGCTTAGGATCCTTCAGGGACTCCCTATCACCTACCAGAAAGCTTTGTATCACCTATCATGAAGTCAGAGATCCTTTACTTAATATAAGCGGATCATCCTTTGTCTGCCCATCCCTAGCCAGTCTACCTTTCTAAACACTTCCATCACACAGTCTGAATTGGCGATAAATGCCTAAAAATGCTCCACTGTTTCTTATCGCAAGGACTTTGTGTATTCTTTCTTTCTTTCGCTCTCTCTCTCTCTCTCTTTTCTTTTCCTTTTCTTTCTTTCTTTTTTTGATGGAGTCTTGCTCTGTTGCCCAGGATGGAGTGCAGTGGCATGATCTCAGCTCACTGCAACCTCTGCCTCCCGGGTTCAAGCGATTCTCCTGCCTCAGCCTCCTGAGTAGCTGGGATTACAGGCGTGTGCCACCATGCCCAGCTAATTTTTGTATTTTTAATAGAGACAGGGTTTCACCATGTTGGCCAGGCTGATCTCGAACTCTTGACCTCAAGTGATCTGCCTGCCTCGGCCTCCCAAAGTGCTGGGATTACAGGTGTGAGCCACCGCGCCCGGCCTGCATATGCTGTTTCTTATTCCAGAAATTACCTTTCCCTATTTCCACTCCTATTTGTCCTTTATGTCTTTTCATGTCTGTTAAACTCAGATGTTTCCTCCTCCAGGGGAACCTCCCCTAATTTTTCCAGTTATACATTTCCTATGTGCTGCTTTGAACATTTACTTATTTTGTATTTGTCGCATTATATTAGTTTTGTTTACTTGTCTCCCTTGCTAGAATGTTAACTCCTTGAGGGCAGGGACTCTTATTTAACTCCAGGATTTTAGTGTTTAGCATGGTGCTTGGCACGTATTTGCTTAGTGGATATTGGTTAAATTGAATTAAACAGCAATTGTGAAATTGTAGGGCCTCATACTCTGTTGAAAGAATTTCAGGCATCAGTGATATGGGAAATATTTTTTGAGTAGAGGAGGGCAGGGGAAAGGTGGAGAAAGGATGACCTGAAATCATCACCCAGTCTACCCTTTAATGTGGAGCATATGTAAATTAGTCATATAAATATTAATATTTCTATAGATATTCTCATGTAAACATTTATTCTATCTCCATTATGGGTTGCAAGCAACCTCAGAGCAGTGCCAAGTATGGAGTTCTGCGGAGTAGAAATAGAAGGTATGAAATAAGTACCCTCAATTTGCTGATAAATGTAAGATTGAGTACACCTGGAGTGTGGCAACAAGGAGTAAGATATGCCCAATTTTCCTGAAAAGTAAGAGAGAAATGTCTTTCTTTACCCCATCCTAGTTGCTTGCTGCTTTCCTGGCGCCATACGTAGTGCTGAGTGCGCCATTGTGTGTGGCGTGAACTGAAACCATCAGTGGCACAGGTGGGACGGCTACGTTATAGGTTCTCAGTACTATTGTTGGAACCCCACCCTCCATAGACCACCCTTCTATTTTCGCGGAAAACCAGGACTTATTCAGGTCACTGGGCTTCGGCCTATCACTGTAGGAGCCTGGCTCACGGGGCAGTGCCCACTGTTGATTGATACACGGTACGAGACAATTTCTTGGGTTGAGGAGCCGCGATTGGCGGAGCCAGCCTGTGCTGCTAGGCAGGGTATTGGGTACTGCGTATTGGGGATGCAGGTTCCCGGGTGGCCACAAACATCACCCGGAAGCCTGAATATGGCCTCCACTCTACAGGGCGCGCAGCAGTCAGCACGGCCGCTATTCAGAGCCCGGGGCCCAGGCCCGTGCGGCGTGCGCGTGCGTGCGTGGGCGCGCGTGCGCGCCGCCGCCGCCTGTGGGTTGGCTAGTTATTTTGCAAGCGGGAGGGGCCGTGCGCGCTCCTGCCTCAGGCCTCTGTCCCCCACCCCCTTTCCCCGGTCCCAGGCTCTCCTTCGGAAAGATGTCGGACACGGCAGTAGCTGATACCCGGCGCCTTAACTCGAAGCCGCAGGACCTGACCGACGCTTACGGGCCGCCAAGTAACTTCCTGGAGATCGACATCTTTAATCCTCAGACGGTGGGCGTGGGACGCGCGCGCTTCACCACCTATGAGGTTCGCATGCGGGTGAGTCACGGGGTGAGGGAGACAGCTGAGGGAGGACCGGGCGGCGCGAGCGGGAGGGGGGAGGGAGGCTACCGCGGGGGCAACTAACGGCGGGGAAGACGCCTTAGGGGTCATTTGGGGGTTAGGGGTATAATAGGCTTGGAACGAGGTCTGCCGATTCAGTTGTGGCCGGAGGATGCAGAAAACTCCTGAGGGAGACATCGGACGGGGATGCAGGAAAGCTACCCATGAGGAAGTGAAGCATGGCTGGATAGGGTGGGGTGGATGGAAAAAGATTAGAGTGAGGAATTCAAGGAGATAGGAATCACGGCTGTAGCGACTGAAGGAAGGGAGGGAGGATGGAAGAGGGCTGGGGGATGGAAAGCCAAGGCGATATATCGCTGAGCTCCATAACTAAACTAGGTTGTGAGAAGTCTGAAGAGGGAGGGCAGGAAGGCCGGCTGCTTTCTAATGAGGTCTCCCTGGGATAATGGAGTAAAGCAAAGCCTTGAATTAAAGGGAAGGTAGATTCCAGAAAAGGCAGACAGTAGGCTTGTGGGAGCAGAAATAAGAAAGGGAGTCTCCTTGAGACCGAGCGCTTTCCTAACTTGTGTCGGATCAGCATCTGAAGGAGAGAAATGTTTTATGCTTAAGTTTTCGCAGATACTACGTGCTGTCTCGCCTTGAAACCTGGCCTGGCCCTGGGATTGGTGCCTTGTCAGTCACTGCTTTCATTCTATGTGGATCCTTTAGATTTGAAGTATCCAGAATGTTTATTTCAGTATTTATTGACTCTCGTTTAGGTACTTTGTATATGAATGGCTTTTTGCCCTTTCTGTCCTAGATTACCCTTTTGGATTCTGACCCTGGTCTGTAGTTACTTTAATACATGACATTTCAGAATTGCCCAGGAGTGGCTTCTTCCAGCATGCATGATAGAGGACTTTACTCTCTAGTGCTTAGCCCATAATGCAAGGATGGAATGTGCAGATAGAGTACTTGGTTTGCAGGATCTTTTGCCCACTTGAAGTGGTTATAGGCAAAACAGTTTGAGAATCATTTTCTAGTTTTCCTTATGTTTTCTTCTCAGACTAAAAGGCCAGAATATTCTCTGTGGACAGCATCCTGCTCAAACAGCATTGAAGAACTAAAAGAGTGTATGTGCTTTCATTGTTGAAGGAGTGAATTGAATGAGAAATTGTGGTCTCCTACTTGGGCTTTGAAATCTTATTGAGAAATTATGATTTCCAGATTCCAAGTTTGGCAAAGTCCAAACTGAAGAAAGAAAAGTGAATAGCAAAACATGAGAAACACTTGTCTATATAAGAACTATGTGAAATCATGTCTTTGGGGGAGAATGGAATTTAGGTCCTTCAGAATATGATAAAAGCAGGAAATTGTCAGTGCTGGAGAACTTAGTTACCTGAGGGAGCTTGGGCATGACTAGTACAGCATAAGGGCTGTCTGCTGTGGGGTTTTGGAGACATTCAATGCATTACCCAAGAGTCTTAGGGATTCTGAATGAAATCGCTCTTTACTCAGGGTATTCTTTTTTTTTTTTTTTTTTTTTTAAGAGATGGAGTCTCGTTCTATTGCCCAGGCTGCCGTGCAATGGTGCAATCTCGGCTCGCTGCAACCTCCGCCTCCTGGGTTCAAGCAATTCTCCTGCCTCATCCTCCCGAGTAGCTGGGATTACAGGCACATGCCACCATGCCTGGCTAATTTTTGTATTTTTAATAGAGACGGGGTTTCGCCATGTTGGCCAGGCTGGTCTTGAACTGCTGACCGCAAGTGATCCTCCTGCCTCGGCCTCCCAAAGGGCTGGGATTAGAGGCGTGAGCCACCACGCCTGGCCCTACTCCAGGTATTCTAATAGCAACAGGGACTGTTCATCTAGTGCCTACTGTGTACCAGGCACTGAACTAGGTTTTAATTTGTGTTAATCCTTACAGAACTTCGTTTTACACATGGGAAACTGAGGAGGAATGCAGTTTAAGTAACTTGCCCAAGTACACGTAACTATAACTGACAGGGCTGGAATTTGAACACAAATATGTCTGACTCCATATTCTTTCTGCTACACTTCTGTCTCCTTGACAACACTTAGTAGCAAAACTTTAGCATGCAAAATTTTTCTACTCACTAAACTTTTAATCGGTCCCTTCCACAATTTTTTTTTTTTTCGAGACAGAGTCTCGCTCTGTCACCCAGGCTGGAGTGCAGTGGCATGATCTCAGCTCACTGCAACCTATGCCTCCCAGGTTCAGGCGATTCTCCTGCCTCAGCCTCTGGAGTAGCTGGGACTACAGGCATAAGGCATGGTGCCACCACACCTGGCTAATTTTTTTTTTTTTTTTTGAGATAGAGTTTTGCTCTTGTAGCCCAGGCTGGAGTGCAGTGGCATGATCTCGGCTCACTGCAACCTCTGCCTCCCGGGTTCAAGTGATTCTTCTGCCTCAGCCTCCCAAGTAGCTGGGATTACAGGCATGTACCACCACGCCTGGCTAATTTTTGTATTTTTAGTAGAGACAGGTTTCGCCATGTTGGCCAGGCTGGTCTCGAACTCCTGACCTCAAGTGATCCGCTTGCCTCGGCCTCCCAAAGTGCTGGGATTATAGGTGTTAGCCACCATGCCCGGCCTAATTTTTGTATTTTTAGTAGAGATGGGGTTTCGCCATGTTGGCCAGGCTGGTCTCGAACTCCTGACCTCAAGTGATCCATCCACCTCAGTCTCCCAAAGTGCTGGGATTACAGGTGTGAGCCACCACGCCTGGCCTTGTTTATTCTTTTTTTTTTTTTTTTTTTGAGACAAAGTCTTGCTCTGTCACCCAGGCTGGAGGGCAGTGGCATGATCTCGGCTCACTGCAGCCTCCGCCTCCTGGGTTCAAGCGATTCTCCTGCCTCACCTTCCTGAGTAGTTGGGATTACAAGCACCTGGCTAATTTTTGTGTTTTTAGTAGAGACAGGGTTTCACCATGTTGGCCAGGCTGGTCTCGAACTCCTGACCTCAAGTGATCTGCCTGCCTCGCCTCCCAAAGTGCTGGGATTACAGGCGTGAGCCACCGCATCCAGCCCTTATTTATTCTTTTAAATAAATAATGGTTTAGTAATCTTACTTTATATGAATCTCACTCCATTTCAACCTATTGACATTCCTTGGACCTTGACGATCCTGGATGGAGTTTAATGTACAATTGGCCAGTTATTTGGCTTTTGATGGCCTATTTGAGAACTGGATCCTGAAAAGACAATTTCCAGTGTCAAGGAGTACAAAGCATGATGTAGTGGGTTCTGTGTGAAGCTCTAATGGAGTTTCGAGTTGCTCTTTTCCTGCCAAGAGGCAGTTGTGGAGAAAGGAGATAACTAGTTTATTTTATTCATCCTCTCACCTGAATTGACTGGCAGTAAATATGGTCAGTATTAATACATGTGGTTGGCCATTTCTATTTAGAACTTGTAGACAGGAGTGAAGATCAGGGTTTTCTGTCAGGGGATTCGTGTTGCCACTAGAGCCTTGGGAATCTTCTCAGTGTTTAAAATGTGGGAATGAGCTGATTTATATCAGGGAGCAAGCTATGGTAAGCCAACTTTTGTAATGGTGATTTCTTATGCATTTTCTAGATGAGGAGAGGATAAACAGACACATAGAGTCTCTATTAATCAATTGAGCATTTATTGAGTAACTTGCATATTCTGCATTTTAGAAGATGCAGAAGTAGTCATAGTTTCTGATCTTAATGAGATTAGTTAGTTAGACAAGGCAAACATGATGCATAAAACAATAGTGTATCAGGCAATGCTAAAGTATAACTGTCAGAAGAGTTCAGAGAGGAGGAAAACCAATAAATCCAGTTGTTGTTGTCAGAAAATTTTTTTGTTTGAAGTGAGAGTTGAGTGAGCACTGGTAGAATGGAGAGGATTTGGACAGGAAGAGCAGAGGTAGGCATACCTTGGATGTGTTTATCTCTTTACAGGGAATTTAAATTCACTTTTTAAAGGAAAATGTAATATGTACACATGATAAATTCAAATTGTACAATGAAAAATGTGACTATTCCACCCATTCCAGTTGTCTTCTCTTACTCTCGAAAGTCAATCACCATTACCAGTATATTTTCATAAATACTTTATTAATCAGTATAAATATATACATATACATCCCTTTTTAAAACACAAATAGAGGCAAGCTATATATATATACTGTTCTATACCTTGATTTTACTACTTAATATCTTTCCATACTGGCACATAGAGATCTTTCATTTTTATTTCGAGAGACAGAGTCTCTGTGCCAGATTACAGTAGCATAATCACAGTTCACCATAGCCTTGACCTCCTGGGCTCAGGTGATCCTCCTGAGTAGCTGGGACCACAAGCGAGCACTGCCACTACACCTGGCTTTTTTACTTTTTGTAGAGATGGAATCTTGCTATGGTTGCCCAGGCTGCTCTCAAACTCCTGGGCTCAGGTGATCCCTTGCCTCGGCATCCCAAAGTGCTGGGATTATAGGTGTGAGCCACTGCACCTGGCTTTCACATTCTTTTCATAGTTATTTAATATTCTACTATACAGGTATACCATAATTCATTGTAACCTATTGTCTATTCATAGACATTTATTATTATTATAAATAATAAAATGCAGTGAAACTCTTTTTTTTTTTTTTGAGACAGAATCTCACTCTGTCTCTCAGGATGGAGTGCAGTGGTGTGATCTTGGCTCACTGCAACCTCCGCCTCCTGGATTCAAGTGATCCTTTTGCCTCAGCCTCACAAGTTGCTGAGATTACAAGTGTGTGCCGCCACACCTGGCTAATTTTTGTATTTTTAGTAGAGACAGGGTTTCACCATGTTGGCCAGGCTGGTCTTGAACTCTTGACCTCAAGTGATCTGCCTGCCTTGGCCTCCAAAAGTGCTGGGATTACAGGCGTGAGCCACCAAGCCTGGTGAAAACTCTTATATGTACATATTTACATACTACTGCAAGTCTACTTGTAGGATAAATTCAAAGCAGCAAGGGACTTCTGATCATCAGCTATGATAAGGTTGGATGTGGTAAGGGTTGGTTTTTACCTGGTGGTGATTTGAAGGGGTTATAGGAGCATGATCCATAGGAGCTATTTCTTCATTGGGACCTGTCCAAGTTACTCAGACAGGTGGCTACCACAGGCTGAACATTACCATCTTTCTTCTTTAATTTTTCCTTCCATGTAGACAAACCTACCTATCTTCAAGCTAAAGGAGTCCTGCGTACGGCGGCGCTACAGTGACTTTGAGTGGCTGAAAAATGAGCTGGAGAGAGATAGCAAGGTATGGCTTTGTTCTCTGTGTGGCATCTTTGGAGGAGGAGCTCTGCATAGGCTGAGTGGGCATACAACCACAGTCTATAAAGTCTTGAAGGGAATGAAGAGGGTGAACACATTCTTATCCATCAAATCTCAGTATTTTAGATCGGGGGGATACCTTTTGAAACTTGAAAGTGGTAAGTTCTGGCTGGGCACAGTGGCTCACGCCTGTAATCCCAGCACTTTGGGAGGCTGAGGCGGGCGGATCACCTGATGTCAGGAGTTCAAGACCAGCCTGGCCAACATGGTGAAACCCCGCCTGTACTAAAAATACAAGAATCAGCCAGGTGTGGTGGTGGATGCCTGTAATCCCAGCTACTTGGGAGGCTGAGGCATGGGAATTGCTTGAACCTGGGAGGCAGAGGTTGCAGTTAGCTGAGATCGTGCCACTGCACTCCAGCCTGGATGACAGAGCAAGACTCTGTCTCAAAAAAAAAAAAAAAAAAAAAAGAAAGTGGTAAGTTCAGGACAAGTTTTTTTTTTAAAGTATTACTTCACTTAGTCGCTAGTAAAGTTGTACAACTTAATTCCTGTAGGTGCTAAAAATGGAAAGTCTAGTGTCAGGAAAATCCTAGCTAAATTCTTGAATGGTAGTGGCTTGTTAAGGAAAGTGAGGATTATTTGGAGTTTATTTCCTTCTTTTGAGGTGGTAAACCTGTCTTCCCACAGAAACGGATTAATTTTTGACCTGAGCCATCCTGACTGTTCTTATGGTCTTAGTTCTTGCAAGTTGCTGGCTGTGGGACAGGATGGACCCTATGCCTAATAAGAAATGAGGTACACGGTGCTTTACCATCTCATTCCCACTCTGTCTCTCTCCCATGTGGCTGGAATTTTGTGTGTGCCTGCAGATTGTAGTACCACCACTGCCTGGGAAAGCCTTGAAGCGGCAGCTCCCTTTCCGAGGAGATGAAGGGATCTTTGAGGAGTCTTTCATCGAAGAAAGGAGGCAGGGCCTCGAGCAGTTTATTAACAAGTAAGCCAAGTTCCTGGGGGCTCCACTTGCTACTTTTGCCATCGTAGTCTTTCTATATGTTTTGTTTACCTCACCTTTTATTTTATTTTTATTTACTTATTTATTTATTTGAGACAGAGTCTCACTCTGTCACCTAGGCTGGAGTGCAATGGTGTGATCTCGGCTCACTGCAACCTCCGTCTCCTGGGTTCAAGTGATTCTCCTGCCTCAGCCTCCTGAGTAACAGGGATTACAGGCGCCGGCCACCATGCCCAGCTAATTTTCATGTTTTTAGTAGCGATGGGGTTTCACCATGTTGGCCAGACTGGTCTCGAACTCCTGACCTTAAGTGATCCACCTGCCTTGGCCTCCCAAAGTGTTGGGATTACAGGCGTGAGCCACCGCACCCAGCTCACCTTTTATAATGGGTACCATGATGTGGTGCCAATTGTGTGGTGGGCTGACTGGACAGTAAAACTCCATTCCTTTGAGTAGGATTCTGATCCTGTGTGTCAGGGCCTGAGAAAGCACTGCATGTTGGTTATATCTAGGGATTTCCCTGTCTTGCCCCTCTATCCCCCGTCCCCTTTACAATATTAGGGTTGAGGTGGTACCCTACTGCTGTCCTCTACTGGCTTGAACCTCAGGGCTGACCTTGCCCTTCTTCCCCTGTCCACATCCCCATCCCTCTGCTAATTCTCTCTGATTCTGAATACTACTGATAACCATCCTGGTTTCTTTATAGAATTGCTGGGCACCCACTGGCTCAGAATGAACGCTGCCTACACATGTTCCTGCAAGAGGAGGCAATTGACAGGAACTACGTCCCGGGGAAGGTGCGCCAGTAGGAGCCCCTCTCACCACCTGCCCTCTACTTTCCTGCTGAAATGACATTGGTTTTTACACTAAGCCTCTCTCTGTCTTTGATCTGAAGTTGGCTGCCCATCTCCTGGCCTGATAGACTGTCTGGCATTGTGCTCCCTGGTACCTGACTACACCATGTGGGCACTCTGCTAGGATCCTCTTCTCTGAGGAGAGGTGGGAACCCACAGGCAGATGCCCTTTGCTTGGGGTTGGGGTGGGTGGGTGGGGGGATTAGACTGGAAGGCAATTTCTTGGGCATTTACCCATGCCAGAAGGCTAACCTGGGGGGAGGGGGGCGCTTGTGCTGGTGAGGCACTTGGATACATACTGATGCTGCAAGTTCAGGGGATTTTTCTTACTCTTAGGTTTAACCAAGAACACTGAGCAGGGAAAAACCCTGCCTTTCCTAACTGCATGTATTTTTTCCTTTTTGGAAAGGTGGTAGAGACTCAGAAGCTTTCCTTGTTTTCTTCAGGCCTGCTCCCAGTTTTCTTAACAGTTTCTTTTGTTGCTTTCTCTCTCCCTTGTTGCTTTCCATGGCAGTAATCCTCCTAGAGTCCAAGCAGTCTGTTGTATGGAGCAGGGTGTGTGGGTTTTCTGGGCCCATCATTATGGCTGCTTCAGAGTCAGAAGAAAGCCATAGGGCAGTAGGGGAGCTCCTATTGCCTAGCCCCTCTCCCTTTGTGGCTCCCACTCTAGCTGCCTATTTTTGCTCATCAGCTGGTGAGTCAGTATGGGCCAGCAGTTCTCCCTCCCTAAGCCCTTGCTACTTTATGGGTTAGCTTTGCAGGTTTGGTGGCTTGAGGGGTGGGGGCAACTCACCACTGCCAGGTAACTCCCTGAAGGGTGGGAGTGGATTATCTTCTAGGCTCTTACCCGCGGTAGGGAAGGGCATCAACACTGTCTTCCTTCCATTCTCCTTTCCCCCATCCCATTTAGTGCTGCCACAGGGCAGAAGCACACAAACCAACCACACAGTCTCTGACTTCTCCTAAGCACTTTGAGTTGTTGAATGGGGCTCAGGGGCAAGAGTTTTTGCTGCCCTCCCCAGCGTGGTCACAGGGTTATTGAACTGCCTGCACTTGTTTCTCATGCAACTCCAGCATTTTCCCCAGAAGTTGAACTATGGATAGCAGCTTGGTATGGATTTCCTAAATCTTAACATTTGAAGCAGCTTCTTGAGGCTGGCAACTATCCTGGTTTCTGTCTTGGAGGGGGTGGTTTGTTTGCTGGGGCCCAACGTCTGTCCCAAGTGGTGGGGTGAGAGTAAGTTAACTTTGGTGCCAGGTGAGAGGTGGGGGCTCTTTGCTTAGACTCCCTATCATGGAAAGATTGGAGTTTTCTATGCAGGGCACTGTGGAAAAGGATTGCTGATTCTGACTGACCCTGATCAGAGAGATTAGGATTGTATTTTGACATAGGATTTGGAACCCATCTAAATGTTGAAGTTCCCTGAGACAGCTCTCCAGCTGCTGAGCCTGCGCCAGGGGCTAAGCAGCCCCTAATGAGAGGCTCTGCTCCCTTTCCCACCTCGCCAATGTTGTTGTTGCTGCCTTTTTGATTTGTATCCTCTGTTATAGACATTTTTTAAAAACGATTTCCTCTTTCATTGTGCACAAGTGCTGAGAGTCTGAGGCCCCATTTCTGCTGTGTATATATATCCTGACTCGGGGCTTTTATTCAGCAAACTGTTCATTCTTCTGTCAGACAATGTCATATTCAACTCTGTTCATATTAAACCACTGTGAAGCAAGCCTCTGTTTTCCTGCTTAAGTTGTAAATTTAGTATTCTTTAGTGTCTAGGATATGCTGGGTATTATGCAGAAATCATACAGTGTGGCCAGTGTCCTGAGGTAATGTTTTGCATTTAAATTTTTTTAGAAAGCAGAATCTTAACTTATCTTAATGATATTTACCTATCCTTTTTGCAACTCACAACTGACTTTGTCACAGAGGTAATGCATCTGCTTGCAGGAAGTAGCTGTAGGCTCAGTACCTGTTGTTTGAGTCAGATTTAGCAGATTTGGTTTTTAAGCTTGTGGGTTTGTGCTAATTTGGGCAGAATATATTTATTATATATGTGTGTGTGTATGTGTGTATGTGTGTGTCTGCATATGTAATACATGTACATAAACACACATGCATGTGTTCATCCTCTGACACACCCACACAACACCAACAAACATTTCTTCTATAGGCTTTTTATCTCAACTGACACTGTTTTTTTTCCCAAATAAATTTGACACAGGCAGAAAGGTGGGTGAACTCTCAGAACTTTTGGTGGGTGGATATTCATCTGACCAGTGAGCTCTGAAATGGTTTCCCTACACAGAGTGGGTTTTGGCAAGGGTTGGAATGAGGGGAGGTAGCAGTCTTGTCATTTAGAAAATCAAAGCTAGTTTTGATGTAGCTCAACATGGAAAGAAGGTACAGAAAGTGATGTGTTCAAAACATTAGCAAATTAAGGCTGAATGTGGTTGGCTCATGCCTGTAATCCCAGCATTTTGGGAGGCTGAGGCAGGAGGATTGCTTGAGCCCAGGAGGTTGAGACTAGCCTGGGCAACAGAGTGAGACACTGTCTCTACAAAAAATTTCAAAAGAAAAAAAAAAAGGAAATTAATGTTACTTAGCAGTATTTGGTTCTAAGTAGAAGAGTGGGGGCTGTGAGGAAGTTGAGGTTTTTGGTAGTTCATGAATGAGATGACTAAAAATATCTGAGGGGATAGGGAAGAATGGGTATTTCTGTGAAATAAAGGAAAGGAAGGGTAAAGAGAGATGCAACCTTCATAGGCAGCAGTGTTAGAGAATGAACTGCAGAATAAATAGAAAAGCAGCTATAAAATAAAGTGTTAACAAAAATTTGGACAGATGACAACTCATTTAACAAGTGCTAATAGTCTTCTGTGTGTCTGGTCCTATGCTAACAGCAGGGCTGGGGATAGGGTGGAGTGGTTGTGGTACAAGTAAAATATGATATTACATTCTCTTTTTTCGTAGACCTTAAGAGTTCAGTTGAAGAGATGTTTAGCTGGGCGTGGTGGCTTATGCCTGTAATCCCAGCACTTTGGGAGGATTGCTTGAGCCCAGGAGTTGGAGACTAGCCTGGGCAACCGAGTGAGATCTCATCTCTACAAAAAAAAAAAAAAAAAAAAATTAAAAATCTGGCCAGGTATGGTGGCACATGATAGTCCCAGCTACTTGGGAGGCTGAAGCCGGAGGATTGCTTGAGCCCAGGAGGTTGTGGAGTGAGCCATGCAGTGAGCCATGATTGTACCACTGCACTCCAGCCTCAAAACAAAATGAAGAGATGTCTATACAAGGCAGGAAAATGCTAGAGACAGAGTAAGAGATTCAGGCACATCTGGTTAGTTGTCCAGTCTTTTTCTTTTTTAAAAATATCAGGCCAGGTAAATCTCCCTTGGATGTCAAATTGGCCATTTTGGCACATTAACTGGGCCAGGCAAGAATCCTAAATCCAAACCCTCTTACCCATTAACACTGAGGAGAAGCATACTTTTCTTTGATAAGGAATTCTAATTTACATGGGTATTTGCATGTTTACCACTAATTAATCCCCTTTATCTATAGTGCAGAAAGGGCTTAACCTTATGCTGGAACCTGGGGGACAGAGGCTAACGAAAAATTTTGAACATAGCTAGACCCAAAAGAAGTCTAAATCTTCACATTCCAAAGATGCCTTATCTACCCTTTGACCCATTCTTTGAGACAAGGAATTAAGCCAGTAAAGGTGGGAGAGGTGGATAACATTCAGGCTTCTCTGGAGTTGATAGTTATCCTACATGAGATACTTCTATGTTGAAGATATTCCTACTTCTATGTTGAAATATATGCTGTAATAATTTAAGTAAAATTACTTTCTTTTGTGGAAATGTAGAACAGCTGCTCACTGAAATGGATATTTCTTCATATCCTTGAAAACTGTTGAGTCACCCTTAGTATTCTCTTCTTAGATATAATAAGTTCTAATTTTTCCTTACTTGGCTCATTTTTAACCCTTTTATCTTTTTATTATTCTGAAATCTCTCCAAGGCCCTCACATGTCCTCAAGTTGTAGAGTCTTAAATTGGACAACACTTTAATTACAGCCTGAAGGTTAGGTAGTTGTTATTCCATTTATATATCTTAGTATTTGAGTTTACTTTTGAAATATAAAGTCTTAGTGACTAATTTAGCATGTGGTTCTCTGCCACTCCCTTCCTGACCACCCACCACCCCTCATTCTTATCTTCTTTTTTTACCTTGTTTGTACAAAAACCAGTTGTTGCCTATTTTATTTCTTCTGTCCATACCCTGTCTGTCTATGCATTTAAAAACAGAGAACTCATTCCTTATAAAACAGACAAACCAGGGATAATTGTCAACATCAAAAAAGAATTCTTTAAATCACTGCAGGCTTCCTTTAAATAGGTGTTTCCTGTGGTGGTTTTAAGTGTTTTTATATAGGTCATCAACTGCTTGATATAAAGAAACTAAAGATAAAGGGTTAAGAGGCAGTGCCAGTTGAAGAACAGTTAGAAATTGGGATAAAACAGTAGTTCTTAGGTAAACAGTAAAATACATTCAGATTCACAGAAAAAAAATATGTATATATATATTTTTTGAGATGGAGTCTCACAGTGTTGTCCAGGCTGGAGTGCAGTGGCGTGATCTCAGCTCACTGCAATCTCTGCCTCCCAGGTTCAAGCGATCCTCCTGCCTCAGCTTCCCGAGTAGCTGGGACTACAAGCGTGGCACCACCATACCCGGCTAATTTTTGTATTTTTAGTAGAGACGGGGTTTCACCACGTTGGCCAGGCTGGTTTCGAACTCCTGAGCTCAAGTGATCTGCCTGCCTCGGCCTCCCAAAGTGCTGGGATTACAGGCGTAAGCCACTGTACCTGGCCTGATTTATGTATTACTTTTCAAGAGAATGTTATACCAATAATATTTTTTGTCTAGATACAGTGAACTTTTCATCATCTGTACTAATGGAGGCATGTACATTTTAATTTTGTTAGGCATTTTTGTTGTAACATTTAAATATAGGGATGTCTAATCATAAAATTTAAAAATATTTCATAATTTCATCATACTGAAGACTCAGGAAGATCTGAAAAGAAACAGAAAGAGTACCAGACCTGGAATAGAAACCTGACTTCTAAAATTGGCTATATAGCTAGCTATAGGACCTTAGTTGAATTGCTTCACCATTTTAGGCCTGTTTTCTGAACTATACAATGAGGGATTTCGACTAAATGAGGGATTTTGACCAAATGATCTCTGAGGTATCTTAAATCTCTAGCTTTTTATGATTTCCCACCCTTGCCAAGGAGTTGAGTAAACATTGGAGGTGATGCCACCAAAAAAGTGAAAGCACAATTTTTCCTTTATATGATGGAGTTTGCTGTAGTGTAGTTTTCTCTTTCAGAAATGAACGATTATCCTGATTAGATTTTGTTTGCCCACATCCTGTTATATCAAGTCATGAGTATACCCCCATTGAAACTCAGAGTTGATTTGGTTTACAGTTGTTCTAATTGTATCCTAAGTCTTCTAGCTAAAATTTTAAAATGAAGTAGTCACCCCATGGCGTTATTTATTTATTTTTTGAGAGGGAATCTTGCTCTGTCGCTCAGGCCAGAGTGCAGTGGTGTGATCTTGGCTCACTGCAACCTGTGCCTCCCAGGTTCAAGCGATTCTCCTGCCTCAGCCTCCAGAGTAGCTGGGACTACAGGGGCATGCCACCACGCCCGGCTAATTTTTGTATTTTTAGTAGAAGCGGGGTTTCACCATATTGGCCAGGCTGGTCTCAAACTCCTGACCGTATGATCTGCCCACCTCGACCTCCCAAAGTGCTGGGATTGATTACAGGTGTGAGCCACTACGCCCAGCCCCCATGGAGCTATTTTTATTTAAAACACATACATTATAACTCTATTGATCTGATTACAAAAGTGCCTATTTTGTTAAAATGTTTTATTGTGATAAAAATTCAAAAATTATTAATGTTAGCCAACAAAATTCAAGCAAAACATAAATGTGTAAAGTAAAAAGTGAAAGATTTTTCCTTAGTCCCTCTCACCACTCCCATTCTCCAAGAATAACTTAATTTGGTGTGTGTCTTCCCAGATGTTGTTCTGTTTGTGTTTATATATTAATATACACATATATACATATATGAATACCCACACATTTGTATATAGGTTTTTTTTAAATGAAATGGGATATTATATGTACTGTTTTGCAACTTTTTTCACTTTGCATTGTATTCTGGACCTCCTCTTGCATTAATACATGGAAATTTACCTCATTTAAAAAATGACTGCATAACATTTCATGGTATGGTTGTATCACAATTTAATGATTCACCTATTGATGCAAATTTGTCTCCAATCATTCACTATTATAAATAATGCTACATATAACCTTGCTCCAGTGTGTAAGTATTTCTGTAGGATAGATTTTGAGAGAAGGAATTGCTGGGTCAAAAGGTGTGTGCCTTTTACTGTGTGTGTGTCTTTTACTGTGTGTGTGTGTGTGTGTGTGTGTGTGTGTGTGTGTGTGTAGAGATGGGGGAGGGGGGTGGTCTCACTTTGTTGCCCAAGTTGGTCTCGAACTCCTGGCTTCAAACGATTCTCCTGCCTCAGCCTCCCAAAGTGTTGGGATTACAGGCATGAGCCACTGCGCCTGGCCTCATTTTACGTTTTGATAGCTAAAGCTAAATTGCTTTCTTAAAGAATGCAGTTTAGGCTTCCAGTGACAGCAAATGAGAATGTTTCCCCACCCAAAGTGGGGAAATTCTGTTCACAAAAATTTCCTTGCCAAAAGTGGTAAAAATTTAAATAATTGATAATTATCCAAACTATTTGGTGAAAATCATATTTCATGGTTTTAATTTGCATTTTCTGGTACATTTAGTTGTAATGATACCACTGTCAGGTTTTAGTTTCCCCACACATTTACTTTTGGTCGTTCTAGAGGCAGTATCTATTGCTGCTAATTGAGGATACTGACCACTCTTCACCATAAATAAACCATCACACTTAATTAAAGGCCCTGAGTGTTTGTAAGTTTCTTCCCATCTGACTCTGGGGGAAGATGAAGCGATTAGCCTAGTGACAAAGCAACATTATCTGAGGCGCTCTCACAACCAGTACCTTTTTCAGATTGTCACTACTTGAGGTCAAGCCCAGAGCAGCACTGACAGCTCAACTACATGCTCTTCTGACCTCATGGGCAACCTGCTTTGATACTCGGGGAAATATTACTTTGTCTCTTGAGCCACCATCCCTCCAGCTTGGACCCCTTGTCTAGTTATTTCTCCCAGATCCATACGTTTGATTCCTGGCAGGGATGGAACAAGGATGGGGACCAAGATCATGATGGTGACCATAATAAGAGGTCGGATTACCAGGCCTTCTGGTTGGCTGTCCAAGTGTCAATCAGAAATAAGCTTTAATTGGTCGTACGCAATGGGAAGCACATACCTGTCGTACACAATGGGAAGCACATACCCTCTTCTGATTGGCCTCTTAGTTGAGGGGTGGATCACAGGGAAACCTGCTGGTTGGCTGGAATGGAAGACCAATAGGAACGCTGTGGCGCTGCTTTCGAAAGCGAGGCCTGCCCCGCGCCCCTGGAGCTGTCAGCGGGTTTCCTGGGAGCTCCAGAGGCCCGATTTGGTAACTGCGCTTTCCTGCAACCTAGGTATCCTCTACCCCGGTCACGCTTCTGGCGTCTCAGAATGTCTCTGGTTGTGCCGTGGTGAATGAAGCCGTAGTCCGCTTGTCCAGCCGTTAGGAAGGTCCTGCCTTAGGCTGCCGGTTTCGTTCCACAAACGCCAGCCTGGGGCTCTTCCTGAGATGGGGCCGTTGAAGTCATGGGCCTGGGCCTGGGGAGTGGGGATCAGGGACCAGGGAATGGGACAATACTTTGCGGGCCTCAGGATGAAGTTCTTTATTGCAAGCATTGTGGCCCGATTCGCGGCAGAAGCGGGAGAGGCTGCACTCTGCTGCTGTGAAGGCCTTTTTTGTATTAAGTCTCAGGAAGGGAGCAGGAAGTGTGTGACCCAGAAAGTTCCGCCATCTAGGTGGCCTCCACCATTTCAGCCAGCTGCCGCCTCTGTTGCCTGATTTCACCCCTTGTGGTTCCTTCCTAGACTCATCAGCTCTAAGACCACTGCAGTAAGTACATTAGCCCTTACAGCCCCTACTCAGAAAATCCCTTCTTCCTCAATGTCAGTGGGCTTGACCTCCTTGCTTTTATTTATTTTTCTAATTAATTACACCAGTACATTCTCCTTGTAAAAAAAAAAAAAATCAAAACACTATACATATATGGGGCTAACACTTTGGCCATTACGCACAATCCTTGTCCTCTTTCCCTCTTCCCCAGAGTAACTGCTGTTAACAGTTTGGTGTGTATCCTGGCAGCCTTCCAGGTCTTTTTTTCTAGTTATCGTAGAAAATACGTTGTGTTGTGTTTTTATTTTAACAAAAATTATACCCTACTGTACATACCCCACAAGTTTTTTCATTCAGTGTTTTGGAAACATTTTTATTTTGGTACATCTAGGTTTACTTTTTATTTTATTTTATTTTTTAGTAGAGATGGGGTTTCCCCATGTTGGCCAGGCTGGTCTCAAACTCCTGACCTCAAGTGATCCAACCGCCTTGGCCTTCCAAAGTGCTGGGATTACAGGTGTGAACAACCGCACCCGGGCAGATTTACTTCTTTTTTAAAAAAGTGATGTATTATGCCATTGTATGGCTATAAAACAGTTTATTTAACCATTTCCTTATTGATAGACTACTAGATTTTTTCAATATTTTGCTTTTACAAATGGTACTGCTATGAGCATTCCTGAACATGACAGTTTCTCTAGGGCAGTGGTTCCCAAACTTCTTGATTGCAGGACCCCTTGACATTCCTAACAGAATTTGTTTATGTAGGTTTATGGCTCTCTCTATTCAATGAAATTAAAACTGGTTGGGTGCGGTGGCTCACGCCTGTAATCTCAGCACTTTGGGAGGCTGAGTCAGGCAGATCACCTGAGGTTAGGAGTTTGAGAACAGCCTGGCCAACATGGTGAAACCCCGTCTCTACTAAAAATACAAAAATTAGCCCGATGTGGTGGCACACACCTGTAATCCCAGCTACTCGGGAGGCTGAGGCGGGAGAATTGCTTGAACCCGGGAGGTGGAGGTTGCAGGAGTCGCGCCATTGCACTCCAGCCTGGGTGACAAGAGCGAGACTCTGTCTCAAAAAAGAAAAGAAAAGCAAAATAACTTTTCCAAAGCAAGAAATGTTATTGAGAAGAGTAAAATTGTTTTGTTTTTTTTACAAGTCTCATTAATGTCTGGCTTAATAATAGTGGACATCTGGAGTCTCATATCTGCCTCTACATTTGATCTATTGGGATGTTTTGGTTGAGTATATCACACATATATTATTGTAAATGTACATGTAACAAAATTTACCATTTTAACCATATTTAAGGAAACATTTCAGTGGCATTAAGTACATTTACATTGTTATACAACCATTACCACCATCCATTTCCAGAATTTTTTCATCTTCCAAACTGAAACTCAAAACAATAACTCCCCATTGTCCCCACCCCCAACCCTAGCAACCACCATTCTATTTTCTGTTTCTATGAATTTGACTATTATAGGTAACCTTATATAAGTGGAACCATATAGTATTTGTATTTTCATGACTGGCTTATTTCTTTTTTTTGAGACGGAGTCTGTGTCGCCCAGGCTGGAGTGCAGTGGTGTGATTTCTACTCACTGCAACCTCCGCCTCCTGGGCTCAAGCAATTCTCCCACCTCAGCCTCCAGAGTAGCTGGGACTAGAGATGCGCGCCACCACACCTGGCTGATTTTTGTATTTTTAGTAGAGATGGAGTTTCACCATGTTGGCCAGGCTGGTTTTGAACTTCTGACCACAAATGATCTGCCCGCCTTGGCCTCCCCAAATTCTGGGATTACAGGTATGAGCCACTGTGCCAGGCCGTGACTGGCTTATTTCACTTAGCATAATGTGTTCAAGGTTCATTCATGTTGTAGGTTGAGTAATATTCCAAAGTGTGTATATATACAGACATACATACCACGTTTTGTGTGTCCATTCGTCTGTCAAGGACACCTGGGTTGTTTCCACCTTTTGTCTATTGTGAACAATGCTACTATGAATATAGGTATACAAATATCTGTTTACATTTCTGCCTTCAATTCTTTTGGGTATATATCCAGAAGTGGAATTGCTGGGTCATATAGTAGTTCTCACTTCCCTTCTGATGGATATTTATATCAGTGCTACTCAAACTGTATTCCACAGACTGGTGCCAGTTGTGAACTGTCACCTGTACACAAGGAGATTAGTATAGGAACTGAGGATAGGCATTTAAAACCTTTTATAGCAATTTCATGTGGCCATGGCATCTAAGTGAATGATCACTTTTCTAGTAATTTGTTTTTTCTCTACAAAGGTATCAGTCTGTGATGGATTGGAAATTTACCAAAAAAATAACAACAACAACAACAACAAAAAAAAACCAAGCTGGGTCAGGCGTGGTGGCTCACGCCTGTAATCACAGCACTTTGGGAGGCCCAGGCAGGAGGATCACTTGAGACCAGCCTGGGCAACAAAGTGAGATCTCATCTCTACAAAAAATTTTAAAAATTAGCTGGGCACGGCCGGGCGCGGTGGCTCACGCCTGTAATCCCAGCACTTTCGGAGGCCGAGGTGGGTGGATCACGAGGTCAGGAGATCGAGACCATCCTGGCTAACACAGTGAAACCCCATCTCTACTAAAAATACAAAAAATTAGCCAGGCGTGGTGGTGGGCGCCTGTAGTCCCGGCTACTCAGGCTGAGGCAGGAGAATGGTGTGAACCTGGAAGGCGGAGCTTGCAGTGAACTGAGATTGCGCCACTGCACTCCAGCCTGGGTGACAGAGCAAGACTCCGTCTCAAAAAAAAAAAAAAAAATTAGCTGGGCATGGTGGCATGTGCCTGTAGTCCCAGCTACTCAGGAAGCTGAGGCAGGAGGATTATTTGAGCTTGGGAGGTCAAGGCTGCAGTGAGCTATCATCACACCACTGCACTCTAGCCTGGGCAAAAGAGCAAGATCCTGTCTCAAACAAAAAAACAAACAAAAAGACCCCAAACCCCTGGTCTTTTGCCACAGATAGTTTTCATTTTTGTTTTTTACTGAAGATGGGATGTTGCTGTGTTGCCCAGGCTGGTCTCGAATTCCTGGCCTCAAGCAGTCCTCCCACCTTGGCCTCCCAAAGTGCTGGGATTACAGGAGTGAGCCACTGCACCTGGTCACCACAGATAGTTTGAGAAGCACTGATTGAGGTAGATTCCAGTTTGGGGTTGTCATTTGCCATTAACTCTTTTTTATGGACAATGTTTCTCTAAGGTAGGTACTGAAGAGTAGAATTACAGGGTTACTGGATTGAAGAGTATGTACATTTTACATTTTATTACTGCAAAATTGCTCTTCGAAAAGGCCAAATGCTTCTAACAATGGTACATGAGTCCTTTTTTTGTGTCAGAAATGATATTCAAAAAAAGAAAACTAAAACAGTATATGAGAGTACCTGTTTCCTTACACTCCTGCCAACACTTGATATCAATCTCTTAAACTTTTGTTAGTCTGTCAGGCAAAAAATATCTCCTCTTTATTCACAGTTTTATGATTATTAGTGAATTTAAGTATTTTTTCATGTTTATTAACTTTAAATTTTGATGTAGTCAGATATATTATTCCTTTCCTTTATGGCTTTTACTTTTTTGTTGTTTTTTTGTAGAGACAAGTCTCACTTTGTCACCCAGGTTGTAGTGTAGTGGTGCAATCATAGCTCACTGCAGCCTTGAACTCCTGGGCTCAAGAAATCCTCCCACCTCAGCCTCCCCAGTAGCTGGGACCATGGGCACATACCACTACACCTGGCTAATTAAAAAAAAATTTTTTTTGTAGAGATGGGGTCTCACTATGATGCGCAGGGTGGTCTCTAACTCCTGACTTCAAGCGATCCGCCCACCTCGGCCCCCAAAGTGCTGGGATTATAGGCATGAACCACTACACCTGGCCCAGCTTTTGCTTTTTTAGTCTTAAGATGGCTGTTCTTGCTCCAAGGTTTTAAACATATTCATTTATATTTTCTTCTCATGTGTTTCTTCCCCCCTTTTTCTTACAGCTTTATTGAGGTATAATTGATGTACACTAAACTGCACATCCTTAAAGTATATAATTTGATGAATTTGGACATATGTACACACCCATGTATCTATTACCACAATTGAGATAATGAACATGTCCATCACCTCTGAAAATGTCCTTGTGTGTTCCTTTGTTCTCATACATTTCTAAATGTGTGTGTATGCTCATGCACGCATGGATGCATGGATGTGTGCTGGAATTATACACTTTTTCATTTCTTAATTAAGGTAAACTTACATACAGTAAAATTCATCTTGAGTATACATTTCTGCAGGTGCTGACAAATGCATAAAGTCATGTAACAACTGGCCAGGTATGGTGGCTCACGCCTGTAATCCCAGCTCTTTGGGAGGTCGAGGCGGGTGGATCACCTGAGGTCGGGAGTTGGAGAGCAGCCTGACCAACGTGGAGAAACCCAGTCTCTACTAAAAATACAAAATTAGCCAGGCGTGGTGGCGCATGCCTGTAATCCCAGCTACTCAGGAGGCTGAGGCAGGAGAATCGCTTGAACCCAGGAGGCAGAGGTTGCGGTGAGCCGAGATCGCGCCATTGCACTCCAGCCTGGGCAACAAGAGCGAAACTCTGTCTAAAAAAAAAAAAAAAAGTCATGTAGCAACCAATACAATGAAGATATAGAATAGTTTCATCACCTCAAAAAATTCCCAGTTCTCCTTTATAGCCTACTCCTCCCCTCTACTTCCCAGTAATCACTGCCTGTTTTTTGTCACTATAGTTTTGCCTTTTCAAACCTGTCATGTAATCATACAGTATATAACCTTTTAAGACTGGCTTCTTTTATTTATTTTTATTTATTATTATTATTATTTTTGAGACGGAGTCTCACTTGTCGCCTAGGCTGGAGTGCAGTGGTGTGATCTTGGCTCACTGCAACCTCTGCCTCCCAGTACAAGCGATTCTCCTGCCTCAGCTTCCCGAGTAGCTGGGATTACAGGTGTGCAGTACCATGCCCAGCTAATTTTTGTATTTTTAGTAGAGATGGAGTTTCACCATGTTGGCCAGGCTGGTCTTGAACTCCTGACCTCAGGTGATTCGCCTGCCTCGGCCTCCCAAAATGCTGCAATTACAGGCATGAGCCACTGTGCCTGGCCTGTTTTTTATTATTATTATTTATTTTGTTTTTTTGAGACGGAGTCTTGCTCTGTCACCCAGGCTGGAATGTAGTGGTGTAATCTTGGCTCACCGCAACCTCCCACTCCCAGGTTCAAGTGATTCTCCTGCCTCAGCCTTCCGAGTAGCTGGGATTACAGGTGCCCGCCACCATATCCAGCTAATTTTTGTATTTTTAGTAGAGACAGGGTTTCACCATGTTGGCCAGGCTGGTCTCGAACTCCTGACCTCAGGTGATCCGCTCGCCTTGGCCTCCCAAAGTGTTGCAATTACAGGTGTGAGCCACCACACCTGGCCTATATATTATTATTATTGTTATTATTTATTTATTATTATTTTTTTGAGACAGAGTCTCACTTTGTTGTCCAGGCTAGAGTGCAGTGGCACGATCATGGCTCACCGCAGCCTCAACCTTCTGGGCTCAGGTGATCCTCCCACCTCAGCCTCCTGAGTAGCTGGGACTACAGGCGCAGGCCACCATGCCCGGCTAAGTTTTTTGTATTTTTTGAAGAGATGGGGTTTTGCCATGTTGTCCAGACTGGTCTTGAACTCCTGGGCTCTAGTGATCCTCTCACCTCAGCCTCCTGAAGTCTTAGGATTACAAGTATGAACCACCACAACTGGCTGGTTTTAATTCTTTAAACTGTTTAGAAGTTACTTTTGTGAATGGTATGAGATATTGCTATAACTTAATTCTTTTTCAAATATTAGGTTCGTGCAAAGTTATTGCAGTTTTTGCCATTAAAAATGGCAAATTTATTTTGCACCAACCTAACAAATAGGTAATCATCACTATATGATTTACTTTCTCCAACGACTTGAAATGACACCTTTATTATATACCCAATTCCCTTATACACACAAATCTGTTTCTGGACCATCTATTTTGTTTCACTGATGTTTGTTCTTATGCCAAAATCACACTTTTTATATTACTGCTATGGCTTTATCATAGTTTTGATACCTGATAAAGTCTTCCCTGTTGTTTTCAGACATTTCTTGCCTAACTAGTTCACTTTTCCTTCTACAAGGATTTTTAGAATCAGCCAATACATTCTCCAAAAAAATGTTGTTGAGATTTTAGTTGAGATTATGTTGAAATTTCAGCTTAATTTGGGGAGAGTGGATATCTTTACATTATTAAATTGTCCCAACCAGGAACATAATATATCCCTCTGTTTATTAAAGTTTTCAGTAATGATATGTCTCTCCTTTTATTTAGGCTTCTTTTATGTTTTATATTATTTTGTAATCCTGTGTTTACTTCTCTTTCTTTCTCATCTGTAAACTTTTGTTTTTTTTGAGACAGGGTCTTGCTGTCACCCAGGCTGGAGTGCAGTGGCACAACCACGGCTTACTGCAGCCTCAACCTCACTGCAGCTATTAACATTTATTTTTTCTTTTTTTTGGAGAGACGAGGTCTCACTATGCTGCCCAGGCTGGTCTTGAACTCCTGGTCTCAAGTGATTCTCCTGCTTGGGCCTCCCAAAATGCTGGGATTATTGGCCTGAGCCACTGCGCCCGGCCTGTAAACTTATTTGAGTGTAGGGACATTTTTGTTTCATCCCTATATTTGCAGTGCCTGATGTATAGTAAATGCTCAGTAAATGTTTGATGAGCAAATTACACCACAATAAGTGTTCCAGCAGTTCATTAAAAATGGTGGACTTCAGCCTGGGCAACATAGTGAGAGACCTCATCTCCACAAAAAATAAAAAGATTAGCTGGGCATGGCGGCATGTGCCTGTGGTTCCTGCTACTCAAGTGGCTGATGTAGGAGGATCGCTTGAGCCCAGGAGGTCGAGGTTGCAGTGCACTTCAGCCTAGGCAACAGAGCAACACCCTGTCTCAAACAACAACAAAAACAAAAAAACAAAACTTGTGGACTTGGGAATGGGGGATTGTGGGGGGAGGGGAAATGGGTGAAGAGGGGGAAATGGCTGGGGAATGGGTGGGGGCCTGGCGGAAGCAGGCAGCAGAGCTGGGTTCCCTGAGCTCTGTCAGGAGGAAGCCAGGCTGCACTTGCTGGGCAGTCGGAGGGGACAGGTGGCACCAGAAGGCAGTTGGACTTACCCTGTCGGTGACTGCGGCCTCTGTCCGTCCTGCCTTGCTGCAGGTGCCTTGGATGAGGCTGCCCCACATGCCCTGAATGATTTTTATAATCAGTGGATAAAGTGGGAAAAAATGTGGAATAACTTCAAATACAGGTAACAGAATGTCTTCAGTCATGAGGGAGGAAGCCGTAGTGAAAATCTGGATATGAACTCCGACAGATATTTGTCAAAAAGAAAAAACATCAATATAGGAGACTCAGCTGCTCGGCAACAAAGTAATCCCTTAAGAGAAAATGTTGCCTTACACCTGGCATGCCAGGCCCTTCAAAGAATTCTTCAAAGAGAAACCAACATTGTGCCACTGAAATCCCTCAAATTGTTGAAATAAGTATCAAAAAGGATAATGATTTTTGTGTTACCCCAGGAACAAGACTTGCACGAAGAGATTCCTACTTTTGACATGCTCCATGGGGTGGGAAGAGAAACATTTCTGTTACAGTGACCCAGGATTCATTGGATACTGATAAAAAGTTTGGTAGAACTCAAAGTGGACTTCAAAGGAGAGAGAGGTGCTAAGCTCTGTACAGGACATGGACAATGTTTCCAGAAGAACTGTAGGGAAGTCGCTCTCTGAGACAGGTTGCAGGATACTGTGGGCTTGTGTTTTCCCATGAGAACTTATAACAAGCAGTCAAAGCCTCTCTTTTCCAATAAAAGAAAAATCTATTTTTCTGAATGAATGCTGGAGAAATGCCCTTTTCCTGCTGGCTCAGATTTAGCCCCCAAATGGCATTTGATTAAACAGCATACAGCTCCTGTGAGCCCACATTCAACATTTTTTGATGCATTTGATCCATCTTTGGGTTTTTTTTTTCTTTTTTTCTGAGACGGAGTCTCAATCCATTGCCCAGGCTGGAGTGCAGTGGTGTAATCTTGGCTCACTACAACCTTGGCTCACTGCAACCTCTGCCTCCTGGGTTCAAGTGATTCTCCTGCCTCAGCCTCCTGAGTAGCTGGGATTACAGATGCCTGCCACCACGCCCAGCTAATTTTTGTGTATTTTAATAGAGACAGATTTTCGCCATGTTGGCCAGGTTGGTCTGGAACTCCTGACCTCGGGTGATCGGCACACCTCGGCCTCCCAAAGTGCTGGGATTACAGGCGTGAGCCACCTCACCCAGCCCCATATTTGGTTTCTACAGAAGATGAAGATAGTTTAGAGAGAGAAGACTGCTTAGTATTGAAGAAGGGGTTGATCCCCCTCCCGATGCACAAATGCATATGTTTGAAGCGACTGCACAGGTTAATCCATTAAATAAACTGGGACCAAAGTTAGCTCCTGGAACGACTGAAATAAGTGGGGACAGTTCTGCAGTTCCACATGCTAATTGTGACCTGAAAGAGTATACAGCCACCCTGTGTTTGCAGCCATGGAGGGCAGAAGCAGCATGAGGTACATGCCCATGTTAGCAGACAGGGAGCTTGGGAAGTCCACACACAGGCTGATTACAGATACTGCTTCAGACTACAGGGAATCCTTGTTATTGGAGAGTGATGGACCGTTATGAATCAGAAGCCCTTCTAGAAGGGAAATGTGAAGACACATTTTTGCTCAGGGATGCTGGGCAAAGGGACTGCCTCTTCTCTATGAACTTCTGGGGCTACAACAGATCCTTGCAGGCCTGAATTGAGCAGTAATCACAACTTTGGTTTTGATGCCCATGACCCCTGTTTATGTCACTCCTCCACTGTAACAGGACTTTAAGAACATTATAGCAGCCATAAAAAAAGGATGAGTTAATGTCCTTTGCAGGGACATGGATGAAGCTGGAAACCATCATTCTCAGCAAACTTAACACAGGAACAGAAAACCAACCACCGCATGTTCTCACTCATAAGTGGGAGTTGAACAATGAGAACACATGGACACGGCGTGGGGGCTGTAAGGGGAACATCACACACTGGGGCCTGTCGGGGGGTGGGGAGCTAGGGAGGGATAGCATTAGGAGAAATACCTAATGTAGATGATGGGTTGATGAGTGCAGCAAACCACCATGGCACATGTATACCTATGTAACAAACCTGCGTGTTCTGCACATGTATCCCAGCACTTAAAGTTTAATAGAAAAGAACATTATAAAGATCCCAGTTATTGCATGTTTTTTGAACTGTTGCTTACTATATTACTAGATAGGACTTTCCCTTTTAGCTGTAGTATATCTGTTGTACAGTAATCTGCAGGTGTACTACATATGATGGAATTAATGGGCTCCCTTTACCATCAATGTTACAAGATTTTTGAAAAGAGTATCTTTATAAACAAAAATTTAGGGTTCACTAGTGAGAACGAGAACCAGTCAAGGCAAAGTAAACTCTCCTGTCCCCAAAGGGTGTGAATCTCATCTGCTTTCATGTGCATCAGATGTATACCTATAGCAAGCACACATAACGGTGCTAGGTTTTTTCATACAGTATGTAAGCTTAGTGTTAGTATCTGTCAGATGCAACCTTCTGTTACTTATCCAGATAAACGTGGTGCCTAGTGGAACAACAGAGGATAGAACTACAGGTGTTCAGGCCGGGCACAGTGGCTCACACCTGTAATCCCAGCACTTTGGGAGGCTGAGGCAGGCAGGTCACTTGAGCTTAGGAGTTCGAGACCAGCCTGGGCAACGTGGTGAAACCCCATCTCTACTGAAAATACAAAAAATTATCTGGGTGTGGTGGCGGGCGCCTGTAATCCCAGCTACTGGGGAGGCTGAGTGGGAGAATTGCTGGAACCTGGGAGGCGGAGGTTGCAGTGAGCCAAGATTGCTCCACTGCACTCCAGTCTGGGAGACAGAGCGAGACTCTGTCAAAACAAAAACAAAAACAAACTACAGGTGTTGAGTAAGACTACAAAACAAGTTTGCCTATTTAGCGAACAGTTTGGTTTTTAATGGCTGTAGTAATTGAGTGAGGCAACTCTGGGGCATTTGCTGTGAAGAATTCTATTTCTTACTGAAGAACAAATTATTAATATCAGATGAGTATTTCAACAGTGTGACTAATGTTTGAAATTATTTTTTCTAAGAGTTTTTCTATAACCTTCCAAAAGTAGTGATGTTTATAATTACTATAAATCAAGCTTTAGAAGTCCAATACAAATAAAATAATGCTTTTCTTTTAGAAAAAAAAATGTAATTTTCTGGCCACAAGGGCATAGTGCATTTCACCTAAATGTTGATGTAGTTTATAGTCAGACTCTTTCTCTTCTGCAAAAGATACTGTTAAGTAAACCAGGTTTTCTAAATAGTCATTCTTAAGAGTTTGGACTTATAAAATTAGTAGCAGAATTTTATTTAAAGGCCCTAGGTATTATATTTTTTTGTTTTTTTGTTTGTTTGTTTGTTTTTTAGATGGAGTCTTGCTCTGTTGCCCAGACTGGAGTGCGGTGGCACGATCTCAGCTCACTGCAACCTCTGCCTCCCAGGTTCAAGCGATTCTCCTGCCTCAGCCTCCCGAGTACCTGGGACTACAGGCGCTCGCCACCATGCCTGGCTAATTTTTTGTATTTTTAGTAGAGACGTGGTTTCACCGTGTTAGCCAGGATAGTCTTGACCTCCTGACCTCGTGATCCGCCTGCCTCAGCCTCCTAAAGTGCTGGGATTACAGGCGTGAGCCACTGCACCCAGCCAGGTATTAGTTTTTAAGTGAGCACTTTAACTTAAAACAGCTGCTGCAATATAGTCTTGCATATGATTTTTTAAAAAGTTGATGTGACCGGGTGCGGTGGCTCATGCCTGTAATCCCAGAACTTTGGGAGGCCAAAGCGGGCAGATCACCTGAGGTCAGGAGTTTGAGACCAGCCTGGCCAACATGGTGAAACCTCGTCTTTACTAAAAATACAAAAAATTAGCCGTGCGTGGTGGTGGGCGCCTGTAATCCCAGCTACTCGGGTGGCTGAGACAGGAGAATCACTTGAACCTGGGAGGCGGAGGTTGCAGTGAGCCGAGATTGCACCATTGCACTCCAGCCAGGGCAACAAGAGCGAAACTTGGTGTCAAAAAAAAAAAAAAGTTGATGTGCAGTCTAATTGTTGTTTCATAAAAGTTGGATCTTCTCCTGTGCCCATAATGATTTTGTGAATCATGAAGAAAATGCGACTAGAAGATGCCCAAACAAATCAGATAATAGTAACTACAATGGTTGCTGATGTTAGATTATTGTTAAACTGTAATTACTAATTTGGATGGCAGTATTTATCTCTTTTTTGTAAACACTCATAGCTAAATTGCTTAAGTATAATTTACAGAATTTCAGTGTAATTTACTCTCAATGGAAAATCTGAAACATAAATTGCAGATTTGAAAGGTACTGTACAACCATTATATCTGTAAATAACTACTTAACACCTCTTTGTCACTTAGAATACTACTTGAGTGTAATACTACTTGAATACTACTGTGAATGTAATACTACTTGAGTGAGCTCTTTTGGAAGTTACATCAAGTTCTAGTGTTTGCTTCTTAGTAACTGAACTGAATGTACAGTTCTGTCCTAGACATTTTGCACTAAAGTGGCTGAATCCATTCTTGTGTCTTTTTGTTAATGTGTTCTGTACCACTGGTGAGTGCTCCATAGTTTCCTTACCTGCTGCTACAGAACATTATTTTACATCCCTATGGCAATTGCCAAGGCTACAAAAAAAAAAAGCTTTATTTGTATGCCACACTAACTCTTTGACTGCTAATGCGTGTTTCTGCTTGCTGTGCCTTGTTATGGCTGCTTTTTTGTGCTAATAAAGTATGTTTGGTGTTCTCCTTGTATATCTACTGTTTTATACATTTGCAACAATTTCTTTTGTAAATGGAATGGTTTGGGGTTTTTTAAAATAAGCATTATCTAACAACCTACTATAGCTAATGTAGAATTACTGTACAGTCTCATATTGACTTATCAGAATAAGCTAACTCTAAGTTTAATGCTCTGCATCTTATCAATCATAATCACATATACTGTGGAGCAGTATCTGTAGTTACTGAAAATCATTGTACAGTTTAGATTATAACAAAAAACTGGCAGAAATAATAAATCTATTGATTTCTCTGCTTATGGGTGAAAGATCAAAACTATCAATGACATATTACAGTAAATGAGTATCTGTAACCTTCCACACATCAGAAGCAGATTAAATCAAGTCTTGTGAACTATTAATATATCAGTACCACTTATTGGTTTGGGGACCATCTTAATTGAAAATAAATGCCACAAATATAGAACTTTAACCAAAGACTTGTCCATTTTAAAGCAAGATGGGGATTGAAGTCACTTATAATTTCTGTTGCTTATAATTGAAGTCCCTGAAGAACATATATCAAAGTGTTTGAGAACTTCATTCAAACCTTTTTTTTTTTTTTTGAGACGGAGTCTCGATCTATCACCCTGGCTGGTAGTGCAGTGGTGTGATCTCGGCTCACTGCAACCTCTGCCTCCTGGTTTTAAGCGATTCTCCTGCCTCGGCCTTTGGAGTAGCTGAGATTACAGGTGGGCGCCACCATGCCTGGCTAATTTTTGTATTTTTAGTAGAGACGGGGTTTTACCATGTCGGCCAGGTTGGTCTCGAACTCCTGACCTTAGGTGATCTGCTCGCCTCTGCCTCCCAAAGTGCTGGGATTACAGGCGTGAGCCACCGCACTTGGCCCAAGCCTGCTTTTAAAGTTTTATATGCAATTAGATTGTTATGACCAAGATTGTGTTTTAGGGACGAAACTGGAAACTCCAAGAAAGCACTTGATATTTTTATATGCTTGTAGCAAATTGATGTTCTAACTGTAGATTTATAGAAAGTATTAATGCTTTTATGTATTTCAGAACTTTCATATGTTAAATGGAAATTATTTTAAATGTGTAACTATTTGAGTTTATGTAAGCATGTATACACTGTGCTAAAAGTCACTTGTGTTTCAATTTGTGTATAATATTAATATGCAACTTTTGGTTTAAATATTTTTCTTAAATTATTAGTGGCTTACCTTTTAAAAAAGAAAAATTACCAGCGTGAAATTGCAAAGAAAAAAAAAAGTCTTTGGACTTTCCCCGCTAGAAAAATGCACAAATGTACACAGAATTTTGCATAAATTTTAAACCTGGACATGCTCCCTGATGCCTATCCATAAGCTTCACATTAAATACTCCTAATCAGAAGTAATAAATCCTATAATAGGATTGCACTTGTTCATAATTCGACCATAGGCCATCAGGGAAGGCTTCATAGAAAAGATAGTTTTTGGTCTGAGATTTAAAGAATGAGTAGGAGTTTCCTGGATTTTCAAGGGCCGGGAAGGGCATTTTAGACTGAAGAGTCCAGTTAACTGAAAACCAATTAATACTGCAAGCCTTTTTGATCATCTGCCTTTTTGTTCACTCTGTCTTGAACCCCTTTGGGCTTCCTTCTGTTCTTCTACACTTTTCCTTACCCTCCATCATCCACCCACTATTGCCTCTCTTGCCAATTATTTGTACTATGTTTTCTGGAAAACTGGTACCATTGTAGACAGACTCTACTGTACCCTAAATTTCCTCACTGAATTCTCTCTCCACTTGCTTGCTTTAACTGAAACCCGGCTTCTCTCCCAGGGTGTGCCCTCTGTATTGCTATGGTTCTTGAGTGAAAGCCTCACATAACTGATTGAACAAATATCCCTACTGATGAATATTTAGGTTGTTTCCAGTTTTACAAACAATGCCACAGTGAAATGCTAATACATGTATGTTTGGGTACATGTGAATATATTTGTAGGATAGATTTGTGGATTTGAAACTGCTGAATCAAATGACACAAACATTAAAAAAATTGATAAATACTGCCAAATTTTTATCCAGAAAGTTTTTTCTAATGTACCTTCTTACCAAGCATACATGAATGCCTGTTTTCTTATACCTCACTGATACTGGAGAGTTATTAATCATTGTAATTTTTGTTTCCCAGAAGTCATCATCATTCCTACTCTTCATCACTGCTTCTAGACCTTTGCTTTCAACCCTCACATTAAAGGCCTCTCTTTTAAGGCTCATGCCTTTTGCAATATTACCTTTTATTCCTTCTCGATGTAGTCATTTATTGCCTTCTTGAATATTTCCTGATATTCTATGGAGACTTGAGCATCTGCTCTCTACCTCCCAGCCCATCACAATGCTCCTGTGGATGAACTGGCCAAGCAACACTCTACCTTCACAGCTCCTTGACCATTTCTAGTGCTCTTCTCCACTCTACTTCTGCAAGAAAATTTATTAGCCTCATTCTGGATTTTGTCATTTCCCAGAATTACTCTATATCTGAAAATATACAATTCCAATATCTCATTCTCTGTCCACAACTTTTTTTTTTTTTTTGACAGAGTCTCGCTCTGTCATCCAGGCTGGAGGGTAGTGGCACAATCTTGGCTCACTGCAACCTCCGCCTCCTGGGTTTAAGCGATTCTTCTGCCTTAGCCTCCCGTGTAGCTGGGACTACAGGTGTGTGCCACCATGCCCGGCTAATTTTTGTATTTTTAGTAGAGACGGGGTTTCACCATGTTGGCCAGGCTGGTCTCGAGCCCCTGACCTCAGGTGATCCCCCCCTATCAGCCTCCCAAAGTGCTGGGATTACAGGCCTGAGCCGCTGTGCCCGGCCCAAACTTTATTTTTGACATTTTTATTGTTTCACTACACATAGCACCAACTCATTTTATTTTATTTTATTTTATTTTACTTATTTTGAGATGGAGTCTTGCTCTGTAGCCCAGGCTGGAGTGCAGTAGCATGATCTCAGCTCACTGCAACCTCCGCCTCCCAGTTTCAAGCGATTCTTCCTCCTCAGTCTCCCAAGTAGCTGGGATTACAGGTGCCTGCCGCCACACCCAGCTAATTTTTTGTATTTTTAGTAGAGATGGGGTTTCACCATGTTGACCAGCCTGGTCTCGAACTCCCGACCTCAGGTGATCTGCCCGCTTCAGCCTCCCAAAGTGCTGGGATTACAGGTGTGAGCCACCTCGCCGGCCAACTCATTGATTTTAACAGGTGCATGGTGTTCCATTGTATACATGGACCATTATTTCATTTTGCCAGATTCACTGTACAGGCATTGTTCTAATGTTTGACTGTTGCAAATACTACTGCATTCTTTTTTGTGCATAGATTATATGTAAAACAATACTCTTTGTACATAAATCTTTGTGTGTCTCTGTGAGTATTACTGTGGGATAAATTTTTAGAAATGGATTGCTGTGTGAAATGATAAACATATTTACAATTTTAGTAGTATAGTCATATAGCCCTATAGAATCTACCAATTTACACTCCACTAACAGTATATAAAAATGTGTTTTCCCCATATACTTGCCAGAATTAGGTCGTTTTTCAATCTTTATCATTTATCAATCATTTTTTCATCCTTATCAACATGATAGGTGAAAAATATCTTGTTTAACTTATTTTTCTTTATTTCATGCTGTTTTTAATCCTTTTTTTCACTCAACAGTACGTTTTGGACATTTTTCTATGTCAATGAATATAGATTACACTATTGTTTTAAGTGGCTTTGTAAGGTGGGCACAGTGGTATGGTGCCTGTAGTCTCAGCTCTTTGGGAGGCTGAGGTGGAAAGATCGCTTGAGTCCAGGAGTTCAAGGCTGTAGTGCCCTATGGTCATGTCTGTGAATAGCCTGGACAACGTAGTGAGATCCCATTTCTTAAAAAATAAAAAAAGGCTGTATAGCATTTCATTGTGAGAATGTAATATTATTTTATTTTATTTATTTTCGAGACAGACTCTCATTACATCACCCAGGCTGGAATGCAGTGGCACGATCTCAGCTCACTGCAACCTCTGCTTCCCAGGTTCAAGCAATTCTTGTGCCTCAGCCTCCCAAGTAGTTGGGATTAAAGGGATGTGCCACCATGCTCAGCTAATTTTTGTATTTTTAGTAGAGATGGGATTTTGCCATGTTGGTCAGGCTGGTCTTGAACTCCTGGCTTCAAATGATCCACCTGCCTTGGCCTCCCAAAGTGCTGGGATTACAGGCATGAGCCACTGTACCTGGCCTTGCTCAGCATAATGTTTTTGAGATTTATCCATGTTATTGTGTGTATCAAGTTTGTTCCTTTTCAGTGCTGAGTAGCATTCTATTGTATGACTATGCTAGTTTATCCATTCTGTTCTTTTTTTTTTTTTTTTTTTTTTTTTTTTGAGACAGAGTCTTGCTGTGTCTTGCCCAGGCTGGAGTGCAGTGGCATGATCTCGGCTCACTGTAGCCTCCACCTCCCAGATTCAAACGATTCTCCTGTCTCAGCCTCCTGAGTAGCTGGGACTACAGGTATGTGCTACCACACCCAGCTAATTTTGTACTTTTTAGTAGAGATGGGGTTTCACCATGTTGGCCAGGCTGGTCTCAAACTCCTGACCTTAGGTCCTGCCTTGGCCTCCCAAAGTGCTGGGATTACAGGCATGAGCCGCCGTAACCAGCGTATCCATTCTATTATTGATGGACATTTGGATTATTTACAGTTTTTGGCTACTATGAATAAAGCTGAAGTAAACATTCTGGTACAAGTCTTTTTATAAACATATGCTTCCTTTTTTTTTTTTTTTTTGTAAATACCTAGAAGTGGAATTGCTAGACTATAGGATAGATGTGTATTTAAATTTATAAGAAACTTCTAAGTAATTCTCTAAACAGGTTGTACCATTTTTTATTCCCACTAGCAATATATGAGAATTCTAGTAGTTTTTCATTCTCTCGAACACTTGGTATGGTCAGTCTTTTAACATTTTAGCCATTCTGGTGGGTGTGTAGTAGTATCTCATTGTAGTTTTTTTTTTTTTTTTTTCCAAAGATAGGATCCCAGGCTGGAGTGCAGTAGTACAAATAGCTGGGACTACAGGCCATGCCACCACACCCAGCTAATTTTTGCTTTGTTTTTTGTAGAGGCAGGGCTTCACCATGTTGCCCAGGCTGGTCTGGAACTCTTGGGCTCAAGTGATCCACCTGCCTCGGCCTCCCAAAATGCTCAGATTACAGGTGTGAGCCACTGTGCCTGGCTCATTGTAGTTTTAATATGCATTTCCCTGAGTATTAATGATGTCAAGCACTTTTTCATGTGCTTATTGACCATTCAAATATCTTTGCTAAATATCTATTCAAATCTTTTGTCCATTTTAAAGTTGGATTAAATCCATTTTTAAATGATTGATTTGTAAGAGTTCTTTATATATTCTGCTTACAAGTCCTTTGTCAGATATATGTTTTTCAAGTATTTTCTCTTAGTCTGTGCTTGCCTATTCATTTTCTTAATAGTAGTTTTTCATGAGAAGATTTTAAAATTCAGTGAATTCTAATTTATCATTTTTTTTTCTTTTATGACTATAGCTTTCTGTGTTCTAAAAGATCTTTGTTTATCCCTAAGTCCCAAAGATTCTCTTCTGGATTTTCTTCTAGAAGCTTTAGAGTTTTAGCATTTATATTATATGTTTAGTGTCATGATCCATCTTCAGTTGGTTTTTGGGTGTGATGTGGGGTTGGGGTTGAGGTTTATTTTTCCCAAATGAATATCCAGTTATTCTAGCACCATTTGTTGAAAAGACTTTCCTTTCCCCAATTCAACATTGCTTGATCAAAAATCAATGACTTTATATGTGCAAGTTTATTTCTGGGCTCTGTATTTTGTGCCATTGATCTATTTATCTATTAAGTACTGTAGTTTTATAGTAAGTCTTAATGTCAGGAATATAGGTCTTCCAACTTTGCTGTTGTTTTTCAAGATCGTTTTGGATATTTTAGATCCTTTCCATTTCCATATACATTTTAGAATCAGTTTGTCCATTTCTCTTTAAAAAACCTGGTAGTATTATGACTGCTCTTGTATTGAATCTATAGAAGAATTCTGGGAGGATTTACATCTTAACAATATTGTGTCTTCTAACTCATGATCATGGTATATCTATTTATTTCAGGTTTTTATTTGTTTTTTAAAGATGGAGTTTCACTCTGTCACCCAGGCTGGAGTGCAGTGGCATAACTATGGCTCACTGCAGCCTCAACCACCCGGGCTCAAGCGATCCTCCCACTTCAGCCTCCCAAGTAGCTGGGACCACAGGTGTGTGCCACCATGCCTGAACAAGTTTTTTTGGTAGAGATGGGGTTTCACTGTGTTGCCCAGGCTGGTCTTGAACTCCTGGGCTCAAGTGATCTGCCTGCCTCGACCTCCCAAAGTGCTGGGATTACAGGCATGAGCCACCATGCCCAGCCTATTTATTTCAGTCTTGTAAAATTCCTCTTAGCAATGTTATGTAGTTTTCAATGTAGAAGTTCCTGGATGGATTTTGCTGAATATTATCAAATGCCTTCTAGAAAGGTTGTATCAGTTTACCTTACCACCAATACTACATTTTCTTTTCTTTTCTTTCCTTCCTTCCTTTCTTTCTTTCTTCCTTCCTTCCTTCCTTCCTTTTTTTTTTTTGAGATGGAGTTTTGCACTTGTCCCCCACGCTGGAGTGCAATGGCATGATCTCAGCTCACTGCAACCCCCGCCTCCCCACTTCAAGCGATTCTGCTGCCTCAGCCTCCAGAGTAGCTGGGATTACAGGCGCCTGCCACCACGCCCAGGTAATTTTTTGTATTTTTAGTAGAGACGGGGTTTCACCATGTTGGCCAGGCTGGCCTCGAACTCCTGACCTCAGGTGATCCACCTGCCTTGGCCTCCCAAAGTGCTGGGATTACAGGTGTGAGCCACTGTGCTTGGTCTGTTTTCTTATACTCTCATCAACACTGGGTTTTATGTCTTTTTATTCTGTGCCAATCCTAATAGGTGAAAAATTATATATCAGTTTTTTTGTGGGCTTTTTTTTTTTTTGATGGAGTCTCACTCTGTGGTGGCCCAGGCTGGAGTGCAGTGGTGCGATCTTGGCTCACTGCAATCTCTGCCTCCTGTGTTCAAGTGATTCTCCTGCCTCAGCCTACTGAGTAGCTGGGATTACAGGTGCAGGCCACCACGCCCAGCTAATTTTTATATTTTTAGTAGAGATGGGGTTTTGCCATGTTGGCCAGGCTGGTCTCAAACTCCTGACCTTAGGTGATCTGCCCATCTCGGCCTCCCAAAATGCTGGAATTACAGGCCTGAGCCACCGTGCCAAACCTATATTTCAGTTTTATTGGCATTTCTTTTATTACTGGTGAGGTTTGCACATACTGTATTTATTGACTATTTGTATATAATTTATCATGAATTGACTGTTCTTTGTGCATTTGTCTATTGGGGTGTTCATCTTTTTCATGTTGATATGCAATGATTTGTAAAAGTTTTTTGTATGTTAGGGAAATATATATGTGTGTAACTAGAGAAGTAGGTAGTATTGCCTTTACAACATAAAGAGATTAAGGCTGAGAAAAGCTAAATGACTTGGTTCAAGATCATACAAATAATAAATGATAGAGCAAGGATTTGAATCCTGGTCTATGTGACACAAAATACCATGTTATTTCTATTACAGAAAGCCTATTTTTAATCTGTTAGTAGCTTTTCTAAGTCTTAAAAATTATTTAATATTATTGTCTCCTTTGCTAAAAGCCTTAGTTTTAGAATTTATCTCTTGCTGATGGCCTTGTTAGAACTTTAGAGAACATTTAGTATAGTTTTCTGTCTTTTTTAATCATTCAAAGCTTTTAAAAACTTCAAAATTATTTCAAACTTAAAGAAAAGTTACAGTAATATTACAAAGAACTTCCACTTACCCTTAACCCAGATTCATATATTTTTAACATGTTGCCACATTTGCTTTATCATTCTATCTCTATCTTTATCTATTTTTTCTCTGAATCAGAATAACCTGGAGACATAAGGCCCCTATACTCCTAAATACTTCAGCATATCTTTCCTGAGAACAGGGACATCCTCTTACAAAACCACAGCATAATGATCAAAATCAGGAAAATTAACATTGATGTAATACCACTGCTGTCCACATTCAGCTTTTACCTCTTGTCCTAATAATTTCCTTTATAGCATTTTTCCCCAGTCCAGAATACAGTCCAGGATTATACATTGAATTTAGTTGTCATGTCACTTTAATTGCCTTTAATTTGGAGTAGTTTCTCAGCTTTTCTTTGTCTTTCCTGACATTGACACTTTTGAAGAGTACAGGCCAGATATTTTGTATAATGTTCCTTAGTTTGGGTTTGTCTAATGTTTCCTCATGATTAGATTCAGATTATGCTTCTTTTTGTAGGAATATCACAGAAGTGATGTGTTCTCAGTGCATTGGCAACAGGAGGTACATGATATCACTTTGCCCCATTATTGGTGATATTAACTTTGACTACTTGGTTAAAGTAGGGTCTGCCAGGTTTCTCCACTCTAAAGTTACCATTTTTACCTTTGTAATAAATATGCAATTTGTGGGGGGACACTTTGAGACTGTATAAAATGTCCTATTCCATATCAAAGTCTCAGCCAATAGATTTTAACATTCATTGATTATTGCCTGAATCAGTTATTACTATTATATTTCAAAAATGGTGATTTTCTAAATACATCATTAGTTCTACACTTATTTGCTGGCATTCAATTGTAAAGAAGAGCTTTCCTTTTACCCTATGTATTGATTAATTAATTGATTATCAGTATGGACTCATGGATTCTTACTTATTACATGAGTTATAACGTTTTACTGTTTATTTTGATGCTCTAATTGGCCCAGATTTGGTCAGTGGGAGCTTCTTCAAGCTGGTTTCTGTGTCCATTGACATGCCTCCATCATTCTTTGGCACTTTCTTACTTTCTGGGACAACAGGAATATTTCAGGCTTATCATGTATTTTCCTGGCCCTAACCTTGGAATCAGCTATTTCTCCAAGGAAGCCTGGCTCCCTTAAGTGGGGAATGATATTTAGCAACCAGGATCTCTGTGCTGGGGTATACTTATTGCTACTGAGGTGTCATCACTTTGGGGCTCCTTTAGCTGAGAGACCTAGGATTTATCCCAGGCTTTTGAATCCCTTCCAATATCTCCACCAAGTGAGTTTAGATCTGTGCTTGAATACTTCATTATTTGAGGAAATTGCTCGAGAGACAGTCTCCTTCATTATTGGGCAACCCTTTATATTTGAAAACAGTGGCCATTGGTTTCCTCTACTAAGTCTTGTCTTCTCTGTGCTAAACATCTGCAGTTCCTTTACTGCCATTACTCTCATGGCAGAGTTTGAAGATCTCCTCATCATTCTGGTTATTCTGTTCTGTTCATACTTCAGCTCATGAATATCTCTCTTTAAAGATTGGCATCTAGAATGAAATGTACTATTTCAGGTACATGTTCTGATCAGTACAGAAGAGTGGGTTAGTGATTTTCTTTGTTCTAGACCCTATGCTACTACTCATGCAGGCCAAAATTGTTAGCTTTTTTTTCTTTTCTTTTCTTGTTTTTTTTTTTTTTGACAGCCACATTGATCACTCTGTTGAATTATGTTGAGCCTATAGTTAGTTGAAATCACTAAGACTAAAAACTCAACTATATTTATCCATTTGGTACTTAAATGCTTATGTTTTAGGACCTAGTATGAGGCTTTAATTTGATCTCTGTCTTTTCAGCCTAAGAAATTTAGCTTATCATTCCTGCTTGTCAAACTTCTTTTGACTCCTGAATGTCATCCAGTTGTACTAGCTTCTTTTCCAGTTTATCATCTGCAAATTTGATTAGTATGCCACTAAGTGTCTTCATACAAATGACTATCTTAAAATATCAAAAAAGGCAGAGCGGAGCTCAAATATTTGCAGCCTGACTAGACACCTTTCCTATGTTGAAATCAATCCATCAAATAAGGGATTGCTACTGTTCATCTACTTTCACCTGCTGTTGTATATAGGATCTGACCCAACAGACCTGTCACAATACTACCTTGAACCAATTTCTAGTGTTTTCCTGGGATTAGTGTTTCAAAGTTATAGGGAAGCTTGTTTATTGTAAAATGGGGACCTTTCACACAGTCCAAACGTGCTATTCTTGAGTGGAGATCGTCCTGGTGTGGCTTGGTCTGTGTCCTCCTTGGTGCCAGAGGCAAAGAGAAATGTTTGAGGCAGCCAAGGCTATTCTACCTTAATCAGAATCTTCATCAAATGTAAGGAACAGAGGTTATCTAGTTCAGACTTCTAAAATCTTACTGATAAAACCTATTAATGTGTCCGTTTCTTTTAATGCTCTATCTGTCAACAAGTGCTCCTGCACATTATTTAAAAAGGAGGAAAGGTGCCTTATAGAAAGGGGCTCTCAGAATTTGCAAGTAAGGATGGGAAAAGGTCACTGTCTGAAAATGAAGTAAAATGAAACAAAATGGATAAAAACAGCTATCTGAAGGCATACATCTGCAGAATTAATCTACCCTGAGAGAGCTAGGTTTTCTTTTAATGAGACTGGAATGTTTTTTAGGTTTCCATCAAAGACCAGAGTATATGGCCTCAGGAAAAAGAGAATGAAATGTAATAATGTAAAGAAATCCTAACTTACTCAACTGCCTTATAAATTGGCCATCTGAAATAGTGATCTATGAATAGAAGGGTAAAGCCTGGTTATCTGCAAGGAGCCTGGAAAGGGGAAGAATAACATTTTATTTCTTTAGCCTTTTCGGTTTTTTTTTTCCGGTTGTTGTTTAATTACATAGGTAACATGTGAGTACATTCTCCTTATAAAAATATTTAAACATTACAGCTAAGAGTAAGTTTCTTCTCACTAAACTTCTTGTCCCCAATTCTGGTTAGTCAGGCTTTTTATAAAAATATCTTGAGTCAAGAAAGATAGTTTATCAGGCTTATATAATCTGATGTTAATATATCCTTTGTGGATATAAACTCCGTTTGTTTTATTTATTTTTGTTTGTTTTCTGTTTTTTTTAAAAAACATTTTTTCCCTTTTTAAAAAAAAATGTGCTCACAAATCAACCTTTTAATATATAGACTGGTCTGCTGAATTTGTCTGCCTGCCTCACTGGAGTAACTACCTTGTACAAAGATATTGCCTACCTAGGAGGTTGTTCTTGTATAGTCAGCAACTAAGCCTCCTGATCTCAAACAGCTCTCTGACTTCTGTATGTACAGTGGGGGATACAGGATTCAAAGACTTTTTTTTTCTTTTTTTCTTTTTGTTGAGACAGGGTCTCACTCTGTCACCCAGGCTGGAGTGCTGTGGCACAATCTTGGCTCACTGCAACCTCCACTTCCCAGGCTCAAGTGATCCTCCCACCTCAGCCTCCCGAATAGCTGGGACCACAGGTGAGCACCACCATACCTGCCTGATTTTTTTCTATTTTTTATAGAGATGGGATTTTACCACGTTGCTCACGCTGCTCTCGAATTCCTGGACTCAAGCAATCCACCTGCCTCGGCCTCCTAAAGTGCTGGGACTGAAGGCGTGAGCCACTGTGCCCAGCCTAAAGACATTTTAAAAAAGCTCCATGAGGAGCTTTCATTTTACTGGGAAGACTAGACATGCATGTGAGGCATTTTTTGAAGGGGATGATACCATATATTCATATTATAATATAAGACAGTATATATAGCAAAGGGTTAATTGGACAGCATAAATGGGTGCTATACAAATTCATATCCTCTTTCAGTTCCTGTCATCTCTCTTTCTTCCCCTTCATTCACCTTATTTTTCCTCACCTCCCACTCTTCAATTCACTGTGATCTGGTTTCTCTTCTGCCACTGGTGTGAAGTTACTTGAGGTAAAAGATATGGGGCTCCAGGGTCACATGTTATACTTTGCTTTTTTTTTTTTTTGAGACAGGGTCTCGCTCTGTCACCCAGGCTGGAGTGCAGTGGCGTGATTCTCGTGCCTCAGCCTCCTGAGTAGCTGGAATTACAGGCGCGTGCCACCATACCTGGCTAATTTTTGTATTTTTAGTAGAGATGGGGTTTCACCACATTGGCCAGTCTAGTCTCAAACTTCTGACCTCAAGTGATCTGCCTGCCTTGGCCTCCCAAAGTGCTGGGATTACAGGCATGAGCTACTGTGCCTGCCCGCTTTGCTGTTTTTGACTAGGCTCATCTTATCCATTCTCTTGGCTTCAGCTGCTTATTATACACTGACTTCACACAAATGTATGTTCAATCCAGACCTCTTTTCTGAGCTTCAGACCCCGGGTAGCCATCTGCCTATTTTCATGCTCCATAGTCATCGCAAATTCACTATTTCCCATACTAAGCTACTTCCTTCCCCACCCTCTCAGCCTAAGCCCACTCCTCCTCTTGTGTTTCTTATGTCAGTGAATGGCACTATCAACCCAGTTCCCCAAGTCTAAAACCTTCACACCATCCTCTCTCTATTTTACCACCAAATCCTTTCAGGTTTATTTGCTAAATATTCACTGGATCCATATACTTCACCTTTTTTCCTAATGCCACTACCCTGGTCCAGGTCACTGTCATCTCAAACTTTATTGCAACTGTCTCCTAATTCATCTACTTGCCCCCACTCTTATTTTACCCTCAAATCATGTCCCACACTATAGCCAGAGAATATATTCTAAAACAAAAACCCTTCAGTGACTTCCCAGTCCCCTTAAGAGAAAATTCAAAATTCTTTAAGTGACTTACAAGGCCCTACATCTGGCTCCTGCATCAGCTTCATTTATCACCACTCCTCATCTCACACTCTGTACCTCAGCAATTCTAAATTCCATTTTCAATGATCGGTATATGCCATGCTCTCTTTCTCTTGAATCCAAGCCCTCATACATGCTACCCCAATGTCTGGTTGGTCCACTTTTAGTGATACTATGGCTGAGCAGTGTGTACAGATTGTGGACAGCTTAATCTTTCTATTTTAAAAGTCCTTATTGCCTTTCTCATCTACCCTCATTGTTAGAAAGGCATCCTCATTGTCTTAGCATCCACTGATGATCATTATCTGAATTATTAGTTTCATAAGGGTATTCCAAATGGTGATTTTCCTAGTTCTGTCATTCCTTCTACACTATTTTTTTTTTGAGTCAGGGTCTTGCTCCGTCATCCAAGCTGGAGTGCAGTGGCACGATCATGGCTCATTGTAACTTGGAACTCCTGGGCTCAAGCGACCCTCCTGCTTCAGCCTCCCAAAGTGCTGGTATTAGAGGTGTGAGCCACCTCGCCCAGCTTCTTCTACAACTATTAACTGAAATTCTTCTGTAAATAATTTTCCCTTACCAACTAGGTCTTTTTGGTATCCTAAAATAACCATTTGTACATGATGAGTAGAATAAATGTTTCTTTTGTGAATTTTTCTTTGTGCATATTTTTTTGTGTATTTTTAAAAATTTAAGTATTTAAATTAGTGATTTGAAGCTTTGGACAATTTTGTCAGAGAAACCATTTATAAGTAGTGGTTATGTTTCCAGAATAGCAGATAAAAACTTGCTTAATCCACAGGGTCAATAAAATATTACACATAGCAATAACAAATATAAAATATTTTTGTAATATTAGTTATGAAATGAAAGAAAACAGTTTTTAAAGTTTAACTTGAGTACCAGTACTTGAGAGAAAAGCAATCTTAATTAGAGGAAGAAGAGGTAGATGGATACTTATGGTGATGTGAAGGGATCTGCAGAGTAATTTCAAGGACTTTTAGAATTTGACGGCATTGGTTCTTTTTTTTTTTTTTTTTTTTTTTTTTTTTTTGAGACAGAGTCTCGCTTTGTTGCCCAGCCTGGAGTGCAATGGCACGATCTCAGCTCACTGCAACCTCTGCCTCCCGAATTCAAGCAATTCTCCTGCTTTAGCCTCCCTAGTAGCTGGGATTACAGGCGCTCACCACCACGCCCGGCTAATTTTTTTTTTCTTTTTTTGAGGCTGAATGTCGCTCTGTTGCCTAGGCTGGAGTGCAGTGGTGTGATCTCAGCTCACTGCAAGCTCTGCCTCCCAGGTTCATGCCATTCTCCTGCCTCAGCCTCCCGAGTAGCTGGGACTACAGGTGCCTGCCACCACACCTGGCTACTTTTTGGTCTTTTTAGTAGAGACGGGGTTTCACCATGTTAGCCAGGATGGTCTCAAACTCCTGACCTCAGGAGATCTGCCTGCCTCGGCCTCCCAAAGTGTTGGGATTACAGGCGTGAGCCACCTCACCCGGCTGGCATTGATTCTTAATGTTTAATTTCACTACAGATTTAAGCTATTTCCATTTATTTTTTTTCCCTTTGAGATAGGGTCTTACTTTGTTGCCCAGGCTGGAGTGCAGTGGCATAATCATAGCTCACTGCAGCCTTGAACTCCTGGTCTCAAGTGATTATCCTGACTCAGCCTCCCAAGTAGCTAGGACTACAGGTACATGCCACGGCTCCTGGTTAATTACTTTTTTTTTTTTTTTTTTTTTTTTGGTAGAGACAAGGTCTCACTCTGTTGCCCAGGCTGGCCTTGGATTCCTGGGCTCAAATGATTCTCCTGCCTTGGCCTCCCAAAGTGTTGGTATTATAGGCATGAACTACCATGCCCGGCCTTAAGTTTCTTTCTCTTTCTCTCTCTCTTTTAGACAAGGTCTCTCTCTGTCATCCAGGCTGGAGTGCAATAGCATGATCGTAGCTCACTGATACCTTGAACTCCTGGGCTCAAGGGATCCTCCTGCCTCAGCCTCCCAAGTAACTGGAACTACAGGTGCACATCATGATGCCTAGCTAATTGTTTTTTTAATTTTTTTTTTTTTTTTTTGTAGAAATGGGAAGGTCTCACTATGTTGCCAGGACTGGTCTTGAACTCCTGGCTTCAAGAGATCCTCCTGCCTCAGCCTCCCAAAGTGCTGCTATTACAGGCATGAGCCACCACGCCCAGCCAGTCTCTCTTAATTGAGAGCAGTCTATGCCTCACATTTTCTTTGTCAAGCCATTGGCTTGTTGCAGAAAGTGAATCAGTGGTCCTGTAGAATATCCCTCATTTTAGATATGTTTGTTTTCTTTTTTATGCTGTCATTTACTTTATTCCTTTATATCCCACATTTTTCTATAATGGAAGTTAGCTTTAGAAGCTTGATGATATTCAGATTCAACTTTCTTCATTTGGTCAATAATATTTAACAGGGGTAACTGTGTATTTCACTTTGAATCACATCTGGAGGCACACATCCATTCCATTTTTAATAAATGAGTAACATCTGGATTCCTTCATTATTTTATTTAACTTATTATTATTATTTTTAGAGATGTAGTCTTGCTCTGTCACCAGGCTAAAGTGCAGTGGCGTGATCATAGCTCACTGCAGTCTTGATCTCCTGGCTCAAGTGATCCTCCTGTCTTAGCCTCCTGAATAGCTAGAACTGCAAGCATGCACCACCCTGCCTGGCTAATTATTATTATTATTATTTTGAGACAAAGTCTCACTCTGTCACCCAGGCTGGAGTGCAGTGCCAACTTCCGCCTCCCAGGTTCAAGTGAGTCTCCTGCCTCAGCCACCTGAGTAGCTGGGATTACAGGTGTGTGCCACCATACCCTGCTATTTTTTTTAATTTATTTTTTACTTTTAGTAGAGATGAGGTTTCACCATGTTGGCCAGGCTGGTCTTGATCTTTTAGCCTCAAGTGGTCTGCCCGCCTCAGCCTCCCAAAGTGCTGGGATTATAGGTGTGAGCCACTGCGCCCAGCCCTGGCTAATTTTTAAATTTTATTTATTTATTTATTTGTTTGTTTATTTATTTTTGTGTGTGTGGAGACAGGATCTCTATATGTTGCCCAGGCTGGTCTTAAACTCTTGGGCTTAAGTGATCCTTCCACCTCAGCCTCCCAAAGTATTGGGATTATAGGCGTGAGCAACCACTCCCTGCCTGACTCCTTCATTATGTTTCCCATCAACTTTTCATTTAATAGTTTAATCTGTTATGACCATTGGTGGAATTAATCATTTCACTAGTAGTTTCAAAATAGTGATTCCTTAATTTTGTTTTCCACATTAACTAGTTGGAATTCTTCTGAAAGTAAACTTTCCCTCATCAACTAGGACTATTGTGTTACTCCTACAGGGAAGGCAGGAGACATGATTAATTCTTTCCTTAATTACCAATTTTCAGAGTAAAGAGTTGGTGCTCTACTTACTTTCAATGATATCCAATGAGTTGTATATGTTTGTTATTTCCCTGTCTTTATTAACCACCCTTTAAAAAATGTCTATCACATGTACCCTATAATAAATATGTATATCTATTTATGTATCCATAAAAATTAAAAATTAAAAAATGTATTCAATGGGTTTTAATTGACTGCATTCATTATTCTTGTTAATACTCAATTTTTACCATCTTTTGCCAATGCGTTGCCTCCTGTATGTTCCTGACATGACTCATTAGTGTTCCATAGCTTGCTTGATTCCTGGCACAAGGCTTATATAGTTCCTGCCTCAGACTTGCTATTTCTCCAAGGAGTCCTAGTTGATTTATATTCTCTCTCTCTTTTTTTTTAAACAGCTTTATTAAAGTTTAATTTACATAGCATAAAATTCACCTATTTTAAATATACAATTCAAAACTTTTTAGTAAATTTATAGAGTTGTGCAACTATGTCCACAATCCAGTTTTAAAACATTTCCATCAAACTAAAAGATCCCCTATACACTTTTGCAGTCAATCCTGCTTCCTATCTGTAGCCCCAGGCAATCACTAATATGCTGTCTGTAGATTTGCCTTTTCTAGATATTTTATGTAAATGAAATCATGTGCTATATAGCCTTTTGCTTTCACTCAGCACTAGGTGTTTTTAAAATTTGAAATATAATTCACATGCCATAAAATTCATCATTTTAGAGTGTATAACACAGTGGTTTTTAATATATTCACAAGGTGTTTCAACTATCACCACTATCTAATTCCAAAACATTTCCCTCACACCAAAAAGAAACCCTATACCCATTAGCACGCACTTTCCATTTCCCCCTGCCCTCAGCCCCTGGCAGCCATTAATCTACTTACTGTCTCTATGAATTTGCATACTCTGGACATCTCATATAAATGGAATAATATAATATGTGGTCTTTTGTGTCTGGTTTCTTTCACTTAGCATAGTGTTTTCAAGGTTCATCCACGTTATAGCATGTATCAGTACTTCACTTCTTTTTACGGGTGAATAATATTCCATTGTATGGATATATAACACTTTGTTTATCCATTCATCAGTTGATGGACATTTTGGGTTGTTTCCACTTTTTGGGTCATAGAGTAACTCTAATGTTTAGCCTTTTGAGGCACTGGTACATTGTTTTCCAAAGCACAGGCTTTTTACATTGGTTGTACCATTTTACGTTTCCACCAGCAGAGTATGAGGGTTTCAGTTTTCTCCGCACCCTTGCCAACACTTACTTATTGTCTCTCATTTTTATGATAGACATCCTAATGAGTGTAGCTACTTTGGAAAAGTCTGGCAGTTCCTCAAAATGTTAAGCTCAGCGTTCTGATCCCCACTCCCTAATGATTGTTGAAGCTTTCCTTTTTTTCTCTTTTTTTTTTTGCCCCATCCCCCTCCACCCCTCTGTTGTATTTTCTTTCTCCTCTCTTGTCCTCTTCTCCTTTCCTCTTTTCCCCTCCTCCCCTCCTGTCCTTCTGAGACAGGGTCTCATTCTGTTGCCCAGGCTGGAGTGCAGTGGTATGATCACAGCTCACTGCAGCCTCGATCTCCTGGGCTCAAGTGATCCTACCGCCTCAGCCTCCCAAGTAGCTGGGACCACAGGCACATGCCACCATGTCCAGCTAATTTTTATTTTTATTTTTTGTGGAGACGGGGTCTCCCTATGTTGCCCGGACTGGTCTTGAACTTCTGGCCTCGTGCGATCCTCCTGCCTCAGCCTTCCAAAGTGCTGGAATTACAAGCATTAGCCACCGTACCCAGACTTTTGCTCAGTTAAAAAAAAAATTGGCCGGGCACCGTGGCTCACACCTGTAATCCCAGCACTTTGGGAGGCCGAGGTGGGCGGATTACCTGAGGTCAGGAGTTGGAGACCAGCCTGGCCAACATGGTGAAACCCCCGTCTCTACTAAAAATACAAAAATTAGCCGGGCTTGGTGGCACATGCCTGTAATCCCAACTACTTGGGAGGCTGAGGCAGAAGAATTGCTTGAGTCCAGGAGACGGAGGTTGCAGTGAGCCAAGATTGTGCCACTGCACTCCAGCCTGGCCAACAGAGCGAGACTCTGTCTCAAAAAATAAAATAAAATAAAATAATATATATTTTTTTCATTTCTAAGCATGGCTTCCTAGGTATCATATCTGGGTCAGGATAACTTAGTGGTCAGCCAATAATTTGCTGGAGGTTGTCCTTAAACACCTTGGGCCAATATGTCTTCTGCCCTTTGCTGACGAAGTTGTGTGTGGGTTGGGAAACACATTCAAAGTTTGGAGAGTTTACATGTCCTCCATGACTTTTACTTCCTGATAGGCCTTCTCATGTCCTGTGCCTGTGCCTGTGCAAGGCCTCACATTCAGCCAAGGAAATGTAAATAACTAGGCCCCTCTCTGGTACCTTGAACTTCAGTGTAGCCTTGCACATGCACACAGCCTCCTAGACAACCAGGGCCTTGAAGGTGCTTATCAAGTCCCACTATTACTGTCCCGTTTTCTGGATCTCTCTGTAAACTTCTGGCAGATCTGCTATTCTGTTGCTTGCTCCAACCAATATTGTAACTTCAGGTAACTGCGATTTTGGCTTCCCGTGTCTGTATGAAATTGAGTTTGCTATTGTTTTAAACACCCCTGGGCATAGGACTTTTTTGGTGCTCGTTCTTTATGAAGTAATTCCCCTCCAGCATCTAAATTGTTATTTTTTTATGGCTTGCCTTGACTTTCGTTGTAAAATCAGCTCCAGGGGACCTAGTGGGAGTGGGGGAGATGGAAGCAGCCCCGTAGTCTCCCACTGTTCTTAGCCAAAGGTTCCACAGGTTTTCTTAATTGCTTCTTAATCCAGTTTTATCATTGTTTTAAGGAAGAGAGGATTTGCTGAGTTCCTCTGCCATTCCAGAAGTCCGGCCTAATTTATGGTTTTTTTTGTTTTTTTTTTTTTTGAGACGGAGTCTCACTCTGTCACCAGGTTGGAGTGCAGTGGCCCGATCTTGGCTCACTGCAAGCTCTGCCTCCCGGGTTCAAGTGATTCTCCTGCCTCAGCCTCCTGAGTAGCTGGGATTACAGGCGCATGCCACCACGCCCAGCTAATTTTTGTATTTTTAGTAGAGATGGGGTTTCACCATGTTGGCCAGGATGGTCTCGATCTCTTGACCTCGTGATCTGCCTGCCTTGGCCTCCCAAAGTGCTGGGATTACAGGCGTGAGCCACTGCACCCGGCCACTAATTTATGTTTTAAAAGATCATTCTTAAGTGTTCTTACTACAAAAAAGTATGTGATGTAATGCATATGTTACTTATTAGCTCAATTTAGCCATTCCACAATGTGTACATATTTCAAAACATCATATTGTATACCATAAATATATATACTTTTTATTTGCCAACTTTAAAAAAAGAACATTCTGTTAGGAGTGGAGGATGGAAGGGAAGCTGGTGACCAGGAGTATATAATTTTACTCAGCAGTACTTTGTAAGCAGGAATGGAGAATATAAATAGTTTGGTTGATTTGTGGGTGAGAATTGACATAATAGGGATGGTGGAAAATCAAGGGGATAGGAGAATAGGGAGTGTTGGTTACTGTTATTGAAGTCTCACTGTCCATGGACTCTTTCCTAAGTAGACAAGGAAATGCAGTCCAAAAGTACATGATGGCAATGGACTTTAGGGACTCAGGGGGAAAGGGTGGGAAGGGGGTGAGGGATAAAAGACTACAAATATGGTGCAGTGTATACTGCTCGGGTGATGAGTACACCAAAATCTCATAAATCACTACTAAAGAACTTACTCATGTAACTAAACACCACCTGTTCCCCAAAAACCTGTGGAAATAAATTTTTTTTAAATAAAGGAATTTGAGACCCCCCGCCAAAAAAAACCAAAAAACCCAAAAGTACATGATGGCTTTGGAAAATAGGCAAGAGGGTTAATGAATTAAAGGCCTTGAGGCAGTTTAAGGGTAAATTCAGGGAGTATAAGGTTTAAGAGAAGTAGAACAACAAGTAGTTCTGAGAGTGGACCCTCTGTGTTTGGTTTTGGAAGTAGAGCCATTCCAAGTGTCACTCCAGCAACAAATAATTGATACCTGGCAGGGGAGATACCATGATCACAAAGGTGGTTTTCTCAGGGTGAGGCCCATCCATTGCACTCTGGGTGTGTTGGCCCCTGTGATTTCCCCAAATACAGGAAACTCGACTGCATAATGTGTGGTAGTGGGAGACTGAGTTTGTGCTTTCCCCTAAAAAAAAAAAAAAAGAAATGGATTATTGAAAGGGAATGGAGATGAAGAAGTTAGAATAGGTTATGTCAAGGATCCATGAGGTTTGGGTGTTATATCATCAAGGGGGATAATGAAGACTTTCAGGATGAGAAGAGAAAAGGAAAACAGTTGGTACTGAAGTCCTCAGTGAATGTTGGGGGGAGACTTGGAGATTGACATTTAACATTGAGAGGGTCATAAAATTGAGTATTATGAACTTTGAAGAAAGAGGTTATTGAGGTAAGATGGTAAAATAATACCTTGGGGATCCAGTGAAGAAGATACAAGAAGATGATAACCTGATCTTGACTTATGGGGAGATATGAGCAAAGGAAAATGAACAGCCTCAGCTGGGCATGGTTTGTGCACCTGTAATTCCAGCTACTTGGGAGGCTGAAGTGGGAGGACCACTCAAGCCCCAGGAGTTCGAGGCCAGCCTGGGCAACATAGAGCAGGAACACTGTCAGAAAGAAAAGAAAGAAAGAAAAAGGAAGAAAGAAAAGAAAGGAAAGAAAGGAAAGAAAGAAAGAAAGAAAAGAAGAGCCTCAAATGAAGAGCTTTGCCAGGGAGGAAATAGCAGCACAGTTCATGGTTTGGGATGACCAGAGTTCAGGTAAGAAGATGAGATAGAGGCTGAATGGATGGGCATGACCAAAAGCTGGAAGGTTTTAGGGAATGGTGGCTAGTTTTGGCTCAAGCATAGGGTGCAATTAGTTGTATAAGAAAAAGATAATATTGGAATCTATGTGATTAGTTGGAATCCAGAACATAACTAGAGTCATTATTGTTAAAAATATTATTCCTGGCCAGGTGCAGTGGCTCACTCCTGTAATCCCAGCACTTTGGGAGGCCAAGGTGGGCAGATCACGAGGTCAAGAGATCGAGACCATCCTGGCTAACATGGTGAAACCCCGTCTCAACTAAAAATACAAAAAATTAGCCGGGCATGGTGGCGGGTACCTGTGCTCACAGCTACTTGGGAGGCTGAGGCAGAAGAATGGCATGAACCTGGGTGGCGGAGCTTGCAGTGAGCCGAGATCGCACCACTGCACTCCAGCCTGGGCGACAGAGTGAGACTCCATCTCAAAAAAAAAAAAAAAATATATATATATATAAAATATATAGTATATTATATATATAATATATATTATATTATATATATAATATAATATTAATTATATATATATTTCTCTAGACAGTAAACTAAGGAAACTTTTTGAAATTGTTTTGTTTAGATCTCAGTGAAATTTGGGAACTGATATTGGTAGCTGGGAAGTAATTTGACAGCTTTGGAATACTGTGACTATGACAAATGTGAAATTGGTATGTGTGATAAATTATTAATGCCACCAATAGAATTAAAGTTGACTATAGATCATAATTTTGGTAAGAATGCAGTTTAGTATCAAACAGATTTTTCCTTGGGCTGTATCCAGTATACTGTGATGAATTTTTGATCTATTTGTAATTAGAAAATTGGAGCTTAAAAAAATGTATTGATGCTGGGCATGGTGGTGTGTGCCTGTAGTCCCAGTTACTCAGGAGACAGAGGCAGTAGGATGACTTGAGCCCAGGAATTTGAGGCTGCAGTAAGCTGTGATTGCACCACTGCACTCCACGCTGGGTGACAGAGTGAGAACTCATCTCTAAAAACATGCATTGACTTTTTGGAATGACCTTTTTATATTCTTTTCCAGGACTATTTGCAACCCACAATATATATAGGACTACTCAGGATCTGCTTTAGTGTGAGGGTTCCATCTTAATTACCCTAGCTATATTTGATATAATTTTATCTTTGTATAAATAAGATACATAGCTAGAAGCATAGAAGAGAAAATGTAAAGCAACAATGAGAGTGAATCAGAGATGTAGAGCTCCAGTTAAGAAACCCTAAGAATATTAATTGCCGGATGATAATCTGGCACATATTGAGTTCTGGCTACCATTTGTTACAGGATAAAAGAACATTGGAATAATTGGATACTGAGGTGCATAATTGCTGGCAATGGAGTGGAGGAGAGGAGTTGATCAGCTGGAAAGGAGCCTTATAGCTGCTTCTATACTAGTACTGTATATTTGATATTGGTTGACAACAGCAGAAAAATTATTTATCACCATGCTGGGGACTTATTAAATTGATTTCTACTCTGAAGTAATATGGAGGAATTTAATGGTTACTCTTAGAGATGTAATATTTCTTTATTTTTCATTCTAGCAGCCATCAGAAAAAAAAATCACAAAAAATCTATTGCTTGTACAGTCCTGTCATTTGTGACCTGGGATATTGTGCTCTTGGGCTGTCAGAATTCCAGTTTATGAGGCAATCTGTGTCATTCTGGTTTAGCCAGGTGAGTAGTCCTCTGGCTCTGTAGAAAAGAACAAGAAAGAAAAATAATAAAAAAGGGGAATGTGGAAAAATATAGATATGAATCTTAGACCCTAGAGGACAAGTTAAGGCCTGGGTTACAAGCAGCAAAACAGAGAGGAGGCCCCGGGGGTTATGGACACAGTCAGTAGAGTGGTAGTCATTAATTATAAAAACCGAGAGAACTAGGAGAACTAAGCCTGTGTGGGGACCTGGCTTGAGTTCAAAAATGAAGAAGCTTACAATGAACTATAATAAAAATATCTGTGAAGGCAAGGTTAAATAGAAAGGAAGTATGCTTTCAAGTTAAAATGAATAGAAGCCCAGGCATGGTGACTCACGCCTGTAATCCTAGCGCTCTGGGAGGCCGAGGTGAGAGGATTGCTTGAGGTCAGAAGTTCGAGACCAGCCTGGACAACATAATGAGACCCTGTTTCTAAAAAAAACTTTTTAAATTAGCTGGAAATGATGGTGCACTAATGTAATCCCAGCTACTTGGAAGGCTGAGGCTAGAGGATTTCTTGAGCCCAGGAATTTCAGGTTGCAGTGAGCTATGATGGCACCACTGCACTCTAGCCGGGGCAGTAGAGTGAAAATATCTATGAATATCTGTCTGTCTCAAAAACAAACAAAAAACCCAAAAAGACCCCCAAAAAACTAAAAATACTAAAAATGGATAGAAGTTTAATTATAGGCTGGGCATGGTGGCTTGCGCCTATAATCCCAGCAATTTGGAAGGCTGAGGTGGGAGGATCACTTGAGCCTAGGAGTTTGAGATCAGCCTGGGCAACATAGTGAGACCTTGTCTCAGCAATAACTAACTAGCTAAATAAATATAAATTTAATTATGATGAATTTCCCTTTTCTAAGGAAATATTGGCTATATAGAGATGCCAATCATATTTTAAAGGTTTATTGGCCGCCTCCATTGCCGCCATCATGCCAGCCCCTCGGGTCTCCGCGAGGCTGGGTGATGCTCCAGAATGGAAGACAAGCCAATTTGGAAGCAGGTTGGATCCAGCTTCATTCAACATTACTACCAGTTATTTGATAACGATAGAACCCAATTAGGCGCAATTTACATTGATGCGTCATGCCTTACGTGAGAAGGACAACAGTTCCAAGGGAAAGCTGCCATTGTGGAGAACTTGTCTAGCCTTCCGTTCCAGAAAATCCAGCACAGCATCACGGTGCAGGACCATTAGCCCATGCCAGATAGCTGCATCATCAGCATGGCTGTGGGTCAGCTTAAGGCGGATGAAGACCTCATCATGGGTTTCCACCAGATGTTCCTATTAAAGAACATCAACGATGCTTTCACCAATGACATGTTCAGGCTTGCCCTGCACAACTTCGGTTGACCTCCTCTCAGCCAGGCACTCATACTGTTTCCTCCTCCCTCCTCTTCCCAATACTATTCCCACTCCTCCAGATGCTCCAAATATCATGCACAAATGAGCAAGGCTGTGGCGGGTGGCGCAGTGCGCTGCTGCCACCGAGGTGTTGTGCATGATGTTTGGACACTAGACTAGTTGCTTCTGACGGGAGAAGTTTGTGTTGTACCAGCGCATGCCTTGGAAAGACTTAAGTAATGCAAAAGGTTGTCCTTTGTTTTTTTTTTTTTTAAATCTATGGAGAAGTTGCTCTAGTAACCCAAAGAAGGGAAGGAGAAAGCAGCTGCCTCACCGCCCAGACATTGATTTGTTCAGACGATACAATAAAACCACAAAAATTTTATTAACAACAAAAAAAGATTTCTTTAATATTTAATAGTTGAAAGAATGAATCCTGGCTCTTCTGTGTACTAGCTGCCTGATCATGGAAATATTACTTACTTTCTCCAAACTTCAGTTTCTTCATCTATCAAGTGGATTGATACTTACTGTAAGAATTAAATTAAAAAAATAAAGCACTCAACACGATGCCTGGCACATACTTAGAGCTCAGTAAATAGTCACTATTATTAGGCAGTGGAAAGCAGAGTTAATGAGAAGGAAGTTGAATCATGTGAAGGATTATTCTTCACAGATAGGTATGCAATTACTTATTTATTGTCAGAGCAGCTTACAGAAGTTTAAGGGTCAGAGCCTCTTGGACATCAGGCTATAATGAATGCAAATTAGACTCATTTGAAGGAAAGTAGTTCCCTTTTGTTTCCTGAGTTTGTAAGAAATTAGAACTTCTATATATTTTCTCTGATGGTTAATTTTAGATGTCAACTTGACTGGATTAAGGAATACCTAGAATCCTGGTAAAGCATTATTTTGGAGTGTGTCTGTGAGGGTTTCCAGAAGAGATGATTGTGTGAGTCTGAGTGGACTAGGTGGGGAAGATTTGCCCTTAGTGTGGGCAGGCATCATTCAATCTGTTAGGGACCTGTAGAGAACAAAAAATGAGAAAAAGGCAAATGTGTTGATTTATCTGCTGGAGCTGGGATACATTTGTCTCCTGCTTTGGGCAACAGAACTCTGGTCTCCCCGGTCTTTGGACTCCAGAACTTACACCAGTGCTCCCTGCCTAACCTTCGGTTCTCAGGCCTCTGGCCTCCGACTGAGAGTTACACGCCATTGGCTTCCCTGGTTCTGAGGCCTTCAGACTTGGACTGAACCATGCTATCAGCATCCTGGGGTCTCCAGCTTGCAGATGGCCTGTTGTGGGATTTCTCAGCCTCTATAATCATGTGTGCCAATTCCCCTAATAAATTCCCTCTCATATATCTATCTATATGTATCCTATTGGTTCTCTGACTAATATACTTTCAGGATATATATATAATATAATAGTCAGGAGAACTCTGACTAATATACTTTCCTTCCAGAATAGTACTTTTAACATGAGCATTCTTTTTATTATTATTATTTTTTAGATGGAGTTTCACTTTTGTTGCCCAGGCTGGAATGCAATGGCACAATCTTGGCTCACTGCAACCTCCGCCTCCTGGGTTCAAGTAATTCTCCTGCCTCAGCCTCCCGAGTAGCTGGGATTACAGGCATGCGCCACCACGCCCAGCTAATTTTGTATTTTTAGTAGAGATGGGGTTTATCCATGTTGGTCAGGCTGGTCTCAAACTCCTGACCTCAGGTGATCTGCCTGCCTCGGCCTCCCAAAGTGCTGGGATTACAGGCATGAGCCACCGCGCCCAGCCAACATTAGCATTCTTAGTATTTACCATTAGTATTTTTAATGTTTCTGTTTGACTCAAATCTTGAATTTTTTGGAAAATAGTAAAACGATGGACAGGTTAGGTGGATAGGCCATGCTAGTTGAAAACAGAGAAGATGGTAAAGTATAAAAGATAGCTGGGCATGGCGGCACGCACCTGTAGTCCCAGCTACTCAGGAGGCTGAGGTGGGAGAATCACTTCAGACCAGTAGTTTGAGACCAGCCTGGGCAACATAGTGAGACACAATCTCTAAGAAAAAAGAGTTTCCTCCTTAATCAGTTCAGATCACCTTTTGGACATAAGTCATTAGGTTATTTGTCTGGGTAGAGTAAAGCAGGCTGCCGGGAGTTGAAGTGTCACAGGGAGACTAAAGAAGAGGTACTAAAGAGGCTTTTCAGACGGCTTATCAAAGTTAAGGAGGAGGAGTTAGGCCTCTCAGTCTAGATAGCAAGGAAAGGGATGGACTGGTTTTTATGGACCAAGTTTTGTGAGGCCTAAAAAAGCTACTTGGGAGGCTGAGGCAGGAGAATTTGCCCTAAAAGGGCAGGAGGCCTAAAAAAGGAGTCATAGGGGATAAAGTTTAAAGATACAGGATTTTTTGTTGTTATTGTTTTACATTGTTTTATTTATTTTAATTTTTTGAGACAGGGTCTTGCTCTGTTGCCCAGGCTGGAGTGCAATGGTGCGATCTTGGCTCACTGCAACCTCCAACTCCCAGGTTCAAGTGATTCTCCTGCCTCAGCCTCCAGCGTAGCTGGGACTACAGACGCGCACCACCACGCCTGGCTAATTTTTGTATTTAGTAGAGACGGGGTTTTACCATGTTGGCCAGGCTGGTCTCGAACTCCTGACCTCATGATCCACCCACCTTGGCCTCCCAAAGTGCTGGGATTACAAGCATGAGCCACCGCTTCTGGCCATACACTTTATTTTTTAGAGAAGTTTTAGTTCACAGCAAAATTGAGCAAAAGGTATAGAGAGTTCCCGTATACTTCCTGTCCACACACGCACAATCTCTTTTACTATCAACATCCCACACCAGAGTGGTATATTTGTCACTATCAATGAACCATCATTACTACCCAAGGTCTATAGTTTACATTAGGGTTCACTCTTGGTATTATATATTCTATGGGTTTCAACAAATGTTTAGTGACATGTATCTACCATTACAGTATCATACAGAATAGTTTCACTGCCCTAAAAATCCTCTGTGCTCCACCTATTCATTCCTTTTCTCCCAATGCCTGGGAGCCACTATAGTCATCATGATGTACAATAGATCTCCTGGCCAGGTGCAGTGGCTCACGACCATACTCCCAGCACTTTGGGAGGCCAAGGCTGGTGGATCACTTGATGTCAGGAGTTTGAGACCAGCCTGGCCAACATGGTGAAACGCCGTCTCTAGTAAAAATACAAAACTTAGCTGGGCACAGTAGCTTGGGTTTGTGATCCCAGCAACTTGAGAGGCTGAGGCAGTAAGATCACTTGAGACCAGGAGTGTGAGGCTGCAGTGAGCTATGATTGTGCCACTGTACTCCAGTCTTGGCAACAGAACAAGACCCTGTCTCTAAAATAAATAAATAAATAAAAAATATAAAGTGGTTAAAATGGTGAATTTTACCTTAATTTACCTTAATTTAAAAACTACTCTTGTTTCTCTGTTATTTACAGAATAAAACTCTTTAACAGGCCAGGCGTGGTGGCTCATGTTTGTAATCCCAGCACTTTGGAAAGCTGAAGTAGGAGGATTAGTTGAGGCCAGGGGTTTGAGAGCAGCCTGGGTGACAGAATGAGACGCTATCTGTACTAAATAAATAAAAAAAAATACTGCACACTCTAGTTTTAGTGCCTTGGGAAGCTGAGACAGGAGGATCACTTGAGCCTAGGAGTTGGAGATTCCAGTGAGCTACGAGCACCACTGCACTCCAGCCTATCTCTGAAAAACAAAACAAAACAAAACAAAGCAAAGCAACTATTTAACTTGGCATACAAAGCCCTACCTGTGTCTCTAGTCTCATTATTCACATGTATCTCCTTTCAAAATATTCTAGACATATTGAAAGTAAAACTTCTTTTTTGTATCTCTGTGTCTTTACATATCCTGTTCCCTATGCCTAGAATTACCAGCATTCTACTGCACTTGGCAAATGTATACTCACTTTAGAAAATCCTGCTAAAATGTTAACCTAAGCTGGGTTTGGTAACACACCTATAATCTCAGCTACACAGGAGGCTGAGGCAGGAGGATCACTTGAGGCCAGGGGTTTAAGACCAGCTTGGCAAGGTAGTGAGACTTTCATCTCTGAAAAAAAAAATTAGCGGGCTGTGGTGGTGCACACCTGTAGTCACAGCTATTTGGGAGGCTGAGGTAGAGGACCTCTTGAGCCCAGGACTTGGAGGCTGCAGTGAACTATGATTTCACAATATGAAATCATATGATTTCATATGATATGATTTCATGTGATATGATTGTGCTACTATACTCCAGCCTGGGCAACAGAGTGAGATCCTGCCTCTAAAAACAAATAAATAATAAATAAATAAAATGTTACCCTCACATGAAGCTTTTCTTAGCTGTCTCTGGGACACTTAGTTGCTTTCTGATCTATATTCCCACAGCACTTTATTCATATTTCTCTTCTATCACTTAGCTGGATTGTTTTGTAACCTGTCAGTTAACATATCTATTTCCCATTTGATCAGTGACTTTTAAACTATTTTAGAGGTCATAGATGATGTACTATAAACTGTGGAATCTGTCTAGAAAAATACACATGTACGTATATATTTACACAGTTGTTCATCAGGTTCATGAACCTCCCAAAGGACATGCACAGACTATTCACCTGCATTAGAATCACTAGGAATGCTTGTTTATAAAGCAACCTGAGTTACTAAATCAGAATCTTTTGAGGGTAGGCCTCAAATATCTTGAACAATCCCACCAGGTAATTCTTTTATTCACTAGGCTTCAAGAACCACTGTCCTAGCTTAAGGACCCCCATGGTAGACAGTGAGTTCTTGAGGGCAGAGAGTGGATATTATTGATCTTTAGATCTTATCTATCCTAAAATCTTATTGATCTTTGGATCTTGTTGATCCTAAGATCTCACCATGTAATAGAGACCGGGCTAAGAAAGAGATCATTTTTAGCCATGGTGATCAGAAAAGGTAGCAACAAGAGATAAGAATCACCTGCCCCATGGAAAATAGGTTTTCAGTAGGTTGAGATGAAGTAGTGGAAAACACTGTAGGCACAGAGATTGGCAGCAGCAAAGGAGAGAGGCTAGAAAGTGCTATGTGTATCCATGGAACCAGTAGGATAGTAGGAAATAAGGCCAGAGAGGCGGCTTATTTAGTCATTAACTAACCATCTCCTCCCAACACACTATGTACTAGATACTATGCAAAACATTGAGAATAAATATATGAATAAGACATGGCTTTTGCTTTTCAGGAATAAGAGCAATCTAGTAGTAGGGGAAACAAACATAAAATGTGATAAAGTATAACAATGGAGAGTGAGATTTGAGACATCTTCACAGAGAAGGTAATTAAATGGAAACAGGGAATGAATAAGTATTTACAAAATGCACAAAGTTAGGAAGGATATTTCAGGAAGAAGAATTTAAACTACCCAGGTATGCTGGGGTGAAACAGCATGGCCCATTCTTATAACTGAAAATAGACTGGTATAATTGAACTATAGGTATAGAATAAAGAATTGGATAGAAGGTAAAGTTGGATAGGTAGGCAGTGGTCAGAGCACAGAAGAGCCTTGCATGCCAAACTATGTGAATAACTGGTAGCAGTTGAGGAGCTTTAAAGGGGAGAGTAAACTGTGTTTTAGATGGATGGTTACAGTATAAAGAAGACTGGGCAGGGGAAAGGCCAGAGGTAGGGAGACTAGAAGGACATTGGTATTCTCAAGGGAGAAATGAGGGCCTGAACAAAAGAGAGCAGGTGATATATTCAGAGAGGTTTTGTTTTGTTTTGTTTTGTTTTATGGATTCTTGCTCTATCGCCCAGGCTGGAGTGCAATGGTGTGATCTCGGCTCACTGCAACCTCTGCCTTCTGGGTTCAAGTGATTCTCCTGCCTCAGCCTCCCGAGTAGCTGGGATTACAGGCACGTGCCACCATGCCCAGCTAATTTTTTTTTTATTTTTAGTAGAGACAGGGTTTCACCATTTTGGCCAGGCTGGTCTCAAACTCCTGACCAGAGGTGAGCCACCCACCTCAGCCTCCCAAAGTGCTGGGATTACAGGCGTGAGCCACTGTGCCCAGCCCAGATCCTTAAAGAAGGATCAATAGGCCTTTGGTGACTAAGTGAATATGGGGAGTGTGAGAGGAGTTAAGAAGGGATTGAAGCCATTAAATGGCATGAAAATAGGTTTAGGAGCCTAGGTCAATGGTGAGACCATTAACCAAGAATGAGACTACAGGCAATAACAAAAGTTTGGGGAAAAGTGACAGCGATATAATAATTTCTAACATTTACTGAGCACCTACTATGTAGCAGGCACTATACTAAATGTTTTATATGTACTTACTCATTCAATTCTCACAACAACCTTACATGAAGTAGGTATTAATATAAGCCCCATTTTCACAATAGTGTTTAAGGGATGAGCAGAGAATGAGGAGCCAGTGAAGGAGATTGAGATTATGTTCATTAAATAATCTGAATTTTGTTCTTGTTAATTTATGTATGCATCAGTTTGGGAAAGCACTTACTTGGGTTCTTTATGCCCAGAGCTATGCTAGGTACTTTGGGAGTGATCCATAGTTTGAGATACATTGTACTTTCAAGGTTACAATACTTTTTTTGAAAAGCATACTGAGGAGGTGGGACTTGGGTTGGTGGGCAAAATGGCAAAACCCCACAAAGGTCATAAACAGACATGTTTCAAAAGAAAACATACATGTGGCCAACAAAAATATGAAAAAAGCTCAACATCACTGATCATTACAGAAATGCAAGTCAAAACCACAATGAGATACCATCTCACATCAGGCTACTATTAAAAAGTCAAAAAATAACAGCTGCTGGCAAGGTTGTGGAGAAAAAGGAACACTTACATACTGCTGGTGGGAGTGTAAATTAGTTCAATCATTGTGGAAGATTGTGTGGCAATTCCTCAAAGACCTAAAAACAGAAATACCATTAGACCCAGCAATCTCTTTATTGGGTATATACCCAAAGGAATATAAACCATTCTGTTTTAAAGGCATACACATGTATGTTCATTGTGACCAAATCACAATAGCAAAGACATGAAATCAACCTAAATGCCCATCAATGGTAGACTGGATAAGGAAAATGTGGTATGTATACACCATGGAATACTATACAGCCACAAAAAAGAATGAGATCATGTCCTTTGTAGGAGCATGGATGGAGCTGTAGACCATTATTCTTAGCAAACTAATGCAGGAACAGAAAGCCAAATACCGCATGTTCTCACTTATAAGTGGGAGCTGAATGATGAGAACACATGGACTCATAGAGGGAAACAACACACACTGGGCTGGGTGCGGTGGCTCACGCCTGTAATCCCAGCACTTTGAGAGGCCGAGGCGGGTGGATCAGGAGGTCAGGAGATCGAGACCATCCTGGCTAACATGGTGAAACCCCGTCTCTACTAAAAATACAAAAAAAATTAGCCGGGCGTGGTGGCGGGTGCCTGTAGTCCCAGCTAGCTACTGGGGAGTCTGAGGCAGGAAAATAGTGTGAACCTGGGAGGTGGAGCTTGCAGTGAGCCGAGATTGCGCCACTGCACTCCAGCCTGGGCGACAGATCGAGACTCCATCTCAAAAACAAAAAACAAACAAAAACAAACAAACAAACAAAAAAACCACACACACTGAAGCCTATTGGAGGGTGGGAGGAGAGAGAGGATCAGGAAAAATAACTAATGGGTACTAGGCTTAATACCTGGGTGATAAAATAACCTGTACAACAAACCCCCATGACACAAGTTTATCTATATAACAAACCTGCACATGTACCCTGAACTTAAAATACAAGTTAAATAAAAACAAAACAAAAAATACAAAAATTAGCCAGGTGTGGTGGTGCATGCCTGTAGTCCCAACTACTTGGGAGGCTGAGATGGGAGGATCGATTGACCCCGGGAGTTCAAGGCTGCAGTGAGCCATGGTCACACCACTGTACTCCAGCCTGGGTGACAGAGCAAGACCCTCTCTCAGAAAAAAAAAAAAATACATGTAATTTGTCCTGCTTTCTCCCAAGCCCCTGGCAACCACCAATGTGCTTTCTGTCTTTGTGGATTTGTTTATTCTGGACATTTCATGTAAATGAAATCATCCAATATGTGGTTTTTGTGTCTGACTTCTTTGACTTAGCATGATATTTTCAAGGTTTATCCACATTTTGGCATGTATCATTACTTCAACCATTTTCTGGCTGAAAAATATTCCATTGTGTGGATACACTACATTTTGTTTTTCCAGTTATCCACTGATGGACGTTTGGGTTGTTTTTACCTTTTCACTACTGTGAATAGTGCTTCTATGAACATATGTTTTCAAGGTTTTGTTTGAATATTTGTTTTGAATCTCTTGGGCATATACCTAGGAGTGGAATTGCTGGGTCATATGGTAATTCTATATTTAACATTTTGGGAAACCACCAACTTTAGTTTCCTTTAATCTGGAACATATTCCTTAGCCTTTCTTTGTCATTCATGGCATTAATATTTTTGAAGAACATAGGTCAGTTTTTTTAGAATGTCCCTCATTTTGGGTTTGTCTGATGTTTCCATGCAATTTAATTCAAGTTAAGCATTTTCAGTAGGAATAGTACAGAAGTAATTTGTGTCCTTCTCAGTGCATAATATCAGGAGGCACATGATATTTATTTGTGCCATTACTGGTGATATTAATGTTGATCACCAGTTGGTTAAAAAGATCTGCCAGTTTTCTACATTCTCAAGGTACTATTCTTCCCTTTGCAACTAATAAATATCTTTGAGGAAGATATTTTGAGAATATCTTGTTTCTCATCAAACTTTCACCCACTAGTTCTAGCATTCATTGATGATTCTTGCCTAAAACAAGTATTACTATGCTGTTTGTAAAATATTGCACAATAAGGTATTTTTCTTTGCAGTATCTGACCTTTATTTTGTGCTTGGATTGAGAATGTTGTGACTAAATTTACCTTTTGGAGAAGATACACATCAATCAGCAGCTAACTATATGCTAGTCTAAGTGACACATAGGCACTTAGAGAGAAACAAAGATATGAACACGTAACAATTAGTGTAGGGGGTAGCAGATACATAATTTATCTCCTAAGTTCTTTTTTCCCTGAGTTCATTGGCATTAATGTCACATCACTGTTGTATCGAATTCATTTGGAAATTACTCATTAATATATTTTTACCTTAATAAATCCTTAATTGAAACACTCAATATTTTTGCACAGTAAGTTTTTCATGATATATCACACCTACCACACATAGCACATCACCCAGTTGGACGTGAGAGCACATGAATTGTCGGTAATTTTAATGAAAATTCTGAATCCCACTGCACAGTGCTGTATCCCATTAATAGTGTGTAGACTGTTGGTTGAGAGAGAGATTCAGAGCACTAAGGAGATAGTGGTGTCAAAGCTAAGGGAGGTGAAAGTTCTAAGGTAGAAAAAGATGAATAGGATCAAATGCTGCAGAGGTCAACTAGTTATTTCATTATACTTGAAAACGCTCATGAAATTTGGCTTTTAAGCACAATTGGTGACCTTCTTGAGCAGTATAATTGGAATGGTATGGTTCAGAAACCAGTTTATAGTGGCTGGAAGAGTAAGGCAAGCACAACCATAAAGAAAATTATTGATAACCTTGAAAAAATTGTAAGTAGTAAAAAATACCAAAACGCCATAAGCAAAGTGAAAAAAGCCAAAATCATGAAAAATACTTTTGGTTTATTTTCAGATTTCAAAATTGTAGATAAGGGATTGAAGACATGTACAACCTTCTTGGAAAGCAGTTGGGCATATACAGTTAGGTGTTGGTTAGTGATGGGGATATCTTCTGAGAAATGCATCGTTAGACAATTTCTTCCTTTTGCAAACATCATAGTGTATTTACACAAACCTAGGTGGTATAGCTTACTACACATCTAGGCTATATGACATAGTCTATTGCTCCTAGGCTACAAACCTTTACAGCATGTTACTACATTGAATACTGTAGACAATTGTAGCACATGGTAAGTATCTGTGTAACTATGTTTAGGTACATTTATATCTAAACATAAAAAAGGTACATTAAAATAAAGGTAATATAATTTTATGGGACCATCATTGTATATGTGGTCTGTCATTGACCGAAATATAGTTATGTGGCTCATTACTATATAGCAAAGTTGAAGATATCTACCTTTTGACTAAGTAATTCCATTCCTTGTACAAAAAGTACCCATATAAGAGCGTGCATTGCAATATTGCTTGTAGTAGTGAGAAACTGGAAACACAAATGTCCATTAGTAAGTGAATGAATAAATAAATTATGGTATATTCATATGAAAGGACTCTTTGTTCAAGTTAGTTTAAAATGAATGAACTACAGCTATAGGTGTAAACATGGAAAGATCTCAATATGAAGAAGCAAAAAAAACAAGTTGTGATATAATATGTATAATATGATATTATGGATATACAACTAAACCACGCCAAAACTTAGTCACTTAAAACAACATTTTATGTATGTATGTTTTAGAGACAGGGTCTTGTTCTGTCACCCAGGCTGGAGTGCAGTGGCATGATCACTGCTCACTGCAGCCTTGACCTCCTGGGCTCAAGCAATCCTCCCACCTCAGCCTCTCGAGTAGCTGAGACCACAGACGTGCGCCACCATGCCCAGCTAATTTTTTATTTTTTATTTTTTTTGTAGAGACGAAGTCTTGCTATGTTGCCCAGGCTGGTCTTGAACTCCTGAGCTCAAGCGATCCTCCCACCTTGGCCTCCCAAAGTGCTGGGATTACAGGCGTGAGCCACTGCACTGGCTTCATTTATTTTATTTGCTCAAAATTCTGTAGATAATTAAATTCTGAGACTAGACTCAGCTGGGCATTTCTTCTGTTGGTCTTGCCTAGGCTCACTCATGCTGTGGCAGTCAGCTGTCAAGTTGGTGGGGGCTGGATGACCTAAGATGACCTCACTCACACATCTGGCAGTTGGCAGGCTATTGGCCACAGTGCCCACAGTGGTCTCTCCAGAAGGTTTGAACCTGTTCATACGGTGGCAGCATTTCAAGAGGGCAAGCCTCAATGTACAAGTGCTTTTCAAGCCTCTGTTTGCATCACATTTGTAGATATCCTGTTGTCCAAAGCAAATCACATGGCCAATACTGAAGGTATGGGTTCAGTTAAGAATGGTTCAATGGGAGTCATTACTCACATCTCGTGTAGTGTATAGACTGTTGGTCGAGAGAGATTCAGAGCACTAAGGAGATAGTGGCGTCAAAGCTAAGGGAGGTGAAAGTTCTAAGGTAGAAAAAGATGAATAGGATCAAATGCTGCGGAGGTCAACTAGTTATTACATACATGGAAATGAGAAATACCAAAGTCTGAATAGTGACCACCTCTGGGGAAAGAGGAAGAGGGATGGGGATGGGATAGGTACACATAATGCTTACTCTATCAATAATGTTTTACTTCTTTAAAAAATAGGAAAGAAATTTGACAAAATGTCAGGCGTGTTTTGTTTTATTTTGTTTTGTTTTGAGATGGAGTTTCGCTATTGTTGCCCAGGCTGGAGTGCAACGGCGCGATCTTGACTCACCGCAACCTCTGCCTCCCAGGTTCAAGCAATTCTCCTGCCTCAGCCTCCTGAGTAGCTGGGATTACAGGCATGCGCCACCACACCTGGCTGATTTTGTATTTTAAATAGAGACGGGGTTTCTGCATGTTGGTCAGGCTGGTCTCAAACTCCCGACCTCAGGTGATCCACCCGCCTTGGCCTGCCAAAGTGCTGCGATTACAGGCGTAAGCCACCGCGCCCAGCCAAAATGTCAGTTTTTAATAAACTGAGTTTTAGGTACATGGGTTTTTATTTTATTATTCTCTACCCTTTTTTGTTTGCTTAAAGTATTTCTAAATTTCAAAAAAGCAAATGGGAGGTGTGGAAATGCAGACTAACCTTTGAAGAAGTTTGGCAAAGGGAAAGAGTAATAGGGAAAGCAGACTGTAGCTAGCATAGTTGAAGGAATGCGATTTTTTTTTTAAGATGGGCAAAGACTTGAGAACACTAATAGGTTAAAGAGAAGATGTCAGTAGAATAGGCTGCTATGAGAGAAAGTTAATTCAAGAAGTACATTTTAGAGGGAAGCTTATTGATCAATTCCTCTGTTGATCACTTCATATGAATTCACTTAGTATATGAAAGGAGATTTTTATGAAACACTATCAAAATTGCTAGCATTAGGCAAGGTCGTGGAGAAAAGGCAATGCTTATACGCTGCTGATGGGAGTGTAAATTGTGGAAGACAGTGTGGCAATTCCTCAAAGAACTAAAAACTGAAGTACCATTTGACCCAGCAATCCCACTACTGGGTATAACCCAAAACAATAAAGGCACATGCATGCGTATGTTCACTGCAGCAGTATTCACAACAGCAAAGACATGGAATCAACCTAAATGTCCAGCAATGGTAGACTTGATAAAGAAAATGTGGTGGCCAGGCACGGTGGCTCACACCTGTAATCCCAGCACTTTGGGAGGTGGAGGCAGTTGGATAAACCTGAGGTCAGGACTTTGAGACCAGCCTGATCAACATGGTGAAACCCTGTCTCTACTGAAATACAAAATTAGCCGGGCATGGTGGCAGATGCCTGTAATCCCAGCTACTCAGGAGGCTGAGGCAGGAGAATCACTGGAACCTGGGAGGCAGAGTTTGCGGTGAACCAAGATCACGCCATTGCACTCCAGCCTGGGCAACAGAGTAAGACTTCATCTCAAAAAAAAAAAAAAAAAAAGCAAAGAAAATGTGGTACATATACACCATGGAGCACTACACAGCCATAAAAAGAACAAGATCATGTCCTTTGCAGGAACATGGATGGAGCTGAAGGCCATTATCCTTTGCAAACTAAGGCAGGAACAGAAAACCAAACACTGCATGTTCTCACTTATATGTAGGAGCTAAACAATGAGAACACATGGACACATAGCGGGAAACAACAGACACTGGGGCCTACTTGAGGGAGGAGGATGAGAGGATGGAGAGGTTTAGAAAAAAAATACAACTCTTGGGTACTATGCTTACTACCTAGGTAATGAAATAATCTGTACGACAAACCCTTGAGTCACGAGGTTACCTATATAGCAAATATGTACATCTACCTCAAACCTAAAATAAAAGTTAAAATATTAAAAAAAAGAAATTTTTTTACTCTAAGTTCTGGGATACATGTGCAGAATGTGCAGGTTTTTTACATAGGTATACATGTGCCATGGTGGTTTGCTGCACCTATCAACCCATCATCTAGGTTTTAAGCCCCACATGCATTGGGTATTTGTCTTAATGCTCTCCATCCCCCTGCCCCTTAACCCCCGACAGGCCCTGGTGTGTGATGTTTCTCTCTCTGTGTCCACGTGTTCTCATTGTTCAACTCCCATTTATGAGTGAGAACATGTGGTGTTTGGTTTTCTGTTCCTGTGTTAGTTTGCTGAGAATGATGGTTTCCAGCTTCATCCATGTCCCTGCAAAGGACATGAACTCATTCTTAAAAAAAGAAATTTTGTACACACACTTAAGTAATATTACTTAAAAACCTGTATATTAATAATGTAAGATAGTAAAGTTACTATGTAAGTAGTAAGGCAATATAAATAATAACAAAGCCTGAAACACAATTTTAAAAAATTGCCAGCATTTACTGCTCATAGTTGAATGAATAATGAAAGGACACTGTCTTAGTCCGTTCTCATGCTGCTTATAAAGACATACCTGAGACTAGGTAATTTATAAAGGAAAAAAGTTTAATGGACTCACAGTTCAGCATGGCTGGGGAGGCCTCAGGAAACTTACAATCATAGTGGAGGGGGAAGCAAACAAGTCCTTCTTCACATGGTAGCAGCAAGCAGAAGTTCAGAGCAAAGGTGGGAAAAAGCCCCTTATAAAACCATCAGATCTCATGAGAACTCACTCACCATCATGAGAACAGGATGGGGGAAACCGTCCCCCCGATTCAATTATCTCCACCTGGTCTCTCCCAGGACATATGGGGATTATGGGAACTACAATTCAAGATGAGATTTGGATGAGGACACAGCCCAACCATGTCAGACACAGTCAGAAGAAGAAAAAGCAAGGCAACAAACAAAAGGCTACTTACTGCCAAAGAGAAGTTTCAAAATTCATTTATATAGTGAACATTTATTGAGCACTTATAATGTGCTAAACACACTGAGATACAAAGATTGGTTAAGTCTTTCTTTTCTTTCTTTCTTTCTTTCTTCCTTTCTTCTTTCTTTTCCTTCCTTCCTTCTTTCCTTCCTTCTTTTCTTTCTTTCTTCCTTCCTTCTTTCCTTCCTTCTTTTCTTTCTTTCTTTCTTCCCTCCCTCCCTCCCTCCCTCCCTCCCTCCCTCCCTTCCTTCCTTCCTTCCTTCCTTCCTCTCTTTCTTTCTTTTGAGACCAATCTCACTCTTATTGCCCAGGCTGGAGTGCAGGGGCACCATCATAGCTCACTACAGACTCGAACTCCTAGGCTCAAGCAGTCCTCCCACCTCAGCCTCCCGAGTAGCTGGGACTACAGGCACACACCACCATGCCCGGCTGCAATATTTTATTTCTATCACCATGTATCTTACATCTAGTGGGGGATGATATTGTGTAAACAGAAATATTACATTCTAGTGTGGTAACTGCCATTGCAGAGTGGTGAACAGAGTGCTATGGGAACACAGAGAACAGAACAATCAACTATGTTTAATACACATTGCCTGTAGCATAGTGGTTAAAAGTTCAGGTTTTGAAGACCTATATTTAAATCCCACCATTTACTAGATGACAATGCTATTTAGCCCCTTTAAATCTCAGCTTTTTCATCTGTAAAATGATAATAGTAGTTATAGAATTGATTGAGGATTAAAATAAGCTAATGAACATAAATTGTTTAGCAAAACTCCTTGATAAATAATAGCTAGTTTGTCTTTCCCAAGAAGACACATACTAAAGGATGAGTAGGACATTGTCAGGTGAGGAAGAAAGAAAAGGACATTCTAAGAGGACAGGATACAATGTGTGAAGACATGGAGACATTATAGGGCCTGCTGTGTTTGTGGAATGGTGAGAAGCTTAGCATGCAGGAGTTTGGGGGTGGAGTAGAGCGTGAGGCTAACAACCTGGACTGAATCCTAACATGCTAGACCAAGGAGTTGTGTTTTATCCTGTAGGCACCGAGGAGTCAAAAGAGTGAGTTTTGTTTTGTAAAGATCATTTCGAAAGTAGTGTGGAAGTTGAACAGGTGTAGAATGGAGAGAGATTGGTGGCAGGACTACTTAGCAGACGTAATAGTCCAAGCTGGACATTATGAGAGTCTGAACCAAGATCGAGGCAGTATGGGGGAAAGGCTAGGCTTGACAGAATGATATTTATGAGTTAAAATCAACAGGACTGTATGCTGATTGATTAGATGTGCAGCGTTAGGGAGAAGGGATAATTAAGGCAAAAGCAAAAGCTTCTAGCTTAGGAACATGGCTTGCGATTGTGAATGAGAATGTAATTCAAGAATTTAGTAAATTGTGGCAGTAGAGAAGGTAAGTCTGATTTTAGACTAGTGGAGCTTAGGGTACCTCTTTGTAACCTGTAGGTAAAGATGCTTAATTGTAATTTGGAAATACAAATCTAGAGCTTAAGCAAGAGTTCGAGGCTATTATTAAAAATTTCCATGGATGAAATTGGAAATCATCATTCTCAGTAAACTATCGCAAGGACAAAAAACCAAACACTGCATGTTCTCACTCATAGATGGGAATTGAACAATGAGAACACATGGACACAGGAAGGGGAACATCACACTCTGGGGACTGTTGTGGGGTCGGGGGAGAGGGGAGGGATAGCATTAGGAGATATACCTAATGTTAAATGACGAGTTAATGGGTGCAGCACACCAGCATGGCACATGTATACATATGTAACTAACCTGCACATTGTGCACATGTACCCTAAAACTTAAAGTATATATATAAAAAAAAAAAAGAATAAAGCAACTTAGATTTAACTGTAAAAAAAATTTTGCAATCTGTCATTGTATAGATGATAGTTGAAGCTGTGTAAGTAGATAAACTTTGTTCCAGGTGGTGTAAGAAGATAAGAGACTAGGACATAACCCTAGGGAATCCCAATGAATAAGTGTTGAACAGAAGAGGGAAGTCTGAAAGGGAAAGGTAAGAAAAAAAAATGAAGAGACAGTAGTGTCATTTCTTCCCATTTCACTCCTTTCTTCCCAGAGGCCAAGAAGAACTTCTGGGAAATAAGAGCAACCAATCGCCTTAGGCTGTATAAATATGGGCCAATAAGTTCAGCAACTAGGAAGCTTTCCTTTAAAGTTTGTTGGAGTCACGGCAGAAGGCAGACTGCAGCAAATTGAACAAATGGACAGGGCGAAAGGACAGTGGTTGTAGATTAATTGTTCCAGAAATCTGGCTATGAAAGGAAGGAGGTAGAAAGGATGGTAGTTTGTAACGAGATAGGGGAGAAATAGTGTTTTAACTTTGTTTTAGAATGGGGAAACGTTAAGCCTGTCTGTAGGTATATAAGAAAATGTGGAAAATAGAAGAGAAAGGGGATATTTGATGGAATCAGAGTCTAGAGAGACAATCTTCCTTGTAGATTCTTTTGGTGACCACCACTTGTAAGTTGATTTAGGATGTTCAGAGTGTGGAACAAAGCCAGAGAAGAATCGAGAGGGAGTGAGACACAAAAGAACAAAGCTTGGAGTCCTGTTCATTACTTCCTTTTATGTTCTAGAGAATGCTTATCATAGAGAACAATCAGTCTTTCTCTGGGTCTCCATTTACCCTGTTACTTTGCCCTAGAAGATGTTATTCATTTCCCTGACTGAAACAGATGGTAGAAAATGCAACTCAGCTTACTTACTGTTAAAACAAACCATCTTTTTGGACTTTTATTATTTGGAATTTTCTTATAATAGTTATATTTATTTTAGAAATTTTAGATAATACAGATAAAAAATAAAAGAAAACTGGCAGCCCTACTCCCCAGGAATAATCAATATTAACATTTTGGTATATATTCTTTCAGTCTTTTTTCCCTTATCTGTAATAGGAGGAAAATATGCAAATAGCCAACCCCCATGGAACCACTTCCATAAGGCTTCTGTCAGATTCCAAATGTTCCCAAGGCTTCTATAGTACTTATGTAACAAGCCACACAGTGGATTGATTACTGTTAATGTATGTCCTCTGGGAGTTGCCAAGGAGGCTCACACTTTCAATTACTGTACATCCCAGATTTGAAAGCATATCCCTAACTATTTGTCTTAAGGATTTTAATTTTTTTCTTTCTTGCTACTGGATATAAGTGTCTAACAATTCTCACTGGGAATTGATTAGTGAGTAGGTATTGTCAGGTAACATGATTAATGCTGTAATAAGTATATAGGAAACTAAGAACTCAGAAAAAGAATTACTCATTGAAATTTTAATAATAACTGTCATTTAAGAGATGAGATTAACTATGTGGAGAAGTGGTTTACAACTGTGTTGCTAATGAAAACATAGGAAATAACCAAGTTAATCAAAGTGCAACTTTAGAACTGGGTGGTAACTTAAAAAAGCATTTCTGCCCTCCCTCAGCTGCAGGCATCTCGGCACAGAGACAGAGAGAGAGAGAGAGAGAGAGAGAGAAGAGAGAGAGAGAGAGAGACTCTGTTTGTTTGGGTAAAAGTAAGGGCAGAGAAAAAAAGTTTCTGTCTGGTAATCCAGAGAATTCTTTCGGATCTGATCCAAGACCACCAAGGCAGTACCTCAATGAGTCTGCAAGAGCCACAGTGTTACTGAGCTTGGGGTGCCCCCTAACGTAGATGTGACTACAGTGACCAAAAACTTAGATCACAACACCCAAAGTCCCTTCGAATACCTGGAAAGTTTCCCAAGAAGGACGGGTATGAACAAGCCCAGACTACAAAGACTACTAAACACCTAACATTTCAATACTTAGACACTGACGAACATGCACAAGCACGAAGACCATTTAGGAAAACATGATCTTCCCAAATGAACTAAATAAGGCACCAAGGACCAAGCCTGGAGAGACAGAGATATGTGATCTTTCGGACAGAGAATTTGAAATAGCTGTTTTGAAGAAACTCAAGAAAATTCAAGATAACACAGATAAGGAATTCAGAATCCTATCAGATAAATTTAACACAGAGATTTAAATAATTAAAAAGTATCAAGCAGAAATTCTGGTGTTAAAAAATGTAATTGACACACTGAAGAATGAATCAGAGTTTCTTAATTGCAGAATTGATCAAGCAGAAGAAAGAATTAATGAGCTTGAAGACAGGCCATTTGAAAATACATGGCCAGGCATAGTAGCTTATGTCTGTAATCCCAGCACTTCGGGAGGCTGAAGCAGGAGGATCACTTGAGCCCAGGAGTTTAAGACCAGCCTGGGCAACATAACAAGGCATCATTTCTATAAAAAATTTTTTTTTAATTAGCTGGGTATGGTGGCATGTGTGCCTGTAGTCTTAGCTACTCAGGAGGCTGAGGCAGGAGGATCACTTGAATCTAGGAGTTCAAGGCTGCAATGAGCTATGATTGTGCCACTGCACGACAGCCTGGGTGAAAGAGCAAGACCTTGGAAAAAAAAACCCACAGTCAGAGGAGACCAAAGAAAAAATAATAAAAAAGAATGAAGCACTCTTACAAGATCTAGAAAATAGCCTCAAAAGGGCAAGTCTAAGAGTTATTGGCCATAAAGAGATGGGAGAGAGAGATAGGGGTGGAAAGTTTATTTAAAGGGACAATAACAGAGAACTTCCCAAACCTAGAGAAAGTTATCAATACTTGAATTCAAGAGAGTTATAGAACAGCAAGTAGATTGAACTGAAATAAGACTATGATTTAATAATCAAACTTCCGAAGGTCAAGAATAAGAAAGGATCCAGGCTGGGCACAGTGGCTCATGCCTGTAATCCCAACACTCTGGGAGGCCAAGGTGGGTGGGTCACTTGAGGCCAGGAGTTCGAGACCAGCCTGGCTAACATGGTGAAACCCTGTCTCTACTAAAAATTAAAAAAAATATTAGCCAGGCATGGTGCCCTCCCCCTGCAGTCCCAGCTATTCAGGAGGCTGAAGCATGAGAATTGCTAGAACCTGGGAGGTGGAGGTTGCAGTGAGCTGAGACTGTGCCACTGCACTCCCTCTGTCTGGGTGACAGAGGGAGCCTCTGCCTCAAAAAATAATAATAATAAAATAAAAATAAAAGATACCAAAAGCAGCAAGAGAAAAGAAAGAAAAAAAAACATACAATGGAGCTCCAATATATCCAGCAGCAGACTTTTCAGTGGAAACCTTACAGGCCAGGAGAGAGTGGCGTGACATATTTAAAGTGCTGAAGGAAAAAACTTTTACCCTAAAATAGTACATCTGGCAAAAATATCCTTCAAACATGAAGGAGAAATAAAGACTTTTCCAGACAAACAAAAGCTGAGGGATTTCATCAAAACCAGACTTATCTTACAAGAAATGCTAAAGGGAGTTCTTCAGTCTGAAAGAAAAGGATACTAATGAGGAATAAGAAATCATCTGAAGGTATAATACAAAACTCACGGGTAACAGTAAGTACACAGAAAAACACAAAATATTATAACATTGTAATTGCAATGCATAAATACTCATATCTTGAGTAGAAAGACTAAAAGATGAACCGATCAAAAATAATAACTATGACAACTTTTCAAGACATAAACAGTACAATAAAATATAAATAGAAACAACAAAAAGTTATAAGGCTGGAGGATGAGGTTAAAGTGTAGAGTTTTTATTAGTTTTCTCTTTGCTTGTTTGTTAGTTACCTTGTTTGTTCATGCAATTAGTGTTAAGTTGTCATCAGTTTAATAATAACATTGAATGTAAATGGACTCAACTCTCCAATCAAAAGACACAGAGTGGCTGAATGGATAAAAAAAAAGCAAGACCCAATGATCTGTTGCCTACAAGAAGCACACTTCCCCTATAAAGACACACATAGACTGAAAATAAAGGGATGGAAAAAGATATTCCATGCCAATGGAAATAAAAAAGGAGAAGGAGTAGCTGTACTTCTGTCAGACAAAATAGATTTCAAGACAAAAACTATAAAGAGACAAAGAAGGTCATTATATAATATAAATATAAATATATATAAAGAGACAAAGAAGGTCATTATATATAAAGAGACAAAGAAGGTCATTATATAATGATAAATTCAGCAAGAGGATATAACAATTTTAAATACATATGCATCCAACACCAGAGCACCCTGATATACAAAAGGAATATTATTAGAGCTAAAGAAAGAGACAGAACCTAATACAATAATAGCTGTAGACTTCAACACCTCACTTTTAGCATTGGACAGATCATCTGGACAGAAAACCAACAAAGAAACATTGGACTTAATCTGCACTATAGATTAAGATCTGCAAACTGATCTAAAAGATATTTACAGAACATTTCATCCAATGGCTGCAGAATACACATCTTCTCATCAGCAAATGGATCATCCTCAAGGATAGACTATATGTTAGGCCACAAAACAAGTCTTAAAACATTAAAAAAAAATTATGTCAAGTACATTCTCTGACCACAGTGGAATAAAACTAGAAATCAATAACAAGAGGAATTTTGGAAACTATACAAACACATGGAAATTAAACACCATGCACTTAAATGACAAGTAGGCCAATAAAAAAAATGAGAAGAAAACTGAAAAATTTCTTGAAACAAATGATAATGGAAGCACAACATACCCAAACCTATGGGACGCAGTGAAAGCAGTACTAAGAGGGAAGTTTATAGCTATAAGCACCTACGTCAAAAAAGTATTAGGTTGATGCAAAAGTAATCGCGGTTTTTGCCATTGAACATAATGGCAAAAAGTAATGGTTTTCACTTTCAATGGCAAAAACCGCAATTACTTTTGCACCAACCTAGAAAAAACTTCAACCTAGTTCTAGTTGAAGAGATAAACAACCTAAATGAACTTTTCTAGTTCTTTAACATGCATCATTAGGTGGTTTATTTGAAGAATAGAACCTAATGATGCATGAGACAGAACTAGAAAAACTAGAAAAACAAGAAAAAACAACCCCAAAATTAGTAGAAGAAAATAGATAGTAATGATCAGAGCAGAAATAAGTGAAATTGAAACAAATAAAACAATACAAAAGATTGATGAAATGAAAAGTTGTGTATTTTTTGGAAAAGATAAACAATATTGACAAACCTTTAGTCAGACTAAGAACAGAAGAGAGATTATCCAAATAAATAAAATCACAGATGAAAAGGGAGACTTTACAACTGATACTGCAGAAATTCAAAGGATCATTAGAGGCCACTATGAGCAACTATATGCCAATAAGTTAGAAAACCTTGAAGAAATGAATAAATTCCTAGACATATACACCTTCCCAAGATTGAACCATGAAGAAATCCAAAACTTGAACACACCAATAACAAGTAATGAGATCGAAGCTATAATACTAAGTCTCCCAGCAAAGATAATCCTGGGGCCCAATGGCTTCACTGCTGAATTTTACCAAACATTTTAAGAAGAACTAATACCAATCCTATTCAAACTATTCTGAATAACAGAGGAGGAGGGAATATTTTCAAACACACTCTACAAGGCCAGTATTACCCTGATACCAAAACCAGACAAAGACACTTCAGAAAAAGAAAACTACAGGCCAGTATCCCTGATGAACGTTAACGTAAAAATTCTCAAGAAGGCCAGGCATGGTGGCTCACGCCTGTAATCCCAGCACTTTGGGAGGATGAGGCGGGTGGATCACATGAGGCCAGGAGTTTGAGACCAGCGCGGCCAACACGGTGAAACCCCATCTCTACTAAAAATACAAAAATTAGCTGGGCGTGTTGCTGCACGTCTGTAAACCCAGCTACTCAGGAGGCTGAGCCATGAGAATTGCTTGAACCTGGGAGGCAGAGGTTGCAGTGAGTTGAGATCGTGCCACTGCACTCCAGCCTGGGCAACAGGGTGAGATCTTATCTCAAAAAAAAAAAATCCTCAAGAAAATACTAACAAACCAGTCAGATGCAATGGCTCATGCCTGTCAATCCCAGTGCTTTGGGAGGCCAATGTGGGAGGATTACTTGAAGCCAGGAGTTTGAGACCAGACTGGGCAACATAGTGAGACCCTGTCTCTACTAAAAAAAAAAAAAAGACAAAAAAAGACTAGCAAATCGAATTCAACAACACATTAAAAGATCATTCATCATGGCCAAGTGGGATTTATCTCTGGATGCAAGGATGGTTTAATGTATGCAAATCAATCAATGAGATATGTCATACCAATAGAACAAAGGACAGAAACCATATGATCATTTCAACTGATGCTGAAAAAACATTTAATAAAATTCAACATCCCTTCATGATAAAAATCCTCAAGAAACTGGGTATAGAAGAAACATACCTCAACACAACACAAGCCATATATGACAGACCACAGCTAGTATCATACTGAATGAGGAAAACCTCAAGGCCTTTACTCTAAGATCTGGAACACAACAAGGATGACTACTGTAAACACTGTTATTCAACATAGTACTGGAAGTCCTAGCTAGAGCAATCAGACAAGAGAAAGAAATAAAAGGTATCCAAATTGGAAAAGAAATCAAATTATACTTGTTTGTAAATGATATGATCTTATATTTGGAAAAAACCTAAAGACTTCACCAAAAAACTATTAGAACTGATAACAAATTCATAAAGTTACAGGATATAAAATCAACATACAAAAATCAGTAGCATTTCTACATGCCAGCAGTGAATAATCTGAAAAAGAAATCAAGAAGGTAACCCCATTTACAATAGCTGCACATAAAATTAAATAGGAATTAACTTATAAAAGGAAGTGAAAGATCTCTACAATAAAAACTACAAAACATTGGTGAAATAAATTTAACAGGATACAAAATATAGAAAGATATTCCATGTTCATGGACTGAAAGAATCAATATTGTTAAAATGGTCATACTACGAAAAGCAATCTGAAGATTCAATGTAATCCTTATCAAAATACCAATGACATTCTTCGCAGAAATAGAAAAAACAATCCTAAAATTTATGTGGAACCACAAAAGACCCTGAATAGCCAAAGCTATCCTAAGCAAAAAGAACAAAACTGGAGGAATCACATTACCTGACTTCAAATTATACTACAGGCCAGGCACAGTGGCTCATGCCTGTAATCCCAGCACTTTAGGAGGCCAAGGCAGGAGGATCACCTGAGGTCAGGAGTTCGAGATCAGCATGGCCAATGTGATGAAACCCATCTCTACTGAAAATACAAAAATTAGCCAGGTGTGGTGGTGGGCACCTGTAATCCCAGCTACTGGGGAGTCTGAGGCAGGAAAATAACTTGAACCCAGGAGGTGGAGGTTGCAGTGAGTTGAGATTGCACCACTGCACTCCAGCCTGGGCAACAGAGGGAGACTTCATCTCAAAAAAAGAAAGAAAAAGAAAAAAAATTATACTACAGAGCTATAGTAACCAAAACAGCATGGTACTGGCATAAAAACAGACATAGACCAATGGAACAGAATAGAGAACCCAGAAACAAATCCATACAACTATAGTAAACTAATCTTCAACAAAAGTGTCCAGAACATACAAAGGGGAAAGGACAGTCTCTTTAATAAATACTGCTGAGAAAACTGGCTATCCATATGCAGAAGAATGAAACTAGATCCCTTTATCTTGCCATATACAAAAACCAAATCAAAATGGATTAAAGACATAAACCTAAGACCTCAAACTATGAAATTACTAAAAGAAAATATTGGGGATTTATATGGTTTGGCTGTGTCTCCACCCAAATCTCATCTTGAATTGTAGCTCCCATAATTCCCACGTGTTGTGGGAGGGACCCAGTGGGAGATAATTGAATTATGGGGCGGTTTCCCCCATACTGTTCTTGTGGCAGTGAATAAGTCTCATGAGATCTGATGGTTTTATAAGGGAAAACCCCTTTCACTTGGTTCTCATTCTCTCTTTTCTGCCACTATGTAAGACATGTCTTTCACCTTCTGCCATGATTGTGAGGCCTCCCCAGCCACGTGGAACTGTGAGTCCATTAAACCTCTTTTTCTTTATAAATTACCCAGTCTCAGGTATGTCTTTATCAGCAGTGTGAAAAATAACTAATATAGGAACTCTCCAGGACGTTGGGCTGGGCAAAGATTTCTTGAAGAATACCCCACAAGCACAGTCAACCAAAGCAAAAATGGACTAATGGGATCACATCAAGTTAAAAACTTCTGTACAGCAAAGGACACAATCAACAAAGTGAGGAGAGAACCCACGGAATGGGAGAAAATATTTGCAAACTATCTGTCTGACGAGGAGTTAATAATCAGAATATATAAGAAGCTCAAATAACTCTATAGAAAAAAATCTAATAATCCGATTTAAAATGGGCAAAAGATCTGAATAGACATTTCTCAAAAGAAGACATACAAATGGCAAACAGGTATATGAAAAGATGTTCAACGTCAATCATCAGAGAAGTACAAATCAAAACTACAATGAGATATCATCTTACCCCAGTTAAAATGTCTTTTACCCGAAAGACAGACAATAATAAATTCTAGCAAGGATATGGAGAAAAAGGAACCCTTGTACACTGTTGGTGGGAATGTCAATTAGTACAGCCACTATAGAGGACAGTTTGGATGTTCCTCAAAAAACTAAAAATAGAGCTAGCTACCATATGATCCAACAATCTGACTGCTGGATATATACGCCAAAGAAAGGAAATCAGTATACCGAAGAGATAGCTGCACTCCTATGTTTGTTGCATCATTATTCACAATAGCCAAGATTTTGAAGCAACCTAAGTGTCCATCAACAGATGAGTGGATAAAGAAAGTGCTACATATACACAATGGAGTACTGTTCAGCCATAAAAAAGAATGAGATCCTGTCATTTGCAACAATATGGATGGAATTGGAGGACATTATGTTAAGTGAAATAAGCCAGGCACAGAAAGACAAACTTGATGTGTTTTCACTTATTTGAGGGGGCAGAAAATGAAAACAATTGACCCTGGAGATAGAGAGTAGAAGGATAGTTATCAGAGGCTTGGGAGGGTAGTGGTGGGGGCAGTGGGAACGATTAATTGGTAAAAAAATACGGTTGGATAGAATAAATAAGATCTAGTATTTGATAGCACAACAGAGTGACTACAGTCACAATAACTTATCATACATTTAAAAGTAACTAAAAGAGTATAATTGGATTGTTTGTAACACAAAGCAGGATAAATGTTTGTGGTGATGGATATTCCATTTACAATGGTATGATTATTATGTATTATATGCCTATAGGAAAATATCTCACTCACCCCATAAATATATACACCTACTATGCACCCTCAAGATTAAAAATTAAAAAATAAAGCCAAATAACTTTAAATAAAGAACAAAGGATGTTTTAAATAAAATTCATAAAAAAGAGGAAATGAGCTCTGTAGTCAGCCTGAGATACAAGCTTATGGTGAAGGTTCCCACTCCATAGAACAGAGAAGATAGCTTTCCCAGTATAAATGGTATTATATAGTGTTTGAGATAATCTCCTGAAATACTACTCTATACAAACAACACTAACCTTGTAATTATATTTCTTAAGTGACCCACACCCTGAATAATGTCTTTAGAGGTCAAACATCTACAGACTAAAAGCACTTTCAGAAGGCCCATTCATTTCAGGTAGAATGTTTTATAAAAGGATTATTCTTATTGACTTCTAATGTGTCTTCCAACTCTGAAATTCATTCAGGAATGTAATAAATGGAAAGGGGATTGGGAACCACTTATTTCTAAATTTGGTATTCACTATTCCTAAAGTTGCAGTCACCAACATTGCAACTTACAGAGAAATTAGGTGCCACCAGGCTGCGTTAGACTGAGCCTTAAAGATGCCACAGTATCTCTGTGGTATTTCCTAGACCAGGGCCTGATCTGTTGTTTTGTAGGTCCAGAAACTCAATTTTGTCGGTTCATCCAAAGATGATCAGATTCAGAACTAACTTGAATTCTGTGGCCAATAGACCAGAAAGAAATGTATTAATTAATGGTTCTTAAATGTGTGTAGCATTTTAAATCTTTCCTTGTTAGTAACTTTTTTTCTATTTAAAGTAACACATTTGGGGAAAATGCAAGTTGAGAAACAAAATATAAAATATGATTAAGATGACAAACAGCAATTTCACTTCTGAGTATATGCCTGTAAGAATTAGCGCAGGGACTTGAACAGGTATCTGTACAACCACGTTCACAGCAGCATCATTCAGAATAGCCGAAAGGTAGAAGCAACCCAAATGTCCATCAATGGACGAATGGATAAATGAAATGTGGTACACAATGGAATATTATTCAGCCTTAGAAAGGAAGGAAATTCTGACATATGCTACGTGAATAAACTTTGAGGACATTACGCTAAATGAAATAAACCAGACCATTCTAATCTGCTCTGTTCCTATTCCTGAAACCTTTATGACTTTGGCCTTTGTGTTCTTTTCCAGGTGACCAGAGGTGATATCTAAAAGAAGAAAGGAAGCATTAATAACATGAAAAACAGATCTGCCTTTAGGGAATGTGCTCCTTGGCTCTAGATTCCAAACTTTGATCTTTTCATTCAACTTAGAATTTATGAGTACTTACTTATGCCAGGTATTTTGTGAGACTTTGGGATAAGAAGTTGTGTAAGATTTAGCCCCTGTACAGGAAGAGTTTATAATTCTGTGGGGGAAACAAACATATGAACAAATAATTGCCATATTGCAAAGCATAAGAACAAGAATAGAGGTGCTATGGGAACACAGTATGGGAGGCTAACAGTGTTAGAAAAAAATCCTCGGCCGAGCATGGTGGCTCATGCCTGTAATCCCAGCACTTTGAGAGGCTGAAGGGGGTGAATCACCTGAGGTCAGGAATTTGAGACCAGCCTGGCCAACATGGTGAAACCCTGTCTCTACTAAAAATACAAAATTAGCCAGGTGTGGTGGCACATGCCTGTAATCCCAGCTACTTAGAAGACTGAGGCAGGAGAATTGCTTGAACCTGGGAGGCAGAGGTTGCAGTGAGCCGAGATCGTGCCATTGCACTCCAGCCTGGGCAACAAGAGAGAAACTCCGTCTCAAAAAAAAAACCTTCATGGAAGAGATAGTTGAGTATTGAAGCATAAGGAGAAATGTACTAGGCAGACATTAGAGAGAACAGCATGAGGAAAGGCAGAGAGAGATGAAAGAACATGGAATGTTTGGGGACCATCAGAAAGTTCCCTCTACGGGCTCTCTAAAAATTCATAACTATACTGAGGTGGGAGACTGGCAGTACTTGTTTTCTGGTCACAACCCTGCTGACCAAAACAGGATATGGTCCAGACAGGATAAAGTGAAGAAACCCGCAGGAAACAGCAGATGGCAACAAAAGTGATCCCTAGCTGCTTTTTTTTTTTTTTTCCAAGACAGAGTCTTGCTCTGTTGCCCGGGCTGGAGGGCAGTAGTGTGATCTTGGCTCACTGCAACCTCTGCCTCCCGGGTTCAAGTCATTCTCCTGCCTCAGCCTCCCGAGTAGCTGGGATTACAGGCATGCGCCACCACGCCCAGCTAATTTTTGTATTCTTAGGAGAGATGGGGTTTCACCATGTTGGCCAGGTTGGTCTCGAACTCTTGACCTCGTGATCCACTTGCCTTGGCCTCCCAAAATGCTGGGATTACAGGCATGAACCACCGTGCCCACCCCCCTAGCTGCTTTCATTGCTTATTGATATAAGGCACTCGCACCAGGCCATGACAGTTTACAAATGTCATGGCAACAACCCGGAAGTTACCACCCTTTCCATAGCAATAACCTGGAAGTTATCGCCTCTTTCCTAGAAAATTCTAAATAACCCACTCAGTAATTTGCATTCACCCACCCCTTAATTTGCATGTAACTGAAAGTGGGTCTGAGTATAAATACAGTTGCCAAGAACCCAGACCTTGCCAACCCTGGTGCGCTGCCTATGAGGTAGCCGTGCTCCGCAAGGAGCAGTACACTTCAATCAAAGATTACTGTCTCACACTACTGGCTTGCTCTTGACCTTTTTTTTTTTTTTTTTTGAGACAGAGTCTAGCTCTGTCACCCAGGCTGGAGTGCAGTGGCATGATCTCAGCTCACTGCAACCTCCACCTCCTGGGTTCAAACGATTCTCCTGCCTCAGCCTCCCAAGTAGCTGGGATTATAGGCACACACTATCACATCTGGCTAAATTTTTTATTTTTAGTAGAGACGGGGTTTCACCATGTTGGCCAGGCTGGTCTCAAACTCCTGATCTCAGGCGATCCACCTGCCTCGGCCTCTCAAAGTGCTGGGATTACAAGCGTGAGCCACCTTGTCCAGCCTTTTAGCCATTCTTTAAGGGTAGGTTTGTTAACAACAAATTCACTTAATTTTCCTTTATCTGAAGGTATGTCTTTATTAGAACAGTTTTAGATTTATAAAAACATTGCAAAGATCGTACAGAGAGTTTCCATATACCCTGCATCCAGTTTCTCCTATTATTAACCACTTATATTAATATAGTACATTTGTTACAATTAATGAAGCAATATTAATACATCATTATTAAAGTCCATACTTTATTCAGAGTTCCTTAGTTTTTACCTAATGTACTTTAAAAAATTATGTTTAGCAGCAAGGTCTTCCTCTATTGCCTAGGCTGGAGTGCAGTGGTATGATCATAGCTCACTGCAGCCTTGAACTCCTGGGCCCAAGTGATCCTCTTGCCCTAGTCTCCTGAGTAGCTGAGGCTTCAGGTACATGCCACCATGCCAGGATAATTTTTTAAAAATTTCTAGAAGAGATGTGGTCTACCTATGCTGCCCAGGCTGGACTGGAACTCCTGGCCTCAAGTGATCCTCCCACCTTGGCCTCCCAAAGTGCTGGGATTACAGGCATGAACCACCATGCAGGGCCACGTAATGTCCTTTATCTGCTCCAGAATATCATCTGGAACACTGCATTACATTTAGTCGTCATGTCTCCTTAGGCTCCCCTTGGCTATGACAGTTTCTCAGGTGTTTATTGTTTTTGATGACCTTGATAGTTTGAGAAGTACTTGTCAGTTGTTTTATAAAATATTCAAATTTGTCTGATGTCTGTTGATATGGTTTGGCTCTGATATGGTTTGGATGGCTCCCCATCCAAATCTCACCTTGAATTGTAATCCCCATAATCCCCATGTGTCAATGGTGGGAGCAGGTGGAGGTAATTGGATCATGGGGGCGGTTTCCCCCATGCTGTTCTTGTGATAGTGAGTCTCATGAGATCTGATGGTTTTATAAGCATCTGGCATTTCCCCTCCTTGCACTCACTCCGTCCTGCCACCCTGTGCAGAAGGTGCTTGCTTCTCCTTTGCCTTCAACCATGATTGTAAGTTTCCTGAGGCCTTCCCAGCCATGTGGAACTCTGAGTCAATTAAGCCCCTTTCCTTTATAAATTACCCAGTCTCAGGTATTTCTTCATAGCAGTGTGAGATCGAACTAATACACTTGTCTCATGATTAAACTGAGGTTATGGATTTTAGGGAGGAAGAGCACAGAAGTGTCATTTTAATCACATCATATCACAGATACATACTATCGATGTTGATCTTGATCACCTGACTGAAGTAGTCTTTGTCAGGTTTCTCCATAGTAAAGTTATTCTTTTTCTCCTTTTCCATACTATACTTTTGAGATGGAGTTTCGCTCTTGTTGCCCAGGCTAGAGTGCAATGGCACGATCTTGGCTCACTGCAACCTCTGCTTCCTAGGTTCAAGCGATTCTCCTGCCTCAGCCTCCCAAGTAGCTGGGATTACAGGCATGTGCCACCATGCCCAGCTAATTTTGTATTTTTAGTAGAGACCGGGTTTCTCCATGTTGGTCAGGCTGGTCTCAAACTCCTGACCTCAGGTGATCCACCTCCCTTGGCCTCCCAGAGTGCTGGGATTACAGGCATGAGCCACCACGCCCGGCCATACTATACTCTTAGAAGTCACTATGTGCATTCAAACTGAAGGAATAGAGCTATGCTCCACCTCCTTGAGGGCAGAGTACCTATGTAAACTATTTAGAATTGTACATGGGAAATGTATCTCTATCTATCTATATCTATCTATCTATCTATCTATCTATCTATCTATCTATCTATCTATCTATCATCTATCTATCTATCATCTATCTATCGGTTATAGTTTGAATGTGTCCCCAAAAGTTCATGCATTGGAAATGTAGTTAAAGAAGTGAGGTCTTTAAGAGGTAATTAGACCATGAAGGCTTTGCCCTCCTGAAAAAATTAATGCTGTTATCTCAGGAGTGGGCTCCTGATAAGTTCATACCCCTTCTGATAAGTTCATACCCCTTCCTCTCTGTCTCACATGTTCGTTTGCCCTTTCATCATAAGATGACCCTTACCAAATGGCGCCAACAGCCTCCAGAATCCCAGCCTCCAGAATCATGAGCCAAATAAATGTCTGTTCTTATTAAACTACCCAGTCTATGTTATACTGTTATAGTAGCAGAAAATGGACTAAGACACTATCTATCTATCCATTCAGCCATCCAGCAATCCATCTGATCAAGTCATTTGTTTACAACAGTATGAACTCATGGGTTATGTTTGGGTTTGTTTGTTTGTTTGTTTGTTTGTTTGTTTGTTTGAGACAGGGTTTTGTTTTGTTGCCAAGGCTGGAGTGCAGTGGTGTGATCACAGCTCACTTCTGCCTCCGGGTTCAAGTGATTCTCCCACCTCAGCTTCCCAAGTAGCTGGGACTACAGGCGGACGCCCCTGCACCCAGCTAATTTTTGTAATTTTTGTAGAGATGGGGTTTCACCATGTTTCCCAAGCTGGTCTTGAACTCCTGAGCTCAAGTGATCCACCTGCTTTGGCCTCCCAAAGTGCTGGGATTACAGGTATGAGCCACCACGCTCAGGCAGATATGTATTTTATACTTTAGGTTATAATACAATACTATATTTTATTGTTCATATTGTTCTAACTTTGGACATTAGAAGCTCTTTTAGTTGCCTCCTGTGTCCCTTTTACATCCTATCATTGTCTTTTTTTTTCTTTTGAGCACTTCCTTACTTTCTGGCACTACGAGATGTTCCAGCCTTATCTTGTATACTTTCTGCCCTAATCTGACAATTCTCTTCTTTCTGCTCTAAAACAAATGTTGTGCCACTTTATTCTGGCCCATATGGGTTCATTTGCGAAATCTGCTCTCATTGCAATTGGTGTTCTGCTGTAAGTGATGCATCTTTTCTCTTTACCTGACTTCAAGATCCTTCCTTCCTTCCTTCCTTCCTTCCTTCCTTCCTTCCTTCCTTCCTTCCTTCCTTCCCTCCTTCCTTCCTTCCTTCCTCTCTTTCTTTCTTGAGACGGAGTTTCGCTGTTGTCACCCAGGCTGGAGTGCAGTGGCGTGATCTCGGCTCACTGCAACCTCCATCTCCCGGGTTCAAGCGATTTTCCTGCCTCAGCCTCCCAAGTAGCTGGGATTACAGGTGTGTGCCACCATGCCCGGCTAATTTTTGTAATTTTCGTAGAGACGGGGTTTCACCATGTTGGTCAGGCTGCTCTCGAACCCCTGACCTCAGGTGATCCACTTGCCTCCACCTCCCAAAGTGCTGGGATTACAGGCATGAGCCACTGTGCCTGGCCTGTTTCCTTATGTTTAATTATGATGCGTCTTGGCATGGATTTCTTTGTAACTCATTCTGCGTACTATCCCATATGTGGAGATACCACAAGTTAAAAATATATTCTACAGAAATATAATCACCAATACAAAGATATCCATGTAGAGGATATTTACTGTGGCATTATTATTGACGGCAAAAAAATGGAAACAAACCATAGGGTCAAAGAGAATTTTATTAATTTGGGGAGTTCCTCAGCGATGCAGGTTGAGTTAATCATATTCCTCAGTTTATAGCATATTATCATTATTGATCCATGTTAGGTTCCTCCCTTATATATTCTCTTTTATAAGACTTATTAGGAGTAGAAAAAATATGTATATATTATCTTTCATTCTCATTCCCCATCCCCGTGCCCTCTCCACCTCATAGACAACCATTCTTTAATGTATATCCTTTTGTTTGAATGTATACTTTTGTTTTTTTGTGTGTTTTTTTTTTTTGGAGACAGGGTCTCATCTGTCACCCAAGCTGGAGTGCAGTGGAGTGATCATGGCTCACTGCAGCCTCAACCTTCCAGGCTCAGGTGATTCTCCCACCTCAGCCTCCCAAGTAGCTGGAACTACAGGCATGTGCCACCACATCCGGCTCATTTTTGAATTTTTAAAATAGAGCTGGGGTTTTGCCATGTTGCCCAGGCTGTTCTTGAACACCTGGGTTCAAGTGAGCTGCCTGCCTTGGCTTCCTAAAGTGCTGGGATTACAGGCATGAGCCACTGCACCAAGCCTGAATGTATTCTTAAAAGTACAATTTGTTATTTTATGTGTGTATTTTTTTTTAATTTTTTTTTTTTGAGATAGAGTCTCGCTCTGTCACCCAGGCTGGAGTGCAGTGGCATGATCTTAGTTCACTTCAGCCTCTGCCTCCCAGGTTTAAGTGATTCCCCTGCCTCAGCCTCCCAAGTAGCTGGGATTACAGGTGTGTGCCACCACGCCCAGCTAATTTTTATTTTTATTTATTTATTTATTTTTTCGGTAGAGACGGGGTTTCACCATGTTGGCCATGCTGCTCTCGAACTCCTACCTCGAATGGTCTGCTCGCCTCAGCCTCCCAACATGCTGGGATTACAGGCATGAGCCACTGGCACCTGGCCTATGTGTGTATTTTAATTTACATAAATTGTATTGTGTTAGACATGTCAATGTTTCCTTTTTCACTCAGCATTCTGTTGTAAAAGCCATTCCTGTTGCTAGGTATATATCTAATGCATTCCTTCTAACTGCTGCGTAGTACTCTAAGATATATATCTGCCACATTTTCCCTATTCATTTATCCAGTGATGGGCAATCAGATTACCTCCAACTTCCTGTTATCACAAACAACGATCTGACGAGCATCCTCATACAAGCACCTTAATGGACTTGTGTGGGGATTTCCTTGGCGTAAGAGGAACATATATGTATTTTATGTTTTAATAGATATTTTTAGATTACTTTCCTAAAAGGATACAGCAAGTCATACTTCTGCCAGCAGTGTACAAGAGTGCCTGTGTCCCTGAATCTTCACTAACACCGGATGCCATTATTCTCATGAATTTTGCCCAGTCTTTGTCAGAAATATTGCATGCATTGCCTTAATTTGCATTTCCTTGACTATAAGGTGAGGTTGAGTAGCTTTTCACATGTTTTTGGCGACTTGAATTTCTTCCCTAAATTGCCTTGTTTAGATTTTAATTTTGAGTGTGTTCAGTTTGAGACACCTAGGAACATCTAGATGGACCCATCTAGTAGGCAATTCAAAATATGAGCCTGCAGGAGTTTGAGACCAGCTTGGGCAACATGGCGAAAACCCGTCTCTACAAAAAAGCAAGAATTAGCCTGGCATTATGGTATGCACCTGTAGCCCCAGCTACTCAGGAGGCTGAGGTGGGAGGATCACTTGAACCCAGGAAGTGGAGGTTGTGGTAAGTCAAGATTATGCCACTGCAATCCATCCTGGGTGACACAGTGAGACTCTATCTCAAAAACAAAAACAAACACAAACAAACAAACAAAAACAAAATATGAGCCTGTAGTTCCAAACAGAATAAAAGTCTGAAGACAGCAATTTGGGAGTTGACAGTTTATAGATGACAGCCAAAATCATCTAAATGGGATCTGGAAGATAAGATTATCTTTGAAAGAAACTATAAAGTAAGAAAAGAGCTGAAAAGAAGCCCTGCAAGTTCAATATTTAAGCAGCAAATAGAGAGGAACCAGGAAGAATGTCAGAAGGAAAAGTCATAGAGGAGAAAGAGAAGCAGGAAAGAGTGATACCAGAGAAGCCAAGAGAGGAGAAATTTTCAAAGAGGATGTGATTAGCTATTTCCAAGGCTACTGAGAGGCCCTGTGAGATTAGGACTGAAAAGTAATTGTTAGATTTGTCAATTATGGCATTATTTGTGGTGAGGGTAGTGAGGGTAGTTCCAATAATATGGTAGGGGCAGAAACCAGGAGTCAAGTACAGACTCAGAAGCGAGGAAGTAGATATAATGAGAAATAGATGATCTGTTTTTGTTGTTAATTTTCTTTTTGTTGTTGTTGTTGTTGTTTTTGTTGAGATGGAGTCTCGCTCTGTCGCCCAGGCTGGAGTGCAGTGGCGCAATCTTGGTTCACTGCAACCTCTGCCTTCCGGGTTCAAGAGATTCTCCTGCCTCAGCCTCCCGAGTACCTGGGACTACAGGCGTGCACCACCATGCCTGGATAATTTTTGTATTTTGGGTAGAGATGGGGTTTCACCATGTTGCCCAGGCTGGTCTCGAACTCCTGGCCTCAGGTGATCCTACTGCCTCGGCCTCCTAAAATTCTGGGATTACAGGCATCGGCCACTACACTCAGCTAAGATGATCCTTTAAAGAAGTTTGGATATAAAGGAAAGGAAAGAGGGTGATAGTTAGAGGGATTATAAGGTTTGGGAAAGGCTTCATTTGTTTTAAGAAACAAGAGACTTCACCATTTGTACAGGCTGACAGAAGGAGAGATTAGAGACATAAGAGGAAGAGTTTTTTTGTTTTTTAATTTTAATTTTAATTAATTTATGTTCATTGAGACAGGGTCTGGTTCTGTCGCCCAGACTGCAGTGCAGTGGTGCCATCACAGCTCATTGCAGCCTCCTGGGCTCAAGCAATCCTCCTGCCTCAGCTCACCATGTAGTTGGGACCACAGGTGTATGGACCGTGCCTGGCTAATGTTTTGATTTTTTGTAAAAATGGTGTCTCACTTTGTTGCCATGCTGGTCTTGAACTCCTGGGCTCAAGCAATCTTCCCACCTTGGCCTCCTAAAGTGGTGAGATTAAAAGCATAAAAGCATGCCACCACGTCTGGCCAGGAGATTTTTTTTTTTAAACGGAGTTTCCCTCTTGTTGCCTAGGCTGGAGTGCAATGGCATGATCTTGGCTCACTGCAACCTCTGCCTCCCAGGTTCAAGCAATTCTCCTGCCTGAGCCTCTGGGGTAGCTGGGATCACAGGCATATGCTACCACGCCCGGCTAATTTTTGTATTTTTAGTAGAGACGGGGTTTCACCATGTTAGTCAGGTAGGTCTCGGGCTCCTGACCTTAGGTGATCCACCCACCTTGGCCTTTCAAAGTACTGGGATTACAGGTGTGAGCCACCGCGCCCGGCCAGGAGATTTTTTTTTTTTTAATGTCCAAAATAGAACTCCTGATTTCCCTTCCAAACTTACTTCTCCCTAAGACTTTCCAATCTCAGTAAAAGGCACTCTATCACTTAGTTGCTCAGTCCTAAAACCTGAATATCACTGTTGAGTCCTCTTTTCCCCCTCTTTCTCTCATTCCATTTCATGAGCAAGTGGGAATGTTGGAAGAGCACCTAAATATTCTAGTAATCTAAGAAGCTTCCCTTGCTTCTTGAAGCCTTCCCAGAGCAGAATTTTATGAGCCATGTAAGTCGAGGTCAGAGAAAGGATGAGCTTGCTTTTTATTTCCTGACCATGTTCATAGGTAATAGTCAATTTTGAGAAGACAGCAGATACCAACCCTAAACAGCTAACTGAACTTCTTTTGATTACTAAAGACAATACATTGGCTTCAGTGCAATGTTTGGAATGCATGAGAAGCATCATCAAAATAGTACAAGCTGGTAATGGGAATACATGTAGCTGTTCTTCATAATAGGTATTCATTCTGATCTTCCTTTCAGTTCTCTGGCGAGGAAGAAAGAGTATTAGGCCCCTCTCTAATAATGAAGGGGGAGGGCATGGGTGAGGGGTGTGTGTGAAAGAAATTAGCCTTTGAAAATGTGCCTTAAAACTCATTAGACTTAAAACCTTAATAGCAAAGATTGTACTCTCAATACCTGGCATATAGTGTAGCTACTCAATAAATGTTTGAATCTAAACTGTTAAATTACCTCATCTAATTCTTGCAACAATTCTATGATTGTAAATATTTTTATCCATATTTTACAGGTTAAGATACTAAGGCTTAGAGAGTGCCCAAGTTCACGACCTCCCTTTTTGAGACTCATGGGAATGTGCATGCATAAAATAGCCTGTTCTAGAGGAGAGTCAGTGGTTTGGGTTAAGGGGTGAGACTGCAGGAAGAGGGTAGCTCTTCCTCTGCACCAACTGGCTGGCTTTCTTTCTTTCTCTTTTCTTTCTTTCTTTCTCTTTTCTTTCTTTCTTTCTTTTTCTTTCTTTCTCGCTCTCTTTCTCTCTTTCCTCTTTCTCTCTCTCTTTCTTTCTTTCCTCTCTCTCTCCCTCTCTCTCTCTCTGTCTCTTTCTTTTTTCTTTTTTTTTTTCCCCAGGCTGGAGTGCAATGGTGCGATCTTGGCTGACTGCAACCTCTGCCTCCTGGGTTCAAGCGATTCTCTTGCCTCAGCCTCCCAAGTAGCTGGGACTACAGGCATGCACCACCACACCCGGCTAATTTTTGTATTTTTAGTAGAGACAGGGTTTCACCATGTTGGCCAGGCTGATCTCGAACTCCTGACCTCAGGTGATCCGCCCGCCTTGGCCTCCAAAAGTGCTGGGATTACAGGGGTGAGCCACCACACGTGGCCCCAATCTGCTTTAGAACAGAGTTTCTCAGCTTTGAAACTTGACATTTGCTGCTGGCTAATTCTTTGGTGTGTGTGAGGGTGCTGTCCTGTGCTTTGTACGATGTAGCAGTATCTGGCCTCTACCCACTAGATGTCAGTAGCATGCTCCTCTTCCCGGAATGCTTTGACGACTAAAAATGTCTTCGGACATTGCTGGAAGTTAAAATCACTCCGGAATGAAAACCACTGCTTTAGAGGCTCACAGGACAAAGCCAGTACTGCCCAGGAAGTTCTTCATTTCAAAGAGAGTGACTCTTCCCCAGTCTTTTCTCGCTACAAAGTCAATGGTAGACAGCCTGATGTGAACACAAATTGACCTTGACCAGTTCTAAGTCATTGCCCTTTTTCTGTGCCCTTTATACTCTTCCCTCTCTACAGGAGATTTCTGTTTTCCCTTCCCTTGCAAACCCCACCCCTACCCCCACCCTTTCAACCATATCGTCCAACGTTGTGCTTGGTGTGAAAATAGCATCCTATGGGCAGTAGAATGGTAGTCACTTAGAGTGTGTTTGAATTTTCTGGTGAAATCCAGGCCCTTTCTGCTACCAAACTGAACTCTAGGCCCTGAGGTTGGTTGGCTCTCCATTCTCATCTCTGCTTCTCTGCCACGGTCTCCTTTGTCGTAGGGAAATGCCAGTCATAGTCATATTTGTGGAATTCCATCCATAGTTTTCAAAAAGTGGTGGAGTCAGGTCTGTCTAAATCCAATGCCTTTGTCTTGCCTCTACCCAAGTCGTTCTCAAACTTCAGTGTGGATCAGAATTTCTCAAAGCTCAGGTTCCCAGACTGAGAAAAGCAAACAAAAAACAAACAAAAACTAGCATTCCCAGTTAAATTTGAAGTTGAATGTGTGTCTCAAATATTGCAAACTTTTATACTAAAAATTTATTCACTGTTCATCTGAAATTCAAACTCAGTGAGTGTCCTGTATTTTATCTAGCAACTCTGTATAGAGAGTTTATTAAAACACGGATTGCTGGGCCCCATCCCTAGAGATTCTGATTCAGTAGGTTTGGATGGGGTCTGAGAATTTGCATATGCTGGTTCAGACACTACACTTCTGAGAACCACTGGCATATAGGTTAAATGGTGAAAGACAAGACGTTGCATCTGTGAAGTCTTCCCCTCAAAGTAGCAAAGCAGAAGGGGGAAAATGGCTAAAAAGAAGGTAACTGCCTGATCAGAAATCCATGTGTGAAGATATATGAATTTTTATTGATAACAATAGCGTGCTAGCTATTCAAAACTATGGATTTTGAGCAGTAATGCAAAAACAATCTAAAATTCAGTTTGGGAAACTTATTCTTACAATTTACCAAAACCTAGTGTTAGTCATTGCTCAATTTTAATTAGGTCAACGAGAATGCCTCCTTTTATAAACTAAAGGATTCTTGACATGTATGAGACATTTATGACCCTTGACAATTATGAGATTATCACAGTTTTTTTTTTTTAATTTTCTTTAGTGGTTGTTTTCATTAATTATAAAAGTATTATGTGATGCTGGGCGTGGTGGCTCACGCTGATGATCCTAGTGTTTTGAGAGACTGAGACGGGTGGATCACTTAAGGTCAGGAGTTCGAGACCAGCCTGACCAACATGGTGAAACCCCGTCTCTACTAAAAATACAAAAATTAGCCGGGCATGGTCGCAGATGCCTGTAATCCCAGCTACTCAGGAGGCTGAGGCAAGAGAATCACTTGAACCCAGCAGGTGGAGGTTGCAGTGAGCCGAGACCATGCCATTGCACTCCAGCCTGGGCAACAAAAGCGAAACTCCGTCTCAAAAAAACAAACAAAAAAAATAGGTCCCAGCACAGTGGTTTACACCTGTAATCCCAGAACTTAGGACAGGGAGGCCAGGGCAGCAAGACTGCTTGAGGCCAGGAGTTTGAGACCAGCCTGGGCAACATAACAAGACCCTGTCTCTACAAAAATAAAAATAAAAAAATTAGCCAAGCATGGTGGTGCATGCCTGTAGTCCTAGCTACCTGAGAGGCTCAGGCAGGAGAATCATTTGAGCTAAGGAGTACCAGGCTGCCATGAGCTATGACTGCACCACTGCACACTCCAGCTGGGATGACAGAGCAAGACACTGTTCCAAAAAAAAAAAAAAAAAAAAAAAAGGCAAAAAATCTGAATAGAGACATCTCAAAAGAAGACACAAATGGCCAAGAAGTATATGAAAAAATGCTTAACATCTGTACTAATCAGGGAAATGCACATCACAACCACAATGAGATATCATCTCATCCCAGTTGGAATGGCTATCATCAAAAAGACAAAAAAAAAAAAAAAAAAAAGCAAATGCTGGCGAAGATGCAGAGAACAGGAAACTCTTGTATACTGTTTATGGGAATGTAAATTAGTACAGGCATTATGGAAAACGGTATGGAGGTTTCTTCAAAAACTAAAAATAAAACTGGTAGATCTAGCTCTCTTATACTAATCCCTGTCTCCACTCCCTACTTCAATTTTTTTTTTTTTTTTTTTTTTAAAGATGGAGTTTCACCTTGTTGCCCAGGCTGGAGTGCAATGGTGCGATCTCCGCTTACTTGCAACCTCTGCCTCCTGGGTTCAAGTGATTCTCCTGCCTCAGCTCCCAAGTACCTGGGATTACAGGCACCTGCCACCACACCCAGCTAATTTTTGTATTTTTAGTAGAGACGGGATTTCACCATGTTGGCCAGGCTGGTCTTGATTCCCTGACCTCAGGTTATCTGCCTGCCTCAGCCTCCCAAAGTGCCGGGATTACAGGCGTGAGCCACCGTGCCCAGCCTCTACTCCAATTTTCATAGTTATATTACTTTTAGTGTTTCTATAGATTAACTTTGTAACATTAAAAAATAAAACTTTAAGCCTGGCATGGTGGTTGAGTACCCCGTCTCAAAAATAAAAAAAATAAAATAAAATAAAATAAAATAAAATAAAATTGTATTTCTTATTCTGTCAACTCTGATTGTATTTGTTGACTTCCCATTATGTAAGAGGAAGTTATGAATTCCCCATACCTTTTCTCCCAACTTCTCTCCCACCTCCACATTAGGTATATCTTAACTTCTACCTTGTCAAGGTTAAGAACAGTTACAATCTGTTGGGTAACGGTAATTAATTTTTCCATGCATTGTTTATAGGTTGATGCTAAAAGTTGTAAAGCAATAAGCAATATTTGCAGTATTACAACTATATAAATGTTTTTCACTGCAGAGACAGGAAGGGTTTTAGGATTACACTTTCTTTTCTAGTGGCACAATGTCATGATTTCTGTGCTACTTGAAGAATATTCCTAGAGTCAAGGTCAGATGAACTCTCTTCTTACACTCCATCCAAAATCATACCACATTTTAGTCTGCTTCATATTTTCTTCTTGTTATACATGCTTATCAAGATTCTGTCTTTCCAAGCTGGAGAAGATTCTATCTCAGGGTCTGGATTTCTCACTACCCCAACTCAGGGGAGTGCTATACGGCCATTTTCCCTTGGCGATTGTGTATGGAAAACAATAAATACAGGAGGCTGTATAAATGTAACAGTTTAAATGAAAAAAGAAATTGTCAAGTGTCCCTCCCTGATTCTACCCATCTCTTTCTACTCCCCACCGCCTCTGCCAGGTAACCACAGTCATGAATTTCGTGATAACTATTCCCTCAAATAAAAAATAATAATTTTGCCATCTGAGAATGTATCCCTAAATAATATAGTTTAGTTTTGCCTGATTTTGAACTGTATATAAATGGAATCATACTACATATGTTCTCTTGTGATTTTCTTCTTTTATTCATATTTGAACTTTTGTTTAAATTTATGCTTATTGTTTTCTGCTTGTTCTGTTAGTTACTGAAACAGCTGTCTTAAATTTACTATGATTGTAGTTTTTTTTCTGTTTGTTTCTTCTTCTGCGTCAAAATTTTCTTTGCATTTTATAGCCATATTATCACATACATATTATCATCCATTTTAAAGTACACAAGCAAACATTCTTTAATAGTATTTTGCAATATTCAGTTTTTTTCTTTTAACTATTACTTCCAACTGGGCACAGTGGCGCACATGCCTATAGTCCTAGCTACTCAGGAAACTGAGGTGGGAAGATTGCATAAGCTCACACGCCTAGTCCAGCCTGGGCAACATAGCAAAATCCTACCTCTAAAACAACAACAACAAAAAACTATGATTCCATTCCACTTCTCCCACAGAATTTTGTCCTAATAGGATATATTTTATGCTTGAAAGTCTTTTTTATTGCCCACCATACTTCTCTGCCTCAAAAATATATGTATTTTGGATTTTTTTTTTTTTTGAGGTGGAGTCTCACTCTGTCACCCAGGCTGGAGTGCAGTGGCACGATCGCGGCTCACTGCAACCTCTGATTCCCAGGTTCAAGCAATTCTCCTGCCTCAGCCTCCCAAGTAACTGGGATTACAGGTGTGTGCCACCACACCCAGCTAATTTTTGTGTTTTTAGTGGAGACGGTGCTTCACCAAGTTGGCCAGCCTGCTCTCCAACTTCTGACCTCAGGTGATCCACCCACCTTGGCCTCCCAAAGTGCTGGGATTACAGGCGTGTGCCACCACCCCCAGCTAATTTTTGTATTTTTAGTAGAGATGGGGTTTCACCATGTTGGCCAGGCCCGTCTTGAACTCCTGACCTCAGATGATCCACTCGCCTTGGCCTCCCAAAGTGCTGGGATTGCAGGCGTGAGCCCCTGTGCTCGGCTGTAAAACAGTGATATTCTAATTCCGTTATTAATCATTAAAGAGAAACATCCTCTCGTCTATTATTTGGTTGCCCAATAGTATAGTTTTTAAGGAAAAGCAAGATAAATGCTTGATTTTTCCCTTTAACATTTTCAAAAATATTGAGTTGGTTTTCTATCATTCTAAAATTTTCAGTAATTTAAAAAAACAGAATCATTATGAACTTGTGGATTTATACCACCAATATAGTTGGTATTTTGGGCTTATCTTGTAAATTCCCTGTCCCAGACCTGGAATCAGCCATTCTCCAAAAAGCCCTGGTTTCTTTTTAGTGAAGAATGGTATTTCAAGGCTACAGTCTTGATGGTAGCAATGCTCATAGCTACTGGGCTGGTCATTGTTTCTAAACTTTTTAAAGAAGAAAATGCCTCATGAATTCACAGTGATTATTTTATTTTATTTTATTTATTTATTTTGAGACAGAGGTTTGCTCTTGTTGCCCAGGCTGGAGTGCAATGGTGCGATCTCGGCTCACCACAACCTCTGCCTCCCGGGTTCAAGTGATTCTCCTGTCAGTAGCTGGGATTATAGGTGTGCGCCACCACGCCCGGCTAATTTTTGTAATTTTAGTAGGGACAGGGTTTCACCATGTTGACCAGGCTGGTCTTAAACTCCTGACCTGAAGTGATCCACTCGCCTCAGCCTCCCAAAGTGTTGGGATTACAGGCATGAGTCATAGCACCAGGCCAGCGCAATGATAATTTTAATTCAAATTCAGGTCTATGGGGTTTTCCTTAACTATCTTACATTTGAATCTCCTTTCACACTTGAGAATCTTGGTTCCCAAGGACATACAGGATAATACATTCAAATATCACATAACTACTCATTTGCTTTATCCCCTGTAATACACACAACTGTCTCAGCATAGTAATATTAGTACTACCACCACCAATATGATTATGAAAACAATTTGAAATGTTTTTTGCATATCATCTCTTCACTCTTTTCCCATCTTTAGTGATTACATACTGTACTCTGAGAACCTTCACTGAATCTTACTTCTACAAGTATCCTTGTGTGTTTATTAAGTTTATTTAATGTTCACCAACAGTCCTTATGTCATTGTATTTCTAGTTATTTTGCCTTTCTGGACTTTGTTCCATAATAGATTCCTCAGGAAGGGTTCACAGGAGCAACATTTCCTATGTGATTGTGGATTGTTAATAGTTTGTAGCCTCTATCCTGGAAAGCCAGTGTATTAATTTGCTAAGGTTGACATGACAAAATTACAGATTGAATGACAAAAACAGAAATGTATTTTCTCACAGTTCTGGAGGCTAGAAGTCCAAAATTGGGGTATTTGGAAGGTTTGGTTTCTCAGAGGCTTCTCCCCTTGGCTTGCAGATGGCTGCCTCTTGCTGTGTCCCCACATGGTCTTTTCCCTGGTGTCTTTGTGAGTCTACATTTCTTCTTTCTATATTTATTTTTATTTTATTTTATTTTTTGAGACAGGGCCTTGCTGAGTCACCCAGGCTAGAGTGCAGTGGCATGATCAAAATGCGTCACTGTAGCCTTGACCTTCCAGACTCAAGCGATTCTCCCACCTCAGCTTCTCAAGGAACTGGGACTACAGACCTGTGCCACCATGCCTGGCTAACTTTTTAAAAAATTTTTGTAGAGACAGTGTCTCCCTATGTTGCCTAGCCTGGTCTCAAACTCCTGGGCTCGAATGATCCTCTGGCCTCAGCCTCCCAAAGTGCTGGGATTACAAGTGTGAGCCACCCTGCCTGGCCTCCTCTTCTTATAAAGACACTAGTGAGTTTGGATTAGTGCCCACCTAGCAGCTTCATTTTAATCACCTCTTTTGGGCCGGTGCAGTGGCTCACACCTGTAATCCCAGCACTTTGGGAGGCTGAGATAGGTGGATCACTTGAGGCCAGGAGTTCAAGACCAGCCTAGGCAACATGGCAAAACCCCATCTCTACTAAAAAGTACAAAAATTAGCCAGGTGTGGTGGTGCACACCTGTAGTCTCAGGTACTTGGGAGGCTGATCGCACCACTGCACTCTAGCCTGGGTGACAGAGCTAGACTCTGTCTCAAAAAAAAAAAAATCACCTCTTTTAAAGGCCCAATATCCAAATACAGTCTCATTCTGAGGTATTGGGAGTTAGGGAATCAACATATGCATTTGGGGTGAAGGACACAATTTAGCCCATAACAGTCAATTTGGCTGGATAGAAAAGTCTTTGGCTCACATTTTTTTTTCCAACTTTTATTTTAGGTTCCAGGGTAAATGTGCAGGTTTGTTATATAGGTAAACTCGTGCCATAGGGGTTTGTATATAGATTATTTCATCAGCCAGATACTAAGCCTAATACCCAATAGTTATTTTTTCTGCTCCTCTCCTTCCTCTCACCCTCTACCCTCTAGTAGGCCCCAGATAGCGCATTTGTTGTTCCCCTCTATGTGTCCATGTGTTCTCATCATTTAGCTCCCACTTATAAGTAAGAAATGTGGTATTTGGTTTTCTGTTCCTGCGTTAGTTTGCTAAGGCTAATAGCCTCCAGCTCCATCCATGTTCCTGTAAAGGACATAGTCTTGTTCCTTTTTATGGCTGTGCAATATCCCATGGTGTATATGTACCACATTTTCTTTATCTAGTCTACCATTGATGAGGATTTAGTTTGATTCCATGTCTTTGCTATTGTGAATAGTGCTGTGATGAACATATGTCTGTATGTGTCTTTATGGTAGAACTATTTATATTCTTTTGTGTATATACCTAATAATGGGATTGCTGAGTCGAATGGTAATTTTGTTTTAAGTTCTTTGAGAAATCACCACACTACTTTCCACAATGGCTGAACTAATTTACATCCCTACCAGCAGTATATAAGCATTCCCTTTTCTCTGCGACCTCACCAGCATCTGTTATTTCTTTGACTTTTTAATAATTGACTCACATTTTCTTTCCTGAAATGTACTTGAATATGCTACCTTATTTTCTTATGGCATAAAGCATTGCTGTTAATGTATCTGATGACTGGCTTATTTTCTTTCCATTGTTCTCTTTGCCTGGATGCATTTTTTTTTCTTTAAAGTCCATTAATTTTACTAGAATATATTTCAATGTTGGTCATTTTGGGATGATTTTCTCAGGCACACGAACTGTCTTTTTAATATATTGTTTTAGGCTGGGTGCAGTGGCTCACGCCTGTAATCCCAGCACTTTGGGTTGCCGAGGCAGGTGGATCACCTGAGGTGAGGAGTTCAAGACCAGCCTGGCCAACATGGTGAAATCCCGTCTCTACTAAAAATATAAAAAATTAGCCAGGCATGGTGGCGGGTGCCTGTAATCCCAGCTACTCAGGAGGCTGAGACAGGAGAATTGTGTGAAGCTGGGAGGCGGAGGTTGCAGTGAGCCAAGATCATGCCATCGCACCCCAGCCTGGGCAACAGAGCAAGACTCTGTCTCAAAAAAAAAAAAAAAAAATATATATATATATATATATATATACATATATATATAGTTTCAAGTCTTTGTTAAAAATTGTTTCATTGTGACATAGAGCTGATCAAAACAATTTAAAAAAATTTAAAATAAAGTTGTTTCAGGAAAACTTTCTTATAGTCTTTATTATTTATTATTTTCCCTTGCTTTGGTTTTCTTCTATGTATGTTGGATTTTCTTTAACTGTCTTTTAAATGTATCACTTTCTCTCAAATCCTTTTATCTCTTTTTTTCTATTCTTTTTGTTTTAAAAATTTATTTCTTTTCATCTTCTGTTTCTCTTAAGGCATTATGTTTTGTGTTTATTTGCTCTTGAGATCCTTCTAGTTTAGAATTCATTTCTGATTGTTTTCTTTTATTTTCAATTATTTATTTAGTCCTATTACTCATTTTTTGAGTTTTTCTAGTTCTGATTTATTTTGTTATTTCATATCTTGTATCATTTTTAACGTCTTTTTACTTGTTTTGAAATAGTAGATTATAGTTTTTATGTTTTGTAGTCATGTATTTCTGCCATGCTTTCATTGTCAAAGGCTGTTATTCTCCTTATTCTCTTTATTCTTATAATAAATGCAACCTTGACCCTTTCTGTTGACCATTTCTATAGGAGTTTTTTTTTCTTGTAGAAGGCTGGGTTCAGAATAGATTTTCTAATTTCATGGCTTTTAGCTCCCTCTTCTGTTGCTTTTGTGTAGTTTTTTAAAATGTAGCAACTTTCTTTCTCAGATATCTTGGCGCTGTTTTACTCCTCCACTTTCATCTGAACCTTCTTTTGCTGTGCTGCTATGTTTGGATTCTATTCCCAGCAGTTTCTTTTCAATGTGGGGATTTGTCCTGGAATGGAGCTTTAGCTGGTTAGTTTTGAGAGTGCATGGGGCTCACACTGTTCCAGACCCGTGAAACTGCCTTTGCAAAAATTCTAACACTGAGAAAATTATGGCAGTGAAGGAGATCTGAGCTGGCTAACCCCATCTTGCCTTTGGCCTTAAAGCTGCCCTTAATTATTCCTGGGCTTAGGCCAAACTAACTTTGGGAGACATTTAGCTTATAGTTTAAATGATAATAGCCCTTCCCCAAAACTCAACCACCTTTGTAAAGCTAATGAGAGACCACCAGGCTGAGAGGATAAAGGAGCCTGAATTCTACCAAGGTGCAAACATAAATGATTTCCAGCCCTTATTTTGGAGGTCACACGATATGCATCTTCCCCAATTACTCCTGCAGATAATATCACTATTGTAGAACCTAAGATTGGTCTTTTGAGGTCTCTTTTCAGGTTTTTTGCATGTCTGATATCGATGGCGCCACCTGGACTCTCGTCAGCCACTCTTACGGCCCCACCCAGAAGCGACTCAGAGATCAGGAAAACCATACCCCTATGATTGCACACCCAACCAATCAGTAGCAAGCACCCATTGCCTAGCCACCCCCACCCCTTCCCCCAAACTACCTTTGAAAAGCCCTAGCTCCCAAATTCTCTGGGAGATTGACGTGAGTAATAATAAAACTCTGGTCTTCAGTTCAGCCAGCTCTACGTGAATTAAGCTCCTTCTCTATTGTAATTCACTTACTTTGATAAATCGGCTCTATTTGGGCAGCAGGCAAGAAGAACCTATTGGGCGGTCACACCCAAATTGTTCCAACCTCTTTAGGTCTTACCTGCTACTGGAATATGCGTAGCCTCTTCCAGTTTCAGCTGTTGTCCTCAAATTGTCCCTCTAGGCTTCCCAGTGAGTAACTTTGGCTCTTTGGGGAGTTTTGGTTTTGCTATCCCATTTTCTCTGTCTTTATGGCAGGGAGGGTTGAGGGATATTCTTTTCTTTCCGACATTTATTTTTAAAAACTATGCCATCTCCACCAACTCCCAAGAATCCTTTTGTCCATTTTTAAAAATTATTATTTTAGAGACAGGCTCTTGCTGTGTCACACAGGCTGGAGTGCAGTTGGCATTATCATAGCTCACTGCAGCCTTGAATTCCTGGGCTCAAGCAATCCTCCTGCCTCAGCCTCCTAAGTAGCTGGGACTACAGGTTTGTGCCACCAAGCCTGGCTAATCTTTATTTATTTATTTTTAGAGATGGCATCTGGTTATGTTGCTTAGACATGTCTCGAACTCCTGGCCTCAAGTGATCTTTCCGCCTCAGCCTCCCGAGTAGCTGTGATTACAGGCACAAGCCACCTCACCCAGCTTCTCCTGCCCATTAAGTTTTCATTGCAATTATTATATTTCTCAATTTTACACATTCTAAAATCCATTTAAATCAACTTTTGAAGTGTTATTTATTGACAATAAAATGTACCTATATTACATGTACAGTTTTATGAGTTTTGACAAATCAATACTCCTGTGTAATCATCATCACCAACAAGAGAGAATATTTCTAGCATTCCAGAAAGTTCACTTGTGCCCCTTCTCAGTCAATCCTCCCCAACCATGGTCCGAGGCAACCATTTATCTGCTTCCTGTTACTATAGATTTGCCTGTTCTAGAATGCATACAAGTGGAATTGAACAGTATGTACTTTTCTGTGTCTGGGTTCTTTTGCTCAGAATAATGTTTTAGAGATTCATTCATGTTGTTGCCTATATCAATAGTTTGTTCCTTTTTAATGCTAGTATTTCTTCTTATGGATATGCCACCATTAATTCTATTGATGGACATTTGGGTACTTTTTAATGTTTGGCTATTGTGAATAAAGCAGAATATTCTTGTGCATATCTCGTGATGGATATATGCACTCATCGCTGTTTAGTGTTTGCCTTGGAGTGGAATTTCTGGGTCACAGGGTACTTGTATGTTTGGCCTTATTAGATACTGCCAAGTAGGTTTCCAAAGTGGTTCTATCAATTTACACTCCTGCTAGTAATTATGAGAGTTCAGGTTGCTCCACATCCTTACCAAAAATTGGCATTTTAGGTTTTTTTTTTTTTTTTTTTTTGACACGGTGCAATTTTGGCTCACTGCAACCTCTGCCTCCTGGGCTCAAGTGATCCTTTCACCTCAGCCTTCCAGATAGCTGGAACTACAGGTGTGGGCTACCACACTCTGCTAATTTTTGTATTTTTTGGTAGAGATGTGGTTTCACCATGTTGCCCAGGCTAGTCTTGAACTCTTGGGCTCAAGCAATCCTCCTGCCTTGGCCTCCTAAAGTGTTGGGATTACAGACGTGAGCCACCATGCCTGGCCAGTATTTTTAAAAATAATTTAAACTTTCTGGTGAGAGAGAGAGTTTTAGTAATTTTTGACAGTGAGCTGCTCATTTTTCTTGGAAAATTATTTGTCGGAATTTTTTGAGTCATAGGGTAAAGGAGCATTTTTTCAGAAAGTTGTGTTTGCTTCTGCTAGGTACTTATGGGCAGTGCTAGTCTCTGACTGTGTAAACTAATTTAAGATTTTTAGACCACCAGTGGTGTATGTTTTAACTGTAAACTTGTGCAAGGACCAGCTTATTGTTCAATTTCTCAGGGACTTATTTATCCCCTCTACTCTGTTCAGAGCAAAGGCAACTTTTCCTTCAGTCCCTTTGGACTGGGGAGTAAGGTGGGGTGGGATAACGTTCTAATCTACCCTTACTTAAGGTTGTAGCCCTTTCTGAATCCAACTAAGACCCAAGGGTACAGAAAGAGGACCTCCTTTTAGTCTTCCCACCTTGGATGGACCTAAGGGTCTATGGGTAATTTAGCTGAAGGTTGCCAAGTTTTGTAGATACTCTCATGCCAAAAGCAGCTTCAGTATACCACACGTCTGTATGTAACAGGGTATGAATTCCCTTTTATCTTGATAATTCTTTATCATCTTATCAGTCCTTTGATATTTTTAAATAAGTTATTTTATGCTTTATCCAATCTCTTAAGTGATTTTCTGTGAGAGGGTTGGTGCAGATCCTAATCCACCATATTATCAGGAATGGAAATTTTGTTTCATATTTCTGTCATTATTTTCTGGTATAGTTTTTATTTATTTGTTTTTCCTGGAGTTTCTAATTGCCTTTTGTATTTTCTTTTTGAGAAAAGAGACATGACTTCTTCTTCTTCTTTTTTTTTTTCTGATACAGAGTCTCACTCTGTCACCCAGGCTGGAGTGCAGTTGCACGATCATGGCTCACTACAGCCTCCACCTGTCGGGCTCAAGTGATCCCCCCACCTTGGCCTCCTGATTAGCTGGGACTACAGGCACATGCCACAGCACTCAGCTAATTTCTTTCTTTCTTTTCTTTTTTTTTTTGGTAGAGACAGAGTCTCACTATGTTGCCCAGACTTGTCTTGAACTCCTGGCTCAAGTGATCCTCTCACCTCGGCCTCCCAAAGTACTGAGATTACAGGCATGAGCTACCATGCCCAGCTGACTTCTTCACATCATTAATATTTTCCAGCTTCTTACTCAGTCTACTCATTGGTTGGAATCTATTTCATTCTTCTTCTTCTTTTTTCTTAATCGAAAGGGGGTCTCACTATATTGCCTAGGCTGGTCTTGAACTCCTGAGCTCAAGTGATCCTCCTACCTCAACCTCCCAAAGTGCTGGGATTACAGGCATGAGCCACTGCACCTGGCCTATTTCATTCTTCTTGAAGACATTCTTTCTATAGCACTGGTTTCTTTTTTAATTGATACATAATATTTGTACATATTTTGGGGGTACATTTGATATTTTGACACATGCATACAATGCATAATGATCAAATCAGGATATTCAGGACATTTGTCGCCCTGAACATTTGTCATTTCTTTGTGTTGGGAACATTTCAAATCTTCTCTTCTAGCTATTTTGAAATATACAATATATTATTAACCATAGTCACCCTACTATGCTATGGAACACTAGCACTTACTCCTTCTAATGGTGTTTGTACCCACTAACTAGTCTCTCTTCATTCCCTTCCCATACACTTCCCAGTCTCTGGTAACTATCATTCTACTCTTTATCACCATGACATCAATTTTTCCAGCTCCCAAATATGAATGAGAACCTGTGATATTTGTCTTTCTGTGCCTGACTTAAATCACTCAATATAATGTATTCCTCCAGTTCCATCCATGTTGCTGCAAATGACAGGATTTCATTATTTTTTAGGGATAGATAGTATTCCACTGTGTATATATACCACATTTTATTTATCCATTCATCTGCCATTCATCTGTTGATGGACATAAGTTGATTCCATATCTTGGTCATTGTGAATAGTGCTGCAATAAATATGGGGGTGCACATATGCCTTTGATATGTGTGATTTCCTTTCCTTTTGATACCCAGTAGTGGGATTGCTGGGTTGTATGGTAGTTTTATTTTTGGTTTTTTGAGAAACTTCCATACTGTTTTCCATAATGGCTATACTAGTTAGCATTCCCACTGACAGCGTGTAAGAGTTATCTTTTCTTTGTATTTTCACCAGCATTTGATATTTTTTGTCTTTTTAGTGATAGTCATTCTAGCTGAGATGATATCTCACTGTGGCTTTGATTTGCATTTCCCTGATGAGTAGTGATGTTGAGGATTTTTTCATATACCTATTGGCCATTTGTATGTCTTCTTTTGAGAAATGTCTGTTCAGATCTGTAGCACTGGTTTCTTATTCTAAATTGGACTGATTGCTTTTCAGACCTACTTTATAATTTTTAACCTTAGAACTTTTCTCTCATTGGATTTACGAGTTATCCACTATTTCTTGCTTCCCATGTTTTTTCCTTTCTTGCATTTACCCAGGTTTTGTTAGAGTACATGCTTATGATGATTTGGCTGTTTTTTTTTTATTTTTTATTAATTTTTTTGAGATGGAGTCTCGCTCTGTCGCCAGGCTGGAGTGCAATGGCGCGATCTTGGCTCACTGCAATGTCTGCCTCCCAGGTTCAAGTGATTCTCCTGCCTCAGCCTCCCGAGTAGCTGGGACTACAGGCGTGCACCACCACGCCCAGCTAATTTTTGTATTTTTAGTAGAGATGGGGTTTCACCATGTTGGCCAGGATGGTCTTGATCTCTTGACCTTGTGATCCACCTGCCTCGGCCTCCCAAAGTGCTGGGATTACAGGCGTGAGCCACCGTGCCCGGCTTTGGATAGGTTTTTAATTCTAACTTCAGAGTAATTTTCCCTCAGAATTTTAAAGTGGTCTCACATCCGGTGTTGTTAATGAGAAATCTGCTTTTTATTTCTTTATGAGTGACCTACTTTTCCTTTCTGGAAGCAGTTACAATTTTCTTTTTATTCCTGATAGTGTAAAGTGATATAGTGTCTAGGTGTGGACTTTTTCCCCTCCTTTGATCTTATTAGATCCTTGCAATCTACTCTGAAGTATCTCTGTTCCCTCCAGGTAAATTCTGCTTGTTTATCTTGGCGTTTCTTTTTATATGCTATTTTTCTTCATATTTCTGGTAGTCTTTGTTTCTTCATATTTAAAAATGAAGCAATAGGTAGTTGATACAGGTTTCTCTACTTTATATATGCAGATCCATTTTCTCACTGGGGTTTTCCCCTGGATAGGGAGTCTAACTAAGACATCTGTGTAACTGGTCAGGACTTGTGACTAGCGACTTTCTCTTTTATTTTTTTATTTTTTATTTATTTTTTATTATTATTATACTTTAAGTTTTAGGGTACATGTGCACAATGTGCAGGTTAGTTACATATGTATACATGTGCCGTGTTGGTGTGCTGCACCCATTAACTCGTCATTTAGCATTAGGTATATCTCCTAATGCTATCCCTCCCCCCTCCCCCCACCCCACAACAGTCCCCAGAGTGTGATGTTCCCCTTCCTGTGTCCATGTGTTCTCATTGTTCAATTCCCATCTATGAGTGAGAACATGCGGTGTTTGGTTTTTTGTCCTTGTGATAGTTTACTGAGAATGATGATTTCCAATTTCATCCATGTCCCTACAAAGGACATGAACTCATCCTTTTTTATGGCTGTGTAGTATTCCATGGTGTATATGTGCCACATTTTCTTAATCCAGTCTATCATTGTTGGGCATTTGGGTTTGTTCCAAGTCTTTGCTATTGTGAATAGTGCCACAATAAACATACATGTGCATGTGTCTTTATAGCAGCATGATTTATAGTCCTTTGGGTATACACCCAGTAATGGGATGGCTGGGTCAAATGGTATTTCTAGTTCTAGATCCCTGAGGAATCGCCATACTGACTTCCACAATGGTTGAACTAGTTTACAGTCCCACCAACAGCGTAAAAGTGTTCCTATTTCTCCACATCCTCTCCAGCACCTGTTGTTTCCTGACTTTTTAATGATTGCCATTCTAACTGGTGTGAGATGGTATCTCATTGTGGTTTTGATTTGCATTTCCCTGATGGCCAGTGATGATGAGCATTTTTTCACGTGTCTTTTGGCTGCATAAATGTCTTCTTTTGAGAAATGTCTGTTCATATCCTTTGCCCACTTTTTGATGGGGTTGTTTGTTTTTTTCTTGTAAATTTGTTTGAGTTCATTGTAGATTCTGGATATTAGCCCTTTGTCAGATGAGTAGGTTGTGAAAATTTTCTCCCATTTTGTAGGTTGCCTGTTCACTCTGATGGTAGTTTCTTTTGCTGTGCAGAAGCTCTTTAGTTTAGTTAGATCCCATTTGTCAATTTTGGCTTTTGTTGCCATTGCTTTTGGTGTTTTAGACATGAAGTCCTTGCCCATGCCTATGTCCTGAATGGTAATGCCTAGGTTTTCTTCTAGGGTTTTTATGGTTTTAGGTCTAACATGTAAGTCTTTGATCCATCTTGAATTAATTTTTGTATAAGGTGTAAGGAAGGGATCCAGTTTCAGCTTTCTACATATGACTTTCTCTTTTAGACTTAGGTTAGGGAAGCTGCCTTTAGGCTGGAGGCCCTCAAATGCCAAATTAGGAAGAATTTTATTTTGCTCTGTGGCACTAGCACCTACATGATCCTTAGTTTTCTTTAGGCAGCTTATTCTATTTCTGTTGAGTCCTCCAGTTTCCTTTCCTTTCCTTTCTTTCCTTTTCTTTTCTTTCTTTTCTCTTCTTTCCTTTTCTTTTCTCCCTTCCCTTCCCTTCCCTTCCCTCCTTTTTTTTTGGCTAGGAGATAAAGATTGGGCTAACTATGCTAAATATGGGGATGATGGGTGGGGGGATCATAAGGAGCCAATGGGGGCACTTCTTTTTTTTTTTTTTTTGGCATATGAAAATTTATTACTACAGGGTTTTCACCATTAATATTTATGATCTTGGTCTTTCCTTCTTGCCTTTGTATAGGGCCAAAAGAGAAACATTGGCTACTTTGACAACCTTAAAGCGGACTCCAGGAATATCACCAACAGCATGACCTTTGCGACCAAATCCAGCAACCAGAACTTCATCATTTTCCTCAATAAAGTTTAAGCAACCGTCGTTGGGTACAAAGGCTGTGATTTTCTTGCCATTCTTGATCAGCTGGACCCTTACACACTTCCTAATGGCAGAATTTGGCTGTTTGGCTTCAACTCCTACTTTTTCCAGCACGATTCCTTTTGCATGATAAGCACCTCCAAAAGGGTTGGCCTTTAGGGCTGGGGGGCACTTCTTTCACAGGTTTTCAGTTCACCCCCTAGTTTTCGGACTCCCTTCTTATTTTGACCTTGAGCACTTCCTAGCTCTGAAACAGGAACCTCTCTGGGATTCTGCCAGGCACGTTGGCTTGTTCCATTCTGTTTCATCAGTTGACACACTTCCAATCTTCCAAAAATTTGTTAAGCCCATTTTCTTCACTCTTAAGGGCTTATTCTTTTATTACCATTTTAATGGGATGTCAAAAGGGAGGGAGATAAGCACATATCTTTAATCAGACATCTTCAATCAGACATCTTCATTTAGAACTCTCTTATCTTTATAATGGCTTTATAGTAGACCTTTGTGTGGATGTAATATAGTTTATTAAATGCCCAGGTGATGGACATTTGGGTTCTTTCCAGTTTTTCACTATTCAAGCAATGTTATAGTGGACATCTTTTGTACGTAAATCTTTGGGCACCTGTGCAAGTATTTCTATAAGATAAATTCATAGAAGTAAAATTGGTAGATATTGCCAAATCATTCTCTTAAAACATTGATCCCCTTCACACACTCAAAACAGCAAAAAGTGGAAATTTCTTCCCTACATCTTCACAACACATTATCATTAATCTTTTTTCATCTTTGCCAATATGATGAGGAAAAATTGGCTCACTCATTGTTTTAATTTGTATTTCTTAATTGTGAGTGAAGTTGAGCGTTTTTTTCAGATATATTGGTCATTAACCAATTTTTTTTCCGTTGGTTGCCTATTGATGTCCTTTGCGTATATTGTTTGTCTTTTTCCCATAGATTTGTAGGAGCTCTTTTTATATTATGTATCACAATTCTGAATCTGGGTTTACATCATTAATAAGTTTGGAATATGTAGGGTGAAACCAAATTAAGCAACCTCCTTTACCACAGGATTTTTAAAAAGCCTTTAATGTGATAATTACATTGTGAAGAAGTGAACTTAGTATGTGACATTTCTCAGATTAATCTGACCATAGAACTATTTTTTCTGGAAGTATCTTGAGGAACTAATTCTGAGGGACCAATTTGGGAGCCACTGTCCTACCTAGTGATTAAGCTCATAAGAATGAGAACTATAGAACTATGCATTATTGACCATTTTATGTTCAGCATCCAGTACCTGGTATGTAGTAAATGCTCTGTGAATATTTGTTGAATGAATATGTTAATGCCTAATAAATGAGCATTTTTGCACCTACTAATATGGTACTTTGATAGATATTGTTCAAGATGTAGTATTATTTTATTTCATCTAATCTGAAAATCATTGACTATAAGATGCACCCATATTTTATGCACCGTTAATAAAGAACAAAATACTGCCAACTAAATTATAACACAAGGCTGGGCACGGTGTTCCCAGCACTTTGGGAGGCTGAGGCAGGAGATTCTCTTGAGGCCAGGAGTTCAAGGCAGCAGTGAGCTATGCTTGTGCCAGCTGCCCTCCAGCCTGCATGACAGAGAGAGATGCAGTCTCTAAGTAAATAAATAAATTATAACACAAGACAATTTTAGCATCTAGAATTTATATTTTATAATTATTGTAGGTTCTGTTTAAGACTTGTTTAGGAGCTGGGCACGGTGGCTCATGCCTGTAATCCCAGCACTTTGGGAGGTTGAAGCGAATGGGTTGCTTGGTCCCAGGAATTTGAGACCAGCCTAGGCAACATGGCAAAACACTGTCTCTCTCTTTTTTTTAAAAGACTTATTTAGAAATGGATTTTTATCATATATCACTATCCTGCATATGTTGCAAGGAACATTGAAAGGAAATAAATAAAACTGGTTAAAGTATTTCTAAAATATTTTTACATTTGGAGATCTGACTTCGAATTACTGTTTGACTCAGTCAACATGTTCTGAGTTTTCCATAAAATATTATTCTCTTTGTCATTAAGAACACTGAGGATTTCCGGGGGAAAAAATTGTGTCCTATTATTGTTTTCTTCTAAGTTGCTGACATCTATTATGCAAGTTTTGACGCTGGTGCTTTTTTGATCTTACCAGAAGGTGTCAGGCAATGACAACTACATCACAACTGCTGCTAGCCGACAGCAAACGTGAGATTCCATTAATTGTAAGATGCGTCCCAATTTCAGAAATTTTAAAAACATGAAGAAATGTGCATCTTTGAATCAATGAAATATGCTATTAGATATTATCATTCTTCTCTTCCTGAATTCTGCATTTCTGTTTAGCTAAATTTCATTTTCTCTTTTCCTTTATAGCCTAGCTTCTCAGAAGAGTAGTCTGCATTTGCTCTTTTTTTTCCTTCTTTTCCATTCACTCCTTAATCCACTGCATTATGACCCTTCCCATCTCTCCAGTCTGTTTTCAGTACTTATATACATTCATTCAACAACCAGTGATTGTTTATTGTCTGTTTGGGAAGAGAAATCACAGAATTTTAGAGCTAGATGATCTCCTAATTCTGTCTTGTTTTATATGGCAAACCATCACATATTTGGCTATTATCTGTGGCCTTTTTCTCACATGCCTCGTTTTAGATTCATTTTATTCAAGTTCAATAGTTCTAACTTCTTTAGCCAGTCCCCATGTTACAAGGTTTCCCAAAAACGTCCCATCTTAGTTGCCTTAACTTGAACTTGCACTGTAGTTTGCAGTGGCTCTACTCAGATGTGAAGCCTCAAGTGAAATGCATGACCCTCTGCCGCCTTTGAAATACAGTGGAACCACAATGACCTAGCAGACCTTTTACTATAACTAGGCACCTTTTGCTCCCATTCCCCATAGATGCTCTTTCAAACTTCCTTCACCTCTCTTAGGCTGCCTTCTCTATCCTCCCACTCTGAAGATGTCCTGAAAATTAAAGCCAAATACCAGCTCCCCTACCACACCATTTAGTTACATTTGTGTGTGCTTGGAGTACTATATCTTCCCATCTCTACAGGCACATGGCTAGGTCGATATTATTTTTTCTTCTTTCTTTTATCTTCAACTTTTCCATCTCCACTAGATTCTCAGCCGCAGCCAGTAAACATGCTTTAGTAGCCACAGTCTTGTGAGAAGAAATGAGACTTCATTAATTCTTTTTTTTTTTTTTTTTTGAGACGGAGTCTCGCTCTGTCGCCCAGGCTGGAGTGCAGTGGCGCGATCTCAGCTCACTGCAACCTCCACCTCCCGGGTTCAAACGATTCTCCTCCTGCCTCAGCCTTCCAAGTAGCTGGGACTACAGGCACGTGCCACCAAGCCTGGAAATTTTTTGTATTTTTAGTAGAGATGGGGTTTCACCGTGTTAGCCAGGATGGTCTCGATCTCCTGACCTCGTGATCCGCCCGCCTCGGCCTCCCAAAGTGCTGGGATTACAGGCGTGAGCCACCGCGCCCGGCCTCTGAGACTTCATTAATTCTATATCCACCTTTAGTTAAATCTATTTTGTTCCTTTTTCATAGATAAACTTCAATTAAAATTTTTAAAATTAATATTTGTTTTTTGGGTCAAAATTCATAAGGTGTGAAAGGGCATACTAGGAAAAAAAATTCCTTCCCATCCTTATTCCAGTGGCAACCAGGATTTTCAGTTACTTTGGTATTCTTTTGCAGCCCAGGCCTGATGCCCTCTGGCATCCATTGTGTGTAATGAATAAACTTATCTCCTATGCATCTAGAATGGCATTAGTTATGTGCAGTTCTTGGAGGAATTAGAAAATAGCCACAAAAATAATTTTCTTTAGGGCTTTGTTCTTTGAACACTTGTTGAGAAAAGCTGTAGAGATAAACTATTCATATATAAGCAATTGTGCATGTATATAGAATTTTTCCTCCTTTTTAGAGAAATGGAATTTTTTTTTTTTTTTTTTTTTTTGAGATGGAGTTTCACTCTTGTTGCCCAGGCTGGATTGCAATGGCGTGATCTCAGGTTACTGCAACCTCCGCCTCCCAGGTTCAAGCGATTCTCCTGCCTCAGCCTCCCAAGTAGCTGGGATTACAGGCTCCTGCCACCATGCCTGGCTAATTTTTGTATTTTTAGTAGAGACGGGGTTTTGTCATGTTAGCCAGGTTGGTCTCGAACTCCTGACCTCAGGTGATCCACCCGCCTCAGCCTCCCAAAATGCTGGGATTACAGGAGTGAGCCACAGCGCCTGGCTTAGAAATGGTACATTTCTTACATGCTGCCTTACATCTCTTTTCACTTAACAATATGTATTGGAGATCTATATATCTATATCTATGTCTTTCTATCGATTGGATATATGTATCTCTAAACCTAAAGAGCTCCCTCGTTTAAAATAATTTCACCCATATCTTTAAAAAAACACAGCTTGGCCCAGTGCGATGGCTCATGCCTGTAATCCCAACACTTTGGGAGGCTGATGGGGGCGGATCACCTGAGGTCAGGAGCTCGAGACTAGCCTGGCTAACATGGTGAAACCCCGTCTCTACTAAAAAAAAATACAAAAATTAGCCGGGCATGGTTGCGTGCACCTGTAATCCCAGCTACTTGGGAAGCTGAGCGGGAAAAATCGCTTGAACTTGGGAGGCAGAGGTTGCAGTACGCCGAGATCATGCCACTGCACTCCAGCCTGGGAGACAGAGCAAGACTCTGTCTCAAACAAACAAACAAACAAAAACAAACAAAACAAACAAACAACAACAACAAAAAACACAGCTTGATTGTGCTATAATTCATATACCATGCAATTCACCTACTTAAGAGTACAATTTACTAGGTTTTAGTATATTCACAGAGTTGTGCAACCATCACAACACCTAATTTTATTTTATTTTCTTTTTCTGGAGACAGGATCCCTCTATGTTGGCCAGGCTGGCCTCCAGCTCTTGGGTTCAAGCAATCCTCCCACCTCAGCCTCCTGAGTAGTTGGGACTGCAGGCCCCTTGCCACTACACCTGGCACACCAATCAATTTTAGAACATTTTTATCACCTCAAAAAGAAACCTATACCCATGAGCAATCATTCCTCATTTCCTCCCAAACCTCTCAGCCCCTGGCAGCCATTGATCTACTTCCTGTCTCTATATATTTGACTATTATGGACATTTCATATAAATGCAATTGTAGAGTATGTGGTTTTTTGTGACTGACTTCTTTCACTTAGCATATAGTTTTTAAAGTTCATGTTGTGACATGTATTAGTATTTTATTACTTTATATTGAATAATATTTGATTGTATGGACATACCACATTTTATTTATCCATTCATCAACTGATGAACATTTGAGTGGTTTCTATTTTGGGCTATTATTAATAATGTTGCTATCAATATTGGTGTACAAATTTTTTGTGAACATCTGTTTTTATTTTTCTTGAGTATATACCTAGGAGTAGAATTGCTGGGTCATATGGTAGTCCTATGTTTAACCTTTCGAGGAACTGCCAAACTGTTTTCTGCAGAGGCTGTACTATTTTACATTCCCACCAGTAGTGTATGAGGGTTTCAATTAACGAAATCTTCATCAATACTTTTTATTATCTGTCTTTTTGATCGTAGCAGTCCTAGTGAGTGTGAAGTGGTATCTCACTGTGGCTCTGATTTGGATTTTTCTGTTGACTAGTGATATTGACCATCTTTTCCTGTTCTTGTTGGTTATTTGCATATCTTCTTTGAAGAAATGTCTATTTAGATGCTTTGCCTATTTTAAAATTGCATCATCTTATTTTTATTGTGGTAAAGTATACACAATATAAAATTTACCATTTAAACCATTTTTAAATATACAGTTCTATGGCGTTAAGTACATTCCATTGTTGTGCAACCATCATCACCATCCATTTCCAGAACTTTTTCATCTTCCCAACTGAAACTTTGTATCCATTAAAAATACTAACTTTCCATTCCCTCCTCTCCGCAGCTCCTGGCAACTACCATTCTACTTTCTGTCTCTATGTATTTGACTACTCTTAGGAACCTCATATAAGAGGAATCATATGATATTTGTCCTTTTGTTACTGGTTTATTTCCTTTAGCATAATGTCTTCGACTTTTATCTAGTTTTATCTTCGAGTTGTAGCATGTGTCCATATTTCCTTCCTTTTAAGGGCTGAGTAATATTCCATTGTATGAATATACTACATTTAATTTATCTATTTATCTGTCAATGAGCACTTGAGTTGCTTCCACCTTTTGATTTGCTGATATGAACATGGGTGTACAAATATCTGTTCAAGTCCCAGCTTTCACTTATTTTGGGTATATACACAGAAGTGAGATTGCTGGATAATATGGTAATTCTGTGCTTAATTATTTGAGGAATTGCCATTTTATTTTCCACAGTGGTTGCACAATTTTATATTCCCAGCAGCAATGCACAAGGGTTCCCATTTCTTCACATCTTTTCCAACACTTGTTATTTTCTGTTTTTTTTTTTTGATAATAGTAAAAAAATGCATTCTCTCTATATATATATTCTAGATATCTAGTTTTAAATATATTCTATATATATTAAATATATTCTAGAGACACATCTCTGATCAGATATATCATTTGCAAATATTTTCTCCTATTCCATGGGTTGTCTTTTCTTGATGATATTCTTTGAAGAACAAAAGTTTTTAATTTTCGGCCGGGCACGGTGGCTCACGCCTGTAATCCCAGCACTTTGGGAGGCCGAGGCGGGCGGATCATTTGAGGTCAGGAGTTGGAGACCAGCCTGACCAACATGGTGAAACTCTGTCTCTACTAAAAATACAAAAAAAAACTAGCCGGGGGTGGTGGCGCATACCTGTAGTCCTAGCTATTTGGGAGGCTGAGGCAGGACAATCACTTGAACCCAGGAGGCAGAGGTTGCAGTGAGCCAAGATTGTGCCACTGCACTCCAGTTTGGGCAACAGAGTGAGACTCCATCTCAAAAATAAAAATAAAAAAGTTTTAAATTTTCATGATGTCCAGTTTATCTATTGTTTAAATTCTGTTGCTTGTGGTTTTGGTGTCATATCTAAGAATCCATTGCCAAATCCAAGGTCATGAAGATTTATACCTATGTTTGCTTATAAAAGTTTTATACTTCTGGTGCTTATATTTAGGTCTTTGATCCATTTTCAGTTAGTTTTTGTATACAGTGTGAGGTAAGGGGGTCCAGCTTCATTCTTTTTTATGTGGAGATCTAATTGTCCCACCACCATTTGTTTAAAAGGTTACTCTTTCTCCTATTGCATTGTCTTGGCACCCTTGTCAAAAACCAATTGACTCTAAATGAGAGCGTTTATTTCTGGACTCTGAACTGTATTCCGTTGATCTGTCTGTCCTTATGGTAGTATCACATTGTATAGATTACTGTAGCTTTGTAGTAAGTTTTGAAATTGGGAAGTGTGAGTCCTCCAACTTTGTTCATATTTTTCAAAACTGTTTTGACTATTCTGGGGCTCTCAAATTTCCAAACAAATTTTAGGATCACTTTACCAGTTTCTGCAAAGAAGCCAATTGGAATTTCGATGGCTGTTGCTCTAAGTCTGTAGATCAATTTAGGGAGTATTGCCATCTTAACAATATCAAGTCTTCTGATCCATGAACATGTCATATTTTTCCATTTATTTAGGTCTTCAATTTCTTTTAACAATGCTTTGTAGTTTTCAGAGTAAGTTTTACATTTCTTTTGATAAATTTATTCCAAAGCATTTAATTCTTTTTGATGCTGTTATGAATGGAATTATTTTTTATTTCATTTTTAGTTTGTTTATTGATTCTGTATAGAAATACAATTGATTTTTGTATATTGATTTTGTACCTCACAACCTGGATGAACCTGTTTATTAGTTTTATTGGTTCTTAGTGGATTTTTTGGGATTTTCTATATGCAAGATCATGTCATCTGCAAATAGAGATAGTTTACTTCTTCCTTTTCAATCAAGGTGCCTTTTACTAAAAGTAATGGCAAAACCGCAATTACTTTTGCACCAACCAAATATTTAGTTATCTTGCCTAATTGCCCTGGTTAGAACTTCTAGTACAATGAGGAATAGAAGTGGCATGAGTGGACATTCTTGTCTTGTTCTTGATCTTAGGAGAAGAACATTTAACTTTTTTTTTGTTTTTTTGAGACGGATTCTCACTCTGCCTCCCAGGCTGGAGTGCAGTGGCGTAATCTCAGCTCACTGCAACCTCCGCCACCGCCCCCACCCCAGGTTTAAGTGATTCTCCTGCCTCAGCCTCCCGAGTAGCTGGGATTACAGGTGCCTGTCACCGTGCACGGCTAATTTTTGTATTGTTAGTAGAGACGGGGTTTCACCATCTTGGCCAAGTTGGTCTTGAACTCTTGACCTCGTGATCCACCCACCTCAGCCTCCCAAAGTGCTGGGATTACAGGCATCAGCCACCATGCCCGGCCAACAAACTTTTGACCATTAAAGTATGTTAGTTGTGCTTTTTGCTTTTTTTTTTTTTTTTTTTTTTTTTTTTCCTGAGACAGTCTTTCTCTGTCACCCAGGCTGTGTGCAGGGGCATGATCTCGGCTCACTGCAACCTCTGCCTCCCAGGTTCAAGCAATTCTCCTGCCTCAGCCCCGCTAGTAGCTGGGATTACAGGTGCCCGCCACCACACCGGGCTAATTTTTGTATTTTTAGTAGAGATGGGGTTGAACTTGTTGGCCAGGCTGGTCTTGAACTCCTGACCTTGTGATCCGCCCACCTTGGTCACCCAAAGTGCTGGGATTACAGGCATAAGCCACTGCATGAGGCCAGTTGTGGTTTTCAAAAATAGTTCTTGGCCGAGTGCAGTGCTTCACACCTGTAATCCTAGCACTTTGGGAGGCAGAGGCGGGTGGATCACCTGAGGTTAGGAGTTCAAGACCAGTCTGGCCAACATGGTGAAACCCCATCTCTACTACTAAAAATATAAAAATCAGCTGGGCGTGGCAGCGGGCACCTGTAACCCCAGCTACTCGGGAGGCTGAGGCAGGAGAATTGCTTGAACCCGGGAGGCAGAGGTTGCAGTGAGCCAAGATGGCGCCATTGCACTCCAGCTTGGGCAACAAGAAGAAAACTCCATTTCAAAGAAAATGAAAAATAAAAATAGTTCTTGAGCATTGCTTCTTCCCCTACAGGCTACATCTCTGAGCCTCTACTCTGGAAATGGGGTGGGGACACTGGCTTGTTCTTCTTGGAATGTCACCTGTGTTTAATTAGCAGAGCATTGGGAAAGGCCAGTAGCCTGTAGTCTTATTGGCTTGCCAGTGTAGAACCTCTGCCCTTTAAGGCAGCTGGGACAAGGGCCATCAGGGCTGCAGTATTTTTGTCCTGCTGCACCTGAGTAGAGCCTCTGACCTATGAGTGGGGGGTGGGTGGAGGAGGGCAGCCCTCTTGGCCTGAATTGCCAGGAATTTAGCTTCTCCTGCTGGAGCTGGGGTGGTTGAGAAATGCTGGAGGTCTGCCTTTCCTGGGGAGATATTATAGCCTTTGACCGGGATCAAGCAGGAGAGGATGTCCTGTCTTCTTGGTTATATCTGCCTGGAGTGGAGTGGAGTTTCCATCATGCTGAACTGGGGTCGGGTAGTGTGTGGGTCATTGCTCAAGTATCCCAGACTCTTCTTCTTACTGTGATTTAGTAGGTTTTCTTGCATAAATATTTCTTCATTTGCTCTATGCCCTTAGGGCAATTTCCAGAGAGTTTAAGTGTGTGTGTGTGTGTGTGTAAGTAAGTAATTTTTACCAACTAGGGAGTTTCACAGGGGAGTGGATCTGTGGAGCTCCTCACACTGACATTTGGAAGTGGAATCTCCCCCATTTTAAAAATAACTCCACTGTATTACACTGAAAGAACCATACTTTATTTAACTAGTTCCATACTGGTTGACATTTAGGTCATTTGAAATACTTTGCCATTAAAAACAATGCTGCTATTAATAACCCTTTATATATTGCTAGTATATCTGTAAGACAAATTTCTTTTGTTGGGTCAAATTGTATGAATATAAATAACTTTAATAGATGTTGCCAAATTGCCCTCTATTGATGGTTTCACCAGTAATATAAGGGAGTATCTATTTCCTCATACTCTGGCCATCAGTTTGTTATATTGAAAAATGGTGGGTTTTTTTTTTTTTTTTTTTTTTTTTGAGATAGGATCTCACTCCATCACCAAGGCTGGAGTGCAGTGGTGTGATCTTGGCTCACTGCAAACTCCACCTCATGAGCTCAATCAATCTTCCCATTTCACACTTGCAAGTAGCTGGGACTACAGGCACGTGCTACCACACCCAGCTAATTTTTTATTTTTTTGGAAAGATGGGTCTCACTATGTTGCACAGGCTGGTCTTGAACTCCTGGCCTCAAGTGATCCTCCTGCCTCAGCCTCCCAAAATGCTGGGATTACATATGTGAACCACCATACCCGGCTGAAAAATGGTTTTTAAATATAGTATTACTTTGTATTTTTCCTATTATGAGTGAAGTTAAGGATGTTTTCATGAGCTTATGGGCCATGCATTTATTTTACTGTTTGCTATTTCTGTCTTTTGTTCATTTTAAAATTGGGATGATGGTTTTTTTCTTATTGATTTGTAGGAGTTCTTTGTATATTAGGGAAATTAGCCTTTTGCCACATGAATTGCAAATTGTTTCACTCAGCATGTCCTTTGTTTTTTTTTAATCTTGCTGTCATAGCTTTTGCCATTTAGAATTTCTTTTATTTTTATATGGTCAAATCCGTCAATCCTTTCTTCTATGATTTCTAGGTTTGGTTTATGCTTAGAAGGGTATCTCTCCTCCCTGTTTGAGATAATTAACTACAATCTTCCATGATACCTACTAGTGCAATTATGGTTAGTTGTGGTTTCATTTAAAACATTTTTAAATTAATACATAATATTTGTACATATTTATGGGGTACATGTAATATTTTGTTATGCGCATAGAGTGTGCAATGATCAAGTCAGGGTATTTGATGTGTCCATCACCTCGAGTATTTTTTCATTTGTATGTATTGGGAATGGTTTCATTTTTTTGCTTTTTGTGCTGCTCCTTGTAGAGCAGGGCTAACCCATAGGCAGTGTGCCCAGTGTCAGCTTCATTTTTATTATTATTTTCTTTTTTGAGACAGGGCCTGGCTCTGCCACCCAGGCTGGAGTGCAGTGGCATGATCATGGCTCACTGCAACCTCCACCTCCTGGGTGTAAGTGATCCTCCCACCTCAGCCTCCTGAGTAGCTGAGGCTACAGGCATGCACCACCATGCCTGGCTCAGTTTTGTATTTTTTGTAGAGGTGGGATTTCAGTGTGTTTGCCAGGCTGGTCTCTAACTCCTGAACTCAAGCAATCCACCTGACTCGGCCTCCCAAAGTGCTAGGATTACAGGTGTGAGCCACCGCAGCCGGCCATCAGCTTCATTTTTATATTTTAATTTTTTATTTTGGTGTATTTTGGTGTAAGATGTGTCTATGGATCCAAGTTACTTATTTCCGGATAGCTACCCATTTGTCCTCAAGGACAGGGATGATGTTTTCTTTTCTGTATCTCCAGTGCCTAACATACTTCCTGGCCCATTGTAGATTGTAAATGCTGTTTGAATGAAAAATATGATACTTTTTGTACCTTATCATATTTAGTACCTGTTTTACTGTGGCAGACATACCCTAAGGTGACCCCCAATGAGTCACACCTTGTATAATCTCCTTCTCTTGAGTGCAGACAGAACTTGTGACTTGCTTCTAATCCATAGAATATGGCAAAGGTGATGGGATGTCACTCTGATGATTGCATTAAGTTATATAAAACTCTATCTCAGGCTAGGTGCAGTGGCTTATGCCTGTAATCCCAGCACTTTGGGAGGCAGAGGTGGGCGGATTGCTTTGAGCTCAGGAGTTCGAGAGCAGCCTGGGCAACATGGCGAAACCCTGTTTCTACAAAAAATACAAAAAAATTAGCCAGGCATGGCGGCTCATGCCTGCAGTCTCAGCTACTAGGGAGGCTGAGGCTGGAGAATCACTTGAGTCTGGGAAGCAGAGGTTGCAGTGAGCTGAGATCTCATCACTGCACTCTAGCCTGGGTGACACAGTGAGACCCTGTGTCAAAAACAACAATAACAACAACAGCAACAACAACAACAACTCTATCTCAGCAGAATGGAGTGAGTGAAATTCTCCTGCTAACCTTGAAGGTGCAAATTGCTATGATATAAACTACCTGTAGAGTGGGCCATTTGGTGGGGAACTGCTACAGCCTTTAGGAGCTGAGGGTCTCAGTCCTACAACCAGAAGAAACTAAATTCTGTCAACAACCACATGAACTTGGAAGAGCATCCCAAGCTCCAGCTCAGACTCCAACCCTGGCCTACATCTTGATTTCAGCCTGGTGGGACCCCGAGCAGAGGACCTAGCTAATCTGTGCTGGGATAATTTTAAACTGCTAAATTTGTGGCAGTTTGTTACACAGCAGTAGAAAATTAGCACATTGAAATTGTTGGCACATTTACAACTTGTTATCAATGAATACCTCCAGTTTTTCTTCATATCATTTTAAGTCAGTTCATTCCATCTTATCCCTGTGTGGTCAAGTTTTAAAACTGAATATATGGCTTCTTAAATATTTATTGCCATTAAATTTCACCTTCTTGGTTTGGAATCAGTGTTCTAGCCTGTAGATTATTTGATAGGTTTCATCTTCTCTTCTGTGAATTTTTCCTGGATGGCTTTTTTTTTTTCGGCCATTCTGTAGGTTGTTCTTTCTTTTGAGATCTAATAGCCCTTATTACAATGCATTGTAATTATCTGCTTACATGCTCATCTTCCATACTAGACTATGAACTCATTGAAGATAAGGAACTTGACTTTTCACTTCTTAGCACAGTGCCTGACATGTAACAGAAGCTCAGTAATTCTTTTTGTGGCCGGGTGCAGTGACCCACACCTGTAATCCCAGCACTTTGGGTTGCCTAGGTGGGAGGGAGGATCACTTGAGCCCAGGAGCTCCAGACCAGCCTGCATAACATGGTGAGACCCTGTCTCTATAAAAAGTAAAAAAAAAAAAAAAAAAAAAAAAAAAAAGCTGGGCATGGTATTGTGTGCTTGTATTCCCAGACACTTGGGAGGCTGATGTGGGAGGATTGCTTGAGCCGGCTGCAGTGAGCTGTGATCACACCACCACACTTCAGCCTGGGCAACAGAGCGAGACCCTGTCTCAGAAAAACAAAACAAAACAAAAAACAGAAAAGGAAAAGAAAATGAATTTACTTGATCATGTTATTATCTGTTTTAGATTACCAGAAAGTTGGTCTCTATGTAAAGAATAGAAATAATGGAACCAAAATGAGAATTTGTTAGTATATCACTAGGGTTGATCTTGAGAGCAGTCAGAAATTTCTCTAGAGTGTAGAAAGGGAGTTAATCTAGCTATTCTTATTTGATGAAAAATATGTCTAAGAATATCCAATTTCCCATTCATTGAAGCATTGCTTATCATAGCGAAAATGTGAGAACAACATAAATTTATAATAATAAGGAATAGTTATTTTAGGATACCACAAAAGGATAACACAGTAGATTTTGAAAAATGTTCAATGGCAAGTATTTTAGTTTGCTAGGGCTGCCATAACAAAATAGCACAGACGGAGTGGCTTAAACAACAGAAATTAATTTCTTCACAGTTCTGGAGACTAGAAGTCCAAGATCAAGGTATCAGAAGGTTGGTTTCTCCTGAGGCCTTTCTTCTTGGCTTGCAAATGGTCTCCTTCTTGCTGTGTCCTCACATGGTCTATTCTCTGTGTGTATGTGTCTCTGGTGTTTCTTTGTATGTTTAAATTTCCTCTTATAAGGACACCAGTCAGATTGGATTACAGCCCACCCTACTGGCCTCATTTTAGTGAATTTTCCAAATTCTAATGCCCTGCTTCTCTTTTATTAATAATTTAAACAAATGTTTTGAGACAGGGTCTCACCCTGTTGCCCAGGTTGGTGTGCAGTGGTGTGATCATGGTTCACTGCAGCCTCCACCACCCAGGCTCAATCGATCCTTCAGCCTTATCCTTCTGAGTAGCTGGGATTAAAGGTGCCCGCTACCATACTTTTAAAATTTTTTGTAGAGATAAGGCCTCACTATGTTGCCTAGGCTGGTCTCAAACTCCTGGGCTCAAGTGATCCTCCCACCTCACCTCCCCAAAGTGCTGGAATTACAAGTGTGAGCCACCATGCCTGGCCCCTGCTTCTCTTTTAATTACAAGTTCCAACTTAAATTTTGCTCCCATATCTGATCTCAGGCTGTTAGATGCAGCCATGCCACTTCTTGAACACATTGCTGCTTAGAAATTTCTTCCACCAGTCTGGGCACAGTGGCTCATGCCTGTAATCCCAACACTGGGTTGCAGGTTGCAGTGAGCTGAGATCTCATTTCGCCAAGGCGGGATGATTGCTTAAGCCCAGGAGTTCCAGACCAGCCTGGAAACATGGCAAGACCCTGTCTCTACAAAAAATGGAAAAAAAAATGGCTGGGCATAGTGGTATGTGCCTGTAGTCCCAAGCTACTTAGGAGGCTGAGGCAGGAGAATTGCTTGAGCCCAGGAGTTTGAGGCTACAGTAAGGTATGATCCTGCCACTGTACTTCAGCCTGGACAACAGAGCAATATGCTGGCTCAAAAAAAATTTTTTTTTCTTCCACCAGATACCCTAGGTCATCACTCTTAAGTTTAGCCTTCCAGAAAGTCCTAAGGCATGGACACATGCAGTCAAATTCTTTGCTGAAGCTTAACATGGTGACCTTTGCTCCAGTTCCCAATAAGTTTCTCATTTCCATCTGGGACCTCGTTTGCTTGCCTTCACTGCCCATATCACTATCAGCATTTTGGTCACAACCACTTAACCAGTCTCTAAGATGTACCAAATTTTCTTCATCTTCTTGTCTTCCTCTGAGCCCTCCAAACTCTTCCAATCTCTGCCCATTACCCAATTCCAAAGTCACTTCCATATTTTTAGGTATCGTTATAGCAACACTCTACTCTTGGTACCAAAATCTGTATTAGTCAGAGTTATCCAGAGGGATAGAACCAAAAGGATATATATATATATATATATATATATATATATATATATATGTATATGTATATGTATATATGTATATATGTGTGTATGCATATATATATATATATATATATAAAGCTTATCTGTTAGTTTATATATATAAGTTTATTAGAAAGAATTGGCTCACACGATTGCAAAGGTGAAGTTCCACTACAGGCCATCAGCAAGCTGGGTAATGAGAAAAGCCAGCAGTGTGGCTTAGTCCAAATCTGAATGCCTCAAAACCTGGGAAGCCAGCAGTACAGCCCCGAGTCTGAGGCCAAAGGCCTGACAGCCCTCAGGAGGTACTGGTGTAAGTCCTAGAGTCCAAAGGCTGAAATCCTAGAGTCTGATGTGCAAGGGCAGGAGGAATAAAAGCATCCTGCTCTCAAAGGGAGAGAAAAAGAGGAAACTAAGCAAGCTGAATATCTCCCTTCTTCCACTTGCTTTGTTTATGACCCACCAGCGGCTGACTGGATGGTGCCTGCCTACATTGAGGGTGGGTCTTCCTCTCCTAGTCAGCTGACTCACATGCCAATCTTCTCTGGAAACACCCTCACAGACACACCCCAAAACAATGCTTCACCAGCCATCTGGGCAATCCCTCAGTGCAGTCAAGTTGACACCTAACATTGACCATCAAAAGTAGCTGATTGTTGAAAGAGCGGCACCTCCTTCCGCTGTCTCTTCCTTCCTCTCTTGCCATGTGATGCCTGCTTCCCTTTGCCTTCCACCATGAGTAAAAGCACCCTGAGGCCCTCACCAGAAACAGATGCTGATGTTACGCTTCTTGCAGCTTGCAGAACCATAAGCCAAATAAATCTTTTTTTCTTTATAAATTACCCAGCCTCAGGTATTCGTTTATAGCAATGCAAATGAAGTAAGACACTCCTCCTTTGACATCTAATTGCAAATTCCCATCCTGAGAAGATGTTGAAATTAAAGCATCCATATATTGTACTTTAGACTGCTGTTTTTCTCTTTCTATGGGACCAGACTACATAAGATGTCAAAGCAGGAAACTTGTATTGCAATGGTCTGCCAGGTTCACCCTACTATGGTATTATTATGTCTCACTACGTGAGCACAGTCACCATGGTGACTGTTTCCAGATAGCTTTAGAATGACCTCCATTTCCTACACAGTATGTTTGTGTCTTCTTATTCCTGTCTTTTAGGGGCTCTTTCTTCCTTCACAGCTCTCAGCTTTAAAACGTACATACGTCTGCCCCTTCTTCAGAAGCAGCTGGTTCATCTAACTCAACCACTCCTCCTCAAGTGCCTTTTCTCTTATCTGCAGGTGCTCAGATCATATTGGCTCCCTTCCATGAGGCAAACTTGTAGAATCTGTAATTAAGGAGACATAATCTAGGTGAAGGACAACATGGTTTTCATTAGAGGGTTAGCATTCCTAATATTAAGAGTTTATTAAAAGGCTAATAAGTAGGCAGATAGATGAGAAATAAGTGAATGAAATCTAATTAAACTTCTAAAAACTTTTTGAGAAGGCTTTATGTCAAACGTAATTAAAAAGGAAAGAAAATATCCTTTTTCCCCACATAAAGACAAGCACTTAGTAAGATACCAGATGCTGGGATTGGAAGAGTAATAAAATGATCTCTACATTTGAGAAGGCTGCCTAGTGGGGGAAAATATATTAACACAATTATTCTTTAATCTAAGAAGTGCTGTATTAGCCATATAAACAGAGGAACAAGAAATGAACAAACTACCTTGGAAGTGAGAGGAGTCAGGTATGCCTTCACAGAAGTGATATTTGAGATGGGACTTTGTAGTGGATATTAATGTTTTTGTTTATTTTATTTTTTCTTCATGTCAGATAGGTAATGTGCCAATTTCACAGGTTTGAGGGAAGCAGGATGTTAAGGTTTTCATGTTAAGGATTACGTCCGTATATAATCCCCCCTTTTCTCCTTCTTAGTTTTGAACCAATTGAGATATAAGTCATAAGCGACAAGTAAATGGAGATCAAAATGTTAGCATTCTTACTGATGAAATTGTTGGTGGACATGGCTTTAGATCTCTGGCCAAGCAGGCCTTTTAAACACCCTCTGCCCTGAATTAGAGAGACTGACTGACTTAGGTGGGTAAGCTAGGCCACCCTCACAGAGAGCAAATCAGAATGCACCCTCTTTGCAGACAGGATGGCTTCAAAAGTGGGAACCAGGAAAAGCTGAGCCACACATTACCCAGTACCTTCTCTCAAATTCATTAGTCAGGTTAGTCAACTTTTTTTTTCTCTAGAGAGGGGTAGTGAAGAGGCAGAAAGAGAAAAAAGTGGTTCACTCTATAACAGCAGACATCTATCTCCTCTGACCTGTGGAGATCTGCCCCTCTCTGTCATATACAATTCTATTGGGACTGTGCATAAGAGTTCCTTACACTCCACTCCTAAGTGCAGAGGTGGGCACATGACCTCGACTTGACTATTCATAGCATCCCATAACTTTGGGGTGGCCACAGGTCTCATGCAGGGCCAGCCAGGGTCATCATATGAAATGTGATATATGGACAAAGTCACTGGGGTCTAGTGAGTCTTTCTTTTGGATCACAAGCTGTAAGGATATACCACATCTATATCACAAGCTGTGATAAGCAAAGAGGAATAGGACCTGGAAGAAGGGAGTCTTGATGACAGTGTTTCAACCTTGTTCCTAAAGTGACATTTTTCCTTACACTTACCAGTTATATGAGCCTTGTCTTAGTCCATTTAGTGTTGCTGTAAAGAACTGCCTGAGGCTAATTTATAAAGAAAAGAGGTTTATTTGGCTTACAATTCTGATGCCTGGAAAAGTTCAAGACTGGGCATCTGATGAGGGCCTCAGCTGCTTCCACTCATGGCAGAAGGTGAAGGGGAGCTGGCACGTGCCAGCCTGTTTTTAACAACCAGCTCTTGTAGGAACTAACAGAACTAGAACTCACTCACCCCCAAGGGAGGGGCATTAATTTATTTATGAGGGATTTGCCCCCATGATCCAAATACCTCCCAGTAGGCCCCATCTCCAATATTGGGGATCAAATTTCAACATGAGGCTTGGAGGACAAACTTCCAAACCATAGTAAGCCCATATAGTTCTTTCTTTTTTTTTTTTTTAAAGACAGAGTCTCACTCTGTCTTCCAAGCTGGCGTGCAGCAATGCCATCTCGGCTCACTGCAACCTCTGCCTCCCCAGTTGAAGCAATTCTCCCACCTCAGCCTCCCGAGTAGCTGGGACTACAGGCATGCGCCACCATGCATGGCTAATGTTTTGTATTTTAGTAGAGACAGGGTTTCACCATGTTGCCCAAGCTGGCCTCGAAATCCTGAGCACAGGCAATCCACCTGCCTCAGCCTCCCAAAGTGCTGGGATTACAAGCGTGAGCCACCTTGCCTGGACCAGTGTAATACAGTCTTGAAACATGAGTTGGCATTTTTTAGAACAGAAAGGAAAGGACATTTTGGGTAAAAGAAAAAGCATGGGCAAAAGCCTAGAGGTTAGAAAGGTTCAGCTGTGGCTACCGTAATACCAAACAAAAGAGAGAGAATTGAAAATGAAAGAAAACATCTTATGTGGAATAGTGTTGCAAACACCCATTTCTAATAAAATAATTTAAAAAAATAGAAATAAACATTTTCTTCATGTGGTAAGGAGACTTCCAAACCAACAGTCACTCTTACTCCCTTTTAAATTGAAAATAAAATAAGGATGTCCGTTATTGTCATTATTATTTAATATTGTATTGGGTGTTCTGGCTAGCGCAATAAGATTTGAAACAGAAATAAGAGGAATCATTATTAGAAAAGAAGAGACAAAAATACTTGCAGATGATGCAGTTGTATGCCTAAGTGTTCTCCAAATAAGAAAAATATACAAAATCCAGGGGAGGAGCCAGGATGGCCAAATAGGAACAACTCTGGTCTACAGCTCCCAGCATGAGCGACGCAGAAGATGGGTGATTCCTGCATTTCCATCTGAGGTACCAGGTTCATCTCACTAGGGAGTGCCAGACAGTGGGTGCAGGACAGTGGGTGCAGCACACTGTGTGCGAGCCGAAGCAGGGCGAGGCATTGCCTCACTCGGGAAGTGCAAGGGGTCAGGTAGTTCCCTTTCCTGGTCAAGGAAAGGGGTGACAGACGGCACCTGGAAAATCGGGTCACTCCCACCCGAATACGGAGCTTTTCCGATGGGCTTAGGAAACGGCCCACCAGGAAATTATATCTCGCACCTGGCTGGAGGGTCCTACGCCCACGGAGTCTTGCTGATTGCTAGCACAGCAGTCTGAGATCAAACTGTAAGATGGCAGCGAGGCTGGGGGAGGGGCGCCCGCCATTGCCCAGGCTCGCTTAGGTAAACAAAGCAGCCAGGAAGCTCGAACTGGGTGAGCCCACCACAGCTCAAGGGGGCCTGCCTGCCCCTGTAGGCTCCACCTCTGGGGGCAGGGCACAGACCAACAAAAAGACAGCAGTAACCTCTGCAGACTTAAATGTCCCTGTCTGACAGCTTTGAAGAGAGCAGTGGTTCTCCCAGCACACAGCTGGAGATCTGAGAATGGCCAGACTGCCTCCTCAAGTGGGTCCCTGACCCCTGACCCCTGAGCAGCCTAAGTGGGAGGCAAGCCCCAGCAGGGGCAGACTGACACCTCACAAGGCCAGGTACTCCTCTGAGACAAAACTTGCAGAGGAACGATCAGACAGCAGCATTCGCGGTTGATGAAAATCAGCAGTTCTGCAGCCACCGCTGCTGATACCCAGGCAAACAGGGTCTGGAGTGGACCTCTACCAAACTCCAACAGACCTGCAGCTGAGGGTCCTGTCTGTTAGAAGGAAAACTAACAAACAGAAAGGACATCCACACCAAAAACTCATCTGTACATTACCATCATCAAAGACCAAAAGTAGATAAAACCACAAAGATGGGGAAAAAACAGAGCAGAAAAACTGGAAACTCTAAAAAGCAGAGTGCCTCTCCTCCTCCAAAGGAATGCAGTTCCTTACCAGCAACGGAACAAAGCTGGACGGAGAATGACTTTGACGAGGTGAGAGAAGAAGGCTTCAGACGATCAAACTACTCTGAGCTACAGGAGGAAATTCAAACCAAAGGCAAAGAAGTTGAAAACTTTGAAAAAAATTTAGACGAATGTATAACTAGAATAACCAATACAGAGAAGTGCTTAAAGGAGCTGATGGAGCTGAAAACCAAGGCTCAAGAACTACATGAAGAATGCAGAAGCCTCAGGAGCCGATGCGATCAACTGGAAGAAAGGGTATCAGTGATGGAAGACGAAATGAATGAAATGAAGCGAGAAGGGAAGTTTAGAGAAAAAAGAATAAAAAGAAATGAACAAAGCCTCCAAGAAATATGGGACTATGTGAAAAGACCAAATCTACATCTGATTGGTGTACCTGAAAGTGATGGGGAGAATGGAACCAAGTTGGAAAACACTCTGCAGGATATTATCCAGGAGAACTTCCCCAATCTAGCAAGGCAGGCCAACATTCACGTTCAAGAAATACAGAGAACACCACAAAGATACTCCTCGAGAAGAGCAACTCCAAGACACATAATTGTCAGATTCACCAAAGTTGAAATGAAGGAAAATATGTTAAGGGCAGCCAGACAGAAAGGTCGGGTTACCCACAAAAGGAAGCCCATCAGACTAACAGTGGATCTCTCAGCAGAAACTCTACAAGCCAGAAGAGAGTGGGGGCCAATATTCAACATTCTTAAAGAAAAGAATTTTCAACCCAGAATTTCATATCCAGCCAAACTAAGCTTCATAAGTGAAGGAGAAATAAAATACTTACAGAAAGCAAATGCTGAGAGATTTTGTCACCACCAGGCCTGCCCTAAAAGAGCTCCTGAAGGAAGCACTAAACATGGAAAGGAACAACCGGTACCAGCCACTGCAAAATCATGCCAAAATGTAAAGACCATCGAGACTAGGAAGAAACTGCATCAACTAACGAGCAAAATAACCAGCTAACATCATAATGACAGGACCAAATTCACACATAACAATATTAACTTTAAGTGTAAATGGACTAAATGCTCCAATTAAAAGACACAGACTGGCAAATTGGATAAAGAGTCAAGACCCATCAGTGTGCTGTATTCAGGAGACCCATCTCACATGCAGAGACACACATAGGCTCAAAATAAAAGGATGGAGGAAGATCTACCAAGCAAATGGAAAACAAACAAAGGCAGGGGTTGCAATCCTAGTCTCTGCTAAAACAGACTTTAAACCAACAAAGATCAAAAGAGACACAGAAGGCCATTACATAATGGTAAAGGGATCAATTCAACAAGAAGAGCTAACTATCCTAAATATATATGCACCCAATACAGGAGCACCCAGATTCATAAAGCAAGTCCTGAGTGACCTACAAAGAGACTTAGACTCCCACACAATAATAATGGGAGACTTTAACACCACACTGTCAACATTAGACAGATCAATGAGACAGAAAGTTAACAAGGATACCCAGGAATTGAACTCAGCTCTGCACCAAGCGGACCTAATAGACATCTACAGAACTCTCCACCCCAAATTAACAGAATACACATTCTTTTCAGCACCACACCACACCTATTCCAAAATTGACCACATAGTTGGAAGTAAAGCACTCCTCAGCAAATGTAAAAGAACAGAAATTATAACAAACTGTCTCTCAGATCACAGTGCAATCAAACTAGAACTCAGGATTAAGAAACTCACTCAAAACTGCTCAACTACACGGAAACTGAACAACCTGCTCCTGAATGACTACTGGGTACATAACAAAATAAAGACAGAAATAAAGATGTTCTTTGAAATCAAAGAGAACAAAGACACAACATACCAGAATCTCTGGGACACATTCAAAGCAGTGTGTAGAGGGAAATTTATAGCACTAAATGCCCACAAGAGAAAGCAGGAAAGATCCAAAATTGACACCCTAACATCACAATTAAAAGAACTAGAAAAGCAAGAGCAAACACATTCAAAAGCTAGCAGAAGGCAAGAAATAACTAAAATCAGAGCAGAACTGAAGGAAATAGAGACGTAAAAAACCCTTCAAAAAATTAATGAATCCGGGAGCTCGTTTTTTGAAAGGATCAACAAAATTGATAGACCACTAGCAAGACTAATAAAGAAAAAAAGAGAGAAGAATCAAATAGATGCAATAAAAAATGATAAAGGAGATATTACCACTGATCCCACAGAAATACAAACTACCATCAGAGAATACTACAAACACCTCTACGCAAATAAACTAGAAAATCTAGAAGAAATGGATAAATTCCTCGACACATACACTCTTCCAAGACTAAACCAGGAAGAAGTTGAATCTCTGAATAGATCAATAACAGGATCTGAAATTGTGGCAATAATCAATAGCTTACCAACCAAAAAGAATCCAGGACCAGATGGATTCACAGCCGAATTCTACCAGAGGTACAAGGAGGAACTGGTAGCATTCCTTCTGAAACTATTCCAATCAATAGAAAAAGAGGGAATCCTCCCTAACTCATTTTATGAGGCCAGCATCATCCTGATACCAAAGCTGGGCAGAGACACAACCAAAAAAGAGAATTTTAGACCAATATCCTTGATGAACATTGATGCAAAAATCCTCAATAAAATACTGGCAAACCAAATCCAGCAGCACATCAAAAAGCCTATCCACCATGATGAAGTGGGCTTCATCCCTGGGATGCAAGGCTGGTTCCATATATGCAAATCAGTAAATGTAATCCAGCATATAAACAGCCAAAGACAAAAACCACATGATTATCTCAATAGATGCAGAAAAGGCCTTTGACAAAATTCAACAACACTTCATGCTAAAAACTCTCAATAAATTAGGTATTGATAGGACGTATCTCAAAATAATAGGAGCTATTTATGACAAACCCACAGCCAATATCATACTGAATGGGCAAAAACTGGAAGCATTCCCTTTGAAAACTGGCACAAGACAGGGATGCCCTCTCTCACCACTCCTATTCAACATAGTGTTGGAAGTTCTGGCCAGGGCAATTAGGCAGGAGAAGGAAATAAAGGGTATTCAATTAGGAAAAGAGGAAGTCAAATTGTCTCTGTTTGCAGATGACATGATTGTATATCTAGAAAACCCCATTGTCTCAGCCCAAAATCTCCTTAAGCTGATAAGCAACTTCAGCAAAGTCTCAGGACACAAAATCAATGTACAAAAATCACAAGCATTCTTATACACCAATAACAGACAAACAGAGAGCCAAATCATGAGTGAACTCCCATTCACAATTGCTTCAAAGAGAATAAAATACCTAGGAATCCAACTTACAAGGGATGTGAAGGACCTCTTCAAGGAGAACTACAAACCACTGCTCAACGAAATAAAAGAGGATACAAACAAATGGAAGAACATTCCATGCTCATGGGTAGGAAGAATCAATATCGTGAAAATGGCCATACTGCCCAAGGTAATTTATAGATTCAATGCCATCCCCATCAAGCTACCAATGACTTTCTTCACAGAATTGGAAAAAACTACTTTAAAGTTCATTTGGAACCAAAAAAGAGCCCGCATCGCCAAGTCAACCCTAAGCCAAAAGAACAAAGCTGGAGGCATCACGCTACCTGACTTCAAACTATACTACAAAGCTACAGTAACCAAAACAGCATGGTACTGGTACCAAAACAGAGATATAGATCAATGGAACAGAACAGAGCCCTCAGAAATAACGCCACATATCTACAACTATCTGATCTTTGACAAACCTGAGAAAAACAAGCAATGGGGAAAGGATTCCCTATTTAATAAATGGTGCTGGGAAATCTGGCTAGCCATATGTAGAAAGCTGAAACTGGATCCCTTCCTTACACCTTATACAAAAATTAATTCAAGATGGATTAAAGACTTAAACGTTAGACCTAAAACCGTAAAAACTCTAGAGGAAAACCTAGGCATTACCATTCAGGACATAGGCATGGGCAAGGACTTCATGTCTAAAACACCAAAAGCAATGGCAACCAAAGCCAAAATTGACAAATGGGATCTAATTAAACTAAAGAGCTTCTGCACAGCAAAAGAAACTACCATCAGAGTGAACAGGCAACCTACAAAATGGGAGAAAATTTTTGCAACCTACTCATCTGACAAAGGGCTAATATCCAGAATCTACAATGAACTCAAACAAATTTACAAGAAAAAAAAAACAACCCCATCAAAAAGTGGGCAAAGGATATGACAAACACTTCTCAAAAGAAGACACTGATGCAGCCAAAAGACACGTGAAAAAATGCTCATCATCACTGGCCATCAGAGAAATGCAAATCAAAACCACAATGAGATACCATCTCACACCAGTTAGAATGGCAATCATTAAAAAGTCAGGAAACAACAGGTGCTGGAGAGGATGTGGAGAAATAGGAATACTTTTACACTGTTGGTGGGACTGTAAACTAGTTCAACCATTGTGGAAGTCAGTGTGGCGATTCCTCAGGGATCTAGAACTAGAAATACCATTTGACCCAGCCATCCCATTACTGGGTATATACCCAAAGGACTATAAATCAGGCTGCTATAAAGACACATGCACATGTATGTTTATTGTGGCACTATTCACAATAGCAAAGACTTGGAACCAACCCAAATGTCCAACAATGATAGATTGGATTAAGAAAATGTGGCACATATACACCATGGAATACTACGCAGCCATAAAAAATGATGAGTTCATGTCCTTTGTAGGGACATGGATGAAATTGGAAATCATCATTCTCAGCAAACTATCGCAAGGACAAAAAACCAAACACCACATGTTCTCACTCATAGGTGGGAATTGAACAATGAGAACACATGGACACAGGAAGGGGAACATCACACTCTGGGGACTGTTGTGGGGTGGGGGGAGGGGGGAGGGATAGGATTAGGAGATATACCTAATGTTAAATGACGAGTTAATGGGTGCAGCACCCCAGCATGGCACATGTATACATATGTAACTAAGCGGCACATTGTGCACATGTACCCTAAAACTTAAAGTATAATAATAATAAAAAAAAGAAAAATATACAAAATCCAGTAGCAATCTTGTATGTCATAAATAACCAATTAGAAAATATAATAAAAGAGATCCTAGGCCTGACACTAAGAAATATATATATGTAATATTTTTAAAATAAACTCAATGAGAGATATGACCTAAGAAAAACTACAAAACTTAACTGATAAATGTAAAATAACTTAAATAAAGAGACATCTTTTGTTTCTGGATAGAAAAACTAAATGTAAGAATATTAGGCCAGGTGCCATGGCTCATGCCTGTAATCTCAGCACTTTGGGAGGCTGAGGTGGGCAGATTCCTTGAGCTCAGGAGGTCCAGACCAGCCTAGACAACATGGCGAAACCCCATCTCTACTAAAAACACAAAAATTAGCCACGCATGGTAGTGCACGCCTGTAATCCCAGCTACTTGGGAGGCTGAGTTGGGAGGATCAGGATCACCTGAGCCCGGGGGGTAGCGGCTGTGGTGAGCCGTGATCATGCCATTGCACTCCAGCCTGGGTGACAGAGTGAGACCTTGTCTCAGACAAAAAAAAAACAACAAAAAAAAAAACCACCAAGCCCAAAAGTTATAGCCCCAGATATGGATGGATGTGGCTCATAACACATGATGAACTGATGTAGCTGTTAGATGTTTGCAGTGCATGCATGTGCTCACTATGTGCATAACTGCGTGGCTTGGTTTAACTGGACACAGTTTTCCGCATTTGCCTATTTCCTGATGATGAAATTGCACATTGCACATAAGCAAAGGCAAAATTCACATTCTGCTCTAATTGTTGCCTAATATATCAATTGCCTTGGAATAAAAACAATCGTTATAGCAGAACTGACTATAAAATAACTGTTTTACTTTGAAAGATAAACTGCTTGGAGTACTTTATAAAAGTTAAGTCTTGCTTAACAAATATTAAAACATAGTAAAGCATCTATTATTTACAATGTTGTGTTGGGAGAAGAAACTGGAAACCACATGAACGTGCATAAATAGGGGACTGGTTAAATAAATGAAGGACCAACCATACTGCAGAACACTTAGACAGCCATTTAAGAGTGAAGTGGGCCGGTTGCGATGGCTCACGCCTGTAATCTTAACACTTTGGGAGGCTGAGGCAGGTGGATCACTTGAGATCAGGAATTCAAGACCAGCCTGGCCAATGTGGTGAAACCCCATCTCTACTAAAAATACAAAAATTAGCCGGGAGTGGTGGCAGACACCTGTAATCTCAGCTACTCAGGAGGCTGAGGCAGGAGAATCGCTTGAACCCGGGAGGTGGAGATTGCAGTGAGCCAAGATCTTGCGCCACTACACTCCAGCCTGGGCAACAGAGCGAGATTCTGTCTCAAAACAAACAAACAAAAGAGTGAGGTGGATCCATGACTGCTGATCTGGTAAGCAGTCCAAAATATACTTTTAAGAAAAAAAAAGAATAAAGGGCAAAAGAATATGTATGCAATGTCATATTTGTATTTTTAAAAGGATATATGTCTTTGTATTCCATGTATTTTCTTGTATAGGTACAGAATCTGGAAGAAAGAAAAATAAACTGTTAACAGTAGGGATATCAGCTGGATGCAGTGGCTCATGCCTGTAATCCCAGCACTTTGGGAGGCTGAGGCAGGTGGATCACGAGGTCGGGAGTTCAAGACCAGCCTGGCCAAGATGGCAAAACCCCGTCTCTACTAAAAATACAAAAATTAGCTGGGCATGGTAGTGGGCGCCTGTAACCCCAGCTACTCGGGAGGCTGAGGCAGAGAATTGCTTGAACCCGGGAGGCGGAGGTTGCAGTGAGCCGAGATGACGCCACTGCACTCCAGCCTGGGTGACAGAGCGAGACTCCGTCTCAAAAACAAACAAAACAAAACAAACAAACAAACAAAAAACAGTAGGGATATCACATTGGGTGGGAGGAGATTTTTACTTTTTATTTTATATTCTCTCACTCTGTCACATGAACATGTTTTGCTCTTGTAATTTTTTTTTTTTGAGACAGTGTCTTGCTCTGTTGCCCAGGCTGGAGAACAGTGGTGCAATCATAGCTTACTGCAGCCTCATACTCCTGGGCTCAAAAGATCCTCCTGCCTCAGCCTCCCCAGTAGCTACGGCTACAGGCACAAACCACCATTCCCAGCTATTTTTTTGTAGAGGTAGGATTTAGCTATGTTGCTCAGGCTGGTCTTGAGCTCCTGGCCTCAAGTGATCCTCCTGCCTCAGCCTCCCAAACTGCTGGGATTAGAGGTGTGAGCTGCAGCATCTGGCCTGCTTCTGTAATTTTTAAATTAAAAGCTAATTTTAATGTGCTAAAACTGGAACTGGGACTAAAATAAATAAATAAATAAATAAATTTAACATGCTAGCATAAATTCAGTCACAAATGGAAAAATAGAAAATCTAGAAATATATGCTAGTATATTTAAGAATTTAATACATGATAAAGTACATATCATCAAAGTCGAAGAATGAGTAATGAATTGTGTTAGACTGACTGATTTGTATTTTGGCAAAAATTCAAGTTACATATGTATATATATTTCACATTTTGTATATCAAAGGAAATTCAAAATATATTAAGAGTTATGTAGAAAAAATGGGATATCATCTAGGAAAGTGTGGTCATTTCTAAACTTTTAATTTCTTTTTCTTTTTTGAGACAGGGTCTTGCTTTGTTGATGGAGTGCAGTGGAGTGATCTCAGTTTACTGCAGCCTTGACCTCCCAGGCTCAAGTGATTCTCTCATTTCAGCCTACCGAGTAGCTGGGACTGCAGGCACGCACCACCATGCCTGGCTAATTTTTGTATTTTTAGTAGGGACAGGGTTTCGCCATGTTGCCCAGGCTGGTCTCAAACTCCTGAGCTCAAGAGATCCACCCACCTTGGCCTTCCAAAGTGCTGGAATTACAGGCATAAGCCACCGTGCCTGGCCTCAACTTTTAATTAAAAGAAAATCAAATATATGGATAATTTGAGTAGTATAAGCAATACCCATATTGTTCACCTAGATTCACCACTTTTCAACATTTGTCACATTTGCTCTGTCTCTCTCCACACACATGCACACACACATTATTTTTGCCGAGCCATTTTCAAGTTTATTACACTTCATCCCTAAATATTTAGCACATATCTCCTAAGAACAAGGACATTCTTTCCTACATAACCTCAATATTGTTATCATGCACAAGAAATTAATATTGATACAGTATCATTAGCTAATATACAGGCCACATTCAAATTTCTGCTATAGTCCCAATCATCTCCTTTATAGATGTTTTTTTAGAATTCCAATCCAAGTTCCAGCTGGGGACCATGCACTTCATAGTGTCATGACTCTCAGTCTCCTTTAGTTCCTTTAGAACAGTCCCCCTACCTAAAAAAAAAAAATCTTTCTTTTTCTTTTCTGGTTTTTTTGAGACAGAGTTTTGCTGTTGTTGCCCAGGCTGGAGTGCAATGGCATGATCTCGGCTCACCTGCAACCTCCGCCTCCCAGGTTCAAGCGATTCTCCTGCCTCAGCCTCCCGAGTAGCTGGGATTACAGGCAAGCGTCATCACACCCGGCTAATTTTTGTATTTTTAGTAGAGATGGGGTTTCTCCATGTTGGTCAGGCTGGTCTCGAACTCCTGACCTCAGGTGATCCACACGCCTTAGCCTCCCAAAGTGCTGGGATTACAAGTGTGAGCCACCGTGCCTGGCAAAAAATCTTTCAAGACATTTGCAGAACTCTAGCTAGTTGTCTTTTGTCATATAGAATGTCTTACAATCTGGATTTTTCTGGTTACATCCTCACAACTAGTTTCAGGGTTAAACGTTTTTGGCAAAAATATGTCATGGATGATATGTACTTCTCATTGCATCACATCTGCTGGCATATAATGTCAGTTTGCCCCATTATTTGTGGTGCTAAACTTGATCACTTAGCTAAGGTGTTTTCCACCAGATTTCTCCATTATAAAGTTACTGTTGTAGGAAGAATATTGGCCCCCGTGACTTTTTCCCTTGGTGCTTGTTAGAGCAGTGAATATGTTTCACTGTATGGAAAATGGGCTTTTGCAGAGGTAATTAAAGTTACCAACTGGCCAGTGCAGTGGCTCACACCTGTAATCTCAGCACTTTGGGAGGCTGAGGAGGGCAGATCACTTAAGGTCAGGAGTTCGAAGCCAGCCTGGCCAACATGGTGAAACTCTGTCTCTACTAAAAGTACAAAAATTAGCTGGGCATGGTGGCGCATGCCTGTAGTCCCAGCTGCTCGGGAGGCTGAGGCAGGCGGATCGCTTGAACCTGGGAGGCAGAGATTGCAGTGAGCCAAGATCGCACCACTGCACCAGCCTGGGCGATAGAGTGAGACTCTGTCTCAAAAACAAAACAAAACAAACAAAAAACACAAAACAAAAAACCCTAATACAGGACCTTTCCCTTTATAATTAAACTATAATCTGTTGGGTGGTATTTTGAGGTCATGTGAATATTTTGCTTCCCAACACCCAGGATCATCTATTGATTATCCTTGCCTGAATCAGTTATTACTTTGGTGAGTGCAAAATGGTGGTTTTCTTTCTTTTTTTCCCTCAACTGAATTACATTTTATTTATTCATTTTATTTTTGGCTTTATTGAAGTATAGTTGTAAATAAAAATTGTATATTTTTAAAAGTGTACAACATGATGTTTTTATATATGTATAATATAGTGAAATGATTATCATAATGAGGCTAATTAACATATCCCTCACCTCACATAATTACTATTTTTTGATGTGATAAGAACATTTATGCTCTATTCTCAGCAAATTTCAAGTATATACATGAATATACAATACTATTAACTGTATCAAGCATAATACAGTGTTATAACTATAATGACCATGCTGCACGTTAGATCCCCAGAACTTAGTCATCTTGCATAACTGAAACTCTACATCCTTTGACCAACATCTAGGCAAATTTACAGAGGCAAAAAAATTGATTTGTGGTTGCCTAGGGATACGGTGAGGGGATTGGGAGAAAATGGGGAGTGTCTGGGAATGGGTACAGGGTTTCTTTTTGGAATGATGAAATGTTCTAAAACTGATTGTAGTGATGGATACACAACTCTGTGACTGTATACTAAATCCTATTGAATTGTACTCTTTAAAAGACTGGATTTCATGGCATTTGGATTTTATCTCTGTGATAAATAATCAATCTCATAATCCAATCAATCACCTAATCTAAGCAACCAGATCATATACACTAATATATCGTTCCAAATATGTATCAAGTTTTTCTTGAGTACTTTCCATGTGCCAGGCAGGAAGACTTGACTTCATAATCTCATCTAAGCATCACAACAACCTTGTGAAATATGTATATTATGTCCAGAAACTGAGGCTCAGGGATGTTAGGTAATCCACAGTGGCTGAGCTGTGAGTTTAACCTAGGTGCAATTCCAAACACAGCACTCCTAACGTCTATGTAATAAGGTTTCAGTTGTATAGTGTGTGTTTTCTTTCCCTAGTTAGATTAGGACTAGGAGGGCAAGGATTTTATTTTATGTTTCCTTCATAGTCTCTTCATTGCTGTACCAGCTACTACACATAGTGCTCAATAAATGCTCAATAAATACTTAATGAATGCCAAATGGAGCTGCAGCTGGTTGAAAATACCAATTCTTTCAGAACGGATTTAGATTTTAGATTCATGGGTAATATATTCATCATGGATCATTAAAAGAAGCAAGGATATTTGAGTCCATCCTTAGTCCCCAAGATGTCTTGGTGGAGCAGGGACCACACTTTCACAACCTTTGGTGCTTTCTTATGAGTAAGAATTGATTGGGTCAGATGGATTATGGATCTGACCCAATGTGATCATTCGTAGATTCTTCGGGTCCTTTTCTGTTTCCTAGTATCTCCTAGCCTAAACGGACCTACCCTGCTGCTGATGCCTCTCCCTGTTTGTCTTTCCTTGTGGCCACATCCCTCTTCTTGTTCATTTGAATAAGATATGGTGCCTACGGGAGGCAGGCATTGAAGTCCAACAGGCCAGGTTTTATCAAAGGTGGTCAACAATAATTATGGTGTGGTGTCAAACAAGTCATGCCTCTGAGCCTCAGCTTACACATCAATAAAATGGAACTAAACAAGCTTCCTCCTCCAAGATGTTGGTATTGTCAGAATTTCACATTTAATAGTTTAATATTTATAGGCAGCTGGAGACACATTATAGAGAGATTGGGGCCTATAAATCAATTTAGACTGGATTAATTATCTGTATACAGGTGGCTTGAAATCATCTTCCATTCTCCTGCTGCCTGCATTAGAAACACCCACAGCTGAGCGTGAGAGCTGAAGGGTCAGGGTCAGATGTGTAGACAAGAAAGCTAAGGAAGAAAGACTGAGAGTGAGGTGGAGACTCCCCTGCTGTGTTCCGCTTCACTCCTGACACACACACACACACACACACACACACACACACACACACGCACCCAACTCCCCCCCATCACACCCCACCTACCTTCCCCATTCCTGCCCAGAATCACTGGTCCTAACAGGGCACAGAGGTGGAAAATCTCATGGGTTCTTTGGCCAGGAAGCCTCTTATTGTCCTGTTCTGACGACCAGCGAGACAAATGGGAAAAGACTGCCCTCCCCCTTTTCTCGCTCCCCGGCACGCCAGGCTTGCTAGTGAGGATGGGACGCAGTCTCAGGCCCCACGCAATCCTTTTGCAAAGCCAAGAAGTGTGTGTGTTGTGTGTGTGTGTGTGTGTGTGTGTGTGTGTGTGTGTGTGTATTGTGTGTAGCGAGGAGGATTGGGGGTGGGATCCCATGACGTTACCGGCTCCGCCTCCTGGTGTATATAAGGGGCGCTTGGCGCGCAACGACCCCAAGCCGCAGCTTTGAAGCCTGAGCGGCCGAACTCGGCAGCTCCAACCCAACTCGGCTTAACTCCGCCTCACCGAGCCCAGTCCAAGACTCTGTGCTCCCTAGGTTTGCAACAGCTCTCTGGTAAGCGTTGGGGACCCACACGTGTGTCGGAGGGGGGACGGCGAGGGTCCGGGCGTACCTAGGATTCTCTGGCAACCATGGCATGCAGTTGCATCAACGGGGCCGTGACCTGTTGCTGGCGAGACCCCCGCCCCGGGAGTTAGGGCTCCCGTCTCCACCCCAGCTCCAAACCATTTCTAGATGGGGGCAGGAAAATCTGGGACCTGAGTCGGGGGGCATCGGGTGGAACCCTTCCTCTCTGCTGAGAGGAGAGTGCGAGCAATCTCGGGCTGCCCTGGGGCCCCTCTGGGGGCGCATCTCCAAATCTTTAGATGTCGAAGCCCCGCCTCGCTGTTGATGCTTGCAGGTCAGCCTAGCAGGGCTTGGGAGGAAGTAGGGGAACATTTGCTTACTCCCCTGGGCGACAGCTGCGCTAGTTGAGCAGTGTGGGCTTGGTGAGGAGGGATGGAATTGAGTCGGTGCTCACTTTTAATCTGCAGCGAGGTTGGTCCCCTCTCCCTCTGGGGGGTCTGGGGGCTGTGTCTGTTTGAAGCCCCGGGGGAAGCCCCTGGGTGGAGCTCTGTTTAATTCCCAAATAGCCACAGGCCAAGGAACTGACACATTAGGTTTCAAGATTCCTGGGTTGAGATTAGGATAAACCCTATCAGTTTCTGGCAAGAGAAAGAGACCTAATATTGATTGAGCACTTACTAGGCGCCAGCCACTCTACTTCAGGGGGCTTTCACGTGCCATTTCTGAAATTAGCCCTTCCAAAAACCTTGTAAGGTATTGTAATTCCTACTTGTTTATGAAGAAACTGAGGTTAGAGGTAAAGTGACTTGCCTTTGTCCCTTCCATATCCCCGTCCTCATTTCCCAATAGCTCCTTTGCTTGGTGGAGGGGGTCTTGTAATTCGCTTTCAGAGTTTAGGGATAATGAGCCCTGTCGAGGGGTTTTTGTCTTGTTTTTCACCAGATCATCTTCTTCAATTCCTGCTAGGATGCCGTGGCAAGCATTTCGCAGATTTGGTCAAAAGCTGGTACGCAGACGTACACTGGAGTCAGGCATGGCTGAGACTCGCCTTGCCAGATGCCTAAGCACCCTGGATTTAGTGGCCCTGGGTGTGGGCAGCACATTGGGTGCAGGCGTGTATGTCCTAGCTGGCGAGGTGGCCAAAGATAAAGCAGGGCCATCCATTGTGATCTGCTTTTTGGTGGCTGCCCTGTCTTCTGTGTTGGCTGGGCTGTGCTATGCGGAGTTTGGTGCCCGGGTTCCCCGTTCTGGTTCGGCATATCTCTACAGCTATGTCACTGTGGGTGAACTCTGGGCCTTCACCACTGGCTGGAACCTCATCCTCTCCTATGTCATTGGTGAGATATGGTGGGGGAGGGAGGGAACTGCACAGCCAGCAAAGGGGTTTTTGGTCAGGAAATCTGGGTGGAAGTATTCTTTATATTATTCACAGGACCTCAATCTCCCTAAATGTGCGGGTTTGCTGGGGGTCTGGGGGGGGGTGTTGAAGGTGTGGAGAAATTGCTCATTCTATCCATCTCCGTCCTGGTTTCCTTAATTAAGTGAATGGTTTTGGTTCTTAAAAAGTAATAATAGGCCAGGTGCAGTGGCTCACGCCTATAATCCCAACACTTTGGGAAGCCGAGGCAGACAGATCACCTGAGGTCAGGAGTTCAAGACCAGCCTGGCCAACCTGGTGAAACCCTGTCTCTACTAAAAATACAAAAGTTAGCCGCGCAGGGTGGCTTACACCTGTAGTCCCAACTACTCAGGAGGTTGAGGCAGGAGAATCTCTTGAACCTAGGAGGCAGAGGTTGCAGGGAGAGGAGATTGTGCCACTGCACTCCATCCTGGGTGACAGAGTGAGACTTGGTCTCAAAACAAAACAAAAGTAAGAATAGGTGAAAAAGGCAGGGACTTGTGTGAGCCTGGGGTCTGGGAAGAAGGGAACTTGGCCACATGTTTCTCTCTCTGCTACACCAGGTACAGCCAGTGTGGCCCGGGCCTGGAGCTCTGCTTTTGACAACCTGATTGGGAACCACATCTCTAAGACTCTGCAGGGGTCCATTGCACTGCACGTGCCCCATGTCCTTGCAGAATATCCAGATTTCTTTGCTTTGGGCCTCGTGTTGCTGCTCACTGGTGAGGCAAAGAGCAGGGTATAATGGTGGGGGTTGGGCCAGGAGGGGCTAGTCCTTGGGGCCAGGGATAAGGATGGGGGATGGGCCTGAGAAAGGCTTAAGGGAGGTGATAATGGTGGGGAAGAAGAAAAGCTGGGAAGGAACCTAGAGGCAGGGAAACAAAGCTTGGACTGAAGACTTTCTGGGAGTCCTGAATGCATTTCTCCCACAGGATTGTTGGCTCTCGGGGCTAGTGAGTCGGCCCTGGTTACCAAAGTGTTCACAGGCGTGAACCTTTTGGTTCTTGGGTTCGTCATGATCTCTGGCTTCGTTAAGGGGGACGTGCACAACTGGAAGCTCACAGAAGAGGACTACGAATTGGCCATGGCTGAACTCAATGACACCTATAGGTTAGATGGTCACTCTTAGGAGCTGCAGAGCTGGGAAAATGAAGGGGAAGAAGGGGATCTGCTGAAGGATTCTGGATGGGGATGGGAAAAAATGGGAGGCTGGGCTTTGAAGACCTAGCTAACTGGTTTGGCATTAGAGAAAAGATACAGAGTTGGCTGAACACACCCTTACCTTCTCCAACCCTTCTTCCACTCTAGCTTGGGTCCTCTGGGCTCTGGAGGATTTGTGCCTTTCGGCTTCGAGGGAATTCTCCGTGGAGCAGCGACCTGTTTCTATGCATTTGTTGGTTTCGACTGTATTGCTACCACTGGTAACACAGTCATTCCATTCTGTTTGGGGCTTGGGCACAGTGTGTGCCCAGGCTGTATGCAGACTGGGGGTGGTAGAGGAGTGGGCCTGCTTCCCTAATTTAGAACCTTACGCCCTTCCTTCAGGAGAAGAAGCCCAGAATCCCCAGCGTTCCATCCCGATGGGCATTGTGATCTCACTGTCTGTCTGCTTTTTGGCGTATTTTGCTGTCTCTTCTGCACTCACCCTGATGATGCCTTACTACCAGCTTCAGCCTGAGAGCCCTTTGCCTGAGGCATTTCTCTACATTGGATGGGCTCCTGCCCGCTATGTTGTGGCTGTTGGCTCCCTCTGTGCTCTTTCTACCAGGTCAGTATCAAATGTTTGTTTTCTTCTGCTGTCAGAGTCTCAGGTTATAGCATTCAGTACCAGAGAATACCCCTTAAAAGGGCTGTGAGGGGAAAGTGGAGACTCTTTAAACATACAGTCTTGGGAAGAGAGATCCCAGTCAACTCATGCCACCCTGGGCATTCTCCTCTCCAGCCTCCTGGGCTCCATGTTCCCCATGCCTCGGGTGATCTACGCGATGGCAGAGGATGGCCTCCTGTTCCGTGTACTTGCTCGGATCCACACCGGCACACGCACCCCAATCATAGCCACCGTGGTCTCTGGCATTATTGCAGGTAACAGACCCTCTTTCCCCTTCCCTTAGTTGTTTCGCCAACTTCTTTAACTTTGCCACTCCCTTCTCTCATTTCTTGTTTCCTGCCTATTAATTTTAGCATTCATGGCATTCCTCTTCAAACTCACTGATCTTGTGGACCTCATGTCAATTGGGACCCTGCTTGCTTACTCCCTGGTGTCGATTTGTGTTCTCATCCTCAGGTGAGACTCTTCCTCTGCATACTGTGATTTGGATTTTTATTCTTGGATGAGGAATGATGGAGATCTGCTCCTCTTTCCTCCTTCGCCTTCATTATTCCAACTTTCTTTGAGGAATCTGGGTATCTCACCCTGCCAAAAAGAACTTCCCTTAATGGTGATGAGGAAGGTTAAGCTGCCTGGGAGAAGATGATAAAGTGAGTAAAGGTTGTTCTTAATACTGCCATCTTACTTTTGCCTCAGGTATCAACCTGATCAGGAGACAAAGACTGGGGAAGAAGTGGAGTTGCAGGAGGAGGCAATAACTACTGAATCAGAGAAGTTGACCCTATGGGGACTATTTTTCCCACTCAACTCCATCCCCACTCCACTCTCTGGCCAAATTGTCTATGTTTGTTCCTCATTGCTTGGTGAGCAGTGGAATTTTTCTGGGGTGGCTCTGAGATCAGCGTGATTGGGTCGAAGTGTGTGGCATTTGGTGGCTGAGGAAGAACTAGAGAGAGAGCGACTCTCCTTGGAACAGGGTTTCTAATGTCTTAGCATGTTGGTCTTAAGAGTTGGTTTTGATGTCTCTCAACTTGACCTTTGAAGCTGTCCTGCTGACTGCTCTTTGCCTGGTGCTGGCCCAGTGGTCAGTTCCATTGCTTTCTGGAGACCTGCTGTGGACTGCAGTGGTTGTGCTGCTCCTGCTGCTCATTATTGGGATCATTGTGGTCATCTGGAGACAGCCACAGAGTTCCACTCCCCTTCACTTTAAGGTAAATGAACTCTGTCTTTTTTCCTTGCCAGCCCATCTTGGGAGAATAGGCTCCAGATATCTTGAGGTCTAATAAAGTTCATAGATATTCTTTAATTGAACATGAAAGGGAAGATATAGGAGGTACCTAGGCCAAAGACTTCTTCTCTGACCCTCTTTAGTTCCTTTCCAGTTCCATTTACCCAAACTGCATATTCTTGGAGTCTCATGAGGTATGCTAAATGAGCAGCTACTGAAATGCAGAGGACAAGTAAGAGTTGGACTCACCCTTTTCTGGCCTGCATAGGATAGGGATCTCTTTCTAGGTCAACCTGTGGTATGTACAAAGAAGATTTTACTTTGTTTTCAGGTGCCTGCTTTGCCTCTCCTCCCACTAATGAGCATCTTTGTGAATATTTACCTTATGATGCAGATGACAGCTGGTACCTGGGCCCGATTTGGGGTCTGGATGCTGATTGGTAGGTATCCACTTGGGAAGAGTAGGCTTCTTTGGTGTCCTAGCCCAGCTCCTTTCCCTCTTGGTCTCAAGTAGGAAACCTATGAAGCCTTTACACCCCCACCTCACAGCTACCTTTCCCCACTAGGCTTTGCTATCTACTTCGGCTATGGGATCCAGCACAGCCTGGAAGAGATTAAGAGTAACCAACCCTCACGCAAGTCTAGAGCCAAAACTGTAGACCTTGATCCCGGCACTCTCTATGTCCACTCAGTTTGACATCGTCACACCTAAATGCTGTCTGGTCCCCTGCACAATAATGGAGAGTACTCCTGACCCCAGTGACAGCTAGCCCTCCCCTGTGATGGTGGTGGTGGATACTAATACAGTTCTGTACGATGTGAAGGATGTGTCTTTGCTATTTCTTGTCTATTTTAACCCGTCTGCTTCTAAATGATGTCTAGCTGCTTACCAACTTTAAAAAATGATATTAAAAGAAAGTAGAAAAATAAACTGTGTCCTGTTTTTTGCTTGCTAAAGATGTAGAGCCTGACTTTTAAGAGTGAAGAGCCTCAGAGAAGTGTCCTTTGTGTTTTCTTCAGTTACCACAAAAGCATCTGCTGTGCCTGTGGGTGCTTCTTGTTGAATCAGGGTTTGAGGAGGGTGGTGTAAGTAGGTAGCCATCCAGTCCAGTCACACTTAAAGGAATGGTCTTGAGATATGTTTTCCCCTCATTACACTTAAGGTTAGGTTCTGGATAAGTAGACAGCAACACTTGTCTCTGGGATTTGGGGTGGACTCTGATAGCAACACTGACATTGGTTAGGGCCTACACTGAAACTATTGGCTTCTGTTCCACCTCTTCTAGTTGGACCAGTCCCACACTCCTGTAACTGCCTGAGCATCAGAAATTTTGGCTGCGGTGTTTGGCACTGCTGGGAGGAGGGGTGGATAGTCAGGGGGTTTGGTAAGGGACCACATATATTAATATATGGATACTGTTTGCTGCAGAAGTAGTAGGAAAATAGAGGTCAGAGCTCTGCTCAGAACGAGAACTATTCATTCATCCATTTATTCAACAAACATAGGTGAAGCTCCTATAAAACGTTAGGTCCTGTGGTGGGTGCTGGGGATACAAATGTGAATAAAACATAATCCCCACCCTTAAGGAACTCACAATCTTGTGGAGGAGACAAGCAGGTAAATATGACTACAAAACAGTGTGATTTGTACCAGGGCAGTGCAGAGTGCTGTGGAAGCACAAAGAAGGACATGCTTGAACTGAGTCTGCAGTAGATGCTTAAGAAGTGGACTGAGGGAAGGGCTTGGCTGTCAGTGTACAGTGTGCAAGAAACCACGGAAGTATGAAAAAACATTCAAATTGTGTTTGGGGTGTGGCATACAGTTTAATGTAGCTGGAGGGTAGCACATATGCAGCTGTGGTAAAAGATAAAAGGCTGTATACATGGCCTTGTATACTAAGGAATTTAGATGTTATAAGTGTGTGTGCAGAGAAAAAGAAGTGGGAAGGCCAGGTGCGGTGGCTCACGCCTGTAATCCCAACACTGGGAGGCTGAGGTGGCCGGATCGCTTGAGCTCAGGAGTTGCAGGCCAACCTGGGCAATATAGTGAGACCCTGTTTCTACAAAAAAATAGAAAAAATTAGCTGGACGTGGTGGTGCACATCTATAGTCCCAGCTACTCAGGAGGCTGAGGTGGAAGGGATCCCTTGAGCCTGGGAAGTTGAGTCTGTAGTGAGCTGTGATAGTGCCACTGTACTTCTGCCTGGGTGACAGAGTGAGACTCTGTTTCAAAAAAGAAAAAAAAAAAGGTGGGGAGTCACTGGACAACTCTAAGCAGGGGGATGGTTGGATTTGTGAGTGTGAGTCTGGCAGCAGCAAGGAAGATGGCTTGGAAGTGAGTGGGACAAGCTAGAGCAGGAAGATAATAGCTACCATTTATTGAGCATTTATTATATTCCATTACTCTGCATACAATCTCATTAAGTCTTTTCAATAACCCTGTGAAATAGATGTTAAGATAGTTATTTTTTGCAGATGAAGAAACAGGCTTTAGGTGAGAAATACGCTTTAGGTCACATAATGTAGAAAGGTCAGAGCCAGGAAAGAAGCCCAGTTTTGTTTGACTCTGCAGCTTATACTCTAACCACTATGCAACATTGCTAGTAGTAACTGACTGCAGTCATTTGGGCAAAATATTTCAGAATTTTGATCAGTTGAATGCAGGGGGTAAAAAAGAAGTGAGTGACATCCAGGTAAAGTTTCTAGGTGAATGATCAAACCATTAACTAATATAAGGGAGCATAAGAGGAAAAGAATATTTGGAAAATAATAATTCAGTTCCAGGTATGATGAGTTTATAAACATACATGTGCTTTTAGCTTCATATATAGATGAAGATATACAGTCCTGCAGTTGAAATTTGGAGCTAGGATAGAGGTCTGGGCTAAAGTTATAGATTTAGGAGTCAACAACTCAGAGGACAAATATAATGTGATAGAATCTGTGTGGGGCCAAAGATGACCTTCGGGCAAAATAAACTAAATCAAAAGAAAAAATATATTTTGCGGCACAAATTGTATAATTTCCTTTATACACAAACAGCTCTTACAGATCAATAGGAAAGAAGTGAACAACCTGATAGAAAAATTAGCAAAGGATGTAAATAGTTTTCAGAAAAGAATATAAAACACCAACAAATAGAAGAGGCATGCTCAACTTCACTATTAAAGAAGTACGAATGAAAACAAACATGAGGTGTTAGTTCTTACCTTACAGACTGACAAACAAATTTAGATGACTAGGCAAAAGTGAGGCAATAAAGAAAGTGAGGCAAAAGTGAGGGTAAACAGGCAGTCTCATGCATGATGGTGCTGTACATTCTTGTTAAGTTTTGTGGAGGGCAATTTGATGATAAGAATTAAAAACACGTTCCTTTTCGTCTGACAATTCCACCCCACCACCTGAATTTTAAAATTTACATATGTATAGAAAAAATTTACATACGTACAAGGATGTTTACTTTTCTTTTTCTTTTTTTTTTGAGACCGGGTCTCATTCTGTTACCCAGGCTGGAGTGCAGTGGTGCAATCACAGCTCAATGCAGCCTGGAACTCCTGAGATCCAAGAGATCTTCCCACCTCAGCCTCTCCAGTAGCTGGGAAGGATGTTTACTTTTATAGGAATTTAAAAAATTATAGGAATTTTAAAAATTTACATATGTATAAACATTTTAAAAATTTACATGTGTATAAGGGTGTTTACTGTGGCATTGCTAATAACAGCATAAAACTTGGAAGCTAGCTAATGTGCATCAGCAAGAAACTAGTTAAATTAGTTCCAATACATTAATTTGGGGAATACTTAAGCAGCCATTAAGAGAATAAGAGAATTGTATGTGCCAATAGGTGATACAAAAGACCTTCAAGATACTCTGTTAAGTAAAAATGAAAACAAAACTCAAGTCACAAGGTGCAGAATATTTGTGAAAGAACAAAAGAGAATGTACTTACACATCATTTTTTTTTTCTGGAAAAATATATATATATAAGAAACTGTTAACCTCCGGTTTCTCTTCTGTACTTTTTCCTTTTTTCCTTTTTTTTTTTTTACTGTGTGCAAACATTACTATTTTCATTCCTTTTATGATGATCTTAATAGTAAAAGATTAGGGAAACTCTAACATTTAAGGGATAGACAAAGGAGGGGGATTCAATAAAGGAGTTGAAGAAGGGATGACTGAAAAGACAGGAGAGTGTGTGGAAGTCTACGGAGGAAAGAACTTTTCAGGAACAATGAATAGGCAATGCCCCAAGTCCACAATGCCAAATGCTGCCTAGAGAGCCGAGTTAAATAAGATAAGGACAGAACAGGGTTCACTGGTTTTTGTCGGTTAGGAGATAGTTGCTCATTTCAAATGTCAGGTGCTGGGGGTGGAAGCTGTGCTGCAGTGGGTTGAGTGAATAGAGGGTGAGGAAGTGGACACAAGGGGCTATAGGTTAGCATTTCAGGCAGTAGCTGGAGGGAATTGAAGGAGAGTTTTTTTTTTTTTTAAGGTGGGTGATTCTTGCATTTATATACTTAAAGAAGATTGTCAATAGGGAGCACTGATACATCCTGGTACTGCTGTTTAGATAACTCTCATGTGAAGGAGGAAGTGGTTCTGTGATTTGGTTCTCTAGTCAGTTTCCATTCAGTGCAGTGTTTCAGATATCTGAGTATAACCTTCATGAATTTTTCTCTACCTGTGTAGTTCCTGTACTGAGTATTAAAAAAAAACCATATTTTAAAGCTTAAATATACTTATTTTAAAAGGAAAACATTTTACCATGATCATAAGTAAAAAAAAGTATTTAATATTTTTCTAATATACATTTAAAGAAATATCTCACTATTAAAAAATGTTTGGCTGTGTAAAATAATCACACATACCACACTTTGGAAACATTCATACAGTTGGGTACCATGCTTGAAGATGGAATTGAAAATTGCTTTAGGCATGGTCTAATCTTAATCTCCACAAGAAGAGAGAGATCACATTGAATCAAATAAGTACAAAGACACAAAATAGGAAATAATAAATGCCTTAAGAGAGGTATGCATGAAGTATCATGAGAATTCACATGACGGAGTTCTTGCAAGTAGTTCTGGGAAGGCTTCACAGAGGTCAAGGCTTTTAAGCTAAAGCTTAAAGAATAGGTAAAATGTGTAATTTAGTGAATTGGAGTGACAGCATCCAGGAGGATGGAATCTTGTGTACAAAGGCAAAAAGATGGGAAAGCTTATAATTCATCTTGCCTGGAGCCTAGGATTTTGAAGGGATGAAGTGGAAAAATAAGGCAGAAAAGGTAGGTTCCAGTGAGACTCTTTTTTTTTTTTTTTTTTTTTTGACTGGAGTCTCGATCTGTCGCTCAGGTTGGAGTGCAGTGGTGCAATCTCAGCTCACTGCAACCTCCGCCTTCCAGGCTCAAGTGATTCTCCTGCCTCAGCCTCCTGAGTAGCTGGGATTACAGGTGTGTGCCACCTTGCCAGGCTAATTTTTGTATTTTTAGTAGAGACGGGGTTTTGCCATGTTGGCCAGGCTGGTCTCGAACTCCTGACCTCAAGTGATTTGCCCGCCTTAGCCTCCCAAAATGCTGGGATTACAGGCGTGAGCCACCTCACCCGGCCTTCCAGTGAGACTCTTGAGGACCATTAATTCGAGGGCCTGCAATTGAATGGCAATAAGTGTTTGGATGAGTGTTAAGATAGGTGAAGGAGGCAGTGGTTCTGTGATTTGATCATATAATTCCTTCCACCTCTGCTACCTTGTTATGTACTCATAGCCTAGATCTTGCAAGAACGCGGGCCTCTGAAATTACTAATTGAAACATTAAATTCTGCACAAAAGATCCTGAGTAGCCAAAGTAATCTTTTTACCAAAAAGAACAAAGCTGGAGGCATCACTCTACTGCATTTCAAAATATATTACAAAGCTATAGTAATTATCTTGCTTGGAAAAGTTCAAGATTTGGCATCTGGTAGGAACCTCGGGCTGCTTCCACTCTTGGCAGAAGGGGAGCCTACACGTGCAGAGATCACATGGTGAAAGGAAGCAAGAGGAGTGAGGGGAGATGCTAAGTTGTTTTTAGCAACCAGCTATCCTGGGAAGTAATAAAGAACTCATTTCCCCCACATTCCGGAAGGAGGGCAATAATCTATTCATGAGGGATCTGCCCTCATTACCCAGACACCTCCCATTAGGCCCCATCTCCAACACCGGGGATCAAATTTCAACATTAGATTTGGAGGAGAGGCTGAGCGTGGTGGCTCAAGCCTGTAATCCCAGCATTTTGGGAGGCTGAGGCAAGAGGATCACCTGAGGTCAGAAGTTCAAGACCAGCCTGGCCAACATGGTGAAACCCCATCTCTGCTAAAAATACAAAATTAGCGGGTGTGGTGACACACATCTGTAATTCCAGCTACTCAGGAGGCTGAGGCAAGAAAATCGCTTGAACCCAGGAGACAGAGGTTGCAGTAAGCTGAGATCGCACCATTGCACCCCAGCCTGGGCGACAGAGCAAGACTTTGTCTCAAAAAAAAAAAAAAAAAAGGGATTTGGAAGAGAAAGGCATCCAAACTATAGCAGTAATCAAGCAGCATGATATTAGGATAAAAACAGATGCATTGACCAGTGGAATTAGATAGAGAGCCCAGAAATAAACCCACAAATCTATGGTGAATTAATTTGCAACAGGTACCAAGAACACAAAAAGGGGAAAGGGCAGTCTCTTTAATAAATTGAGTTGAGAAAACTGGATATCTACATACAGAAGAGTAAAAATGGACCGTTATCTCATCCGTTATATAAGAATCAACTCAAAATGGATTAAAGACTTAAATGTAAGGCTTAAAATTATAAAATTTGTCTGGGCCCAGTGGCTCATGCCTGTAATTTCAGCACTTTGGGAGGCTGAGGCAGACAGATTACCTGAGGTCAGGAGTTTGAGACCAGCCTGGCCAACATGGTGAAACCCCATTGCTACTAAAAATACAAAAATTAGCCAGGCATGGTGGCGCACACCTCTAATCCCAGCTACTTGAGAGGCTGAGGCATGAGAATCACTTGAACCCAGGATGCAGAGGTTGCAGTGAGCCAAGATTGCGCTGCTGCACTCCGGTCTGGATGACAGAGCGAGACTCTGTCTTAAAAAAAAAAAAAAAGAAAAGAAAAGAGAAGAAAAGAAAAGAAAAGAAGCAAAATTAAAACTACCAGAAGAAAACAGAGGAAAAGTTCCATGACATTAGTCTGGGCAGAGATTTTTTTGATATGACCTCAAAAGCACAGACAACAAAAGCAAATGGGGGCCAGGCACGGTGGCTCATACCTGTAATCCCAGAACTTTGGGAGGCTGAGGCTGGCAGATCAAGAGGTCAGGAGTTCGAGACCAGCCTGACCAATATGGTGAAACCCCGTCTCTATTAAAAATACAAAAAAAAAACTAGCCTGGCATGGTGGGGCATGCCTGTAATCCCAGCTTCTCAGGAGGCTGAGGCAGGAGAATCGCTTGAACCTGGGAGGTGGAGGCTGCAGTGAGCCGAGATCGCACCACTGCATGCAGCCTGGGCGACAGAGCAGACTCCGTCTCAAAAAAAAAAAAAAAAAAGAAAAGCAAATGGGATTGCCTCAAACTAAAAAAACTGCACTAGAGTGGAGACAACCCATGAACTGGAAAAAATATTTGCAAATTATACATTGGGTAAGGGGCTAATATCTAAAATATACAAGGAGCTCCAACTGCTTAATAATAAGAAAACAAACAACTCTATTAAAAGTGGGCAAAGCATATTTCTCAAAAGAAGTCATACAGGCTGAGTGTGATGGCCCACATCTGTAATCCCAGCAGGTTGGGAGTGCGAGGCCAGAGGATCTCTTCAGCCCAGACCAGCCTGAGCAACATAGGGAGACTCTGTCTCCACCAAAAAAAAAGAAAAAAAAATTAGCTGGGCGTGGTGGTACATGCCTGTGGTCCCAGTTACTTGGGAGGCTGAGGTGGGAAGACTGCTTGAGACCAGGAGGCCGAGGCTGCAGTGAGCTATGATTGCGCCACTGCACTCCAGCCTGGGTGACAGAGTGAGAACCTGCCTCAAACAACAACAACAAAAACCCCAGAACAAAACAAAACAAAACAAAACAAAACAAAACAAACAAAAGAGATAACATACCCATGATCTTAGCCAAAAGGCCAAGAAGCAATTCAACATCTCTAATCATCAGAGAAATGCAAATTAAAAGCACAAGGAGATATTTTATGTCACTCCTGTTAGATTGTCTATTATTAAAAAGGTGAAAGATAAATACTGGCGAGGAAGTAGAGAAAAGAGAACGCTTATAAACTGTTGGTGGTATTGTAAATTAGTATGGCTATTTTGGAAAACAGTATGAAAGTTCCTCAAAAAACTAAGAATAGAATTACCATATAATCCAGTAATTCCACAACTGGGGATATTCCCAAAGGAATTGAAATCGGTATGCCGAAGAGATGTTTGCACTCCCTTGTTCATTGCAGCATTATGCACAACAGCCAAGATATGGAAACAATCTATGTATCCATCAAGGGATGAATGGATTAAAAAATGTGGTATACAGCCAGGCGTGGTGGCTCATGCCTGTAATCCCAGCACTTTGGGAGGCCATGGTGGGCGGATCATGAGGTCAGGAGTTCAAGACCGCTTGACCAACATGGTGAAACCCTGTCTCTACTGAAAATACAAAAAATTAGCCGGGCGTGGTGGCAGGCGCCTGTAATCCCAGCTACTTGGGAGGCTGAGGCAGGAGAATCGCTTGAACCTGGGAGGCAGAGGTTGCAGTGAGCTGAGACTGTGCCACTGCACTCCAGCCTGGGCAACAGAGTGAGACTCCATCTCAAAAATATATATATATATATATATGAAATATATATATATAATATAATATAATATATAATATATATAATATATATTATATAATACATATATTATATAATATATAATATATATAATATATATTATATAATACATATATTATATAATATATAATATATATTATATACATAATATTATATAATATATAATATATAATATATTATATTATTATATATATTATATATATTATATATAATATGTATTATATATAATATATATAATATATAATATATAATATATATAATATATAGTATATATAATATATATACACTACATATATTATATATTATATATTATAATATATATATTATATATTATATATTATAATATATATATTATATATTATAATATATATACTATATATTATAATATATATATACTATATATATTTATAAATGTATATAGTATATATATATAAAATTCTGTCATTTGTGGCTGGGTGCAGTGGCTCACATCTGTAATCCCAGCACTTTGGGAGACCGAGGTGGGTGGATCATTGAGGTCAGGAGTTTGAGAAAATTCTGTCATTCGTTACAACATGGATGAACCTAGATGACATTATGTTAAGTGAGGTGAAATAAACCTGACACAGAAAGACAAATACCATATTATTTCACCTATATGTGGAATCTAAATAAGTCAAACTCGTAGAAGTAGAGGGTAGAATGGTGGTTACCAGAGGCTGGAGGGAGTGGGGAGGTGGATGGTAAAAGGGGAGATATTGCCCAATGGGTACAAAGTTATAGCTAGATAGCAGGAATAAGTTACGGTGTTCTATTGCACAGCAAGATGACTGTCATCAATTATAATGTATTGTGGGCCAGGTGCAGTGGCTCATGCCTGTAATTCCAGCACTTTGGGAGGTGAAGTGGGGAGAGTCGTTTGAGCCCAGGAGTTTGAGACCACCTGGGCAACATAGTGAGACCCTGTCTCTAGAAAAAAAAAAATTAGTCGAGTGCGGTGGTGCACCTCTGTGATCACAGCTACTTGGGAGCCTGAGGCAGGAGGATCACCCGAGCCTGGGAGGTGGAGGCTGCAGTGAGCTGTAATTGTGCCACTGCACTCCAGCCTAGGCAATAGAGTGAGACCCTGTCTCAAACAAACAAACAAACAAACAACTAATGTATATTCCAAAATAGCTAAAAGAGGATTTTAAATGTTCTTACTGTGAAGAAATGATAAATATTTGAGGTGACAGATATGCTAATTACCCTGATTTGATCATTGCACAACATATACGTGTATTGAAACATCACATTATATCCTATAAATATATACAATTATTATTTTTCAATTAAAAATAAGCCAAAAACCCCCACATTAAGTTTTCTTTCTAAAACTTCCCAAGCTTTTCTAGCTCACTGGCTCAAGTAACCCCACTACAATTCTCTGGCTTCATGAAGCCTCCAATTCACTGCCCCTCCTACCACACACACTTTCTCTCTTTTCATCACTCCTCCAATCCTTGTTGTTGTTGTTGTTTTTTTTTTGAGACATGATCTCACTCTGTCACCCAGGCTGGAGTGCAGCGGCATGATCACAGCTCACTGCAGCCTCGACCTCCTGGGCTCAAGAGATGCTTCCACCTCAGCCTTCCAAGTAGTTGGGACTACAGGCACTGGCCACCATGTCCGGCTAATTTCTTTTTATGAGACAAACCTGTTGCCTAGGCTGGTCTGGAACTCCTGGGCTCAAGTGATCCTCCCACCTCGGCCTCCCAAAGTATTGAGATTATAGGCATGAGCCACTGCACCCAGCCTCCTCCAAACTTTGCTTGCTCCCTTTTTCACTTAAATTCCTGAATTTATTATTATGACTCTTGCAAATACCTTCAACTGCCTACACAATACTCCATAGTTCCCCTCCACCCACCTCCTGGAGGAATCCACACATTCATCTTCTTTATACTTTAACCTGTATAGTTCAGGATTGGTGGAGGCAATCACACAATGGGCAGGTTAATGATAGTCAAGCTTAATCAACTAGGTCTTCAACATAGCTAAAAATCCCCCTTTACTCTTAATTCTCCAACTCTCTAAAACCACTCACTTACCTTATTCACATTCTTCAGATCTCTCCCTCCTACTCTCTGCTGTTGACTTTGCCTCATACTTTATTGAGAAAATGCATGCCCATCAGATAAGAACTCCTTCATTTTCCTGTGGGTTTTAAAAAATGAAAATAGTGTCTCTTTTTCTCCCTAATGATAAAAATATGTGTTTATTGTAGAAAATTTAAAAACACTGAAAAATGGGGCTGGGTGCTGTAGCTCATGTCTGTAATCCCAGCACTTTGGGAGGCCAAGGCAGGTGGATCCCCTGAGGTCAAGAGTTCAAGACCAGCCTGGCCAACATGGTGAAACTCCGTCTCTACCAAAAATACAAAAATGAGCTGGGTGTGGTGGTGCATGCCTGTAGTCCTAGCTACTTGCGAGGCTGAGGCAGGAGAATCACTTGAACCAGAGAGGTGGAGGTTGCAGTGAGCTGAGATTGTGCCACTGCACAACAGCCTGGGCAACAGAGTGAGACCCTGTCTCAAAAACAAAACAAAACAAAACAAAACAAAACAAAAATCAGCTGGGCGCAGTGGCTCACGCCTGTAATCCCAGCACTTTGGGAGGCTGAGACAGGCAGATCACAAGGTCAAGAGATTGAGACCATCCTGGCCAACATGGTGAAACCCCGTCTCTACTAAAAATAATTTTTAAAAAGTTAGCTGGGCGTGGTGGCGTGCGCCGGTAGTCCCAGCTACTCGGGGAGCTGAGGCAGGAAAATCGCTTGAACCTGGGAGGCGGAGGTTGCAGTGAGCCGAGATTGTGCCATTGCACTCCAACCTGGGCAACAGAGCAAGACTTTGCAAAACAAAACAAAACAAAACAAAACAAAAAACTGAAAAATATAAATAAAGTAAAATTCTCCCAAATCTCACCACTCAGAGATAAACATTGTTGACATTTTGGTAAATACTCTTCCAGACATTTTTGTTTAAATATGCATTCGATTTTACATAAATACGTACCTTTTCTGAAAACATTTTTCTTCTAAAATCTCAACAGTAGAATGTAGACATGTCCCTAGTTTTATAACTATGAAATTGTTATAAATTGTTGTCCAGGCTAGTCAACACTGAATTAAAAAGTGTTGACTGGTCTCAAGTGGCCCTCTTATCTCCGTCTCCCAAAGTGCTGGGGTTATAGATGTGAGGCATTAAGCCCGGTTGTTTCTGCAACCATTCTTTTTTTTTTTTTTTTTTGAGGGGGCACCCAGATTTGAACCATCACAACAGTTTTACTTTTTCTTCCTCTTTCTTTCTTTTTTTTTTTTTTTTGAGATGGAGTCTCTCTTTGTCGCCCAGGCTGGAGTGCGTGTCACGATCTTGGCTCCCTGCAACCTCCACCTCTCAGGTTCAAGCGATTCTCCTGCCTTAGCCTCCCTCGTAGCTGGGAATACAGGGACCCACCACCATGCCCAGCTAATTTTTTTATTTTTAGTAGAGACAGGGTTTCACCATGTTGGCCAGGCTGGTCTGGAGCTCCTGACCCCAGGTGATTCACCTGCCTCGGCCTCCCAAAGTGCTGGGATTACAGGCATGAGCCACTGTGCCCGGCCCATCACAACAGTTTTTAAAGGTTGTATATGTATTCCAAACCATAATATATGTTCCATATACAACTAACGTAGTTGTATAACTTCACCAGTAGTCTGCTGGTGAACATTTATGTGGTTTACAATGCTTCAGTGAATGTTTCCGTTAATCTGTCTTTGCAAATTTTTCCAATTTCTTCTTTTGGAAAAATCCTAAAAGGGTAATTGTTGGGTGACAGGGTACACACATTTAAGATTTTGATATATATTGCCAAACTGCCTTTCTTCCAGAAAGTTGCATTAATTTAATTTGTATTCCTACTTACAGTGCCCAAGAGTGCCTGTTTTGTATATTTTGACAAATTTAAGGTTTTCTTAATCTTTTTAACTTTTGCCAATCAGATAGATGAAAATTTTACCTTGCTTTAATTTGAATTTCTACGATTACTAGTGAGGTTGAGTATCTTTTTTATTTTATTTTTTTAAATTTTTTAATTAATTAATTAATTAATATTTGAGCCAGGGGTCACTCTGTCGCCCAGGCTGGAGTGCAATGGTGTGTTCTCTGCTCACTGCAACCTCCACCTCCTGGGCTCAAGCAATCCTCTCACCTCAAACTCCAGAGTAGTTGGGACTACAAGTGTGCATCACCAGGCCTGGCTAATTTTGCATAGAGACGAAGTCTCACAACATTCCCCAGGCTGGTCTCAAGCTCCTGGACTCAAGCAATCCTCCCACCTCGGCCTGCCAAAGTGCTGGGATTACAGGCATGCGCCTTCTTGCCCAACCGAGTATCTTTTTATGTGTTTGTTGGTTGTACTCTTCCTGTGTAATTTGTCTGATCATGTCCTATGAGCTTTTATTTACTAGAGTATTTGTCTTTTTCTTTTTAATTTGAAGAGCTCTTTTTATGTTAGAGATGTTAAGTCTTTATCTGTTACATATGTTGAAAAAATCTTTTTTTAGTCTGTGGTTTGTCTTTCAACCTTGCTTATAGTGCCACTCAGAAGAGTTATTTTTTATGCAGTAAAACTTACTGTTTTCCCTTTTTGATTTGGGTTTCCAGATCATATTTAGATCTTGCCAACTAGGTAAAATTAAAAAAAAAAAACTACTACGTCTTAGTATATTAATAAAGCTATAAGATATTCACACCTATTTTTAATAGAAATTTTATGATTGGATTTAATTTTTGATTAATGTAGAATTTATTTTGGTATATGAAATGAGAGGTAAGGATCTAGTTTTTTTTTTTAACAAATGGCTCTAAAGTCATTTCAACACTTTTTCTTGAATAATTCTTTGCCCCACTGATTTCAATAATTTCTATGTATATTTGGGTCTGTTTCTGGACTCTATTCTGTTCATTTATCTGTCTGCACTATTACCACACAATTTTATTTGCAATAGTTTTAATATCTGGAAGAACAAGCTCCTCTTCCTCCCTCCATTAATGATTTTGTTTTTAGAATTTTCCTGACTGTAATTGCATGTTTATTCTGGAAGTCTTTCTCTTCTTTTAACAGGGCGTAATGCTACTTTATTAACTAATTTGTGTTCTTGGTTGCTAACTGTCTTTTAATCCACTCTATTGATGAGAGTTTTAATAGGCTCTCATTAGAGTCCAAGCTGTTCAACCATCTTATGTACCATGTATTTCACCATTTCTGTAACATTTTGTTAAAGGGTAGGACAGAAAACTTATAGCTTATGTTAGGAGGGTAAAGGAAGATAATCCACAGCATGTTGAGTGCTACTTAATGGCATTTTACTGCTCACTCTTGCTTATCCACCTCAATATGTACCTGCTTCTTTTATCTGCTCTCCTTTTCTCTCTCTTTTACTTTTTTCTTCTGTTTCTTTTAATTTTCATTTACTTGTAACATCTAGGAAGGCCATCTGGATAAAAACAAACAAAAAAAAATTTGAAGATATCCATGTATTATCAGGGTTTTCACCCTTTCCGTACATTTTCCTTTATTCACTGGCCCTTTCAGTGCACTGGCGTCAGCTCAGTAGCCCTAACTTTGGAGTCATATTTACAACTGGTATTCATCAATAGAATCATGTGATTCCTATATGCCTTATATAATGCTGAATAGTATAATATCCATTCTACCGCAGACGTTATTAATCATTAAGAACTCTAAGATGCATGTGAAAGGGCTGCTTGTAGTCTTGAGAGCTGAGTTCTAATTATCACCTTACTTGTTCATCTGTTCATCCATGAACAAAGAAGCTATGGTGGAACCAGGGGTTTAGGTGGGATAATGGAAGTAGGAAGTTTGTCAACCAGGAAATGGGAAATGATAATGGGAACTAACATTTGTTAAGTGACTACTACTATATGCCAGCCACCCATTGTTCTAGATGCTTTATGTGCATTATTCTATTGAACCAGAAGCCTAGAATTACTTTTATTCCCATTGTACATATGAGGAAATTGAGGTGCTAAGATTGTTTTAATATATACGTATTTTTTTAAATAGAGGCTGGGCACGGTGGCTCACACCTGTAATCCCAGCACTTTGGGAGGCTGAGGCGGATGGATCACCTGAGGTCAGGAGTTCGAAACCAGCCTGACTAACATGGTGAAACCCCATCTCTACTAAAAATACCATAATTGTCTGGGCTTTGTGGCGGGTGCCTGTAATCCCAGCTACTTAGGAGGCTGAGGCAGGATAATCTCTTGAACCCAGGAGGCAGAGGTTGCAGTGAGCTGAGATCGCACCATTGCACTCCAGCCTGGGTGACAGAGCGAGACTCCATTTCAAAAAATAAATAAATAAATAAAATTAGAGATGTGGTCTCATTGTTTTGCCCAGGCTGGTCTCAAACTCCTGGGCTGAAGTGATCCTCCCACCCTGGCCTCCCAAAGTGCTGGGATTACAGGTGTGAGCCACTGCACTAAGCCTCTTTTTAAATTTTAATTATTATTATTATCTTTTTTTGTATGGAGACAAGGTCTCACTATGTTGCCCAGGCTGGTCTTGAACTCCTGGGCTCAAGGATTCCTTCTGCCTCAGCTTCCCAAAGTGTTGGGATTACAGGTGTGAATCACCATGCCCAATTTAGATGCTAAGATTCTTAAAGCTGGCTCAAGGCCACACAGTATATGGTGCATGGAGAGTCAGTCAACTGTGGCATACTCCACTGCTCCTTTTCACCAGAATTCTTTCCCTAATATGGCAATCGAGGGTTATGAAATAAAGACATACCAAACTGCAGGATGCAAAAGAAGAGGAATTAATAGCAGTACTTTCTGTTTTCCCATTTTTCTTCATTGTACTATGCAATCTAGATACAATTTTGAAGAGGGAAAATAAATTACTTTTAGTAACCTCATCTTGTCCACGAGATCTAATGACTGATTCTGAGACTTTCAGGATCAGGAAGGAACTCTGTTAATGTTCCCAGAAACTGGAGCCACAATCTCTCTTCTTTATCCTGTTAGCCAGCTCCATATCTGGCCTGAGGTGCACAAGGCTTAAAAGAGGGGTATATAGGAAGAAGTGGGAGGCTTATTAATGTTTTGATTCTGTGTTTGTCTACAAATCTGGAGGCATCATGTTTTCACACTGTTATCTCTGAGTGGAGATTAGCATCATGCTTAGATTTAGCTGGAATCAAATTTTTACTTACATATTCCACCCCTCAAGCCATTTGGTTTGGAGATGGGTGGGACATGCGAGCTTGCTGTGAGACTGCAGGGGAGTCTCCTAGTTTCCTAATGATTGGACAAAGGCAGGGCAACAGAAACGTCTTGGAACTAAAAGGCTTTTTTTATTTTTATTTTTTATTTTTATTTATTTTATTTTCATTTTTTTTGAGACGGAGTTTCGCTCTTGTTGCCCAGGCTGAAGTGCAATGGTGCCATCTTGGCTCACCGCAACCTCCGCCTCCCAGGTTCAAGAGATTCTCCTGCCTCAGCCTCCCGAGTAGCTGGTTACAGACATGTGTCACCACGCCTGGCTAATTTTGTAATTTTTTAGTAGAGACGGAGTTTCTTCATGTTGGGCAGGCCGGTCTCCAACTCCCGACCTCAGGTGATCCGCCTGCGTCAGCCTCCCAAAGTGCTGGGATTACAGGCGTGAGCCACCGCGCTGGGCCTGTTTATTTATTTATTTTTTGAGACGGAGTTTCGCTCTTGTTGCCCAGGCTGGAGTGCAATGGCGCGATCTCGGCTCACCGCAACCTCTGCCTCCCGGGTTCAAGCGATTCTCCTGCCTCAGCCTCCCGAGTAGCTGGTTACAGGCATGCGCCAGCACATCCAGCCAATTTTGTATTTTTTTTTTTAGTAGAGACGGGGTTTTGCCATGTCGGTCAGGCCGGTCTCCAACTCCCGACCTCAGGTGATCTACCCGCCTCGGCCTCCGAAAGTGTTGGGATTACAGGCGTGAGCCACCGTGCTCGGCCTATTTATTTATTTATTTTTTGAGACGGAGTTTTGCTCTTGTTGCCCAGGCTGGAGTGCAATGTCTCGGCTCACCACAACCTCTGCCTCCCGGGTTCAAGCGATTCTCCCTCCTGCCTCAACCTCCCAAGTAGCTGGCATTATAGGCATGCACCACCACGCCCAGCTAATTTTGTGTTTTTAGTAGAGACGGGGTTTCTCCATGTTTGTCAGGCTGGTCTGGAGCACCCGATCTCAGGTGATCCGCCTGCCTTGGCCTCCCAAAGTGTTGGGATTACAGGCGTGAGCCACTGCCCCCGACTTATTTTTTATTTTTAAGAGACATGATCTCGCTGTCTCCCAGGCTGGAGTGCAGTGGTGGGATCATGGCTTATTGGACCTAAACTCTCAGGCTCAAATGATCCTTCCACCTCAGCCTCCCAAGTAGCTGGAACTACAGGCGTGTGCCACCACACCTGGATTTTTTTTTTTTTTTTTTGGTTCAGGTGCAGTCTGGCTTGTTGATCAGGCTGGCCTCGACTAGTCTCCTCAGCTTCTAATATTTCTGCTATTTCTGACCTTTGCCACTCTTGCATAACCAGTGATCAACAATGTCTACTTGCTTTATTTCTTTTTCTGTTCTTTTTTTTGTGTGTGTGAAGTCCTGCTCTCCTTTTGGTAATCCTGGCCATCTGCACTTTTCCCTCAATTCATTGTCTTATGCTTTCAGAATTACATCATATTTGCTTACTCTCAGTTATTCTCACCCTGAACTCACCAAGTGACTGACTCTCTGAACTGCATCCCCAGGATCTAAGGTCTAGACTGGGTCGCAAGGCTTAGGCTCCGTGACACAGCGTAAAGGCCAAGTGGGAGTGGCTTTAGTGGCCTAGCGTGACACCGCTAGCGTCGCTAGGGGGCGGAGTTTTCTGAACGTCCTCGTGCGCTGTGGACGGAGGTTGTGGAGAGAGCAGGGCGGCATTGGTGGCTGCGGCTGAGGTGAGTGGTTTAGTGGGCAGGAAGGGGTAGAATAGGCTTCAAGCACAAGTTAGTTGGGTAGTTTATAACTAGCAAGAATATATTATAGCCATTAGGCCAAAACTTTTTAGAGCGGCCCTAAGGCAGTGACTTTGTACTACAGAACTGCTCGTCGCTCTCAAGGCGAACGAAGATGGGCAAATGTAATGTTTTTGGACGAGGATTGAGGAGTATGGGGAGCGGTGGTGGGCCACTGAAAACCGGAGATAGTAGTTACTGTAGTTTAGATGCTAAAGGACCTAAATTACGTTGAAGCGGGACTGTTGATGACCGTTGGGGGCAATGTAATGTTTTTTGATGAGGATGGAGGAGTATGGGGAGTTGTGGTGGGCCACTGAAAACCGGAGATAGTAGTTATTGTTGTTTAGATGCTGAAGGACCTAAATTACGTTGAAGCAGGACTGTTCATGACCGTTGGGGGCAGGATACTGAAGGTGCTAGCGTTCTCACAGAGCGGGAAAAAGGACCGTGAGTGATTGGATGCTTTGAATGTGCGGTTGGTAGCGGAAGCGGATTTTGAGCCAATTAGGAAGAAGCAGCGAGACCCAGCCAGACCAATAACAGGGTACCACTCAGCTCCATTTCCCCCGTTGCCAGGCAGACTTATGGTAAGAAAAGGTCCCTTTTATGTAACTTGGCAGCCTGGCCCTGCCCCTCACAAAAGCCCTTTCATGGGCTTTTAACTTTACTCAGCCTTTTTTTCTCCCTTTGGATAACAAGTAACGGGAAACATTTCACTGGAAAGAAATTTGTTGAGAAACTAGAGGATAAAACAGAGTATTAAAATATGTTATTATTTCACAGGCTTGAGCCAGAGATTTAAAAATGGACAATGATGATTTTTTTTCCATGGACTTTAAAGGTACGTAGCTCTACGTGGTAGTACAAAATAGTGTCAAACTGCTGCTTTAAGATCTAAATATTGCTGGGCGCGGTGGCTCACGCCTGTAATCTCAGCACTTTGGGAGGCCGAGGCGGGCGGATCACGAGGTCAGGGGCTCGAGACCAGCCTGACCAACATGGTGAAACCGCGTCTCTACTAAACATACAAAAATTAGTTGGGCGTGGTAATCCCAGCTACTCAGGAGGCTGAGGCAAGAGAATCGCTTGAACCTGGGAGGCAGAGTTTGCAGTGAGCAGAGACTGCGCCACTGCGCTCCAGCCTGGGCGACAGAGTGAGACTCCGTCTCAAAAAAAAAAAAAAAAATCTAAATATTTTGTTTCTGAGTTTTGTCTTTCTGCAGTGTCCATAGCACCAGGTTTTCTCATTTATGTACCAGAAACAATGTCTATTTTTAACACATTGGGAACCTTTTTATGAACTAGTGTAGGGAGACAGAATTCACAATTCATAACTTGTTTTTTTTTCAGGATTTTTATGGCATGCAAAATAAAACGTTTAATCTGGAAGATAAATCTATTGCAATAAAAATAAGTTTAAAAAATTACTGCAAGATCTTGGAGTTCCTTTCCATAATCATCCGTGAAAAATAAATTATATCCTGTGTAGTTTTAGACTTAAGTACATTTTATTGTGTCTTAATTCTTTTGAAAATTGGTAATCCATGTTTGCTATTTATGGGAACTCTCAATAAACAAAAGCAATTTGACTGACCAGAACACCAGATTCCTCAACTGTGCTAGATATAGGAGAGTTTGTGGTACTATCTTTGTTTTTGGGGAATAATGAGACCTGTGGTACCTTCACATTCATATAATAATGAAATATGTGGTAAGAAATGTGGCTACAAATCTATGATTTTAAAAAGTTTAGGTCAACATTTTGTTAATACTTTTTTTTGTTTGCTTGTTTTGTTTGTTTGTTTGTTGAGACAGTTTTGCTCTTGTTGCCCAGGCTGGAGTGCAGTGGTGCCATCTTGGCTCACTGCAACCTCTGCCTCCTGAGTTCAAGCGATTCTTCTGCCTCAGCCTCCCAAGTAGCTGGGACTACAGGCCCGCGCCACCATGCCTGGCTAATTTTTTGCATTTAGTAGAGACAGGGTTTCACCATGTCGGTCAAGCTGGTCTCGAACTCCTGACTTCAGTTGATACACCTGCCTCGGCCTCCCAAAGTGCTGGGATTACAGGTGTGAGCCACCATGCCAGGCCAATATTTGTTATTTTAAAACAATAACAATAAAGCCTGCTACTATCTACTTTAAGTTTTAAATTAGGATAAAATATCTTAAAGGTATAAAGATGGAATAGGGATTATGACTCTTAAGTTGATAATATTTGAGACTTTGTATTTACATAAATATTTGAATCACACAGAAAAGTATAGAAAATAATATAATGAACATCTGTGTACCTACCACTGAGTTTTGTCAAATCTTAAGCTTGCCATATGCTTCAGATATTTCAAAGAACTAAAAGATTACATGTACCATTTTTCTTTTTAAATTTTATATAAATAGTTATTTTATATTTCTTTTTCCTGCAGCTTGTCTTCTTTTTTCCTTTTTTTGCTCAGCATTGTGATATATATATATATATATATATATATATATATATATATATATATTTTTTTTTTTTTTTTTTTTTTTTTTTTTTTTTTTTTTGAGACAGAGTTTTGCTCTTGTTGCCCAAGCTGGAGTGCAATGGTGTGACCTCGGCTCACTGCAACCTCTGCCTTCCAGGTTCAAGCGATTCTCCTGCCTCAGCCTCTCGAGTAGCTGGGATTACAGGCACGTGCCACCATGCCCGGCTAATTTTTTGTATTTTTAGTAGAAACGGGGTTTCACCATGTTGGCCAGGCTGGTCTCAAACTCCTGACCTCAGGTGATCTGCCTGCCTCAGCCTCCCAAAGTCTTAGGATTACAGGCGTGAGTCACTGTGCCAGGCTGTGTTTTTAATATTTACCCATATGAATACTTTTAGTTCATTTATTTCCACTGCTGATGAGTAGTATTTCATTGAACCTAAATGTACCACAATTTATTCATTCAGTCTCCTTTGTTGGACATAAAAATGGTTTCAAATATTTGCTGTTAAAAACAACAATGCTACAACGAACACTGTGTTTCTGAGAGTTTAACAGAAACTTTCAAAAACATCTTTGACTACCACTCATGGCAAGAAAATGTTTTGATTACATCCCAGTACATACATACTGTGTCAAAAGTTTAATAAAACAAAATTTTATCCTCATTACATGCAGTACACTATGATATTTTCTATTCTATTTTTCTCATTAAAAAAATGCTGGGTATTCAGCAAAGGTCTGACTGAAAAGAAATGCTGGGTATGACTCACTACCTCAATACATTGACTGATTTTTTTTTTCTTTTGAGACAGAGTCTCACTCTGTCGTCCAGGCTGGAGTGTAGTGGCACGATCTCGGCTCACTGCAACTTCCACGCCTCCCGGGTTCAAGCAATTCTTCCGACTCAGCCTCCCGCGTAGCTGGGGCTACAGGTGCATGCCGCCACGCCTGGCTAATTTTTTGTAGTTTAGTAGAGATGGGGTTTCGCTGTGTTGCCCAGGCTGGTCTGGAACTCCTGAGCTCAGGCAATCTGCCCGCCTCGGCCTCCCAAAGTGCTAGGATTACAGGTGAGAGCCACTGCTCCTGGCCTTGAGCCACTGCACCCGGCCTTGATTTATTTCTTGAGCTACTGGTAGGTGAGGCTCTAGGGCAGTGCCGTCCAACTGACATGGTGCAAAAACAAAAAATTTTATATTTTCTAGTAGTCATATTAAAAATGTTTAAACAGATGAAAATAATTTTAATGATCTAATTTTTTTAACTCAGTGTATCAAAAATGTTATTATAACATAATCAATATACAAATTATTAATAAGTTATTTTACATTCTACATTTTTTGGTACAAAGTCTTTGAAGTCTGGCATGTATTTTATACTTAAAGCACATCTCATTTTGGATCAGCCACATTTCAAGTGCTCAATAGTCACATGTGGCTAGTGGCTACCATATTGGACAGTGCAGTTCTAGAGTTTACATTTGGGAGTGTAACTGCTGAGTCAAAAGCTATGAGCATCTTTAACTTTATAGATATTGCCAAATTGCTGTCCAAAATGGTCTTAATTCAAACTCCCTTTTCCCCATATCCTTACTAATATTTGATATTGTCAGACTTTTAAAATTTTACAATTTTGAAGACTGTTGTCATTTTTATTTACCATTTTACTTTGGAATAATTTTAGATTTACAGAAAAGTTGCAGAGATAGTGCAGAGAGTTCCCATATACTCTTCAGGCAGTTTCATTTTCCCAAATGTTATCATCTTACATGGGTGTTGTTTTGACTTATATTTTCCTGATAACTAGTGAAGTTGGTGTACTTTCATAGATTTACTGGCTGTTTGAGTTTTCTCTTATGCACACATAAACTTTTTAGTCAAGTTTTATAAAAATGGAGCATAAAAGCCTATCCAATGGCTTTTAGCAATGGCTATAGTTCATTCCTTCTTAGGGAGAATTGACATAACACCAGTCTTTTTTGTATCACCAATCTCAATAAATTTTCAAGACCAAGGCCAGGCCTGGTGGCTCACGCCTGTAATCGCAGCACTTTGGGAGGCTGAGGCGGGAGGAATACTTGAGCCCATGAGTTTGAGACCAGCCTGGGCAACAGAGACCCTGTCTTCACCAAAAAAAAAAAAAAAAAAAAAAAAGCTGGATGTGGTGTTGCATGCCTGTAGTAGTCTCAGGAGCCAGAGGTGGGAGGATCGCTTGAGCCTAGGAGGTGGAGCCTGCAGTGAGCCTTGATTGCTCCAGCTTGGGTGACAGAGTGAGATCCTGTCTTAAAAAAAAAATTCAAGACCAGGAAGGAATAGAAATTTGTCTAGATAATTACACCCACTGGGGCTAAATAAATGTAACTCCTTTTCTGCATGTCATCTTCAACTATTTGAAGATAACTTATCTTGTACCCCGGAAAGTGTCTTCAGATTGAGCATTCTCAGTTTGTTCAAACATTCCTGATATTACCTGGTTTCTAGTCCCCTTATCATTTTGTGTGCTATCCTTTAAACATGCTCTATCCTTTTCGTGTTATTTCTTAAAGTGTGGTACCCAGAATAGAACACAATTCTCTATGTTTGATATGATCAGCATAAAATACAGTCATGTGCTGCATAATGACATTTCAGTCAATAAAGGACAGCATATACAACAGTGGTCCCAGAAGATTTTAATGGAGCTGAAAAGTTCCTATCCCCTAGTGATGTCAGAGCTGTTATAAAGTTGTAGAGCAATGCTTTATTCATGTGTTTGTGGTGATGCTGGTGTAAACAAATCTACTGTGCTGCCAGTTGTTTAAAACTATAGCACGTACATTTATGTACAGTACATAATACTTGATGGTGATAATAAATGACTATGCTACTGGTTTATGTATTCACTATACCATACTATGCTATCTTATACTATTTTTTTATCATCATCTTAGAGTGTACTCCTTCTATTTATAAAAAATAAAGTTAACTGTAAAATGGCCTCAGGCAGTTCCTTCAGGAGGTATTCCAGAAGGCACTATTATCGCAGTAGGTGACAGGTCCATGCATTTTATTGCCCCTGAAGAACTTCCAGTGGGACAAAACGTGGAGGTGGAAGACAGTGATAGTGATGATCCTGAGCCTGTGTAGGCCTAGGCTAATAATGTATGTGTTTGTGTCTTAGTTTTTAACAAAAAGTTTAAAAAGTAAAATTAATAATGTTAACAGAAAAAAGCTTATAGAATAGGGATATAAAGAAAGAAAATATTTTTGTACAGCTGTATAATGTTTGTGCTTTAAGCTAAGTGTTACTACAAAAGCGTTAAAAAGTTAAAAATAATTAAAAAGTTTGTACTTTGGGAGGTTGAGGCGGGCAGATCACTTGAGCTCAGGAGTTCGAGACTGGCCTGGGTATCATGGTGAAACCCTGTCTCTACCAAAAATACAAAAAATTATCATGGCATGGTGGCACGTGCCTGTGGTTCCAGCTACTCTGTGGTCCCAGCTACTCCATAGGTTGAGGTGGGAGGATTGCTTGAGCCTGGGAGGCAGAGGTTGCAGTGAGCCGAGATCGCACCACTGCATTGCAGCCCCAGTGACAGAGTGAGACCCCATCTCAAACAAACAAACAAACAAAGCTTATAAAGTAAAAAAGTTACAGTAAGCTAAGGTAAATTTATTATTGGAGAAAGAAACATATTCTTTTATAAACTGAGTGTAGCCTAAGTGTGCAGAGTTTATAAAGTCTACAGTAGTGTACAGTAATGTCCTAGACCTTCACATATATTCACCACTCACTCACTGACTCACCCAGAGCAACTTCCAGGTCTGCAAGCTCCACTCATGGTAAGTGCCCTATACAGGTGTACCTTTTTTTATCTTATAAAAATTTATTATTATGTTATTTGAGGTAGGGTCTCACTCTCTCACCCAGGCTGGTGTGCAGTGGTGTGATCGTGGCTCACCACAGCTTCTACCTCCTGGGCCCAAGTAATCCTCCCACCTCAACATCTTGAGTAGCCGGGAATCACAGGCATGCACCACCATGCCCAGATAATTTTTAATTTTTCTGTGGAGACGGGATCTCCCTATGTTGCCCAGGTTGGTTTCGAACTCCTGGGCTCAAGCGATCCTCCTTCCTCGGTGTCCCGAAGTGCTAGGATTACAGCTGTGAGCCACCGTACCCAGTCATTTTTAATCTTTTATATTTTTACTTACCTTTTCTAGGTTTAGATATGTTTAAATACACAAATACTTATCATTGTGTTACAGTTGCCTGCAGTATTCACTACAGTAACATGAGTTATAGGTTTGTAGCCTAGAAGCAATAGGCTATACCATATAGCCTAGATGTGTAGTAGGCTATACCATCTTGTGTAAGTACACTCTATGACGGGGTCCTCAACCCCTGGGCCACGGACCATTACCTGTCTCTGGCCTGTTAGGAACCTGGCTGCACAGCAGGAGATGAGCCCTGGGCCAGCAAGCATTACCGCCTGAGCTCCGCCTCCTGTCAGATCAGTGGCCAGTGGCATTAGATTCTCACAGGAGCCTGAACTGCCCACACGAGGGATCTAGGTTGCATGCTCCTTATGAAAATCTAACTAATGCCTGTTGATCTGAGGTAGAACAGTTTCATCCCGAAACCATCCCCCCACCATCCGTGGAAAAATTGTCTTCTACAAAACTGGTCCCTGGTGCCAAGAAGGTTGAGGACCACTGCTCTATGATGTTGGGACAATGACAAAAATCACCAAATTACACATTTCTGGAATGTATCCCTGTCCTTAAGTGATGCACGCCTGTAATCTTTCTCTTTAGATTTAGGACTGATGATTTTTCTCTTTAGATAATAATATAGCTAAGACTGAATTTGCTTTTTCTTTCTTTCATACCACGCTAGTTATTCATTTTGAACTTTTTGCCCCCCAAATCCCTCAGTCTTTTTTAAGTATTTATTTATTTATTTAGACAAGGTCTCACTCTATTGCCAGGCTGTAGTGCAGTGGCGCTATCCTCCTAGGTTCAAGCGATCCTCCCGCCTCAGTTTCCTGAGGGAATATAGGCATGCGCCACCATTCCTGACTAATTTTTGTATTTTTGGTAGAGACAGGGTTTCACCATGTTTCCCAGGCTGGTCTCCTGAGCTCCTGAGCTCAAGCGATCTGCCTGCCTACTGGCCTTTTTTCTAGATTTTTCTTTCTTTCTTTTTTTGAGGCAGAGTCTCACTCCATTGCCCAGGCTGGAGTGCAGTGGCATAATCTCAGCTCACTGCAACCTCCACCTCCCAGGCGCAAGCAATTCTTGTGCTTCAGCCTCCTGAGTAGCTATGACTGCAGGCATGCCAGGCTAATTTCTGTATTTTTAGTAGAGACAGGGTTTTGCTGTGATGGCCAGGCTGCTCTCGAACTCCTGGCCTCAAGTGATCCACCCACCTCAGCCTCCCAAACTGCTGGGATTATAGGCATGAGTCACCACTACTGGGCTTCACTGATCTTTTATATATATATATTTTCATTTTAATTTCGTTTATTTCTATTCTGGTCTTTATTATTTCTTTTCTTCAACTAACTTTGGGTTTGGTTTGCTTTTGCTTTTCTAGTTGTTTAAGATGCATCATTAGGTTGTTCGGAGTTTTTCCTCTTTTTTGATGTAGGCACTCATAGTGATAAACTTCACTCTGTATCCCATACGTTTTGGTATGCTGTGTTTCCATTATCATTTGTTTCAAGAAAATTTTCAATTTTCTTCTTCTTCTTCTTTTTTTTTTTTTTTTTTTGAGATAGAGTCTCCCTCTGTAGCCCAGGCTGGAGCGCAGTGGCACGATCTCTGTTCACTGTGACCCTGCAACCTCCGCCTCCCGGGTTCAAGCGATTCTCCTGCCTCAGCCTCCCAAGTAGCTGGGATTACAGGCACCCACCATCACACTTGGCTAATTTTTGTATTTTTATTTTAACTAATTAATTAATTAATTTTTTGTTTGTTTTGAGACAGAGCCTCACTCTGTTGCCCAGGCTGGAGTGCAGTTGCACCATCTCGGCTCATTGCAACCTCTGCCTCCCAAGTTTAAGTGATTCTCGTGCCTCAGCCTCCCAAGTAGCTGGGATTACAGGCGTGCACCACCACTCCTGGCTATTTTTAAAAAAATATTTTTAGTAGAGACCGGGTTTCACCATGTTGGCCAGGCTGTTCTGGCCAACATGGTGAAACTCCTGACCTCAGGTGAGCTGCCTGCCTCAGCCTCCCAAAATGCTGAGATTACAGGCATGAGCCACCACACCTGGTCCTTTTTTTTTTTTTTTTTTTTTTTTTAATACAGGACCTCTCTTTGTCACCCAGGCTGGAGTGCAGTGGCATGAACGTATAGGTATGCACCACCACGCCTGGCTAATATTTGTATGTTTTGTAAAGACTGGATTTTGCCATGTTGCCCAGGCTGGTCTTGAACTCCTGAGCTCAAGTGATCTGCTTGCCTCGGCCTCCAGATTACAGGAGGTGCTGGGATTACAGGTGTGAGCCACGGTGCCCAGCCTCTATATTTTCTTTTTCTATTATATTTATGATGATTGTTAGGGAGGTAGACATTAGCTAATTTGTTTCATCAAGTCTTCAGAATATAGTTCCAATGTATACTCAATACCAGCCCTGTCCAGTAGAAATATAATGTGAGTTAGAAATGTAACTTAAAATTTTCTAGTAATCACGTTTAAAAAGTAAAAATAAATAGGTGAAATTAATTTTTAATATAATAATAATTTTAATGCTATAGCCCAGCATATTCATACATTTTTGTTCCAGCATATAATCAGTATACAAAATTGCTGAGATATTTTACTTTCTTATTTTAAACTAAGTCTTTGAAACCCATGTGTATTTTACAATTAAAGCACATCCCAATTTGAACTAGCCACATTTTAAGTGCTCAGTAGCCATATATTGCTACCATATTAGAGAGTGCAGATCTAGACTAAAAAGTTTAGTAGTAAAACTCAGTCAAGATAATTGGCTTTCATTGAATCTCAAAGGACTTTATTTGTAATCTTCCCTGAACTATCTTTTCCTTTAAATACAACAATGGGATCCTCAGATTAAGAATGACAGAGTTATTAGGAAATATCCCAAGACAGGGCCACATAGTTTAGAATCATGAGCATACTTATTTTACAGCCTGTACAGAAATCTTACAGATAATCAGTGAGATAATCACTGATGCCACCTGGTATGCACCTATTAGGGGGAATAGTACAGTTTATGGCCGGGTGCCGTGGCTCACGCCTGTAATCCCAGCACTTTGGGAGGCCGAGGCTGGTGGATCATGAGGTCAGGAGATCGAGACCATCCTGGCTAACACTGTGAAACCCCGTCTCTACTAAAAATACAAAAAATTAGCTGAGTGTGCTGGCGGGCACCTGTAGTCCCAGCTACTCGGGAGGCTGAGGCAGGAGAATGGCGTGAACCCGGGAGGCGGAGCTTGCAGTGAGCTGAGATTGCGCCACTGCACTCCAGCCTGGCCGACAGAGTGAGACTCCATCTCAAAAAAAAAAAAAAAATACAGTTTATAAAATAAAGACATTGAGTGACCCACAGAATTGAACTTTCTTAGTATGCCATACAGTGTCTTCCAAGTTCTGGCCCCTGTATACCTTTCTAATGGTGTTTTCTCCAGCCATACATAACTGCTTATGCTTGTTTGAATTCATTGTGCTTTTTCACACCTCTGTGCTTTGCCCTCTGGCGTGTTCCTTTCCCTCAGTATCTGCCTGGAAATCTCTAACTCATCCTTCAGCCCCACCTCAAGTAACACTTCAGTGAAGCTTATCCTGCTATTCCTATATTCCATCCCTCAAATGGGCATTTATGCAATCCTTTTACATTGCTGTAGCGTCTTCCACTCACAGCACTTATTACATTATATTATAATTTTTAAATTTTTATTTATTTTTAATTTTTTCCCTTCATCCTACTTTGATCTCATGACTGATTACTACTATAATTTTTAGAATGTAATTACCTTTGGTAGTGCAATCCTCATGATGGCATAGACTGCTTCACTCATCTTTATATTCCTAGCAAGACACCAGGCATTCAAGAAATGTTTGTTGAACTAAATTTTACAAGGAGACACGTAGACATCAGCCAAAGCAGAAAGGGTGCAGTTTCCTTGGATTCTGTTCAGGGCTGAGTTGCTAATAGCTTTGATCTTGGCCAAGTTAGTTAACTTCTCCATGCTTTATTTTAATCAATTATAAAATTAGAGTGTATTACTGGAATTTTAAGGTGATTTAGAACTTTAAAAAGTTGGTTCATTGATGCATGTATGAGACTGTGTCTTGTTCATGTCATATCTTTGGTGCTTAACAAAGTACTTGGTTATCATTAAAGTTTTATTGAATGATTGAATAAAATAACTCTTGTCTCTTTTCTTTCTTTCTTTCTTTCTTTCTTTCTTTCTTTCTTTCTTTCTTTCTTTCTTTCTTTTTCTTTCTTTGTTTTCCTTCCTTCCTTCCTTCCTTCCTTCCTTCCTTCCTTCCTTCCTTCCTTCCTTCCTTTTTTCTTTCTTTCTTTCCTTAGATGGAGTCTGTCTCTGTTGTCCAGGCTGGAGTGCAGTGGCATGATCTCGGCTCACTGCAACCTCCGCCTCCTGTGTTCAAGCGATTCTTCTGCCTCAGCCTCCCAAGTAGCTGGGACTACAGGTGCATGCCACTACGCCCAGCTAATTTTTGTATTTTTAGTAGAGACGGGGTTTTACCATATTGGCCAGGCTGCTTTCGAACTCCTGACCTCGTGATCTGCCTGCCTCGGCCTCCCAAAGTGTTGGGATTACAGGCATGAGCCACTGTGCCAAGCCAACTCTTGTCTGTTTCATTCATATTGCCCACAAGGATAGCAACACTATCACCAAGAGTTACTCTCTGTATATATATATAAAACATATATATATGTTATATATATATAATATATAACATATATTATATATAACATATATATAAAAATATATATGTTATATATAATATATATCTATTTTTGAGACGGAGTCTTACTCTGTTGCCCAGGCTAGAGTGCAGTGTCGTGATCTCGGCTCACTACAACCTCTGCTTCTTGGGTTCAAGCGATCCTCTTGCCTCAGCCTCCTGAGTAGCTGGGACTGCAGGTGCACGCCACCACATCTGGCTATTTTTTTTTGTATTTTTAGTAGAGATGGGGTTTCACCACGTTGGCCAGGCTGGTCTTGAACTCCTGACCTCAAGTATTTGTCCTAAGGCTCTCCCTCCCTTTGGCCCCCACCACCTGATGGGCCCTGGTGTGTGATGTTCCCCTCCCTGTGTCCATGTGTTCTCATGCTTAACTCCTACTTATGAGTGAGAACATGTGGTGTTTGGTTTTCTGTTCCTGTGTTAGTTTGCTGAGAATGATGGTTTCCAGCTTCATCCATGTCCCTGCAAAGGACATGAACTCATTCTTTTTTTATGACTGCATAGTATTCCATGGTGTAGATGTGCTACATTTTCTTTATCCATTCTATCATTGATGGGCGTTTGGGTTGGTTCCAAGTCTTCGCTATTGTAAATAGTGCTGCAGTAAACATACATGTGCCTGTGGCTTTATAGCAGCATGATTTATAACCCTTTGGGTGTATAATCACTAATGGGATTGCTGGGTCAAATGGTATTTCTGGTTCTAGATCCTTGAGGAATTGCCACATTGTCTTCCACAATGGTTGAACTAATTTACACTCCCACCAACAGTGTAAAAGTGTACCTATTTCTCTGCATCCTCTCCAGCATCTGTTGTTTCCTGACTTTTTAATAATCGCCATTCTAGCTGGTGTGAGATGGTATCTCATTGTGGTTTTCATTTGCATTTCTCTAATGACCAGTGATGATTAACTTTTTTTCATATGTTTGCTGGCCGCATAAATGTCTTCTTTTGAGAAGTGTCTGTTTATATCCTTTGCCCACTTTTTGATGGGGTTGTTTTTTTCTTGTAAATTTGTTTAAGGTCCTTGTAGATTCTGGATATTAGACCTTTGTCGGATGGATAGATTGCAAAAATTTTCTCCCAATTCTGTAGGTTGCCTGTTCACTCTGATGGTAGTTTCTTTGGCTGTGCAGAAACTCTTTAGTTTAATTAGATTCAATTTGTCAATTTTGGCTTTTCTTGCCATTGCTTTGGTGTTTTAGTCATGAAGTCTTTGCCCATGCCCATGTCCTGAGTGGTATTGTGTAGGTTTTCTTCTAGGGCTTTTATGGTTTTAGGTTTTACATTTAAGTCTTTAATCCATCTTGAGTTAATTTTTGTATAAGGTGTAGGGAAGGGATCCGGTTTCTGTTTTCTGCGTATGGCTAGCCAGTTTTCCTGGCACCATTTATTAAATAGGGAATCCTTTCCCCATTGCTTGCTTTTGTCAAGTTTGTTGAAGATCAGATGGTTGTAGATGTGTGGTGTTATTTCTGAAGCTTCTGTTCTGTTCCATTGGTCTATATATCTGTTTTGGTACCAGTACCATGCTGTTTTGGTTATTGTAGCCTATTAGTATAATTTGAGGTAAGACAGCGTGATGCCTCCAGCTTTGTTCTTTTTGCTTAGGATTGTCTTGGCTATACAGGCTCTTTTTTGGTTCCATATGAAATTTAAAGTAGTTTTTCTAATTCTGCAAAGAAAGTCAATGATAGCTTAGTAGGAATAGCATTGAATCTATAAATTACTTAGGTCAGTATGCCCATTTTCATGATATTTATTCTTCTTATCCATGAGCATGGAATTTTTTTCCATTTGTTTGTGTCCCCGCTTATTTCCTTGAGCAGTGGTTTGTAGTTCTCCTTGAAGAGATCCTTCACATTCCTTGTAAGTTGTATTCCTAGATATTTTATTCTTTTTGTAGCAATTGTGAATGGGATTTCACTCATGATTTGGTTCTCTGCTTGTCTATTATTGGTATATAGGAATGCTTGTGATTTTTGCACATTGATTTTATATGCTGAAGTTGCTTATCACCTTAAGGAGTATTTGGGCTGAGATGATGGGGTTGTCTAAATATACAATCATGTCATCTGCAAACAGAGATAATTTGGCTTCCTCTCTTCCTATTTGAATACCACTAATTTCTTTTTCTTGCCTCATTGACCTGGCCAGAACTTCCAACACTATGTTGAATAGGAGTGGTGAGAAAGGGCATCCTTGTCTTGTGCCAGTTTTCAAAGGGAATGCTTCCAGCTTTTACCCATTCAGTATGATATTGACTGTGGGTTGTCATAAATAGCTCTTATTATTTTGAGATATGTTCCATCAATACCTAGTTTATTGAGAGTTTTTAGCATGAAGGGCTGTTGAATTTTATTAAAGGCTTTTTCTGCATCTATTGAGATAATCATGTGCTTTCTGTCATTGGTTCTGTTTATGTGATGGATTATGTTTATCGATTTGCGTATGTTGAACCAGCCTTGCATCCCCGGGATGAAGCCGACTTGATCGTGGTGGATAAGCCTTTTTGATGTGCTGCTGGATTTGGTTTGCCAGTATTTTTTTTTTTTTTTAGACGGAGTCTCGCTCTGTCGCCAGGCTAGAGGGCAGTGGCGCAATCTTGGCTCACTGCAACCTCTTCCTCCCGGGTTCAAGTGATTCTCCTGCCTCAGCCTCCCGAGTAGCTGGGACTACAGGCATGCGCCACCACGCCTAGCTGATTTTTGTATTCTTAGTAGAGACGGGGCTTCACCAGGTTGGCCAGGATGGTCTCGATCTCTTGACCTCATGATCTGCTTGCCTTGGCCTCCCAAAGTGCTGGGATTACAGGTGTGAGCCACTGCGCCTGGCCTGGTTTACCAATATTTTATTAAGGATTTTTGCATCAGTGTTCATCAGTGATATTGGCCTGAAATTTTCTTTTTTCGTGTGTGTGTCTCTGCCAGGTTTTGGTATCAGGATGATGCTGGCCTCATAAAATGAGTTAGGGAGTAGTCTCTCTTTTTCTATTGTTTGGAATAGTTTCGGAAGGAATGGTACCAGCTCCTCTTTGTACCTCTGGTAGAATTCAGCTGTGAATCTGTCTGGTCCTGGGATTTTTTTGGTTGCTAGGCTATTAATTACTGCCTCAATTTCAGAACTTGTTATTGGTCTATTCAGGGATTTGACTTCTTCCTGATTTAGTCTTGGGAGGTGTATGTGTGCAGGAATTCATCCATTTCTTCTAGATTTTCTAGTTTATTTGTGTAGAGATGTTTATTGTATTCTCTGATGGTAATTTGTATTTCTGTGGGACCAGTGGTGATAGCCTCTTTATAATTTTTTATTATCTATTTGATTCTTCTCTCTTTTCTTCTTTATTAGTCTAGCTAGTGGTCTATCTATTCTGTTAATCTTTTCAAAAAACCAGCTCCTGGACTCAATGATTTTTTGAAGGGTTTTTTGTGTCTCTATCTCCTTCAGTTCTGCTCTGATCTTAGTTATTTCTTGTCTTCTGGTGGCTTTTGAATTTGTTTGCTCTTGCTTCTCTAGTTCTTTTAATTGTGATGTTTGGGTGTCAATTTCAGATCTATCCAGCTTTCCGATGTGGGCACTTAGTACTATAAATTTCCCACTTAACACTGCTTTAGCTGTGTCCCAGCACAACAACCCTGGTATGTTGTCTCTTTGCTCTCATTGGTTTCAAACAACTTCATTATTTCTGCCTTAATTTCGTTATTACCCAGTAGTCATTCAGGAGCAGGTTGTTCAATTTCCATATAGTTGTGTGGTTTTGAGTGAGTTTCTTAACCCTGAGTTCTAATTTGATTGCACTGTGTTCTGAGAGACTGTTTGTTATGATTTCCTTTCTTTTGTTATGATTTCCGTTCTTTTGCATTTGCTGAGGAGTATTTTACTTCCAATTATGTGGTCAATTTTAGAATAAGTGCTATGTGGTGCCGAGAAGAATGTATATTCTGTTGATTTGGGGTGGAGTGTTCTGTAGATGTCTATTAGCTCCACTTGGTCTAGAGTTGAGTTCAAGTCCTGAATATCCTTGTTAATTTTCTGTCTCGTTGATCTGTCTAATATTGACAGTGGGGTGTTGAAGTCTCCCACTATTATTGTGTGGGAGTCTAAGTCTCTTTGTAGGTCTCTAACAACTTCCTTTATGAATCTGGGTGCTCCTGTATTGGGTGCATATATATTTAGGATAGTTAGCTCTTCTTGTTGTATTGATCTTTTTACCATTATGTAATGCCCTCATCTTTTTTGATCTTTGTTGGTTTAAAGTGTGTTTTATCAGAGACTAGGATTGCAACCCCTGCTTTTTTTTTGCTTTCCATTTGCTTGGTAAATAACCCTCCATCCCTTTATTTTGAGCTTCTGTGTGTCTTTGCACGTGAGATTGATCTCCTGAATACAGCACAGTGATGGGTCTTGACTCTTTATCCAATTTGCCAGTATGTGTCTTTTTTTTTTTTTGAGACTAAGTCTTGCTTTGTCTCCCAGGCTGGAGTGCAGTGGGTCGATCTCATCTCACTGCAACCTCCGCCTCCCAGGTTCAAGGGATTCTATTGCCTCAGCCTCCCAAGTAGCTGGGATTACAGACGTGTGCCACCACGCCCAGCAATTTTTTGTATTTTTAGTAGAGACAGGGTTTCACTATGTTGGCCCAGCTGGTCTTGAACTCCTGACCTCTTGATCCACCCGCCTCAGCCTCCCAAAGTGCTGGGATTACAGGCGTGAGCCACTGCGCCTGGCTAGTCTGTGTCTTTTAATTGGGGCATTTAGCCCATTTACATTTAAGGTTAACATTGTTATGTGTGAATTTGATCCTGTCAACATGATGCTATCTGGTTATTTTGCTCATTAGTTAATGCAGTTTCTTCATAGTGTTGTTGGTCTTTATATTTTGGTGTGTTTTTGCAGTGGCTGGTACCAGTTTTTCCTTTCCATATTTAGTGCTTCCTTCAGGAGCTCTTGTAAGGCAGGCCCGGTGGTGACAAAATCCCTCAGCATTTGCTTGTCTGGAAAGGATTTTATTTATTTTTATTTATTTATTTATTTTTGCTTATGAAGCTTATTTTGGCTGGATATGAAATTCTGGGTTGAAAATTATTTTCTTTAAGAATGTTGAATATTGGCCCCCACTCTCTTCTGGCTTGTAGGGTTTCTGTAGAGAGATCCACTGTTATTCTGATGGGCTTCCCTTTGTGGGTAACCTGATCTTTCTCTCTGGCTGCCCTTAACATGTTTTCCTTCGTTTCAACCTTGGAGAATCTGACGATTGTGTGTCTTGATGTTGCTCTTCTCAAGGACTATCTTAGTAGTGTTTTCCATATTTTCTGAATTTGAATGTTGGGCTGCCTTGCTAGGTTGGGGAAGTTCTCCTGGGTAATATCCTGAAGTGTGTTTTCCAACTTGGTTCCTTTCTCCCCATCACTTTCAGGTACACCAATCAATCGTAAGTTGGATCTTTTCACATAGTCCCATATTTCTTGGAGGCTTTGTTCATTCCTTTTCACTCTTTTTTCTCTAACCTTTTTTTCTTGCTTTATTTCATTAATTTGATCTTCAATCACTGATACCCTTTCTTCTACTTGATCGGATCGGCTATTGAAGCTTGTGCATGCATCACGTAGTTCTCGTGCCATGTTTTCAGCTCCATCAGGTCACTTAAGGTCTTCTCTACACAGTTTATTCTAGTTAGCCATTCATCTAATCTTTTTTTCAAGGTTTTTAGCTTCCTTGCGATGGGTTTGAACATCCTCCTTTAGCTTGGAGAAGTTTGTTATTACTGACCTTTTGAAGTCTACTTCTGTCAGCTCGTCAAAGTCATTCTCCATCCAGCTTTGTTCCATTGTTGGTGAGGAGCTGCGATCCTTTGGAGGAGGAGAGGCACTCTGGTTTTTAGAATTTTCAGCTTGTCTGCTCTGGTTTCTCCCCATCTTTGTGGTTTTATCTACCTTTGGTCTTTGATGTTGGTGACCTACAAATGGGGTTTTGGTGTAGATGTCCTTTTTGTTGATGTTGATGCTATTCCTTTCTGTTTGCTAGTTTTCCTTCTACCAGTCAGGTCCCTCAGCTGCAGGTCTGTTGGAGTTTGCTGGAGGTCCACTCCAGACCCTGTTTGCCTGGGTATCAGTAGCAGAGGCTGCAGAACAGCAAGTATTGCAGAACAGCAAATATTGCTGCCTTATCCTTCCCCTGGAAGCTTCATCCCAGAGGGGCACCCGCCTGTATGAGATGTCAGTCGGCCCCTACTGGGAGGCATCTCCCATTTAGGCTACACGGGGGTCAGGGACCCACTTGAGGAGGCAGTCTGTCCATTCTCTGAGCTCAAACACTGTGCTGGGAGAACCACTGCTCTCTTCAGAGCTGTCAGACAGGGACGTTTAAGTGTGCAGAAGTTTCTGCTGCCTTTTGTTCAGCTCTGCCCTGCCCCCAGAGGTGGAGTCTACAGAGGCAGCCAGCCTTGCTGAGCTGCGGTGGGCTCTGCTGAGTTTTAGTTTCCCCAGCTGCTTTGTTTACCTACTCAAGCCTCAGCAATGGCAGACCCCCCTCCCCCTGCTAGGCTGCTGCCTTGCAGTTTGATCTCAAACTGCTGCCCTAGCAGTGATCAAGGCTTTGTTGTCGTGGGACCTGCCAAGCCAGGCATGGAACACAATCTCCTGGTGTGCTGTTTGCTAAGACCGTTGGAAAAGCAGAGTAGTTGGGCAGGAGTGTCCCGTTTTTCCAGGTACCGTCTGTCATGGCTTCCCTTGGCTAGGAAAGGGAAATCCCTTGCCCTTTTTGGGTGACCCCTTGCCCTTTTTGGTGAGGTGATGCCCTGCCCTGCTTTGGCTCACCCTCCGTGGGCTGCACACACTGTCCAACCAGTCCCAATGAGATGAACCAGGTACCTCAGTTGGAAATGCAGAAATCACCCGTCTTCTGTGTCGATCACGTTGGGAGCTGCAGACCAGAGCTGTTCCTATTTGACCATCTTGGAATGGAATCCTGAATTAACCTCTTTATCAGTATATAATGACCTTTGTCTCTTTTTAGTTTTTTTCATGAAATCTGTTTTTTCTGACATAAGTATCGGTACTCCTGCTCTTTTTTGGTTTCCATTGGCATGGAATATCTTTCCATCCCTTTATTTTCAGTCTGTGTGTGTCTTTATATGTGAAGTGTGTTTCTTGTAGGCAAGGGATCAATGGGTTTTGTTTTCTCAATTTAGCCACTCTATGTCTTTTGATTTGAGAGGTTAATCCATTTACATTAAATGTTATTATTGATAAGAACTTACTCATGCCATTTTGTTATTTATTTTCTGGTTGTTTTGTGGTCTTCTCTTCCTTCTTTCCTTCCTGTCTTCCTTCAGTGAAGGTGATTTTCTCTAGTGATATGATTTAGTTTCTTGCTTTTTATTTTTTGTGTGTTCATTGTATATTTTTAGGTTTGTAGTTACCACGAGTCTTGCAAATACTATCTTATAACCCATTATTTTAACTTGATAACAACTTAGCACTCTGCATAAACAAACAGGGAAAAAGAAAACTAATAAAAACCTTATGCCTTAACTTCATCCTCCTGCTTTTTAACTTTTTTGTTGTTTTTATTTATATCTTATTGTACTATTTCTGGAAAAGTTGTAGTTGTTATTTTTCATTGGTTCATTGTTTATTCATTCTACTTAGAGTAGTTTACACACCACAGTTACAGTGTTATAATAATTGTGTTATAACAGTGTTACTTTTTTTTTGTACTTACTATTACCAGTGAGGTTTGTACCTCAAGATAATTTTTTTTTTTGAGATGGAGTCTCACTCTTGTCTCCCAGGCTGGAGTGCAATGGTGCAGACTCGGCTCACTGCAACCACCGCCTCCTGGGTTCAAGCGATTCTCCTGCCTCACCCTCCCAAATAGCTGGGATTACAGATGTCTGCCACCACTCCTGGCTAATTTTTGTTCTTTTTAGTAGAGATGGGGTTTCACCATGTTGGCCAGGCTCGTCTCAAACTCCTGAGCTCAGGTGATCCACCCACCTCGGCCTCCCAAAGTGCTGGGATTACAGGGATGAGCCACTGTGCCTGGCCCAGATGATTTTTTATTGCTCATTATTATTATAAGAGAGGATCAAAATCCTCTCTTTAGCATTTCTTGTAAGGCAGGTCTGGTGTTGATGAAATCCCTCAGCTTTTGTTTGTCTGGGAAAGTCTTTCTCCTTCACATTTGAAGGATATTTTCACTGGATATACTATTCTAGGGTAAAAGTTTTTTTCCCACAGCACTTTAAATATGTCATGCCAGTCTCTCCTGGCCTATAAGGTTTCCACTGAAAAGTCTGCTGCCAGACATATTGGAGCTCCATTTCATGTGATTTGTTTCTTTTCTCTTGCTGCTTTTAGGATCTTTTCTTTATCCTTGAGCTTTGGGGGTTTGATTATTGTTACATGCCTTAAGGTGGTTTTCTTGGGTTAAATCTACTTGGTGTTCTATAACCTTTTTGTACTTGGATATTGATATCTTTCTCTAAGTTTGGGAAGTTCTCTGTTATCCCTTTGAATAAACTTTCTATCCCTATGTCTTTCTCTTCCTCATCTTTAAGGCCAATAACTATTAGCTTTGCTCTTTTGTGGCTATTTTCTAGATCCTGCAGGTGTGCTTCATTGTTTTTTATTCTTTTTTCTTTTGTCTCCTCTGACTATGTATTTTCAAACAGCCTGTCTTCAAGCTCACTAAATCTTTCTTTTGCTTGATCAATTTTGCTATTAAAGGACTCTGATGCTTTCTTCAGTATGCTAGTTGCATTTTTAGTTCAGAATTTCTGTTTGATTAATTTAAAGTATTTCAATCTCTTTGCTAAATTTAGCTGATAGAATTCTAAATTCCTTCTCTGTGTTATATTGAATTTCTTTGAGTTTCCTCAACACAGCTATTTTGAATTATCTCTCTGAAAGGTCACATGTCTCTTGTTTCTCCAGGTTGGTCCCTAGTGCCTTATTTAGTTCATTTGGTGAGGTCATGTTTTCCTGGATGGTGTTGATGCTAGTAGATGTTCTTTGGTGTCTGGGCATTGAAGAGTTAGGTCTTTATTGCAATCTTTACTGTCTGGGCTTATTTGTACCTGTCCTTCTTTGGAAGGCTTTCCAGATATATGAAAAGACTTTGGTGTTGTGATCTAAGCTGTATCTGCTTTAGGGGGCACCCCAAGTACAGTAATGCTTTGTTTCTTGCAGACTCGTAGAGATACCACCTTGGTGGCCTTCCATAAGATCCAGAAGCATTCTCTAGATTACCCAGCAGAGGCTTTTCTCTTACTTTCTCCCAGAGTCTCCCTCTCTGTTCTGGAAGCCTGGATCTGGGGGAGGGGTGACAGAAGCATCCCCATGGCCACCACTGCCAAGACTGTACTGGGTCAAACCTGAAGCCAGCACAGTACTGGGTCTCCCCCAAGGCCTGCTGTAACCACCTTTGTAACCAAGGCCCGCTGCTACCACCTTTGTTCACTCAAGGCCCTAGAGCTCTACAACCAGCAGGTGGTGAAGCCAGCCAGCCTTTTGTCTTTCTCTTAAGGGTATGGAGTTCTCCCAGGCCCTGGGTGGGTCCAGAGATGCTGTCTGGGAGCCGGGACCTGGAGATGGAAACCTTAGACATCTACCTGGTGCACTAATCTACTGTGGTTGAGCTGGTGTTGAAACCCCCAGACAAAGTCCTTCCCACTCTTCCCTCCTTTTTCCCCAGGCAAAGGAGTCTATCCCTATGCCCACCACTACAGGCCCATGGGGAGTAATGCCAGGCTACTGCCGATGTTTACTTAAGGCCCAAGGGCTCTTCAGTCAGCTTCTGGTGAATCTTCCAGGCCTGGGACTCATCATTCAGGATAGTGGGCTCTTCTCTGACCCAGGTTAGGTCCAGAGACGGTGTCCAAGAGCCAAGGACTGGAATCCTGGACCCCAAGAGCCTGCTTGGTGTTTTTCCCTACTGTGGCCAAGGTGGCACCTAAGCTCAAGACTTACTCCTCCATCTGCTTTTCTTAAGCAGAAGGGGTCTCTCCCTGTAGCCACCACAGCTGTGAATGCACTGCCTTGAAGGGAAGGATACAGACCTGGTAGGATTCATCACCTGCTAACTAAAGAGCCCTTGGGCCCTGAATAACCATCAATGATAACCAGGGAGTACATACCCACTGTGGGCCTTGCTGCTGTGGGCCTTGGGCGAGACTCTGAGATGTGTTGGCTTCAGGTGTGAACCAGCGCATTCACAGCTATCCTTTAGTCTCTAAAGTTTAGTGTTTTGAATGTGACTAGATAGGTTTCCTCACCAGAATCAAGTTGGAAATTCCTTTGTGATTAGCATGATATTGTCAGCTCTTGCCTCCCTCCACCCCCAGCCAATTGCCTTCCAAAACTTAACATTGCTTTATCTTCCGATGAGCCCAGTTTGTAGGTTTAGGTTTGCTCTATTCTCTGAGCCTGTTCTATTCAAAGGAAGAAAGAATAGTACCATTGTAGAGTAGGGAAGCTGTTGGTTTGGATTAAGTTATACTGGCCATCAGATTTGAGCTTTAACATACTAGGGGCATATTCTATGCACCTGTTTAGCTTTGGAGTTGTATCATTTCTTTTTTTATTGTGGTAAGAACGTTTAATATGAGATTTGCTGTCAGCAAAACTTTAAGTATACATTATTGACTGTAAGTATAGTATTGTATAGCAGATCTGTATTGCTTATTCATCTTGCTTGACTGAAACATTATGCCCGTTGCTTAGTAACTCCCTATTACCCCTTTCCCCCAGCCCTTGGAAACCACCATTCTACTCTTTGGTTCTATGAATTTGACTATTTTAGGTATTTCATGTAAGTGGAACCATGCAGTATTTGTCTTGTGACTAGCTTATTTCACTTAGTATAATGTCCTCAAGGTTCATCCATATTGTCACATATTATGGAATTTCCTTCTTTTTGAAGACTAAATGGCATTTTATTGTATGTATATACCACATTTTCTTTATCCATTCATTTGCTGGTGGACATTTGCATCATTTCCACATCTTGGCTATTGTGAATAGTGCTACAGTGAACATGGGAGTGCTAATATCTCTTCAAGACCCTGATTTCAATTCATGTGGATAAATACCCAGAAGTGTAATTGCTGTATCATATGCGAGTTGTATTTTTAATTTTTTGAAGAACCTTCATACTGTGTTCCATAGCAGCTGCACCATTTTACCATCCTACCAACAGTGTACAAGAGTTCCAATTTCTCTACATCCTCACCAATACTTCTTATTTTTTCTTTCTTTCTTTCTTTCTTTCTTTTTCTTTTTTTTTTTTTTTTGTGGCAGTGTCTCACTCTTACCCAGGATGGAGTGTAGTGGCTCGATCTTGGCTCACTGCAACCTCTGTCTTACAGGTTTGAGCAATTCTCCTGCTTCAGCCTCCCAAGTACCTGGCACTACAGGTGGTGCCACCGTGCCCAGCTAATTTTTGTATTTTTGGTAGAGACGGGGTTTCACCATGTTGCTCAGGCTGGTCTCGAACTCCTGACCTCAAGTGATCCACCTGCCTCGGCCTCCCAATGTGCTGGGATTACAGGCATAAGCCACTGCGCCTGGCCTTATTTTCTATTTTTTGATAGTGGTTATCTTAATGGATGTGAGGTGATATATCATTGTAATTTTAAATTTTAGTTTGCATTTCCCTGATGATTAGTGATGTTGAGATTTTTTCCATATACCTGTTGGCCATTTGTATATCTTCTTGGAGAAATTTTTGGTACTTTAAAATATTTTCTATCTCTGTTGAAATTCTCACTTTGTTCATGCATTGCTCTCTTGACCTCAGTGAGCATCTTCATGAGAGTTGTTTTAATTCTCTGTCAGGTAAATTATATAACTCTATTTATTAGGGTTGGTTTATGGAGATTATCTTGTTCCTTTGTTTGGAACATCTTTGCCTGGTTTTTCATTTTCCTTGACCCACTGTTGGTGCCTGTGTTAAGGCACCTCTCTCATTCTTCATGGGCTTGTCTTGTACAGGAGAAGGGCCCCCCCAATTAGGCTTGGCAGAGATTCTGGGGGCCTCTACCACCTCTTTCTCTCCCCAGAGAGAAGCTGGAAGCTATAGTTTTTGTCTGCTTGTTCTGGGCTGAGCCAGAGTGGAGAGCTATGGCATGTACCAGCTCAAGCCACTGTCTCCCATTCTCCCCTGAGCAGCTAGAGTTTGCCGGACCCATCTGAGCCTCAAAACTAGAGAGATATATGCAAGTTCTTTTGGCAGCCCTGGAGAAGTTGGGGCACTAGAGGCACAGATCAACTCTTTTCCCTCCCCACCAGGAAGCAGAGAGCTGGAGCTTTTCATCTGTGGAGGTGTATCATTTCTGCTTGTCATGATTTTCATGAGGTTAGCCTGCCCTGCATCCATCCCTAGTTAACTCTCCAGGATCAGGACACTGCTCAGAACTACAATACACTGCTGTGAATAGATCTGTTGGAACTATGGTACATACAGTTCCATCTGACTTCTGCTTTATGACTTGCTGCTTGGATTCTCTTGTACCATATCCAATTTGTCATTTGGGACTTCCTGGAACATTATATAGGAAAAATTATTATCTTTGTGACCGTGGATAGAAATTACGATTTACAATGTAATTTTAGTCTATGACTAAACCTGTTTGCCTGATTTTGCCAGACCCTTTTGACACTGTTTTGGATATTTTGGCTGTCCTCATTCAAACCAACCTCTGCAGTTTGAATAGTTTTCTTTAGCCCACAATCAGAGCTATAGTGTAGTGCTCTGAATGCTTTTGGCTCATTTCTTTCCTTTCTGCTGTTTTTCAGTTGTCTGAGTGTCCTAGCTTATCACTTGTTCCAGATCCTTCCTGATAGAACCAGTATAGTGGAAAGTACAGGATTTCAAATCAGAAAGCCTGAATTCAAGTCCTAGCTTACTACTTTCTATTTTATCACCATCAAGAAGTCACTTTATCCAGCAAAAAGGCCTGATTTTTAAAAAGTCACTTCATTTTGTTAAAACTTAGTTTCCACATCTTATGAAATAAAAATATCTTCCTTACAGAATAGATTGAAGATTAAATGAGAATGCATATGAAAAAGCTTCGAGACTGGAAAGCAATATGCAAATGTTAATTTTATTGTCATTTCTGGTTCTTTTCTCACTAAAGAAGTTGCATATAATTATTGTGACTTGGAGTAAAATCTTGAATTGATTTTGGCAGGTCTTTGAGCTGCTTTGGCTTTTGAATGACTGGTTGAGCTGATGGAGGTCACAGGGAAAGACTTGGCAGGACAGTTGATAGATTTTTGCATGTTGTAACAGAAGCTCCCTTCCTCAAGGACAGGGAAAATGTTTATTTTCTATTATACGGTACCTAGAATGTTATCTACTTAATCAGAATTAATTGATACAGATTAACGTGGCTGCCTCAATCGAGTGAACCCCCAGTTTTAACTAGAATGCATCTCATTTAAATTAAATGGACTAAAATCTGTTGTAAATCATAGTTTCTTTTTGTAGCCAGGAAGATAATTTAATAATTTTTTTCAAAACGTACAATCTTGCTTGACAAAACCTTAATACAGTTTGCTGTCTTCTCATCTCAGGAGTAGACTGCATTTTGTATTTGAGACAGTCTCTGCCGCTTAGGCTGGAGTGCAATGGCGTGATCACAACTCACTGTAGTTTCAACCTCCTAGGCTCAAGCGATCCTCCCACCTCAACCACCCGAGTAGCTGGGACCACAGGTGTGGGCTACCATGCCTGGCTAATTTTATTTATTTATTTGTAAAGATGGGGTCTGTCTATATTGCCCAGGGTAGTCTCGAACTCCTGGGCTCAAGCAATCCCCTTGCCTTGGCCTCCCAAATTGCTGGAATTACAAGCGCGAGACACTTTGCCCAGCTGTAGACTGCATTTATAGAAGTTCTTTTCATCGGATGCAGTGGCACACACCTGTAATGCCAGCTACTTGGATGGGAGGATCACTTAAGCCCAAGAGTTTCAGGCCAGGCTGGGCAACATAGCAAGACCCTGTCTCAAAACAAAAACAAAAACAAAAACAAAAAATAGAATTTATTTTCTGAGCTTCTCCCAGATGCAAATCTCTTCTTTATAGTGTAACTCTCAACCTTTCAGCTATGTGATCTCTATCACTTACCCAGCTTTGCTGACTGCATTTTATCCTTAAAGGACTGCAATGCTGTCATTGCCTCAGCTGGTGTCGGTGAAATTGCTCAGCTGAATAACACTGAAAATATGTTTTGAAAGGACCAGAATTATTTAGACAAAAATGAGTTAATAAAACATTAACCACTTAAGAGAACATTCACAAATCAAAATATATGTCTTCATAGTCTCATAAACTATGTAACCAGAAACTATTATTGGTATTCTACAATAACATCTTAGGATTTTTTTTTTTTTGAGAGACAAGGTCTTGCTCTGTCACCCAGCTGGAGTGCCGTGGCATGATCATAGCTTAACTGCAGCTTCCACCTCCTGGGCTGGAGTGATCCTCTCACCTCAGCCACCGAGTAGCTGGAACTACAGGTGTGAGCCACCACACCCAGATAATTTTTAAGTTTTTTATGGAGATGAAGTCTCACTGTGTTCCCCAGGCTGGTCTCAAACTCCTGAGCTCAAGCAATCTACCTGCCTCAGCCTCCCAAACTGTTAGGATTACAGGCATGAGCCACCACGGCTGGCCAGGATGTTTTTTTTAAAACGTATATTGGTGGCATGTGCTTGTAGTCCCAGCTACTCAGCAGGCTGAGGCAGGAGAATTGCTTGAACCTGGGAGGCGGAGATTGCAGTGAGCCAAGATCCCCCACTGTACTTCAGCCTAGGTGACAGAGTAAGACTCTGTCTTAAAAACAAAACAAAACAAACAAACGAAAGTTTATATTGGGGTTTTGTTTTCTTCTCAAAAATATTTTTAAAAATCTGTTCTTTAAACAATATTTGTATTTTTAAAAACATCAATTTTAAAATCTCCCTGATTCTGTTACCAATATTTTGAGTAAGGGCTATATAAATATATGCCCCTCAGCCCAATACTTACCTAATCTTAGAGGAGTCAAGATATTTAACATCAGTCTTTCCATTAAACAACTTATGGGAAAAAGAAAGATAGAGGGTTTCTTTTTTCTTTTTTCTTTTTCTTTTTTTTTTTTTTTTTGAGATGGAGTCTTGTTCTGTTGCCCAGGCTGGAGTGCAGTGGCCGATCTCAGCTCACTGCAACCTCTGCCTCCTGGGTTCAAGAGATTCTCCTGTCTCACCTTCTGGAGTAGCTGGGACTGCAGGTATGTGCCACCGTGCCTGGCTAATTTTTGTATTTTTCTTTTCATATATAGTTTTTCACCTAAAGTATTTAAAATGTGTGAATTTTAAATACTTTTTAATTTGCTTTGTGACGTCTTTATTGGAATCTATAGTCTTATGTTTAGCTAGAATTTTAATTTTTAATTTTTATTTTTATACGTACATAGTAGGTGTATATATTTATAGGATACATGAGATATTTTGATACAGACATAGAATGTGTAATAATCACATCAGGGTAAATAGGATATCCATCACCTCAAGCATTTGTTTAACTGAAATTTTTGTAGCTGATTTATTTTTTACTGTAGCAAGGTAAAAGTTCTGTTTATTTTAGCAGCTTAAAAATCTTTTAGAAGGTGCTTTTATAGTACTGTTATGAATATTAACATTTTTGCTAATTTGAGGCTCAAGAATGTTGCAAGAAATTAGAAATATGTAGCTTATGGACATTTCTGTCACGAGTTTGAAAAAAACCTCAATTTTGATAATATGAAGGGCATCAATTGTGATTCTACATCATGCTTATTGTTTAGTTTTAGTTTTTTTTTTTTTTTTGAGACACAGTCTTGCTCTGTTGCCCAGGCTGGAATTCAGTGGCATGATCTGAGCTAAGTACAACCTCAACCTCCCAGGCTCAAGCAATTCTTATGCCTCAGCCACCCCAGTAGCTGGGATTACAGGCGGGCACACCACGCCTAGCTAATTTTTGTATTTTTAATAGGGATGGGGTTTTGCCATGCTGAGCAAGCTGGTCTTGAATTCCTGGCCTGAAGTGATCTGCCTGCCTCCGCCTCCCAATGTGCTGGGATTACAAGCATGAGCCACTGGGCCCGGTCTAGTTTTAGTTTTAGTTTTTTTTTTTTTTTTTTTTTTTTTGGATGATGTCTTGCTATGTTGCCCAGCCTGTTTCAAACTCCTGGGCTCAAGGGATCCTCCTGCCACAGCCTCCTGAGTAGTTGGTACTACAGGCGTGGAGCATCCTGCCCAGCTAATGCTTGGGTTTGAAGGAATTCCATGGCCTGGTAAGATTCAGCTATTTGGAGTCTGGAGCTCAGACCATTTAGAAAATGGTGACATCATTTGTGCAGATTCAATATCTGGTTAATGTTGCTAATTGAGCATGTCATTTTTTTCTTGCAAAGTAAGTTCAAGACTTCAGAGCCAGCAGTTAGCTATGTCTGTCTAATGCTTGAAAATATTAGTAAGTTTTTCAGTTTTACAGGGCACATATTCAGAACTTCTTTCAGAATTTCTACATTTTCTGGTTTTGAAGACACTGTTAAGTTCAGTTTTGCAGGGTTTTTGTTTGTTTGTTTTAGAGAAAGGGTCTCACTCTGTAGCCCATGCTGCATGGAGTACAGTGGCAGGATCGTAGCTCACTGTAGCCTTGAACTCCTGGACTCAAGTGATCCTCCTACCTCAGCCTTTGGACTAGCTAGGGCTAAAGACGTGTGCCACCATGCTTGGCCTGTTTTGTACTTTTAATATTACCTAATAACATTACTATTTGTGAAGTCAATGCATTTTACTTTCTGAGAATGAGTAATGATTAAGTTATAAACAAGTGACTCCCAAAGAATGCAAATTTTATTTGAAAATTATACTCTAGCTTAAAGAAACTTTAAATCTCCAGTTTGGTTTTACTCTAAGGATCAAGTTCCTTCATGCTGTATTCATTTGGCCAATGATTTAGACATAGATTTAAAAATGATTTGCTACATTTAGCCAATGGTAATAGTTCACAGCACATTTATCATCCATTGTCATTTCAGAAGTTGTTGAAAACCTGGTTACAAATGATAATTCACCTAACATACCAGAGGCAATTGATAGACTCTTCAGCGACATAGCAAATATCAACAGGGAGTCTATGGCTGAAATAACAGACATTCAGGTTAGTATAAAAATAATTCTGTTTATGATAAGTTTCGATGATTCTTCATTTTAACCAATGTATTATATAGGTAAAAAAGTAGTCTTCATGCTTAACCATTGCTAAACATATAAAAATCTATTTTTGGATGTTCACACCTAATTTAGGGGGAAAAATTTTAGAAACCAATGGGAACATATGTGCTCGTTTAATATTTATTATTTATTTATTTATTAGCAATGTTATTTATTATTAATATTTATTAACCTCCCCAGGCTTCAGTTTTCTCACCTGTTAAATGATAATAGTAATACCCACCTCCAAGTGTTGTTATGAATAGTAAACAAAATAACATATATAAGGTCCTGGGCACATACTAGTTCTCTTTTCCTTCCCTTTGCAACAAAGTAGTGGAGCCACCCAGTAGTGGAGAACTCAGTTGACTATAAGCCTTCAGAAGTGCTTTTTTTGGGGGTAATTTTCTAATGTTTAAATGAAGGTCTGTTACTTACTTAATATGGAAGCTGTCTTGAGGCTTGAAACACTTTTGAGAATATTTACCTTGGGCAAATACTTCCATTTTGGTGACTACTTGTATGGAAAGGTGAGAGGAAAGTTTACTGTAAATCTCTCTTCCTCTTTATATATATAAGTATCTATATATGTATATATGTGTTTATGTATATATAAATACCTTTATTTAGATATAATTTACATACCATGCAATTCACCCATTTCAAGTATACAATTCAATAGTTTTTAGTATTTCACAGAGTTGTTGTGCACCTATCACCACAGTTAGTTAATTTTAGAATATTTTCATCACCTCAAAAAGAAACCGCACACCCGTTCACAAACACTCTCCATTTCCTCCCATCCTCTTCCCTCCCTCACCCTCAGCCCTAGGCAACCACTAATCTACTTTTGGTCTCTATGGTTTTGCCTAATGAGGACATTTTATATAAATAGAATCATACAATGTGTGGTTTACTGACTGTTTTCACTTAGCAAGATGTTTTCAAAGTTCATCCATATTGTTGCATGTATTTGTACTTCATACATTTTTATGACTGAATAATATCCCATTGTATGGATATACCATATTTTGTTTGTCCATTCATCTATTCATGAACGTTTTCATTGCTTCCACCTTTTGGCTATTATGAATAATGCTGCTATAAATACTCATGTACAGATTTTTATGTTTTCATTTTTCTTAGGTTTGTACCTAAGAATGAAATTGCTTCCACCTTTTGGCTATTATGAATAATGCTGCTATAAATACTCATGTACAGATTTTTATGTTTTCATTTTTCTTAGGTTTGTACCTAAGAATGAAATTGCTGGGCCATGTGTTAACTCTAAACTTTTTTTTTTTTTTACTTTTTTTAAATTTTAAGTTCTAGGGTACATGTGCACAACGGGCAGGTTTGTTACATATGTATACATGTGCCATGTTGGTTTGCTGCTGCCAGATTGTTTTCCAAAGTGGCCGCACCATTTTACATTCCCACTAGCAATATAAGAGGGATCCAGTTGGCTGGGCACGGTGACTCACGCCTGTAATCCCAGCACTTTGGGACGCCGAGGCGGGCAGATCACAAGGTCAGGAGATCGAGACCATCCTGGCTAACACAGTGAAACCCTGTCTCTACTAAAAATACAAAAATTAGCCGGGCGTGGTGGCAGGCGCCTGTAGTCCCAGCTACTTGGGAGGCTGAGGCAGGAGAATGGCGTGAACCCAGAAGGCGGAGCTTGCAGTGAGCCGAGATTGCACCACTGCACTCCAGCCTGGGTGACAGAGCGAGACTCCGTCTCAAAAAAAAAAAAAAAAAAAAAAGAGGGATAGAGGGATCCAGTTTTTCCACCTCCTTGCTGACATTTGTCATTATTTGTCTTTTTGATTATAGTCATTCTAGTGGGTATGAAGTGTTATCTCATTGTGTTTTTTATTGCGGTAAAATACACATAACACAAAATTTACCATCTTAACTATCTTTAGGTGTATAGTTCCCTTGTGTTAAGTATGTTCACATTGTGCAGCTATTATCTAGAACCCTTTTCGTCTTGCAAAACTGAAACTCTATATCCATTAAACAACTCCCCCTTGCCCTCTAAAATTCTTACGAATTTTGGGATCAGCTTGTCAACCACCATTCTACTTTCTCTCTCTATAAATTTGACTACTCTCAGTACCTCATGTAAGTGGAATCATGTAATAATTGTCTTTTTGTGGCTGGTTTATTTCTCTTAGTATAATGTCTTCAAGGTTCATTCATGTTGCAGCATGTGTCAGAATTTCCTTCCTTTTTAAGACTGAATAATCCATTGTATGTGTGTACCACATTTTGTTTATCCATTCATTTGTTGATGGACACTTGGGTTGCATCTACCTTTTGCCTATTGTGAATAATGTTGCTATGAGCATTGGTATGGAAATTTCTGTTCAAGTCCCTGCATTTAATTCTTTTGGATATATACCCAGAATTGGAATTGCTGTATCATATGGCAATTCTGTTTTTAATTTTTTGAGGAACCACCATACTGTTTTCCATAGCAACTATACCATTTTACATTTCTATTAGTAGTGAACAAGGGTACCAGTTTCTTCACATTATCACCAATACTTGTTGTTCTGTTTTTTTATTGATAGTAGTCATCCTAGTGACTGTGAGGTGGTATCTCAGTTTTTGTTTTTGTTTTTGTTTTTTTTTTTTAAGACAATCACACTCTGTTGCCCAGGCTGGAGTGCAGTGTCAGGATCTCAGTTCACTGCAACCTCTGCCTCCTGGTTTGAAGCAGTTCTCGTGCCTCAGCCACCCAAGTAGCTGGGATTACAGGCAGGCGCCACCACACCTGGCTAATTTTTGTGTTTTTAGTAGAGATGTGTTTTTGCCATGTTGGCCAGGCTGGTTTCGAACTCCTGGCCTCAAGAGATCCACCCACCTCGGCCTCCCAAAGTGCTGGGATTACAGGTGTGAGCCACTGTGCCCGGTGGTAAATCTCTTTTTAGATCATAACCTCTTACTGTACTTAGCTGTTAGTGAAAACAAATTATAAGATTCCAAGAGTTTGGGTTTGTTTGTTTGTTTGTTTGTTTTTTGAGACAGTGTCTTGGTTTGGAGTGCAGTTGCATGATCTCAGCTCACTGCATCCTCGACCTCCTAGGCTCAAGTGATCCCCCTCAGCCCTCCGAGTAGCTGGGACTGCAGGCATGTGCCACCATACCCAGCTAATTTTTTGTATTTTTCATAGAGATGGGGTTTCTCCATGTTGCACAGGCTAGTCTTGAAATCCTGAGCTCAAGCAATCTGCCCTCTTTGGCCTCCCAGTGTTAGAATTACAGGCATGAGCCATAAGAGTTTGGTCTTATTTTTGAAGAAGATCTGCTTGGTTTTGGAAATGCCTTGAATTTATTTTCTTTCTGGAAAGTCTAATCTTCATATTATTTACTTCTGTTTGCAGCATGTATTTACCATGCTTATCATTATACATTTATGTAAACCTAAGACAAAACCTGCCACATCTTAGGTGCTTAATATATATGTGTTGAATAAATATGTTTTCTGATTATGAAGTATTTACAGTCATAGTTTATCTTATCCTTTCTAACACAATATGAGAAAATACAAGAATTTATTTAAAATCATAAAGTAACATAACTTCACAGAAAGTTTAAAAAAATGGATACAAAATCACATGCAAACACACCACTTCAATATAACTACTATTATTTTAATGTATTTTCTTTAATAGTTTTACAGTTTAAATGTTATTTAGCTATAATTATACTGTACATGTAATATTTCTGGCATCATAAAAGGCAATTTGCTCTGTTTTCCCAACATTTTAAAATAAACATTTTCAAACAGAAAAGTTGAAAGAATATTACACTGGACACCTATGTAACAGCCACTTACATTCTACAGTTGTAAACATTTTACCATATTCGCTTCATCACATATACATTTGTCCATTAGCGCATCTTATTTTTTGGGTGCATTTTAAAATGAGTTGCTGACAACAGTACACTTCCCCCCTAAATGTTTTAGTGTGCATATCATTAACTAGAATCCAATATTTTATTGAAGTTCTTCTTTGGGGTAAGATTTGCATATGTACAACTTTCTGTACATACAGTTTTGTATCTTTCCTTCTTTCCTTTTTCACTAGACATGTAATAAATATTTTCCCGTGTTAAAAACATAGTTTTCATGACCACTATTTTATTTTATTTTTGTTTTTATTTTTATTTTTTTGAGGCAGAGTCTCGCTCTGTCGCCCAGGCTGGAGTGCAGTGGCACGATCTCGGCTCACTGCAACCTCCACCTCTCAGGTTTAAGTGATTCTTCTGCCTCAGCCTCCCGAGTAGCTGAGACTACAGGTGTGCACCACCACACCTGGCTATTTTTTTTTTTTTTTTTGTATTTTTAGTAGAGACGGGGTTTCACCAAGTTGGCCAGGCTGGTCTCGAACTCTTGACCTCAAGTGATCCACCTGCCTCGGCCTCCCAGAGTGCTGGGATTACAGGCGTGAGCCACCATGTCTGGCCATGACCACTATTTTAAATGGATGAATACTATTCCATCAAGGAAGGTTATCATAATTCACCTATTTCTTTATTATTGGATATTTATATTGTTTCTCATATTGTTCCTCATTTTTCACTATTATAAATAATGATATGAAGAACACTATTAAGTGCAAAGATTATCCCCCCACACATTTTCATCTATTTCTTAGGATAAAGTCTCAAAAGTGCAACTATTGGGACAAAAGATATGAACTTTATTTGTTTATTTATTTATTTACTCATTTATTTATTTTTATTGAGACAGAGTCTCGCTCTGTCTCGCCCAGGCTGGAGTACAGTGGCATGATCTTGGCTCACTGCAACCTCCGCCTCCTGGGGTCAAGTGATTCTCATGCCTCAGCCTCCCGAGTAGCTGGGATTACAGGCACCTGCCACCACGCACGACTAATTTTTGTATATTTTAGTAGAGACAGGGTTTGACCATGTTGGCCAGGCTGGTCTCGAACACCTGACCTCAGGCAATCCGACCGCCTCGGCCTCCCAAAGTGCTGGGATTACAGGTGTGAGCCACCGCACCCAGGCGAACATTTTTATATGTTGCCAAATTGCTTTCCAAAATGCCAAACAAGTAGCTTCTTTAAGCTATTTAGTCTGGATGCTCATTTCCCATCATAATATGTCAAATCATTTGTTCTTCTGGGTAATTTGGAGTGCAGTTATTAACTCCATGTGTTTTTAGTGATACAAATGAAATAATACTTAGTATGAAAGTCAGCCGGGTGTGGTGGCTCATGCCTGTAATCCCAGCACTTTGGGAGGTTGAGGCGGGCGGATCACCTGAGGTCAGGAGTTCGAGACCAGTCTGGCCTACATGGTGAAACCCCATCTCAAGTAAAAATACAAAAATTAGCCAGGCATTATGGTGGGTGCCTGTAATCCCAGCTACTTGGGAGGCTGAGGTGGGAGAATCACTTGAACCCGGGAGGTGGTGGTTGCAGTGAGCCGAGATCACGCCATTGCACTCCAGCTTGGGCAACAAAATGAGACTCTGTCTCCAAAAAAAAAAAAAAAAAAAAAAAGGAAGTCATCATTTGATCAACTGTGGCATTGAGGATACTATGTGATGGAGATGGACATGATAATTAGCCCCAGAATAATAAGTGAAATGACAACCATGCTGCATTAGGCTGTTTGCATTGCTATAAAGGAAATACCTGAGGCTGGGTAATTGATAAGGAAAAGAAGTTTATTTGGCTCATGGTTCTGCAGATCATATAAGAAGCATGGCACTGGCATCTGCTTCCAGTGAGGGCCTCTGGAAGTTTCCAATCATGTTGGAAGGGGAAAGGGAGCAGGCATCACATGATGAGAGAGGAGGAAAGAGAAAGGAGGAGGTACCAGGCTCTTTTTTAAGAATCAGATCTTGCAGTAACTAATAGACTGAGAACTCACTCATTACTGTGAGGACAGCACCAAGACAATGAGGGATCCATCCCCGTGACCCAAGTACCTCCCATCAGCCCCACATCCAACATTGGGGATCAAATTTTGATATGAGATTCTCAGGGGAAAAATATCCAAACTATATCACATGTTAAATAAATCATCTGTTTAAACTGAAGCTCATCAGAAAAATGTGAAATGGTAAGTGAGAAAAGTGGCATGGAAGAAAAGACTTAAAACTAACATACATTTTGTACCACTGCTGTGCATAAATTGGGTTAAAGAAAAGAAATAAAACAAAGAATAAATGATACAAAGTAATATAATTAATTGCCAAATTGTATACAACTTAATGAATATATGAATTCAAAGAAGAAAGAACAACGTAGACTGTAATGGTTGCTGAAAGCTTCATTTATGTTGTTGGTGAGACTGAAATGGATTTGAGTTACATAAAAACAAAGGGAGGAGGTATATCAGGTGAAGGTATATCAATAGTATGAATAAAGACACATTGATAGGAATGAACAAGTTGTGTTCAGGAAATAGATAATTACTCTAACAGTGGGTAAGTTTTTGCGGGGAGAGGTAGAATGCGACTAGATTATGGAGGGCCTGGAAATGACCCACAATAGTTACATAAGCATACAACATTCAAGAATGAAAATACCGTTGGAGGTGGCCAGTATTTTAACTAACTAAGGAAATGTTTCTCTTTGACCAGATTGAAGAAATGGCAGTAAACCTATGGAACTGGGCACTTACCATAGGAGGAGGTTGGCTTGTAAATGAAGAGCAGAAAATTAGATGTATGTATACATATTGTGACATGTATTATGAGGCGTGTTCTTACTATATATTGGGTAGTATTCCTGCAGTTTAAATAATGTTTTGACCCATTCTTAGATAGAGATTTGTTAAAAGACAAACAAAACAACCCAGGAACAATGGTTTCTCAAGCAAATGGCCTCCCTCAGTTTTATGATTTTTTTTTCAGAGGTTAGCTCCTTATTAACAAACGTTTAAAGATATCACTGCAAGAAATAGTCAGGAGGTGAACAACAAAGATGATTAAAAGGTGGGACAGTGAGAACTTAAAGAAATGTTAAAGGACATGGATTATTTCTCATGGAGATGATCAAAATCTTCAGGGTTCTGAAGGACCATCAAATAGTAGTTTCCCCTCTATTAATAATAGAATAAGTGTTGCCATATGACATATTCAGATTTTAAAAAGTGTAAAGAATAGTTTCCTCAGGAGATGGATTGATAAACATTGGAATGAGTTACTGAGAAACTATAGAAATGATTTCTACCTGTGAGAGCAAACAACAAGAACAAAAAAACCAAAAATCTCAAACTAAACTCATCTTCTTGGATGCTTTGAATGTGGTCCACTGTCTGGCAATGTTCTAGTGCTTTAGCTAAATGGGCAAAGTCTAGTGTGCTGACAGTTAGTGATTTTCAACAGGCATAGTGACAGCAAATGCATTTATGGGAAGTATATTGCCAATTATAAAGGATACATTGAAGTAACATACCAAAGGGTGAACCTCTGGACTGCTTGACATTGTAAAGACAAATGACTTTTGTCTGTATGCAACAAATATAATTTACTACTAACTATTTATCTTTGTGAATATGAACAAAACTGTATACAACTTCCGTGTAGATATAGGGTAATTGTGCTTAATATAATCAAGAATATACTTGCTCATGAGTCCACTCTATTAGCATGTTTAGAGAACAGTTCTAGCTCTTTAACTCTTAGATAAATTGATATCATTGCTCCCAGGAGCCTCAGATCCTGTAGTTATGGGGAGGTAAGAGCTAGGAATTTATCAGTGGAAGAAACTTAGTACACAGGTGAACCGTGTGATATTAAAGTGCGTTAATTCTTAACTCCTACCATTCTGCATATGAGGAAGTATTGCTTTAGCTGTTTACTGCTTATCAGATAGGGATATGGTAGATGAAGTGGGTGTCACAGCCTCTTCCCATGTACTGTCTCATTTCTTTTTTTCTTTTTCTTTTTTTTTTTTAAGGGACGGCAAGGGGTGAGGGCAGAACCACACAGTGTTGATGGGGTTAGGGCCAGGGAGATGAGAGAGCTAGGGAAGAGAAAAGAGACTGTTAAAAAAAAGGGGGGGTGCTGTAAGAGGAAAAATACTAAATGGGTGGGGAAAGTGGAGAAAAAAGGGGGAAGCAAGAAGAGGAGAAAGGCAAGAGGGGAGAGAAGAAGAGGGAAAAGCAAGAGATAAGAGAAGAAAAGGGAAGGATAAGAGAGGGGACAAGAGACAGTAAAGAAGAGAGTCCCATGTACTGTCTCATTTCACGTAGCAGTTCTTAATCAGATATTTGGGTGCTTGTTATGTGTATCATACTTTTTTTGATACAGTGGAGAATAGATTATCAGCGCAGGAGGCCTCCAAATTAAAATAATTTTGTTTCAAAAATATGTTTATTGGAATATATTTTGTTTCCTTAAAAACAAATTTAGTGTGCCTGGATGTGATGAAATAAGTCATGAAGATTTATAAGCTATAATTCTTTATTATTTGGAGGAATTATGGAACAATGAACAGGAAAGTCAGAAGTAGATGAATGACTTGTAAGTTTTAGTTTTAGACCTGTTGCATTTGAGATGACAATAAGGTTGGAGATGTGAGACTAGAGCTTATGAGAAAGGTCAGGACTGAGCCTACAGATTTGGCAATGATTTACACAGAGGTGGTAGTTGAAGACAGAAGAGTAGTTGAGTTCTTTGAGGAAAAAAATAAAGAGCAGTGGTTCTTAAATATTGGTATAAATCAGAATCAGGCTGGTAGCGGTGGCTCACGCCTATAATCCCAGCACTTTGGGAGGCCTAGGTGAGTGGATCACCTGAGATCAGGAGTTCAAGACCAGCCTGGCCAACGTAGTGAAACCCCGTCTCTATTAAAAATACAAAAATTAGTCGGGCATGGTGGTGTGTGCTTGTAATCCCAGCTACTTGGGAGGCTGAAGCAGGAGAATCGCTTGAACCCTGGAGGTGGAGGTTGCAGTGAGCTGAGATCGCACCATTGCACTCCATCCTGGGCGACAAGAGTGAAACTCCGTCCCTCCCCCTCCCCCCAAAAAATCAGAATCACCTGTGAAGCCTGTGAAAAATACAGATGCCCAGGCCCTTCCATTGGTGGTTTTGATTCATTTAGGTTCAGGATGAAACCTGGGCATGTCTATAATTTGAAAAAATGTCTCAGGAATTCTCATGCACACCAAAATTTAAGAATCAGTGGTATTGAGAGAAGAACAAAGTAGTGAGATTTTAACTCTGAATCTACCAGCTTCAAAGTTAAAATAAAAAGAATAGGGATAGATGACCAAAAGGAACAGTCAAAAAATTCTACAGGAGATTGGCCAGGCACAGTGGCTCACGCCTGTAATCCCAGCACTTTGGGAGGCTGAAGCAGGTGGATCACGAGGTCAGGAGATTGAGACCATCCTGACTAACACAGTGAAACTCCGTCTCTACTAAAAATATGAAAAATTAGCCATGCGTGGTGGTGGGCTCCTGTGGTCCCAGCTGCTCAGGAGGCCGAGGCAGGAGAATGGCGTGAACCCAGGAGGCAGAGCTTGCAGCGAGCCGAGATTGCGCCACTGCACTCCAGCCTGGGCAACAGAGCAAGACTCCCTCTCATAAAAACAAAAAAAAATTCTACAGGATATTTATTAGTCATTTATTGAGTGCATTCTCCGTATAGGGTTCTCGTACCATGTTATGGTACATAGTAAATGAAAGGGAAAAGGTAAGATACCAGAACAAAGATACCAATCTTAAATTATGCTTGAGGATTTCGGAAGGAATAGTTTAAAGCTAGATAAACAATAATTTAAAAATTTATAAATGTCAGAGGGTATAACCCCGTGTTTATCTAAAGTCAATTCAATTTCAGGCTGTGGGTAGAGCAGAGTAAAGCGGATGTTCAAAGGTATCAGTCACCAATTATGTAACCAAGATGTTTATAATATAGAGAGGTCAAGAACAGGCTGGTGAGAAGACAAGATGGAGCAACAGCAACAAAGAAAACATCTTTATATGGAAGTAGCATTCTGTTTCAGCCTCAGCTGCCTTTGGCTTGAAGACTTATTGGTGATAACTATAAACAGCTGGATTATGAATGTCAGGATTGGAGCAGACAAAGTTCTTAGACTAAGATATTTCCCACACAAGGACCAGGATATTTCAGGCCAAGAGGGTAATTTTTTTTTTTTTGAGACAGGATCTGGCTCTGTCACCCAGGTTGGAGTGCAGTGGTGCAATATTGACTCACTGCAACCCCTGCCTCCTGGGCTCAGGTCAACCTCCTACCTCAGCTTCCCGAGTAGCTGGGACTACAAGGCATGTGGCATCACACCTTACTAATTTTTGTATTTTTTGTAGATACAGGTTTTGCCATGTTGCTTAGGCTGGTCTGAAACTCCAAGGGAGTAATATTTTTCAAAAAGGTTATGGCCATTTTGAAATGTTGCTATGAAGTTAAGGAAGGTGATCTTTGGGAGTGCAGTTTTAGTAAAGTGGTAAGGATGCAAAACAGATTGTGGACATTTAAGGAGATGAGTGGGTAGCAAGACAGTAGAGCTAGTAGACAGACTTTTCAATTCAAGAAGCTTGTCAATCAAAGGAAGAGGAGAAATGGGATGCAAGCTTGAAGCATAGTGGGGTTAGTTGATTTTTTTTTTCAAGGTAAGGAGATGGGTACGTTTGAAGGTAGAGAAGAAGGAATAAGTTGAGAGGGAGGTACTCAAGATACTTTTAGAAAGGGGCAATAATTGAGAGATCAGAGTCTTTGAAAATACTGAAGGATTAGCAAACTTTGGAACTTTGGAATAAAGAAAGGAAACATTTTCTTTTTCTTTTCTTTATTTTATTTTGTTTTATTTTATTTTATTTTATTTTATTTTATTTTATTTTATTTTATTTTATTTTATTTTATTTTATTTTATTTTATTTTACTTTAAGTTCTGGGATATGTGTGCAGAACACGCAGGCTTGTTACATAGGTATACATGTGCCATGGTGATTTGCTGCACCTATCAACCTGTCATCTAGGTTTTAAGCCCCGCATGCATTAGGTATGCGTCCTAATGCTCTCCCTCCCTTTGCCCCCACCCGCTGACAGGCCCGGGTATGTGATGTTCCCCTCCCTTGTCCATGTGTTCTCATTGTTCAACTCCCACTTATGAGTGAGAACATTTAGTGTTTGGTTTTCTGTTCCTGTGTTAGTTTGCTGACAGTGATGGTTTCCAGTTTCATCCATGTCCCCGCAAAGGACATGCACTCATTCTTTTGTATGTCTGCATAGTATTCCATGGTGTATATGTGCCACATTTTCTTTATCCAGTCTATCATTGATGAGCATTTGGGTTGGTTCCAAGTCTTTGCTATTGTAAATAGTGCTGCAATAAACATGCGTGTGCCTGTGTCTTTATAGAAGAATGATTTATAATCCTTTGGGTGTATACTCAGTAATGGGATTGCTGGGTCAAAATGGTATTTCTGGTTCTAGAAACCAGAGGAATCGCCACATTGTCTTCTACAATGGTTGAACTAATTTACACTCCCACCAACAGTGTAAAAGCGTTCCTATTTCTCCGCATCCTCACCAGCATCTCTTGTTTCTGACTTTTTAATGATCAGCATTCTAACTGGAGTGAGATGGTACCTCATTGTGGTTTTCATTTGCATTTCTCTAATGACCAGTGATGATGAGCTTTTTTAATATGTTTTTTTGGCCTCAAAAATGTCTTCTTTTGAGAAGTGGCTGTTCATATCCTTCGCCTACTTTTTGATGGGGTTGTTTGTTTTTTTCTTGTAAATTTGTTTAAGTTCCTTGTAGATTCTGGATATTAGACCTTTGTCAGACGGATAGATGGCAAAAATTTTCTCCCATTCTGTAGGTTGCCTGTTCACCCTGACGATAGTTTCTTTTCCTGTGCAGAAGCTCTTTAGTTTAATTAGATCCCATTTTTCAATTTTGGCTTTTGCTGCAATTGCTTTTGGTGTTTTAGTCATGAAGTCTTTGCCCATGCCCATGTCTTGAATGGTATTGCCTACATTTTCTTCTAGGGTTTTTATGGTTTTAGGTCTTATGTTTAAGTCTTTAATCCATGTTGAGTTAATTTTTTTATAAGGTGTAAGGAAAGAATCCAGTTTCTGTTTTCTGCATATGGCTAGCCAGTTTTCCCAACACATTTATTAAATAGGGAATCCTTCCCCCATTGCTTTTTTTTTGTCAAGTTTGTTGAAGATCGAATGGTTGTAGATGGGTGGTGTTATTTCTGAAGCCTCTGTTCTGTTCCATTGGTGTATATATATTTGTTTTGGTACCAGTATCATGCTGTTTTGGTTACTGTAGCCTTGTAGTATAGTTTGAAGTCAGGTAGTGTGATGCCTCCAGTTTTGTTCTTTTTGCTTAGGATTGTCTTGGCTACACGGGCTCTTTTTTGGTTCCATATGAAATTTAAAGTAGTTTTTTCTAGTTCTGTGAAGAAAGTCAGTGGTAGCTTGATGGGAATAGCATTGAATCTATAAATTACTTTGGGCAGTATGGCCATTTTCATGATATTAATCTTTCCTATCCATGAGCATGGAATTTTTTTCCATTTGTTTGTGTCCTCTCTTATTTCCTTGAGCAGTGGTTTGTAGTTCTCCTTGAAGAGATCCTTCACATTCCTTGTAAGTTGCATTCCTAGGTATTTTATTCTCTGTGTAGCAGTTGTGAATGGGAGTTCACTCATGATTTGGCTGTCTGCTTGTCTATTATTGGTGTATGGGAATGCTTGTGATTTTTACATATTGATTTTGTATCCTGAGACTTTGCTGAAGTTGCTTATCAGCTTAAGGAGTTTTTGGGCTGGGATGATGGTATTGTCTAAATATACAATTATGTCATCTGCAAACACAGACAATTTGACTTCCACTCTTCCTAATTGAATACGCTTTATTTCTTTCTCTTGCCTGATTGCCCTGGCCAGAACTTTCAATACTGTGTTGAATGGGAGTAGTGAGAGAGGGCATCCTTGTCTTGTGCCAGTTTTCCACAGGAAAGCTTCCAGCTTTTGCCCATTCAGTATGATATTGGCTATGGGTTTGTCATAAATAGCTCTTATTATTTTGAGATATGAGAGTTTTTAGCATGAAATGGTTTTGAATTTTATTGAAGGCCTTTTCTGCATCTATTGAGATAATCATGTGGTTTTTGTCATTGGTTCTGTTTATGCGACGGATTACGTTTACTGATTTGCCTATGTTGAACCAGCCTTGCATCCCAGGGATGAAGCTGACTTGATCGTGGTAGATAAGCTTTTTGATGTGCTGCTGGATTCGATTTGCCAGTATTTTATTGAGGATTTTCGCATTGATGTTCATCAGGGATATTGGCCTGAAATTTTCTTTTCTGTTGTGTCTCTGCCAGGTTTTGGTATCAGGATGATGCTGGCCTCATAAAATCAGTTAGGGAGGAGTCCCTTTTTTTCTATTGATTGGAATAGTTTCAGAAGGAATGGTACCAGCCCCTCTTTGTACCTCTGGTAGGATTCAGCTGTGAATCTGTCTGGTCCTGGGATTTTTTTTTTTTTTTGGTTGGTAGGCTATTAATTACTGTCTCAATTTCAGAACTTGTTAGTGGTCTATTCAGGGATTCGACATCTTCTGGTTTTGTCTTGGGAGAGTGTATGCATCCAGGAATTTATCCATTTCTTCTAGATTTTCTAGTTTATTTGTGTATAGGTGTTTATAGTATTCTCTGATGGTAGTCTGTATTTCTGTGGGATCAGTGGTGATAGCCCCTTTATCATTTTTACTGTCTAATTGATTCTTCTCTCTTTTCTACTTTATTAATCTGGTTAGCGGTGTATCTATTTGCTTAATCTTTTCAGAAAATCAGCTCCTGGATTCATTGATTTTTTTGAAGGGTTTTTTGTGTCTCTATCTCCTTCAGTTCTGCTCTGATCTTAGTTATTTCTTGTCTTCTGGTGGCTTTTGAATTTGTTTGCTCTTGCTTCTCTAGTTCTTTTAATTGTGATGTTCGGGTGTTGATTTCAGATCTTTCCAGCTTTCCGATGTGGGCATTTAGTGCTGTAAATTTCCCACTTAACACTGCTTTAGCTGTGTCCCAGAGATTCTGGTATGTTGTCTCTTTGTTCTCATTGGTTTCAAAGAACTTCACTATTTCTGCCTTAATTTCGTTATTTACCCAGTAGTCATTCAGGAACAGGTTGTTCAATTTCCATGTAGTTGTGCGGTTTTGAGTGAGTTTCTTAATCCTGAGTTCTAATTTGATTGCACTGTGTTCTGAGAGACTGTTTTGATTTCCGTTCTTTTGCATTTGCTGAGGAGTGTTTTACTTCCAATTATGTGGTCGATTTTAGAATAAGTGCTATATGGTGCTGAGAAGAATGTATATTCTGTTGATTTGAGGTGGAGAGTTCTGTAGATGTCTATTAGGTCTGCTTTCTCCAGAGCTGAGTTCAAGTCCTGAATATCCTTGTTAATTTTCTGTCTCGTTGATCTGTCTAATATTGACAGTGGGGTGTTAAAATCTCCCGCTATTATTGTGTGGGAGTTTAAGTCTCTTTGTAGGTCTCTAAGAACTTGCTTTATGAATCTGGGTGCCCCTGTATTGGGTGCATATATATTTAGGATAGTTAGCTCTTCTTGTTGAATTGATCCCTTTACCATTATGTAATGCCCTTCTTTGTCTCTTTTGATCTTTGTTGGTTTAAAGTGTGTTTTATCAGACTAGGATTGCAACCCCTGCTTTTTTTGTTTTCCATTTGCTTGGTAGATCTTCCTCCATCCGTTTATTTTGAGCCTATGTGTGTCTCTGTGTGTGAGATGGTTCTCCTGAATACAGCACACTGATGGGTCTTGACTCGTTATCCAATTTGCCGGTCTGTGTCTTTTAATTGGAGCATTTAGCCCATTTACATTTAAGGTTAATATTGTTATGTGTGAATTTCATCCTGTCATCATGATGCTAGCTGGTTATTTTGCTCGTTAATTGATGCAGTTTCTTCATAGTGCCATTGGTCTTTATATTTTGGTATGTTTTTGCCGCGGCTGTTACCGGTTTTTTCTTTCCATATTTAGTGCTTCCTTCAGGAGCTCTTGTAAGGCAGGCCTGGTGGTCACAAAATCCAACAGCATTTGCTTGTTTGGAAATCTCTTTTGCTCGTGAAGCTTATTTTGGCTGGATATGAAATTCTGGGTTGAAAATTCTTTTCTTTTCTTTTTTTTTTTTTTTTTTGAGATGGCATCTCGCTCTGTCACCCAGGCTGGAGTGCAGTGGCATGATCTCGGCTCACTGCAACCCCTGCCTCCCGGGTTTGAGTGATTCTTCTGCCTCAGCCTCCCGAGTAGCTGAGACTACAGGTGTGTGCCACCATGCCCAGCTAATTTTTTTTTTTGTATTTTTAGTATAGAAAGGGTTTCACTGTATTCGCCAGGCTGGTCTCGAACTCCTGACCTTGTGATCCGCCCACCTCGGCCTCCCAAAGTGCTGGGATTACAGGTGTGAGCCACTGCACCCCGCTGAAAATTCTTTTCTTTAAAAATGTTGAATATTGGCCCCCACTGTCTTCTGGCTTGTAGGATTTCTGCAGAGAGATCCACTGTTATTCTGATGGGCTTCCCTTTGTGGGTAACCTGACCTTTCTCTCTGGCTGCCCTTAATATGTTTTCTTTCATTTCAACCTTGGAGAATCTGATGATTATGTGTCTTGGGGTTGCTCTTCTTGAGGAGTATCTTAGTGGTGTTCTCCATATTTCCTGAAGTTGAATGTTGGCTTGCCTTGCCAGGTTGGGGAAGTTCTCCTGGATAATATCCTGAATTGTGTTTTTCAGCTGGGTTCCATTCTCCCTGTCACTTTCAGGTACACCAATCAATCATACGTTTGGTCTTTTCACATAGTCCCATATTTCTTGGAGGCTTTGTTTGTTCCTTTTCACTCTTTTTTCTCTCATCTTGTCTTCACGCCTTATTTCAGTAAGTTGGTCTTCAACGGTCTTCAATCTCTGACATCCTTTCTTCGCTTGATTGATTTGGCTGTTGATACGTGTGTATGCTTCACGAAGTTCTCCTGCTGTTTTTCAGCTCATCAGTTAATTTATGCTCCTCTCTAAACTGGTTATTCTAGTTAGCAGTTCCTGTAACCTTTTATCAAGGTTCTTAGCTTCCTTGCATTGGGTAGAACATGCTCCTTTAGCTCAGAGGAATTTGTTATACCCACCTTCTGGAGCCTACTTCTGTCAATTTGTCAAACTCATTCTCTGTGCAGTTTTGTGCCCTTGCTGGAGAGGAGTTGCGATCATTTTGAGGGGAAGAGGCATTCTGGTTTTTGGAATTTTCAGCATTTTTGCACTGGTTTTTCCTCATCTTCGTGGATTTATCTACCTTTTTGATCTTTGAGGCTGATGATCTTTGGATGGGGTTTTTGTGTGGGGGTCCTTTTTGTTGATGTTGATGTTGTTGCTTTCCATTTGTTAGTTTTTCTTCTAAGAGTCAGGCCCCTCTTCTGCAGGTCTGCTGCAGTTTGCTGGAGGTCCACTCCAGACCCTGTTCACCTGGTTATCACTAGTGGAGGCTGCAGAACAGCAAAGATTGCTGCCTGCTCCTTCCTCTGGAAACTTTGTCCCAGCGGGGCACCAGCCTAATGCCAGCTGGAGCTTTTCTGTATGAGGTTTTTCTCGACCCCTGTTGGGAGGTCTCTCCCAGTCAGGAGGCACGGGGGTCAGGGACCCACTTGAGGAGGCAGAGTCTGTCCCTTGTCAGAGCTTGAGTGCTGTGCTGGGAGGATCCTCCTTGTTAGGATCAGCTGCTCTCTTCAGAGCCGGCAGGCAGGAAAGTTTAAGTTCACTGAAGCTGTGCCCACAGACGCCCCTTCCCCCAGGTGCTCTCTCCCAGGGTGATGGGAGTTGTATCTATAAGCCCATGACTGGGGCTGCTACCTTTCTTTCAGAGATGCCCTGCCCAGTGAGGAGGAATCTAGAGAGGCAGTCTGGCCACAGCCGCTTTGTCGCACTGTGTTGAGTTCTGCCCAGTCCGAACTTCCCCTCTTCTTTTTTTTTTTTTTTGAGTTGGAGTTGTGTTCTTATTGCCCAGGCTGGAATGCAATGGCATGATCTCAACTCACTGCAACTTCCGCCTCCCAGGTTGAAGAGACTTTCCTGCCTCAGTCTCTCTAGTAGCTGGGATTACAGGTATGCACCACCACTCCCAGCTAATTTTTTTTTTTTTTTTGTATTTTTACTAGAGATGTGGTTACACCATGTTGGTCAGGCTGGTCTTGAACTCCTGAGCTCAGGTGATTTACCCACCTCAGCCTCTTAAAGTGTTGGGGTTACAGGTGTGAGCCACCATGCCCAGCCAAAAAGAAACATTTTCAAAAATTTTCAGAACTGGAAATTCAAGTCAGTATAAATATATGATTAGTAATTATTTTACCAAAAGTGTTTTTTAGAATGAATTAATTTTGTTAAGTGATGAATAAATTTTACACTTTATGATGGGCAATAAAAATCTGACCATTTCAATTACCCTGTAATTTCCGCTAGACAAATCTCTTTTTCAAAGGACTATTAATTAGAAGTGGTGTTAGCATAGGTAGAATGGCTGCTGACATCTAACATAAAGGTGACTAGTTCATTTATTTGTGAAGCTGTTTTTTAAAACTTGAATATGTTTTATGCTGAAATAAACTAGAGAAATAAAGAGGTTATAATTATTCAAACTTCCCTATTTTCAGGGAAAATGAGTTATATAATGAAGTAGTCTGTATCTTCTAAATTATACTTTAAGAACTGTTATGACATCTACAGAAAAGAATATGTTTAGGCCAGGTGTGGTGGCTCACACCTATAATCCCAGCACTTTGGGAGGCTGAGGTTGGGAGGATTGCTTGAGCCCAGGAATTTGAGGCTGCAGTGAGCTATGATCATGCCACTGTATTCTAGCTTGGGTGAGTGACAGAGCGAGACCCCCTCTCTACAGAAAAAAATATATATATATTTAGAAAGTTTCACATTTTAGGAGAGAAATCGAAAACTATTCTGATGTCCAGAGATTTTGTCAGATGTTGAACAGCTTTAGATCAATTGAATTTACAATTATTTTTCTGTTAACATGGTATACACAAGAGCATCATGTGGAATCAGGTATTTTTAGTGAGTCTTTGGGACTTAAGACCTTAAGAAATTAAAATTTAAGTATTAAATATCTCTCTGGGCCGGTTGTGGTGGCTCACACCTGTAATCCCAGCACTTTGGGAAGCCGAGGCTGGTGGATCACCTGAGGTCAGGAGTTCAAGACCAGCCTGGTCAACGTGGTGAGTCCCCGTCTCTACTAAAAATACAAAAATTAGCTGGGCGTGGTGGCGCATGCCTGTAATCCCAGCTACTCGGGAGGCTGAGGCAGGGGAATCACTGGAACCTGGGAGGTGGAGGCTGTAGTGAGCCAAGATCATGCGTCACTGCACTCCATCCTGGGCGACAGAGTGAGACTCCATCTCAAAAATAAATAAATAAATAAATAAATAAATAAATCTCTTACTGAAACATTCAGTAAATGATTCATTTAATAAGTTTTAGGTCATTTACTTTTGAAAATTGATTTTTTAAAAAGTCCTTTACAGGCCGGGCGCAGTGGCTCACGCCTGTAATCCCAGCACTTTGGGAGGCCGAGGCGGGCGGATCACGAGGTCAGGAGATCGAGACCATCCCGGCTAAAACGGTGAAACCCCGTCTCTACTAAAAATACAAAAAATTAGCCGGGCGTAGTGGCGGGCGCCTGTAGTCCCAGCTACTTGGGAGGCTGAGGCAGGAGAATGGCGTGAACCCGGGAGGCGGAGCTTGCAGTGAGCCGAGATCCCGCCACTGCACTCCAGCCTGGGCGACAGAGCGAGACTCCGTCTCAAAAAAAAAAAAAAAAAAGGCCTTTACAATTTTTATTTTTAATAACAACAAAACTGGCTTCCTTCAATTGTCTTTTCTCTTTGGTGTATATAAAAGGAGAATGAATGTTTTGTGTTTATCATTGTCTAATTACTGTTTTGCAGTACATTATGTTGCTTGCAAGTTGCTGAGTATGTGTGAAGCCTCATTTGCCTCAGAACAAAGTATTCAACGACTGATTATGGTAAGTCTTAATTTAGGAGAAAGTGGAGATGAAATGAGATGGTTGTTACTTCTATGAAAATGGTAAAGTTAGTGTGAAACTGGAAGGGGGTTGAATCTTTTAGTGCTATCCTTTTTTGATGGTGTTCCTTTTCAGTGTTCCTTTTATAATGGTATATTTACTACGCTAAAGTTCTCAGAATACTGTAGTAATTACGGTGGTTCAGTGAACCAAATACTGAACTTATAATTCTGGGTTGATGATTTATTTTTTACTTTTCTCATCTCTAACTTGATAGAGTAACTGTTTCTTCATCTAAGGGAATGGTAATACTTAGTTCTAAATGAGTTTTTCAAATGAAAAATTTGAAGCACTAAGTAAATAAGGAAAAGGGTACAGGATTTGAAGTCTCAAGACCTAGGTTAGGTCTGCCGCTTACTAGCTATGTGACATTGGAAGATTACTTAGTTTTCTCTTTTGTAAGATGAAAATAGTAATATCTACCTTAGAGTGTTATAGAGTTAAAATTAGAGTTTTTGTGAAAAATGCTTTGTAAACTATAAAATATATGTGTAAATACATAGTGGTAGAATTTGTCCATGTAAAATGCTATGACAACAGTCTGATAAATCCTGTATCATATATAATATGATAAAACTGAGTTGAATGCAGGGTTCACCTTGTGTGTTTTCCTTCTTTCAAAGATTGTAGCCACTCCAATGCCTTCACACAGTTATATTTTGTCCAGCTTTTAGGGTTGTTTAGAGTGGGACAGTCAGTTTGAATTGAGCTATTCCATCATGGCTGAAAGTGGAAGTCTTCCTCTTGCATTTCTGTTATTTAAAAGATTTTTTCCTTATAATTTTTATTTTGAGAGGGAGTCACCCTGGCTGGAATGCAGTGGTGTGATCTGGGCTCGCTGCAACCTCCATCTCCTGGGTTCAAGCAATTCTCCTGCCTCAGCCTCCTGAGTAGCTGGGATTACAGGCATGCGCCACCACACCTAGCTAATTTTTGTATTTTTAGTAGAGACAGGGTTTCACCATGTTGGTCAGGCTGGTCTTGAACTCCTGATCTCAGGTGATCTGCTCACCTTGGCCTCCCAAAGTGCTGGGATTACAGGCATGAGCCACTGCGCCTGGCCTAAAAGATTAATTTTTTAAACATTTATTTCCACCCCCCAAAATACAAATGTATGTTTATGTAAAATTAAATTGTTCAGAAAAGTAATTAAAGTAATAAAAAGTGATTTTCTGCTCCATCTATCTGTTCTCTCTTTTTTTTTTTTTTTTTTTTTGGACAGGATCTCACTCTGTTGCCCAGGCTGGAGTGCAGTGGTGTGTTCTCGGCTCACTGCAGCCTCCACCTCTCAGGTTCAAGCAGTTCTCCTGCCTCAGCTTCCCGAGTAACTGGGATTACAGGTGTTTGCCACCATGCCCAGCTAATTTTTTTTTTTTTTTTAAGTAGAGACAGGGTTTCACCATGTTGGCCAGGCTGGTCTTGAACTCCTGACCTCAAGTGATCCACCCGCCCCGGCCTCCCAAAGTGCTGGGATTACAGGAGTGAGCCACCACACCCAGCCCTATCTGTTCTCTTGCTCCTTAGAGGCAAATACATTTTTTTAGTGGAAAAATATTTTTCCCAGTGTTTTAAAATATTTTATTATGTAAAAAAGCTCAAACATATATAAAAAAGGTAAGACAGTACAATGATTCCCTCCATTTACCCATCACTCAGTTAGAGTAATCATCAACTCATGGCCACTCTTGTTTCTTCTATATCTCCTCAAATAGCAAACTCCTGGCCCCACTGGATTATTTTTATTATTTTTTATTTTTTTGAGATAGAGTCTCGCTCTGTCACTCAGGCTGGAGTGCAGTGGCACGATCTCAGCTCACTGTAACCCCTGCGTCCTGGGTTCAAGTGATTCTCCTGCCTCAGCCTCCCGAGTAGCTGGAATTACAGGCGCCCACCACCACACCCAGCTAATTTTTGTATTTTTAGTAGAGATGGGGTTTCACCATGTTGGCCAGGCTGGTCACGAACTCCTGAGCTCAGGTGATCCGCCCACCTTGGCTTCCCAAAGTTCTGGGATTACAGGCATGAGCCACCGCGCCTGGCCAACCCACTGGATTATTTTCAAGCAAATTCAACATGTATAATTTTGCCCATAAATATTTCAGTGTGTGTTTCTAAAAGACAATGTATTTTTTTTCAGCTTGTAAATGCTTAATTTTTTTAAACATAGAGGATGCTTGGTGGTGTATATGTGGCCATTTGATGTTTTTATGACTAAGAGAGTTCAATCTCTTATAGAATGTAAATGTACCCCTACACATTTATTTATTTATTTATTTTCTATTTTTTCCATAAATTATTGGGGTACAGGTAGTATTTGGTTATGTAAGTTCTTCTTCTTCTTTTTTTTTTTTTCTTGAGATGGAGTCTCACTCTGTCGCCCAGGCTGGAGTGCAGTGGCATGATCTTGGCTCACTGCAACCTCTGCCACCTGGGTTCAAGCAATTCTCCTGCCTCAGCCTCCTGAGAAGCTGGGATTACAGGCCACTGCACCCGGCTAATTTTTGTATTTTTAGTAGAGACGGAGTTTTACCATCTTGGCCAGGCTGGTCTTGAACTCCTGACCTCGTGATCTACCTACCTTGGCCTCCCAAAGTGCTGGGATTACAGGTGTGAGCCACTGCATCCGGCCATGAGTAAGTTCTTTAGTGGTGATTTGTGAGATTTTGGTGCACCCATCACCCAAGCAGTATACAAGGCATCGTATTTGTAGTCTTTTATCCCTTGCCCCCCTCCCACTCTTCCCTCCAAATCCCCAAAGTCCATTGTATCATTTTTATGTCTTTGCATCCTCGTAGCTTAGCTCCCACATGTCAGTGAGAACATACGATGTTTGATTTTCCATTCCTGAGTTACTTCACTTAGAATAATAGTCTCCAATCTCATCCAGGTCACTGCAAATTCTGTTAATTCTTTCCTTTTTATGGCTGCATAGTATTCAGTTATATATATATACCACAGTTTTTTTATCCACTTGTTGATTGATGGGCATTTGGGTTGGTTCCACAATTTTGCAATACACATGCACATGTAATTCTTATCAAAATTAAGCTTAGTCACTAAAAGAAGATTCGCTATCTGAACTTTGTTCTGCAGGATTTTCACTTTTGCCATCAGGCACTGGAGCACCTGACCTCTCAAGAAGATCTGGGTCTAGTCCTTCTGATATCATTTTTCTTATTGCCATCACTGGTACACTCACTTGAACCATTTTGAGATATATGACATATCTTGAATCTTTAGCTACAGTTAAGATATTTCCTGCTGATACTTAACTTTCCTGTGGTCCAGAGTCTTAATGTACTGTCCTGCTGTGATTACTCTGAGGTGACTTCAGAATGTGATCCATTTGTGACACTAGTGGCACTTGAAGGAGATACTTCAAATGTGACATCATCTAGGCCTGGTATAGATGACAACTTTGCATCTACAGTATTGAGAATTGTTTCAATTTGCTGGATACCAAGATAAAGGTTTGCCAGTTTCTCCTCACTAAATGTAGAAGAGCGATTGAGGCACTATACAGTGTGTACCACATTTTGGTTTAGAAAAGCCACCATTCTTTTCTGCTGAATAGCTGGCACCTTGATCAAGTCTACGCCTGACTCCCATGAGAGGAAGCCCATCTTTATCCATCTCCTCAGGAGGCAGGAGACCCAGGACTCACCCATGAACTCCTCCCAGATGGGGCCTGCCCAACCCTGTAATCGTGTCCCAGTGCTTCCCCACGTCCCCCAAGACAATGTATTTTTATATTCAACAAACCCAGTTCACTTTACCACACCTGATAAAACCTAACAAAGATTTCCCCAAATCAAATATCTAGTCCTCCCACCCCCTCTCCAATTGGTTTCTTAAAATCAGGACCAAAGATAATCCATACTTTGTATTTTGTTAATATGTCTGTTTTAATGAAACTACATGTTTTCTTCTCTTTTTTTTAAAAAAAAAATCTGTTGAACGGATTTATTTGTTGAAGAAATGAGGTTGTCCTATAGAGTTTTCTAAATTCTGGGTTCTGGTGCTTCTTCATGGTGTCACTTAATAGTCCATCGTTTCCTTTAACCCTTATTTTCTGTAAACTGATAATTAGATCTAGAAGCTTGTTCTGATACAGGTTTGATTTTTGTCAGAATAATTTATAGGCAGTATGTTTCTGAATCCTTGGATTCAACCAATCATGGATTGAAAATATTACCAAAAAAGTCTTAAAAAGATAACAATACAATAAAAAATAATACAAATAAAAATACAGTATAACAACTATTCACATAGCATTTATATTGTATTAAATCATCTAGAGATGATTTATAGTACATGGGAAGATGTGTATAGGTTATATGCAAATATTACACCATTTCATGTAAGAGATTATATAATGTATTTTTATATTTCAAAATATAAAATATTTTAAAATATATGTACAAAATTTATATAAAATATGTGTTTATAAGCAGACAAATATATACTCATATCTCCCCTCATTCCGCCATTTTCTTAGATAAATGGTAACAGTCCATATATACTCTTCTTCACCTGATTTTTTCCCCCTCGTTTAACATTATATCCTAGGGATTACTCCATAGAAATATATAGAGATATTCCTTATTTTTAATAGCTGTATTTCAATTGCTGTATGTACCTTATTATGTTCAACCAGCCTCCCTTGATGGACATTTGGATGCTGCAATGAATTGCCTTGTGCCTATGTCTTTGCCACTTTTAAGGCTATTACTATAACCATTTCTGTTTTCACTCTCATGGTTCCCTCTATGTATCTTAGTCATATGCTTGTATCACTGTATTGGTTTGCTAGGGCTGCCATAACACAATATCACAGGTTGGTTGGCTTAAACAACAGATATTTATTTTCCCACAGTTTTGGAGGCTAGAAGTTCAAGATTAAGGTGTCAGCAAGTTTGATTTCTTCTGAGTACTCTTTCCTTGGCTTGCAGATGTTCGCCTTCTTGCTGTGTCCTCTCACATGGCCTTTCCTCTGTGTGTGCTCATTTTTCGTGCCCATTTGTGTGTCCAAATTTCCTCTGGTTATAAAGATACCAGTCAGATGAGATTAGGGCCCGCCCTAATGGCCTCATTTTAATGCAATCACTTCTTAAAGCCCCTATCTGCAAATACAGTTACATTCTGAGGTGTTGGAGGTTAGGGCTACAGTGTAGGACTTTGAAGGGACATAATTCTGCTTGTAACAATAACTAATTCTTTTTTTTTTTTTTGAGACAGAGTCTCACTCTATCGCCCAAGCTGGAGTGCAGTGGCATGATCTCAGCTCACTACAACCTCCACCTTCTGGGCTCAAGTGATTCTTGTGCCTCAGTCTCCTGAGGAGCTGGGGCTACAGGCATGCACCACCACGCCCAGCTAATTTTTTGTATTTTTAGTAGAGATGGGGTTTTGCCATATTGCCCAGGCTGGTCTCAAACTACTGAGCTCAGGCTTTCCACCCGCCTCGGCCTCCCAAAGTGCTAGGGTTACAGGCGTGAGCCACCATGTCTGGCCAATAACTAATTATTGATTTATCAGCTTTATTTATGATCTATTTATTTGCTATTATGATGGATGAGGATTTATCTCATATTATATCATGTTACCTCCCCATCCCCTCTCAATTTTTGTTAGTTATATTATACTATTTTAAATTTATCTGTTGGCTGTCTTTTAAAACTTAATTATATATATTTTTATATACACACATATAATTTTTTGTATATATTTCAAAAGTATACTTTTTATTGAGACAGGGTCTTGCTCTGTCACCCAGGCTAGAGTGCAATGGCGCGATCTTGGCTCACTGCAACCTTGGCACCCCGGGCTCAAGCAATCCTCTCATCTCAGCCTCCCAAGTAGCTGGGACCACAGGTGTGCACCACCATGCCCAGCTAATTTTTTGTATTTTTAGCAGAGATGGGGGTCTCACCGTATTGCCCAGGCTGGTCTCGAACTCCTGAGCTTAAGAAATTCGTCCACCTCGGCCTCCCAAAATGCTGGGATTACAGGCATGAGCCACGGCGCCTGGCCTAAAATAACATATGCTTTTTTTTTTTTTTGAAACAGGGTCTTGCCTGTTGCCCAGGCTGGAGTGCAGTGGCATGATCATGGCTCACTGCAGCCTTCACCTCCCAGGCTCAAGCAATCTTCCTGCCTCAGCCTCCCTAATAGCTGAGACCACAGGTGTGCACCACCATGCCCAATGAATTTTTAAATTTTTTGTAGAGACAGGGTCTTGCTATGTTATGTTGCTCAGGCCGGTCTTGAATTCCTGGCCTGAAGTCATCCTTTCACCTCAGCCTCACAAACTGCTAGGATTACAGGCGTGAGCCACACCATGCTCAGCCCTAAGTCATATATTTAAACTTTTCTTTCTTTTTTTTTTAAAATCAAATTTGGAGTTTATCTCTTTACTTGCTACTTTGTGAGGATATTTCCATTCTTTCTATCTCTCTTTCCCTTTAACCTTCCACCTTCTGTCACCTCTAACATTTGCATTTTGGGCTTTGTTGATCCCTAATAATGAAAACTGAAAAGGCATGTTATTGATTGTGACTATTATTTAACTCTGTGGATTATAATTTGGTATCTCTGTATGTTTCCATCTGCTAGCTCTCTCAATTCTATTTTCTCAGTTATTCTGTTTGTTGAGTGTGATGTCCTTTCATGGCATTGGTTTCCCTCAATTGTTTGGTAATTCTTGCTCATATTTGATTTGAAATTCTGTGATGATCTTCTATGAATATTGTGTCACACTGTGTACTATAACCTGAATCCAGTGACTGATGAAGAGGTAGGACTGGATGTTTTTCATTAACCTGTGTTGTCAGCCACCTAGAACTCTGTTTCTGTCCAGCCAAAGTAATTGTACTCTCTGTTCCTTTCTGGAGAGGAGGGAGGAAGATACCTTTCTTGGGGAGGCCTATTGCCTGATGTTCCTACTGTTCGCATCCAGGGCTGTTTCCACATTTTGCATTTTTGTGCATGTTGGGATATCTACCAGTTACAATACTGTGAGCTCCTTCAGTGAGACTGGAATATAAAGGTACTTAATAAACATTTGTTGGATTAATCCAAATTTTATTGCAGATGGAATTAAAAACTAGAACCCCAGTAGTCTAATGCTTATCATATGCCTTTCTTCAAGTATGTGAAGCATTAAGTTTTCAGAACTTTCTCTTCCTATCTAAGTTACTTCAACGTTTTCTTTTAATATTTCCTCAGAAGATGTGTTTTTAAGTCTATTAATTTTTGCTATTATTTTTGTCTTTATGACCATTTCTTTTAAATTGTGGAGTTCAAAGTAGAACACAGAACTCTAACAAATGCTAACTGTTGCTTTTTGTTTTCTGTGAGTTATAAGACTGAATATGGACAGAGGATTCAATATTTTCTCCAATATTCCCCCACCAATTTGGGGGAGGTATGAATTTTTAAAAATTATTTTCTAATTTCTCTCTTCTAGATGAATATGAGAATAGGAAAAGAATGGTTGGATGCTGGAAATTTTCTAATCGCTGATGAATGTTTTCAAGCTGCTGTGGCCGTAAGTTACCATTGACTTTTAGCTGAGGCAATTATTAGTAGTAACATCTGTGGTTATTCTCATTGTTACATTGTACTGTGGGTTTATTTTCCAGAGTCTGGAGCAATTATACGTCAAATTAATTCAAAGGAGCTCCCCTGAGGCTGACTTGACCATGGAGAAGATTACTGTTGAGAGTGACCACTTCAGAGTGCTTTCTTACCAAGCAGAGTCAGTAGGTATCGTGGGCACCAGGGTCTTCCAGTGGGGCATTTTCCATATGTAAAAGTAAAAGTGATGATATATAGCCTATTGGAAGAAAGTCAGATGTCACTGGCCTTTTATAGGATATTAATTTGACCTTTTTATCTCTGTTATATCTGAAGGTGATGTTACTAATGCTGATTGGAATCTATGGGGTGGCTAAGGGTGAGAAGACTGATATACAGCTAAACATCATTTTCACCCCCTGCATGTAACATCTGTCATTTATTTATGGCAGCAATCCCTACTTGAAACACCTGTCTCTGTGACTCTCTCTTACATTCACAGTCTGCCTAAAATATTTGCCTGAAAAGAGCCTTCTCATTTGCAGTTGTTCTGAGTTGTCTATTGATGCTTTCTAAAAGTCTGCTGAGATCATACACTGTTTAAAGTTATACTTTACCTCTGTTTATCTTGTGGGTTTCCTCCTTTTGCCATCATACACTTAGGTGTGCATTTGAGCTATGATGAGTTTGCTTTCTGTTATTACGCAATTCTGGAAATGAAAAATCCCCAGCTGGGCATGGTGGCTCGTGCCTGTAATCCCAGCACTTTGGGAGCCTGAAGCGGAAAGATTGCTTGAGCCCAGGAATTGGTGACCAACCTGGGCAGCATAGTAAGACCCCCATCTCTACCAAAAAATAAAAGTGAAAAATTAGCCAGGCTTGGTGGTGTGCACCTGTAGTTCCAGCTACTAGGGAGTCTGAGGCAGAAGGATTCCTTGAACCCAGGTGACAGTGAGCTATGATTGTGCCACTGCACTCCAGCCTGGGTGACAGAGCTAGACTGTGTCTCAAAAAACAAACAAACAAAACAACAATGAAAAAGAAAAGTCCCCTTTTTTATTTTTTGACATATTTACTGAGATATAATTCATATACCATAAAATTCACCCATTTACACTGTGTAATTCAGTAATTTAGTATATTCACAGAATTGTGCAATATTCACCACAAGCTAAGTTTAAAACATGTTTGTCACCCCAAAAAGACATCCCCATCAGCATTAGCAGTCATTCCTCATTGCTTCTGACCCTAGCTCTAGCAACCGTGAATTTATTTTCTGTTTCTATAGATATGCCTATTTTGGACATTTCATATTAATATAATCATGCAATAAGTGGTCTTTTGTGATTAGCTTCTTTCATTTAGCATAATTGTTTTCAGGGTTCATCAGTGTTGTTGCATGTTTCACTGTATGAATATGCCATGTTTTGTTTATCCATTCATCTATTGATGAACATTTGAGTGGTTTCCAATTTTTGTCTATTGTGAATAATTCTAATGTGAACATTCATTTACTCTGTGTGTGTGTGTGTGTGTGTGTGTGTGTGTGTGTATGTTTTTAATTTTCTTTGGTATATAACTAAGGGTGGAATTGTTGGGTAGCATGGTAACTCTAAGTCTGTGTTTAACCTTTTGAGAAACTGCCAGAATGTTTTCCATAGTGGCTGAACTATTTTATTACACTTCCCCCAGTAGTATATGAGGGCTCCACCTTCTCTACATCTAAAGGTTTTATAGTTTTAGCACTTACACTTAGATCTGTGGTCCATTTTACGTAAATTTTCAGGTATAATGTGAAGTAGTGGTCTAACTTCATTCTTTTGCATGTGGCTATTCAATTGTCCCAGTACCATTTGTTGAGAAGACTATTCTTTCCCCATATTGAATGACCTTAGCACCTTTGTCAAAAATCAATTTATCATAAGTGGGAGGGTTTACTTCTGGACTCTTGATTCTATTCCATTTATCTGTATATCTAGCCTTATGCTGGTACCACACTTGTCTTGATTACTGTAGCTATGTAGTAAGTTTCAAAATTGGGAATTGCAAGTCCTCCAGTTTTGTTCTTTTTAAAGAGTGTTTGGACTTTTCTGGGTCCCTTACATTTCCATATGAATGTTAGGATCAGCTTTTCAATTGGTGTACAGAAGCCAGCTGGAATTTTGATAGGGATAGCATTGAATTTATACAACAATTTGGGGGATATTGTTATCATAAGAATATTGTGTTCTGATCCATGAACATGGGATGTCTTTTCATTTATTTAGGTTTTGTTTAATTTTCTCTCATTTATTTATTTTTATCTTTTTTTTGTAGAGACAAGGTTTTGCTATGTTGCCCAGGCTGGTATCAAACTCCTGGCCTCAAGCAGTCCTCTCACCTTGGCCTCTCAAAGTGCTGGGATTACAGGCGTGAGCCACCATGCCTGGCCAGACCTATGTGTGGTATTTTTGTTGTTGTTTTAGAGACAGGATCTTGCTTTGTTGCCCAGGCTGGAGTAATGTGGCCCAATCATAGCTCACTGCAGCCTCAACCTCCTGGGCTCAAGGGATCCTCCTCCCTCAACCTCCCGAGTAGGTAAGACTATGGGTGTATGCCACTGTGCCTGGCTAATTAAATAAACATTTTTTTTTTTTTTTTGTAGAGGGAGGGTTTTACTATGTTGTCTAGGCTGTTCTTGAACTCCTGGGCTCAAGTGATTCTCCCACCTTGCCCTCCCAAAGTGCTGGAATTACAGGCATGAACCACTGCGACTGGCCAGACCTATGTGTTTTAATTGTCCACAAGCTCAAACTTAAATCAGTGATGTGACGTAACTGCAAAAAAAGCTAGCACAGTCCTAGGCTATGTTAATAGATACATAGTGTCCTCATCTAGGTAGTTAATTCACATTTTGAATATTGTGATAACTTCTAGGCATCACATTTTAAAATCACTGGGTTGGTGTACAAAATATATGAAAAATATTTGGAGAATATAGTGATGTTTGTCTCAGAAAAAGAAGACAGTAGGAATGATAGCTCTCTTTGAATATTTTAAGGACTATTGTATTAAAAAGGAATTAAACTCCACAGGATGGAATGAAGAACAATGGGTAGAAATTATAGGAAGACAGATTTTGGCTTAATATAAGGAGTAGCCTTTTATCAGTGATAGTAATCCTATAATGGAATAGCTTTCCTGCAAGATTTTAAATCTGTTTTCACTGGAAATTTGTAAGCAAAGGTGTGAATATCCTAAGAATTATACATTGCAGAAGGAATTCCTTCATTTGGTAGGAAATTTGACTACTATGACCCTTAAGTCCCTTTTAACACCAAGATCCTATGATTTCAGAAAGTCTTGTAGCATTTGTTCAGTGTGGTGGATGTTGATATCTAAATGGCATCTTTATATAGCTGGTTAAAAGTGTTAGTTGTTATAATCAGTAATGAGAACTATATAATTCTTGACTTTGATAAGTGATGACATCTTCAGAAGTTGTGGTGAAGGCTAATTCCTTTTGCTCTAAGTTAATTTTTCATTTCTAAGACATTCGCACCATTAGAGTTTATGAGTTTTGTTGATATTTGCTTGGGAGAAGACATCTTTAAAATGGCGGTTAATAGCGGTGTTTGATAATGAGTTTTCTCTGTCCTAATAAAGCTCCTGAGAGGCCTTATCTTTCTCTAGGCACCTACCATTTAACCAGTTAGATAATTGCTTTATTATTTATTAAGTTATTCAACAGACAAGGAATATCTTCTATGAACAGACTACTATGCTAGGTTTTGTGGAATAATGCAAATAATCACATATCCTATCCTCAAGGATTATAGTTTAATTGGTGAGATAAAGGATGCATATGCAAGATAGAAAAAATTGGGTACTATAATAGTTGTACAGATAAGTGATCTACATGCAGTGTTCAGTGCTATGTGTGAGTGGAGATGTAATATATGGTCATTTTCCTTAAGAAAATTATAAGCTAGTTTGAGAGATAGGTCATGAATACATTTTCTAAAACTGGAAAAAGAAAAATATTAAGTGCCAAATGAATGACTTAGGTTAGGTGGGACACAGACTTTGTCTAAAGTGGTCACATGACCTTCCTAACAATTGTTAACATTTTATTTTTCCTCAATCCCTATATCCACTTGCAAGGTGAAGGATACTTTTCTGTGTATGCAAGTGCCAGATTACCCTTCTGTAATCTTTTAGAATTGTAAAAATAACTATAGATCTTGGTGTTTCTCCTAATTCCCCATTTCCCTTGGTTACTGGCAATGCCTCTTTCTGCAGTGTGCATCATCTGCAGATGCAAGGGTCGTATGTTTTGCTTCTGCTCCCTCCCCTATTTAAAGTAGGACCACTTGTAGAAGCTGACAGGGTCACACTGAGGAAGGGGCTATGAGCTTACCTATAAAGACTATGATGGAGGCTATCCTGGAGATACAAGCCAAGTGAAAGCCAGCTTTCTCTATTATATCAAGGACTTTGGTTCACCATCTTTCCTAGTAGTTAAAAAAGTAGTAATGTAAAAAAATTAATCTGCATTGTCAGCTTCTAGCATAGTACGTAGCATATAATATATATTATGTAAATGTGTGTGGTACAAATGAATCTGCTCTCCCCCTATTATTCCTTTCTGATCTTTTTGCACCCCCCATCCTATCAAAAGAGTGATCAGTAGTATGTAAAATGTGAAAGACTGAAAAACACCAGTACAGGCAAGTGCTACAAGAGTGTAGAAAAGTGGGGAGATTATTGTGGACTGGGTTGTAGAAGACACACAGGATTTAGAGCATGATTTGAACTTTGAAGGAAGAAACAGACTTAGGAAAGTGGGGAAGAGGGCACAGAATATTCCAGGCAGAGCAAAGTCATATAGGCAGAAATGTGCATGCCACGTTTAAGGAACAGTGTGATCAGTTTATCTGAAGGAAAGTATTTTGCAAGGGCACAATGAGTGCTAAGTCTGGAGAAATAAGTAGGGCCAGGTTGAGAAAGCCCAAATATACCTCTTTGAAAAAATACTTTTGATATTTTCCTAAAGGTACTGGGGTGATTGAAAGTGTTTAGGAAGAGGTTTGGTGGCACCTAGTGAAGAGTAACCTGTAATCGTGTTTAGAATTGATTGAAAAGTGAACAGAATCAAGGCATAGTGTAAGCATGAACTGGTGAAAGCCTGTACTATAGTAGTACCAATGAGAATGGGAAAGAAGGGACAGATACAGGAGACATATAAAGGAAGCAATCATTTATGCTCAGTGAGAAGGACTTGAACCATTGAATCTTTGGAGGCAGGAAAGGGAGGATAATAAAGCCTGTTCATTCCACAAACATTTACATGTTGTTGGGAGGTGGGAGAGTGCAGTCGAAAGTAGAGCAAACACTGCTAGGCATGGTGGCTCACACCTGTAATCCCAGCACTTTGGGAGGCCAAGGTGGGAGGATCATTTGAGGTCAGGAGTTCAAGACCAGCATGGGCAACATAGCTAGACCCTATCTCTGTGAGAAAAGAAAAAAAATTAGCCAGGCATGGTGGCACATGCCTGTGGTCTCAGCTTCATGGGAGGCTGAAACAGGAGGATCACAGATTGAGGCTGCAGTGAGCCATGATTACACCACGGCACTCCAGCCTGGGTGATAGAGTGAATCCCTGTCTTTAAAAAATTAAATTTAATTACATTAAAATTTCAAAAAGCAGAGCAAACGAAAAAGAAGGAATACCAGAGATGAAAGAGGACTAGAACAGTGTGGGTCATTCACGAGAAGAGAGTTTGGAGAAAAGGATGATCAACAGTGGCCAGTGCTTCAGAGAAATAAAAGAAAATGAGGTCGGAATAAACGCCATTGGACCTGACGTTTAGGAAGATGATAGTGACCATAGAAAGCAGTTTCAGTAGTAAGGTGTCTTAGTTCGTTTTGTATTGCTATAATGGCATACTTGAGGCTGGGTAATTTATAAAGAAAAGATTTATTCTTGCTCACGGTTCTGCACACTGTACAAGAAGCATATGCCAGCATCTGCTTCTGGCCAGGGACTTCAGTAAGCTTCCAATCATGCCAAAAGTCGAAGGGGAGCAGGCATGTCACATGACAAGAGAGGGAAAAAGAGATACAGGGGAGGGTGATACCAGACTCTTTCGAACAATGCCATCTTAGAGGAACTACTAGAGCAAGAACTCACTGTTACTGTGGGGAGAGAGCCAAGTCATTCATGAGAGATCTGACTCCATGTCCTAAACACCTCCCACTGGGCCTTACCTCCAAAATTGGGGCATCACATCTCTTTCTTTCTTCCTTTTTTTTTGAGACAGAGTCTTGCTCTGTTGCCTAGGTTGTAGTGCAGTGGCGTGATCTCAGCTCACTGAAATCTCTGCCTCCTGGGTTCAAGCTATTCTCATGCCTCAGCCTCCAGAGTAGCTGGGATTACAGTCACATGCCACCACGCCCGGCTAATTTTTGTATTTTTAGTAGAGACAGGGTTTCGCCATGTTGGCCAGGCTGGCCTTGAACTCCTCGCCTCAAGCAATCCACCCACCTTGGCCTCCCAAACTGCTGGGATTACAGGCGTGAGCGACCATGCCTGACCTGGGGCATCACATTTCAACATGAGATTTGGAAGGGACAAATATTCCAACTATATCATAAGATAATAGTAGAAAATAGACTGTAAGGGTTTAAGGACTGAATGGGTGGCGAGGCAATGGAAGAAGTTATGGTGGGAGGTTCTGGGAGGTCAAAACTATTTTATAATAATTCTAAAACATTATTTGCCTATTTTTTGCTGTTTTAGCATTTGCTCTGGTGATGCAAAGCAATGATGGGTAAGATTGCTGGCACTTCAACATGAATCAGGATAGTGGCACTAGCATACAGACTAGTCATCTTTTTATTCATCACTGCTATACTCTTACTTTAAGAAGAATGCCAGTCTTAAGACTATACTTTCAGGGATCATTTCTATAGTTTGTTACTAGAGAAGTTTCTCTGAACGTGTATAGCACTGAAAACCACAAAGAAGAGGTGCAGCATTATCTCCTAAGTGTAAAGCCGGCTCTTGATGTTGCTTTGCTGCAACTGCCATTTGCCATTGATGATCGTTCTTTTCTTCCTTTGGGAGACTGGGAAGGAAAGGATGCAATCTGAGTGGTTTTCATTTAAAAAATAAATAAATAAAAAGGATGCCAGTTTTACACAAAACCATCCTTGATAAGCGAGTAAAGATGATTAATTTTATTAAATCTTGGGCCCTTGAACACATATCATTTTAATATGTGTGATGAAAAGGGAAACACTCATATAGCACTTTTGTTGCATATCGAAGTGTGATGGTTATCTGGAGGAGAGGCTCTTAAGTGATTGTTTAATTTGTGAGCCGAATTAACTATTTTGTGTGTGCGTGTGTGATGGAGTCTTGCTCTGTCACCCAGGCTGGAATGCAATGGCACAATCTTGGCTCACTGCAAACTCCACCTCCTGGGTTCAAGCGATTCTCCTGCCTCAGCCTCCCGAGTAGCTGGGACTACAGGTGCGCATCACCATGCCTGGCTAATTTTTGTATTTTTAGTAGAGATGGAATTTTGCCATGTTGGCCAGGCGGGTCTCGAACTCCTGACCTCAGGTGATCTGCCCACTTCAGCCTCCCAAAGTGCTGGGATTACGGGCGTGACCCAGTGTGCCCTGCCTGGATTAACTATTTTTAATTTCAAGAATGACTGACACATAAACTTGGCTATTTAGCAGATGTTTTCATAAAAATGAATGAAGTGGGCCAGGCGCAGTGGCCCCTGCCTGTAATCCCATCACTTTGGGAGGCCGAGGCGGGCGGATCGCCTGAGGTCAGGAGTTCAAGACCAGCCTGGCCAAAATGGTAAAACCCCGTCTCTACTAAAAATATAAACGTGGGCTGGGCATGGTGTCAGGTGCCTGTAATTTCAGCTCCTTGGGAGACTGAGGCAGGAGAATCGCTTGAATTCGGGAGACAGAGGTTGCAGTGAGCAGAGATGATGCCACTGCACTTCAGCCTGGGTGACAGTGAGATTCCCTCTCAAAAGTAAAAGATAAAATAAAATGAACCAAGTGAATAGGACTCTATTGTGTATATGTACCATTTTGCATTCTTCATCCATTCATCTGTTGATGGACACTTAGGTTAGCATGTGACTTCTGGGAAAACAATTGACAGTATTTTTTGCCAGTGAAAAAGTTTGAGCTTTTAGGTAAAAACTGAAATTTTAGAAAATGTGTACTTCTACCATGAGCTTGGTAGCTTCTAAATACTTAGTCTTTTTTTTTTTTGAGGCAGTCTCATTCTGCCACACAGGTTGGAGTGCAGTGGCACAGTCTCAGCTCACTGCAGCCTCTGCCTCCCGGGTTCAAGCGGTTCTCATGCCTCAGCCTGGGAGGTAGCTGGGATTACAGGCGCACACCACCACTGCTGGCTTTTTTGTTTTGTTTTGTTTTGGTATTTCTAGTAGAGATGGGGGTTTCCCCATGTTGGCCAGGCCGGTCTCGAGCTCCTGGCCTCAAGTTATCCACCTGCCTTGGCCTCCCAAAGTGCTGGGACTACAGGTATGAGCCACTGCCTAAATACAAAGTCTTTTTTTTTATTTTATTATTATTGTACTTTAAGTTTTAGGGTACATGTGCACAACGTGCAGGTTTGTTACATATGTGTACATGTGCCATGTTGGTGTGCTGCACCCATTAACTCGTCATTTAGCATTAGGTATATCCCCTAATGCTATCCCTCCCCCCTCCCCCCACCCCACAACAGTCTCCGGTGTGTGATGTTCCCCTTCCTGTGTCCATGGGTTCTCATTGTTCAATTCCCAACTATGAGTGAGAACATGCGGTGTTTGGTTTTTTGTCCTTGCGATAGTTTGCTGAGAATGATGGCTTCCAGTTTCATCCATGTCCCTACAAAGGACATGAACTCATCCTTTTTTATGGCTGCATAGTATTCCATGGTGTATATGTGCCACATTTTCTTAATCCAGTCTATCGTTATTGGACATTTAGGTTGCTTCCAAGTCTTTGCTATTGTGAATAGTGCCGCTATAAACATACGTGTGCATGTGTCTTTATAGCAGCATGATTTATAATCCTTTGGGTATATACCCAGTAATGGGATGGCTGGGTCAAATGGTATTTCTAGTTCTAGATCCCTGAGGAATCGCCACACTGACTTCCACAATGGTTGAACTAGTTTACAGTCCCACCAACAGTGTAAAAGCATTCCTATTTCTCCACATCCTCTCCAGCACCTGTTGTTTCCTGACTTTTTAATGATGCCATTCTAACTGGTGTGAGATGGTATCTCATTGTGGTTTTGATTTGCATTTCTCTGATGGCCAGTGATGATGAGCATTTTTTCATGTGTTTTTTGGCTGCATAAATGTCTTCTTTTGAGAAGTGTCTCCTCTTCATATCCTTCGCCCACTTGTTGATGGTATTGTTAGTTTTTTTCTTGTAAATTTGTTTGAGTTCATTGTAGATTCTGGATATTAGCCCTTTGTCAGATGAGTAGATTGCAAAAATTTTCTCCCATTTTGTAGGTTGCCTGTTCACTCTGATGGTAGTTCCTTTTGCTGTGCAGAAGCTCTTTAGTTTAATTGGATCCCATTTGTCAATTTTGGCTTTTGTTGCCATTGCTTTTGGTGTTTTAGACATGAAGTCCTTGCCCATGCCTATGTCCTGAATGGTATTGCCTAGGTTTTCTTCTAGGGGTTTTATGGTTTTAGGTCTAATGTTTAAGTCTTTAATCCATCTTGAATTAATTTTTGTATAAGGTGTAAGGAAGGGATCCAGCTTCAGCTTTCTACATATGGCTAGCCAGTTTTCCCAGCACCATTTATTAAATAGGGAATCCTTTCCCCATTGCTTGTTTTTGTCAGGTTTGTCAAAGATCAGATAGTTGTAGATATGCGGCATTATTTCTGAGGGCTCTGTTCTGTTTTGGTACCAGTACCATGCTGTTTTGGTTACTGTAGCCTTGTAGTATAGTTTGAAGTCAGGTAGCATGATGCCTCCAGCTTTGTTCTTCTGGCTTAGGATTGTCTTGGCAATGTGGGCTCTTTTTGGTTCCGTATGAACTTTAAAGTAGTTTTTTCCAATTCTGTGAAGAAAGTTGTTGGTAGCTTGATGGGGATGGCATTGAAACTATAAATTACCTTGGGCAGTATGGCCATTTTCACGATATTGATTCTTTCTACCCATGAGCATGGAATGTTCTTCCATTTGTTTGTATCCTCTTTTATTTCACTGAGCAGTGGTTTGTAGTTCTCCTTGAAGAGGTCCTTCACATCCCTTGTAAGTTGGATTCCTAGGTATTTTATTCTCTTTGAAGCAATTGTGAATGGGAGTTCACTCATGATTTGGCTCTGTTGTCTGTTATTGGTGTATAAGAATGCTTGTGATTTTTGTACATTGATTTTGTGTCCGGAGACTTTGCTGAAGTTGTTTATCAGCTTGAGGAGATTTTGGGCTGAGATGATGGGGTTTTCTAGATGTACAATCATGTCATCTACAAACAGGGACAATTTGACTTCCTCTTTTCCTAATTGAATACCCTTTATTTCCTTCTCCTGCCTAATTGCCTTGGCCAGCACTTCCAACACTATGTTGAATAGGAGTGGTGAGAGAGGGCATCCCTGTCTTGTGTCAGTTTTCAAAGGGAATGCTTCCAGTGTTTGCCCATTCAGTATGATATTGGCTGTGGGTTTGTCATAGATAGCTCTTATTATTTGGAGATATGTCCCATGAATACCTAATTTATTGAGAGTTTTTAGCATGAAGTGTTGTTGAATTTTGTCAAAGGCCTTTTCTGCATCTATTGAGATAATCATGTGGTTTTTGTCTTTGGTTCTGTTTATATGCTGGATTACATTTATTGATTTGCGTATGTTGAATCAGCCTTGCATCCCAGGGATGAAGCCCACTTAATCATGGTGGATAAGCTTTTTGATGTGCTGCTGAATTCGGTTTGTGAGTATTTTACTGAGGATTTTTGCATCAATGTTCATCAAGGATATTGGTCTAAAATTCTCTTTTTTTGTTGTGTCTCTGCCAGGCTTTGGTATCAGGATGATGCTGGCCTCATAAAATGAGTTAGGGAGGATTCCCTCTTTTTCTATTGATTGGAATAGTTTCAGAAGGAATGGTACCAGCTCCTCCTTGTACCTCTGGTAGAATTCGGCTGTGAATCCATCTGGTCCTGGACTTTTTTTGGTTGGTAAGCTGTTGATTATTGCCACAATTTCAGAGCCTGTTATTGGTCTATTCAGAGATTCAACTTCTTCCTGGTTTAGTCTTGGGAGGGTGTATGTGTCGAGGAGTTTATCCATTTCTTCTAGATTTTCTAGTTTATTTGCGTAGAGGTGTTTGTAGTATTCTCTGATGGTAGTTTGTATTTCTGTGGGATCGGTGGTGATATCCCCTTTATCATTTTTTATTGCGTCTAATTGATTCTTCTCTCTTTTCTTCTTTATTAGTCTTGCTAGCGGTCTATCAATTTCGTTGATCTTTTCAAAAAACCAGCTCCTGGATTCATTAATTTTTTGAAGGGTTTTTTGTGTCTCTATTTCCTTCAGTTCTGCTCTGATTTTAGTTATTTCTTGCCTTCTGCTAGCTTTTGAATGTGTTTGCTCTTGCTTTTCTAGTTCTTTTAATTGTGATGTTAGGGTGTCAATTTTGGATCTTTTCTGCTTCCTCTTGTGGGCATTTAGTGCTATAAGTTTCCCTCTACACACTGCTTTGAATGTGTCCCAGAGATTCTGGTATGTTGTGTCTTTGTTCTCGTTGGTTTCAAAGAACATCTTTATTTCTGCCTTCATTTCATTATGTACCGAGTAGTCATTCAGGAGCAGGTTGTTCAGTTTCCATGTAGTTGAGCGGTTTTGAGTCAGTTTCTTAATCCTGAGTTCTAGTTTGATTGCACTGTGGTCTGAGAGACAGTTTGTTATAATTTCTGTTCTTTTACATTTGCTGAGGAGTGCTTTACTTCCAACTATGTGGTCAATTTTGGAATAGGTGTGGTGTGGTGCTGAAAAGAATGTATATTCTGTTGATTTGGGGTGGAGAGTTCTGTAGATGTCTATTAGGTCCGCTTGGTGCAAAGCTGAGTTCAATTCCTGGGTATCCTTGTTAACTTTCTGTCTTATTGATCTGTCTAATGTTGACAGTGGGGTGTTAAAGTCTCCCATTATTATTGTGTGGGAGTCTAAGTCTCTTTGTAGGTCACTCAGGACTTGCTTTATGAATCTGGGTGCTCCTGTATTGGGTGCATATATATTTAGGATAGTTAGTTCTTCTTGTTGAATTGATCCCTTTACCATTATGTAATGGCCTTCTTTGTCTCTTTTGATCTTTGTTGGTTTAAAGTCTGTTTTAGCAGAGACTAGGATTGCAACCCCTGCCTTTGTTTGTTTTCCATTTGCTTGGTAGATCTTCCTCCATCCCTTTATTTTGAGCCTATGTGTGTCTCTGCACATGAGATGGCTTTCCTGAATACAGCACACTGATGGGTCTTGACTCTTTATCCAATTTGCCAGTCTGTGTCTTTTAATTGGAGCATTTAGCCCATTTACATTTAAGGTTAATATTGTTATGTGTGAATTTGATCCTGTCATTATGATGTTAGCTGGTCATTTTGCTCGATAGTTGATGCAGTTTTTTCCTAGCCTTGATGGCGTTTACAATTTGGTATGTTTTTGCAGTGGCTGGTACCAGTTGTTCCTTTCCATGTTTAGCGCTTCCTTCAGGAGCTCTTTTAGGGCAGGCCTGGTGGTGACAAAATCTCTCAGCATTTGCTTGTCTGTAAAGTATTTTATTTCTCCTTCACTTATGAAGGTTAGTTTGGCTGGATATGAGATTGTGGGTTGAAAATTCTTCCCTTTAAGAATGTTGAATATTGGTCCCCACTCTCTTCTGGCTTGTAGAGTTTCTGCAGAGAGATCAGCTGTTAGTCTGATGGGCTTCCCTTTGTGGGTAACCCGACCTTTCTCTCTGGCTGCCCTTAACGTTTTTTCCTTCATTTCAACTTTGGTGAATCTGACAATTATGTGTCTTGGACTTGCTCTTCTCGAGGAGTATCTTTGTGGTGTTCTCTGTATTTCCTGAATTTGAATGTTGGCCTGCCTTGGTAGATTGGGGAATTTCTCCTGGATAATATCCTGCAGAGTGTTTTCCAACTTGGTTCCATTCTCCCCATCACTTTCAGCTACACCAATCAGACGTAGATTTGGTCTTTTCAATAGTCCCATATTTCTTGGAGGCTTTGTTCATTTCTTTTTATTCTTTTTTCTCTAAACTTCTCTTCTCGCTTCATTTCATCTTCCATCACTGATACCCTTTCTTCCAGTTGATCGCATCGGCTACTGAGGCTTCTGCGTTCATCACGTAGCTCTCGTGCCTTGGTTTTCAGCTCCATCAGGTCCTTGAAGGACTTCTCTGCATTGGTTATTCTAGTATCCGTTCGCCTAATTTTTTTTCAAAGCTTTTAACTTCTTTGCTATTGGTTCGAATTTCCTCCTGTAGCTCAGAGTAGTTTGATTGCCTGAAGCCTTCTTCTCTCAGCTCGTCAAAGTCATTCTTCGTCCAGCTTTGTTCCATTGCTGGTGAGGAGCTGCATTCCTTTGGAGGAGGAGAGGCGCTCTGACTTTTAGAGTTTCCAGTTTTTCTGCTCTGTTTTTTTCCCATCTTTGTGGTTTTATCTACCTTTGTTCTTTGATGATGGTGACCTACAGATGAGTTTTTGATGTGGATGTCCTTTCTGTTTGTTAGTTTTCCTTCTAACAGACAGGGCCCTCAGCTGCAGGTCTGTTGGAGTTTGCTAGAGGTCCACTCCAGACCCTGTTTGCCTGGGTATCAGCAGTGGTGGCTGCAGAACAGCAGATATTGGTGAACTGCAGATGCTGCTGCCTGATCGCTCCTCTGGAAGTTTTGTCTCAGAGGGGTACCCGGCCGTGTGAGGTGTCAGTCCGCCCCTCCTGGGGGTGCCTCCCAGTTAGGCTACTTGGGGGTCAGGGACCCACTTGAGGAGGCAGTCTGCCCGTTCCCAGATCTCAAGCTGCGTGCTGGGAGAACCACTACTCTCTTCAAAGCTGTCAGAGAGGGACATTTAAGTCTGCATAGGTTACTGCTGTCTTTTTGTTTGTCTGTGCCCTGCTCCCAGAGGTGGAGCCTACAGAGGCAGGCAGGCCTCCTTGAGCTGTGGTGGGCTCCACCCAGTTCGAGCTTCCCGGCTGCTTTGTTTACCTAATCAAACAACTAACTCAGCAATGGTGGGTGCCCCTCCCCGAGCCTCGCTGCCACCTTGCAGTTTGATCTCGGACTGCTGTGCTAGCAATGAGCGAGACTCCATGGGTGTAGGACCCTCTGAGCCATGTGCGGGATATAATCTCCTGGTGTGCCATTTTTTAAGCCCGTTGGAAAAGCGCAGTATTAGGGTGGGAGTGACCCGATTTTCCAGGTGCCATCTGTCACTGCTTTCTTTGACTAGGAAAGGGAATTCCCTGACCCCTTGTGCTTCCCTGGTGAGGCGATGCCTCGCCCTGCTTTGGCTTGCGCACAGTTTGCTGCACCCACTGTCCTGCACCTACTGTCTGGCACTCCCCAGTGAGATGAACCCGGTACCTCAGTTGGAAATGCAGAAATCACCCATCTTCTGCGTCGCTCACACTGGGAGCTGTAGACTGGAGCTGTTCCTATTCGGCCATCTTGGCTCCTCCCCCTCTAATACTTAGTCTTTTCTGATGAAATTGGTGGTGGTATTAAACAAATGTGATTTTATTTTATTTTATTTGTTCTGAGACCAAGTCTTGCTCCGTTGCCCAGGCTGGAGGGCAGTAGTGCCATCTTGGCTCACTGCAACCTCCACCTCCTGGGTTCAAGCGATTATCCTGCCTCAGCCTCCCGAGTAGCTAGCTGGGACTACAGACAGCCGCCACCATGCTAGGCTAAATTTTGTATTTTTAGTACAGATGGTGTTTCACCGTGTTGACCAGGCTGGTCTTGAACTCCTGACCTCAGGTGATCCACCCACCTCGGCCTCCCAAAGCACTGGGATTGCAGGTGTGAGCTACCGTGCCTGGCCAACAAATGTGTTTCTAAAAATTTTTTAAAATTTTGAAATAAGCATAGATTTGCAGGAAACTACAAAAATAGTAAAGAGAGATCTGTGTACCCTTCACCCAGCTTTTTGCCAGTAGCAAAATCTTGCATACATATAGTGCAATATAAAACCAGGAAATAGACATTGATACAATCCACAGACCTTATTTAGATTTCACCAGTTTTACATGAACTCACTTGTGTGTGTTTGCATGTGTTTATAGAGCTCTATACAATTTCAGCACATGTGTAGGTGAAGATTCATGTTCACTACCACCACCACAATCAAGATACAGAACAGTTTCATTACCACACAGATTCTTTACATAACCCCTTTATAGGGATACCCCTTTCCCATCATCCAAAACCTCAGGCAACCAAAACCTAGTCTCCATCTCTATAATTTTGTCATTTTAAGAACATTATATAAATGTAATATTACACTATGTAACCATTTCATATTGGTTGTTTTCACTCAGCATTTTTTTTTTTGCGATCCGTCCTTGTCTTTTTATGTGTTAATAGTTTGTTCTTTTTGTTTGTTTGTTTGTTTTTGAGACAGAGAGTCTCACTCTGTTGCCTAGGCTGGAGTGCAATGGCGTGATCTCGGCTCACTGCAACTACTGCCTCCTGAGTTCAAGTGATTCTCCTGCCTCAGCCTCCCAAGTAGCGTGAGATTACAGGCATGTGCCACCTTGCCTGGCTAATTTTTTTGTATTTTTTAGTATAGATGGCGTTTCACCAAGTTGGCCAGGCTGGTTTCAAACTCCTGGCCTCAAGTGATCCACCCACCTCTGCCTATCAAAGTGCTGGGATTACAGGCATGAGTCAACGTGCCAAGCCCTGTTCTCTTTTTATTGCTATGTAGAATTCTATGCTATGGATGTACCAATTTGTTTAGCCATTCACCATTGAAAGAATTTGGGTTGTTTCCAATTTTTGGCTATTGTAAATAAGTTGGCATGAACATTTCCATACAGGTTTTTGTGTGGACATAAAGGGTATATTTAGTTTTATTTTTTTTTTAGAAACTGCCAACTGTTTTCTAGAGTGGCCATGCCATTTTACATTCTGTGTTTTGTTTTGTTTTCTTGTTTTCTTTTGAGACAGAGTCTCACTCTGTCACCCAGGGTGGAGTGCTGTGGCATGATCTCAGCTCACTGCAACCTCCGCCTCCCAGGCTCAAGTGATTCTCCTGCCTCAGCCTCCCGAGTGGCTGAGACTACAGGTGCGTGCCACCATGCCTGGCTAATTTTTGTATTTTTAGTAGAAATGGGGCTTTGCCATCTTGGCCAGGCTTGTCTCAAACTGCTGACCTCAGGTGATCCACCCACCTAGGCCTCCCAAAGTACTGGGATTACAGGTGTGAGCCACTGCACCCGGCCACCATTTAGATTCTTACCAGTAATGTATGAGAGATCCCATTTCTTTGCATCCTTGACAGCATTTGGTATTGTGACCAATTTTTTTATTGTAGCTATCCTAATAGGTATATAGTGATATCTCATTGTGGTTTTAATTTGCATTTCTCTAATGGCTAATGATGTTGAACATCCTTTCATTTACTTATTTGCCATCTGTATCTCCCTTTAGGCAAAATATCTGTCATTTTTCTTGTCTATTTTCTATTTGGATTGTTTGATAGTTTACTGTTGAATTTACAGGATTATTTATATATTCTAGATGTGATTCCCTTGTCAGATAAATATTCGCGAATATTGTCTTGTTGTAGCTTGTCTTTTTGTCCTTTTTAATAGGGTCACAGAATACAGTTTTGATGAAGTCCAGTTGATTGATTTCTTTTTCTTTTATGGATCATGCTTTTGGTGTCATGTCTCAGAATGTTTCACCTAGCCCTGGGTTTCTTAAATTTCCATTTGAATTTTAAGATCAGCATGTTAATTTCTGCAAAAAAGGCCAACTGGAATTTTAATGGAATTGGATTAAATTTATAGATCAACTCGGGGAGTATTGCCATTTTAATATATTGTCTTTTTTTTTTTTTTTTTTGAGACAGAGTCTCACTCTATTGCCCAGGCAATATTGCGCCATCTCGGCTCACTGCAGCCTCTGCTTCCCGGGTTCAAGCGATTCTCCTGCCTCAGCCTCCCAAGTAGCTGAGATTACAGGCACGCACCACCATGCCTAGCTAGCTACTTTTTGTATTTTTAGTAGAGACAGGGTTTTGCCATGTTGGACAGGCTGGTCTCGAACTCCTGGCCTCAGGTGATCAGTCTACCTTGGCCTCCCAAAGTGCTGGGATTACAGGGGTGAGCCACTGGGCCCAGCCCTGATGGTAGTTTTGATTGCCCCAAATGTACACATTTTTGAATACTGACTTACAGTTTATGAAATGCTTTCACATCTGTGATCCCATTTGATCCTCATAAAAATCAATCCTATATTGTAGACATTACTGTCCCTATTTTATAGTTAACAAAATAGAGCCTCAAAGAGATTGTGACTTACCTAAGTTCACTGAGCCAAGAAGTGGAAAAACTGGGAATGCAAAGCTCATATTCTTTTCACTACATCAGTATACGCAGGACATCACTCCAGATCTAATGAATCACAGTCTCCCCAAGTTGTGAGAGCTGGGCATGTGATTTTCAGAAAGCTCCACTGGTGAGTCTGATGCTCACAAAAGGTTACTACAGCACTGTATTGTGCTGCCTCTTCTTTAAGACTTCTTTTACTTTAAATCTTTATCTTTTGGGCTTGAAATATTTGTTTCTAGTCATAAGAAGATGAATAAATTTTCAAAAGTAGCCTGAATTATTAGAGCTTTGATTTCTCTAAGATAAAATCTGAGTAATGATAGACACTTTATGGGTTGTTTGAACATTAAAGTCTCATATTGTTTTATATGTTATAAGAACAGACAGCAACATCTATCCTCTGATATGGTGTTGTCACTCAGCATTTCTCTTTTATAGTAAGATTTTCTCCACCTTGAATAATGATTTAATCAGCAAGTATTCATAGAATATAGTGTAGACAGGAATATTATTTTCTAATCTCTATATAGAGATTTGGCTTATTGAGGCACTTGTGTTAGCAATTTATTTTCCCCTTTAATAATATCTAGTATTAAAGCCTTATAAGAGAGTATCTACTCAGCAAGATGTCAGGCTTACTATTCAGCAGTTAGAAGAGAAAACTAGAGAGAAGCTGGTGTCTTACGTTGTTTATATTTTCTTCTGTCTACTCAATTCTTTTATTATTCAAAGCACAATAATATTTGACACCACGTAAAGAAGAGAAGAAAGAAAATAGCAAGTGTAGTACTTTATTATTTCCTTGTATGTATCCATGTTTTTCTTAAAAAATGCTGTGTCAGCCTTTTTTTTTTTTTTGTGACAGAGTCTCGCTCTGTCTCCCAGGCTGGAGTGCAATGGCTCGATCTCAGCTCGCTGCAACCTCCGCCTCCCGAGTAGCTGGATTGCAGGTGCCCACCACCACACCCAGCTAATTTGTGTTTGGGTTGTTTTGTTTTGTTTTGTTTTGTTTTGTTTGTTTGTTTTTTGGTAGAGACGGGATTTCACCATGTTGGTCAAGCTGGTCTCAGACTGCTGACCTCAGGTGATCCACCCACCTTGGCCTCCCTAGGTGCTGGGATTATAGGCGTGAGCCACTGCTCCTGGCCAACTAAGTTCTTCAATGGCTGAAACAAGCCTCTTCTACAAGTGCTAAAGTATGTGTGATTGATGTTTACATTCATTTGGGGGTGTTCAGACATAGAATGGTAGAACTGAAAGGAACCCTGCAGATAGTCTAGTACAGTCTCCTCACTTTATGGATGAGGAAACAATCTGTGAGAGCTTAAGGCTCAAAGTTACACATGATAAATGGCAGAGCGGCTCTTTTGGCTTCATGATGAGATTGTACGAAGCTGCTTTTCTTTTTTCTTAAAATTTTTTTTTTTTTTAAGAGATGGGGTTTTGCTCTGTCATCTGTGGCAGGAGTAGAGAGGTATCTTCTTAGCTTACTGCAGCTTCGAACTACTGGACTTGAGCAATTTTCCCGCCTCAGCCTCTAAAGTAGCTGGGACCATAGGTGTGTGCCACCATGTCTGGCTAATTGATAAGCTGCTTTTTGTAGTGGATATACATAGCAGTTCAGACTATGAGGTTATTGTGATCTTGCTTTAAGACAAAGACTGCTGTTTAGCTTAATTCCTCTAATGTAGAAGTGAATAGAAGAGCTATTCAAGTTGCAGAAGCATCTAGTAGACCTGGCATTATGTCATAGTATAATAACATAAGGCAGTACAACCAGTTTTTGCATTTCCAGAAAAAAGTAAATGACTCCTGCTCATTCAGTATCAACTCTGTGTCACCAAAGATTACCACTTATTCTTCTGTATTTTGAGCAAGCTATCTGTTTAGCTTGAACAACTAGTATTGCTAAAAATATTAGAAAACAAAATAAGACTTTTAAACACTAGTTAAAATATGCTAAAATTGACTTAGAGACAAATAACCTTGTCATTTTAACCAATTATTGACATTCTTTATCTTTTTCAGGCAGTTGCTCAAGGGGATTTTCAAAGAGCATCTATGTGTGTACTGCAATGTAAAGATATGTTGATGAGGCTCCCCCAGATGGTGAGTGAAGTCTGCATTCTCCAAGAGTTTGAAAATATGCTATATCAAGTTCCAGGAAGAATCATTACTACTTCATGCAACCTTTTGGAGATTCTATTTGAGATCAGTTCCACATAAGTAGCTGATCTTTGAAATATTTTGCTTCCTTTGTTCTTTACCAGAAAGGGCATTTGAAAAAGCTATATGGAATATTTCTTTTTTTTCTTTTCTTTTCTTTTCTTTTCTTTTCTTTTTTTTTTTTCTGAGATGGAGTCTCACTCTGTCACCCAGGCTGGAGTGCAGTGATGTGATCTCAGCTCACTGCAACCTCCACCTCCCGGGTTCAAGTGATTCTTGTGCCTCAGCCTCCTGAGTAGCTGGGATTACAGGCCTGCGCCACCACACCTGGCTACTTTTTGTATTTTTAGTACAGACAGGGTTTTGCTATGTTGGGCAGGCTGCTCTGGAGCTCCTGGCCTCAAGTGATCCACCCACCTCAGCCTCCCAAAGTACTGGGATTACAGGCGTGAGCCACCACACCTGGCTGATATGGAATATTTCTTAAAATTTTCTTTGCTTTGTCTTTTATTGTCAAATCATTTTGATAACATTTGCTCCATATTCATGCTATACAACAAAAGAAAGAAAAAAATGAGTTTGTCTGCTGACAAGGTTGATAGCAGTTAATCATCTTACTGCCATAGTATTTTTCTATACTGGGATTTGGAGATGTGAGAGATTTGATAGGATAAAGCCTGCATCCTGGACTGGATCTCATGAAAATTCCTAAATACATAGTTTTTTGCTTTTTCATTTTATCTTCCCTTTCCATTCTTTCTCTCCTATTTCAGCGCCTATGCCTACTTCAGTCTTTACTATCACAGAGGGATTAATAATGGAGATATAATTGGATATTAGGGAGAATGTTCCCAGTATTGCATACATCGTACCTATTTGTGAGATTGGTCTTATTTTTTCCCCAAATTGGGTGTCATAATGTAGAGCTTAATTCAGTAAACATTTATATGTTGCCTGTTATATGTCACATCAGACATTCTTCTAGGCTTTAAAAACTTTTAAAACAATTTCATATTTATAGAAAAGTTATAAGAATAGTACAAAGAACTCCTGTATATCCTTTGCTTGGAAACGTCATTCAAATTTTCCAATAATGTTCTATATAGAAAATGGTTTCAATCTAGAATTATACATAGTCTTCAGTCTCCTTCAATCTGGAAATCTGGAACACCTCCTCATTCTTGCCTTGTTATTCATGATCTTGGCAGTTTTGAAGATTACAGATCAGTCATTTTGTAGCATGTGATTTAATGTGGGTTTAGCCAAAGTTTCCTCATGATTAGAACAGGTTGTGAATTTGAGGCCAGAAAACCACAGAAGAAATTCTATGTTCTACTCATGGCTTCCTATTGGGTGGTATACAGGATTGATTTATACTATTATTGGTGGTGCTAGCTTTGATCTCTTGATTAAGATCGTGTCTTTCAGGTTTTTTCACTGTAAACCTGTATCATTTCGTGAGTGATACACTGAAACTATGGCAAATCAAATTTCTCATTCTACTTTCACCATCTTTATTCTTTTTTCCTCCATTTTTCTAGCTTTATTGGGGGTATAATTGACAAAATTTGTATATATTTATGGTATATAACATAATATTTTGATATACATTGTGAAAAGATCACCACAATCAAGCCAATTTATATATTCATCAACTCACACAGGTTTTTTTTGTGGAGAAATATTTAAGATCTACTTTCTTAGCAATTTTCAAGTATACAATACATTATTATAATATTAACTGTAGTCACTGTGCTGTACAGTACAGCCCCAGAACTTATTCATACGGCCTAAATGAAACTTTGTAACCCCTCCCCTTTTATTTGAAGAGATAGAGTATTGCTCTGTCGCCAGGCTGGAGTGCAGTGGCATGATCCTGGCTCACTGCAGCCTCAACCTCCTCGGCTAAAGTGATCCTCCCACCTCAGCCTCTCGAGTAGCTGGGACTACAGGTGCGTGCCACCAAGGCTGGCTAGTTGTTTTATTTTTTTGTAGAGATGGGGGTTTCACTATGTTATGCAGGCTGATCTTGAACTCCTGGGCTCAGGCAGTCCTCTTGCCCCAGCCACCCAAAGTACTGGGATTATAGACGGGAGCCACTGTGCTTGGACACTTTGTACCCTTTGACCAATATCTCCTCATCCATTCCCCAACCCCCTGGCAACCACCTTTCTACTCTCTACTTCTATGAACTCAGCTTTTTCAGAATCCACATATAAGTGAGATCATGCAGTATTTGTCTTTCTGCGGCTGGCTTATTTCACTTAGCTTAATGTCCTCCAGGTTCATCTGTGTTATCACAAATGACAGGATTTCCTTCTTTTTTATGGCTGAATAGTATTCTATTGTATATAAATACCACATTTTCTTTACCCATTCATCTCTTGTTGGACCCTTAGGTTGATTCCATAGCTTGGCTATTGTAAATAATGCTGCAGTGAACAAGGGATTGCAGATATCTCTTAAAGATACTTATTTTATTTCCCTTGGGTATATATCCAGAAGTGAGATTGCTGGATCATATGGTAGTTACATTTTTAATTTTTTGAGCAACCTCTATACTGTTTTCTGTAATGGGTATACTAATTTACATTCCCACCAGCAGTGTACAAAGTTTCCTTTTCTCCATGCCCTTGCCAACACTTATCTTTTGTCTTTTTGATAATAGACATTCTAACAGATGTGAGGTGATATCTCATTGTGATTTTAATTTGCATTTCCCTGATGGTTAGTGATGTTGAGCATTTTTTCACATACCTGTTGCTGATTTGTATGTCTTCCTTAGATAAATATCTATTCAGGTCTTTTGCCCATTTTTTCATTGGGTTATTTGTTTATTTGCTATTGCAGTGTTTGAGTTCCTTGTATATTTTGGAGATTAACTCTTTATCAGACGTGTGATTTGTGGATATTTTCTCCTATTCTGTAGGTTGTCTCTTCACTCTGTTGATTGTTTCCTTTGCTGTGCAGAGCATTTTGGTTTGGTGCAATCTCATTTGCCTATTTTTGCTTTTGTCACCTGTGGGGGTCATATCCAAAAAAATCATTGACCAGGGGTCTATCTCTCTCTTTCCCTCTAATAATTGCTTTATATATCTGAGTGCTCCAGTGTTGGGTGCATGTGTATGTAAAATTGTTATAGCCTCTTGCTGAATTTTCCCCTTTATCCTTATATAGTGACCTTTTTTTCTCTCTCCTTAAAGTTTTTGTCTTGAAATCCATTTTGTCTGATATAAGTATAGGTACTCCTGCTCTTTCGTGGTTTCCGTTGTCATGGAATATCTTTTTCCATCCGTTTATTTTCAATCTGTGTGTATCTTCATAGGGGAAATGTGTTTCTTATAGGCAAGAGATCATTGGGTCTTGTTTTTTTTTAATCCATTCAGCCACTCTATGTCCTTTGATTGGAGAGTTTAGTCTATTTACATTCAGTGTTATTACTGATAAGTAAAGACTTACTCCTGCCACTTTGTTATTTGTTTTCTGATTGTTTTTGGTTTTCTATTTTTTATTCTATTATATTTCTTTCTTTCCTGTCTTCCTTTTAGTGAAGGCGATTTTCACTGGTGGTATGATTTAATTTCTTCCTTTTTATTTTTTTATTTTCGTTGTTTTTCAGTTTCAGGTTACCGTGAGCCTTGCAAATGCTATCTTATAATCCATTATTTTAAATTGATGACAGTGTAACACTGATTGTATTAACAAAGAGCCAAACACACACATACACACACACACACACACAAACTAATAAAAACTCTACACTTTAACTTTGTTCCCCTGATTAACTTTTTTTGTTTTTCTTTATGTCTTATGGTACTGTCCATGTTTTGAAAAGTTGTTGTGGTTATTATTTCTGTTTGGTTCATCATTTATTCTTTCTACTTAAGTCAAGAGAAGTTTACACCCCACAATTTCAGTGTGATACCATTCTGTCTTTTTCTGTGTGCTTACTGTTTTTTTTTTTTTTTTTTTTTGAGACGGAATGTTGCTCTGTCACCCAGGCTGGAGTGCAGTGGCATGATCTTGGCTCACTGCAACATCCGCCTCCTGGGTTCAAGTAATTCTCCTGCCTCAGCCTCCCAAGTAGCTGGAACTACAGGTGCATGCCACCACACCCGGATAATTTTTGTATTTTTAGTAGAGACGGGGTTTCACCATATTGGTCAGGCTGGTCTCGAACTCCTGACCTCAGGCGATCCACCTGCCTCGGCCTCCCAAAGTGCTGGGATTACAGGCATGAGCCACTGTTTCCAGCTGTCCAGCCTTGTGCTTACTATTACCCATGAGTTTTGTACCTTCAGGTGATTTCTTCTTGCTCATTAACATCCTTTTCTTTCAGATTGAACAACTCCCTTTAGCATTTCTTGTAGGACAGGTCTGGTGTTCATGAAATCCCTCAGCTTTTGTTTGTCTGGGAAAGTCTTTATTTCTCCCTCATGTTTGAAGGATACTTTCTGCTGGATATACTATCCTAGGGTAAACATTTTTTTTTCTCCTTCAGCACTTTAAATATGTCATGCCTCTCTTTCCTGGCCTGTAAAGTTTCTGCTGATAAGTTGGCTGCCAGATGTATTGAAGTTCGATTGTATGTGATTTTTTTTCTTCTCTTTTACTGTTTTTGGGATTCTTTCTTTATCCTTGACCTTTGGGAGTTTGATTATTAAATGCCTTGAGGTGTTCTTCTTTGGGTTAAATCTGCTTAGTGTTCTATAACCTTCTTATACTTGAATGTTGATATCTTTCTCCAGGTTTGGGATATTCTCTGATATTATCTCTTCGAATAAACTTCTTACCCATAGCTCTTTCCCTACCTCCTCTTTAAGGCCAATGGATCTTAGATTTACCCTTTTGAGGCTATTTTCTAGATCATGTAGGTATGCTTCATGCTTTTTTATTTTTTTTCTTTTGTCTCCTCTGATTGTGTATTTTCAAATAGCCTGTCTTGAAGCTCACTAGTTTTCTTCTGCTTGATCAATTCTGCTGCTAAGAGACTGATGCATTCTTAAGCATGTCAATTGCATTTTCAACTCCAGCATTTCTGCTTGATTCTTTTAAATTATTTCAGTCTCTTTGTTAAATTTATCTGATAGAATTCTGAATTCCTTCTTTGTGTTATTTCAAATTTCTTGCAGTTTCTTCAAAATAGCTATTTTGAATTTTCTGTCCGAAAAGTCACATATCTCTGTTTCTGCAGAACTGGTCCCTGGTGCCATATTTAATTCATTTGGTGAAGTCATGTTTTCCTGGATGGTGTTGATGCTTGTAGATATTCATCGGTGTCTGGGCATTGAAGAGTTAGGTATTTATTGTAGTCTTCTCAATCTAGGCTTGCTCATGCCAGTCCTTCTTGGGAAGGCCTTCCAGTTATTCAAAGAGACTTGGACCCCAAGCCTAATAATGCTGTGTTTCTTGTAGACCCATAAAGGGTACTCCTTGATGACCTTGGATAACATCTGAAAGAATTCTCTGGATTACCAGGCAGAAACTCTTGTTCTTTACCCTTACTTTCTCTGAAACATATGGAGTCACTGTCTCTGTGTTGAGCTGGGGGTGTGGTGATGCAAGCACTGGGCCTGTGCTGTGTCAGACTTGAAGCCAGCACAGCACTGGACCTTGCCCAAGGAAGGCCCTTCCCTTTAGGATGGTGAGTTCCCCCACAACCCAGGTGTGTCCAAAGATGCTCTCTGGGAGCCAGGGATTGGAGTCAGAAACTTGAGCAATTTACCTGTTTTATTCTACTGCAGTTAAGCTGGCACTCAAATCACAATACAAAGCCCTTCCCACTCTTCCCTCCCTTTCCACAGGCAGAGGAGTCTCTCCCTGTGGCCGCCACCATCAGTGGTCCATGGGGTGTTCTGCTAGGCCACCACTGATGTTCACATAAAACCCAAGGTCTCTTCCATCAGCTTGTGGTGAATGCTGCCAGGCCTGGGACTCACCCTTCAGGGCAGTGGGCTCTCCTGTGGCCCAGGACGAGAAATACTGTCCAAGAGGCTACACCTGGATTTGGGGACCCCAAGAGCCAAGCTGGTACCTAGAGTGCAGTACAAAGTCCTCTTTACTTTTCCTGGGCTTTTCTCAAACAAAAGGAGTCTTTCACTGGAGCCACCACAGCTGGGAATGTGCTGGGTGTCCCCTGAAGCCAGCACTTCTCAGAGCCCAAGGCCCATGGTGTACTCCCTGGGTCGTTAATGGTTATTCCAGGGTTATACCAAGGGTTCTTTAGTCAGCAGGTGATTAATCCTGCCAGGACTGGATCCTTTCCTTCAAGGCAGTGGGTTCCCTTTTGGCCCAGGATGTGTCTAGAAATGTGGTTTGAGAGCTAGGTCCTGGAATGGGGGCCTCACTACTCTGCCCAGTGCCCTGTCCTACTGTGGCTGAGCTGGTATCCAAGATGCTAGACAAAGTCCTCTTTACTCTTCCCTTCCCTCTACTTAGGCAGAAGGAAGGAGTCACTTTCATTGCTACGAGCTTTATTGCCTGGGGTTGGGGAAGGGATGGTGCAAGCCCTCCCTTTGCTGTGCCAGCTGTTGTCTCCCTAGGTCACGTGGCAAGTTCACTGGCTCTAAGCCCAGCCTTACACTAGGAGTTGCCTAGGAATTGCAGTCCTTGTGCCCTAGACTGCCACTCAAGTTTATGTAGGACCCCAGAGCACTTCAGCCCACAGTGACGAGGCTTGCCAAGAAACTCAAGTTCCCACCACTGGGATGAGGGTAATTCTCCTGTGGCTAAGGCTGGTCCAAACACTCCCTCTGTGCACAAGCGCTGGCTGAACCCAGCATGACTTTTTTCTCTACTGTGACTGTGCAGCACTGAGTTCAATGTAAAGTTCCCCAGCTGCTGTGCTCTTCCTCTGCAATGTGCACAGATTCTCTCTCTGCACTGCATAGCTGCTGCCAGGGAAGCGGGGAGGGGTGGCCTTGGAGATTGAAGACTGTTTATCCTGCCCTCTTCAATGCCTCTTTCCACAATATGTAGTTAAAACCGGGTACTGTGAGTGTTCACCTGGTTTTGGTTCTTGTGATTGTGCTTTTCTGTGTGCAGACAGTTGTTAAAATTTGGTGTTCCAGTGGAGGGTACAAACAATGCAGGCTTTTATTCCATGATCTTGCCCCACCCTTATTTTAGCTTTTTTTTTTTTTTTGACAAGGAGTTTCGCTCTTGTTGCCCAGGCTGGAGTGCAATGGCACAGTCTTGGCTCACTGCAACCTTCGCCTCCCGGGTTCAAACGATCCTCCTGCCTTAGCCTCCCAAGTAGCTGGGATTACAGGCATGAGCCACCATGCCCAGCTACTTTTTTGTATTTTTAGTAGAGACGTTGGGGGGGTTTCATTATGTTGGTCAGGCTGATCTCGAACTCCTGACCTCAGGTGAGCCACCCACCGTGGCCTCCCAAAGTGCTGGAATTACAGGCGTGAGCCACTGCGCCAGGCCAACATCTCTTATAAGGTGATTATTTATTTATTTATTTTATCTGAGACTGAGTCTCACTCTTTTGCACCCAGGCTGGAGTGCAGTGGCGCGATCTCAGCTCACTGCAACCTCTGTCTCCCGGGTTCAAGCCATTCTCTCACCTCAGTCTCCCAAAGTAGCTGGGATTACAGGCTCCTGCCACTACGTCCAGCTAATTTTTTGTATTTTTAGTAGAGATGTGGTTTCACCATGTTGGCCAGGCTGGTCTTGAACTCCTGACCTCAGGTGATCCACCCACCTTGGCCTCCCAAAGTGCTGGGATTATAGGCGTGAGCCACCACACCCGGCCAAAGTGATTTTACTGGAAAAACATTTCGTCAATTCTTGTATGCTGCTCTAAACTTAAAAAAGATCCTTTAAGAATGTAAAAACTTTTAAAATCTCACCATCCATATTGGCCCACAGGTTGTAATTTGCTGACTCATTTCTTTACTGAGACTATATTTTTCTATTTATTTCATGAGTGTTTATAATTATTTGTTCAAACAGTTTTAAAACATCTGATTTAAAGCCCTTATCAGATAGTTTTAACATTCATATCATCTTTCTATGATTGTCTTTTCTTATGTATGTTGAGATTTTCAAGCATTGTCATATACCGAGTAGTTTTTTATTGAACAATATATATATATACATATATATAAATATATGTGTATATATATTTGTTTTTTGAGACTGAGTCTCCCTCTGTGGCCCAGGCTGGAGTGCGGTGGCATGATCTCAGCTCACTGCAACCTCCATTTCCCGGGTTCAAGCGCTTTTCCTGCCTCAGCCTCCCTAGTAGCTGGGATTACAAGCGTACACCACCATGCCCAGCTAATTTTTGTATTTTTAGTAGAGACAGGGTTTCGCCATGTTGGCCAGGCTGGTCTCAGAATTGACCTCAAGTGATCTGCCCGCCTCCGCCTCCTAAAGTGCTGGGATTACAAGCATGAGCCAACACACCCAACCCCTATACATTTTCTATATTACATTTTTGGCTTCTGGGTCTTGTCTAAATTCTGGGAGAGTGTCGATATTTTTATTATAGCAGGTAATCAATCTGGTAGATTCAGGCAAATTTTAAACTCATTTTTTGTGGGTTATGGTTTCAATGTTGTTTCAATTTTGCAGTGTGCTTCAGGTTTGTCTTGCGTATGCAACACTCATTGATCAGTCCTGGTACTTGGCAGAGGTTTATCTGTTAGCTCAGTTATCAAAGTTTTTGTTATGTAAATTAGGTTGAGATTCCTGGTTATTAAGGTTGTAGGATAAGCCTTGAACTTAATCAACTTTATTTTGTTGCTTTTCTGAGCTCCTCTCTCTCTCTCTCTATGATCTTCTTGGTAGTTTCTGGTTCTCTGAGCTGTCCTTTTCAGTCCTCTAACCAATAGCTATCCATAATCTGCAGTTGCACTGTGACTGGGGCCAAGCAGTAGGAAGACACAGGCAGAGGAAAAAAAGCAGTGGGAGTTTGCCCCATCCTGTGGGAACTACTGCTGCAGTGAATGGACAGTAAGGTTTTCCTCTCTCAAAGTTTTGAGTATTTTGGTTTCCCCTGGCTACCACTGCTGTTGCCACCATGGGATTGCCTAGGGCCTGAGCACAAGAGAATGGAAGAAAGATGAAATAAAAACCAAAATTGAATATTTGCACTTTCTCTGAGCAATTCAAGCCAGAAGTAGAGAAGCACCCTCAGTCTGTACCACAGCATTCGCTTCTGAGTTTCTGGCTGCATTAAGTTTAGGCCAGGGGATATTAGAGGAAAAGAATGGTAAACTTACCACCAGTTTGGTGTTAACTTGAATTCTGGTGTTCTTCCTTTATTTGCCTTCTGCTATTATTTTCTCAGAGTCCTCAAATAGCTAAGTGCATTCTGTCGAGGTTTATAGTTACATTCAGTGGGAGATAAAGGGTGGTGCATACTTACTTTATCTTACCCAAAACTAAAACACTATTTATTTATTTATTATTTTTATTTTTTGAGATGGAATCTCACTATGTCGCCCAGGCTGGAGTGCAGTGGCATGATCTCGGCTCACTGTAACCTCCATCTTTCAGATTTAAGTGATTCTCCTGCCTCAGCCTCCCAAGTAGCCGGGACTACAGGCATGCGGGCATGCACCACTATGCCTGGCTAATCTTTGTATTTTTTTTTTAGTAGAGACAGGGTTTTATCATGTTGGCCAGGCTGGTCTCGAACTCCTGATTTCAAGTGATCTGCCTTCCTTGCCCTCCCAAAGTGCTGGGATTACAGGAGTGAGCCACTGCACCCGGTCTAAAACACTATTTTGATGGTTAACTCTTTCTACATTTGGCCATTAAGAGGCCCTTTAAGCTGATTTGTATGTCTTTTTTGGAATGGCAGGGTGGTTTACTAGCCTGGTGATCTATTTGTGTCCTTTCAGTTTCCGGCCTGAACTTGTCTTTTTTTTGAAATATTTATTTTGGTAGAATTGACAAATAAAAATTATTATGTATTTAAGGTGAACAACTTGATGTTTTGATATACATACATATTTTGGAATGATCACTGTGATAAAGGTAATGAACATATTCATCACCTCACATAGTTACCTTTTTTTTTGTGGTGAGAACACTTAAGATATAGTCTCTTAGAAAAAAATCACCTATACAATACACAACACAATGTTATTAACTATAGTCACCATGCTGTGCATTAGATCTCCAGAACTTATTCATCTTATATAACTGAAACTTTGTATGCTTTATCTAACATCGCCCTATTTCCCCTTCCCCTGAGCCCCTGGCAGCCACCATTTTATTCTCTGCTTTTGTAAGTTTGACTCTTTTCATTTTACATATAAGTGAGATCATGTAGTATTTGCTTTTCTGTGCCTGGCTTATTTCATTTAGCATAATGTCATCCAGATTTATCCATATAGTTTCAAATGAGACAATTTCCTTTTCTTTTAAGGCTGTGGTATGGGTTCAATGTTTGACGCCACCCGCCCCCCACCCCCCAACCAAATCTCATGTTGAAATTTCATCCCTAATGTTGGAGGTGGGGCTTAGTGGGAGGTGTTTGCATCATGAAGGTGATGAAGGCAGATCTCTCATGAATGGCTTGGTGCAGTCCTCATGGTAATGAGTGAGTTCTCTCTATTAGTTCCTGCTAGAGCTGGTTATTTAAAAGAGCCTGTCATCTCCCTCTGCTCTCTGTCTTGCTTCCACTCTCTAGCCATGTGATTTCTGCGCAGGCTAGCTTCTCTTTGCCTTCTACCATGAGTGGAAGCAGCCTGAAGCCCTCATCAGAAGCAGATACTGGCACCACCTTGTACAGCCTGCAAAACCGTTAATCAAATAAACCTCGTTTTAAAATAAATTACCCTAGGAGTGACAGAAAATGTGAAAAAAAGTTACTCTTCCTCAGGTATTCCTTTATAGTGACACAAACTGACTAAGGCCGATATGGGTGTGTGTGTGTGTATATAGATACATACATATATATACGTATATACAATATCCTGTGTGTGTGTGTATATATACATACCACATTTTGTATATACATGCATATGTATATCCTGTGTGTGTGTATATACATACCATATTTTCTTTATCCATTTATCCATCAACAGGTATTAGGTTGTTTCCATATCTTGGGTATTGTGAATAATGCTGCAATGAATATGTGAGTGCAGATATCTCAAAATCCTGATTTTAGTTCCTTTGCATACATACAGTTAGCCCTCTGTGACCCTGGGTTCCACATCCATGTATTTAACCAACTGGGGATTGAAAATACTTGGGAAAAAAGGATGGTTGCATCTGTACCAAACATGTAGATACTTTTTTCCTACTACTTTCCTATTCCTACCTAATACAGTTGTTATACTGTATTATTTATATTATTCCCTAAATAATACAGTATAACAACTATTTACATAGCATATTCATTGTATTAGATATTATAAGTAATCTAGAGATGATGTAAAGTATATAGGAGGATGTTTGTAGGTTATATGCAAATACTATGCCATTTTATATAAGGGACTTGAGTATCTGTGGATTTTGGTATCCACAGAGGGTCCTGGAACAAATCCCCAGCAGATACTGAAAGATGACTGTACCTAGAAGTGAAATGGCTATATCATATAGTAGTTTTATTATTTTTTATTAACCTTCCTACTATTTTGCATAATGATTGTACAGATTTACATTGCCAACAGTGTACAAGGGCTCCCTTTTCTCCATTCCTCAATGACACATTATCTTTTGACTTTTTGATAATAGTCATACAAACAGGTGTGAGGTGATGTCCCATCGTGGTGTTGATTTGAATTTTTCTGATGATTAGTGTATTAGTTCGTTCTCACATTGCTATAAAGAACTACCAGAGACTGGGTAATTTATAAAGAAAAGAGGTTTAATTGGCTCACGGTTCTACAGGCTGTACAGGAAGCAAGGCTTGGGGTGGCAGGGGCTCTGGAAACTTACAATCATGGCAGATGGTGAAGGGGAAGCTGGCGCATCCTACATGGCTGGAGCAGAAGGAAGAGAGAGTGAAGGGGGAAGTGCTACACACTTTCAAACAACTAAATCTCATGAGAACTCATTATCATGACAACAGCAAAAGGGAAATCCACCCCTATGATCCAATCACCTCCCACCAGGCCTCTCCCCCAACACTGGGGGTTACAATTCAACAAGAGATTTGGGTGGGGACACAGAGCCAAACCATATCAATTAGTAATGTTCAACACTTTTTCATACACCTGTTGGCCATTTGTATATTTTCTTTGAAGAAATGGTCTATTCAGATCATTTGCCCATTTTTAAATTGAGCTATCTGGTTTTTGTTTTGTTTTGTTTTGTTTTTTGTTTTGCTATTGAGTTGTATGAGTTCCTTACATATCTTGCACATTAATTCCTCATCAGATATATGGTTTGCAAATATTTTGTCTCATTTTGTAGGATGCTTTTTCACTCTGTTGATGGGGTTTCTTTGCTGTGCAGAAGCATTTTAGTTTGATGCAATCCCACTTGTCTATTTTTGTTTTTGGTGCCTGTGCTATTAGAGTCATATACAAAAACTCATTGCCAGGATGAATGTCAAGAAGCTTTTCCCTTGTTTTCTTCTAAAAGTTTTACGGTTTCAGGTATTAAGTCTGATATGGCTTGGATATTTGTCCCTCAGAATCTCATGTTGAAGCGTAATCTCCAATGTTGGAGGTGGGGCCTGGTGGGAGGTGATTGGATCATGGGGGAGGATCCCTTATGAATAGCTTGGTGCTATTCCTCACAATAGTAAGTGAGTTCTCACTCAGAGTTCACACGAGATCTTGTTGTTTAGAAAAGTGTGTGGCACCTCCCTCCTCACTGTCTTGCTCCCGTTCTTGCCATGGGACATGTTTACTCCCCTTTGCCTTCCTGAGGCTCTCACCAGAAGCTGGCCATGATTATAAGCTTCCTGAGGCCCTCATCAGAAGCTGAGAAGCTGTTGGTGCCATTCTTGTACAGCCTGCAGAACCATGAGCCAATTAATAAACCTCTTTTCTTTATAAATTACTTAGTCTCAAGTATTTCTTTATAGCAATGCGAGAACAGCCTAATACAAAGTCTTTAACTTATTCTGAGTTGATTTTTGTATACAGTGTGATATAAGGGTCCAATTTCATTATTTTGCATGTTGATATCCATCAACACTGACTGAAGAGACTGTCTTTTCTTCATTGTGTGTTCTTGGCACTCATGTTGAAGATCAGTTGCCTGTGAATGTGTGGATTTATTTCTGGCTCTTCTATTCTATTCCATTAGTGTATATGTTTGTTCTTATTCTAGTACCATACTGTTTTGATTACTATAGCTTTGTAATAAATTTTGAAATGAGGAAGCATGATGCTCCTGGGTTTGTACTTCTTGCGCAAGATTTCTTTGGCTATTTGGATTCTTTTATGATTTTATATGAATTTTAGGATTGTTTTTCCTATCTGTAAAGAATGCCATTCAGATTTTGATAGTATTACATTGAATCTGTAGATCATTTTAGGTAGTATGGACATTTTAACAATATTAATTATTCCAATCTGTGAATGTGGGATGTATTTCCATTTATCTATGTGCCCTTTAATTTCCTTCATTGATGCTTTACAATTTTCAATGTAGAAGTCTTTCACCTCTTTAAGTTTATTGCTAAGTATTTTGTTTTTTGTTGTTATTGTAAGTGGATTGTTTTCTTAATTTTCTTCTTGGATAGTTTGTTTTTAGTGTATAGAAACGTCACTGATACTTGTATGTTGATTTTGTATCATGTTACTTTAATTTGTTTATTAGTTCTAACTTTTTTTTGGTTGAGTTTTTAGGATTCTCGAAATATATGATCATGTCATTGGCAAGCACAGATGATTTTACCCTTCCTTCTCATTTGGGTGCTTTTTTCTTTTTCTTTCCTAATTGCTGTTGCTGGGACTTCTAGTACTATGTTGAATAGAAGTGTTGAGGGATGGGCTTCCTTGCCTTGTACTAGATCGTGGAGGAAAAGCTTTCAGTTTTTCCCATCAATTATGATGTTAGCTGTGGGCTTTTCATTTATGGCCCTTTGTATTGAGTTATGTTCCTCGTATACCTATTTTGTTGAGAGTGTTCAGTTTAATGGATGTTGAATTTTGTCAAATGCTTTTTCTGCATCTATTGAGATAATCATGTGGTTTTAATCTTTCATTTTGTTAATATAGTATATATCACATTGATTTTCACGTGTTGAACCATGCTTGCATTCCAGGGATAAATCTCACTGGATTGTGGTGTATGATCCTTTTAATATCCTTGTTGGATTCAGTTTCTTAGTATTTTATCGAGGATTTTTGCATCTGTGTTCATCAGGGAAATTGGCCTGCAGTTTTCTTCTGGTGTCCTTGTCTTGCTTTGGTATCAGAGTAATGCTGATTTCATAAAATGAATTTGGAAATATTCCCTCTTCTTTTATTTTTTGGAAGAGTTTGAGAAGGATTGATATTAATTCTTCTTTGAATGTTTGGTAGAATACACCAGAGAAGCCATTTAGTACTGGGATTTTTTTTTCTGGGGCATTTTAAAATTATTGATTCAATCTCTTTATTTGTTATTGGTCTATTGTTTCTATTTCTTCTTGGTTCAGTGTTGTTAGGCTGCATGTTTCTAAGACTTTAGAAGTAATCACCTCTTGCAGACATTGTGGACTGGTTTTGGTAGGGAAAAACCTTCACCTGTGGGTGTGTGCAGGTGTGCTAGATTGGTGAGGTGTGTGGTGGTGCTGGTTCTGGATGCATGCAAGAATGCTAATCCCAGGGATATGTGGTGGTTCTAGGGCTAGGGAGTGCGTGGTGCCACCAGCTCAAAGGGGGATGCTTGAGATCACCTTGGGGGAGCAGTATCACAGGCTCCAGGTGCATTGGTTGTGGGCTTTGGGTGGCTCCAGCAGCTGAGGTCCACTTTGGCAAAGACTGTGGGGGTCCTCCACTCTGAAGGCTGAAATAGTCCTCAGTGGAAGGCTTCTGGAATTTTCCTGTTCTCCTTTTCCTTCACTTTGGAACTCATAGCTGAAGGAATACCTCTAAGTATTGAGCTACCCTGGCCTAGGGCATGGGGTGATGCAGGCAAAATAAAACTGTTCTGTTCTTCCTACTGTTTTCTATGTGGTTATCCTCAGATTTTGTGTTCCAGTGGGTTGCTTCAGCTTCTTCTTCTTCTTTTTCTTTTTTTCAAGACAGGGTCTCACCTTGTCACCCAGACTGGAGTGCAGTGGTGCAAAAGCGGCTCACTGCAGCCTGGACCTCCTGGGCTCAAGTGATCCTCCCACCTCAGCCAGCCCCACCTCCCTCCTGTGTAGCTGGGATTCCAGGCGCGCGTCACCACGCCTGGATAATTTTTGTATTTTTTATAGAGATGGGGTTTCGCCATGTTGCCCTGGCTGGACTTGATCTCCTGGGTTTAAGTGATCCGCCCACCTCGGCCTTCCAAAGTGCTGGGATTACAGGCTCTGGAGCTCTCTGAGAGCTGTTTTTGCCTGTATATAGTTGTTAAATCATTGCTTTTGTGGAGACACTAGGGCTGGGAGCTCTTAGTCTGCCATCTTGCTGGTGTTACTTGACTTCTATGTGTTTTTTACGTGTTGCCATTACTTTTGAGCACGTCATTCCTTTCGGGCACAATAAAATATTACAGGCTTATTTTGTATTCCTTTCCTTTCCTTTTTTTTCCTTTCTTTTTCATTCCTTTCCTTCCTTTTCCTTTCCTTTCTTTTCCTTTTTCCTCTTTCCTTTTTTGAGACAGGGTCTCACTCTGTCACCCAGGCTGGAGTGCAGTGATGTGATCTCACTCTCTCTGTCACCTAGGCTGAGTCACCCAGGCTGGAGTGCAGCGGCATGATCTTGGCTCACTGCAACTACTGCCACCTGGGTTCAAGGGGTTCTCCTGCCTCAGCCTCCTGAGTAGCTGCCATTACAGGCGTGTCCCACCACGCCCGGCTAATTTTTGTATTTTTAGCTCACTGCAGCCTCGATTTCCCGGGCTCAAGCAATCTTCCCACCTCAGCCTTCTGGGACTACAGGCACGTGTGTGCTTTCTTGATCAAGCCATGAAATTAACTATGTATCTCAGGAGACCTTATTTATTTTAGTAGAAAATCTTATTTAGAAGCCAAGATCTGGGCATTACGCATCCTTATTGCTTTTGGGATGTCACTGCTCTCTCAGACCCTCACAGTGGAAAGAGCATATGTGTGTGTGTGTGTGTGTGTGTGTGTGTGTGTATATATATATGTGTGTGTGTGTGTATGTGTATGTGTATATAAATATGTGTGTGTGTATGTATATATATCTATATTATATACACTCATACATTTCCATTACATTTATCTATATTATTTATTATCTATCTATCTTCTATCATCTCTAATATACTGAAAACCATGATATCGTCTGTTTCAATCCAACAACAAAATATTCATCCTAATTTTCTCCCTTTTCATGTTTCTAATTCTCTTCTCCAACAACAAAAAACTTGGCTTCAATTATCCTTAATGTATTTATGTATTTAATCAGTACCCCTGTATGTTACCAGTCTTCCATATTCTCTGCCACTCTATTCACTGTGAGGATGCCCTCTTCTCCATGCTCATTCTCTGATTCTTCATTTTGGGTTTCTTTCCCTGGGTGCTTACCCTCTTCCTTCTACTCTGACTCCCTTTACCTTACCATTATTTCATGTCTATGTTCTCTCACCCTATTTGGGCTCTGAATCTACATGCTCATCTCCTGGATGGAAGAATAATACTTTTTTTTTTTTTTTGAGACAGAGTCTCACTCACTCTGTCACCCAGGCTGGAGTGCAGTGGCACGATCTTGGCTCACTGCAACTGCCGCCTCCCAGGTTCAAGCGATTGTCCTGCCTCAGCCTCCTGAGTAGCTGGGATTACAGACATGACCCATTGTGCCTGGCTAATTTTTGTATTTTTAGTAGGGCTGGGGGTTTTACCATGTTGGCCAGGCTGGTCTCAAACTCCTGACCTCAAGTGATCTGCCTGCCTCAGCCTCCCAAAATGCTGGGATTACAGGCAAGATAATACTTTCTTATACTAGACTGATTGCATAGAATCTTATCGGGGAGACCACTCAGTCCTCAGAATCTCTGTCCCCCTGGAAAATTATAGAACTATAAAAATAAATTTTAAAAATACCTGTTATTCAAGTGGCCACTGCTATAGGAAGAGAAAGTACATAAAAAATGGATGCCAGTCATGGAGTAATGGGTGATGACATCAGTATGCCTCTAATCCTATTGGAGACTATTATTCTAAGCGAAGTAACTCAGGAATGGAAAACCAAACATCGTATGTTCTCACTCATAAGTGGGAGCTAAGATGTGAGGATGCAAAGGCATAAGAATGACACAGTGGACTTTGGGGACTCAGGGGGAAAGGGTGGGAAGGGGATGAGGGATAAAAGACTACAAACTGGGTGCAGTTTATACTACTCGGTTGATGGGTACACCAAAATCTCACAAATCACCACCAAAGAACTTACTCATGTAAACAAACACCACCTGTTCTCCAATAACCTATGGAAATAAAAAGTTAAAAAAATTAAATAAAATTTTAAAAAGATGTCCTTAATACTTTTAAGATGATTTTGTGAAGTCCTAAAAAATCAAAACCAAAAAACATACTCTTAAGCAAGTCAAATCTAATTAACTTCTATTTTAAAGTAAATATATGCCACACAGCACTTGTAGAAGTTTGACAGAAGCGTGAAATCAAGCGATGAAATGGATAGCAATGCAGTAGTCCCCCCTTATCCGTGGGGGACATGTTCCAAGATGTCCAGTGGATACCTGAAACTGCGGATAGTACCAAATCCTATATATACTATGTTTTTTCGTATATATACATACCTCTGATAAATTTTAATTTATAAATTGACACTGTAAGAAATGAATACTACTAATAAAATAGAATAATTATAACAATATCCTATAATAAAATTTATGTGAATGTGATCTCTCTCTCTTTTAAAATACCTTATTTTATTATACTCACCCTTCTTTCCTTGGGTAACCGAAGCCATGGCAGGAGGGAAAACCATGGATGGGGGGAACTACTGTAATGGTTTAGTGTCCAGCTTCTATAAGTTTATAGTAATAAATGTATTAACTGGAATAACTAGGACACAGTAATGTTTTATTTAATGGAACTTCCTGATTTAGTGAGAGTTAGAAAATTCTTATATTTTGAACATTTATTTTAAAAAATGTTTGCATATACTTACTTTTATAAGTGGAACATAGGGATTCTTTCTTTGATATTTGAGACTCTTGTAATTAATTACTCAAGACAATGCTCATGATCTGTGTACAGCCTTGTAGGAGGAGCTACTCATTAGTATCGCTAGTTGTGAGACATTTCACTGCTTTGAAAATCAGTATTCTCATCTGTAAAGTGAGAGTGTATGACAACATGGTCTCAAAGATCACTTCAGTGTAAAAATTCCTAGTCCTCAATTTAGGGAAGCCCTGAGCCATAGTGCAGAGGGTATGTGTTCCTATGTATGTATTTTTTATAATAAAATTCTCTGGGAGCAGCTTGTTTACTTAATTCTTTACCTCTTTCTCCTGTTAATCAGAATTTTATTTTGAGTAGTTTGTATGCTTTGGCTTGCTTTGTTATCTTTTATTTCTATCTTTAGTTTCTTCTAGAAGTTATCTTATGTATAGAGTTTTACTTCATTGTGAAGCTTTTATTTATGCAAAGGAAATGGCCAATTGATGTCTGAAACTCTTTGAAGTAATTCGTTCAAGATTCAGCTAGATTTCATTGCTGCTCTGTGGGACACAAAGCTTCTAAATGAGGTCTAGGTTGCTTACTCTATTACAATTCTTTTATTCTCTTTTGCCTAAATTTACCATTTTGTAGCCAAATATTTGAAAGATAACGTGTAAATATTCTGTACATTTCTCTCTGTAGTAACATTGAATCTCTTGGCACATAAATGAATTACTCCTTTTGATGTAAAACTCAGTTTTCTGCCTATTATGGGCTAGTAGGCATATATTTGCTTTCTGTAGACCTTTCTGCCCACTGCTTTACGTATCTGGGAGAGCCTAATCACTTAAGGTTATCTAGTTTCATTCCAAACTCAAAATCATTTGAGCCTTAAAAATGACTCACTGGTTTTTGTCAGGTTTGTCAAAGATCGGATGGTTGTAGATGTGTGGTATTATTTCTGAGGGCTCTGTTCTGTTCCATTGGTCTGTATCTCTGTTTTGGTACCAGTACCATGCTGTTTTGGTTACTGTAGCCTTGTAGTATAGTTTGAAGTCAGGTGGTGTGATGCTTTCAACTTTGTTCTTTTGGCTGAGGACTGACTTGGCAATGCGGGCTCTTTTTTGGTTCCATATGAACTTTAAAGTAGTTTTTTCCAATTCTGTGAAGAAAGTCATTGGTAGCTTGATGGGGATGGCATTGAATCTATAAATTACCTTGGGCAGTATGACCATTTTCATGATATTGATTATTCCTATCCATGAGCATGGAATGTGTTCTTCCATTTGTTTGTGTCCTCTTATGTTTCACTGAGCAGTGATTTGTAGTTCTCCTTGTAGAGGTCCTTCACATCCCTTGTAAGTTGGATTCTTAGGTATTTTATTCTCTTTGAAGGAATTGTGAATGGGAGTTCACTCATGATTTGGCTCTCTGTTTGTCTGTTATTGGTGTATAAGAATGCTTGTGATTTTTGCACATTGATTTTGTATCCTGAGACTTTACTGAAGTTGCTTATCAGCTTAAGGAGATTTTGGGCTGAGACGATGGGGTTTTCTAGATATACAATCATGTCATCTGCAAACAGGGACAATTTGACTTCCTCTTTTCCTAATTGGATACCCTTTATTTCTTTCTCCTGCCTGATTGCCCTGGCCAGAACTTCCAACACTATGTTGAATAGGAGTGGTGAGAGAGGGCATCCCTCTCTTGTGCCAGTTTTCAAAGGGAATGCTTCCAGTGTTTGCCCATTCAGTATGATATTGGCTGTGGGTTTGTCATAAATAGCTCTTATTATTTCAAGATACATCCCATCAATACCTAATTTATTGAGAGTTTTTAGCATGAAGGGCTGTTGAATTTTGTCAAAGGCCTTTTCTGCATCTATTGAGATAATCATGTGGTTTTTGTCTTTGGTTCTGTTTATATGCTGGATTACATTCATTGATTTGCGTATGTTGAACCAGCCTTGCATCCCAGGGATGAAGCCCACTTGATCATGATAGATAAGCTTTTGGATGTGCTGCTGGATTTGGTTTGCCAGTATTTTATTGAGGATTTTTGCATTGATGTTCCTCAGGGTTATTGGTCTAAAATTCTCTTTTTTTTGTTGTGTCTCTGCCAGGCTTTGGTATCAGGATGATGCTGGCCTCATGAAATGAGTTAGGGAGGATTCCTTCTTTTTCTATTGATTGAAATGGTTTCAGAAGGAATGGTACCAGCTCCTCCTTGTACCTCTGGTAGAATTCAGCTGTGACTCCGTCTGGTCCTGGACTTTTTTTGGTTGGTAGGCTATTAATTATTGCCTCAATTTTAGAGCCTGTTATTGGTCTATTCAGAGATTCAACTTCTTCCTGGTGTAGTTTTGGGAGAGTGTATATGTTGAGGAATTTATCCATTTCTTCTAGATTTTCTAGTTTATTTGCGTAGAGGTATTTATAGTATTCTCTGATGGTAGTTTGTATTTCTGTGGGATCGGTGGTGATATCCCCTTTATCATTTTTTATTGCATCTATTTGATTCTTCTCTCTTTTCTTCTTTATTAGCCTTGCTAGCGATCTATCAATTTTGTTGATCTTTTCAAAAAACCAGCTCCTGGATTCATTAATTTTTTGAAGGGTTTTTTGTGTCTCTATCTCCTTCGGTTCCCTATTTAATAAATGGTGCTGGGAAAACTGGCCAGCCATATGTAGAAAGCTGAAACTGGATCCCTTCCTTACACCGTATGCAAAAATTAATTCAAGGGCCAGGCGCGGTGGCTCATGCCTGTAATCCCAGCACTTTGGGAGGCCGAGACGGGCAGATCACGAGGTCAGGAGATCGAGACCATCCTGGCTAACACGGTGAAACCCCGTGTCTACTGAAAATACAAAAAATTAGCCGGCCTGGTGGTGGGTGCGCCTGTAGTCCCAGCTACTCAGAAGGCTGAGGCAGGAGAATGATGTGAACCCAAGAGGCGGAGCTTGCAGTGAGCGGAGATCGTGCGCCACTGTAATCTAGCCTGGGTGACAGAGTGAGACTCCGTCTCAAAAAAAAAAAAATTAATTCAAGATGGATTAAAGACTTAAATATTAGTCCTAAAACCATGAAAACCTAGAATGGTATTGCCTAGAAGAAAACCTAGGCAATACCATTCAGGACATAGGCATGGGCAAGGACTTCATGTCTAAAACGCCAAAAACAATGGCAACAAAAGCCAAAACTGACAAATGGGATCTAATTAAACTAAAGAGCTTCTGCACAGCAAAATAAACTACCATCAGAGTGAACAGGCAGCGTACAGAATGGGAGAAAATTTTTGCAATCTACTTATCTGACAAAGGGCAAATACCCAGAATCTACAAAGAACTCAAACAAATTTACAAGAAATAAACAAACAACCCCATCAACAAGTGGGCAAAGGATATGAACAGACACTTCTCAAAAGAAGACATTTATGCAGCCAACAGACACATGAAAAAATGCTCATCATCACTGGCCATCAGAGAAATGCAAATCAAAACCACAATGAGATACCATCTCACACCAGTTAGAATGGCGATCATTAAAAAGTCAGGAAACAACAGGTGCTGGAGAGGATGTGGAGAAATAGGAACACTTTTACACTGTTGGTGGGACTGTAAACTAGTTCAACCATTGTGGAAGACAGTGTGGCGATTCCTCAGGGATCTTGAACTAGAAATACCATTTGACCCAGCCATCCCATTACTGGGTATATACCCAAAAGATTATAAATCATGCTGCTATAAAGACACATGCTGACATATGTTTATTGCGGCACTATTCACAATAGCAAAGACTTGGAACCAACCCAAATGTCCATCAGTGATAGTCTGGATTAAGAAAATATGGCACATATACACCATGAAATACTATGCAGCCATAGAAAAGGATGAGTTCATGTCCTTTGCAGGGACATGGGTGAAGCTGGAAACCATCATTCTCAGCAAACTGTCACAAAGACAAAAAACCAAACACTGCATGTTCTCACTCATAGGTGAGAATTGAACAATGAGAACACTTGGACACAGGAAGGGGAACATCAGACGCTGGGGCCTGTTGTGGGGTGGGGGCAGGGGGGAGGGATCGCATTAGGAGATATACCTAATGTAAATGATGAGTTAATGGGTGCAGCACACCAACATGGCACATGTATGCATATGTAGCAAACATGCACGTTGTGCACATGTACCCTAGAACTTAAAGTATAATAAAAAAATTTTAAAAAATGACTCATTGGAATATTTGTAACGACATGTTCTGTAAATTTTAAGTGAGTCATATACTTTTAAACTAAATATCTACGGTATATGGAAAGCTTGGTTAGATTTGTCCATGTTTTGAGGCTCTTTATGTAGCCATTAGAACATTTATTATTCATTCTAACAAATACCAATGTTGATTTTTAGCTCAGGTTGTCACTGTTATTTTTTAAAGTATGGGGTTTACTTTTTTTTTTTAATACTTTAAGTTCTGGGATAAATGTGCAGAATGTGCAGGTTTGTTACATAGATGTACACGTGCCATGGTGGTTTGCTGCATCCATTAACCCGTCATCTACATTAGGTATTTCTCCTAATGCTATCCCTCCCATACCTCCTCACCCCTCAACAGGCCCCAGTGTATGATGTTCCCCTCCCTGTGTCCATGTGTTCTCATTGTTCAGCTCCCACTTATGAGTGAGAACATGCGGTGTTTGGTTTTCTGTTCCTGTGTCAGGTTGCTGAGAATGATGGTTTTCAGCTTCATCCATGTCCCTGCAAAGAACATGAACTCATTCTTTTTTATGGCTGCATAGTATTCCATGGTGTATATGTGCCACATTTTCTTTATCCAGTCTATCATTGATGGGCATTTGGGTTGGTTCCAAGTCTTTGCTATTGTGAACAGTGTTGAAATAAACATACGTGTGTATGTGTCTTTATGATAGAATGATTTATAATCTTTTGGCTATATACCCAGTAATGGGATTGCTGGGTCAAATAGTATTTCTGGTTCTAGATCTTTGAGGAATCACCACACTGTCTTCCACAATGGTTGAACTAATTTACACCCCCACCAACAGTGGAAAAGCGTTCCTATTTCTCCACATCCTCTCCAGCATCTGTTGTTTCCTGACTTTTTAATGATCACCATTTTAACTGTCGTGAGATGGTATCTCATTGTGGTTTTGATTTGCATTTCTCTGATGGCCAGTGATGATGAGCATTTTTTCATGTGTTTGTTGGTCGCATAAATGTCTTCTTTTGAGAAGTGTCTGTTCATATTACTTTTTAATGCCTACTTGTTGCATGTAATTCTTTTTTATCAGTGTGTATCTATACATAGTTTAAAGAGTAAAATAAGTTTACAGGTCTTTTTACAAAATCACCAGTACCTATGAAAAATTAGCCAGGCTTGGTGGCGGGTGCCTGTAATTTTGGCTATTCGGGTGGCTGAGGCACGAGAATGGGTTGAACCTCGGAGGCAGAGGTTGCAGTGAGCCGAGAACGCACCACTGCACTCCAGCCTGGGCGACGGAGTGACTCTATCTCAAAAAACAAAACAAAACTAACCCCGAAAAACCAAGATCACCAGTACCCATCCTGACTTTTGGACTTATTTTTATCTCACGTAACAGCTACTTTCAGTTATTTTAGTTGGCTCTTTTTGTATTTACCTCCATGTATCTACATAGTGTTCTTATACTGCTGTGCTGCTTGATTTTTTTACTTTTAGATATTATATATTGACTTCCCACTTTAGAAGGTGAATTTAGTTTCTTTTCTTTTTCCCTCTACCCCCAACACATATGCTCACTTCCTGTCACTCCATCATCTCTATATAGTTTACCATAACTTTGGTTAGATTAATATTTAGTGTTTACACTCCAGTGTTTATATGAATACTATCATAGTTGAATCATATAAAGTACCATGATTACTTTTCTTTTCTTTTCTTGCACAAAAGTTTGTTTTTCCCTGGAGTTAATTATATTGGTTTTCCTGACTACTTAGTATTTCATGTACTTGGTATTGTTTCTTCCCTAATTATGTAAACTTCTTTTTAGTATGTTAGAATGTATTAGTTATTTTATCACTTTCACTTGCTTAAAGAAATAACTGTCATAGTTTCTGATCTTCTCTTATCTGTACAGATTGTTGTGTAAGCATCCTGTTCAGTTATCGTTTTGAGATTTTCCTCCTCCATTGACTTGGGAATTCCTTTCAACTCCCTCATAGATTGTAACCCTGTTTCTTGAATCCTGTGTCTTTCTTTTTCTGATTTTACTCCCTAAATTTTGTGGGGCATATCCTCCAGTAGCTTCTTGAGAAAGGTTGCATGAAATGAAAATTGTTTGAAGAGTTTGCATGTCTAAACATATTTTTATTGTACCATCATAATTTATGCTTTCACTGGATATAAAATTTGGACTTGGAAATAATTTTTCCTGAGTATTTTGAAAACATCAGTTAGATTCTCATCTAGCTTCTGATTTGACTACTGAGAAATGTGTTGCAATTTTATTTTCTTTTACTTTTTTTAAATATAAAATTTTTACTTTTGTGGGTATATGATAGATGTATCTATTTATGGGGTACATTAAGGTTTTGATGTAAGCATGCAATTGATAATAATCACGTCATGGAAAATGGAGTATTCATCCCTTCAGGCATTTATCCTTTGTGTTACAAACAATCCAACTGAACTATGTTAGTTATTTTTAAATGTATATTATTTATATAATAATAATAATTATTATTATTTTGAGATGGAATCTCTCTCTGTTGCCCAGGCTGGAGTGCGGTGGCATGATCTCAGCTCACTGCAACCTCTGCCTTCCGGGTTCAAGCGATTCTCCTGCCTCAGCCACCCAAGTAGCTGGGATTACAGGTGCCCACCACCACGCCCAACTAATTTTTCTATTTTTAGTAGAGACAGAGTTTCACCATGTTGGCCAGGCTGGTCTCAAACTCCTGACCTCAAGTGACCCACCCACCTTGGCCTCCCAAAGTGCTGGGATTTCAGGCTTGAGCCACGGTGCCCAGCTTAAAATTTATAATTAAATTATTATTGACCATAGTCACTCTGTAGTGCTATCAAATACTTGGTCTTATTCATTCATTCTTTTTTTTTTTTTTTTTTTTTTTTTTTTTTTTTTTTGAGACAGAGTCTCACTCTGTCATCCAGGCTGGAGTGAGTGCAGTGGCACGATCTCGGCTTACTGCAACCTCCGCCTCCTGGGTTCAAGAGATTGTCCTGCCTCAGCCTCCTGAGTAGCCCGGATTACAGGCACCTGCCACCACGCCTGGCTAATTTTTGTATTTTTAGTGGAGACGGGGTTTCGCCATGTTGGCCAGGCTGATCTTGAACTCCTGGCCTCAAGTGATCCACCTGTCTTGGTCTCTCAAAGCGCTCGGATTACAGGTGTGAGCCACCGTGCCTGGCCTATTCTTTATTTTAGATTCAAATATATAGTAGGTCTAATGTGCTCAGACATGCATATTGAACTTCTGCTATGTGAATGTACTGTAATTCAAAGGGAAACTTTTTTGAAGCAAGACAGGTCTTTATACATTACTTATGAATAACTTGCTTCAGATCTTGGATTCTTAGTTGAGGATCTGCTTCTGTAGTCTTACTCGGGTAAAACTTATAAAAGACTTTTTATATGGGTATAATCAAATTCTCTAGATAGGTGGTTTCTATAAATGCTGAGGGGATATTTGGATAAATTATTAGCATCAAAATTTCTCCTATGCCATTTCCCAGTATTTTGAGAGATGAAAATTATGTAAAACATGGCATTAATGCAGGGACTGAGATGCTGATTCCTAAGGCAACATTCATATACTTGTTCCTACTTTCATCTCAATGCTAATTTATGTAAAGAAAATGATTGTTGATGCTAAAGAGTGTCCATGAAACTATTTCTAAATACGTCTTTTGACTAGATAGTGCTTTGGACACATTTTAGAACTTCAGAATTTTTAGAATTGTCTCAATTTTGAAAAAAAAAAATCATTCATTTCCCAACCTCACTCCTCGTCAATAGTGATTTTTTGTCTTTGAATATACTCCCTGCTCTAGTGCCTTTAACTGGATCTGGCAACCAAAAGCAGGGTTTTAGCCTGCCCTTTGGCTGGGCAATGATTGGGTTTCTCATTTCCTGTTACAAAGCATCTTTTAACTTCTATTAGTAATTTATTGTAATACTTTTTCATACATAACTAATTCTCCAACCTGAATGTTTTGCAGTTCTTCTTTATACAAATTGAGAAGTTTTGATAAGGAAGCTTATTTTGATGTATAGGACACATTAAGTATGTTTTTGTTTGTTTGTTTTTTGAGACGGAGTTTTGCTCTGTCTCCTAGGCTGGAGTGATGTGGCACCGTCATGGCTCACTGCCACCTCGGCCTCCCAAAGTGTGTTGGGATTTAAGGAAATCATGAATCTAATGCATTTTTTTTATATTGCAGACTTCAAGTCTTCATCATCTCTGTTACAACTTTGGAGTAGAAACCCAGAAGAATAATAAATATGAAGAAAGTTCTTTCTGGCTTAGGTAACATAAACAAAAAACTGAATGTAAACTCGGGAATATTATCATAGATGTCAGTTAATATTTACTGTAGAGTACTTTGGCAGTTTAAACCTTCTCTGACTTCAGAAGCCAACATGCTATATTTATTTACTCTTTTAACATGTATTGTTTATTATTCTTACACATTGTCAGTTCATAGAAAAATGTGTTCTTCCTTCCTTCCTTCATTCTTTCTTTCTTTTTTCCTTTCTTTCTTTTTTTCTTCTTTTTTTTTTCGTATCTCTCTCTGTCACCTAGGCTGGAGTGCAATGGCATGATCTCTGCTCACTGCAACCTCTGCCTTCTGGGCTCAAGCGATCCTCTGACCTCAGCCTTCCAAGTAGCTGGGACCACAGGCATGTGCCAGCATGCGTGGCTAATTTTTAATATCTTTGGTAGAGAAGGGGTTTCGCCATGTTGCCCAGGCTGTTCTCAAACTCTTGAGCTCAGGCAATCCACCTGCCTCGGTCTCTCAACGTGCTGGGATTACAGGCGTGAGCCACCACGCCTGACCAGTGTTCTCTTCTTAATATAAGAGCTTACTCCTCTCTCTTCATTCCTCCTTTATATCTCTATCAAGAGTATAGAAAATTTTGTTGTTGTTGCTTTGATACTTATTGTTGTCTGGCAACACCAGAGTATAAGGTGGAGGTGTGATTGGGAGTAGTATTGGCTAAAATTATTAGTCTTAGATGAATTTTGGCATTTTAATATCAGTCAAGTAAGTATATATTTAACGCTGTATGCTGAGTACTATACTAAGATTTGGAGTGTTGTGCTTTATCTGGAAATATCAAGAAAATTATACAAAAATATAGGAAATGTGCAAGAACCCTTTCTTTCACTGAAAACCTAGGCCCAGCACAGATTCTGACACACAGTAGATACTCAATAATTGTTAGTTAAATGAATATATGTGAAAAATGTATTTTTGTGGAGATGTCACATAAGGTGCAGTGCTTTGAATATCAGGAGATTATGGAGGAGGCTGGGCATGGTGGCTCACACCTGTAATCCCAGCACTTTGGGAGGCCAAGGTGGGCAGATCACCTGAGGTCAGGAGTTCAAGACCAGCCTGGCCAACATGGCAAAACCCCATCTCTACTAAAAATACAAAAATTAGGCGGGTGTGGTGGCACAGGCCTGTAATCCCAGCTACTCGGGAGGCTGAGGCAGGAGAATCGCTTGAACCAGGGAGATGCAGCTTGCAGTGAGCCGATATCGCACCGCTGCACTCCAGCCTGAGCGACAGAGAGACTCCGTCTCAAAAAAAAAAAAAAGAAAAAAAAATGGATCATGGAGTAAAATATATCAAATCAATTCACTAAATGTTTACCCTTTCTGAGTGCAGGATTAGTTCTAGTTATTTGGGGATACTCCTATGATTAACTATAGTCTAACTTTTGTGAATATGATGTTTGTCATTTAACAAAATAAATACAAATCTGGGCACTGAGATTATAATACTCAGACATATCTATCACTAGCAAAATGTTGATGCAAATGACTTATATAAGAGACTTTTTAAAGCCCAAAGATTGATCAAACTCTATATAAAGAACTATTCCTAATAGAACAGGCTGGAGTTCTATTCCAGTATTTGACAGTATTTGGGAGTAGAACACTCACAAAGTTTATGGCATCAATGTATCAAAAGACCAGTATGCCAAGAAGGCAGGAATAGGGAGATCCAAAAAAAAAAAAAAAAAAAAAAAGGATGCTGGTGCCATGGATGGCTTCTGGAAGCTTAAGACTAGATGTGAGCTTGGAGTTTATGCCAAGAATGAGGGTGAGTTAGGAGTCATAAAAATAAATGTTCTCTAGGAACTGGTCATAACAGTAGGTTGAGGCCTGACATGGCATGACTTGTAGGTTATTTGCACATACGCCATTGGTTTTTGACTTCTTATCTGTTATCATTTTCTAAAGAATCTCATGGAAAGAAAATATGTTGATGAGACATCCATATTATAAACTAGAATATCTTAGCGGCTATATTTGTAGGAATATAATCTGACCCACAATGATATTTTCATAAAAATCTAAATAAATAACAAATTTATATAGCACCAGTATGAGTCTTTTGTGTTCACATCACTAGAATAATATTGAAGAAAAGAAGAAAAACTTTAATTTTAGCCCTAGTAATTACATATGATTTTAATCTTTCTGCTTCATTTTTTCTTGCACATCTTTTGGGAATATAAAAATAACCTGGTGAAATATTCACAAATGTTTTAAAAGGAATTATCATATTTTAATGTCTAAAAAGAGGCAAAAATAATTATCAGTATTATTAACTGTAGGAATTGTAGCACAGTGAATAGTTTTTCTAACAGTAGACTGACTGTCAGAATTTGTTGTCATCTAAGACCTTAGTGTTAAATTGTTAAATATTGTGATACTTTATTTAGAATTGTTGTGGGGTTTACATATGATAATGCATGTATTATAGAGTATTCAGTAACATGCCTGGAAAACAGAAACTGCTTAACAAACGGAAACTGCTGCTACTATCTCTACGTGATGTTTGCTATTTATTAGAGATGGACTCTCTTGTGGCCATTCCACTAGTTTATTCTAAAATGTATCACAGTCGGATCAAGCATGGATTACTTACTAAGTTCCCAAATAAAATGTCATAAAAACAAACATCTACATCTTTAAATCTTTGGAACAATTAAAAAAAAAAAACATTGTTTTTTTGTAGAGGCGGAGCCTCGCTATATAAACCACGGTGGTCTCAAACTCTGGCCTAAAGTTATCCTCCCACGTCAGCTTCCCAAACTGCTGGAATTACAGGTGTGAGCCACTGCGCCTGACCCTTTGGAATAATTTCTTCATGCTTTATATCCACATGTTAAAAAAACTGTTGGCAGCAGTTGGTGATGCAAGCAGAGATGAATAGCTGCTAATTAAGCACCGTTTTCTGTAAATTTTATACCAGAAGGAGGTCATGGAAAATGAGTACACATTCTACAGGCTTAACTCTTTTGAGAACAGTGAATATCTTAGACTAGAGGTTATATATAATTTGGAAGTACCCATTCAGTCTAAAAGTAAAAACCTCATTTTTCACAAATGATAATATATAAAAATGCTGTAGTATATTCGAATTTTTTTGAAATTGAAGCCTAGAGCAATACTAAACGTAAAGAGTGGTAGTGGGTATTGTTTAAAAAGCTCATTTATTTCCCTTGATTTTTGTTAACATCTCAGTGCAGGACCTTTCTGAGTTTTTATCACCCTCCTGCCTTTTCTTTTGCTAAGAAAAGTTCATAAATAGCTGCTGCTCTCCTTGCTTTCTGCCACACTCTTTTGATCGTGTTCCCTTAGAGATACCACAGGTTAAGAGAAAGCTGCTGTAATTATGAATGAAATTAAAATTCCTTCAGCTCGCTTTACTGTGGATTGTCAACGTATTTGCCTCAATGTATTAAATGACAAATTCTCTTAGACCTTTATAAAATACAAAATTTCAGATTTTTGAAATCCGAATGCAAGGTTTGGAAATAATATATTTAAGAGTTTTTTTGTTTGTTTGTTTAATAAAATACCATTTTTTCCTCCTTCTCCTCCTCTTTCGTAAGTCTTGCAGTACTGAGCTCCTATGTCTGCTCCTGGCAGAAGGCAGGGCTAAGTAGATGAGAAGAGATTGTTGATAGAGAAATTTCCCTCACAATCTAGACAACTTGTTAGTGGCCTCCATTGTTCTGGTGGAATTTAAATTGTGTTTAGCTCTTAAAGTCCTATCTAATGATTAGGACATATATTATGCTGAACTTGGCTTTTCAGAAAAGGTATACAGAAATTTCATTGTAACAAATTTGTATTCTACAAAGAAGAATTGCATATTAACACAAATAAGTTCAACTCAAAAGGCTTTAGGGTTACATTTATTAACCAGAAAGACTTCGCAGATTTTTTTCCCTGGGAGAAAAATGCTCTACTTTCCAAACCTTAGTCATATTCTTAATTCTGGGTGATTTTTCATTTATCTCTAGTAGTTTTATTTCTAAGTCATTTAACTGTATTCCTTGGCACTGCTGACCTACAGCAATATCAGACATCTCTGTGGCTGATAAACACTTGAGAAGCTCACTATTTTCCTTTTGAAGTAAGAAGACCTCCTACTACTTTCTTTTCCCCTCAAGCTTCGTTGAGGTATAATTGACAAATTAAAATTGTATGTATTTAATAGTGTACAATGTGATGTTTTGATATATATATATACACTGTGAAATGATTACTACGATCAAGTTGATTATCATATCCATCACCTCACATAGTTACCATTTTTTTCTCACATGTCATTATAACAGAATTTTATTAGTAATCATCAAACACACATTGTTCAAATTTCACTGATTGTCTCATAAAATCTTATACAATTGATTTGTCAAGGCCTATATACTGTGATTGATTAAGGTGTCTCTTATGTCTACTTTAATCCTAGGTTTCTTCCTTTTTTTCCTTGCAATGTATTTGTTAAAGAAGTCAGGTAGCTTCCTGCATTTTGAATTTTGCTGTTTGTGCCCCTGTTCCTTAACATGTTTATTTTTTCTGTGTTCTCTGTATTTCCTACAAATTAGTAATTAAGATTCTAAAGGCTCTTACCAGATTTTTTGGCAGAAGTATTTCACAGGTGGTGTGGTGTATGTCCATCAGGGGTCTTGTATGTTAGTTGTTTTGTTTTTTGCGATATTAGCAGCCATCAGTGATCATTGCCTGGATTCTTTATTTCATCAGTGTTTGTAAAATAATAGTATTCTAATTGTGTCATTTTACTTTTCCTTTATGAGCTGGAATACTTCTCTAGAGTACAACTTCCCTTAGCAACTGTTAGATTACTCTGAGGTCCAATTGTCTGAGTTGCCTTTTTTTTGTGTGTGTGGTGAGAATATTTAATATCTACTCTCAGCAAATTTCAAGTGTACAATGCAGTATTATGAACTATAGTTACCAAGCTGTACACTAGATCTCCTTTTAAGAAAGAGAGAAGAAAGAAAGAAAGAAAGAAAGAAAGAAAGAAAGAAAGAAAGAAAGAAAGAAAGAAAGAAAATAAAAGAAAAGAAGGAAAAGAAAGAAAAGAAAGGAAAGAAAGGAAAAAGAGAGCATTCATGGAGACAATGCCCCAAAGAAATCAGAAATTTTCAAATGGATAACTCCTTTGAAGAAGGAATGAGATTCCTGTAATGGCTGCTTCCTGGAAGGCAGTGTCATGTGGAACCCCTTAGCCTCAGCATCCAGAGCTCCAGGAAGGGAACATTTCCAGTCAGGTAGAATTATATATATACTATTTCTTTGGAAACTTCAGCCATCAAGATTCAGCCATCAAAATTCCACCATCATGACTTCTGTTTCAACACAATGGCTCTTAGTCCTCATTTTACTGCTTTTGTTGCTGCCTGTTGTTGAAGCAGTAGAAGCCAGAAATGCAATTGCTGTCATGTTGGGTGTGGTTCTCAGCATTACAGGCATTTGTGCTTGCTTGGGGGTATGTGCACAAAAGAGAAATGGACAGATATGACTTTGAAGGGCATCCCAAATCAAACTTTGCCCTGAAAACCTTTGGACTAGTGAGGCTAAACTTGAGCTTTGGTGTTTGAAAATTTCCAAGAAACAGTAAATAGGGGAGTTCCACATTCTTAGTTGTTTTCCATAAAATGAGAGCAAATTGCTATGTATAAGAAAAAATGTTTTCCTTACAATAAATAATGCACTGAAAAATTAAGCCTATAATTTGTATTTGCTGCTTAGAAAGGGGGTTCAAGAAGTAAGATGGTTGACATTTACATAAGTAATATTTCATAGTTTTCTAATTATCTAAGCTGGGCATGGTGGCATGCGCCTGTAGTCCCAGCTACTTGAAAGGCTGAGGTGGGAGGATCACTTGAACCCAGGAGGTCGAGGCTGCAGTGAGTCATCATCACACCACTGCAGTACAGCCTTGGTGACAGAGTGAGATCTTGTCTCAAAAAAAAAAAAAAAAAAAAAAAGCACATGAAATAGGAAGAAGGAAGTTCTTGCCCAGAATCCTAAGAAATCACCACTGTTCAGTTATAATCACTGCCTCCTGAATCATTGAGGAGTCTTTTCTCCATATTTTCATTAGACTTTTGTTATTGCCCAAGTTAATATTGTATTTAAATATCAAATAGCCAAACATAGATGCTTTTATCTCTGGAGAAAAAACATTTAGAAAAATGCATTCAGTGTATCTAACATTGAAGTGGAGAAAAGAGTTAATGTAAAAAAATCCTTTATTTTTATATTTATCATTTTAAACTTTTATTTTAGGTTTGGGGTACATGTGAAAGTTTGTTACATAGGTAAACTCATGTCATGGGAGTTTGTTGTACAGATTATTTCATCACCCAGGTATTAAGCCCAGTACCCAATAGTTATATTTTTTACTCCTCTCCCTCCTCCCACCCTCCACCCTCAAGTAGACCTCAGTATCTATTGTTCTCTTCTTTGTGTTCATGAGTTCGCATCATTTAGCTCCCACTTACAAGTGAGAACATGTGGTACTTGGTTTGCTTTAAAAAAACACTTTATATTTACATTGAAATGGAGAAGATATTTAATGTTAAAAAACTTTATATTAATTAATTGAGTAACATCCCCATGGGGAGAAGTACTATATTAAATATAAACTCATTATGTTGTTAAAAAAAAAAGAAGGGACGAAATGATGTTGAAGATGAAACCTGCAGCAGCAGGCTGTACACAACAATTTGTGAGGAAAAAATTAATCGTTTGTGCTCTAATTGAAGAGGAGTGATGATTAATAGTACAAATAATAGCCAACACCATAGACATCTCAATTTGTTCTGCTTATACAAATCTGACTGAAAAAATTGAAGTGGAGCAAACTCAATGGGTGCCAAAACCATTGTGCCCAGATCAGCGGCAGATAAGAGCAGAGCTTTCATTGGAAATTTTAAACAAGTGGGATCAAAATCCTGAAGCATTTCTTCAAAGAATTGTAACAAGAGATGAACATGGCTTTACCAGTATGATCCCAAAGAGAAATTACAATAAAAGCAGTGGCTACCAAGAAGTGGAAGTGGTCTAGTCAAAGCAAAAGCAGCTCTGTCAAGAGTAAAGATCATAGCAACAGTTTTTTGGGATGCTCAAGGCATTTTGCCTGGTGATTTTTCTGGAGGGCCAAAGAATGATAATGTCTGCTTATTATGAGAGTTTTTTCAGAAAGCCAAAATTTTAGCAGGAAAATGCCTGAAAAGCTTCACCAGTGTCCTTCACCACAACAATGTTCCTGCTCATTCCTGTCATCAAACAAAAGTAATCTTGTGAATTTCAATGGAAAAACATTAGGCATCCACCTTACAGACATGATTTGGCTCCTTCTGACTTCTTTTTGTTTCCTAATCTTAAAAAATCTGTAAAAGGCACCCATTTTTCCTCAGTTAATGTGAAATGTGAAAAAGATTGCATTGACATAGCTAAATTCCTCAGTTCTTTATGGATGGACTAAATGGCTAGTATCACAAAGGTATCTTAAACTTGATGGAGCTTATGTTGATAAATAAAATTTATATTTTAATCTTTTAATTCCATTTTTCCAAAAGTTTTTTGAGGTCTCATAATATTCTGCAATTCCACAGGCTGTCTCTTCACTCTGTTAATTGTTTCCTTTGCAGTTGTACATGGTATTTAGTTAGATGTAATTCCATTTGTCTATTTTTGTTTTTGTTGTCTGTACTTTGGGGGTCATATCTAAAAAATAATTTCCCATACAATATCAATAAGCTTTCCCCCAGTTTTCTTCTAGTAATTTTACAGTTTCTGGTCTTACATTTAAGTCTGTAATCCATTTTTAATTGATTTTTTGCATAAGGTGGGAGATAAGGTTCCAATTTTATTCTTCTGTATGTGGATATCCAGGTTTTTCCAACACCATTTATTGGAGAAACTCTCTTTTCCCCATTGTATGTTCTTGGCAACTTTGTTGATCATCAGTTGCCCATAAATATGTGGATTTTGTTCTAGATATTCTATTCTATTCCATTGGTCTGTATGTCTTTTTAAAATGTCCATACCATGCTGTTTTAATGACTATTAGATGTCTAGTGTATTTTGAAATCAGGAAATGTGATGGCTCCAGCTTTGTTCTTTTTGCTCAAGATTGCTTTGGCTATTTAGGTCTTTTGTGATTCCATATAAATTTGAGGATTATTTTTTCTGCTTCTGTGAAAATGCCATTGTCATGTTGACAGGGATAAGACTGAATCTGTAGAATGCTTTAGGTAGTATGGACATTTAAAAATATTAAGTCTTCCAATCTATGAACACAGGATATCTGTCCCTTTATTTGTGTTTTCTTCAATTTCTTTCTTCAGTGTTTTATAGTTTTCAGTGTGCAAGTCTTTCACCTCCTTGGTTAAATTTACTCATAAGTATTTTATTTTTTGACACTATTATAAATGGGATTGTTTTCTTAATTTTTGGGTATAGTTCATTGTTTGCATATAAAAGCTACTGATTTTTATGTTGATTTTGTGATTTGCAACTTTATTGAATTTATTAGTTCTGACAGTTTTTTGGTAGCATTTTAAGGTTTTCTAATATAAGATTATGTCATCTGCAAACAATTTTACTTCTTCCTTTCAAATTTGAATGCCTTTCCCCCCCCCTCATCTTGCCTAATTGCTCTGGCTAAGACTTCTAGTACAATGTTGAATAGAAGTGGTGAGAGTGGGCATCTTTGCTTTGCTTTTTTCCTATGTTAGAGGAAATGTTTTAACCTTTTTACCATCTAGTATGATGTTAACTGTGGACTTGTTGCATGATTTTTATTATGATGAGGTACATTCCTTCTATTCCTAATTTTTTGAAATTTTTTTTTAATCTTGAAAGGATGAATTTTGTAACAGAAGATTTTTCTGCATCTATCAAGATGACTATATGATTTTTATCCTTTATTCTGTTCAAATGGTGTATCACATTTATTGATTTTTATATGCTGAACCACCCCCACCCTCATATCTGAGGAATAAATCCTAGTTGATCGTGCTGTATTTGGTTTGCTAGTATTTTGTTAAGGATTTTTTCATCTGTGTTCATCAGGGATAGTTTTTTTGTCATGTCCTTGTCTGGCTTTGATATTAGGGTAATGCTGGCCTCATAGAATGAGTGTGGATAGGTTCTTTCCTCTTCATTTTTAGGGAAGAGTTTGAGAAGGATTGGCGTTAAGTTTTTCTTAAATATTTAGTAGAATTCACCAGTGAAGGCATTTGGCCCTGTGTTTTCCTTGGTTGTGAGATTTTTGATTACTGATTCAGTCACCTTAACATTATTTTATGTTTCTGTGTTTGTTAACTTAAGGCCTCCAGCTGCATCCGTGTTGCTGCATAGGACATGATTTCATTCTTTTTAAATGGCTACATAGTATTTCATGGTGTATATGTACCACATTTACCTTATGCATTCTGCCATTGATGGGCAGCAAGGTTGGTTCCATGTCTTTACTATTGTGAATAGTGCTGCAATGAACATACAGGTGCATGTGTCTTTTTGGTACAACAATTTGTTTTCTTTTGGCTGTATCCCCAGTAATGAAATTGTGGAATCAAATAGTAGTTCTGTTTTAAGTTCTTTGAGAAATCTCCAAACTGCTTTCCACAGTGGCTGAACTAATTTACATCCCCACCAACAGTGTAAAAGAATTCCCTTTTCTCTGCAGCCCAGCTAACACCTGTTATTCTTTGACTTTTTAATAAAAACCACTTCGACTGGTGTGAGATGGTATCTCATTGTGGTTTTGATTTGCATTTCTCTGATGACTAGTGATGCTGAGCATTTTTTCATATGTTTGTTGACCACTTGTATGTCTTCTTTTGAGAATTGTCTGTTCATGTCTTTTTAACCCCCACTTTTTAATGGGGTTATATTTTGCTTGTTGAATTATTTAAATTCCTTAAAGATTCTGGGTATTAGACCTTTGTTGGATGCATAGCTTGCAAGTATTTACTCCCATTCTGTAGGTTGTCTGTTTACTCTGTTGATAGTTTCTTTTGCTGTGCAGCAGTTCTTTAGTTTAATTAGGTCCCACTTGTCAAGTTTTGGTTTTGTTGCAATTGCTTTTGGTGAGGACTTAGTCATAAATTATTTTCCAAGACTGATGCCACAAGGTAGTCTTCTTTGGCTTAAATCCACCTGGTGTTCTATAATCTGTTACTTGAATATTGATATCTCTCTAGGTTTGGGAAGTTCTCTGTTATTATCCCTTTGAATAAACTATCTACCACTATATCTTTCTCTACCTCCTCTTTAAGGTCAGTGATTCTTATATTTGCCCTTTATGAGGCTATATTCTAGATCTTGTAGGAATACTTCATTCTTTTTTCTTTTGTCTCCCCTGACTTGTATTTTTAATAGCCTGTCTTCAAGGTCACTACTTATTTCATCTACTTGTTCAGTTGCACTATTAAGATACTCTGATATCAGTATATCAATTGCATTTTTCTATTCCAGAATTTCTGCTTGATTCTTTGTAATTATTTCAATCACTTTGTTAGATATATCTGATAGGATTCTGAATTCCTTCTCTGTGTTATCCTGAATTTTTTTGTTTCCTCAAAAGGGCTAATTTGAATTCTCTGCCTGAAAGGTCACATATCTCTGTCACTCTGGGATTGGTCCCTGGTGCCTTATTTAGTTCATTTGGTAAGGGCATGTTTTCCTGGATGGTCTTGAGGCTTGTGGATATTTGTTGGTGTCTGGACAGTGAAGAGTTAGGTATTTACTGTAGTCTTTGCAGTCTGGGCTTATTTGTATCCATCATTTTTGGGAAGACTTTCTAATATTTGAAGGGATTTGCATGTTGTGTGCTATGTTTTTGGTCACAGCAGCCGTATCTGCCTTAGAAGGCACCCCAAGCCCAGTAACACTGTGAGTCTTGCAGACTTTTAGAGGTCTCACCTTGGTGGTGTTGGATGGGGTCCAGAAAAATTCTCTGGATTACCAAGCAGAGACTCTTTGTTCTCTTCCCTTGCTTTCTCTCTAACAAATGGAGTCTGTTTTTCTGTATTGAACTGTCTGGAGCTAGGGGAGGAGTGATACAAGCACCCCTGTGGCCACTACCCCTGGGACTGCTGTGTCTGACCTGAAGCCAGCGTAGTACTGGGTCTCACCCAAGGCCTGCTGTAATCTGCTACCTGGCTACCACCTATGTTTGCTTAATGAACGAGGGCTCTAATAGCAGGTGAGGCGATGAAGCTTGCCAGGCTTGTGTCCTTCAATTCAGGGCAGCAAGTTCCCCCTGGCTCCTGGTGGGTGCAAAGATGCTGGCCAGGAACAAGGGCCTGGAGTCAGAATCCTTAGGGAGCTACCTGGTGCTCCTTTTTACTGTGGCTGATCTGGCACCCAAGCCACAAGAAAAAGTTTTTTTCTACTCTTCCCTCCTCTTTCCACAAGCAGAGGAGTATCTTCCTATGGCCACCACTGTCACAGGCCCGTGGGGAGTACTGCCAGGCTCCACTGATGTTCACTGAAGGCCCAAGGGCTCTTCAGTCAGCTTGTGATGAATGGTGCCGGGTCTGGGACTCATCTTGCAAGGCAGTGCACTTCTCTCTGGCCCAGGGTAGGTCCAGAAATGCCATCCAAGAGTCAAGGTCTGGAATTGGGGACCCAAGAGACTGCTTGGTGCTCTACCCCACTGTGGCTGACCTGGTACCTAAGCTGCAAGATAAAGTCCCCTTTCATCTTCCCCTTTTTTTTGTCAAGCAGAAGGAGACTCTCCCCATAGCCACCATAGCTGGGAATGTGTTGGCTCACACCTGAAGCCAGCACATCTCAGATTCTCACCCAAGGCCCATCTATGGTATGCACTACTTGGCTATCGCTGCTGATTGTTCAAAATGTGTTGGCTTTCTAGCCAGTGGGTGATGAATCCTTTCAGGACCTGGTCTTTCCTTTCAAGGCAGCAGATCCCCTTCTGGCCCTGGTTGTGTCTAGAAATGTTATCCAGTAGCTAGGGCTTGGAATGGGTGTCTCATGACTCTTCCTGGTGTCCTATCCTACCATAGCAGAGTTGTTATCCAAATTGCAAGACCAAGCCCTGTTTACTCTTCCCTTTCCTCTCCTCAAGCAGAAGGAAGGGGGTCTCTTGGAGCTGCAACCTGTGCTGCCTGGGCTTGGGGGAGGGGCAGGGTAGGCACTCCCTTGGCCACCCAGGCTGGTGTCTCACATGCCCCCTAAGTTTACTGACTCCATACCCACAAGGACTTGCCTTGTGGCCTAGACTGCCTTTCAGGTTTATTTAGGACCCCAATGCACTTTAGCCGACAGCAATGAGGCTTGCTACAACTCAAGTTCCAATTACTGGAATGGATGATTGCCCTCTGACTAGGGCTGGTCTAAATGTGCTCTCCATTGACGTCAACTGATTTGTGCCTAGTGTTTTCTGCTGTGAAAGGGCGGCACTGAGTTGCGATGCAGAGTCTCACAATCATTGCACTCTCTATCCCCCAAACGCACAGATTCTTCCCATTATGTGGCTGTGAATGGGGAAGGGATGGTGTGGGCAATTCAAGACTGTCTTTCCTACCCTCTTCAGTGCCTCTTTCAGTTATATGAAGTTAAGACCAGGCACTGTGACCACTCACCTGATTTTTGGTTCCTACAAAATTGCTTTTTTTGTGCAGATAGTTGTCAAGTTTGGTGCTCCTGCAGGGAGAATGATCAGTGGAGACTTCCATTTGGCCATCTTGCTCTATCTCCCTCTACATTTATTTTGTATCCTGAAATTTTACTGAAGTCATTTATTAGTTCTAAGAGCCTTTTTTTTTTTTGGAGGCTTTAGTGCTTTCTAGTTATAGAATCATAATGTCAGTGAAGGGAGATAGTTTGACTTCTTCTTTTCCTATTTGGATGCTTTTAATTTCTTTCTCTTGCCTGATCGGTCTGGCTAGGATATATAGTACGTATTAGGCCATTCTTGTTTGCTATAAATACTTGAGACTGTTTTAATTTATAAGAAAAAAGGTTTAATTGGTTCATGGTTCTGTAGGCTGTACAGGAAACATAGTGCTGTCATCTGCTTCTGGTAAGGCCTCAGAAAGCTTTTTCTCATGGCAGAAGGTGAAGCGGGAGCAGACATTTCACCCGGCAAAAGCAGAAGAAAGAGAGTGAGGGTGGGAGGGAAAGTGCCACCCACTTCTACAAAACCAGATTTCGTGAGAACTCATTCACTCATCACCAAGGGGATGGGCTAAGCCATTCATGAGAGATATGCCCCCATGATCCAAACATCTTCCAGCAGGCCCTATCTCCAACACTGGAGATTACAAGTCAACATGAGATTTGGGCAGGGACATTCAAACTACACCACAGTACTATGTTGAATAGAAGTGGTGAGTGTGGGCGTCCTTGTTTGTTCCAGTTCTCAAGGGAAATGTTCCTAGTTTTGGCCTGTTCATTATGATGTTGGCCGTGGGTTTGTCATAGATGGCTCTTATTATTTTGAGATATGTTCCTTTGATGCCTAGTGTATTGGGGGTTTTTTATCATGAATGGGTGTTGGATTTTATTGAATGCATTTTCTGTGACTATTAGAGATGATCATGTGGTTTTTGTTTTTAATTCTGTTTATGTGGTCAGTCACATTCATTGATTTGAATATATTGAACCAATCTTGTATCCCAGGAATAAAGCCTACTTGATCGTGGTGAATTAACTTTTTAATGTGTTGCTGGATTCAGTTTGCTAGTATTTTGTTGAGGATTTTTGCATTGATGTTCATCAGTGATATTGGCTGGAAGTTTTGTTTTTTGTTGTTCCTGCCAGATTTAGGTATCAGGATGATGCCACCATCAGGATGATGCATCGTAGAATGAATTACGGAGGAGTCTCTCCTCTTTGATATTTTGGAATATTTTCAGTAGGATTGGTACCAGCTCTTCTTTGCATGCCTGGTAGAATTTGGATGTAAATTCTAGGTCCAGGGCTTTGTTGTCATTGTTGTTTTTGTCGTTGTTGATCTTCTTTCTCTATTTTCTTTGTTAATTTAGCTACCAGTCTGTGAATCTTGTTTATTCTTTCAAATAAAACCAAGTTTTGGTTTCGTTGATCTTTTGTATACAGTTTTACATCTCAATTTTATTCAGTTTTGCTATGGTTTTAGTCATTTTTTTTTCTTTTGTTAGCTTTGAGGTTAGTTTGTTTTTGTTTTTCTAATTCCTCTAGTTGTGATGTTACATTGTTAATTTTAGATCTTTCTAACTTCTTGATACAGGCATTTCATGCTATAAACTTTCCTCTTAACACTGCTTTTGCTGCATCCCAGATATATATTTGTGTGTGTATATATATATATATATATATATATATATATATATATATATATTTTTTTTTTTTTTTTTTTTTTTTTTTTTGAGACAGAGCCTTGCCCTGTAGCTCAGGCTGGAGTGCAGTGGGACCATCTTGGCTCACTGCAACCTCTGCCTCCTGGGTTAAAGCGATTCTCCTGCCTCAGCCTCCTGCATAGCTGGAACTACAGGCGTGTACCATGCCTGGCTAATTTTTTTTTTTTTTTTGAGACGGAGTTTTGCTCTTGTTGCCCGTGCTGGAGTGCAATGGCGCAATCTCGGCTCACCACAACCTCTGCCTCCTGGGTTCAAGTGATTCTCCTGCCTCAGCCTCTCGAGTAGCTGGAATTACAGGCATGTGCCACCATGCCCGGCTAATTTTGCATTTTTGGTAGAGACGGAGTTTCTTCATGTTGGTCAGGCTGGTCTTCAACTCCTGACCTCAAGTGATCCACCCGCCTCGGCCTCCCAAAGTGCTGGGATTACAGGCGTGAGCCACTGCATGGCCCATCCCAGAGATTTTGGCATGTCGTGTATCTTAATTAATTTCAAAGTATTTTTTATTTCTGCCTTAATTTTATTGTTTACCTGAAATCACTCAGTAACAAGTTGTGCTTAATTTCCAGGTAATTGTGTGGTTTTAAGGGATCTTCTTTGGTATTCATTTCTATTTTTATTGCACTGTGGTCTGAGTGTATGCTTGGTATGATTTCAGTTTGTTTGAATTCATTGAGATGTGCTTTATGCCCGAACATGTGGTCAATCTTAGAGTATGTTCTGCATGCAGATGAGAAGAATGTGTGTTCCATGGTTGCTGAGTGACATATTTTGTAGAAATCTATTAGGTCCAATTGTTCAAGTGTTGAATTTAAGTGCAGAATTTCCTCATAAGTTTTCTGCCTTGATGATCTGTCTAACGCTGTCAGTGGGTTCTTGAAGTTCCCCTTATTATTGTGTGACTGAGGCTATTCATAGGTCTAGAAGTACTTGTTTTATGAATCAGCGTTCTCTAATGTTGGGTGTATATATATTTAGGATAATTAAGTCTTCTTGTTGAATTGAATCCTTTATTGTTATGTAATGTCCTTTGTCCTTTTTGACTATTGTTGGTTTAAAGTCTGTTTTATCTGATATAAGAATAGTGACCCCTGCTTTTTTTTCTGTTTTTATGATAGATCTTTCTCCATCACTTTACTTTGAGCCTGTAGGTGTCATTACATGTGAGATGCATCTCTTAAAGATAGCAGATGATGGTTTCCAGCTTCATCCATGTCCCTACAAAGGACATGAACTCATCATTTTTATGGCTGCATAGTATTCCATGGTGTATATGTGCCACGGTATACATATGTAACAAACCTGCATGTTGTGCACATGTACCCTAAAACTTAAAGTATAATAATAAAAAAAAGACAGCAAATGATTGGGTCTTGTTTTTTATCCAACTTGCCATTCTTGAAACTTCTGACCTGTGTGCTCAAACGATGCAGGATTGGGACTGGGCCTGCAGCTTTGTACTCTGGCCCCTCATAGTTGAACACTAGCTGTCCTAGCGGGGCTGAAGTGCACCCAAGCCACTGGCAAAGCACTCAGGCAGGGCAGTGGAGGCTATGCTGTGTGCTTGCTCTTGTAGGAGAATCCAGGCAGGAGCCTTGGGAGGTGTTGCCGACAGAGGGGCATGCAGATCAGATGCACTCCAGTACTGCAGGAAAGCCATCTCTGCTCTATCCTCTCTCTTGGCCCAGCAGTCATCAGGGTCGTGTTTTACTGCAGCTGCCTTGCATGCAGAACCTTCTGGGCTCTGCGCAGGCTTGAGCTCTGCCTCTGTCTACTCTCCTGGCATTTTACCCTGCCAATTTAAATGTCTATGGAGTTTGTGGAATCTCTTGTAGCTAGGATCCCAGAGGTCCGTGGTGGGAGTGTGTTGACTCATAATTCCTTCATTTACCCCTTCCTTAGGACCTGTTGAAGGCTGAGAGCTGGTCCTGGTGCTTGGTGACTCCATGCGGAGTTCCCAGTTTCCTGTGCCTCTTCCAAGTCAGTGTCTGTGTTGCCTCTCTGTTGACTTTCAGTGTTTTCTCTCAAAAGATGTGTTTGAAGTGTGATGGTTTACTTGATATTTGGTTTCTCTTGGTGAGAGAGGTGCTTCCCAGCTGTGTCTTGAACCATCTTGTTCCTTATCCAAGTTTGTACTTTTTAATCATCATCTCTACATTCTCTCCACAGCTCTGTCTCTGTAACCACCATTCTACTCTGTGCTTGTACGAGTTCAGTTGTTTTAGATTCCAGGTACAATTTAAAACATGTGGTATTTGACTCTCCGTGCTGGACTTATTTCACTTAGCATAATATCTTCCTGGTTCATCCATGTTGTCACAAATCACAGTTTTTCCATTCTTTTAAAGGCTGAATAGTATTCCATTGTGTATATAATGCTACATTTTTTAATCCATTTATTTGTTGAGGGACACTTAGGTGGATTGTGTAACTTGGCTATTGTGAGTAGCGTTGCAGTGAACCCAGAAGTGTAGACGTCTCTTTGACAAACTGACTTCAAATATTTGGGGTAAATACCCAAAAGCTGCATCATATAGTAATTTTATTTTTAGTTTGTTGAGGAACTTCTATACAGTTTTCCATAATGTTTGTACTAATTTACATTCTCATTGACAATGTACAAGGGTTTCCTTTTTTCACATCCTTGCCAACTCTTGTTATCTTTCGTCTCCCCATAATCATTCTGACAGGTATGAGGTGATATCTCATTGTGGGTTTTTTGTTTGTTTGTTTGTTTGAGACAGAGTCTTGCTCTCGGCTCACTTCAACCTCCGCCTCCAGGGTTCAAGTGATTATCGTGCTTCAGCTTCCCGAGTAGCTGGGATCACAGGCGCCTGCCACCATGCCTAGCTAATTTTTGTATTTTTAGTAGAGACAGGGTTTTGCCATGTTGGCCAGGCTGGTCTCAAACTCCTAAGCTCAGGTGATTTGCTTGCCTTGGCCTCCCAAAGTTTGGGATTACAGGCGTGAGCCACCACACCTGCCCTCACTGTGGTTTTAATTTGAGCTTCCCTAATGTGTAGCGATTTTGAGCATTTTTTCATATATCTGTTGGCCATTTGTATGTGTTCTTTTGAGAAATGTGTATTCACTTTTCTTGCCAACTTTTTTTTTTTTGAGACAGGGTCGTGTTGTATTTCCCAAAGTGGTCTTGTGCTGGTCTCGTACTCCTGTGCTCAAGCAATCCTCCTGCATCAGCCTCTGGAGTAGCTAGGATTATAGATGTGTGCCACCATGCCTGGCTTTTTGCCCATTATTTATTTGGATTATTTGTTTTCTTGCTCTCTCTCTCTCTCTCTCTCTCTCTCTCTCTCTCTCTCTCTATATATATATATATATATATATATATATATATATATAATCAAAACCCTTACTGGATATATGGATTAGAAATACTTTCTCCCAATCTGTAGGTTGACTCTTTGCACTGTTAATTGCTTTCATTGCTGTGCAAAAGCTTTTTAGCTTGATATAACCCCACTTGTCTCTTTTTGCCTTTGTTTCCTGTGCTTTTGTGGTCAAATCCAAGAAAACATTGCCCAGACCAGGCCATGTAGTTTTTCCCCTGTGTGTGTGTGTGTGTGTGTGTGTGTGTGTGTGTGTGTGTGTGTTTCCCAAGAGATTTACATTTTCTGATCATCAGGGTTATTGTAGTTTTATTTTCTTGGAATGTCTTTGTCTGGCTTTAGTATCAGGGTAATGCTGACCCTGTTAAAAGAGTTTGGAAGTATTGGTTTTTTTTGTATTTTGGAAGAATTACATTTAGGTCTTTAATCCATTTTAAGTTGATTTTTGTACGTGGTGGGAGAGAAGGTTTAAATTTCATTCTTCTGTGTGTGGATATCCAGCTTTCCCAACATCATTTGTTGAAGAGACTATCCTTTTTTCATTGCATATTCTTGGCACCTTTGTTGAAAACCAATTGACCACACATGTGTGGGTTCATTTCTGGGCTCTCTATTCTGTTCCATTGGTTGACACGTCTATTTTTATGCCACTACCATGTTGTTTTAATTACTATAGCTTTGTAATATAGTTTGAAATTAGGTTGTGTGAACCATCCAGCTGTATTCTTTTTGCTCATTGTAGCATTTGCTAATTGGTGTTTTTTGTGGATCCATACACATTTTAGTGTCGTTTTCCCATTTCTATGAAAATTGATATTGGAATTTTTATAGGGATTGCATTGAATCTGCATATCACTTTTGGTAGTATGGATATTGTAACAATATGAATTCTTTCAATCCATGAACATGGGGTATCTTTCCATTTGTGTTTTCAGTTTTTTTTTTCAGTTTATAGTTTTCAGTATACATGCCTTTCACTTCCTTGGTTAAATTTATTTCTAGGTATTGGATTTTTTTGTAGCTATTATAAGTTAGATTGTTCTCTTTATTTCATTTTTGGATAGTTCATTGATCGTGCCTAGAAACACTATTGATTTTTGCATGTACAATTTGCATTTTGCAACTTTACTGTATTTTTTTATTCATTCTTAACAGTTTTTTGGTGGAGTATTCAGGATTTTCTAATATAAAATCATGTTGTCAGCATCTGATACAATTTCACTTCTTCCTTTCTTGTTTGGATGTCTTTTACTTTCTTTCTTTTGCTTAATTGCTCTGGTGAGGACTTCCAATATTATGTTGGATCGAAATGGCAAGAGGGGGCCGGGTGCAGTGGCTCATATCTGTAATCCCAGCACTTTGGAAGGCCGAGGTGGGCGGATCACGAGGTCAGGAGATTGAGACCATCCTGGCCAACATGGTGAAACCCCGTCTCTAGTAAAAGTACAAAAATTAGCTGGGTGTGGCAGCATGTGCCTATAATCCCAGATACTTGGGAGTCTGAGGCAGAAGAATCATTTGAACCTGGGAGGTGGAGGTTGCAATGAGTTGAGATTGTGCCACTGCACTCCAACCTGGTGACAAAGCTAGACTCCATCTAAAAAAAAGAAAAAAAGTGGCAAGAGGGGGATTCCTTGTCTTGTTCTAGATCTTAGAGTAAAGGTTTCAGTTTTTTACTGTTGAGTATAATGTTAGCTGTGGGTTTCTTATATATGGACTTTATTGTGTTAAGATACGTTCTTTTTATATCTAATTTGGTGAGAGTTTTATAATGAAAAAATGTTGAATTTTGTCAGATGCTTTATTTATTTATTTGGGATGGAGTTTTGCTTTTGTTGCCCAGGCTGGAGTGCAATGGCACAATCTTGGCTCACTGCAACCTCCTTCTCCCAGGTTCAAGTGATTCTCCTGCCTCAGCCTCCCGAGTGGCTGGAATTACAGGCATGAGCCACCATGCCTGGCTAATTTTGTATTTTTAGTAGAGATGGGGTTTCTCCAAGTTGGTCAGGCTGGTTTCGAACTCCTGACCTCAGGCAATCCGCCCGCTTTGGCCTCCCACGGTGCTGGGATTATAGGTGTGAGTCACCACACCGGGACAGTCAGATGCTTTTTCCACATCAAATCAGAGGATCATATGTTTTTTGTCCTTTACTCTGTTAATGTGACATACCACATTTACGTTTTGCATATTTTGAACTATTCCATCTCAGGAATAAATCCCACCTGATCATAGTGAATGATCCTTTTAATGTGTTGTTGAATTCAGTTGCTAGTATTTTGTTGAGGATATTTGCATCTATGTTCATCAAGGTTATTGGTCTGTAATTTTCTTTTCTTGGAATGTCCTTGTCTGGATTTGGTATCAGGGTAACGCTAATCTTGTTAATAAAGTTTGGAAGCATTCCCCCTTCTGATTTTTTGGAAGAGTTTGGGAAGGATTGCCATTCATTCTATTATTTATTTATCTATTTATTTTATTATACTTCAAGTTCTACGGTACATGTGCATGCACAATGTGCAAGTTTGCTACATAGGTATACATGTGCCATGTTGGTTTGCTGCACCCATCAACTCATCATTTACATTAGGTATTTCTCCTAATGCTATCCCTCCCCCAAGCCCACCACCTCCTGACAGGCCCTGGTGTGTGATGTTCCCCACCCTGTGTCCAAGTGTTCTCATGGTTCAATTCCCACCTATGAGTGAGAACATGTGGTGTTTGGTTTTCTGTCCTTGTGATAGTTTGCTCAGAATGATGGTTTCCAGCTTCATCCATGTCCCTACAAAGGACATGAACTCATCCTTTTTTATGGCTGCATAGTATTCCATGCTGTATATGTGCCATATTTTCTTAATCCAGTCTATCATTGATGGACATTTGGGTTGGTTCCAAGTCTTTACTATTGTGAATAGTGCCACAATAAACATATGTGTGCACGTATCTTTATAGTAGCATGATTTATAATCCTTTGGGTATATACCCAGTAATGGGATCGCTGGGTCAAATGCTATTTCTAGTTCTAGATCCTTGAGGAATCGCCACACTGTCTTCCACAATGGTTGAAGTAATTTACACTCCCACCAACAGTGTAAAAGCGTTCCTATTTTTCCACAACCTTACCAGCACCTGTTGTTTCCTGACTTTTTAATGATCTCTATTCTAACGGGTGTGAGATGGTATCTCATTGTGGTTTTGATTTGCATTTCTCTGATGGCCAGTGATGATGAGCATTTTTTCATGTGTCTGTTGGCTGCATAAATGTTTTCTTTTGAGAAGTGTCTGTTCATATCCTTCACCCACTTTTTGATGGGGCTGTTTGATTTTTTCTTGTAAATTTGTTTGAGTACATTGTAGATTCTGCGTATTAGCCCTTTGTCAGATGAGTAGGTTGTGAAAATTTTCTCCCATTTTGTAGGTTGCCTCTTCACTCTGATGGTGGTTTCTTTTGCTGTGCAGAAGCTCTTTAGTTTAATTAGATCCCATTTGTCAATTTTGGCTTTTGTTGCCATAGCTTTTGGTGTTTTAGTCATGAAGTCTTTGCCAGTGCCTATGCCCTGAATGGTATTGCCTAGATTTTCTTCTAGGTTTTTTATGGTTTCAGGTCTAACATTTAATCCATCTTGAATTAATTTTTGTATAAGCTGTATGGAAGGGATCCAGTTTCAGCTTTCCACATATGGCTAGCCAGTTTTCCCAGCACTATTTATTAAATAGGGAATCCTTTCCCATTTCTTGTTTTTGTCAGGTTTGTCAAAGATCAGATGGTTGTACATGTGTGGTATTATTTCTGAGGCCTCTGTTCTGTTCCATTGGTCTATATATCTGCTTTAGTACCAGTGTCATGCTGTTTTGGTTACTGTAGACTTGTAGTATAGTTTGAAGTCAGGTAGTGTGATGCCTCCAGCTTTGTTCTTTTTGCTTAGGATTGTCTTGGCAATGTGGGCTCTTTTCTGTTTCCATATAAACTTTAAAGTAGTTTTTTCCAATTCTGTGAAGAAAGTCATTGGTAGCTTAATGGGGATGGCATTGAATCTATAAATTACCTTGGGCAGTATGGCCATTTTCACGGTATTGATTCTTCCTACCCATGAGCATGGAATGTTCTTCCATTTCTTTGTATCCTCTTTTATTTCGTGGAGCAGTGGTTTGTAGTTCTCCTTGAAGAGGTCCTTCACATCCCTTGTAAGTTGGATTCCTAGGTATTTTATTCTCTTTGCAGCAATTGTGAATGGGAGTTCACTCATGATTTGGCTCTCTGTTTGTACTTGGTGTATAAGAATGCTTGTGATTTTTGTACATTGATTTTGTATCCTGAGACTTTGCTGAAGTTGCTTATCAGCTTAAAGAGATTTTGGGCAGAGATGATGGGGTTTTCTAAATATACAATCATGTCACCTGCAAACAGAGACAATTTGACTTCCTCTTTTCCTAATTGAATACCCTTTATTTCTTTCTCCTGCCTAATTGCCCTAGCCAGAACTTCCAACATTATGTTGAATAGGAGTGGTGAGAGAGGGCATCTTTGTCTTGTGCCGGTTTTCAAAGGAAATGCTTTCAGTTGTTGCCCATTCAGTATGATATTGGCTGTGGGTTTTGTCAGAAATAGCTCTTATTTTTTTGAGATACGTTCCATCAATACCTAGTTTATTGAGAGTTTTTAGCATGAAGAGCTGTTGAATTTTGTTGAAGGCCTTTTCTGCATCTATTGCGATAATCATGTGGTTTTTGTCATTGGTTCTCTTTATGTGATGGATTACATTTATTGATTTGCATACGTTCAACCAGCCTTGCATCCCAGAGATGAAGCTGACTTGATCGTAGTGGATAAGCTTTTTGATGTGCTGCTGGATTCGGTTTGCCAATATTTTATTGAGGATTTTTGCATCAATGTTCGTCAGGGATATTGGTCTAAAATTCTCTTTTTTTTTGTTGTGTCTCTGCCAGGCTTTTGTATCAGGATGATGCTGACCTCATAAAATGAGATAGGGAGGTTTCCCTCTTTTTCTATTGATTGGAATAGTTTCAGAAGGAATGGACCAGCTCCTCTTTGTACCTCTGGTAGAATTCGGCTGTGAGTCCATCTGGTCCTGGACTTTTTTTTGGTTGGTAGGCTATCAATTATTGCCTCAATTTCAGAACCTGTTATTCACCTATTCGGAGATTCAACTTCTTCCTGGTTTAGTCTTGGGAGGATGTAAGTGTCCAGGAATTTATCCATTCCCTCGAGATTTTCTTGTTTATTTGCATAGATGTGTTTATAGTATTCTCTGATGGCAGTTTGTATTTCTGTGGGATCAGTGGTGATATCCCCTTTGTCATTTTTTATAGCGTCTATTTGATTCTTCTTTCTTTTCTTCTTTGTTAGTCTTGCTAGCGGTCTATCAATTTTGTTGATCTTTTCAAAAATCCAGCTCTTGGATTCATTGATGTTTTGAAGGGATTTTTGTGTCTCTCCTTCAGTTCTGCTCTGATCTTAGTTATTTCTTGCCTTCTGCTAACTTTGAATTTGTTTGCTCTTGCTTCTCTAGTTCTTTTAATTGTGATGTTAGGATGTCGATTTTAGATCTTTCCTGCTTTCTCTTGTGGGCGTTTAGTGGTATAAATTTCCCTCTACACACTGCTTTAAATGTGCCCCAGAGATTCTGGTATGTTGTGTCTTTGTTCTCATTGGCTTCAAAAAACATCTTTAATTCTGCCTTCATTTTGTTATTTACCCAGTAGTCATTGAGGAGCAGGTTGTTCAGTTCCCATGTAGTTGTGTGTTTTGAGTGAGTTTCTTAATCCTGAGTTCTAATTTGATTGCACTGTGGTCTGAGAGACAGTTTCTTGTGATTTCTGTTCTTTTACATTTGCTGAGGAGTGCTTTACTTCCAATTATGTGGTCAATTTTAGAATAAGTGCGATGTGGTGCTGAGAAGAATGTATATTCTGTTGATTTGGGGTGGAGAGTTCTGTAGGTGTCTATTAGGTCCAATTGGTCCAGAGCTGAGTTCAAAGTCCTGGATATCCTTGTTAACCATCTGTCTTGTTGATCTGTCTAATATTGACAGTGGGGTGTTAAAGTCTCCCATTATTATTGTGTGGGAGTCTAAGTCTCTTTGTAGGTCTCTAAGGATTGTTTTGTGAATATGGATGCTCCTGTATTGGGTGCATATATATTTAAGATAGTTAGCTCTTCTTGTTTTATTGATCCTTTTACCATTATGTAATGGCCTTCTTTGTCTTTTTTGATCTTTACTGGTTTAAAGTGTGTTTTATCAGAGACTAGGATTGCAACCCCTGTTTTTTTTTTTTTTTTTTTTTGCTTTCCATTTGCTTGGTAGATCTTCCTCTATTTTTAAATTTTGAGCTTATGTGTGTCTCTGCACGTAAGATGGGTCTCCTGAACACAGCACACTGATGGGTCTTGACTCTTTATCCAATTTGCCAGTCTGTGTCTTTTAATTGGGGCATTTAGCCCATTTACATTTAAGGTTAATATTGTTATGTGTGAATTTAATCCCGTCACTATGATGTTAGCTGGTTAGTTTGCCCGTTAATTGATGCAGTTTCTTCCTAACATCGATGGTCTTTACAATTTGGCATGTTTTTGCAGTGGCTGGTACCAGTTGTTCCTTTCCATGTTTAGTGCTTCCTTCAGGAGCTCTTGTAAGGCAAGCTTGGTGGTGACAAAATGTCTTAGCATTTGCTTGTCTGTAAAGGATTTTATTTCTCCTTCACTTATGAAGCTTAGTTTGGCTGGATATGAAATTCTGGGTTGAAAATTCTTTTCTTTAAGAATGTTGAATATTGGCCGCCATTCTCTTCGGGCTTATAGGGTTTGTGCCAAGAGATCAGCTGTTAGTCTGATGGGCTTCCCTTTGTGGGTAACCCAACCTTTCTTTCTGGCTGCCCTTAAAATTTTTTCCTTCATTTCAACCTTGGTGAATCTGACAATTATGTGTCTTGTGGTTGCTCTTCTTGAGGGGTATCTTTGTGGTGTTCTCTGTATTTCCCTGAATTTGAATGTTCACCTACCTTGCTAGGTTGGGGAAGTTCTCCTGGATAATATCCTGAAGAGTGTTATCCAGCTTGGTTCCATTCTCCACCTCAGTTTCAGGGACACCAATCAAACGTAGATTTGGTCTTTTCACATGGTCCCATATTTCTTGGAGATTTTGTTCATTTCTTTTTACTCTTTTTTCTCTAAACTTGTCTTCTCACTTTATTTCATTAATTTGATCTTCAATCAGTGGTACCCTCTCTTCCACTTGATCGAATCAGCTACTGAAGCCTGTACATGTGTCACGAAGTTTTCGTGCTATGGTTTTCAGCTCCATTAGGTCATTTAAGGTCTTCTCTACACTGTTTGTTCTAGTTAGCCATCCGACTAACCTTTTTTCAAGATTTTTAGCTTCCTTGAGATGGATTGGAACATGCTTCTTAGCTTGGAGAAGTTTGTTATTACTGACCTTCTGAAGCCTAATTCTGTGAACTCATGAAAGTCATTCTCCATCCAGCTTTGTTCCATTGCCGGTGAGGAGCTGTGATCCTTTGGAGGAGAAGAGGCTCTCTGGTTTTTAGAATTTTCAGTTTTTCTGCTCTGGTTTCTCCCCATCTTTGTGGTTTTCATCTACCTTTGGTATTTGATGTTGGTGACCTACAGATGGAGTTTTGGTGTAGATGTCCTTTTTGTTGATGTTGATGCTATTTCTTTCTGTTTGTTAGTTTTCCTTCTACCAGTGAGGTCCCTCAGCTGCAGGTCTGTTGGAGTTTGCTGGAGGTCCACTCCAGACCCTGTTTGCCTGGGTATCACCAGCGGAGGCTGCAGAATAGCAAATATTGCTGCCTGATCCTTTCTCTGGAAGCTTCATCCCAGAGGGGCATCTGCCTATATGAGGTGTCTGTTGGCCCTTACTGGGAGGTGTCTCACATTTAGGCTACACGGGGGTCAGGGACCCACTTGAGGAGGCAGTCTGTCCATTCTCCGAGCTCAAACACTGTGCTGGGAGAACCACTGCTCTCTTCAGAGCTGTCAGACAGGGACTTTTAAGTGTGCAGAAGTTTCTGCTGCCTTTTGTTCAGCTCTGCCCTGTCCACAGAGGTGGAGTCTATAGAGGCAGTGGGCCTTGCTGAGCTGCGGTGGGCTCCGACCAGCTTGAGCTTCCCAGCCGCTTTGTTTACCTACTCAAGCCTCAGCAATGGCAGATGCCCCTCCCCCAGCCAGGCTGCAGCCTTGCAGTTAGAACTCAAACTGATGCGCTAGCAGTGAGCAAGGCTCCATGGGCGGGGACCCTCCAAGCCAGGCACGAGAGGGAATTTCCTGGTCTGCCGGTTGTGAAGACTGTGGGAAAGGCACAGTATTTGGGCAGGAGTGTACTGTTCCTCCAGGTACAGACTGTCACAGCTTCCCTTGGCTAGGAAAGGGAAGTCCTCAGACCCCCTGTGCTTCCCCCATGAGTCAACGCTCCACCCTGCTTTGGTTCACCCTCCATGGGCTACACCCACTGTCCAACCAGTCCCAATGAGATGAACCATGTACCTCAGCTGGAAATGCAGAAATCACCCATCTTCTGCGTCGATCACGCTGGGCGCTGCAGAGCAGAGCTCTTCCTATTTGGCCATCTTTGAATGGAAAACCTGGCATTCCTTATTTTATAAATGTTTTTCTTGTCTTGTCTTTTTTTTGTGTGTGCGTGATGGAGTCTTGCTCTGTCACCCAGGCTGGAGTGCAGTGGAAGGATCTTGGCTTACTGCAACCTTTGCCTCCCAGGTTCAAGCGATTCTCCTGTCTCAGCCTCCCAAGTAGCTGGGATTACAGGCATGTGTAGCCATGCCTGGCTAGTTTTTGTATTTTTAGTAGAGACAAGCTTTCATCATGTTGGCCAGGCTGGTTGCTGGTCTCAAACTCCTGACCTCAGGCAATCTGCACACCTCGGCCTCCCAAGGTGCTGGGATTACAGGCATGAGCCACTGTGCCTGGCCAAATGTTTTTAATATATGTTTTATAATTAGTTTTTTAAAAAATATTTTAGAAATTCAGCAGTGAACCCATCAGGTCCTTGGCTTTTCTTTGAATGAAGACATTTTATTACTGGATTTAATTTTTAATCATTATTTGTTCAGATTTTCTGATTCAATCTTGATATGTTGTATATATCTAGGAATTTATCCATTTCTTCTAGGTTATCTAGTTTGTTGATGTATAATTGTAATTGTTCATAGCAGTCTCTTATGATTCTTTATTCTTGATATCAGTTGTAACATCTCCTCTCTCATTTCTGATTTTATTTGATTACTCTCTATATCTTGGTTTTGCTAAATGCTTGACAATTTTATCCTTTTAGAAAACCAACTTTTAGTTTCGTTGATCTATTGTATTTTTTTGGCCTCTATTTTATTCATTTCTGCTCTGATCTTTATTTTTTTTCTGCCTGTTAACTTTGGGCTTTGTTCTTATTCTAGTTCCTCGAGGAGCAACGTTGTTTATTTGAGATATTTCTTTTTTGATGTAGGCATTTATTGCTGTAAACTTTCTTTTTTTTTTTTTTTTTTGAGACGGGGTCTCACTCTGTTGCCAAGGCTGGAGTGCAGTGGCATGATCTCAGCTCACTGCAACCTTCACCTACTGGGTTCAAGCAATTCTCCTCCCTCAGCCTCCCGAGTAGCTGGGATTACAGGCACCCACGACCACTCTTGGCTAATTTTTGTATTTTTAATAGGGACGGGGTTTCACCATCTTGGCCAGGCTGGTCTAGAACTCCTGACCTCATGATCCACCCACCTCGGCCTCCCAAAGTGCTGGGATTACAGGCGTGAGCCACCATGCCCAGCTTCCTATTAGTTTTGGTATGGATTGTTTTTATTTTCATTTGTCTGAAGGTACTTAAAATTTTTTTTTAATTTTTAAAATGTGTACATACATATATATATGTTTGTAGTGACAGGTTCTTGCCATGTTGCCTAGACTAATCTCAAGAAAGCTTCCTGCCTGGGCCTCCTGAAATGATGAGATTGCAGGCATGAGCCACCTCTAGATGCTTTTAAATTTCCCTTTTAAGTTATTCATTGACCTGCTGATTGTTCATGAGCATGGTGTTTAATTTCCATGTATTTGTGATTTTTCCAAAATTCTTCCTGTTATTGATTTCTAGTTTCATACCATTTTGGTCAGAAAGGATACTTGATATGATTTTAGTTTTTTTTAAATTTCAAAATTTTAAAAGCTCAAGGATCGCTTGAGCCCAGGAGTTTGAGACCAGCCTAGGCATCGTAGCAAGACCTTGTCTCTACCAGAAAAACAAACAAACAAACAAAAAACAAAAACAAACAAACAAACAAACAAAACATAGCCTGGTGTGGTAGCCTGCATCTGTAGTTCCAGCTCCTTGGGAGGCTGAGATGGGAGGGTTGCTTGCATCTGGGAGGTTGAGGCTACAGTGAGCTATGATAGTGTCAGTGTACTCCAGCTTGGGTAACAGAGTGAGGCCCTGTTTTTTGTTGTTGTTGTTGTTGTTTGTTTGTTTTAAAGCCCCACTTTCTAATACTATCATCTTTGTGGTTAGGATTTCAACATAGGAATTGTGGGGGAACACAAACATTCAGACCATTAGTACTTACTGATTTTCTTTTTCATAGATCTATTCTGTTTTCAAAGTGGGGTACTGAAGTCTCCTACTATTGTTGTATTGCTGTTTATTTCTCCCTTCAGTCATGTTGATACTTGGTTTATATTTTAGGTGATGTTAAGTAGATATATATTTACAACTGTTATATCCTCTTGATGAATTGACTCCTTTATCATTATATAATGCCCTTCTTTGTCTCTGGTGACAGTTTTTGACATAAATTCTATTTTTTTCTGATATAAGTATACCCAACCCTGCTCTCTTTTGGTTGCTATTTGCATGGAATGTATTTTTTCCATCCCTTCACTTTCAGCCTATGTGTGTCCTTAAAGCTAAAGTGAGTATCTTGTAGGAAGGAAATAGATTTGTTGTTTTATCCATTCAGCCAGTTTGTGTCTTTTGGTTGGAGAAATTAATCCATTACAGTTAAATTAATTATTGATAAGTAAGGACTTAACTATTGTCATTTTATTAGTTGTTTCCTGAATGTTTTATAGTTTCTTTGCTCTTCCCTTCTTGCTGTCTTCCTTTGTGACTTGATTTTTTTTTTATAGTGGTATGGTTTGATCCCTTCTTCTTTATTTTGTGTGTATCAGCTATAATATTTTGCCTGTGGTTGCCATGACAGTTATGTAAGACATCTTATACCAGTTTATTTATTTATTTATTATTTATAATTGCTGTTATTTTTTGAGATGGAGTTTTGCTCTTGGTGCCCAGGCTGGAGTGCAATGATGTGATATCGGCTCACCGCAACGTCTGCCTCCTGGGTTCAAGTAATTCTCCTGCCTCAGCCTCCCGAGTAGCTGGGATTACAGGCTTGCGCCACCACGCCCAGCTAATTTTGTATTTTTAGTAGAGACGGGGGTTTCTCCATGTTGGTCAGGCTGGTCTCGAACTCCTGACCTCAGGTGATCTGCCTGCCTCGGCCTCCCAAAGTGCTGGGATTACAGGCGTGAGCCACTGCGCCTGGCCACCAGTTTATTTTAAGCTGATAAAAACTTAATTATGATCACATAAAAAGCTCCACATTTTATTCCTTCCCCTCTACATTTTGTTTTTTGATGTCACAGTTTACATCATATTTTGTATTAATGAACAAGTTAATGTAACTGTAGTTACTTTAAATACTTTTTTCTTTGAATTTTAAACAAATTGAACATAAGCTGGGCATGGTGGCTCCTGGCTGTAATCCCAGCACTTTGGGAGACTGAGGTAGGTAGAATGCCTCAGCCCAGGAGTTCAAGACCAGCCTGGGCAACATGGCAAAACCTCCTCTCTACAAAAAAAAAAATAATAATAATAATAAATAAATAAAAGAATATAACACTTTACATATGTATGGGGTCCATGTAACTGTTTGTTACGTATGTAGAATGTGTAATGATAAAGTCGGGGTATTTGGGGTATCCATCACCTTGAGTATTTATCATTTCTATATGTTGGAAACATTTCAAGTCTTCTCTTCTAGCTATCTGAAATTGTTGCCTGACTCTGCTATTGAACATTAGAACTTATTCCTTCCAACTATATATTTGTAACCATTAACCAACCTCCCCTTTTCTCCCCTCTCCCACCCACACACCTTTCCTAGATTCTGGTATTATCATTCTATTTTCTACCTCCATGAGATCCACATTTTTAGCTCCCACTTCTGAGTGAGAACATATGATATTTGTCTTTCTATGCCTGGCTTCACTTAACATAATGACCTCCAGTTCCATCCATGTTATTGCAAATGACTGTATCTCATTCTTCTTCTTTTTTTTTTTTTTTCCAAGACAGGGTCTCACGCTGGTTGCCCAGGCTGGAGTACAGTGATGCAGTCTTGGCTCACTGTGGCCTCAACTTTCCGGGCTCAGATGATTCTCCCATCTCAGCCTCCCGAGTAGCTGGGACCACAGGCGTGCACCACCACGCCTGGCTAAATTTTTCTATTTTTAGTAGAGACAGGGTTTCACAATGTTGCCCAGGTTGGTCTCGAACTCCTGGACTCAAACAATCCACCCACCTCGGCCCCCCAAAGTGCTGGGATTACAGGCATGGATCTTATTCTTTTTATGGCTGAATAGTACTCTGTTGTGTATATGTACCACATTTTCTTCATCCATTCATCTGTTGATGGACACTTAGGTTGATTACATATTTTTTCTATTGTGAATAGTGCTGCAACAAACATGCAAGTTTAAGTATCCCTTTGATATACTAATTTCCTTTCCTTCAGATAAATACCCAGTAGTGGGATTGCTATATCATATATAGTTCTATTATAAGTTTGTTTTTTTTTTTTCTGAGAAATCTCCACGCTCTTCTCCATAGTGCTTGTACTAATTTACATTCTCATCAACAGTGCATAAGAATTCCCTTTTCTCTGCATCCTTGCCACCATCCATTAACTTTTGTCTTTTTAATAATAGGCATTCTGACTGGGTGGGGTAAGATGATATTGCATTGTGGTTTTGATTTGCATTTCCCTCATGATTAGTGATATTGAAAATTTGTTCATATACTTGTTTGGCCATTTGTATGCCTTTTTTTTTTTGAGACGGAGTCTCGCTCTGTCACCCAGGTTGCAGTGCAGTGGCGTGATCTCGGCTCACTGCAACCTTCACCTCCTGGGTTCAGGCGATTCTCCTGCCTCAGCCTCCTGAGTAGCTGGGATCACAGGCGTGCATCACCACACCCAGCTAATTTTTGTATTTTTAGTAGAGATGGGGTTTCACCGTGCTGGGCAGGCTGGTCTCAAACTCCTCGATTACAGGAGTGAGCCACCGCACCCAGCCTTGTATGTCTTCTTTTGAATAATGTCTGTTCATGTCCTTTACCTCACTTTTTAATGAGATTTTTTTTAATTGTTGAGGTGTTTGAATATGTTGTATATTCCAGATATTAGTCCCTTGTAGAATGAATAGTTTGCAAATATTTTTGTCCTATTCAACAGGTTGTCTCTTTAATTTGTTATTGTTTCTTTTGCTGTGTAGAAGCCTTTTAATTTAATATGGTACCATTTGTCTATTCGTGTTTTTGTTGTCTTTTTGAGGTTGTAGCCATATCATCTTTGCCTAGACCAATGTCCTGAAGCATTTTCCCTATGTTTTCTTCTAGTAGTTTTATAGTTTTAGGTCTTACATTTAAGTCTTTAATCTATCTTGGGTTGATTTTTGTATATGGTGAGAGACAGGGGTTCAATTTTTTTCTCCTGCATATGGATATCTAATTTTCCTAGCACCATTTATTGAAGAGACCAATTTATGTTCTTGATTGCTTTGTCAAAAATTAGTTGGCTGTAAATATGTGGAGTTATTTCTGGATTATCTGTTTTGTTCCATTGGTCTATGTGTTGTTTTTATACCAATATCATGTTGTTTTGGTTAATACAGGTTTGTAATATATTTTGAGTCAGGTAATATGATGCTGCCAGCTTTGTTTGTTGTTGTTGTTGTTGTTTTTGCTCAGGATTGCTTTGGCTATTCAAGTTCTTTTTTAGGATTATTTTTTCTAATTCTGTGAAAAATGACATTGGTATTTTGATAGGGATTGCATTAAATCTGATTACTTTGGACAGTTTGGTCACTTTAATAATATACACTCTTCTGACCCATGAACATGGGATATCTTTTTTTTAAATGTTTCCTTTAAACTCTTTCACCAGTGCTTTTTAGTTCTACTTGTAGAGAACTTTCACCTCCTTGATTAAATTTATTACTAGGCATTTTTTGTAGCTGTTTTAAATGGGGTATTTTTCTTGATTTCTTTCTCAGCTAGTTCATTAATGTTGTATAGAAATGCTGCTGATTTTTGTATGTTGATTTTGTATTCTGCAAGTTTACCAAAGTTATTTATTAGATCTAGGAGTTTTTTATGGAGTCTTGAGGTTTTTCTAGACATAAGATCATATCATCAGCAAGGACTTCCTCTTTTCCAGTTCGGATGCCTTTTATTTTTTTCTTTTGCCTGATTGCTCTGGCTACAACTTCCAGTACTATTTTGAATAGGAGTGGTGATAGTGGACGTTCTTGTTTTGTTCCAGTTGTTGGAAGAAAAGCTTCCAGTTTTTTTTTTTTTTTTATGATGTTAGCTGTGGGTTTGTCAAATATGGCCTTTATCACATTGAGGTACATTTATTCTTTGTAGTTTGTGCTTCACTCCCACCCGAGCCCTGGTGCTGCTGGGCCCCAGGACAGTGCGCAGTCTGTTGTGGGCTGGGCTTTCAAAATGATATCTTGCTGTATCTGCTCCTGATTTAGGAGTGTGGGACCCAGCCAAGTTCCCTGTCTGGAACAGTGCTGTTGTGTGGTTTCTAGGCAGCTCTCTATGTTATTTTCAGGGCCTACAAGGGTCTAGGGGCGTTCCTGTGGCTAGGATTGCAAGAGTCCACAATGGGGATGTGGTCCATTTGGGGTCTCTCACTCTTTCTCTGCATTGGGGAGTCTCTCTCTCAGCTCGCAGCCAATCTTGGCCAAGCAAGCTGCCTCACCTCCGTCTCCTTTTTTGCTTTAGGTTTTTCCTGTAACTTCTCTGTTGAATTTCAGTGTTCTCTCTTGGATGATCTATTGAAGTATTATTATGTACTATTTTGGTTCTTATTAGTGGAGGAGGTGAGTATGAGATGCCTTTAGTTAGCCATCTTGAAGCTCCTTATCTTTTAACTTTCATAGTATAGTTAAAAGTGATTTATGTACCACCATTACAATATTAGAATATTGTGAGTTTGAGTATATTCTTACCTTTATGGTGAGTTTTATACATTTATATGTTTTCATATTGTTTGTTAGCATCCTTTTCTTTTATTAATAACTTGAGGAACTCTCTTCATCATTTTTTGTGGGACAGTGGTGATGAACTCCCACAGCTTTTTGTTTGTCTGGGAAATAATTTCTTCTTTATTTTTGAAACATAGCTTTACTGACTATATTACAATATTCTTCTAGGCAGTTTTTTTTCTTTCAGCATGTAGAATGTATCATTCCCAACCCCTTTTGGCCTGCAAGGTTTCTGCCGAGAAATCTGGTGATAGTCTTATGGATAGTCTTATGGAGATTGCCTTTTATATAAGTCACTTTTCTCTTATTACTTTCATGATTCTCCCTTTTTTTTTGACTTTTATTAATTTGGTTATATTATGTCTTAGTGAAGATCTCTTTACATTAAATTTATTTGGCTTTCTTTGGGCTTCATGGTCTGGATGTTCTCTTTGTTGTCCAGATTGCGGAAGTTTTCTGTCATTCCCTTATTTAACTAAGCTGTCTGACCCTTTCTCTTTCTATATCCTTTTTATGAATCCTCCTGGGATTCCTATAGTGTTTTTTTTGTTGTTGTTGTTGCTTGTTTGTTTTCCTTTATGGAGTCCCATAAATTCCATAGGCTTTCTTCACTCTTTTTCATTCTTTTTTTGTCCCTCTGATTGGGTAATTTCAAATGGCCTGTCTTTGAGTTTGCTGATTATTCTGCTTCAGAGAGTCTTCTGTTGAAGCTCTCTGTATGGCCGTTTTTAGTTTCATCATTGTATTGTCCTGCTCCAAAATTTCTGTTTCATTCTTTTTTATGTTTCTTGTTTTTGAACCTCTTCTTATTTTGCTTATATATTTTCTGGTTTTGTTTAGTTGTCTGTGTTCGCTTGTAATTAACTGAGCTCCTTTAAGGTGATTATTTTGAATTCTTTTTCAGGCAGTTTATAGATACTCATTTCTTTAGAATTGGTGACTGGTGCTTTAATTTATTCCTTTGGTGGTGTCGTTTCCTTGATTATTATTTAAAAAGAATTTTTTTAAACAAGGTCTCACTCTGTCACCAGGCTGCAGTGCAGTGTTGTGATCACGACTCACTGCAGCCTCAACCTCCTAGGCCCAAAGAATCTTCCCACCTCAGCCTCCCATATCTGCTGGGACCACAGGTGTGCGTCACCATGCCTGACTAATTTTTAAATTTTTGTATAGATGGGGCCTCCCTAAGTTGCCCAGGCTGGTCTTGAATTCCTGAACTAAAGTGATCCTCCCACCACAGCCTCCCAAAGTGCTGGGATTATAGGTATGAGCCACCACACCTGGCCTTGATTATTTTTTATCTTTGTGGCCTTGAGTTGGTATCTGCACATTTAAACAAATAGGCACACTTTTTCAATATTTACAGACTTGCTTCAGCAGGGAAAGCCCTTTACCAGTCTGCCTGTCTAGTGATTCTGGGTGGGTCATCTCATGAAGACCATGGGCAAATTTTCTGCTGGAGTTCTCAGGTATGCTGACCTAGTGCCTGTGTCTGCATGGCCAGCCTGGAATCTGGGTTTGTGTGGTCCATCCTGGCACTGAGGCAGGCCATGAACTTGGGTAAGAGGCCAGCATAAAGCTTCGTGCCATGAGGACTGATCTAGCACTGAGGCTAATGTGGTCAGTCTCCTGTTGGGATAAGCCTAGAGCCTGGGGCTATGGGGGTGGGTCCATAACTGGGACACGCCTGGAGGCTGGGTTCATGAGGCAAGCCTGGAGCTTTGGGCAATAGGAGCTAACTTGGCGCTGGGGCAGGCTTGAAGTCTGGGTCCATAGTGGTGGGCCTAAGACCTCCTATTTTCTAGTTATGGTAAATTAAATGTAGGGAACAGTCAAAATGGAAGAGTTCCAGACATAGATACAGTAAAAATATAGTTTAAAACTTCTTTGCTTATTAAAAAAGTTATTTGTGGTTGTCATAAAATCTTAAGCATCACAAAAATATGTATTATGGATTGTAAAGTGAGCATCTATTCCATACTCAAAAACAGAATCATTGAAATGGATTTGGAAGATTTAAGGAGTTTTTTTTAAGTTTTTTTCAAAATAGATTGCATTTAAAAAAGATTAATGGAATGAAGTAAAGCCAAAGAGTATACACAGGAAAATTTGTAATTGGTGATCTCCTGTTATATTAGAGACAATGAGATAAATTGGTAAAATAACAGAAGACATTTGAATTGGACAACATCCAAGAGAGTTGGATAAAACCCTGAAGATGTTCTGTAAAAAATAATATAACATTGACCATAATAAATGAGATTTAATGACATTACTTCTTTGACTTATAGGTTAGAGACTAGGTCCTTATGCTTATAAATTCTTGAAGAAGAGAGTTCTTTGTAGGTTAACAAAAATGAGAGTATTTCTCAATGCAGAGAAAGGGAGCTCTGTGCTGCTTTTCTCCCAATAGGGATACAACCAGATCATAGTTTTTTCAGCATCCTTCTTTTATGGTTACAGTTTATATTATCTTTTTTTAAACAAACACGTAAATTTATTGCTGCTAGATTTTGGGGATGTTAGTAAACGATTGTGTAGGCAGTATGTTAGGGGAGGAGTAAATTTTTGAGATCCTTTTCCAGCACCATTTAAAATTATCTATATACTAATCTGAAACCTGTCTCTGTTGGTAAGTAATGTGAGTTGCTTTCTATTGGTCAGGAATAGTTTTTTTTCTTGACGGAATATCTCTGAGTTTGGAGGGAAGTGTGTCTCTTTTCTGCCTGTATAAAACTTATTGTATACCTCTTTGAGTTAAAAGAAAAACCCAGCAAAAAATATACTGTTGCTTTCTAAATTCATAGTGCTTAGGTTTGGTAAACCTAGATTACGTAATTTCTTTTTTTTTATTTTAAATTTGTATTTGTACATAACAGGTATACATCTTTTCAGGGAACATGTGATAATTTAATATATTTATATACTTTGTAAAACATCAAATCAATGTAATTGGGATATATATCCATGAACTTAAATATTTGTCTTTTTTTTCTTTTATTATTATACTTTAAGTTTTAGGGTACATGTGCACATTGTGCAGGTTAGTTACATATGTATACATGTGCCATGCTGGTGCGCTGCACCCACTAACTCATCATCTAGCATTAGGTATATCTCCCAATGCTATCCCTCCCCTCTCCCAGATTATGTAATTTCTATACTGCATTTAAAAGAACTATTATATTTACCCTAAGGATAGTATTTAAATAGGGGATATGTTTATTTATTATTGTTTTGCCTTTACTATATTTAGGTAGGAATATATATCACCAGAGGTCTTATATTGAGAAATAAAGGAAATAACAAAGAAATTATAAATGTATTTACGTGCACAAATATTGATGTTCCATCCCACAAGGCCAAAGGACGTTTGTACCAGTTTTAATGTACTTAATGTTCATTCCTTTATTTTCCCTTCTCTTCTCAGCCTGAGGCCCTGAGAATCTGACATTATTAGGCAATGTGATCTAAGGGAAGGTCTCAGAGCTGGCAGAAAATTTGTTAATGATAAACTGTGACCTTGAATCACTCAGTTAACTACTATGTACCACAATATCCTCACCTGAAAAATAGGTGCAATATTATGTGTGTCACAGGCATGGAATGAGGATAACAGAAGAAATATAGTAGTTCTTTGAAAAGCTAAGGGTTTACATATACGGTGATAAAATTATTAACTAAAAATCAGCCTATACAAGGCTTATTTTTAATGGAAAGGTAGGTATTAGCACCATCTAGTGGAAACATAATGAATTGTATAATAGCATTTTCAATACGGAAAATAATTTAATATAGATAACTCTTTAGAGCTGGAAGAAATCTTACAGATCACCTATTTAGTAATTTAGAGATTATGTTCTGTGGTGTCCTTATATTCTACCAGAAGAGCCTCAGGACCTCCTTTAAGAGAAAGAAGAGTCTTTTCCACAATTCTCAGATTCTCATGTTGCTTCAAATAGAGAAGTTAGGCTTTAATCAGTTTTTTATATATGTCCTTGTAAGATTTTGTTTGAAAAAATGATTCACCTTCTTAGAAAATGTTTGAAAATGACTGATTTAGATTAACTCATCTTTGTACAGATAAGGAAATCTAAATTTAGGGAGCTTGAGACTTGTTTGAGGGCACATAGTTGGAACAATAGATCTCTAGTCTTTTAGGAATAGTTTTTCTCTAAAGGTCAGTAGTGATGTCCTTTCTTTTATTCTTGATTGTAGTAATTTGAGCCTTCTCTCTTCTTTTCTTGGTCAGTGTTGCTAAAGGTGTCCATTTTTTGATATATTGAAAGCATAAACTTTTGAGTTTGTTGATTTTTCTCTATTGTTTTTTAGTGATCAATTTCATTTATTTCCATTGTAATCTATAATTTCCCCCCTCTGTGCTTGATTTATGCTTAGTTTGCTCTTCCTTTTCCCTTTTCCTAAGGTGAAAGGTTAGCATATTGATTTGAGATCTTTTAAAAATTACTGATGTTTATAGCTATACATTTTCCTTTAACTGTTGCTTTAGTTGTACCTCCTAAGTTTTGGTGTGTGCATTTTCCTTTTTGTTCATCTCAAGGTATTTTCTAATTCCCCTTGTAATTTATTCTTTGACCCATTTGGTTATGTAGACGTGTGTTGTTAGATTTTCACACTTGGTAATTTCCTCATTTCTTTTTTGTTCTTGATTTCTAATTTAATTCAATGTAGACAAGGAACTGTTAAATCTACTATGGCCTTTTATGGCCTAGGATATGTTCTATTCTGAAGAATGTTCTATGTGCAATTAAGAATTTATAGTCTGCTATTATTGGGTGGATTGTTGATATGGTTTGGCTCTGTGTCTCCACCCAACTCTCATCTCGAATTGTAATCCCCACATGTCAAGAGAGAGACCTGGTGGGAGGTGATTGGATCATGGGGCTGGTTTCCTCCATGCTGTTCTCATGATAGTGAGTTCTCATGAGATCTGATGGTTTTATCAGGGGCTCTTCCCCCTTTGCCCTCTCTCTCTTGCCTGCTGCCATGTAACATGTACCTGCTTCTATTTCTGCCATGACTGTATGTTTCCCGAGGCCTCCCCAGTCATGTGGAACTGTGAGTCAATTAAACCTCTTTTCTTTATAAATTACCCTGTCTTAGACAGTTCTTTATGGCAGTGTGAAAATGGACTAATTCAAGTGCGCTACCGATGTCTATTAGGTCTAGTAGATTTATAGTGTTCTTCAAGTCTTATATATACTTTTTGATGTTCTGTCTAGTTGTTCCATCTATTATTATTAATTATTTTGGCTAGATATTTTATTTATTTTTAATTTTTGTGGGTACATATTAGGTATACATATTTATGGGATACATGAGATGCTTCAATACAGGCATGCAATGTGAAATAATCACATCATGGAAAATGGGCTATCTATGCCTTCGAGCATTTATCCTTTGTGTTACAAACAATCCAATTATACTATTTTAGTTATTTTAAAATGTTCAGTTGAGTTCTTCTTGACTATACTCTCCCTGTTGCGCTATCAAATAGTAGGTTTTATTCCTTCTTTTAAACTATTTTTTATAACCATTAATCATCCTCACCTCCCCTCACCAAACCACCCCCAAACCCTTTCCAGCCTCTGGTAACCATCCTTCTACTCTCTGTGTCCATGTGTTCAATTGCTTTGATTTTTAGGTCCCACAAATAAGTGAGAACATGTGATGTTTGTCTTTCCGTGCCTGGCTTATTTCACTTAACATAATGATCTCCAGATTCATTTATGTTGTTGCAAATGACAGAATCTCACTCTTTTTTATGGCTAAATAAGACTCCACTGTATAAATGTACCACATTTCTTTATCCATTCATCTATCCGTGGATACTTAGGTTGTTTCCAAATCTTGGCTATTGTGAACAGTGCTGCAACAAACATAGGAGTGCAGATATCTCTTCAATATACTGATTTCCTTTCTTCTGGGTATATAACCAGCAGTGGGGTTGCTGGATCATATGGTAGCTCAATTTTTAGTTTTTTGAGGAAACTCCAAACTGTTCTCCATAGTGGTTGTACTAATTTACATCCCTGCCAACATTGTGCAAGGGTTCCCTTTTCTCCACCCCTTTTCTCCACACCCTCACCAGCATTTGTTATTGCCTGTCTTTTGGATATAAGCCATTTTAACTGAGTGGAGATGATATCTCATTGTAGTTTTGATTTGCATTGTTCTGATGATCAATGACGTTGAGCATCTTTCATGTGTCTGCCTGCCATTTGTGTGTCTTCTGTGAGAAATGTCTAAATCGTTTCCTCATTTTTTGATTGGATCATCAGATTTTCCCCTGTAGAGTTATTTAAGCTTCTTATATATTCTGCTCATTAACCCCTTATTAGATGGGTAATTTGCACACATTTTCTTCAGTTCTGTGGGTCGTCTCTTCATTTTGTTTATTGCTTCCTTTGCTGTGCAGAAGATTTTAAACTTGATGTGATCCCAGTTGTCCATTTTTGCTTTTGTGTCAGTGCTTGTGGGGTATTACTTAAGAAATCTTTGCCCAGACTGATGTTATAGAGATTTTCTCCAATGTTTTCTTGTAGTAGTTTCATAGTTTGAGGAGTTAGATTTAAGTCTTTAATCTATTTTTATTTGATTTTTGTATATGATGAGAGATAGGGGTCTAGTTTCATTCTTCTGCATATTGGATTCCCCAGCACCATTTCTTCAAGACTCTTTCTTTTCTCCAGTGTATGTGCTTGACACTCAAAATGAGTTCACTGTTAGGTGTGTGGATTTGTTTCTGGGATCTCTATTCTGTTCCATTGGTCTATGTGTCTGTTTTCATGCCAGTACCATGCTATTTTGGTTACTATAGCTCTTTAGTATAATTGGTAGTCAGGTAGTGTGATTCCTCCAGATTTGTTCTTTTCGCTTAGGATAGCTTTGACTATTCTGGGTGTTTTGTGGTTCCATATACATTTCAGGATTTTTTTTTTCTATTTCTATGAAGAATGTCATTGGTATTTTGATAGGGATTGCAGCAAATCTGTAGATTGCTTTGGGTAGTATGGACATGTTAACAGTATTGGTTCTTCCAATTCATTAACATGTAATATCTTTCCACTTTTTGGTGTCCTCTTTAATTTCTTTCTTTCTTTCTTTTTCTGAGATGGAGCTTCTTTCTTTTTTTTTTCTTTTTTTGAGACAGAGTCTTGCTCTGTCACCCAGGCTGGAGTGTAGTGGCGCAATCTCAGCTCACTGCAACTTCTACCACCTGGGTTCAAGTGATTCTTCTGCCACAGCCTCCCAAGTAGCTGAGATTACAGGCACGCACCACCATGCCCAGCTAAGTTTTATATTTTTAGTAGAGCCAGGGTTTCACCATGTTGGCCAGGTTGTTCTGGAACTCCTGACTTCAAGTGATCTGCCTTCCTCAGCCTCCCAAAGTGCTGGGATTACAGGTGTGAGACACCATGCCCGGTCCTCTTCAATTTATTTCATCAGTGTTTTATAGTTGTCATTATAGGGATCTTTCACTTCTTTGGTTAATTCATAGATGTTTAATTTTATTTGTGGCTATTGTAAATAGGATTACTTCTTTTATATCTTTTTCACATTGTTCACTCTTGGCTTATAGAAATGCTACTGATTTTTATATGTTGATTTTGTATCCTGCAACTTTACTGAACTTTTAAATCAGTTTTAATAGTTTTTGGTGTAGTCTTTAGGTTTTTCCAAATGTGACATTATATCTTCTGCAAGCAAAGATAATTTGACTTCTTTTTTTCCAAAGTGGATGTTCGTCATTTCTTCTTTTCTGATTGCTTTAGCTAAGACTTCCAGTAGTATGTTGAATAATAGTGATGACAGTGGGCATCCTTGTTGTGTTCCAGATCTTAGAGGAAAGGCTTTCAGTTCTTCCCCATTCCTTATGATACTAGCTGTGGGTCTGTTATATATGGCTTTTATTATGTTAAGTTATGTTCCTTGTATCCCCAGTTTTTTTGAGGGTTTATATCATGAAGGGATGTTGGATTTTCTCAAATGCTTTTTCAGCATCAATTGAAATGATCATATGGTTTTTATCCTTCATTCTGTTGATATGATGTATCACATTGATTGATTTGTATATGTTGAACGATGTTTGCATCCCAAGGGTGGATCACACTTGGTCATGATGATCTTTTTAATATATTGGGCTTGTTGTTGTTGTTGTTTTGAGACAAAGTCTTGCTCTGTCACCCAGGCTGGAGTGCTGGAGTGCAGTGGCATGATCTCCATTCACTGCAACCTCTGCTTCCTGAGTTCAAGTGATTCTCGTGCCTCAGCCACCCGAGTAGCTGGGATTACAGGCTTGTGCCACCACGCCCAGCTAATTTCTGTGGTTTTAGTAGAGATGGGGTTTCACCATGTTGGCCAGGCTAGTCTCGAACTCCTGGCCTTAAGTGATTCGCCTGCCTCGGCCTCCCAAACTGCTGGGATTACAGGTGTGAGCCACCGCACTCGGCCATATATTGCTGAATTTGATTTGCTAATATTTTGTCGAGGATTTTTGCATCAATATTCATCAGATATATTGGCCTGTAGTTTTCTTTTTTTGATGCATCTTTATCTGGTTGGTATCAGGGTAATACTGGCCTCGTAGAATGAGTTTGGATATATTCCCTCCTCCTCTATTTTTCAGAACAGTTTGAGTAGGATTAGTATTAGTTCTTTAAATATTTTATAGAATTCAGCAGTAAAGTCATTGGGTCCCCAGCTTTTCTTTACTGGGAGACTTTTTATTATAGCTTTGATCTCATTACTTGTTGTTGGTGTGTTCAGGTTTTGGATTTCTTTATGCTTCAAACTTGGTAGGTTGTTTGCTTCTAGAAATTTTTTCATTTCTTTAAATTTTTCAATTAATTGGCATATAGCTGTTCATAGTGGCCACTAATTATCCTTTGAATTTTTGTGGTATCAGTTGTGTCTCCTCTTTGATCTGTGATTTTAATATTTGTATCTTCTGTATTTTTTTCTTAGATAGTCTGGCTAAAGTTTTGTCAATTTTGTTTAACTTTTCAAAAAACCGCATTTTTGTTTCATTGAACTTATGTGTTATTTTCTTTATTTCAATTTTATTTATTTCTGCTCTGACCTGTATTATTTCTTTTCTTCTGCTAATTTTGGGTTTGGTTTGTTCTTGCTTTTCTAGTCCTTAAAGGTGTATTGTTAGGTTGTTTATTTGAAAATTTTCTTCTTTTTTGATGTAGGGAGTTATAGCTATAAACTTCCCTCTTAGCATTTCTTTTGCTGTATTCCATACATTTTGGTATGTGATGTTTCCATTATTTGTTTCCAGAAAATTTTCAGCTTTCTTCTTAATTTCTTCATTGACCCACGGTCACTCAGGAGCATATTGTTTAATTTTCATGTATTTGTATAGTTTCCAAAATTCTTGTTGTTGTTGGTTTCTAATTTTATTCCATTGTGGTCAGAGATGCTTGGTATTATTTTGAATTTTTGCGTGTTTACAACTTGTTTTGTGACCTAACATTTGGTCTGTCTTTGAGAATGATCCATGTGCTGAGGAAAAGAATGTGTATTCTGCAGCTGTTGGATGAAATGTTCTGTAAATATCCATTAGATCCATATGTTCTATAGTGCAAATTAAGTCTGATGCTTCTTTTTGATTTTCTGTCTGGAAGATCTGTCCAATGCCGAAAGTGGGGTGTTGACATCTACAGCTATTATTGTATGAAGTCTATGTTTCTCTTTATCTCTGATAATATTTGCTTTATATATCTGGGTGCTCCAGTGTTGGGTGCATATATATTTAAAATTGTTATATCCTCTTGTGGAATTGTTCCCTTTATCGTTATATAGTGACCTTCTTTGTCTCTTCTTATAGTTTTTGTCTTGACACCTATTTTGTGTGATATAAATATCAGCACTCCTGCTCTTTTTTGGTGTCCATTGGCATGAGATATTTCTGCCACCCACCACTATAACTATTTTTTTTAATTTTTTATTTTATTTCAATAGTTTTTTTTTTCGAACAGGTAGTTTTTGGTTACATGAGCAAGTTCTTTAGTGTTTTTTCTGAGATTTTGGCATACCCGACACCTAAGCAGTGTACACTGTACCCAATATGTAATTTTTTATCCCTAAGCCCCCTTCCATCTTCCTCCATCTGAGTCCCCAAAGTCCATCATATCATTCTTATGTTTTTGCATCCTCATAGTTTAACTCCCACTTATAAGTGAGAAGATACGAGACTTGGTTTTCCATTCCTGAGTCACTTCACTTAGAATAATGGCCTCCAAGTCCATCCAAGTTGCTGCAAAGGCCATTATTTTGTTCTGTTTTATGGCTGGGTAGTATTCTATGGTGTATATACATTTTCTTTATCCACTCATTGGTTGATGGTCATTTAGGTTGGCTCCATATTTTTTGCTATTGTGAATTGTGCTGCTATAAAAATGTGTATGTGTTTTTTCGTATGATTTATTTTCCTTTGGGTATATACCCAGTAGTGGGATTGCTGGATCGAATGGTAGTTCTAATTTTAGATTTTTGTTTTGCTTTGTTTTTTGTTTTGAGACAAGGTCTGGCTCTGTCTTCCAGGCTGGAGTGCAGTGGTACGATCTTGGCTCACTGCAACCTGTGCCTCCCAGGCTCAAGCCATCCTCCCACCTCAGCCTCCTGAGTTGCTGGGAGTACAGGCACACACCACCACACTTGGCTAATTTTTGTATTTTTTGTAGAGATGGGATTTTTCCATGTTGCTCAGGCTGGTCTCGGACTCCTGAGCTCAAGTGATCTGCCCCCTCAGCCTCCCAAAGTGCTGGGATTACAGGCATGAGCCATCATGCCTGGCCCTCATTTTAATTCTTTAAGGCAGCAGTCCCCAACCTTTTTGGCACCAGGGACCAGTTTCGTGGAAGACAGTTTTTCCATGGAGCGGCGGTGGGGGATCGGGGGTGGGGAATGGTTTCTGGATGAAACTCTTTCATCTCAGATCATTAAGTATTAGATCCTTATAAGGAGTGTGCAGCCTAGATCCCTTGCATGCGCAGTTCACAATAGGGTTCGTGCTCCTATGATAATCTAATGCTGCTGCTGATCTGCCAGAAGGTGGAGCTCAGGCAGGAATGCTCACTTGCCCCGCCACTCATCTCCTGCTGTGCAGCCCGGTTCCTGCTTTAGGAGCTTCGACCCCCTGCTTTTAAACGTTTTTTTCCTGTTTATATCTTATTGTACTGTCTGTGTCTTGAAAAGTTGTTGTAGTTATTATTTTTGATTGGTTCGTTATTTAGTCTTTCTACTTAAGATAAAAGTAGTTTGCACACCACAGTTACAGTGTCATAATATTCTGTGTTTTTCTGTGTACTTATATTACCAGTGAGTTTTGTATCTTCAAGTGATTACTTACTGCTCACGAACATCCTTTTCTTTCTGATTGAAGTACTCTCTTCAGCATTTCTTGCAGGACAGGTCTGGTGTTCATGAAATTCCTCAGCTTTTGTTTGTCTGGGAAAGTTTTCATTTCTCCTTCATGTTTAAAGGATATTTTTGCTGGATATACTATTTTAGGATAAAAGTTCTTTTCCTTCAACAGTTTAAATACATCATGCTACTGTCTCCTGGCCTGTAAGGTTTCCATTGAAAAGTCTGCTTGATGTATTGGAGCTCCATTGTATGTTGTTTTTTTCTTTTCTCTTACTGCTTTTAAGATCCTTTCTTTATCATTGGGCTTTAGGAGTTTGATTTTTAAATACTTGAGGTAGCGTTCTTTGGGTTAAATCTGGTGTTCTATAACTGCTTTGTATTTGGATATTGATATCTCCTTCTAGGTTTGGGAAGTTCTCTATTATTATCCCTTTGAATAAACTTTCTTTCTTTTTTTATTATGCTTTAAGTTCTAAGGGTACATGTGAACAACATGCAGGTTTGTTACATAGGTATACATATGCCATGTTGGTTTGCTGCACCCATCAACTAGTCATTTACATTAGGTATTTCTCTTAATGCTATTGTGTGATGTTCCCCACCCTGTGTCCATGTGTTCTCATTGATCAACTCCCACTTATGAGTGAGAACATGCGGTGTTTGGTTTTCTGTCCTTGTGATAGTTTGCTGAGAATGATGGTATCCAGCTTCATCCATGTCCCTACAAAGGACATGAACTCATCCTTTTTTATGGCTGCATAGTGTTCCATGGTGTATATGTGCCACATTTTCTTAATCCAGTCTATCATTGATGGACATTTGGGTTGGTTCCAAGTCTTTGCTATTGTAAATGGTGCCACAATAAACATATGTGTGCATGTGTCTTTATAGTAGCGTGATTTATAATCCTTTGGGTATATACCCACTAATGGGATGGCTGGGTCAAATGGTATTTCTAGTTCTAGATCCTTGAGGAATCGCCACACTGTCTTCCACAATGGTTGAACTAGTTTACACTCCTAGTAACAGTGTAAAAGCGTTCCTATTTCTCCATATCCTCTCCAGCATCTGTTGTTTCCTGACCTTTTAGTGATCACCATTCTAACTGGTGTGAGATGGCATCTCATTGTGGTTTCGATTTGCATTTCTCTGATGGCCAGTGATGATGAGCATGTTTTCATATGTCTGTTCGCTGCATAAATGTTTTCTTTTGAGAAGTGTCTGTTCATATCCTTTGCCTACTTTTTCATGGGGTTGTTGCTGTTTTTCTTGTAAATTTGTTTAAGTTCTTTGTAGATTCTGGACATTAGCCCTTTGTCAGATGGGTAGATTGCAAAAATTTTCTCCCATTCTGTAGGCTGCCTGTTCACTCTGATGATAGTATCTTCTGCCGTGCAGAAGCTCTTTAGTTCAATTAGATCCCATTTGTCAATTTTTGCTTTTGTTGCCATTGCTTTTGGTGTTTTAGTCATGAAGTCTTTGCGCATGCCTATGTCCTGAATGGTATTGCCTAGGTTTTCTTCTAGGGTTTTTATGGTTTTAGGTCTTACGTTTAAGTCTTTAATCCATCTTGAGTTAATTTTTCTATAAGCTATAAGGAAGGGATCCAGTTTCAGCTTTCTACATATGGCTAGCCAGTTTTCCCAGCACCAATTATTAAATAGGGAATCCTTTCCCCATTGCTTGTTTTTGTCAGGTTTGTCAAAGATCAGATGGTTGTAGATGTGTGGTGTCTGAAGCCTCTGTTCTGTTCCATTGGTCTATATCTCTGTTTTGGTACCAGTATCATGCTGTTTTGGTTATTGTGGCCTTGTAATATAGTTTGAAGTCAGGTAGCATGATGCCTGCAGCTTTGTTCTTTTTGCTTAGGATTGTCTTGGTAATGTGGGCTCTTTTTTGGTTCCATATAAACTTTAAAGTAGTTTTTTCCAATTCTGTGAAGAAAGTCATTGGTAGCTTGATGGGGATGGCATTGAATCTATAAATTACCTTGGCAGTATGGCTATTTTCATGATATTGATTATTCCTATCCATGAGCATGGAATGTTCTTCCATTTGTTTGTGTCCTCTTTTATTTCCTTGAGCAGTGGTTTGTAGTTCTCCTTGAAGAGGTCCTTCACATCCCTTGTTAGTTGGATTCTTAGGTATTTTATTCTCTTTGTAGTAATTGTGAATGGGAGTTCACTCATGATTTGGCTCTCTGTTTGTCTGTACTTGGTGTATAAGAATGCTTGTGATTTTTGCACATTGATTTTATATCCTGAGACTTGGCTGAAGTTGTTTATCAGTTTAAGGAGATTTAGGGCTGAGAGGATGGGGTTTTCTAAATATACAATCATGTCATCTGCAAACAGCGACAATTTGACTTCCTCTTTTCCTAATTGAATACTCTTTATTTCTTTCTCTTGCCTGATTGTCCTGGCCAGAACTTCCAACATTATGTTGAATAGGAGTGGTGAGAGAGGGCATCCTTGTCTTGTGCCGGTTTTCAAAGGGAATGCTTCCAGTTTTTGCCCATTCAATATGATATTGGCTGTGGGTTCGTCATAAATAGCTCTTATTATTTTGAGATATGTTCCATCAATACCTAGTTTATTGAGAATTTTTAGCATGAAGGGCTGTTGAATTTTGTCAAAGGCCTTTTCTGCATTTATTGAGATAATCATATGGTTTTTGTTGTTGGTTCTGTTTATGTGATGGATTACATTTATTGATTTGCATGAACCAGCCTTGCATCCCAGGGGTGAAGCTGACTTGGTCCTGATTGATAAGCTTTTTGATGTGCTGCTGGATTTGGTTTGCCAGTATTTTATTGAGGATTTTCGCATCGATGTTCAGCAGGGCTATTGGTCTAAAATTCTGTTTTTTTGTTGTGTCCCTGCCAGGCTTTGGTGTCAGTATGATGTTGGCCTCATAAAATGAGTTAGGGAGGAGTCCCTCTTTTTCTATTGATTGGAATAGTTTCAGAGGGAATGGTACCAGCTCCTCTTTGTACCTCTGATAGAATTTGGCTGTGAGTCCGTCTGGTCCTGGACTTTTTTTGGTTGGTAGGCTATATTAATTATTGCCTCAATTTTGGAACCTGTTATTGGTCTATTCAGAAATTCAACTTCTTCCTGGTTTAGTCTTGGGAGGGTTTATGTGTCCAGGAATTTATCATTTCTTCTAGATTTTCTAGTATATTTGTGTAGAGGTGTTTATAGTATTCTCTGATGGTAGTTTGTATTTCTGTGGGATCAGTGGTGATGTCCCCTTTATCATTTTTTATTGTGTCTATTTGATTCTTCTTTCTTTTCTTCTTTATTAGTCTTGCTAGCAGTCTATCTATTTTGTTGATTTTCAAGAAACCAGCTCCTGGATTCATTGATTTTTTGAAGGGTTTTTTGTGTCTCTGTTTCCTTCAGTTCTGCTCTGATCTTAGTTATTTCTTGCCTTCTGCTAGCTTTTGAATTTGTTTGCACTTGCTTCTCTAGTTCTTTCAATTGTGATGTTAGGGTGTCAATTTTAGATCTTTCTTGCTTTTTCTTGTGGGCATTTAGTGCTATAAATTTCCCTCTTCACACTGCTTTAAATGTGTCCCAGAGATTCTGGTGTATTGTGTCTTTGTCTTATTGGTTTCAAAGAACATCTTTATTTCTGCCTTCATTTTGTTATTTACCCAGTAGTCATTCAGGAGCAGGTTGTTCAGTTTCCATGTAGTTGTGTGTTTTGAGTGAGTTTCTTCATCCTGAGTTCTAATTTGATTGCACTGTGGTCTGAGAGACTGTTGTGATTTCTTTTCTTTTGTGTTTGCTGAAGAGTGTTGTACTTCCAATGATGTGGTCAATTTTAGAATAAGTGCGATGTGGTGCTGAGAAGAATGTATATTCTGTTGATTTGGGGTGGAGAGTTCTGTAGATGTCCATTAGGCCTGTTTGGTCCAGAGCTGAGTTCAAGTCCCGAATATCCTTGTTAACTTTCTGTCATGTTGATCTGTCTAATATTGACAGTGGGTTGTTAAAGTCTCCCATTATTATTGTGTGGGAGTCTAAGTCTCTTTGTAGGTCTCTAAGGACTTGCTTTATGAATCTGGGTGCTGCTGTATTGGGTGCATATATATTTAGGATAGTTAGCTCTTCTTGTTGAACTGATCCTTTTACCATTATGTAATGGCCTTATTTGTCTCTTTTGATCTTTGTTGGTTTGAAGTGTGTTTTATCAGAGACTAGGATTGCAACCCCTGCTTTTTTTTCTGCTTTCCATTTGCTTGGTAAATCTTCCTCCATCCCTTTATTTTGAGCCTATGTTTGTCTCAGCACGTGAGATGGGTCTCCTGAATACAGCACAATGATGGGTCTTGACTCTTTATCCAATTTGCCAGTCTGTGTCTTTTAATTGGGGTATTCAGCTCATTTACATTTAAGGTTCATATTGTTATGAGTGAATTTGATCCTGTCATTATGATGTTAGCTGGTTATTTTGCCTGTTAATTGATGCAGTTTTTTCCTAGCATAGACGGTCTTTACAATTTGGCATGTTTTTGCAGTGGCTGGTACCGGTTGTTCCTTTCCATGTTTAGTGCTTCCTTCAGGAGCTCTTATAAGACAGGCCTGGTGGTGACAAAATGTCTCAGCATTTACTTGTCTGTAAAAGATTTTATTTCTCCTTCACTTATGAAGCTTAGTTTGGCTGGATATGAAATTCTGGGTTGAAAATTCTTCTCTTTAAAAATGTTTAATATTGGCTGTCACTGTCTTCTGGCTTGTAGGGTTTGTGCTGAGAGATCCGCTATTAGTCTGATGGGCTTCCCTTTGTGGGTAACCTGACCTTTCTTTCTGGCTGCCCTTAATGTTTTTTTCCTTCATTTCAACCTTGGTGAATCTGACAATTGTGTGTCTTGGGGTTGCTCTTCTCAACGAGTATCTTTGTGGTATTCTCTGTATTTCCTGAATTTGAATGTTGACCTGCCTTGCTAGGTTGGGGAAGGTCTCCTGGATAATATCCTGAAGAGTGTTTTCTAACTTGGATCCATTCTCCCCGTCAGTTTCAGGAACACCAGTCAAACGTAGATTTGGTCTTTTCACATAGTCCCATATTTCTTGGAGAATTTGTCCGTTTCTTTTCACTCTTTTCTCTCTAACTTTGTTTTCTCACTTTATTTCATTAATTTGATCTTCAATCACTGTTATCGTTCCTTCCACTTGATTGAATCAGCTATCAAAGCTTGTGCATGTGTAATGAAGTTTTCGTGCTGTGGTTTTCAGCTCCATCAGCTAATTTAAGGTCTTCTCTACACTGTTTATTCTGGTTAGCCAGTTGTCTAACCTTTTTTCAAGGCTTTTAGCTTCCTTGCGATGGGTTAGAACATGCTCCTTTAGCTTGGAGAAATTTGTTATTACCAACCTTCTGAAGCCTACTTCTGTCAACTTGTCAAACTCTTTCTCCATCCAGTTTTGTTCCTTTGCTGGTGAGAAGCTCCAATCCTTTGGAGGAGAAGAGGCACTCTGGTTTTTGGAATTTTCAGCTTTTCTGCTCTGGTTTCTCCCCATCTTTGTGGTTTTATCTACCTTTGGTCTTTGATGTTGGTGACCTACAGATGGGGTTTTGGCGTAGATGTCCTTTTTGTTGATGTTGGTGCTATTCCTTTCTGTTAGTTTTCCTTCTAACAGTCGAGCCCCTCAGCTGCAGGTCTGTTGGAGTTTGCTGGAGGTCCACTCCAGACCCTGTTTGCCTGGGATCACCAGTGGAGGCTGCAGAATAGCAAATATTGCTGCTTGATCCTTCCTCTGGAAGCTTTGTCCCAGAGGGGCACCCACCTGTATGAGGTGTCTGTTAGCCCCTACTGGGAGGTGTCTCCCAGTCAGGCTACACAGGGATCTGGGACCCACTTGAGGAGGCAGTCTGCCCGTTCTCTGAACCTGAACACCATGCTGGGAGAACCACTGCTCTCTTCAGAGCTGTCAGACAGGGACGTTTAGGTCTGCCAAAGCTATCTGCTGCCTTTTGTTCTGCTATGCCCTGCCCACAAAGGTGGAATCTACAGCAAGGCAGTAGGCCTTGCTGAGCTGCAGTGGGCTCCGCCCAGTTCGAGCTTCCTGGCCTCTTTGTTTTCACGGTGAGCACAAAACCGCCTACTCAAGCCTCAGCAATGGCAACACCCCTCCCCCCGCCAAGCTGCTGAGCCGCAGGTTGATCTTAGATGCTGCGCTAGCAGTGAGCAAGGCTCCTTGGGCATGGGACCCGCCGAGCCAAGCACGGGAGGGAACTTCCTGGTCTGCCGGTTGTGAAGACTGTAGGAAAAGCACAGTATTTGGGCAGGAGTATACCATTCCTCCAGGTACAGACTGTCATGGCTTCCCTTGGCTAGGAAAGGAAAGTCCCCAGACCCCTTGTGCTTCCCGGTTGAGGCGATGCACTGCCCTGCTTTGGTTCGCCCTCCGTGGGCTGCATCCACTGTCCAACCAGTCTCAATGAGATAAACCAGGTACCTCAGTTGGAAATGCAGAAATCACTCATCTTCTGCATCAATCTTGCTGGGAGCTGCAGACTGGAGCTGTTTTTACTCAGCCATCTTGGAAGCCTCCCCACTTTGAATAAACTTTCTAATCTTATCTCTTTCTCTGCTTCTTCTTTAAGGCCAATGATACTTAGATTTGCCCTTTTGAGGCTATTTTCTAGATCTTGTAGGTCTGCTTCATTGTTTTTTATTCTTTTCTCTTTTGTCTCCTCTGACCGTATATTTTCAAATAGCCCGTCTTCAAGCTCACTAATTCTTTCTTCTACTTGATCAATTCTGCTATTTAAAGATTCTGATGCAGTCTTGTTCATTATGCCAATTGCAGTTTACAACTCCAGAATTTCTGCACAGCTCCAGAATTTCTGCTTTATTCTTTTAATTTCAAATAAATTTGTCTGTTAAAACTTAACAAAAACTTGTTAAGTTTATCTGATAGGATTCTGAATCCCTTCTCTGTGTTATCTTGAATTTCTTCGAGTTTCCTCAAAACAGCTATTTTCAATTCCCTGTCTGAAAGGTCACATGTCTCTGTTTCTCCAGGATTGGTTTCTGGTGCATTTTACTTGATGTGGCCATGTATTCCCGGATTGTCTTGATACTTGTAGATGTTCTTCAGTGTCTGGGCATTTTAGTGTTAGGTATTTATTTTAGACTTCACAGTCTTGGCTTGTTTGTATCCACCCTTCTTGGGAAGGCTTTCCCCATGTTCAGAAGGACTTGAGTGTTGTGATCTGAGCTATATCTGTTTTAGGGGGCATCCCAAGCCCACTAATGCTCTGGTTCTTGTAGACATATAGAGGTACTACCTTGATGGTCTTGGGCAAAATCTGGGAGAATTCTCTGGATTACCAAGCAGAGGCTCTTGTTTTCTTCCCTTACTTTCTCCTAAACAGAGTCTCTCTCTCTCTCTCTCTTTCTCTCTTTCTCTCTTTCTCTCTCTCTCTCTCTCCTGAGCTACCTGAAACTTGGGGTTTAGTGACACAAGCACTACCACTTTGACTGTGCTGGGTCATACTTGAAGCCAGCACAGCACTGGGTCTCACCCAAGGTTTGCTGTAACCACTCTCTACCTACCACCTATGTTTGCTCAAGACTGTGGGGCTCTATAGTCAGTAGGTAGCAAAGCCAGCCAGGCCTGTGTTCTTCCCTTCAGGGCAGTGAGTTCCCCCACACCACAGAAGAGTACAGAAGTGCCATTTGGGAGCCAGGGACTAGAGTCAGAAACCTTAGATATTTACCCAGTGCTCTATTATATTTTACTGTGACTGAGCTGTCAGTTAAACCACAAGATGCAATCCCTCCCACTCTTCCCTCCCCCTTTCCAAAGGCAGAGGAACCTCACCTTGTGGCAACTGCCATCCCAGGCCACAAGGAGTACTGCCTGACTACTGCTGACCACTGTTTCCTTAAGGCCCAAGGGCTCTTCAGTCAGCTTTTGGTGAATGCTGCCTGGTCTGGGACTCACCCTTCACAGCACCCGGCTCCCTTCTCACTCACGGTCCAGAAATGCCATTCAAGAGCCAATCCTGGAATTGGGGACCCTAAGAGCTTGCTTGGTGCTCTACTTCCCTGTGGCTGAGCTGGTACCTAAGATGCAAGACACAGTCCCCTTTACGTTTCCCTCTATTTTTCTGAAGCAGAAGGGCCTCTCCCTGAAGCCACCACAGCTGGGAATGTGCTGAGTCTCACCTGAAGTCAGCAAGTCTCAGGGTCTCACCCGAAGTCCTCGACGTAGGACCTGACTATCACTGCTGGTTATTCAGGGCCCAAGGGCTCTTTGGTTAGCAGATGATGAATGATTCTAGAACTAGGTCCTTTCCTTCAAGAGAGGGTTCTCTTCTGGCCCAGGGTTTGTGCAGAAATGTCCGGGAGCTAGGACCTGGAGAGGAGGCCTCACAACCCTAACCCTTGTCCTATCCTGCTGTGGTTGAGCTGGTATTCGAAGTGCAAGACACAGTCCCCTTTATTTTTCCCCCTGTTTTTCTCAAGCAAAAGGAGTTTCGCCTCATATCCACCACAGCTAGTAATGCACTGAGTCTCACCTGAAGCCAGCCAGTCTGAGGCTCACTTAATGCCCTTGATGTAGTACCTGGGTGTCACTGTTGGTTATTCAGGGCCCAAGGACTCTTTGTTAGCAGGTGATGAATGATGCCAGAACTGGGTCCTTCCCTTCAAGGTAGTGGGTTCCCTGCTGGCCCAGGATTTGTTTAGAAAAATGTTCAGGAGCTAGGATCTGAAAGGGGGCCTCACAACCCTGACCCAGGCCCTATCCTACTGTAGCTGAGCTGGTATCCAAGATGCAAGACAAAGTTCTCCCCACTCTTCGATTTTCTCTCCTTAAATGGAAGGAAGGGGTCTCTTTTGGAGTCTTGTTGAGCTGTGCAGCCTGGGGTTAGGAGAGAGGTGATATCAGCACTCTCTAGCCACCCTGGCTGGTGTCTCAGTAGTTTGCACGCCCTCCCCGCCCCCCTCGCCGCCCACCCCCCCCACCCAAATTCCGGTGACTCTGGGCTTAGTTCAGCACTAGGACTCTCTTAGGAGTTGCAGTCTTTGTGGCCTAGGCTGCCTTTAAAGTTCATTTACCGACCCACAGTACTTTAGCCCACGGTGGCGGGGCTTGTGGGATCTCAAGGTCTGACTGCTAGGATCAGCAATTCCATTCTGACTCGGGCTGGTTTAAACACCCCCTCCACGGGCAGGCGTCAGCTGAGATTGGTCCTGCTTTTCTTTCTGCTATAATGGAGCAGCAGTGAGTTCAATGCCTCATAATTGTTGTGCTCTCCTTCCCCCAGCATACAGCAATGCTCTTTGCACCACCGCCACTGCCAGGGGACGGGAAAAGGGTGGCTTCTGCGATTCAAGACTGTTTTTCTACCTCTTTAGTGCCTCTTTTAGCAATATGAAGTTAAAACCAGGTACTGTGAGTTTCCACCTGATTTCTGGTTCTTAGGAAGGTGATTTTTTTGTGTAGATAGTTGTTAAATTGGTGTCTTTGCAGCAGGAGGGACGATTGGTGGAGCCTTCTATTCCATCATCTTGTTCCACCTCTGGAATTGCTGATCTTAGGTGAATATTTTATAGTATACTATTTTAATTTTTGTAACATTTTTTGGATTACGTTTTCTTGTCTTTTTCTTTTCTTTTTTTTTTTTTTTTTTTTTGAGACAGAGTATCGCTCTGTCACCCAGGCTGGGATGCAGTGGTGCCATCTCGGCTCACTGCAATCTCCGCCCCCCGGGTTCAAGCAATTCTCTTGCCTCAGCCTCCCGAACAGCTGGGATTACAGGCCTGTGCCACCACGCCCGGCTAATTTTTGTATTTTTGGTAGAGAAGGGGTTTCTCCATGCTGGCCAAGCTGGTCTCCAACTCCTGACTTCAGGTGATAAAAGCTTTACTACTTCATAGCTTTATTCTCTTTTCTTTTTTGGTGATTATTATTATACTTACTATGTCTATATATGTTTAAAAACTCAAGTATGCATGGTTATAATTATTGCTTTGCAAAATCTTATGTATTTTAAAGAAGATGAGACATAAAACAGAACACAAACATATTTATTGTGTTTTTAAATTTTCAACCTTCTTATAACTTTTGGTTCACTTCATTTCTTCTTTTAGATTTGAACTACCATCTGGTGTAATTTCCTGAATTTCTTTCCCACCCAATCTGCTCTTTTGTGTTAATCGTTATCGAATATATTACAAATGTTATGCCCCAGTAATACACCTTAAGAATTTTTTTACACAGTTGCTTTTTAAATAAATTAAGAAAGGAAAGTAGAAGACATATATAATCATACTTTCTTTTATAATTACCTCCATAATTACTAGCCCTGTTTATTTTTTCATATGAATTCAAATTATTCTCTAGTGTCACTTGCTTTCAGCATGAAGAACCTCCTTTTGTATTTCTTATAAGACAGATTGGCTAACAAGAAATTCTCTCACTTTTTGCTTACCTGGGAATGTATTTATTTACTCTTAATTTTGAAAGATAGCTTTTCTAGATATAAGATTCTAATTTCACAGATTTTTTTTTCTTTTTTTTGTTTATTATACTTTAAGTTTTAGGGTACAAGTGCACAGCATGCAGGTTAGTTACATATGTATACATGTGCCATGTTGGTGTGCTGCACACAGTAACTCGTCATTTAACATTAGGTATATCTCCTAATGCTATCCCTCCCCCCTCCCCCCACCCCACAACAGGCCCTGGTGTGTGATGCTCCCCTTCCTGTGTCCATGTGTTCTCATTGTTCAATTCCCACCTATGAGTGAGAACATGTGGTGTTTGGTTTTTTGTCCTTGCGATAGTTTGCTGAGAATGATGGTTTCCAGCTTCATCCATGTCCCTACAAAGGACATGAACTCATCGTTTTTTATGGTTGCATAGTATTCCATGGTGTATATGTGCCACATTTTCTTAATCCAGTCTATCATTGTTGGACATTTGGGTTGGTTCCATATCTTTGCTATTGTGAATAGTGCCGCAATAAACATACGTGTGCATGTGTCTTTTTATAGCAGCATGGTTTATAATCCTTTGGGTATATACCCAGTAATGGGAGGGCTAGGTCAAATGGTATTTCTAGTTCTAGATCCTTGAGGTATCGCCACACTGTCTTCCACAATGGTTGAACTAGTTTACAGTCCCACCAACAGTATAAAAGTGTTCCTATTTCTCCACATCCTCTCCAGCACCTGTTGTGTCCTGACTTTTATATATATATATATATATATATATATATATATTTTTTTTTTTTTATTATACTTTAAGTTTTAGGATACATGTGCACATTGTGCAGGTTAGTTACATATGTATACATGTGCCATGCTGGTGCGCTGCACCCACTAACTCGTCATCTAGCATTAGGTATATCTCCCAATGCTATCCCTCCCCCCTACCCCCACCCCACAGCAGTGCCCAGAGTGTGATATTCCCCTTCCTGTGTCCATGTGATCTCATTGTTCAATTCCCACCTATGAGTGAGAATATGCGGTGTTTGGTTTTTTGTTCTTGCGATAGTTTACTGAGAATGATGATTTCCAATTTCATCCATGTCCCTACAAAGGACATGAACTCATCATTTTTTATGGCTGCATAGTATTCCATGGTGTATATGTGCCACATTTTCTTAAACCAGTCTATCATTGTTGGACATTTGGGTTGGTTCCAAGTCTTTGCTATTGTGAATAATGCCGCAATAAACATACGTATGCGTGTCTTTATAGCAGCATGATTTATAGTCCTTTGGCTATATACCCAGTAATGGGATGGCTGGGTCAAATGGTATTTCCAGTTCTAGATCCCTGAGGAATCACCACACTGACTTCCACAATGGTTGAACTAGTTTACAGTCCCACCAACAGTGTAGAAGCGTTCCTATTTCTCCACATCCTCTCCAGCACCTGTTGTTTCCTGACTTTTTAATGATTGCCATTCTAACTGGTGTGAGATGGTATCTCATTGTGGTTTTGATTTGCATTTCTCTGATGGCCAGTGATGATGAGCATTTTTTCACGTATCTTTTGGCTGCATAAATGTCTTCTTTTGAGAAGTGTCTGTTCATGTCCTTCGCCCACTTTTTGATGGGGTTGTTTGTTTTTTTCTTGTAAATTTGCTTGAGTTCTTTGTAGATTCTGGATATTAGCCCTTTGTCATATGAGTAGGTTGCGAAAATTTTCTCCCATTTTGTAGGTTGCCTGTTCACTCTGATGGTAGTTTCTTTTGCTGTGCAGAAGCTCTTTAGTTTAATTAGATCCCATTTGATACCAAAGCCAGGCAGAGACACAACAAAAAAAGAGAATTTTAGACCCATATCCTTGATGAACATTGATGCAAAAATCCTCGATAAAATACTGGCAAAACAAATCCAGCAGCACATCAAAAAGCTTATCCACCATGATCAAGTGGGCTTCATCCCTGGGATGCAAGGCTGGTTCAATATACGCAAATCAATAAATGTAATCCAGCATATAAACAGAGCCAAAGACAAAAACCACATGATTATCTCAATAGATGCAGAAAAAGCCTTTGACAAAATTCAACAACCCTTCATGCTAAAAACTCTCAATAAATTAGGTATTGATGGGACGTATTTCAAAATAATAAGAGCTATCTATGACAAACCCACAGCCAATATCATACTGAATGGGCAAACACTGGAAGCATTCCCTTTGAAAACTGGCACAAGACAGGGATGCCCTCTCTCACCACTCCTATTCAACATGGTGTTGGAAGTTCTGGCCAGGGCAATTAGGCAGGAGAAGGAAATAAAAGGTGTTCAATTAGGAAAAGAGGAAGTCAAATTTTCCCTGTTTGCAGACGACATGATTGTATATCTAGAAAACCCCATCGTCTCAGCCCAAAATCTCCTTAAGCTGATAAGCAACTTCAGCAAAGTCTCAGGATACAAAATCAATGTACAAAAATCACAAGCATTCTTATACACCAACAACAGACAAACAGAGAGCCAAATCATGAGTGAACTCCCATTGAAAATTGCTTCAAAGAGAATAAAATACCTAGGAATCCAACTTACAAGGGATGTGAAGGACCTCTTCAAGGAGAACTACAAACCACTGCTCAATGAAATAAAAGAGGATACAAACAAATGGAAGAACATTCCATGCTCATGGGTAGGAAGAATCGATATCGTGAAAATGGCCATACTGCCCAAGGTAATTTACAGATTCAATGCCATCCCCATCAAGCTACCAATGCCTTTCTTCACAGATTTGGAAAAAACTACTTTAAAGTTCATATGGAACCAAAAAAGAGCCCGCATTGCCAAGTCAATCCTAAGCCAAAAGAACAAAGCTGGAGGCATCACACTACCTGACTTCAAACTATACTACAAGGCTACAGTAACCAAAACAGCATGGTACTGGTACCAAAACAGAGATATAGATCAATGGAACAGAACAGAGCCCTCAGAAATAACGCCGCATATCTACAACTATCTGATCTTTGACAAACCTGAGAAAAACAAGCAATGGGGAAAGGATTACCTATTTAATAAATGGTGCTGGGAAAACTGGCTAGCCATATGTAGAAAGCTGAAACTGGATCCCTTCCTTACACCTTATACAAAAATCAATTCAAGATGGATTAAAGACTTAAATGTTAGACCTAAAACCATAAAAACCCTAAAGAAAACCTAGGCATTACCATTCAGGACATAGGCATGGGCAAGGACTTCATGTCTAAAACACCAAAAGCAATGGCAACAAATTTCACAGATGTTTGAATACATCCTTTTTGCCTTCTTTACTCCATGAACTCTGAGGGGTGTCAGCTGTTAATCTTATTGTTACTCCCCTTTATGTGATGAGTCATTTTTCTCTTACTGTTTTCAAGATTTTCTCTTCATCTTTGATGTTCAATAATTTTCGCTCATCATGTGTCTGGATGTAGCTTTTTTAATGCTTATCCTGTTGAATTTCATTGAGCTTCTTGGATGTGTCGATTATTGTTTTTCATCAAATTTGGAGAGTTTTAAGACCATCATTTCTTTGAATATTTATTTGTCCTTTTCTTTCTTTTCTTCTGGTACTCCCATTATGTATATGTTGGTGTGCTTAATGGTGTCTTACATTTTTCTGAGCCCATGTTCATTTTTCTTCATTTTTTTTTCTGTTTGTTCCTCAGATTTGTATCGTTTCTATTGCTCTTCAGGTTAGTTTATTGTTTCTTTTGCCTGCTCCAATCTGCTGAATTTTTCATTTCAGTTATTGTACTTTTCAACTCCAGAATTTCCATTTGTTTCTTTTTTAAAAAATAATAAGCATTAGGAGATATACCTAATGTAAATAACGAGTTAGTGGGTGCAGCACACCAACATGGCACATGTATACATTTGTAACAAACCTGCAGGTTGTGCACATGTACCCTAGAACTTAAAGTATAATAAAAAATATATAAAAAAATAATAATTTCTATCTCTTAACTGATACACTCATATTCTCCATATGATGAGTCATTGTTATCAGACCTTCCTTTAATTTTTAAACACGATTTTAAAAAATTCTTTGGACGTAATTATAAAAGTTGCTTTGAAGTCTTTTTCTATTAAGTGCAACATTGGGGCCTCCTCAAAGGAAGTTTCTTTTGCTTTTTTTCTTCTGTGTAGGTCACACTTTTTAATTGTATGTCTTACAATGTTTTGTTAAACACTAGACATTTTGGAAAATATATTGTAGCAAGTCTAGATACAGTTTCTCCTCTTTCTGGGGCTTATTGTTTTTATTGTTTGTTTAGTCATTTATTTGTTCAGTCACTTGGCTGGACTAATTTGGTGGAATTTATTTTCCACACACTGTGTGGCCTCTAATATTCCTGCTCAGAATTTTTCCCCTTGTTTTTATCTTTTCATGACTTCTTATGGAGTCACCCCTGCATCCACATAGTTCACTTACTGGCTAAAGGTTGTGCTGAAGCTCACTTAGCCAGTTAGATTTTTTCATCCTTTCCTGGATGTATGTTTGTTTAGAGACTGCTTTTATAGTTCTGGGAGAGACTAATTCAGTCGGGGACTAATAGCTTGTAGATTCTTTATCTGCTCATACCCAAGAAAGCAGTCTTGAGCATGTGCACAGTCTCCCAGATCCCTCAGTATGAGGTCGATTTGATTTTTAAGCTGGGTTCCCTGGATCTTAGCTTACCTTTCAGTTGGTGTTTGGTCAGACGATCTGCTTAAGCCCCTTGAGCCAATGAGGCTCAAGGTACTTTGCTGATAGATCTGTTTATGCCTTGGGTAATGCTTTTCAGTTTGCCCCAACACTTTCTCTGATTGTGCGTGAGTGGGTGCAGAATGGCACATGGGCACAGTCTTCTGGACCCCTAGAGATAAGTGTGACCCCAGAGGTTTTCTTCTTGGCTGTTTCCCTGATTCTCTGGTAACCTTCTGGTTGGTCTGCTGTTTCCCTTATTGCTACCATTATCATGGAGCTACCAGCTCCCTCTTAATTGCTCACTATCAAGATCTCCATTGTTTTCAGCAGTGTCCTTAGACATGATCTTCTCCATGCTCTGTTTTAAATACATCATTCCCCTCAGGAAGAGATGCAGAGTTCTTCCTCTTTGCTTCTGTTCTTTCTTTCTGGTCAGAACCTCTGTGCCACACGACTAGAGCTGGGCTCATGGCATGCTTCTCTTGAAATGGCACCCCTACCATATTAGTAAATTAGTAAATTCTGGCGGTATGGTAGCCCTTGGTCTTCTTAGTGTGCCCTTTTGACATGAAACCTCTGCCTGATGAGCCAGCTGGAGTAAAGATGATCAGGATCTCAGTATTCTTGACCTGTCACATTTGGGGTAGAATCCTTACCCTAAGAGTGAGAGCTGAGTGGGCAAAGAAAAGCCAGTCCTCTCCATCGTACTTGCCCAGAACACTTCCATGACACAGGCCTGAGAATGGCAAGATAGTCTGGCAGCCTGCTTCTCTGCAGGTGAAACCATAGCCTAGGATTTTAGGAGCTGGCGGGAGAGGGAATTCCTATCTTCTTGGCTGCACCCATCTGGAGCAGCTTCCATCACATGGAGCCAGTATAGATGGGAGCAGTTTATAGTTCAAATGCCATAGACTCTCACTGGTTATACTGAGATTTAGTTTATTTTCATGAATAAATGTTTTCCATTTTCTGTGTGCCCTTAGGACAATTTCAATTTTCAGAGACTAAGTGGTTGTTTTAATGAATTTTCCAGATGAGTGGTTGTTTCGCTGGGGAGAGTGTCTAAAGAGCTCCTTATATCACCATTGCAGAAGTTCCACCCCTCACTGGTTATTTAAAAAAGTGGAAGTATAAGGTTAATGTACTAAAGGAGACCTCTATGAAATAGGGCTTACAATGACTAAGCCAGCATTATATCTTTGTTAGCAATCTGAAAACTCAGTTTGGTAGTTCTGGGTCATTTATAGTTTATGTTTATTTATATTTATTTATTTATTTCGAGACACAGTTTCACTCTGTCGCCCAGGCTGGAGTGCAGTGGCACAGTATTGGCTCACTGCGACCTCCACCTCCTAGGTTTAAGCGATAATCATGCCTCAGTCTCCCAAGTAGCTGAGATTACAGGCATGTGCCATCACTCCGGCTAATTTTTGTATTATTAGTAGAGACGGGGTTTCACCATGTTGGCCAAGCTTGTCTCAAACTCCTGACCTCAAGTGATCCAACCGCCTCAGGATCCCAAAGTGCTGGAATTACAGGTGTGAGCCACTGTCATTGGCCTAGAGTTTTTTTTTTTTTAAGGAATATTTCAAAGTATTGTCTTCAAGTTAGTTCAGTTCACCAACATTTTATTGACATACTCCCTTGGAATACTAATTTTATGGTGAATAATCTTTGATTTGCTTTGTAGGTATTAGGTTTTGAAACCTTGAAACTAGTATTAATATATTATTTGTGGTTACTGGAATGTCCCATAGATAATATGGTTTGATAATTAAAGCAGAGAACTGAAAATCAAATTTCTCTGCTCCCCAACCCCTCACCCTCATTTTCGATACCAATCTAGGAAATATCAGAAATAATTTTATTTCTATATTGGTTTAGTCAGCCGCAAAATGGAGCTAATAGTGCTTCAGAAGGGTGGTGTGAGACTTAATGAATATTGCTAAAGCGTTTGTTTCTGTGAAAACAACTGTATTTGTTTTATTTTAAATATATATTTATACTTATTCGGGGTCGGGCCCAACACTTTGGGAGGCTGAGGCTGGTGGATCACTTGAGCTCCGGAGTTCGAGACCAACCTGGCCAACATGGTGAAACCCTATCTCTACTAAAAATACAAAAAAAAAAAAAAATTAGCCACGCATGGTGATGAGTTCCTATAATCCTAGCTACTTGGGAGGCTGAGGCAGGAGAATCGCTTGAACTTGGGAGATGGAGGTTGCAATGAGTCAAGATCGTGCCACTGCACTCCAGCCTGGGTGACAGAATGAGACTCCATCTCGAAAATAACTAAGTAAATCATTAATAAATAAATATATATTTATATTCCTTCAACTTTAAATGGCCAACTAAGAGCTTGTATACACTTGTAAAGTATTTTAATGCAGTATGTATTATAATAATTTAATGCAGTAAATTATATATATTTAATGTAGCATATTAAGTTATATATATTTAAGGCAGTATATTAAATTATACCTATTTAGTGCAGTATATATTATATATATTCAATGCTATATATATAGCCAAATGGAAAAAGGCATCAATATAATTGTAGTGTTGATTTATTGGGTATCTCCTAAGGAAATTGTTTTCTACAGTTAGAAAGTATTGCTTTATATCATTATATCATATGGATAATAATCTGTTGTAGTGCAAAACAGAAAAGTTGGAATAAAGTATGCTTATACCATGTCTTCTTAGTAATATATAATCTTGAAAATTATATATAATTTGAAATGGATATATGTTTATATATATATATATATTTTTTTTCCTTTTTAATGATAGCCAAAGCTATGATATTGGGAAGATGGATAAGAAATCTACTGGGCCAGAAATGCTGGTAAGGATCATGTTAAATATTGTAGAAATAGGTTGAATAACCTGCTTTATTTTATTGTTATAAAATTATAATAGCGTACTCCCCATTTATGAGTAGATTAGCTATTGGGCACAACATTTAACATCTCAGTGTATTTGTTTTTGTATATTTATATAATAATATAATCTAACTCATAGGCATGTACCCATGAATTAATATATGTAGAGTGCTTTGAACAATGTTTGGGTATGTAAATTTTAACTTTCTTTTCTGTGTGTGTGTGTGTGTGTGTGTGTGTGTGTGTGTGTGTGTGTTTTGAGATAGAGTCTCGCTCTGTTGCCCAGGCTGGAATGCAGTGGTGGGATCACTGCAACCTCTGCCTCCCAGGTTCAAGCGATTCTGGTGCCTCAGCCTCCCAAGTAGCTAGGACTACAGGCATGAGCCACCACACCTGGATAATTTTTGTGTTTTTAGCAGAGACGGGGTTCTGCCATGTTGGCCAGGCTGGTCTGGAACTCCTGACCTCAGGTGATTTGCCCACCTTGGCCTCTCAAAGTGCTGGGATTACAGGAGTGAGCTACCGTGCCTGGCCTAGTTTTAACTTTTCTTATTGCATATTTTGAAGTTGCAGATTTTTCCCCAACTGCCCAGACAGAACGTGCTTGGATATGGAAATTAATCTTAATATGTAATCAAGCAAAATGTGATTGTGTAAATAAATGTGATGTAAAATTACTACATTCTATAGCAAAATGGAATCTTTTGAATATCCATTTGATTCTTACTATTACAGCATATTAATCAAAATGTAACTGGATACCTTTTTAATGTATTTACCACTGTAATATATGGGGAATAAAAGAGAAGCATAAAATGTAGCTTCTGCCCTTAAGGAACTTATGATTAAAGGATAAAACTAGTACAAGTGACTACAATGAAATATTATCCTGGCTTAATAAAGAAAGAAATCTGACACATGCTACAACATGGGTTAACTGTGAGGAGACTACGCTGAGTGAAACAAGCCAGTCACAAAAAGACAGATAATGTATGGTTCCACTTATGTGAGGTATGTAGAGTAGTCAAATTCATAGAGACAGAAAGTAAAATGGTGGTTTTAGGGGGTAGGGAGAGGGGAGAATTGGGAACTATTGTTTAGTGGGTATAGAGTTTCAGTTTTGCAAGGTAAGAGAGTTCTCGAGATGGATGCTGGTAATGATTGCACAAGAGTGTGAATATACTTAATACTACTGAACTGTACACTTAAAAATGTTTAAGATGGTCATGGAGCCGGGTGCAGTGGTGTGTACCTGTAGTCCCAGCTACTCAGGAGGCTAAGCCAGGAGGATTGCATGAAACCAGGAGTTTGAGGCTGCAATGAGCTGTGATCATGCCTGTGAATAGCCACTGCATTCCATCTGGGCAACATAGTAAGACTCCATCTCCAAAAAAAATTTTTTTTTGAGACAGGGTCTTGTCACCCAGGCTGGAGGGCAGTGGTGTGATCAGCTCACTGTAACCTTCAAACTCCTGGGCTCAAGCAGTCCTCCCTTCTTAACCTACTGAGTAGCTGGGACTACAGGTACACTCCACCACATCTGGCCAATTTTTAATTTTTTATAGAGACGGGGGTCTCACTTTGTTGCCTGGGCTGGTCTCAAACACCTGGCCTCAAGTGATCCTCCCACCTTGGCCTCCCAAGGTTCTAGGATTACAGGCATGAGCCACTGCACCTGGCCTAAGATTTTAAAAAAAGTTTAAGATGGTCAATTTTATGTTATGTGTATTTTACCACAATTAAATAAATTATTTATATATAAATATATAATATTTATATTTATATATAGTGACATTGTCACTTATTATATAACAGTGAGACTCAATTAACTATAATAATTGCAACGATATGGATGTTCTCACCTATAATATTGAACAAATGAAGCAAGATACAAAGTAGTACTTACTGTATGATTCCATAAATGTAAATGCCAAGAACAGTCAAAATGAATATATGGTGTTGGACATCAGGGAATTGGTTACCCCTATTTGAAACAGGGTCTGAAAAGAAGCATGAGTGGGCTTGTTGCTGTTAATGTTCTGTTTCTTAACTTTTTTGTTGTTAACATACATGTGTTTACTTTGGGAAAATTCGTAGAGCCTAGAATTCATAAGAGCATAGAGCTCTTGAGATTTTTATACTTTTCTGTAAGTCTTTTATACTTCAATGAAGAAAAATAGAATTTAAAAAACACTACTAGAAGTGAAACAATTTGGGAAGATAATGATAAACTTTGTGGTACTGACCTGAAGTATGCAGAAGGGCATATAGAAAAGGAGATTATCAAGATTAGCTAGAGTAGTTGTAGGAGCCTTTTGGTAGGAGACAGGCCTTTTTGGGGTCCACACAGTTAAAAGGGAGGAAGAAAATGACTCCAGGCAAGGGATCTAGATGGGAGATGTCTAAGAAGGAAATAAGGATGGAAGATAGGATACAAGCTTGATTAAAATGGAATATTCATATTCCATATTGTAAGTTTAGTGAGGTAATACTATGCAGTAATTTTTTATTTCATGCCAGCAGTCATTTATTTGAGGTGTAATTTATATACAGTAAACTTCACAAGTCTCAAGTGTACAGCTTGATGAGTTTTAATATATAGTAGTCTTGTATATTACACCATACAGATCAAGATACAAAAACTTCCCAACACCCCCAAAAGTTCCCTTGGCCCCATTCTAGTTAATACCCACCTCTACTTCCAAGAACAAAAAAACACCATTCTGACTTTTACTACTCTAGATTATTTTTGACTGTTTTTGAGCTTTGTATAAATGGAATCATACAGTTGTCCTGTTTTATGTCTGGCTTTTTTAAAACATACATTGTGAGATTCGTTCATTTTGTTACGTCTTTTGGATGATTTGACACTTTCACTGTTATGAAATAGCTACAGTATTTCTCAGAAATGCCATATTTACTCCATAAAAGTCATTTGGGGGAGCTTATAAATTCTTAGAGTTGTTCCACGATAATAATGTGGTGGTAAGCTGATTAAATGAAATATTGCTCTGCCTCAGTTTCCTTATTTTAAAAGGGGGGATGATAAAATACGTTAAATACTGTTAAGAAAATAATTATATTAACATAATTATATTAAATGTAAATAAGCCAGGAATATAGCCATTACTGTAACATTCTTAGACAATATTTTATATGGGTAGCATAATGATGAGACATATTCCAAGACTGTGGTCGCTTAAGGAAATGCTATTTCATAAAGATGACTTATGTTTGAGAAGATGCCTGTCACTGTGGGAGTGCTAGTCAGCTGTTGTATTGAAGTTTAACCATCAGATATGTGCTTTTTTTCTTTTTTTTTTTCTTACAGGCTAAAGTTCTACGGCTATTAGCCACGAATTATTTGGATTGGGATGACACCAAATATTATGATAAGGCTCTCAATGCTGTAAACCTAGCAAACAAGGTATGGGGCTTGTATTTTTGAATACTAACTTAATGTATTTTTTGAAGTCTTGATCACATTTTGAAATCCAGTTTAGACATTTGCTTCAGCATTTACTCTCACAGATTGTTATAATCTCTTCTATAGCACAGAAAGGAAAAATAAAATATTGCTATAATCTGAATGTTTGTGTCCCCGCAAATTCCTATGTTGAAATCTTAACCCCCAAAGTGATGATATTAAGAGGTGGGGACTTTTTGGTGTAGAATGGACGTAAAAATAAAAAAGGTGGGGACTTTGGGAGATGATAAAGTCATTGGGCAAACCCCTCTTGAATGGTATTACTGCCCTTATAAAAGAGGTCCACAGGAGTTTGTTCACCCCTTTTATCATGTGAGGACATGAGAAGGCACTGTCTTTGAGTAAGCAGGCCCTCACCAGACACCGAATCTGCGAGCACCTTGATGTTGGAGTTCCCAGCCTTCAGAACTGTGAGAAATCAATATCTGTTGTTTGTAAAGTATCTAGTTTATGGTATTTTGTTATAGCAGCATGAACAGACTAAAACAAATATACTTCTTTGAACACCAGAGATTTTTGAGAAAATTTTCTTTTCTGTGAAACAGAAAGGGATGTCTCTACTGTGAGTTTTTAGGATGAAGAAGTAAATGATAAAATACGCAGAATAATGGGATTTAATTTTAAAAACAACTCCAGTGGTTGACTTTCAGCTCATGTTCACACATACCTAAAAACATGAATACAAAGCGGGCGTGGTGACACATGCCTGTATTTCCAGTTGCTCAGGAGGCCAATGTGGGAGATTTGCTTGAGGCCAGGAGTTCAAGGCTGCAGTGCACTATGATTGCATCTATGAATAGTCACTGCACTTCAGCCTGGGCAACATAATAGCAAGACCCCATCTCTAAAACAAACAAAACAAAATGTGTATATATCTACACTCCTGGACAAGGAACACTGAAAGGCTGGTGACCCTTTAAAAATAGATTCAGGCTGGGTGCGGTGGCTCATGCCTGTAATCCCAGCACTTTGGGAGGCTGAGGCAGGCAGATCACAAGGTCAAGAGATCGAAACCATCCTGGTCAACATGGTGAAACCCCATCTTTACTAAAAATACAAAAGTTAGCCAGGTGTGGTGGCATGTGCCTGCAGTCCCAGCTACTCGGGAGGCTGAGGCAGGAGAATCGCTTGAACCCAGGAGGCAGAGGTTGCAGTGAGCCGAGATCGCACCACTGCATTCCAGCCTGGTGACAGAGCAAGTCTCCGTCTCAAAAAAAAAAAAAAAAAGAAATGAAATAAAATAAGAGAGATTCAATTAGGATCAATGTGTTTTACTTAATAAGGCAATTAAATATACTGATACACTTTAGAAAGGTTTTTTTCAACAGAGTGGAAGCATGAAAATGAATAGCTCGATCAACCAGAATGTTAAATTTGTCAAACAGAGCATTTACTTGAACTATATTTTCCTGAAATTTATGTTATGTGGATGGGGTTATTTAATGCTGAAAAACTTGTTCAACATTAAAATTAAAAAATTAATGTAGAAATATTTATAGACAGGAATATTTTCTTTTTTTAAATTTTACTTTAAGTTCTAGGATACATGTGCAGAATGTGCAGGTTTGTTACATAGGTATACATGTGCCATGGTGGTTTGCTGCACCTATCAACCCGTCACCTAGGTTTTAAGCCCTTGCCTGCATTAGGTATTTGTCCTAATCCTCTCCCTCCCCGTGCCTCCCACCCCCTAACAGGCCCTAGTGTGTGGATGTTCCCCTCCCTGTGTCCATGTGTTCTCATTGTTCTACTCCCACTTATGAGTGAGAACATGTGGTGTTTGGTTTTCTGTTCCTGTGTTAGTTTGCTGAGAATGATGGTTTCCAGCTTCATCCATGTCCCTGCAAAGGACATGAACTCATTCTTTTTTATGGCTGCATAGTATTCCATGCTGTATATGTGCCACATTTTCTTTATCCAGTCTATCATTGATGGGTATTTGGGTTGGTTCCAAGTCCTTGCTATTGTAAATAGTGCTGCAATAAATATACGTGTACCTGTGTCTTTACAGCAGAATGACTTATAATCCTTCGGGTATATACCCAGTAATGGGATTGCTGGGACAAATGGTATTTCTGGTTCTAGATCCTTGAGGAATCACCACACTGTCTTTTACAATGGTTGAACTAATTTACACTACCACCAAAAGTGTAAGAGCGTTCCTATTTCTCCACAACCTTACCAGCATCTGTTGTTTCCTGACTTTTTAATAATTGTCATTTTAACTGTCGTGAGATGTTATCTCATTGTGGTTTTGATTTGCATTTCTTTAATGACCAGTGATGATGAGCTTTTTTTCATGTTTGTTGGCCGCATAAATGTCTTCTTTTGAGAAGTGTCTGTTTATATCCTTTGCCCACTTTTTGATGGGGTTGTTTGTTTTTTTCTTATAAATTTGTTTAAGTTCCTTGTAGATTCTGGATATTAAACTTTTGTTAGATGGGTAGATTGTAAAAATTTTCTCCCATTCTGTAGATTGCCTGTTCACTCTGAAGATAATTTCTTTTGCCCTGCAGAAGCTCTTTAGTTTAATTAGATCCCATTTGTCAATTTTGGCTTTTGTTGGAATTGCTTTTGGTGTTTTAGACATGAAGTCTTTGCCTATGCCTATGTCCTGAATGGTATTGCCTAAGTTTTCTTCTAGGGTTTTTATTGTTTTGGTTTTACATTTAAGTCTTTAATCCATTTTGAGTTAATTTTTGTATAAAGTGTAAGGAAGGGGTCCAGTTTCTGTTTTCTGCATATCAGCCATACTATTTTTCTTAGCAACTGTATCATTTTAAATTCCCATCTATAGTGCACAAGGGTTGCAATTTCTTCACGTCTTCAGCAGCACTTGTTATCTTCTATTTTTTAATAATAGACATCATTATGAGTGTTAGGTTCACCTTTGTTTTTTGAATGATATTTTTTCCAGGTATAGAATTTAAACCAGACAGCTTTTTTTGGGGGGGGGGTATTTTAAATATTTCATTCCACTGTATTCTCATTCTGTTGTTTCTGTTGAGAAATATGGTGCCATTCTTATGTTTGTTCTTTTTTATATAGCGTGTCTTCTTTTCTGAATAAGTTTTGGATTTTTTATCATTGGTTTTGAGCAACTTGATGTTATGCTTTTAAGTAATTTTATTTACGTTTCTCGTGCTTGGGGCTCTTTGTGATTTTTTGGATGTCTAGGAGCATAATTTTCATTATGTTTGAAAAGTTCCAGTATTTCTTCAAATTTTTTTTCTGCTTTCCCCCAAGTACTCTAATTAACCATGTATTAGGCTGCCTGAAGTTGTGCCATAGTTTGCTTATACTCTTTTCACTTAAAACATAATTTGTTATTTTTGTTTCATTTTGGACTGTTTTGTATTGCTATTACTTTTAAGTTCATTAATCTTTCTTCTGCAATGTCTAATCATCTGTTAATCTCATCCCATATATTTTTCATTTCAGACTTTGTAGTTTTTATCTCTAAAAGTTTGATTTGGTTTATTTTTATATCTTCCAAGTCTCTAGTTAAATTTTTGAGCATACGAAATACAGTTATACTTACTCTTTTAATGTCTTTCTTTGATAATTCTAATATCTATGTCACTTCTAGATTAGTTTCCATCTATTATCTCCCCATTATTGATTGTTTTTGCCTGCTCTGTCTTTCACTGGGTGCCAACTATTTTACATCGTTGGCTGCTGGATATTTTTGTAATACTATAAATCTTATTGAGCTTTATTATGGGAAACAGGCAAGTTATTTGGAAACGATTTGATCCCGCTGTTCATGTGAACTCCTGACTCTTGCTTAGTATGAAATATTTCCTTCTTTGTTTTGTAATTATGGATATGTTAATTTATGTTCAGTGAGTGTTAAGTTTTTAGAATCCTATTCAACCTGGATTGAGAGCATGGCCCTGCAGAGAAACTTTTTATTGGCATCAGCCAGATGTAAAAGAGTTACCACTCTTTTGGTTACTTTTATTTTACTTTCTCAGATTGGAGGTTTTTGGACCACATGAGTAATGTAAATTTGAACTCTGTATCTACATGAAGGCAGAGCCCATTAAAAAATTATCCAAACCAAAAAACTTATCTACACAAACTTTTTTTTTTTTTTTGCCTCACTCAGAGCTTAGCTAGAAGACAAACTTCCTATGCCATTAGATAAAAGAAAAAAACTCAGGAAACTTACCACCTCCATATGGTTCACTTCTCCAAGTTTTGTTGCCTCACTACAATCTTTGTTTTTGTTTACTTTTAAGAGTCCTCAGGTTGTTGCTTTTTATATCTTGTTCAGAGTTCTTAGTTGTAATTAGTAGAAGGTATAGGCTTAGTTGTCTTGCTTCATATCTGCTGGAACTGAATCTGATAGTAAATTTTTAAAGGAGAAATTAAAATTTGGTATGCCTATGTTGTTTCACAAAATTACCTTTGAAAATGTATTAGTGCAATGAAATAAATATAAAAGGCATAGGTGCTTAGATACTACACCAAAAGCACAAGCAAAAAAGAACAATTAGGTAAAATTAAGTCTCATTAAAATTAATTTTTTTGCTTCAAAGGAAATCATCAAGAAAATGAAGACACAATCCATAGGATCCTCCCAACAGAATGGGAGAACATATTTGCAAATCATATATCTGTTGTCTATTAACCATAATATAAAAAAGAACTCTTACTATTCAATAAGAAGACAAACAACCCAATTGAAAATGGGCTAAGGAGGCAAAGGAGCTCAATAGACATTCTCCAAATAATACGTACCAGTGGCCAATAAGTACACAAAAAGATACTCAATATCATTAGTTATCAGGGAATGCAAATTAGAAGCACAATGAGAAACCACTTTACATCCACTGGTATGGCCCTCCGACTTGTTTTTATTTCAGAATTGTTTTGGCTCTTCTGAATCTCTTGCATTTTCATATTTTGGAATCAGCTTGTTGATTTCTGCAAAGAAGACAGCTGGGAATTTGGTAGGGAATTTGTTGAATCTGCAGATCAATTTGGGAATTATTGCTATCTTAACAATATTAAGTTTTCAAATCCAGGAACATTTATTCATTGTTTTGTAGTTTTCAATAAATAAGTTTTGTCCTTCTTTTGTTAAATTTATTGCTTCTTTATGCTTTTATAAATGGAATTATTTTCTTGACTTTTGGATTGTTCATTGCTAGTATATAGAAATGCCATTAATTGAAAAAATACTGATATTATATCCTACAATCTTCCTGTACTTGTTCTTTTAGCTTTAATAGTTTTTTAATGGATTACTTAGGATTTTCTGTATACAAGATCATATTTTCTGGCCGGACGCTGTGGCTCACACCTGTAATCCCAGTACTTTGGGAGGCTGAGGTGGGTGGATCACTTGAGGTCAGGAGTTCGAGACCAACCCGGCCAACATGGTGAAACCCCATCTCTACTAAAAATACAAAATTAACCAGACATGGTGGTGCATGCCTGTAATCCCAGCTATTTGGGAAGCTGAGGCAGGAGAATCACTTGAATCCAGAAGGGAGAGGTTGCAGTGAGCCAAGATTGTGCCATTGCACTCCAGCCTGGACAACAAGAGCAAAACTCCGTCTCAAAAAAAAAAAATCATATTTTTTGTAAATAAAGATAGTTTTACTTCTTGCTTTCCAATCTGCGTGCCTTTTGTCTCTTTTTCTTTTCTAATTTTTCTAGCAAGAACATTCATTACTATGTTAAATAGAATTGGCAAGAGCAGTATCTTTCCCTAATCTTAGAGAGCTTTCAGTATTTTGCCATTAAGTATGGTGTTAGCTGTGGGTTTAGTATAGATGCCCTTTGTCAGGTTGAGGAAGCTCCCTTCATTCCTAGTTTTTTGAGAATTGTACAACCACGTTAAAAAACAGTTTGAAGTTACTTGATAAAATAAAATTTGATCATACTGGACCACCCAGCAACTTCACTCCTAGGTAGTGAAGCGCTAGCATTTGTATACAAGGAGAGGTATACAGAATGCTGATTCCAGGATTGTTCATAATAGCAATTGCGTTGGAAACAGCTTAAATATCCAAAGTAGAATGTGCAAATAAAGTGTGAATTATTCATAAAACAGAGTACTATACAACAGTTGTTCTTAATATTTAGCTTGTGTAAGTATTACCTAGAGTGTCTGTTAAACACAGTTTGCTCATTTGTTACCTTACTAAACAGATAATAGAATTTATGTTGAATTGGAAACTTTCCATAATGCAAATCAATAATAATTATTTTACACATTTTCCCCCACACATGCACATACAATTTGCTAGGCAATACTCCCAGAGTTTCTCATTTAGTAGGTTTTGGATGGGGCTTGAATTTCTTTTTTTTTCTTTTTTTTTAAATTATACTTTAAGTTTTAGGGTACATGTGCACGACGTGCAGGTATGTTACATATGTATACTTGTGCCATGTTGGTGTGCTACACCCATTAACTCGTCATTTAACATTAGGTATATCTCCTAATGCTATCCCTCCCCACTCCCCCCAACCCACAACAGGCCCTGGTTGTGATGTTCCCCTTCCTGTGTCCATGTGTTCTCATTGTTCAATTCCCACCTATGAGTGAGAACATGCGGTGTTTGGTTTTTTGTCCTTGCGATAGTTTGCTGAGAATGATGGTTTCCAGCTTCATCCATGTCCCCACAAGGGACATGAACTCATCATTTTTTATGGCTGCATAGTATTCCATGGTGTGTATGTGCCACTTTTTCTTAATCCAGTCTATCACTGTTGGACATTTGGGTTGGTTCCAAGTCTTTGCTATTGTGAATAGTGCCGCAATAAACATACGTGTGCGTATGTCTTTATAGCAGCATGATTTATAGTCCTTTGGGTATATACCCAGTAATGGGATGGCTGGGTCAAATGGTATTTCTAGTTCTAGATCCCTGAGGAATCGCCACACTGACTTCCACAATGGTTGAACTAGTTTACAGTCCGACCAGTAGTGTAAAAGTGTTCCTATTTTTTCACATCCTCACCAGCACCTGTTGTTTCCTGACTTTTTAATGATGCCATTCTAACTGGTGTGAGATGGTATCTCACTGTGGTTTTGATTTGCATTTCTCTGATGGCCAATGATGATGAGCATTTTTTCATGTGTTTTTTTTGGCTGTATAAATGTCTTCTTTTGAGAAGTGTCTGTTCATATCCTTCACCAACTTGTTGATGGGGTTGTTTGTTTTCTTCCTGTAAATTTGTTTCAGTTCATTGTAGATTCTGGATATTAGCCCTTTGTCAGATGAGTAGATTGCAAAAATTTTCTCCCATTTTGTAGGTCGCCTGTTCACCCTCATGATAGTTTCTTTTGCTGTGCAGAAGCTCTTTAGTTTAATTAGATCCCATTTGTCAATTTTGTCTTTTGTTGCCATTGCTTTTGGTGTTTTAGACATGAAGTCCTTGCCCATGCCTATGTCCTGAATGGTATTGCCTAAGTTTTCTTCTAGGGTTTTTATGGTTTTAGGTCTAACATTTAAGTCTTTAATCCATCTTCAATTAATTTTAGTATAAAGTGTAAGGAAGGGATCCAGTTTCAGCTTTCTACATATGGCTAGCCAGTTTTCCCAGCACCATTTATTAAATTGGGAATCCTTTCCCCATTGCTTGTTTTTGTCAGATTTGTCAAAGGTCAGATAGTTGTAGATGTGTGGCATTATTTCTGAGGGCTCTGTTCTGTTCCATTTGTCTGTATCTCTGTTTTGGTACCAGTACTATGCTGTTTTGGTTACTGTAGCCTTGTAGTATAGTTTGAAGTCAGGTAGCGTGATGCTTCCAGCTTTGTTCTTTTGGCTTAGGATTGTCTTAGCAATGCAGGCCCTATTTTGGTTCCATAGGAACTTTAAAGTAGTTTTTTCCAATTCTGTGAAGAAAGTCATTGGTAGCTTGATGGGGATGGCATTGAATCTATAAATTACCTTGAGCAGTATGGCCATTTTCATGATATTGATTCTTCCTACCCATGAGCATGGAATGTTCTTCCATTTGTTTGTATCCTCTTTTATTTCATTGAGCAGTGGTTTGTACTTCTTCTTGAAGAGGTCCTTCATGTCTTTTGTAAGTTGGATTCCTAGGTATTTTATTCTCTTTGAAGCAACTGTGAATGGGAGTTCACTCATGATTTGGCTCTCTGTTTGACTGTTTTTGGTGTATAAGAATGCTTGTGATTTTTGCTCATTGACTTTGTGTCCTGAGACTTTGCTGAAGTTGCTTATCAGCTTAAGGAGATTTTGGGCTGAGACGATGGGGTTTTCTAGATATACAATCATGTCATCTGCAAACAGGGACAATTTGACTTCCTCTTTTCCTAATTGAATACCCTTTATTTCCTTCTGCCTGATTGCCCCGGCCAGAACTTCCAACACTATGTTGAATAGGAGTGGTGAGAGAGGGCATCCCTGTCTTGTGCCAGTTTTCAAAGGGAATGCTTCCAGTTTTTGCCCATTCAGTATGATATAGGCTGTGGGTTTGTCATAGATAGCTCTTATTATTTTGAGATACATCCCATCAATACCTAATTTATTCAGAGTTTTTAGCATGAAGGGTTGTTGAATTTTGTCAAAGGCCTTTTCTGCATCTATTGAGATAATCATGTGGTTTTTGTCATTGGTTCTGTTTATATGCTGGATTACATTTATTGATTTGCACATGTTGAACCAGCCTCGCATCCCAGGGATGAAGTCCACTTGATCATGGTGGATAAGCTTTTTGATGTGCTGCTGAATTCAATTTGCCAGTATTTTATTGAGGTTTTTTGCATCAATGTTCATCAGGGATATTGGTCTAAAATTCTCTTTTTTGGTTGTGTCTCTGCCCGGCTTTGGTATCAGGATGATGCTGGCCTCATAAAATGAGTTAGGGAGGATTCTCTCTTTTTCTATGATTGGAATAGTTTCAGAAGGAATGGTACCAGCTCCTCCTTGTACCTCTGGTAGAATTCGGCTGTGAATCCATCTGGTCCTGGACTTTTTTTGGTTGGTAAGCTATTGATTATTGCCTCAATTTTAGAGCCTGTTATTGGTCTATTCAGAGGTTCAACTTCTTCCTGGTTTAGTCTTGGGAGGGTGTATGTATCGAGGAATTTATCCATTTCTTCTAGATTTTCTAGTTTATTTGCGTGGAGGTGTTTATAGTATTCTCTGATGGTAGTTTGTATTTCTGTGGGATCAGTGGTGATATCCCCTTTATCATTTTTTATTGCGTCTATTTGATTCTTCTCTCTTTTCTTCTTTATTAGTCTTGCTAGCGGTCTATCAATTTTGTTGATCTTTTCAAAAAACCAGCTCCTGGATTCATTGAGTTTTTGAAGGCTTTTTTGTGTCTCTATTTCCTTCAGTTCTGCTCTGATCTTAGTTATTTCTTGCCTTCTGTTAGCTTTTGCATGTGTTTGCTCTTGCTTCTGTAATTCTTTTAATTGTGATGCTAGGGTGTCAATTTTGGATCTTTCCTGCTTTCTCTTGTGGGCATTTAGTGCTATAAATTTCCCTCTACACACTGCTTTGAATGTGTCCCAGAGATTCTGGTATGTTGCGTCTTTGTTCTCATTGGTTTCAGAGAACGTCTTTATTTCTGTCTTTATTTTGTTATGTACCCAGTAGTCATTCAGGAGCAGGTTGTTCAGTTTCCATGTAGTTGAGCGGTTTTGAGTGAGTTTCTTAATCCTGAGTTCTAGTTTGATTGCACTGTGGTCTGAGAGACTGTTTGTTATAATTTCTGTTGTTTTACATTTGCTGAGGAGTGCTTTACTTCCAAGTATGTGGTCAATTTTGGAATAGGTGTGGTGTGGTGCAGAAAAGAATGTATATTCTGTTGATTTGGGTTGGAGAGTTCTGTAGATGTCTATTAGGTCCGCTTGGTGCAGAGCTGAGTTCAGTTCCTGGATATCCTTGTTAACTTTCTGTCGTGTTGATCTGTCTAATGTTGACAGTGGGGTGTTAAAGTCTCCCATTATTATTGTGTGGGAGTCTACGTCTCTTTGTAGGTCTCTAAGGACTTGCTTTATGAATCTGGGTGCTTCTGTATTGGGTGCATATATATTTAGGATAGTTAGCTCTTCTTGTTGAACTGATCCTTTTACCATTATGTAATGGCCTTCTTTGTCTCTTTTGATCTTTGTTGGTTTAAAGTCTGTATTATCAGAGAGTAAGATTGCAACCCCTGCCTTTGTTTGTTTTCCATTTGCTTGGTAGATCTTCCTCCATCCCTTTATTTTGAGCCTATGTGTGTCTCTGCACGTGAGATGGGTTTCCTGAATACAGCACACTGATGGGTCTTGACTCTTTATCCAATTTGCCAGTCTGTGTCTTTTAATTGGAGCATTTAGCGCATTAACATGTAAGGTTAATGTTGTTATGCGTGAATTTGATCCTGTCATTGTGATGTTAGCTGGTTATTTTGCCCGTTAGTTGATGCAGTTCAGCCTTGATGGTCTTTACAATTTGGCATGTTTTTGCAGTGTCTTGTACCGGTTGTTCCTTTCCATGTTTAGTGCTTCTTTCAGGAGCTCTTTTAGGGCAGGCCTGGTGGTGACAGAATCTCTCAGCATTTGCTTATCTGTAAAGGATTTTATTTCTCCTTCACTTATGAAGCTTAGTTTGGCTGGACGTGAAATTTGGGTTGAAAATTCTTTTCTTTAAGAATGTTGAATATTGGCCCCCACTCTCTTCTGGCTTGTAGAGTTTCTGCCGAGAGATCAGCTGTTAGTCTGATGGACTTCCCCTTGTGGGTAACCCGACCTTTCTGTCTGGCTGCCCGTAACATTTTTTCCTTCATTTCAACTTTGGTGAATCTGACAATTATGTGTCTTGGAGTTGCTCTTCTCGAGGCATATCTTTGTGGCGTTCTCTGTATTTCCTGAATCTGAATGCTGGCCTGCCTTGCTAGATTGGGGAAGTTCTCCTGGATAGTATCCTGCAGAGTGTTTTGCAACTTGGTTCCATTCTCCCTGTCACTTTCAGGTACACCAATCAGACGCAGATTTGGTCTTTTCACATAGTCCCATATTTCTTGGAGGCTTTTTTCATTTCTTTTTATTCTTTTTTCTCTAAACTTCTCTTCTCGCTTCATTTCATTCATTTGATCTTCCATCACTGATACCCTTTTTTCCAGTTGATCGAATCCGCTACTGAAGCTTGTGCATTCATCACGTAGTTCTTGTGCTGTGGTTTTCAGCTCCATCAGGTCCTTTAAGGACTTCTCTGTATTGGTTATTCTAGTTAGCCATTCGTCTAATTTTTTTTCAAGGTTTTTAACTTCTTTGCCGTGGGTTCGAACTTCCTCCTTTAGCTTGGCGTAGTTTAATCGTCTGAAGCCTTCTCTCAACTCGTCAAAGTCATTCTCCATCCAGCTTTGTTCTGTTGCTGGTAAGGAGCTGCGCTCCTTTGGAAGAGGAGAGGTGCTCTGATTTTTAGAATTTCCAGTTTTTCTGCTCTGTTTTTTCCCCATCTTTGTGGTTTTATCTACCTTTGGTCTTTGATGATGGTGACAAACAGATGGGGTTTTGGTGTGCATGTCCTTTCTGTTTGTTAGTTTTCCTTCTAACAGTCAGGACCCTCAGCTGCAGGTGCATTGGAGTTTGCCAGAGGTCCACTCCAGACCCTGTTTGCCTGGGTATCAGAGCGGAGGCTGCAGAACAGCGGATATTGGTGAACAGCAAATGTTGCTGCCTGATCGTTCCTCTGGAAGTTTTGTCTCAGAGGAGTACCCGGCCGTGTGAGGTGTCAGTCTGCCCCTCCTGGGGGGTGCCTCCCAGTTAGGCTACTCGGGGGTCAGGGACCCACTTCAGGAGGCAGTCTGTCCATTCTCAGATCTCAAGCTGCGTGCTGGGAGAACCACTACTGTCTTCAAAGCTGTCAGACAGGGACAGTTAAGTCTGCAGAAGTTTTTGCTGCCTTTTGTTTGGCTATGCCCTGCCCCCAGAGGTGGAGTCTACAGAGGCAGGCAGGCCTCCTTGAGCTGCAGTGGGCTCCACCCAGTTCGAGCTTCCCAGCCTCTTTGTTTACCTACTCAGGCCTCGGCAATGGTGGGCGCCCCTCCCCCAGCCTCGCTGCTGCCTTGCAGTTTGATCTCAGACTGCTGTGCTAGCAATGAGCGAGGCTCTGTGGGCGTAGGACCCTCCAAGCCAGGGGTGGGATTTAATTTCCTGGTGTTTTGTTTGCTAAGACCGTTGGAAGTGCGCAGTATTATGGTGGGAGTGACCTGATTTTCCAGGTGCCATCTGTCACTCCTTTCTTTGACTAGGAAAGGGAATTCCCTGACCCCTTGTGCTTCCCTGGTGAGGCGATGCCTCGCCCTGCTTCGGCTCAGGCTCAGTGCACTGCACCCACTGTCCTGCACCCACTATCCAACACTCCCCAGTGAGATGCACCCAGTACCTCAGTTGGAAATGCAGAAATCACCTGTCTTCTGTGTTGCTCACACTGGGAGCTGTAGACTGGAGCTGTTCCTATTCAGCCATCTTGGCTCCAACCCATGGCTTGCATTTCTTACAAGTTCCCAGATGGTGCTGATTCAGGGACCACCCTTTGACAGCCATGCTGTATAGTAATGAAAACAAATAAGTTTCACATATCTACATGGTTGAATCTGAAAAAACATGATTTGAATGAAAGGAATCACAGAAGAACTTAGATACATTATGATTCTGTTTAAGTGAAGTTCAAATGTAGGCAAAACTAAATAATTGTGTTGGCTAGCTTGAGCTGTTATAACTAAATACTATAAACTGGGTGGCTTAAGCAACAGAACTTTATGTCTCACACTTCTAGGGACTGAGATGTCCAAGATCAAAATACCAGCCTTTTTGGTTCCTGGTGGGGGCCTTTGTCTTGGTTTGAAGATGGCCACCTTCTTTCTATATCTTCATTTGGCAGAGAAAGAGAGAGAGAGAGAGATCATCTCTCATCTCTCTCATGTCTTTTCTTATAAGGGCACTTATCCCATTCATGAGGGCTCAGCCCTCATGACCAAATTACCTCCCAAAGCCCCCACCTCAAAATACCATCACATTGGGGATTAGATATTCAATATATGAATTTTAGAAAGACACAAACATTCGGTCCATAGCAACTGTATATTGTGTATATATAAAGAAAAGCAAGGGAATTACTGCACAAAATTCAGGATGGTGTTTACCTCTGTGAGGTGAGGAGGATGCCTATGGGTAAGGATACATTTGAGGCTTTTTATGTGGCAATAATCTGTTTCTTAACCTTGGTAGTGAGGACACCGGTGTTTGTTTTATTATTATTCTGTAAACTATACATATACATTGCATATACATATGTTTATATACTCATGTGTGTGTATGTGTGTATGTGTATGATACACTTCACACTAGAAATGAGTACATTATCTTTAGAGCTTGCAAAATATCCAGATAGTGTAGTAATGCCTGCCATGATAGACAGAGCTTCAAGGGAGGCAGCATATTGTAATGGAAAGATTATGTCCTTTAGAGTCAGAGAGATCTGAATTCAAATTTCAGCTCTACTACTTACCAGTTGTGTGACCATGGGTAAGTTACTTAACTTTATCTGGCCCTGCAAAACAAGATTCACAATACTTATCTTGTATGTTTGTTGTACCTGGAGCCTGTTTCTCAGTAACTGGTGAAAAGAAAAAAATCAGCAAACAAAAATCTAAGGAAGGGAGCCAGGCATGGTAGTTCATGCCTATAATCCCAGCACATTGGGAGGCTGAGACAGGAGGATTGCTTGAGCCCAGGAAGTGGAGGCTGCAGTGAGCCGTGTTTGTACCACTGCACTCCAGCCTGGGAGACAGAGTGAGACTCTGTCTCAAATAATGAAAAAAAAAAAGCAGCCAGGCCTGGTGGCTCATGCCTGTAATCCCTGCACTTTGGGAGGCTGAGGCAGGTGGATCACTTGAGGTCAGGAGTTCGAGAACAGTCTGGCCAACATGGTGAAACCTCGTCTCTACTAAAAATACAAAAATGAGCCAGATGTGGTAGAGTGTACCTGTAATCCCAGCTACTCGGGAGGCTGAGGCAGGAGAATTGCTTGAACCTGGGAGACGGAGGTTGCAGTGAGCCGAGATTGTGCCACTACACTCCAGCCTGGGCGATAGAGTGAGACTCCATCATGAATAAATAAATAAACAAACAAACAAAGCTATGAAGAATGAGAAATAACAGTGGGAAAAGTTACAGAGAAGACAAGGATTTTGATAGTAGGGAGAAAGCTGATGGATTTAGCAGGCAATCTTCATGACTTCTGGAAGTGTAGTTTTAAGAGACAATAAGGATGGACAATATACGGTGCAAATGTTTACAGAAGTGAAGACATGATGATAACAGAAGTAAAATGTCCATTATCTGGGGTTGTTTGGTAATGAAATCAGTGAAAATCATATCTGGAATTGTTTGGTAGAAAAAAACCAGAATGTTAAATTTGTGTGAGAATAGCAGACTCAAGGAAAACAGATGTTGCCAAGATCTGGAAGACCTCTATGTCTCTGAAGATAAAAGGGAATTGAATCCAACACATACTTCAACAAACCTACAGGAAAGATGGTAATGCAATAAATCAAAATTGGCAACTTCAGTTTATTCTTTGTACTAGTGTCATCTATATTTGCAAGCCCTTTTAATACCAGTGCTTACTTTCTCCAACTTTCTATTTTTAAGACATCTCACATATGAATACCTGTAATTATGTGCAGAGTATGGAGCTAATCAGTACGGTGTTCATGTAGGGGTTAATTGGCTTTGTAGAGAGAAAAGTTCTGTTCTGTGGGCCTAGACTGTACTTTTAGTCTTAGAAAGTTGTTTAAAGATGTACCCTGTCAGGCGAAAGTGGAACCGGGAAGATCACAGATGGCTTAGGGCCAACTAACAATGATTTAGAAATAACGTTGTTATTAATGGTAAACACGACAGGCATATCTTATGGAAAAGACAATACATTTTCTATTTTATTCCGCCATTGTTTGCAAAGGACCTTAGTCAATAAATCTCAAAAGAAAATAAAACTAGCCGGTTTGTGGTTTTGCTTACAAAGAATATGGCCTGAGATTTGTACAGTTTAAGTATTAATCTTGTCATTAAATGTTTGTCACTCATTGGAAATATTTACATGTTCTTTTCCATATATTATTTCATTTAGATTGAAAAAATATTGGGAAATATCCTCAGGGATAGAACAAATGTTATGATATGGTCTTCTGTAATTTCGATTTCCTTTGATTATGAGTTATCCCAAGGTGGTTGAATAAAGCAGGCAATTACTTGAAAATTGTCTTTTACATTCCACAATTTTAATATCATTGTGATTTCTTTGTTTAAAATAGGAACATTTAAGTTCTCCTGGGCTTTTCTTAAAAATGAAAATCCTCTTGAAAGGCGAAACATCTAATGAAGAACTCCTTGAAGGTATGATCTCTGTATGTGAAGAGCACACCATTTTGAAACATCACTACAATTTGTTAAATATAAGATCTTTTGTAGTATACTAACAATAGGTGTAATTTGATGGTGGCTGAGAAGGAAAATGATCACCCAGGAAAGGGAAAATATTGTCACCCAGGAAGAAAGAGAGAAAGAAGAAAAAATAGTAGCAAATTTAAAAGGTGTTTTTTTTTTTAAAAAAAGCTGAATAAAAGCAATCAGTTTTCTTTTAGTCCAGCAGAGAACTGTAGCTACCCAACCCTTCTGAAGTTGTCTACCACCATGAAGAAAGAAAGATTACCTATTAATGGGAAAAGCCTTTGTAATGCTGTGATTTTTATAATTACTTGTTTATAAACATTGCTATTTATTTTTCATAATTCTCCAAGGACCAGAATGTACACTGCACAAAAGTTGGTCATTGGGCAAGTCACTTAACTTTGCTTTGTTTCTTCATTTAGCAAAAGAGATATTATTATTATCTACCTCATCATGTTGTTTTGAGAATCTTGTGAGAAAATGTGTATAAAGCATTTAACACCATACCTGGTGCATAGTGTGCAATATATGTTACCTATTACTGTAGTTATTATTATTACTGTTATTACTACTATATAGATGCATTACATGAAGCAAAACTATGCACACTAGCCCTTAACATTTCAGTTTTGTTTAGTCATAAAAATTATTTACTCTAATTCTTTTAATGTTGTACATGCTTTTCAGTAATCTTTAAGAGCTGCATTATTTGTACTATACAAAATTATATGTTAGTATAGTTACTGATTATCCAATAAATAATAACAATTTGTTATAGTTAGAACTAAAATTCAATTTGGCAGTAGCCCTAAATTTAGTACTACTGAATCTTTCGGCGGCCTCTAGAATTTTAGCCAATCACTTAAGAGACCTCAGAAGCTCAAATGTATTGGGGATTCTGCATCTCTAGGCAACAGTATCACCTCAGCATACACAGATTGAAAAATGTTAGAAACCAGGAAGACAACTCTACTTTTTTGCATTGGGGGAATAAACAAACCAACTAACCAACTAAAATAATACACTTACTCCAACTAAGACAACATAGGAAGACCAGAGAGATGATTGGAGTCACCAAGTTGAAGTACATTAGTTTGGGATGATAATTCCTTATGACAGTGTTTATCCAAATGTAGGTAAGAAGCAGAGTTTAAAATGAAATTGTTCTTTATTCACAGATTGCTTTTACTTAACTCAATCTAGATACTCCCGAAGTTGCAATGTCAGTCATAGTTTGATTACAGATTAGGAGGCTAACCCAAATCCAAGTTTTTTATATTTAAAAATACTAGATTTTGCATTGAAAGAATATATGAAACTTGCATTTTTATATTCTGTTTGTTGCTTTGCTGGTGAAAATACTTTACTCTTAAAATGGTCAGCCTAACTGCTGGCATTATTGCACTGATATTTTTTGTAGTAGAAAGATTGAAATTTAAAAATAAACATTTTTCATTGTGAAAGGATAGCACATAATAATTTAAGACATTTTTGGAAAATACTAAAAATTCTCATGGTCCTACCATCCACTAGAAGCTCCTTGACAGCAGGAATATTTGTTATGTTTTATCCACTGCTAGGTTCTCAGCACAAAGCACAATGCCTGGTACAGATAATATGCTCATTAAATATTTGTCAAATAAATAGAATCTAAACACAATCACTTTTAGAAATTTGATCACTTATTTTCAGTATTTTTTCTCTTAGTTTATTTTGCTTTTATTACAGAATTGTAACTATATAGTACATAAAAGTTTGCTTTCTAATTTTTCACTTACTAATCTTATACATTTTTCATATTAGTGTATATTCATTTTTTCCACTTTATTTCATACTCAACAGTTTTAATGGTTGCACAATAGTTTATTGCTACCCTGTAATAGACATACAGTGTATACTTCTTTTCTATTATTATTATAATCTACACTGCTTTTAATATTTTTGTTCATAAACTTTCCCCATATTTATTCCAGGTGACTTTTCAGAAGCACAATTTCTTAAAGGGAATAATAATAGCAGCTGCCATTTATTAAATGCTTACTAAGTGCTAGGTTCTTTGCTATATAATTTCCATACATTATCTCAGGTAATCCTCTCAACAACCCTGAGAAATTGGTGGTATATTCTCCATTTTACAGGTGACAAAACTAAGGTATAGAGAGCATAACTTGCCTATGGCCATACAAGTAGCAAGTGGTTTCAAATTTAGATCTGTCTGACTTCAGATACCAAGCTCTCTACCCCAGTGTTCTTAGCGTATAGTATTGCCAAGTTGCTTTTTGAAAGGATTGCACCAGATTACTTTGCTATCTGTGCAAGAGTGCTTGTGTCATGACACTCTCCAGCACTGGATGTTAATACTTTAAAAGAAGATTTTGATAAATTTTTAGGCAAAACATGGTATATGGCAAACATTTAGTAAGTAGATTTTGAATAGAGGAAAATTATTGAAAATAACTAAGCTTCCTCAAAAATTAAACTGATAATTATTTCATTTTTTCATCTTGTTAGCTGTCATGGAAATACTACATCTTGACATGCCCTTAGACTTCTGTCTGAACATTGCTAAACTGCTGATGGATCATGAAAGGTACAGAATTGATTTCCCTTTCTCTAAAGACTGACAGTTTTTGGCTAGGCACCAGTGGCTCACACCTAGAATCCCAGCACTTGGAGAGGCTGAGGCGGGAGGATCCCTTGAGCCCAGGAGCTTGAGACCAACCTTGGCAATATAGCAAGACCCCATCTCTACAAAATATTTTTTAAAAAATTGGCTGGTATGGTGGCATGTGCCTGTAGTCATAGCTACTCGGGAGGCTGAGGCGGGAGGATCACTTGAGCCCAGCAGTTCAAGGTTACAGTGAACTATGATAGTGCCACTGCATTCCAGCATGGGCAACAGAGCAGGACTCTCTCAAAAATAATTTTAAAAATTTAGTCCCTCCTTCACACTAGCCATGTATCAAATCCAAATAGCTGCATGTAGCTAATGGCTGCCTTATTGGACATTACAGATTAAAAAAATTTCCATTGTCACAGGGAAGTTCTATTGGGCAGCACTGTTTTAGACCCTGTATTTCTTTTAATGCAGACAACATTTAAAATAGTTCTTTTCTGGCAGCTACATCATATGGTTAATTTCCTGGACTTATGAAACTATATGCCTCATATCCTCCACTTTTATGGTTAAGAACCCATTAACCATACTTTATAAACTATTAAATTTCAGCCTGATTGTTACAGCCTATTTTTTCAGTTCTTCTGATCTTTGTGAATTTCACTTCTATCATGCAGTGTATTAACTATTCCTCCCAGTTTGTGTCATCTTCAAATTTGGTATTGCCACCTGTCTTCATCTAATTCAGGGGTCTGCAAACTTTTCTTACAGGTTAAGATATAAGTATACATTTTGGGCTTGTGGGCCACACAGTCTCTGTCACAACTAGTCAACTCTGCCGTCGTGGTGCAAAAGTAGCCGTAGACTAATCATAAACAAATGTGTGTGGCTTTTATTCCAGTAAAACTTTATTCATAAAAACAAGCAGAGCAGCTGGACTGCAGGCCATAGTTTTCTAACTCCAGATAATTTGACAAACAGCAAAACTGAGGCCAGAACCTTCGTGGCAGCATAGATTAATCTCCAGGTTAACAGCAATCCATTAATTGATACTTTTTAGTGTACAATCATTGAACCTGTTATAAATCCACCTAATTATAGAGCTAGATGACCTAATTTCCTTCATGTTGTTCACAAAAATTTCATGGAACTTAATTTTTATTTTTTAAAGTTTTGGTTGCTTTTATCCTTCCTTCTTCCAAAAAGAATTTGAAACTTCTTATATTCAAGTGTATAATAAAGCTCTGAAAATTGAAATAGACAATCAAAACCCTGAAAAGGAGGAAGCAAACACACCAAACACAATGGCTAATATAGTTGCTGTGGTAGAGCATTCAATTTAATGGTAAGCTTTCTTGCAGCCAGGGAGAAGGGGCAATGTGATATTTTATACAATTTTCATTATTAAATAACAAAAGCTAACATTTACTGATACTTGCTTTTTACTAGGCACTATTCTAAATTCCTTACATTATAAATTATGAAGTACCTCTAACGTAATTTGATTAACCCCATTTTGCAGGTGAGAAAAATGAGGGTTAGATAGAAAAAGTAATTTGCCCACAATTGCATAGCTAGGAAGGAGCAGAGCTGGAATTTAAATATGTTTGCAGAGCTCACACTTTTTATTACTGTAGTAGAAGGAATACATTCAATACTACATTCCAAATCAATTAATCACTAGAAAAAGTTTACAAAGTGGTGGACTATGGGCTGGGTGTGGCGAGAGATGTGTTGCATATAGTTGAATTAGTTGCCAACATTAAACATTCAGGAAATTTCACATAAAAATATGGTTTTCATATATATATATATATTATATATATGTATATAATATATACATAGAAAATCTGTGTAATGAAAAATAATTCAAGAAAAGGACTGAAATTTCAACTGGGTTTATTTTGGAAAGTGAATAAAATAAGCAATCCTGTTGTAAAATGCAGTTATGTAGTTATATATTAAGGGAAAAGATTGCCCAGGCATTAGCTCTCTTACAGATGACAACTTTACAAAAAAGTGTCTACTGAGTCACACAACATATTCTTTTTTTTTTAGTACCTTCTTTTTTTATTATACTTTAAGTTCTAGGGTACATGTGCACAACATGCAGGTTTGTTACTTATGTATACATGTGCCATGTTGGTGTGCTGCACCCATTAACTCCTCATTTACATTAGGTATATCTCCTAATGCTATCCCTACCCCCTTCTCCCACCCCATGAAAGGCCCCGGTGTGTGATGTTCCCCTTCCTGTGTCCAAGTGTTCTCATTGTTCAATTCCCACCTATGAGTGAGAACATGCAGTGTTTGGTTTTTTGTCCTTGCGATAGTTTGCTGAGAATGATGGTTTCCAGCTTCATCCATGTCCCTACATAGGACAGGGACTCATCCTTTTTATGGCTGCATAATATTCCATGGTGTATATATGCCACATTTTCTTAATCCAGTCTATCATTGTTGGACATTTGGGTTGGTTCCAAGTCTTTCCTATTGTGAATAGTGCCACAATGAACATACGTGTGCATGTGTCTTTATAGCAGCATGATTTATAATCCTTTGGGTATATACCCAGTAATGGGATGGCTGGGTCAAATGGTATTTCTAGTTCTAGACCCTTGAGGAATTGCCACACTGTCTTCCACAATGGTTGAACTAGTTTACAGTCCCACCAACAGTGTAAAAGTGTTCCTATTTCTCCACATCCTCTCCAGCACCTGTTGTTTCCTGACTTTTTAATGATCGCCATTCTAACTGGTGTGAGATGGTATCTCATTGTGGTTTTGATTTGCATTTCTCTGATGGCCAGTGATGATGAGCATTTTTTCACGTATCTTTTGGCTGCATAAATGTCTTCTTTTGAGAAGTGTCTGTTCATATCCTTTGCCCACTTTTTGATGGGGTTGTTTGTTTTTTCTTGTAAATTTGTTTGAGTTCTTTGTAGATTCTGGATATTAGCTCTTTGTCAGATGAGTAGATTGCAAAAATTTTCTCCCATTCTGTAGGTTGCCTGTTCACTCTGATGGTAGTTTCTTTTGCTGTGCAGAAGCTCTTTAGTTTAACTGGATCCCATTTGTCAATTTTGGCTTTTGTTGCCATTGTTTTTGGTGTTTTCTGTTGCATAGACATAAATAATAATGCCCAGTGAAGCATATTTATTTGTGGTGTCAATGAGAATTTTGATATGATAGAACTTTTGAACATAGTGCCTGTGTCTTAAGTTTAATGTAGACTGGTCAAAATAACTTAAGTATGACTACAGAAGATATTTCTGCAATGGTTAACACAAGACTTGATATGAAACTTAAATCCAAAGTGGCAGTGTTTTTAAAGATAAAAAACTTCAGTGTATTAATTGTATAATTCACCAGGAAACACTGTCCTAAAAAGATAAAAAATGAAACGTGTATATAATAACAATATATGTATACCAGATATTATTCTGTGGCCTCAACCGAGATTATTGCTTTTTTTGGATGAATTGGATGCACAATACAGTAGTTGCTTCTGCTTCTTGTAGATTAGGGGGCTTAGTTGTATGTGGTGTTGTCACAGGTTGGGTTGCCCTGGAAGCAAATTTTGAGATGGAGGTTAACGTGAAGATAATTTATTAAAGGGTTCTTTCAGGATCAACACCTGTGAAGGGAAGGGGATGCAGCTGGACTAATGGGAGAAGTTGGCCTAGATATAGTCAGAAGGCCTCAGCCTTACTTATTGGGAGCTCTGAAGCTGGGATGGTCCCTCCAAATTGTCCTCAGCTAAGGTCAGAGGGCCGGTCCTTATAGCCCAATGTTGACTAGTCTCTGTATGCCAGTTACCCTGGGAAAGGAGAATGACCTTGGGTGTGGTAGCTTTTTTCAGCCTAGCGAATTCCTAAAGAGCAACTGGGGAATAAATACTTCAGTTCTGAAGGGGAGTTTCGGGATGTAGTGCAGCATTTATGTCAGGTGCTGAAGATATATTTTTTGAACTGTTGAAAGAATTCAACTTGTTCATGTCATCCAAGGGAAAATCCCTGACTCAGTTCAGTGACTGACCTTTTTGGTGAATATGATAATCCATATAAACACTCTGAATCTTTCTCGCGAAAGTGCTCATAAGTAGTTACACAAATGTAAAATTTAATTCACATGTTCTTAGTGAAGTCATTTTTTGGGGAAATGCTTTTGGCAAGGAATAATCCGGCTTACTTTTCTGTGCTGAAATTGGTGTCCAGAGATGGAAGTGATTACTTAAACTACGTATTCACAATTGCAGGTTTAAAGAGTGAATTCCAAAAAGGAAGTTTTCTGATTTCCAACATTGTGGCAATTAAAAATATTGCCTATTTTGTCTTTTTCAATTAATTTTACTAATGTCAGTAAAGAACTACAAATTGAAGAAATTGAACTGCACTGTAGTGTGGTACTGAATCCTAATTAGACAACTTTGGAATATCAGTATGTAGTAGACATTTGCTGCTTTTGGCCATCCATCATTTTATTCATTCCACTTTCCTCTTGATACGGTACCCGAATTTCCACTTAAGTATCTACTTTTCCCTATCAGCCCATGTGGACACTGACATATTGGTGTAGAAGAAAGGATTTTAGCTTTCTATTTACAAGTCAACAAAGTAATCAATTTCAAAGGAAAATTTGATAAATTATTTATATTTTTAGATTTCAAATTTAAAATATAGCTGCTCTTTTCCTACCTGTTCATACTATTTGTTAATGTGCTTATACCATCGTTCGGTTAATGATAAAGTTTAATTACATATCTGGCAGTGGATTTTTTTACAGTCTGCTTCACTCATTTATGTTACATATTTGGCTTCTGTAGACAGTGTAGGAAGTTGCATTATATAATGGACAATGCTTTTAGTAATTTTATAGCAAGAGCATAAGTATATTTTACACAGTAAAGTTTTTTTTTTTAAGCAATGAAAGCTAAGCATGCAGAACATTAACTGTTAGAAAGTGAATGAAGTGGCCAGGCGTGGTGGCTTACGCCTGTAATTTCAACACTTTGAGAAGCTGAGGAAGATGGATTGCCTGAGGTCAGGAGTTCAAGACCAGCCTGGTCAACATGGCAAACCCCTGTCTCTACTGAAAACACAAAAATGAGCGGGCTGTGGTGGCACATGCCTCTAATCCCAGCTACTCAGGAGGCTGAGGCATGAGAATTGCTTGAACCCAGGAGACGGAGGTTGCAGTGAGCCAAGATCGCGCCATTGCACTCCAGCCTGGGCGACAGAGCAAGACTCCATCTCAAAAAAAAAAAAAAGAAAAGAAAGTGAATGAAGTTCTGTAATGGACTAAGCTAATGTAGTTCAGACCTAGTTTTCTGATGATCCATCTTGATGCAAGGATAAAATTTTGAATATATAGAATGGATGGAAATACTATGTCTCTTAAGCGATCTTTTTTTTTTTTTGAAATTTCACCTTTTACAGTCAAGCTTCATTAGGAGACAGAGAGCAGACAATTCCAGGTTATATACTTATTAGATCCTAGTAATATCCAGTACTATTTAAGGGAAGAGCATAGGCTTTGGATTCTAGAAAAGCAGGTGAATGGCTTGATACTGTTATTGAATCATTTTTCTGAATTTGTTAGATTATATCTATTTACTCTCTGACATTAACATTTAAGTAAACTTGCAAAAGATAAGATTAATTGGAGGTGGAGCCAAGATGGCTGAATAGGAACAGCTCCAGTCTACAGCTCCCAGCGTGAGCGACGCAGAAGACGAATGATTTCTGCATTTCCAACTGAGGTACCGGGTGCATCTCACTGGGGAGTGTTGGATAGTGGGTGCAGGACAGTGGGTGCAGTGCACTGAGCCTGAGCTGAAGCAGGGCGAGGCATGGCCTCACCCGGAAAGTACAAGGGGTCAGGGAATTCCCTTTCCTAGGGGTGATGGATGGCACCTGGAAAATTTGGTCACTCCCACCATAATACTGCGCTTTTCCAATGGTATTAGCAAATGGCACACCAGGAGATTATATCCCGCGAATGGTTTGGAGGGTCCTACGCCCACAGAGCCTCGCTCATTGCTAGCACAGCAGTCTGAGATCAAACTGCAAGGCAGCAGCGAGGCTGGGGGAGGGGCGCCCACCATTGCCGAGGCTTGAGTAGGTAAACAAAGAGGCTGGGAAGCTCGAACTGGGTGGAGCCCACTGCAGCTCAAGGAGGCCTGCCTGCCTCTGTAGACTCCACCTCTGGGGGCAGGGCATAGCCAAACAAAAGGCAGCAAAAACTTCTGCAGACTTAACTGTCCCTGTCTGACAGCTTTGAAGACAGTAGTGGTTCTCCCAGCACGCAGCTTGAGATCTGAGAATGGACAGACTGCCTCCTGAAGTGGGTCCCTGACCCCCGAGTAGCCTAACTGGGAGGCACCCCCCAGGAGGGGCAGACTGACACCTCACACGGCCGGGTACTCCTCTGAGACAAAACTTCCAGAGGAACGATCAGGCAGCAACATTTGCTGTTCACCAATATCCGCTGTTCTGCAGCCTCCGCTCTGATACCCAGGCAAACAGGGTCTGGAGTGGACCTCTGGCAAACTCCAATGCACCTGCAGCTGAGGGTCCTGACTGTTAGAAGGAAAACTAACAAACAGAAAGGACATCCACACCAAAACCCCATCTGTTTGTCACCATCATCAAAGACCAAAGGTAGATAAAACCACAAAGATGGGGAAAAAACAGAGCAGAAAAACTGGAAACTCTAAAAATCAGAGCACCTCTTCTCTTCCAAAGGAGTGCAGCTCCTCACCAGCAATGGAACAAAGCTGGACAGAGAATGACTTTGACAAGTGGAGAGAAGAAGGCTTCAGACGATCAAACTACTCCAAGTTAAAGGAGGAAGTTCAAACCGAAGACAAAGAAGATAAAAACCTTGAAAAAAGATTAGACAAATGGCTAACTAGAATAACCAATGCAGAGAAGTCCTTAAAGGACCTGATGGAGCTGAAAACCATGGCACGAGAACTGCGTGACAAATGCACAAGCCTCAGTAGCCGATGCTATCAACTGGAAGAAAGGGTATCAGTAGTGGAAGATCAAATGAATGAAATGAAGTGAGAAGAGAAGTTTAGAGAAAAAAGAATACAAAGAAATGAAAAAAGCCTCCAAGAAATATGGGACTATATGAAAAGACCAAATCTACGTCTGATTGGTGTACCTGAAAGTGACGGGGAGAATGGAACCAAGTTGGAAAACACTGCAGGATATTATCCAGGAGAACTTCCCCAATCTAGCAAGGCAGGCCAGCATTCAGATTCAGGAAATACAGAGAACGCCACAAAGATACACCTCGAGAAGAGCAACTCCAAGACACATAATTGTCAGATTCACCAAAGTTGAAATGAAGGAAAAAATGTTAAGTGAAGCCAGAGAGAAAGGTCGGGTTGCCCACAAAGGGAAGCCCATCAGACTAACAGCTGATCTCTCAGCAGAAACTCTACAAGCCAGAAGAGTGTGGGGGCCAATATTCAACATTCTTAAAGAAAAGAATTTTCAACCCAGAATTTCATGTCCAGCCAAACTAAGCTTCATAAGTGAAGGAGAAATAAAATCCTTTACAGATAAGCAAATGCTGAGAGATTTTGTCACCACCAGGCCTGCCCTAAAAGAGCTCCTGAAGGAAGCACTAAACATAGAAAGGAACAACCGGTACAAGCCACTGCAAAAACATGCCAAATTGTAAAGACCATCAAGGCTAGGAAGAAACTGCCTCAACTAACGAGCAAAATAACCAGCTAACATCACAATGACAGGGTCAAATTCACATATAACAATATTAACCTTAAATGTAAATGGACTAAATGCTCCAATTAAAAGACACAGACTGGCAAATTGGATAAAGAGTCAAGACCCATCAGTGTGCTGTATTCAGGAAACCCATCTCACGTGCAGAGACACACATAGGCTCAAAATAAAGGGATAGAGGAAGATCTACCAAGCAAATGGAAAACAAACAAAGGCAGGGGTTGCAATCCTAGTCTCTGATAATACAGACTTTAAACCAACAAAGATCAAAAGAGACAAAGAAGGCCATTACATAATGGTAAAGGGATCAATACAAAAAGAAGAGCTAACTATCCTAAATATATATGCACCCAATACAGGAGCACCCAGATTCATAAAGCAAGTCCTTGGAGACCTACAAAGAGACTTAGACTCCCACACAATAATAATGGGAGACTTTAACACCCCACTGTCAACATTAGACAGATCAACACGACAGAAAGTTAACAAGGATATCCAGGAACTGAACTCAGCTCTGCACCAAGCAGACCTAATAGACATCTACAGAACTCTCCATCCCAAATCAACAGAATATACATTCTTTTCAGCACCACACCACACCTATTCCAAAATTGACCACATACTTGGAAGTAAAGCACTCCTCAGCAAATGTAAAAGAACAGAAATTATAACAAACTGTCTCTCAGACCACAGTGCAATGAAACTAGAACTCAGGATTAAGAAACTCACTCAAAACCGCTCAACTACACAGAAACTGAACAACCTGCTCCTGAATGACTACTGGGTACATAACAAAATAAAGACAGAAATAAAGATGTTCTTTGAAACCAATGAGAACAAAGACACAACATACCAGAATCTCTGGGACACATTCAAAGCAGTGTGTAGAGGGAAATTTATAGCACTAAATGCCCACAAGAGAAAGCAGGAAAGATCTAAAATTGACACCCTAACATTACAATTAAAAGAACTAGAGAAGCAAGAGCAAACACATGCAAAAGCTAACAGAAGGCAAGAAATAACTAAGATCAGAGCAGAACTGAAGGAAATAGAGACACAAAAAAGCCTTCAAAAACTCAATGAATCCAGGAGCTGGTTTTTTGAAAAGATCAACAAAATTGATAGACCGCTAGCAAGACTAATAAAGAAGAAAAGAGAGAAGAATCAAATAGACGCAATAAAAAATGATAAAGGGGATATCACCACCGATCCCACAGAAATACAAACTACCATCAGAGAATACTACAAACACCTCTACACAAACAAACTAGAAAATCTAGAAGAAATGGATAAATTCCTTGACACTTACACTCTCCCAAGACTAAACCAGGAAGAAGTTGAATCTCTGAATAGACCAATAACAGGCTCTGCCATTGAGGCAATAATCAATAGCTTACCAACCAAAAAAAGTCCAGGACCAGATGGATTCACAGCCGAATTCTACCAAAGGTACAAGGAGGAGCTGGTACCATTCCTTCTGAAACTATTCCAATCAATAGAAAAAGAGGGAATCCTCCGTAACTCACTTTATGAGGCCAGCATCATCCTGATACCAAAGCCTGGTAGAGGCACAACAAAAAAAGAGAATTTTAGACCAATATTCCTGATGAACATCGATGCAAAAATCCTCAATAAAATACTGGCAAACCGAATCCAGCAGCACATCAAAAAGCTTCTCCACCATGATCAAGTGGGCTTCATCCCTGGGATGCGAGGCTGGTTCAACATATGCAAATCAATAAACGTAATCCAGCATATAAACAGAACCAATGACAAAAACCACATGATTATCTCAATAGATGCAGAAAAGGCCTTTGACAAAATTCAACAACTCTTCATGCTAAAAACTCTCAATAAATTAGGTATTGATGGGATGTATCTCAAAATAATAAGAGCTATCTATGACAAACCCACAGCCTATATCATACTGAATGGGCAAACACTGGAAGCATTCCCTTTGAAAACCGGCACAAGACAGGGATGCCCTCTCTCACCACTCCTATTCAACATAGTGTTGGAAGTTCTGGCCAGGGCAATCAGGCAGGAGAAGGAAATAAAGGGTATTCAATTAGGAAAAGAGGAAGTCAAATTGTCCCTGTTTGCAGATGACATGATTGTATATCTAGAAAACCCCATCATCTCAGCCCAAAATCTCCTTAAGCTGATAAGCAACTTCAGCAAAGTCTCAGGATACAAAATCAATGTGCAAAAATCACAGGCATTCTTATACACCAATAACAGACAAACAGAGAGCCAAATCATGAGTGAACTCCCATTCACAGTTGCTTCAAAGAGAATAAAATACCTAGGAATCCAACTTTCAAGGGATATGAAGGACCTCTTCAAGGAGAACTACAAACCACTGCTCAATGAAATAAAAGAGGATAAAAACAAATGGAAGAACATTCCATGCTCATGGGTAGGAAGAATCAATATCATGAAAATGGCCATACTGCCCAAGGTAATTTATAGATTCAATGCAATCCCCATCAAGCTACCAGTGACTTTCTTCACAGAATTGGAAAAAGCTACTTTAAAGTTCATATGGAACCAAAAAAGAGCCCACATTGCCAAGTGAATCCTCAGCCAAAAGAACAAAACTGGAGGCATCACTCTTCCTGACTTCAAACTATACTACAAGGCTACAGTAACCAAAACAGCATAGTACTGGTACCAAAACAGAGATACAGACCAATGGAAAAGAACAGAGCCCTCAGAAATAATGCCACATATCTACAACTATCTGATCTTTGACAAACCTGACAAAAACAAGAAATGGGGAAAGGATTCCCAATTTAATAAATGGTGCTGGGAAAACTGGCTAGCCATATGTAGAAAGCTGAAATTGGATCCCTTCCTTACACCTTATACTAAAATTAATTCAAGATGGTTTAAAGATTTGAATGTTAGACCTAAAACCATAAAAACCCTAGAAGAAAACCTAGGCAATACCATTCAGGACATAGGCATGGGCAAGGACTTCATGTCTAAAACAGCAAAAGCAATGGCAACAAAAGCCAAAAGTGACAAATGGGATCTAATTAAACTAAAGAGCTTCTGCACAGCAAAAGAAACTACCATCAGAGTGAACAGGCAACCTACAAAATGGGAGAAAATTTTTGCAATCTACTCATCTGACAAAGGGCTAATATCCAGAATCTACAAAGAACTCAAACAAATTTACAAGAAAAAAACAAAGAACCCCATCAACAAGTTGGCAAAGGATATGAATGGACACTTCTCAAAAGAAGACATTTGTGCAGCCAAAAGACACGTGAAAAAATGCTCATCATCACTGGCCATCAGAGAAATGCAAATCAAAACCACAATGAGATACCATCTCACACCAGTTAGAATGGCGATCATTAAAAAGTCAGGAAACAACAGGTGCTGGAGAGGATGTGGAGAAATAGGAACACTTTTACACTGTTGGTGGGACTGTAAACTAGTTCAACCATTGTGGAAGTCAGTGTGGCGATTCCTCAGGGATCTAGAACTAGAAATACCATTTGACCCAGCCATCCCATTACTGGGTATATACCTAAAGGATTATAAATCATGCTGCTCTAAAGACACATGTACACGTATGTTTATTGCGGCACTATTCACAATAGCAAAGACTTGGAACCAACCCAAATGTCCATCAATGATAGACTGGATTAAGAAAATGTGGCACATATACACCATGGAATACTATGCAGGCATAAAAAAGGATGAGTTCATGTCCCTTGTAGGGACATGGATGAAGCTGGAAACCATCATTCTCAGCAAACTATCGCAAGGACAAAAAACCAAACACCACATGTTCTCACTCTTAGGTGGGAATTGAACAATGAGAACACATGGACACAGGAAGAGGAACATCACACACTGGGGCCTGTTGTGGGGTGGGGGGAGTGGGGAGGGATAGCATTAGGAGATATACCTAATGTTAAATGACGAGTTAATGGGTGCGGCACACCAACATGGCACATGTATACATATGTAACAAACCTGCACAATGTGCACATGTACCCTAAAACTTAAAGTATAAAAAAAATTAATTTGCTATATCTTTCTCAGTGAATCCTTGTTGCTTTATGTTAGTGCTTCTCAAACTTTAATGTGTATATGATTGGCTAGATCAGCTGAAGATCATGTTAAGATGCAGATTCTGATTTGGTGGGTCTGGAATGGGACCTGATCTGCATTTCTTAGAAGCTCGCAGGTGATGTCAATGCTGTTGGTCTGTGGCTCATTCTCAGAGTAGTATGGTTTGGGAATCCACTGCCTCCTAAAAAAAAAAAAAAATGAGAACTTTTCCTGTCCCCAGTCTTCATCACCCCTCCATTTATCCGTAATTCCTGAAAGACTTCTTTAATGTATAAGTCTCATCTACAAATTATCTTAGTCCTAGATGTAAATTTATTTGATCCAGGGGTCCTGAACACTTTTATGGCAACTAAGTTACTTTTACTCCTAACCTTGGACTTTAATCCTCTTTTAGAATTTTGTATCTATTTAAAAAATTCTACAAACATGCTATGACTGTAATGAAAAATTTAAAACAAAAAAGATCACATCTAATATTATTATCCTAACAATCTGCTTTTAGTTTTTTCTTTCCTTTAATTCCTTATGCGTATTGGTGCATAATTTTTCCTAGTTACAATGTTAACATTTGTCATTTATGTTGTTATTGGTGAAAGGCGTCAGGCCCCCCTTTTTTTTTGATGCTGATTAGGTAAGCTTAATCAGTTACTGTTTATTCCAGTGACAAGAATACTAAATCAAATAAACAAAGGGATCTTGAATTGCAGTTAGACTACCAAGACAGAATCAGAAACCTAGAGATAGTGATCTAGGAAAGTCAATGCACCAAATAAAAATACAGAACAAGAATGTGGGAGATCAGATTGACATTGCCAAACTAAAATGAAGAAGAGAGGAGAGCAGCAGCAGGCTTGTGAAGTCAAGATCAGAATCCTTGGAAGTCACATAAGAGATACAGGGAAGCAATTTGTTCAGGCTCATCAAGTAAAAAGAAAGACCAGAAAGCCTTGCATCTTAACCATTTTATTCCCAGCTTTCCTGTTGCATAAAGCCTGATATTGTTTATTAATATAATAGTTTTTGAACACACTGTTGAATGTTATAATAAAATATTTCAGAGCTATCTAGATTCTACACATTAAATGAGTTCCTGAAAAGTTCTGTTCAGAGAAAATTTGATATGGTATTATTTTTCCATAAACTTACACTATACAAATAAAATGATTTACCTCCAAAAAATGTTTGGCTCTAAGATATGATAAAATTATACTTAAGAATGTAGCAGAATTTTACAATTATATGTTTAAATGAAATACATTCTTATGATAATGTAATAATACGTACTTGAGGTGAGTTGCAGAAATGGCATGCTAGCTGAGTGAGAATATCCTGATAATATAGAAAAAGAGATAGGTACAATATTGAAGACCTCATACTCAATAATAATTCCTTTCTGGGATAGATCTAAAAGGTTATCAGCCACTGAGAAATAAAAGCAAACATCAACTGACCCTTGAGATTTTAATTAATCATGTTTATTCAGATATTCCCATGTAACAGCCACTATCTGAGCTCAGTATTGGTGATTGGTATCACCCTAGATCTTTCTCTTCTCCTGCTTCAGGTTGAATATCCCTGTAATGTATTTTGTAGGACATTCGTATTTTTTGTTGTAATGAACATTACATTATGAGTTTATTTTCAGGAATCATAGTTCCAGTCTGTAGGAAGTGAAGGTGGTACAGAATACACACTCAGTTCCTGAATCTTCAGTATAGATAAGTTTTGTTGAAATAGATAAGTTTGTAGGTTTTTTCCCTAGAGGGATTGGTTTTAGGGTTCTTGAGATGGGAAAAGGAGTTTTTTTTTTTTTTAATTATTTCAACTTTTATTTTAGATACAAGGGACACATATGCAGCCTAGTTACATGGGTATATTGTACCCTAGTAGTGAGCATAGTACCCAATAGGTAGTTTTTCAACCCACATGCCCTTCACCTCTCCCCCCTCTACTAGTCCGTTGTCTATTATTCCCATGTTTATGTCCATGTGTGCTCAATGTTTAGCTCCCATTTATAAGTGAGAACATGTGGTATTTGGTTTTCTGTTCCTGTTTTAATTTGCTTAGGATTATGGCCTCCAGTTACATCCATGTTGCTGCAAAGAACATGACTTCATTCTTTTTATGACTGCATAGTATTCCATGGTATATATGTACCACATCTTCTTTATCCAATCCACCATTGAGGGACACCTATGTTGATTCCTTGTCTTTGCTATTGTGAATAGCACAGTGATGAACATATGAGTGCATGTGAGGTTTTTTTTGTATAATCTGTTTTCCTTTGGGTATATACCCAGTAATGGGATTGCTGGGTCTAATGGTAGCTCTGTTTTAAGTTCTCTGAGGAATCTCCAAACTGCTTTCCACAGTGGCTGAACTAATTTACATTTCCATTAATAGTGTATAAATGTTCCCTTTTCTTGCAGCCTCTCCAGCATCTGTTGTTTTCTGACTTTTTAATAATAGCCATTCTGACTGGTGTGAGATAGTATCTCATTGTGGTTTTGATTTGCATTTTTCTTGTGATTAGTGCTGATGAGCATTTTTTCACATGTTTGTTGGCAGCTTGTATATCTTCTTTTGAGAAGCGTCTGTTCATGTCCTTTGCCCATTTTTTAATGAGGCTATTTGTTTTTTGCTTGTTGATTTTTTTAAAAAATCACCTTTCTGACAAGCTTGTTGATTTTTTTAAAGTTCCTTATAGATTCTGGGATATTATACCTTTGTTAGATCCATAGTTTGTGAATATTTTAATATTCTTTTGATAGATTTTTTTTATGCTGTGCAGAAGCTCTTTAGTGTAATTAAGTCTCACTTGTCAATTTTTGGTTTTGTTGCAATTGCTTTTGGGGACTTAACCAAAAATTATTTGCCAAGGCTAATGTCAAGAAGGGTGTTTCCTAGGTTTTTAAAGGTTGGTTGCTCCTGGAGAAAGAGTTCAATTTTCCTTACCTCATTGTGTGCACTGACATTCATTTTATCAACAAAAATTGTGCCTAGTGCAACATGTTGTCTAGGGTCTGGTTGTAGATACAAGAAATATAACAAACACACATTTCCCTAGTGAATTTATAGCCTACTATAATAAATTAAGCATATATATGCTTGATCAGTTGAGTAACAATAAAATTCAGAATATGAGAAATGTATGGTATAGGCAAAAACAGTATATGAATTCAGAGAGAGTGAAAGATCACTGTTAGCTCTATTAGTCAGGGAATGCTTGATGGAGGAGGTGGGGTCTTAGAAATGGATAAGATTTGCATAGGTGAAGGAGTAGGAATTACTAGCAGGAAGATCAGAGTGAGCACAAGGCAGGTGTGGGGACAATAATTTAGTCCAATAAAGTATTTAGTATCGTTTATGCAAAGGGTACCATGTGGAAAACATAGGCACCACTTGCAAAGAATTTACAAGTCTTACTGGAAAGAGAGTATATGTAAAGATAATAATATAAGACAGCACATGGAAAATGGGGATAAGTGACAAATTGGTATAGGAATTCAGAAGAAGCCTAGACCATCATGGACTAGGAACATCCGAAAGTCTTATTTGAAGGTGAGGTTTGAGCTGGCCTTTGATGGTAGGGTAGGATTTAGAATAGTGGAAAGGAAGAGTTAGGACACCTGTGGTAGGGACTATAGCATAAGTAGATATGGGGACAACATGGTCTATTTAGAATATGATGACTAATGAATCCGAGAGGATTTAGCATAAGTTTTATATAAGGAGTATAATGAAATATAAAGTTAGAGAAGTAAATTGGAGTCATTTATTAAATTCCTTGATACTGGGTTAAAGGACTATATGATATAGGCAAATGGGGACCCACTGAAGGTTTCCAAATAGGATAGTGACATGCTAATAGCAATAATATGCAAGAATTTGAGAGATAGGGAGATTAATTGAGTTGTTGTAAGTAGCTCAAATATGAAGTAATAAGAGCCTGAAACTAGGTTGATAGCAGTGGAAATTCATTCTTTCACGTTTGAGTTCCTACAATGTACCAGTCATTTTGTTGCTAGGCATTGAAGATGCAGAGATAAAATAATATGCATGTCCCTGGTGGTCTCAAGGATATCACTACTTAATGGGGAAGATAAGCTCAAAATTATGAAACAAATACAATCACAGAATATTTTTATACCATAAAAGGGGGGGTTAGAGGATAATTTATGAAGACAAAACTATTCTACTTCTTGCCTACCTATTTGGCATTAGAATTAATACAGTTTTGACTGACTTGCCAGCTGCACACTATCCTTAGGACCTATCTTTTTTTATATATACTTTAAGTTCTAGGGTACATATGCACAAAGTGCAGGTTTGTTACATATGTATACATGCGCCATGATGGTGTGCTGCACCCATTAACTCGTCATTTACATTAGGTATATCTCCTAATGCTATCCCTCCCCCTCCTCCCACCCCACAACAGGCCCCAGTGTGTGATGTTCCCCTTCCTGTGTCCAAGTGTTCTCATTGTTCAATTCCCACCTATGAGTGAGAATATGCAGTGTTTGATTTTTTGACCTTGCAATAGTTTGCTGAGAATGATGGTTTCCAGCTTCATCTTTGTCCCTACAAAGGACATGAACCCATCCTTTTTTATGGCTGCATAGTATTCCATGGTGTATATGTGCCACATTTTCTTAATCCAGTCTATCATTGATGGACATTTGGGTTGGTTCCAAGTCTTTCCTATTGTGAATAGTGCCGCAATAAACATATGTGTGCATGTGTCTTTATAGCAGCATGATTTATAATCCTTTGGGTATATACCCGGTAATGGGATGGCTGGGTCAAATGGTATTTCTAGTTCTAGATCCTTGAGGAATCACCACACTGTCTTCCACAATGGTTGAACTAGTTTAGAGTCCCACCAGCAGTGTAAAAGTGTTCCTATTTTTTCACATCCTCACCAGCACCTGTTGTTTCCTGACTTTTTAATGATGCCATTCTAACTGGTGTGAGATGGTATCTCATTGTGGTTTTGATTTGTATTTCTCTGATGGCCAGTGATGATGAGCATTTTTCATGTGTCTTTTGGCTGCATAAATGTCTTCTTTTGAGAAGTGTCTGCTCATATCCTTTGCCCACTTTTTGATGGGGTTGTTTGTTTTTTTCTTGTAAATTTGTTTGAGTTCTTTGTAGATTCTGGATATTAGCCCTTTGTCAGATGAGTAGATTGCAAATATTTTCTCCCATTCTGTAGGTTGCCTGTTCACTCTGATGGTAGTTTCTTTTGCTGTGCAGAAGCTCTTTAGTTTAATTAGATCCCATTTGTCACTTTTGGCTTTTGTTGCCATTGCTTTTGCATAGGAAGAATCAATATTGTGAAAATAGCCATACTGCCCAAGGTAATTTATAGATTCAATGCCATCCCCATCAAGCTACCAGTGACTTTCTTCACAGAATTGGAAAAAACTACTTTAAAGTTCATATGGAACCAAAAAAGGGCCTGCATTGCCAAGACAATCCTAAGCCAAAAGAACAAAGCTGGAGGCATCACGCTACCTGACTTCAAACTATACTACAAGGCTATAGTAACCAAAACAGCATGGTACTGGTACCAAAACAGAGATATAGACCAATGGAACAGAACAGAGGCCTCAGAAATAATACCACACATCTACAGCCATCTGATCTTTGACAAACCTGACAAAAACAAGCAATGGAGAAAGGATTCCCTATTTAATAAATGGTGCTGGGAAAACTGGCTAGCCATATGTAGAAAGCTGAAACTGGATCCCTTCCTTACACCTTATACTAAAATTAATTCAAGATGTATTAAAGACTTAAATGTTAGACCTAAAACCATAAAAACCCTAGAAGAAAACCTAGGCAATACCATTCAGGACATAGGCATGGGCAAGGACTTCATGTCTAAAGGACCTATCTTTTTTTTTTAAACATTTCCTAGTAAAGCCATAAGTCATACAAATTAGCACTTGTCATAAACGATAAAAGTAAGGAATGTTTCTCTCAGATTCCAGAATAGGAAATGGAAAGAAGTGATGGAAGTGAAAGACATTATGATGGAAGAATAAAGAAGATATGTAACTGGGTATAGGAGGTGGGGAACAGGGAGACAGAAGAGGATAGATAGATGGCAACAGACTCAAGATGATGCAGTGTCCTGGAGGAGCTGGTATAAATAGTATAGAATGTATGTATACAATGTACTTGAACAGTAAAGAATGAAGATTGAGAAAAAGAATAATGATTTCGAGTACTGGACTCAGTAGTAACTTCAAACATCTTTATAATAGCTATCATTCACTGAATTCTTACTTTGTACCAGACACTATTCTAAGGGCTTTTAATTTAATATATTATTTAACCTTTCACAAATACACTGTGAGGTAGGTACTATTAGCATCTTCCACATTATACAGATGGGGAGTATATTAGTCCATTCTCGCACTGCTATAAAGAAATACTTGAGGCTGGGTAATTTATAAAGAAAAGAGGCTTAATTGGCTCACGGTTCCACAGACTGTACAGGAAGTGTGGCAGCATCCGTTTCTGGGGAGACCTCAGGGAACTTTTACTCATGGCAGAAGGCAAAGCAAAAGCAGGCATCTTACATGGCAGAACAGGAGAGAGAGAGAGAGAGAGAGACAGAGACAGAGAGGGAGAGAGAGAGAGAGAGAGAGATACCACACACTTTGAAATGACCAGATCTCGTGAGAACTCCATCATGAGAATAGCACCAAAGGGATGGTGCTAAACCATTCATGAAGGATCCACCTCCATGATTCAATCACCTCCCACTAGGCCCGACCTCCAACACTGGAGACTACAATCGAACGTGAGATTTGGGTGAGGACACATGTCCAAACCATACCAGGGAAGTTAAGAAACTTGACCAAGGTCACAGAGCTAGTAAGTAGTGGAGCAAGGATCCAAACCCAGGCTGGCAAGTTTCAGAACCTGTACTCTTAATTGCAGTGCGATACATATGGCCTATCTAAAGCAAATGTAGAACAGACAGGAGAAATGCGAGAGATAAATGAGATGTTAGGAATTAGAGATAGCTGTAGTAGATCACCTATCTGTTTGGAATATTTTGGCAGTAAATTGGAAAGAAAGGATAAAAATGGTAGAGGGACAAATGGGAAAATCCAACCCCACTAACACCAGTATAGGGGAGATTGTGCATGTCCAAGGCAGAGGAAAAGTATCCTATATGGAGGGAGGTATCCAGAGGGCTAAAAAGAAGGTGTAATTGAGAAAGTTCAAGCTCCTAATATATAACGGAAGTAGTATACTGATAGGGAGAGGGCACTAGCTCTAGGATCAGTAGGCCTGGTTTCAAATCCTAGCAATTCTCTTTACTAGCTGGCAGGTTGCTTGTGCCTCACTTTCCTCATCTGCAGTTTTCTTATATGTAACATGAGATATGATATTATAACACTTTCTAGGGTTGTTGTCAGATTACAAGAGATTATGTACATAAAATATGTAGAAGTTATAAACTATGATAGGTATTCACTAATTATTAACTTTTTTGATTATTATTTGTTGAGAGGCAATATTGTGTAGTGGTCATGAGTATGCTGCTTAGATCTGAATCCTTGTTCCACCATTAGCCAGCTGTATGACTTTAGGTAAGTTTTTAACTTCTTTGTGCCTCAGTTTCCTCATTTTAAAAATAGAGATATCAAAGTACCTACTTCATAAGGTTGCTGTGAGGACTAAATGTATTAATATCTGCAAAGTGTTAGAATTGTGCCTGATGCATAATAAGCACTATATAAAGTTTGCCACTATATAAAGTTTGCTACTACTATGATTTGGGGAGCCCTTCATACGTAGTGGACAATAAACCTTGTCTGTTATATGTATTGCAAATATCTTCCCCTTTCTGTCTTTTACCCTACAGAGGTCTTAAAATTTGGTGAGGATGTTGAGTGAAAAAAAAGGCCAATCTCAAAAGGTGACATTACAGGAATCTATGTAACATTCTTGAAACAACAAAATTATAGAGATGGACGACAGATTAATGGTTGCCAGGAATTAGGGATGGTGGGGAGAAGGAGAGAAGTAGATGTGACTGTAACAGGGTAGCATGAGGGATATCTTTGTGGTGATAAGACAGTTCTTGTTTGCCATGGTAGTTGCATGAATCTTCATGTGTGACAAAATGACATAGAACTATATGCAGGCAAACATCTCAGAGATATGCATTTGGTTCCAGAACACTGCAATAAAGCAAGTATTGCAATAAAGTGAGTCACACAATTTTTTTTATTTCTCAGTGCATGTAAAAGTTAGGTTACTATATACTGTAGTCTATTAAGTATGCAATAGCATAATGTCTTAAAAACCAAATGTGCATACTTTAATTTTAAAATACGTTATTGCTAAAAAAAAATAATAATCTGAGCCTTCAGTGAGTTGTAATCTTTGTGCTAATGAAGGGTCTTGTCTTGATGTTGTTGGCTGCGGACTGATCAGGATGATGGTTGCTGAAGTTGGGGTGGCTATGGCAATTGCTTAAAATAAGTCAACAGTGAAGTTTACCACATTGATTGACTCTTCCTTTAATCAAATATTTCTGTGCAGCATGTTGTGCTGTTTGTTAGCATTTCACCCACAGTAGAACTTCTTGCAAAATTGGAGTCAATTCCCTCAAACCCTGCCACTGCTTTATCAACTAAATATTATAATATACTAAATCCTGTGTTGTCTTTCAACAATGTACACGGCATCTTCACCAGAAGTAGATTCTATCTCAAGAAACCACTTTCTTTATTCATCCATAAGAAGCAACTTCTCATCCATTCAAGTCTTATCATGAGATTACAGCAATTCAATCATATCTTCAGGCCCCAGTTCTAATTCTATTTCTCTTGCTATTTCCGCCACATCTGCAGTTACTTCCTCCACTGAAGTCTTGAACCCCTCCAAGTCATCCTTGACGACTGGAGTCAACTTCTTCCAAACTCCTGTTAAATGTTGATATTTTGACCTTCTTCCATCAATCACAAGTGTTTCTAATGGCATCTAGAATGGTGAATACTTTCCAGAATGTTTTCAATGTACTTTGTCCAGATCCATGAGAGGAATAACTATCTATGCAGCTATAGCCTTGCAAAATGTATTTCTTAAATAACAAGACTTGAAAGTCTAAATTACTCCTTGATCCATGGATGTTGTATTAGCAGGCATGAAAACAACATTAATCTCCCTCTGCATCTCCCTTAGAACTCTTGGGTGACCAGATGCATTGTCAACGAGCAGTAATCTTTTCTTCTGAGCAATGGTTCTCAACAGAGGGTTTAAACTATTCAGTGAGCCATGCTGTTAACAGATGTGCTATCATCCAGGCTTTGTTGTTCCATTTATAGAGCACAGGCAGAGAAGATTTAGCATAATTCTTAAGGGCCCTGGGATTTTTGGAATGGTAAATAAGCATTGGTTTCAACTTAAAGCCACCAGCTGCATTAGTCTCTAACAAGAGAGTGAGCCTGACCTTTCAAGCTTTGAAGCCAGGTATTGACTTCTCTCTAGCTATAAAGTTCTAGATGGCATCTTCTTCCAATGTAAGAATGTTTCATCTATGTTGAAAATTTATTATTTAGTGTAGCCACCTTCATCAGTGATCTTAGATCTTCTGGATAACTTGCCGCAGCTTCTTCATCAGAACTTGCTGCTTTGCATTGTGCTTTTATGTTACGGAGACAGCTTCTTTCCTTAAACCACAAGAACGAACCTCTGGTAGCTTCAAATTTTGCTTCTGAAGCTTCCTCACCTCTCTAGGCCTTCATAGAATGAAGAGAGTTAGGACGTTGCTCTGGATTAGGCTTTGGCTCAAGAACGTGCTGTGGCTGGGGTTGATCTTCTATCCAGACCACTAAAACTTTGTCCATATTAGCAATAAGGCTGTTTTGCTTTTTTATCATTTTTGTGTTCACTGGAGTAGTACTTTTAATTGCCTTCAAGAACTTTTTGTTTGCAGTCGCAATTTGGCTGTTTGGCACAAGAGGCCTAGCTTTCGGCCTAGCTTGGCTTTCAACATGCCTTCCTCACCAAGCTTAATCATCACTGGCTTTTGATTTAAAATGAGAGATATGTGAATATTCCTTGTACTTGAACACTTAGAGGCCATTGTAGGGTTATTAATTGGCCTAGTTTCAGTATTGCTGTGTCTCAGGGAATAGGGGTGCCCAAGGAAAGGGAGAGAGATGGGGAATAATTAGTCAATGAAGCAGTTAGAACACACACATTTGGGCTTAGTTTATGGTACCCCAAAACAATTACAATGTTGACATCAAAGATCACTGGTTACAGTTATAATAATAATGAAAAAAATTGAAATATTGCGAGAATTACTTAAATGTGACAGAGAGACACAAATAGAGTGCATGCTGTTGGAAAAATGGTACCTGTAGACTTGACTTGCTTGATTCAGGGTTGCCACACATCTTCAATTTGTAAAACAAACAAACAGAACAGTATCTGGTGGCACGTGCTTATAGTTCTAACTACTCGGGAGGCTGAGACTACTCAGGAGGCTTGAGCCAGGAGATCAAGACGGCAGTGAGCTATGATCACAGCACTTCACTCCAGCCTGGGTGACAGAGTGAGACCCTGTTTCAAAAACAAACAAACAAACAAACAAAAAACTAGTAACTGTAAAGTACAATAAAGAGAAGTGCAATAAAATGAAGTATGCCTGTTCACACATCGTACCAATGCTGTTTCCTGCTTTGATATTGTTCTATAGTTATATAAGATTTAACTATAGGAGGAAACTGGGTGAGGGTACATGGGATTTCCTTATACATTTTTTTTTTGCAATTTCCTGTGGATCTATAGTTATTTCAAAGGTAAAAGTTAACAAAGTTTTGATGAAATTAAATTGTCAGCCTTCTTTTTTTATGACTTGTGGATTTTGTGTCATGCCTAGAAAGGCCTTTTGTAAACCAAGATGATAAAAGGTATCTCAAGCAACAATCTATTAGAAAATGATGATGATGATGATGATGATGATGACCATAAACAGATCCAGTGCATGGTGACAAACAGTTTAAAGGCTTTTATCGTTTGTTTTCTACATTTACTTTCTTTCCTCATGGGTCACTTTGTTCATTTTGGTGCTTCTCTTTAAGGTTGTTCATTTTCTTCAAATGTCTAGTTTCTTCAGATGATCTTGATTCTCTTCATATTTTTAAAAGAAAAGATCTGCTACCAATAGTTTGTGGTTTGATCCTTTGACATCCTTTGGAATAACTTCCCACATGAGTGTTCCGGCTAGCCGCGGGTGTCTCCACTCTGTCATGTAGACAGGTGGGATTTCGTTGGGTCTTTGGGTTATCTATTGTTGTGTAGCAAACCACCCTAAGATTTAGCAGTTTGAATCACTAGTTTATTATTATCTCATGGTGCTGTGGGTTGATTGGGCTCAACTTAGGTGGTTATTGCCTGGAGTCTTACATGGTTGCAGTCAGATAGTGGCTGGTGTTAGAGTCATCTAAATTTTAGATTCTAAAGGCTTGGATGGGCTGAACACTCTATGTTTTCTTCACTCATGTGTCTGTTGTCTAGGCTGGAAGTCACTGGATGCTACCCAGACATCTCTGTCTCTTTCTTCATGTGTCTAGGTTAGAATTCCTCCCAGTGTTACATCCTCAGGGTAGTTGGACTTCTTACTGATGATTAGCTTCATCCAAAGTTCCAAGAGACCAGGCAGATACTGCAAGGCTTATGTCTTATTAGAAGTCATGCATTGTTAAAAGCAAGTCACAGAGCCAGTCTAGATTCAAGGGGAGAGGACTACAAGGGCATGAATACTAGGAAGCATAATTTATTGGGAGTACATCTTTAGAGACTAGTTATTACAGTGGGCTAGAGACACTAGCCCCCACCTCCATCTTGATATGCAAAGTAGGAAATTAGTTCTCTTGCCATATAAGGATTTTCACTACTGTGCTGATTGATTTTCCTCTTTACTCCTTTTCTCATATCTACAGTCTTCCTGTCCCTTATGCTCAAGCTGGGAGGTTCCCATAACTGATCCCTTAAATCATTTAGAAGGTTTGACAGCAGAGCCTGGGGTCAAACATCAATGGCCTCTACTCCTTGCATGCACAACAGAGAATTGGAATAGTTTCTGCAGTTCCTCTAGGATCATCACAAATTTTTCCTGTCCCCTACTAATTAATTTCTAATTTTGTGGAGTTTCCTAGGGTGTTTTTTTTTTTTGCTGGGGGGAACCTATCTATTTCTTCAATGGCCTCCTTTTTGGCTTCTGTTGGGTTTCAGGATTCTCACCTCTTGATTTTTCCATCAGTCTGATTGCTTTTAATTATAGAAATTCTTTAAAGTTTCTTACCAAAGACAATATATTTTCCTGCTCTCTGGCTCTACTATAGATTTATTCTTACATTCATTCTATTTTTTTGAGGTAAATAACTGTACTCAATCTGCTGTTTTAAACTGAAGGTTAGATAGATGGAATAAAATCTAGCATTCAGTAGCACAATAGGGTGACTATAGTTAGTAATAATTTATTGTATATTTCAAAACAACTAAAAGTGAAATTGGGACATTCACAACAAAAAGAAATGATAAATGCTTGAGGTGGTGGGTATCCCAATTACCCTGAATTGATCATTACACACTGTATGCTTGTGTCAAACTATTGTATGTACCCCATAAGTGTGTACATACTATGTACTTATAAAAATGTACATATTATTTACTTATAATAATAAAAAATAAAAATAAAATGTAAATCTAAACAAGCTTCTTCAGAAATAAATAAATAAAAATTAACTATTCATCCAGTATAGAATAATTTTAAAATGTGGACTTTGGCGTCAGATTACATGTTTTCAAGTTCTTGTTCCTCCACTTTGCAGATGCTTAACCTTATGCAAATTATTTAAACTATATATGCTTCAGTTTACTATTCATGAATAGTACTTACCTGTTGGGGTTTTCTGAAGATTAAATAAGGAATGTAAAATTCCTGGCATATGATAAGCATTCAACACTTTAGCTGTTATCATTTCTGGAAAAGTATTAGAACTAATACAATAAACATAATATTTCATTCCAAGTTGAGCTGTATGTCTGTGGAATAGAATTCAAATCCATCATTTTACATAAGGTTAGTATTCCTGGACAAGATCATGCTGCATTTAGCTTCTTTAGCAGTTTTATCAGCACTTGTGAGCTATGTCTAAGAGTAAATTGCAAGACAGTTTTACTAACACTGAGCCCATTTACAGGCATTAAAGTGATGATTGCTAAAACACCATTTAGCATGAGCAGTGAGTATATGTTAGCAAGAGGTGACATGTGGTATATTGGAACGAGTCCTTGCTACTAACTAAATGACCATGCGACCTCAGACAAGTCATTTAGCTTCTCAGGGCCAGTGACAAGCAGAATAATGTCCCCAAAGGGGCTTCCATGCCCTAATCTCTGGGGCTGTGAGTATGTTACCTTACATGGCAAAATTGATTCTGAATATGTAATTAAAGTCACTAACCAGTTGAATTTAAAATAGGGAGATCATCCTGGATTATCTAGGTAGCCCCAGTATAACCACACAAGCTCTTAAAAGCAGAAGAGGAATACAGAAAAAGTAGTCAGATAGATTCAAAGCACAAGAAGTATTTAGCACACCATTACTGGCTCTGAAGAGAGAATGAACCATAAGCCAAGGAATACAAGTGGCCTCTAGGAGCTGACACAAATCCCAGCCAACAGCCAGCAAGGAAATGGGACCTCAGCCCTAGAATCTCACAGAACTGAATTTCGTCAATAGCCTGAATGAGCCTAGAAATGTATTCTCCCCCAAAGCCTCCATATAAGAGCCCAGGATGGCCAGTATCTTGCCTTTGGCCTTGTGTGAGCCTAAGCCTGAATGGATTTCTGAGCTACAAAATTGGGAAATAATAAGTGAGTATTTTGGGGTTTTTTTGTTGTTTGTTTGTTTGTTCGTTTGTTTTTGAGATAGAGTCTTGCTCTGGCACCTAGGCTGGAGTGCAGTGGCGTGATCTCTGCTCACTGCAGCCTTGACTTCCTGGGCTCAGGTGACCCTTCCACCTCAGCCTTCTGAGTAGCTGGGACTACAGGCGCACACCACCATACCTAGCTATTTTTTAATTTTTTTTGTAGAGACAGGGTCTCACTGTGTTGCCCAGGCTGGTCTTGAGCTCCTGGGCTCAAGCGATCCTCCTGTCTTGGCCTCCCAAATTGTTAGAATTACAGACATGAGCCATCCACCTGGTGAGTTTTGTTTTAAATCACTAAGTTTGTGGCAATGTTTTACAACAGCAATAGAAAACTAATATGAGGCCTTAGTTCCTTTTGTAAATGATGGGGTAGGAGGCAGTGTGGAGGAAGTCAGAATAAATGAACTTTAAGGTTCCTTCTAGCTCTAAATTCTGTGATTGCAAGATTCTTATTCAGCTGCTAGTTTGTGAGCTAAAGTCCAGCAACCATAAGTAGTATGGACACACACACACGTACACACACATATATACGTGAGCACTTTCAAGGATACATATGAATATGGCAAAGCTAAAGTTTTAGGGGACTCCATAGTGGCAGATCAACCAGATAGATATTGGAGTGGGTTTTGCAACTGCAAAGCAAATGGTTGCAACCAGGGTTAAGGTTTTTCAGGTAGATCCTGAAACTAAGAATCAATGAAAAAGTGACTTTATATGTGCACAGTTTTCATACCCTGAAATGGAAAAATGATCATTATTATTAAACTAGAAGGTCAGTGGTGTCTGTATTTGCGTTATAACAATTTACAGTTCTTATTCTTTTAAAGAATCAATTATGTACCCCATATTTCTAATACATAGTGAATTCTCACAATTTGCTATATTTGGCAAACATACTCTTTGTTTTCTATGAAACTAACTCCAAGGAGCTGAGATTCCAGTAAAACCTGGAAATGAATAGTATATTCCTTAGAGATGTAAACCTCTTTAGAGCAATCTCCAGGGTTCTCTATGCAAGTTGACACTAAATTTATAATGATAATTCTAGCTGGCCTTCCCACCCACCTCTAGCAATTATGCAAAGAAATGCCCAATTTTATGTTATATTGTTGTTTTTTAAAACAGCTTTATGAAGGTGTAATCAACCTACAGTTAAATGCATATATTTGGAATAAGTGTACAATAAGCTTTGATTACACATACATACTTATGAACCCATTATCGCAATCAGGATAATAAACATATTTACCACCCCCAAAAGGTTCCTTGTGGTCTTTTGTAATCTCTCCCTACCTCTCCTTCATCAGACAGCCATTGATCACTGAATGTCACTATAGCTTCATTTGTATTTTCTAGATTTTTATATAAATGAAATTGAGTATACTTTTTAGTCTGGCTTCTTTAACTCAGTATGATTCCCTGAGGTCCACCTATGTTGTTGCATATATCTGTATAGTTTATACTTTTTTATTGCTGAGTAGTAGTCTGTTGTATGGATAGCCTACAATTTGTTTATCTATTCAGCTGTTCATAGACATTTTGATTGTTTTCAGTTTTAGGACATTACAAATAAAGCTGCTGTGAGCATTCACGTGTGTCTCTTTGTATGGACATTTGCTTTCATTTCTTTTGGTAAATACATAGAAGTGAAAAGTCTGGTTTGGATGGTAGGTAGTGCTATGGTTTGGATATGGTTTGTCCCCAGCAAAATTCATGTTTAAATTTGTTCTCCAATGTGGCAGTGTTAGGACTTGGGAGGTGTTTGGGTCATGGAGGTCATGAATAACTTGGGGCTGTTCTTGCAGTAGTGAGTGAGTTCTCGTTTCAAGAGGCTGGATGAGTCCTTACAGGGATGAATCAGTTCTGAGGAGAGTGGGTTGTTATAAAGCCAGGATATCACTTGGGTTTTGCCTCTTTGCTCCTATCCGCTTCCCCTTTGAACTTTCTCCACCAAGTTATGATGTAGCACAAAAGCCCTCATTAGAAGTCAGGGCCACGCTATCATACTAAAACTGTGAGCTAAATAAACTTTTCTTTATAAATTACACAGTCTTAGGTATTCTGTTACAGCAACACAAAATAGACTAATACAGTGCTATGTATTTAAATTTTCAAGAAATTGCCAAGCTTTTCCAAAGTAGTTACAACATTCATTTAACATTCCTACCAGCAGTGTTTGAGAGTTTCAGTTTCTCCACATCCTGACCCACATTTGGTATAGTCAGCCTTTTAAATAGGTATGATGTCTCATTGTGGCTTTAATTTGCACTTTTATAATGACTAATAATGTTGAGCATTTTTTTCATTTGCTTTTCATGTGTGTATCCCTTTTTGTGAAATGCCTGTTAAAATCTTTTGCCCTGTTTTGTTTGTTTGTTTTGTTTTGTTTTGTTTTAAGTATTGAGTTAGAAACTCCTTTCAGGCCAGGCACGGTGGCTCACGCTTGTAATAGCAGCACTTTGGGAGGCCAACGTGGGCAGATCACGAGGTCAAGAGGTTGAGACCATCCTGGCCAACGTGGTGAAACCTCGTCTGTACTAAAAATACAAAAATTAGCTGGGCATGGTGGTGTGCGCCAGTAGTCCCAGCTACTCAGGAGGCTGAGGCAGGAGAATCACTTGAACCCGGGAGGTGGAGGTTGCAGTGAGCCAAGATCGCACCACTGCACTCCAGCCTGGCAACAGAGTGAGACTCCATCTCACAAAAAAGAAAAGAAAAGAAAAATGAAGCTCCTTTCAATATTTGGGGTTTTTTTTAACTTTTATTTTAGGTTCAGAAGTACATGTGCAGGTTTGTTATACAGGAAAACTTCCTTTCAATATTTTGTAAACAAGATCCTTTTTCAACTTTATTGAAGTATAATTGAAAAATTGTATACAGTCAAGGTGAACAATATATTTTGATATATGCATACATTGTGAAATGATTACCACAATGAGGCTAATTAACATATCCATCACCTCACATAGTTACTTCTTTGTGTGGTAAGAATACTTAAGATCCACTCTCTTAGCAAATTTCAGTACATAATATATTATTGTTAACTATAGTCACCATGCTGTACATTAGGTCACCAGAACCTATTCATCTTGCATAACTGCAAGTTTGTACCCTTTAACTAAAATCTTCCTACCCACCCCTCACCCCAGCCCTGCCACTACTGCCCTTGGTGACCACCATTCTACCTTGTTTCAATGAGTCTGACTTTTTGAGAGACCACATATAAGTGAAATCATGCAGTATTTGTTGTTCTGTGTCTGGCTTATTTAACTTAACATAACATCCCTACAAGTTCATCCATGTTTTTGTAAATGAGGGAATTTCTTTCTTTTTAAGGATGAATAATATTCCATTGTATATAAATATATACCACATTTTTTAAACCATTAACCACTAATCATCAAGGAAATACAAATCAAAACCACATGAGATATCACCTCACACCTATTAGGATAGATACTTTTTTTAAGAAAAGATAACAAGTGTTGGCAAGGATGTAGAAAAGTTGGAATTTTTTTTTTTGAGATGGAGTTTTGCTCTTGTTGCCCAGGCTGGAGTGCAATGGTGCAATCTCTGCTCACTGCAATCTCCTTCTCCTGGGTTCAAGTGATTCTCCTGCCTCAGCCTCCCAAGTAGCTGGGATTACAGGCGTGCACCACCATGCCCAGCTAATTTTTTTGTATTTAGTAGATACGGGGTTTCACCATGTTATTCAGGCTGGTCTTGAACTCCTGACCTCAGGTAATCCACCTCGGCCTCCCAAAGTGCTGGGATTACAGGCGTGTGCCACTGCACCCTGCCAGAAGTTGGAATTTTTGTACAGTGCTGGTGGGAATGTAAAATGGTAGAACCCCTGTGGAAAACAGTATGGCAGTTTCTCAAAAAATTAAAGATAGAACTACCATATGATCCAGGAATTCTACTTTTGGGTATATACCCCAAAGAACTGAAAGTAGGATCTGAAAGAGATATCTTCACTCCCATGTTGATTACAGCATTATTCATATTCACTAAAATGTGGAAGGCAACCCAAGTGTCTATTAGTGGATGAATGGGTAAGCAAAATGTGATATATATATATATACATATATATATACACACACGCAAACGTATACAGATACATATATATGATGGAATGTTATTCAACCTTAAAAAGAAGGAAATCCCACTATTTGTGACAGCATGGATGAACCTTGAGGACATTTTGTTAAGTGAAATAAGCTAGTCACAAGACAAATACTGTGTGATTCCACTTCTGTGAGGTATCTAAAATAGTAAAACTAATAGAAACAGAATAGAATGGTGGTTACTAGGGGCTGGGAGGTGGGGGAGAGGGGGTATTGTTGCTCAATACGTATAAAGTTTCAGTTACACGATATGAAAAAGTTCTAGAGATCTGTACAATGTAGTGCCTGCAGCTAACAATAAAGTATTGTGCACTCAAAATTGTGTTAAGAGGGTAGATATCATGTTAAGAATTCTTACACCAAAAAACAAAAGAAAAAAAGCACAGAGACCCAAGGGAGCTTTTGGAGGTGACGGATATATTTATTACATTGATTGTGGTGATATCTTGAGTGTGCACATATGTCAAACTCATCAAATTGTATACATTAAACATGTGCAGTGTTTATTGTATATTAACTATACCACAATAAAAATAAAAAATATAGCCACTCCTACTTTTGATTAATGGTTTCATGGTATATTTTTTTCCAAACTTTTATTTTCAACCCTCCTATATCAGTTTTTTTGAAGTAAGTTTCTTGTACACACTCTACAGTTAGGACATGTTTGGGACTTTCCCCTACCTTTTTGAGATATAATTGACAATTAAAAATTGTGTATATTTAATGTGATGTTTTGATATACCTACATATTGTGAAATGATTACCACAACCAAGCTAATTAACATATCCACTTCATGGTTACCTTTTTTTATAGAGAGGATACTTGAGATCTGTTCTTAGCAAATTTCAAGTATATAATACATTATTATTAACTATAGTCGCCATGCTGTACATTAAGTCTCCAGAACTTAATCAATTTTTAACTTAAAGTGTATATCCTTTGACCAGCATCTCCCCCATTCCCCCACCCAATGAAACTCTGGTAACCACCATTCTATTATCTATTACTATGAGTTTAAACTTTTTTTTAGCCTTCACATATTAGTGAGATCATGTAGTATTTGTTTTTCCGTGTCTGACATATTTCACTTAGCATAGTGTCCTCCGCGTTTATTCACTTTGTTGCACATCACAGGCTTCTTTCATTTGAAGGCTGAATAATATTCCATTGTATGTATATACATCACATTTTACTTATCCATTCATCTGTCAATGGACACTTGGGTTACTTCCACATTTTAGCACATGTGAATAATGCTATGAATATGAGTGCACAAATATCTGTTCGAGACCCTGCTTTCAATTATTTTGGATATGTACCCAGAAGTGATATTGCTGTGTCATATGGTAGTTCTATTTTTAATTTTTTTTGAGAAACTGCCATATTATTTTCCATAGTGGCTGTACCATTTTACATTCCCACCAGCAGTGCACAAGAGTTCCAATTTCTTCACATCCTCACCAACACTTATCTTTTGACTTTTTCACAATAGCCATCCTAACAGGTAGTTTTCATTTGCATCTCCCTGATGGTTGGTGATTTTGAGCATCTTTTTAATATCTTTTGGCTATTTGTATGTTTTCTTTGGGAAAATGTCTGTACAAGTTCTTTGCAGATTTTTAAATCAGGTTGTTTGATTTTTTTCCCCTTGAGTTAAATGAGTTCCTTACAATTTTAGATATTAGCCTCTTATTGGATATATGGTTTGCAAATATTTTCTTCCATTCTGTAAGTTGCCTTTTGATTTTGCTGATTGTTTTCTTGGTGTATTTTTTTTTAGTCTATGCTGCCAATTTCTTTCTTTTAATTGGCATATTTAGACCATTTACATTATTTGTAATTATTGATGTGTTACAGCTTAAGCTTGCCACTTAAATTTTTATTTTCTGATCTATATACACTTTTAAAACCTTTTTAAAAATATTTATTTATTAGAGACAGGGCCTCACTCTTAGCACCCAGGCTGGAGTGCAATTGTAGCTCACTGTAACCTCAGACTCCTGGACTCAAGTGATCTTCCTGCCTCAGCCTCCTGAGTAGCCAGGACCCTAGGCACACACCACCACACTCAGCTAATTTTCTTTTTCTTTTTAATTTTTTTGTAGAGACAGGGTGTCTTACTATGTTGCCCAGGCTCGTCCCGAACTTCTGGCCTCAACTGATCCTCCTGTCTTGGCCTCCCAAGGCACGGAAATTACAGGCGTGAACCATTATACCTAACCTCTGCTTTATATTTTAGTTTACTTTTAGTTTTACAGAAAAATTGGGAAGATAGTACAAAGAGTTGCCATATACACTCTACACAGTTTCCCCTAGTATTGCCATCTTATATAGTACCTTTGTCATAAGTAATGGACCAATATTGATACATCATTATTATTAACCTAAAATCAATGGTTAATTCCAATTTCCTTTGTTGTTACCTAATATCCTTTTTCTATTCCAGAATCTTACCTGTGATATCACATTACATTTAGTTGTCATATCTCCTTGGACTTCATTTGGCCATAGTAGTTTCTTAGATATATTTTTCTTTTTGATGATTTTGACAGTCTTGAGACTACCCATCAAGTATTTTGTAGGATACCTATGTATTAGATTTTTTCTGATATTTTTCTCATGATTAGACTGGGGTTATGGGTTTGGGGAGGAAGATCACTCAGATAAAGTACCATTTTCATTACATCGTTATCAAGGGTATATACTGTCAATATGATTTATGTATGTTGATATTAGCCTTGATTAGTTGGCTGAGTATTCATCAAGTGTTTACACCTTGAAGTTATCCATTTTTCCTTTTTACATACTATATTCTTTGCAGTTGTGGAGTTATGCTCCCCTGCTTAAAGGCATACTTATCTAGATAAATTATTTTGAATTCTTCTACATGGGAAATTTGTCTCTTCTCCCTAATTCGTTAATTTGTTCAACCATTTTTATATCAATACGGACTTGGGAATATGTATTTTATTCTTTAGGTTATAATTCAATACTACATTTTTGTTGTTCAGATTGTTTTAGCTTTGGCCATTGGGAGCTCTTTTAATTGACTCCTGCACCCTTTTGACATACCCCAATCAGTGTGGGTGGTTTTGTTTTTTATAAGCAATTCCTTTCTTTCTGACAACACAGAATGTTCTAGGTTCATCTTGCACATTTCTTGCCCCAATCCTGGAATCAACCATTTCTCCTAGGAGGTCTAGTTCCTCTCACTGGCAAAGTATATTAGTAACCAAGATCTGAATGTTAGTTGTGCTTGTTGCTACTGGGGTGTCATTTCTTCTAGGCCTTATTAGTTGACGGAGCAAAGAAAATATATGTGTGTATACTAATCTGAGTATATAGACATATATATATAAATATTTTGGTATGTAAACATCTGTATCTATATTAAGTTAAACGTAAGTTATTACTGATGTTTCCTATTCTAATTCATTAGCACTTAGATCATTCTAGCCTTGCTTGCAGATTACCCTTGCTTATCTGTTCCCAATCCAACAGTGGGAAACCTGGCTCTTACCATCCATCATTCATTTACTTAATTTTTTAATTGTTCAATTTTAGTATACATGTAAAGCAGTATCAGAATTGTTCACCTGTACCCTCATGAGAAACAACTTTGTCAACTAGAGTACAGTGCTTATGTGCAGTTCTTTTTGCCTTTATTCTTACAGACTCTACTTATTTCCAGAGTTACTTAGGTCAGTATCTAGTCCTCCTATTTCCTTTAGTGAAGTTGTTCCACACATTTGTTAGAGTCTCTTGTCACAGTCTCTATTATATCTGAGGATTCCCCCAACCTCCCAAATTATATATATATATATAAAATATCAAATTATATATAATATATATAATACCTAGTTATATATAACTATATATATAATTTGTATGCATTGAGATTGACTTGTTGTGTGGTAAAGTCCTGTGGATTTTGACATGCATAATGACACGTATCTGCTATTATAGTATCACACGTAGTATTTTCACCATCCTAAAAATCCTCTGTGCCTCATCTCTTCATCTTCCTGAGATGCTGGCAACCACATCTTTTCACTCTCTATTTTTCTTACTGGCTCTTCTTTTTGCTTTTGTGCCATTTCTGCAATGTCACATAATTGGAATCATTCAGTATGTAGTCTTTTTAGATTGGCTTCTTCCACTTAGCAATATGAATTTCAGGTTCCTCTATGTCTTTTTTGTGACTGATAGCTCATCTCTTTGTTTATCTATTTACCTATTGGAGGACATCTTGGTTGCTTCCTGTGTTTGGTGATTATCAATAAAGTTGCTGTAAACATTCACGGGAAGATTTTTGAGTAGATCTAAGTTTTCAAATCAAGTGGGTAAATTCCTAGCAGTGAAATGGCTCCTGTAGGTAAGGTATCATTTCTCTTTCTGTGCATTCAAGATTTTTTTCTTTGTCTTAGGATGGAATTTGACTATGACATGTCTTAGGATGGAATTTCTTTGGATTTATCATGTTTGGAGTTTGCACCGCTCTTTGAATCTCTAGGTTTATGTTTTTTCCCAAATATTTGAGACATTATTTCTTTGAATATTTATTTGTTCTGCCCTACCTTTCTTCTCCTCTTCCAGGGTTCTGATGACATAATGTACATTTTTTGTTGTCTTACACGTCGCTGAGGCTCCATGCAGTTTTTTTTTCAGTCTGTTTTCTCTCTGTTGTTCAGATGAGGTAATTTCTACTTTTTTATTTTTCCTTCTCCTTCCTTCCTTCCTTCCTTTTCTTTCTTTTTCTTCCTTTCTTTCCTTTCTTTCTTTTCTTTGAAACAAGGTCTCACTCTGTTGCCCAGGCTGGAGTGCAGTGGTATAATCATAGCTCACTGCAGCCTCAAACACATGGACTCAAGCAGTCCTCCCACTTCAGCCTGCCAAATAGCTGGGATTACAGGCACCAACCACTGCACATAACTCTACTTTATTTCAAATTCACTTATTCTTTCCTTTGTCCTCTCCATTCTGCTGTAAGCTCATCTGTTGAGTTATTTTTAAGATTTTGGTTATTGTATATACTAGTTTTCTGAGTATTGTAACAAATTACCACAGATGGGATGACTTAAAACAACAGAAATTTATTCTCTCACAATTTTGGAGGCCAGAAGTCCAAAATCAAGGTATTTGTTGGCTTTTTTTTTTTAGATTAAAAAGACTTAGATATTTTAATCAATTGAAATGTATGAATCTTATTCAGATCCTGAGTCAAACACTTAAAATCAATAATGTATGAGACAGTTACATAAATGTGAACAGTAATTAAATACTTAAGAATATTGAGGATATCTTGTTAAGTTTTAAACTGTAATGATAGTATTATGTTTATGATTTTTACAAAAAATAGTTTCTATCTTTAAGAGATAGATAATTAAAATACTTGGAAGTGGATTAATAGGATGTCTTGAATTTACTTCAAAAGCATGAGTGTGTGTGTGTGTCTGTGTGTGTGTCTCTGTGTGTGAATGAGGTGGAAAGATGGGTTAAATAAAATTGGCTTTGATGTTGTTACAGCCTGATAATAATGATGTGTAGGTTCATTACATTATTTTCTCCACTTTGGTATATATTTGAAATTTGTGTAGCAGAGAGTTAAGGAAATACTTATTGATTCAAAGTAAACCGATCTAATCATAACCCTTGCAAATGGATGTCTACCTATGTATAAATAAGGTACTTCTTTTTTTAAAACTATGGGTCTCTTTTTATTAAGGCGAGATCTCTTGCAACTGGTGTTTCATGAATAGAGTTGCCAGATAAAATACAAGACTCGGTTAATTTGAAATTTCAGATAAACAATGTCTAGTATTTTAGAATAAGCACATCCCAGCTATTGCACTGGACACACTAATACTAAAAAAATAATTTTTGTTTATCTGAAATTCTAATTTTACTGGGGCATTCTGTATTTTTTTTTTTTTTTTACTTTAAGTTCTGGATACATGTGCAGAACGTGCAGGTTTGTTACATAGGTATATGTGTGCCATGGTGGTTTGCTGCACCTATCAACCTGTCACCTAGGTTTTAAGCCCCACATGCATTAGCTATTTGTCTTGATGCTCTCCTTCCCCTCACCCTCACCTCCCGACAGGCTCCAGAGTGTGTTGTTCCTTTCCCTGTCTCCATATGTTCTCATTGTTCAACTCCCACTTATGAGTGAGAACATGTGGTGTTTGGTTTTCTGTTCCTGTGTTAGTTTGCTGAGATGATGGCTTGCAGCTTAATCCATGTCCCTGCAAAAGACATGATCTCATTCATTTTTATGGCTGCGTAGTATTCCATGGTGTATATGTACCACATTTTCTTTATCCAGTCTATCATTGATGGGCATTTGGGTTGGTTCCATGTCTTTGCTGTTGTGAATAGTGCTGCAATAAACATACGTGTGCATATATCTTTATAATAGAATGATTTATATTCCTTGGGTATATACCCAGTAATGGGATTGCTGGGTCAAATGGTATTTCTGATTTTAGATCCTTGAAGAATCACCACACTGTCTTCCACAATGGTTGAACAAAAGCTGAAATTGACAAATGGGGTATAATTAAACTGAAGAGCTTCTGCACAGCAAAAGAAACTATCATCAGAGTGAGCAGGCAACCTACAGAATGAGAAAAAATTTTTGCAATCTACCCATCTGACAAAGGTCTAATATCCAGAATTTACAAAGAATTTAAATTTACAAGAAAAAAAAAACCTTGTCAAAAAGTGGGCAATGAATATGAACAGACACTTCTGAAAAGAAGACATTTATGTGGCCAACAAACATATGGAAAAAAGCTCAGCATTACTGATCATTAGAGAAATGCAAATCAAAACCACAATTAGATACCATCTCACACCAGTCAGAATGGCAATTATTAAAAAGTCAAAAAACAACAGATGCTGGCGAGGCTATGGAGAAATAGGAACACTTACACTGTTGATGGGAATGTAAATTAGTTTGACTTTTCATTTTATTGAAGTTTTCTTTGCAGTGCAGAAGCTTTTTAGTTTGACATAGTCCCATTTGTTTGTTTTTGCTTTAAAAATTTTTTTTGCCTTTGCTTTTGGTGTTCTATACAAAAAAATCCTTACCAAGGCCAATTTCAAAGAGCTTCTTCCCTATTTTTTTCTTTTAGGAGTTCTACAGTTTCAAGTATTACATTTAAGTTTTTAATGCACTTTCTGTTGATTTGTGTGTGTGCTGTAGGATGTGTTCAATTTATTCTTTTGCAGGTGGATGTCCAGTTGTCCAAACACATTTTTTTTTGAGACAGAGTCTCACTCCAACACCCAAGCTAGAGTGTGGTGGCATGATCTTGGCTCACTGCAACCTGTGTCTCCTGGGTTCAAGTGATTCTTGTGCCTCAGCCCTCCCCGCATAGCTGGAATTACAGGCATGTGCCACCACATCCAGCTAATTTTTGTATTTTTAGTAGAGATGGGGTTTTGCCACATTGGCCAGGCTGGTCTCAAACTCCTGGCCTCAAGCGATCCACCAACCTCGGCCTTCTGAAGTGCTGGGATTACAGGAGTGAGCCACTGCACCCAGCCCAAGCACAAAAGAGACTGTGCTTTTTCCATTGTGTATTTTGGGCACCTTTGTCAAATACTAGTTGGCTATATATACTTGGTTTTTTGGGGTTTTTTTCTGGGCTCTCGATTCTGTTCCATTGGTCTATGTGTCTGTTTTTATGCCAGTACCATACTGCTTTGATTACTATAGCTTTGTAGTATAATTTGAAATCAGAAAGCGTGATGCCTCCAATTTTGTTTTTGTTTTTAAGGTTGCTTTGGCACAGAGTCTTTTGTGGTTCCATACAAATTTTAATATTAGCTTTTCTATTTCTGTGAAAAATGCCATTGGACTTAAGATAGGGATTTCCTTGCATTTGTAGATCACTTTGAGTAGTGTGGACATTTTAATAATACTAATTCTTTCAATCAATGAACACAGGATATCTATTTTATTTTTGTTTTCTTCAATTTCATCAATGTTTTTTAGTTTTCAGTGTACAGATGTTTCACCTACTTGGTTACTTTTATTCATATATATTTGAGATGGAGTCTCACTCACTCTGTCACCCAGGCTGGAGATCTCGGCTCACTGCAACCTCCACCTCCTGGGTTCAAGTGATTCTCCTGCCTCAGCCTCCTGAGTAGCTGAGATTACAGGCATGCACCACCATGCCCAGTTAATTTTTGCATTTTTAGCAGAGACAGGGTTTCACCATGTTGGCCAGTCTGGTCTCGAACTCCTGACCTCAAGTGATCCACCCTCCTCAGCCTCTCAAAGTGCTGGAATTACAGGCATGAGCCACTGTGCCCAACTATTTTATATATTTTTGATGCTATTGTAAATAGGATTGTTTTCTTGATTTCCTTTTTGGATATTTTATTGTTGGCACAAAGAAACGCTTCTGGGTTTTGTATGTTGATTTTGTAACCTGCAACTTTACTGAAGTAATTTATTAGTTCTTAGAGTTCTTTGGTGGAGTCTTTAGAGTCTTCCGTATATAGGATCACTTGGTCCCATGGAAACAGTTTTTTAGCTCTTCCATTTGGGTCTTTGATCCATTTTGAATTAATTTTTGTATATGATATGAGATAAGAATCCAATTTCATTCATTTGCATGTGGAAATCCCGTTTTCCTAGCACCATTTGCTGAAAGGACTGTCCTATCACCATTTGCTGAAAGGACTGTCCTATCACCATTAAATGGTCCTGGCACCTTTGTCACAAATAATTTGATGATATATAACAAGATTTATTTCTGCGTTCTCTATTCCATTCCATTGGTCTATATGTCTATCTTTATGCCAGTTCCACACATTTTCATTACTATGGCTTTGTAATAAGTTTTGAAATCAGAAAGTACAAATCCTCTAATTTTGCTCTTTGTTTTCAAGTTTGTTTAGGGCTTTTGGGGTCCCTTGAGCAAAGTCCATATTAATTTTAGGATGGATTTTTTCCATTTCTGCAAAACACATCATTGGGATTTTGGGGTTTTTTTCAGACAGGGCCTCAGTCTGTCGCCCAGGCTGGAGTGCAGTAGCCCGATCACAGCCCACTGCAGCCTTGACCTCCCAGGGTCAGGCAGTCCTCCCACTTCAGCCTTGCTAGTAGCTGAGACTACAAGCATGCGCCATCACAGCTGCCAATTTTTTGTAGAGACAGGCTTTTGCCATCTTGCCCAAGCTAGTCTCAAACTCCTAGGCTCAAGCAGTCTGCCCACCTCAGCCTCTCAAAGTGCTGGGATTACAGGCGTGAACCACCACACCTGGCCTGGGATTTTAATAGGGATAAATATCTGCAAATCTGTAGATCACTTTGGGAATATCAACACATTAACAATATTTAGTCTTCCAACCCGTGAACTGTTTACATTTTTAAATAGAAGATACTAGTGTATTATTTGTGTAATCAAACATAAACAAGTTTTTAGAAAGAGGTTTTGGCCGAGGAACTAGTAAATTTCTCATGTCTTTTCATGTAACTTCACTGGATCTCGGTAACCAATTTTTAAAGCTTGCAATCAGTTCTGGGAAAAACATAAATTAGATATTAGGAGAGAAATGATTATCTGACTATAGGTGTTAATAGAAAATGTTTATGGCTTAATAAACTGAAATTAAATTAAATCATGTAATATTGACAAATTAAGCTTATTTAGACATTTAATAACATTACCTGAGTTCAGATATGCTTTTATCTGGCTTATTTTGCTCACACTGAAATACATTTTAGTCCCATTGATCAATAACCAGTTTTTCTGTTCGCATTGCTTAAAATTGTGTCTCATTGTACAGAGAATCTGTTGGGTTTCATTTCCTGACGATTATTCATGAACGTTTTAAGTCATCGGAAAATATTGGAAAAGTTCTGATACTCCATACTGACATGCTTTTACAAAGGAAGGAAGAACTTCTTGCCAAGGAGAAGATTGAAGAAATCTTTTTAGGTCAGTAGGATTTTCGCAAGTGTTTTAGAAACGTATTAATTTGTGTATAATTCTTAGATGTCAGAGTAATAGCAAAATCCTCAAGTCAATGGATTTCTTCCACTTCCTTTTTTTCTTCCTCCCTAATGGTCTTTTAACAGTAACACCTCACCTGTCCACATCCCACAAATTGGGCAAGTGGAATGAGAAACTAAGCAAAAATAAGAAACCATCATTGAAAACAGACAAACTTCTGAGCTTAAAGCTCACATGTGGTGGAATATTGTGAGGTTACAAGCCTAATTTAATATCTCTAGTTTGATCTCAATTTAGCTGTGTACCTTTGAACAAGTCAAAGGACCTTGATTTTTTTTTCAACTATAAAATGATGATTGTGAACTAAACTCCTGGTTTCTAACTTCTTTTCAGCAGCAGCATCCTTTTGTGATGCAATCTTATATGAACCCCACCCTGAATGAAATAGATTAGAGTTTTTCTGGTTAAAGCAGAGATGTAGAGCCAAATCTGCTCAGCATTCCCCTAATCCTCTGCCTCCCTGCAGAACTTCTGTACCCTGAAGAACACAGATAGTAAGATCCCTTTCTTAGAAAATTCTCTTCACCACTTCGTCCTTCCAACTAAGTGCATGTAGAGATATAATTGGAGTGATAGTCACTAAATGTTAACTCTGGGGTTTATTCTGAATGGTGGCATTTTAGGTGACGTGTTGCTTTCTTCTAAATACTCTACCATATTGTTTGAATTTTTATAAGCACAATTCATGTTTCTATAAAAACAAAGTCATTAATTTTTTAAAGGAAGTCATCTGAGTAGATGATCTCTAAGAGCCATATTTTACTGATAACACCCTCCCTCCAGGCATTTACCAATTATTTTTAGACCCAGTTTTGATAAACTTGGTTATCCGGTTTTCCTACTCTTAACATTTTGATGGTAGCACTTTGCAAATAGAGAAAAGGTTTAAAGGGAAGTATACAGATAGCCTGACCATAGGGAGGAAAAAAAACTCTACCAATTTTATAAAACAGATTCAAATTTTTAATACAACAATCTGTACTGTATAACAACTCCCAAAGGCATCACTGTGATATATTAATAGTACAATAAAATAAAATAGTTGTTAATGTTGACCTCAAGTGGTCAAGAAAAAGTTGAATTATGCTTAAGAAAACTAGGAAGTTTGTTTACTTTTTAGAAAATTTAAGAACTTTCATGAAAATATTCAGACTTTTTAAATTCAGAAGTGATTTTTATTTAAAGAAAGTAAACTGCCAGTTGACCAGAAAACTTGATTACACAGAATTACTCATTTTCCTAAAATTCCACTTAGACTGTTCTATTATGACATCTAAGTTACACTTACACTCTCAAAGTATTATAATATTTCAAGTAGATACATTTAGTAGCTGTTTACTCTCATGTGAGTATTTTTAAGTAAGTCATGGAACAAACTACATTTGCTGACTGGGCTAGAGGGTCAGAGATTCCTAATGTTCTAGTCAAGACTTTTGTGGAAATTGATAGTTTATGCCAAAGGGCAGAAGAGGAGGTGCAGAATTCTATTATAGTTTAGACTTTACCTTAATGTGCTAATGTATTTGAACTCTGTAAATGTCTAGACCAGAAACAATCAACGCAAGTTAAGATTTAAAGTAATAAAGTTTATGTGTAAGCATGGTCTTAAAGTATTTTACAAAGGCTTTAAGGCATAATTGGCCTTTCTTGTGAACTTGATCTGATCTATTTAGCACATAATAGTATAAGCACTTCTTATTAATGATTTCTGGCATTGCTGTCTGCTCATTCACAATAACCTTATTAAGGCACCAGATGATGATCTAATTTGGAATGTGGAAAATCAGTTAAAAAGAGAGTAGGCTGGAAAACTATCACAGATTGATGGGAGAATTACTGTGATTCTAGCAAACTCTGATTGCATTATATTATCAATTATGGTAGTAAACCTAAAATTGATGATGAAAACCTGTCTGAATTTTTTTGTGTGTAGCCATTACTTAAAGATTATAGGTTCTGAGTATAGTTAGCTCTCTTTACTTAATGTAATAGACCGAGATTCTTTTTTTTTTTTTTTTTAATTGATCATTCTTGGGTGTTTCTCGCAGAGGGGGATTTGGCAGGGTCACAGGACAATAGTGGAGGGAAGGTCAGCAGATAAACAAGTGAACAAAGGTCTCTGGTTTTCCTAGGCAGAGGACCCTGCGGCCTTCCGCAGTGTTTGTGTCCCTGGGTACTTGAGATTAGGGAGTGGTGATGACTCTTAAGGAGCATGCTGCCTTCAAGCATCTGTTTAACAAAGCACATCTTGCACCGCCCTTAATCCATTCAACCCTGAGTGGATACAGCACATGTTTCAGATAGCACAGGGTTGGGGGTAAGGTCACAGATCAACAGGATCCCAAGGCAGAAGAATTTTTCTTAGTACAGAACAAAATGAAAAGTCTCCCACGTCTACCTCTTTCTACACAGACACGGCAACCATCCGATTTCTCAATCTTTTCCCCACCTTTCCCCCCTTTCTATTCCACAAAACCGCCACTGTCATCATGGCCCGTTCTCAATGAGCTGTTGGGTACACCTCCCAGACGGGGTGGTGGCCGGGCAGAGGGGCTCCTCAGTTCCCAGTAGGGGCGGCCGGGCAGAGGCGCCCCTCACCTCCCGGACGGGGCGGCTGGCCGGGCGGGGGGCTGACCCCCCCCACCTCCCTCCCGGACGGGGCGGCTGGCCGGGCAGAGGGGCTCCTCACTTCCCAGTAGGGGCGGCCGGGCAGAGGCGCCCCTCACCTCCCGGACGGGGCGGCTGGCCGGGCGGGGGGCTGACCCCTCCCACCTCCCTCCCGGACGGGGCGGCTGGCCGGGCGGGGGGCTGACCCCCCCACCTCCCTCCCGGACGGGCGGCTGGCCGGGCGGGGGGCTGACCCCCCCACCTCCCTGCCTGACGAGGTGGCTGCCGGGCAGAGACGCTCCTCACTTCCCAGACGGGGTGGCTGCTGGGCGGAGGGGCTTCTCACTTCTCAGACAGCGCGGCTGCCGGGCGGAGGGGCTCCTCACTTCTCAGACGGGGCGGTTGCCAGGCAGAGGGTCTCCTCACTTCTCAGACGGGGCGGCCGGGCAGAGACGCTCCTCACTTCCCAGATGGGATGGCGGCCGGGAAGAGGCGCTCCTCACTTCCTAGATGGGATGGCGGCCGGGCAGAGACGCTCCTCACTTTCCAGACTGCGCAGCCAGGCAGAGGGGCTCCTCACATCCCAGACGATGGGCGGCCGGGCAGAGACGCTCCTCACTTCCCAGACGGGGTGGTGGCCGGGCAGAGGCTGCAATCTCGGCACTTTGGGAGGCCAAGGCAGGCGGCTGGGAGGTGAAGGTTGTAGCGAGCCGAGATCACGCCACTGCACTCCAGCCTGGGCACCATTGAGCACGGAGTGAATGAGACTCCGTCTGCAATCCCGGCACCTCAGGATGCCGAGGCTGGCGGATCACTCGCGGTTAGGAGCTGGAGACCAGCCCAGCCAACACAGCGAAACCTCGTCTCCACCAAAAAAATACGAAAACCAGTCAGGCGTGGCGGCGCGCGCCTGCAATCGCAGGCAGTCGGCAGGCTGAGGCAGGAGAATCAGGCAGCAGTACCGTCCAGCTTCAGCTCGGCATCAGAGGGAGACCGTGGAGAGAGGGAGAGGGAGACCGTGGGGAGAGGGAGAGGGAGAGGGAGAGGGAGAGGGAGACAATAGACCGAGATTCTTATTTTCAGAGCTTTTTTTTTTTTTCAGCTCACCAAACAGGAAGACAACTGACAGCAGAATCAATGAACTGGTTACACAACATTCTGTGGAGACAAGCTGCCAGTAGTTTTGAGGTTTGAGAATAATCTCTTTTTCATTCTTTATTTCTCCACTGCAACAAAAAATAGTGCATTCACTATAAAAATAAAAGAGCATCAAATACTTCAATAATCTCTGTCTGTTTAGATACCATATATTTATTAAATATTCACAATATAGAGTGTTAATGAGCATTGTGCAAGAGTTTATTAAAAATAATAAGACATGATTCCTCTCCATTGAGAGCTTACAGTGTAGGGAAATGTCATCGCTGATATTAAGATATAAGAATGTAATTTTTTTAACATGAGGGCTGAGAAAGAGTTTTATTCCCTTTAAAAACTTAATGGTGTAATAAAAAATGGAAAAAAAAACCTTTACAAGACAACTCAGGTTTCCTGTAAACCTAAAGATAAGTTTTTTTAAAGCAAAGAACAATCATTTATAATTTTGGTATATTTCCTTCTAATCTTTGTGTATTATACATTTGTGTCCCTGTGTATATAAATCAGATGGGACGTACCATTAAAAAAAAAGTTGTGTTTGCTTCCACTTGCAATTAATATGTAGTAACAGGGACTGTTTTATGTCCCTTCTTGAACAACAAGCCCCTCTCCACAAAGGACAAGACAAAATAGACGAAAAGAAAAAAAAAGGCTTTTATGACCCTGAACATCAGGCAATGAAGGAGAATGGTCCCTGGGAGATAAGAAATAAAGCGAGCATTGGCCGGGCGTGGTGGCTCACGCCTGTAATCCCAGCAATTTGGGAGGCTGAGGTGGGCAGATCACAAGGTCAGGAGATCGAGAACATCCTGGCTAACATGGTGAAAGCCCATCTCTACTAAAATACAAAAAATTAGCTGGGCATGGTAGCACACGCCTGTAGTGTCCGCTACTCAGGAGGCTGAGGCAGGGGAATCGCTTGAACCCGGGAGGCAGAGGTTGCAGTGAGCCGAGATCGCGCCACTGCACTCCAGCCTGGCGACAGAGCAAGACTCCATCTCAAAAAAAAAAAAAAAAAAAAAAGGAAAGAAAAGAAAGAAAGAAAGTGAGCATTACAATTGTGCAGCTTACTGCTTTGAGTTTCCAGGGTATAGCACAAGAAGGGGATCTGAAGCAGAGCCTGGCAAGCGTCCTGATTTGAGATGCAGCTGAGTCTGAGGAGACCAAGGCAGCCAGAATTTATAAGACAAAGTACTGAAGAGGACCACATAGCGTAGATTAGGCATTGTAAAAGAAAAGATTGATAAACTTGAAGTCAGAGCAAAGAAGCTATTCAAAATTAAACACACTGAATAAAAGACTTAAAAGAGCTTCAGTGAGATGAGGGTCCTCTTCCAATGTTTAACAGAGTTCTGATCAGGACATACATGAAGCAAAATTACCTGAAGCTAGGAGAATAACCATCTAAAAATATTAGCGGGAACAGTGCCTAGCACTCACATGGGGTTGAGAATAAGGCCTGTTCTTATCACCCAGTCTGGAAAACCTCTAATTCATGGGGCATTGGGAAGAAAACTCAGAAGGGTCTTGTCTCAGAAGAGGGGAATAATTAGTCCTACACTAAGTCCTGCTCCAGAACTACCTTAAAAATTATAAACCTATGGTGTGAAAGGATCAAATTGATCCCAAGGAACTTAATTGCTTCCCAGAGCAGAGTTCAAGAATATTTATAGGAATATAAAACTGTACAGCACCCAACAGGATAAAGTTTACAATGTCTGGCATCCAGCAAAAAAATTACTGAGCATGTGAAGAGGCATGAAAATGCAACCTATAATGAGGAGAATAAGCAATCAATCGATACTGACCCAGAACTGACATAGAAGTTAGCATTAACAGAGGACATCTCTTATAATTGTATTTCATGCATTCAAAAAGTTAAGTGGAGGCATGGAAGATACGTAAAGACCCAAATCAAACTTATAAAGATGAAAACTCTGTTTAGGATGAGAAGCACATTGGACAGTATTAACATCATATTAGACATTGTAGAAGAAAAGACTGATGAATTTGAAGTTATAGCAAAGAAGCTATTGAAAATGAAATACACAGGGAAAAAACCCTTAAAAAAATTAAAAGAGTTCAGTGAGGTTAGGGACAATTTTAGGTAGCTTAATATACGGGTAACTGGGATTCCCAAATGAGGATGGAGATAATAAATATTTGAAGAAATAAAACTTTCAAAACTTAATGAAAACTCTAAATGCACAGATAGATAGAAAAATCTTAACAAACCCCAAACACAAGAAACACAAAACGACACCAACGCACGTAATCAAAATTCTCAAAACCAGTGATAAAGAGAATGTCCTAAAAGCAGCCAGATAAAAGTGACACCTTATATACAGAGGAATAAATTAAAGAGAACGTCAGATTTCTTGTTGGAAGTAATGCAAGCAAGAACTCAGTGGAGCAGCATCTTTAAAATAATGAAAGAAAATTAAAACCTGTCAGCCAAAATTTCTGTATCCAGCACAAGTATTGTTTAAAATGAAAGTAGTTGGTACAAATGTAAAATAGTGTAGCCACTATGGAAAACAGTATGGCAGCTCTTCAAACAATTAAAAATGTTATTAACATATGATGCAGCATTTTCACTTTTGCTTGTATATCCAAAAGAATTAAAAGCAAGATATTTGCACACCCATGTTTATAGCAGCCAAAAGGTGGAAGCAACCCAAGTTCCATCAACAAATGAGTGGATAAATAAAATGGGGTATACTCAAACAATGAAATATTACTTAGCCTTAAAAAGCAAGGACTTCTGATACATGCTATAACATGGATGAGCCTTGAGGACATTATGCTAAGTGACATAAGCCTGTCACAAAAAACAATACTGTGTGGTTCCACTTACATGAGGTACCTAGAGTAGTCAAATCCGTGGAGAATGAAAGTAGAATGGGCCGGATGCGGTGGCTCACACCTGCAATCCTAGCACTTTGGGAGGCCAAGGCGGGTGGATCACTTAAGGTCAGGAGTTCGAGACCAGCCTGGCCAACATGGTGAAACCCCGTCTCTACTAAAAATACAAAAATTAGCCAAGTGTGGTGGTGCACGCATGTAGTTCCAGCTACTCAGGAGGCTGAGGCAGGAGAATCACTTGAACCCAGGAGGCAGATGTTGCAATGAGCCAAGTTTGTGCCACTGCACTCCAGCCTGGGCAACAGAGCGAGACTCTGAGAAAAAGAAAAGAAAAGAAACAGAAAGGAAGAGGGGAAGAGAAGAGAAGAGAAACGAGAAGAGAAAGAAGAGAGAGAGAGAGAGGAAAAGAAAAGAAAAAGAAAAAGAAAAGAAAGAAAGGTGGTTTCCAGGGGCTAGGAGGAGGGGAAAATGTGGAGTTGTTTAATGAGTATAGAGTTTCAGTTTTACTAGATGAAAAAGTTCTGGAGATTGGTTGCAGAGTAGTCAATTTTATGCTATGTGTTTTTTACCATAATAAAAATATGTTTTTAAAAAATGAAAGCAAAATAGTCTTCCAGACATTTAAAAGCTGAAATAACTAATCACTCAAAGATCTACATTACAAGGAAGTCCTCTGAGCAGAAGGAAACTTACACCAGATGGAAATATGAATCTATACAAATGAATAAAGAATACCAGAAATGGTAATTATATGAGTAATTGATAAGATTTTTTTCGTATTATTACAATCTCTTTAAAAGATAGTTTATTGCTTAAACAAAAATAATAACATTGTATTCTGCAGTTTATAACCTGTAAAAGTAAGATGCATGACAAGAACATATAGGCCAAGAAGAGAGAAATGGAAGTATACCATAAGTGAGGTGGTATAACATCACTTGAAGATAGACTATGATAAGTTAAACATGTATACTATGTACCCTAAAACAACCATTAAAATAGCAAAACAAAGAGTTTTTTTTAAAAATGAGATAAAATCAAATCATAAAAATATTCAAATAATCTAAAATAAGGCAGAAAAAGGAAAGACGGATCAAAAAAGATGGCACAAATAGAAGACAAATAGCAAGATGATAGATTTACATCTAAGCATATGAAAAAAAAATCACATTAAGTGAAAATGACCTCAAGACCCCAGTGAAAAGGCAGAGATTGTCAAACTGGATAAAAGAGCAAGACCCAAGTTTATGTACTGCTTAAAAGAAATGTACTTTAAACATAAAGATACAAATTGGTTATAAACAAAAGCATCAGAAAAATATAGAGAGACAAGATTGTTCTAAAATTTATATATAAAACAATGGAATGAAAATAGCCAAGATACATTATTAAAAAGTCAAAAAATAATAGATGCTGGCAAGGTTGTAGAGAAAAAGGAACACTTATATACTGTTGGTGGGAGTGTAAATTAGTTCAACCACTGTGGAAAGCAGTATGGCTATTTCTGAAAGAACTAAAAGCAGAATACCATTTGGCCCAGCAATCCCATTACTGGATATATACCCAGAGGAATAAAAATCATTCTATCATAAAGACACATACATGCAAATGTTCATTGCAGCACTATTCACAATAGGAAAGACATGGACTCAACCTAAATGCCCATCAATGACAGACTGAATAAAGAAAATGTGGTACATATACACCATAGAATATTATGCAGCCATAAAAAAGAAAAGATCATGTCTTTTGCGGGAACATTGATGGAGCTGGAAGCTATCGTCCTGAGAAAACTAACACAGGATCAGAAAGCCAAATAATGCATGTTTTCACTTATAAGTGGGAGTTAAATGATAAGAACTTATGAACACAAAGAAGGAAACAACAGACACTGGTGTCTACTTGAGGGTGGAGGATGAGAGAAGGGAGAGGAGCAGAAAAGATAACTATTGGGTACTAGGCTTAATATCTGGGTGATGCAATAATATGTACAACAAACCCCTGTGACATGTGTTTACCTATGTAACAAACCTTCACCTGTACCCCTAAACCTAAAATAAAAATTATAAAAAGAAAATAGCCAAAACAACCTGAGAGAGAATAGAACAGAAAGAATTACCCTATTCAATTTCAACACTTTTTATATAGCTACAGTAATCTAGACTGTGTGGTATCATTAGAGACATAGATCCATAGATCAATGGAACAGAATGGAAAACCAAAAAATAATCCCACACAAATATGCTCAACTGATTTTTGAGAAAGCACAAAAGTAATTCAATGGAAAAAGATGGTGTTTTCAACTAATGGTGCTGGAGAAATTGGACATCCATAGAAAAAAAAAAACCCTTGACCTTAACTTCACATTTTATACAAAAATTAAATAGATTATAAAATTAGATGTAAAATGTGCAATAAAAATACATAGGAGAAAATCTTCAGGATCTAGGCCAGGTCATGTGCAGCCTATTCCCTGCATGAACTGCACTTGATATGTGACTAAAGACAAGGATGTTAAGAAGTTTATCATTCAAAATATGGTAGAAAGCCAAGTGTGGTGGCTCCTGCCTGTAATCCCAGTGCTTTGAGAGGCTGAGGCGGGAGGATTGCTCGAGCCTAGGAGTTTGGGACCAACCAGCCTGGGCAATATAAAGGAGCACCATCTATACAAAAATAAAAAATTTAGCCTGGTGTGGTAGCATGCACCTGTAGTCCCAGCTACTCAGGAGGCTGAAGCAGAAGGATCCTTTGAGCCCAGGAGTTTAAGGCTGCAGTGAGCTGTGATCATGCCACTTCACTCCAGCCTGGGTCACAGAGCAAGATCCTGTCTCAAAAGCTAAAAACAAAGAAAACAACAAAACATAGTAGAGGCCACAGCTATCAGGGACATAGCTGAAGCCAGTGTCTTTGATGTCTATGTGCTTCCCAAGCTGTTTGTGAAGCTACATTACTGCATGAGTTGCACCATTCACAGCAAGGTAGTCCAGAATCAATCTCGTGAAGCCGGTAAGGACCAAACACCCCAACCCTGATTTAGACCTGTGGGTGCTGCCCACCAACCTCCACCAAAGCCTACATATGGAGCTGAGTCCTTAAGGACTGAAAAAAAAGCTATCCTCTGAAGAAAATAAAGTGAAAATTATACTTTAAAAAAAAGAGATCCTGTTGAATAGATGAAAAAAGCTAGAGACTGGGAGAAAAATTTTCAGACCATGTATACAATAATGGGCTAGTAGCTAAAACATAGAAAGAACTCTCTAAACTCAATGTACAAAGAAAAACAATTCAAAAATTAGCAAAGGATATGAACAGACATTTCACCAAAAAGGGATATATGCATGAAAATAAGCACCCAAAAAAGATGACTTATGAGTCATTAGGGAAATGCAAACGAAAACCCCAAGGAGATACCAATACATAATTCTTAGAATAGCCAAAATGGAAAAGATTAACCATACCAAATGCTGACGAAGATGTTGAGGAACTGGAACTTCATGGTGGAAATATAAGATAGTACAGACGGTTTGGAAAATAGTTTGGCAGTTTTCTAAAATGTTAAACTTGCCCCTATCATGTGATCCAGCCATTTCAATCCTATGTATGTACTCAAGAGAAAAGGAATTATTTATCCATACAAAAACTTGCATGTAAAAGCTGATAGCAGCTTTATTTATAATAGTTAAAAACTGGAAACAGCCAAATGTCCATCAACAAGTGAGTGGATAAACAAACTGGTATGTCCTTCAATGAAATACTACTCAGCAATGAAAAGGAATGAACTATTGATAGATGCAATAATGGGGATAAATCTAGAAACTGTTTTGCTGAGCGAAAGGGGCCAGGCAAAAAAGTATTAATACATATTAGATGATTCCATTGTATAAAAGCCTATAAAATAAAAATTAATAGTTATAGAAAGTTATAGAAAGCACATCCATAACTGCTTGGGGTATGAGAGACCAGAATGAACTGGATTGAGGGATTACAAAGAAAAAATGGTTGTGATGGATGTGTTCACTCCGTTGACTGTGTTGATGGTTTTAGCTATGTGTGTGTGTATATATATATATATATATATATATATATATCAAAACAATTGTACAGTTTAAATATTCATAGTGTTTCATATGTCAATTGTACCTCAATAAAACTGTTTTCCAAAAAATGTTATGGTAGGTTTTGTAGGAGAAAGATGTGAAGAGAAAAAAGGGAACAAAATCTGAGAAACAAAGAATTAGACCCAAGAGAAGGAAAGAGAATCCCTTATAGGAGCATGTAGAAACCTAGGTCTTATGGTTAGGTACCACAAGATAGAATGATATTCGTATTCTCTTTTAGAAGGCCTTTATTTATTTTTTTACTGAATAGGTGAAGAACTACTTCAGAATTCCCATTCTTCTATTGATTCTTTTTCTTTCCTCTCATTTTCCAGTCTTGCTGAATAATTTTCTTAAAACATCCACTTCCAACACTGGAGAGGAATGTAATCTTATTTCTAATTGACTATTTCTAATATGACATATTTCTAATCTACTATGACTAATGTAATAGTCAAAGGCAGTGTTTTACCTATTTAGCATAATTGTTTCTAGTTGAAGAGGGTGTTTTATTCCTTGAAGGTCCTAATGGCTCCTATTCTTAATTGAAAAATATGAAGCTTCTTGATAGGGTACAAGGGAATCATTTACCTTACCTTGGTTTATAAGCAGTCTCAGTTTTCTTAGATTAAGAAATAATTATCCAGGTTATTCCTATCAGATTTTCCCTAGCTAGCTTCTTACCATTGAAAATTTTAAATTTACTCAAGAGAAAAATGTATTTTTATATACAAATACAGCAGCATCAATTACAATAGTAAAAACCCTGCAAATTCACTAAATAGCTAACATTAAGAAAATCATTATATACTTGATTAAATGTTATGTATCTCCTAAAATTGATTACTGTGAAGACTACATAGCAACATAGATTAATATGTACAAAACAAAATTAAATGGAAAGAATAGAACATGAAATTCTATATAAGCTACGATTACAACTAGGTAAATATACAAAAGAATACAGTTAAAATTGAACATAGATAAATGAAAATAGCTGCATTAGCATGGTGAATTATGGGTGTTCTCTTTTAAAATTTTTGTCGTTGTTGTTTTAATAACTTTTAAAATAGATTTTAAGTTTTCTGGGGTGGTTTACTACACTCTTAGACTCTTCATCCTATGTGTGAAATTTCTAATGTGTAGGAAAAAGAAAGAATACTGATTGCCACCTTATCTAAAACTTATGTTGACCAAGACTGATAATAAAATGCACTTAGAACCCTATATAAAGGATATTGTGTTTTGATTGCCTAAAAAAGAAACCAACAGCATCTTTTATTTGTTTCTAGAGGTGACTTGGGAAAGATAGGGTAGCGACATCGCTGTGATTTTGTTGTTTCTTTTTAAACTTTAGGTACAAAATTACACTGATGCCCTACAATGGTACTATTATTCTCTGAGGTTTTATTCAACTGATGAAATGGATCTGGACTTCACCAAGCTGCAGAGGAACATGGCTTGCTGTTACCTGAATTTGCAACAACTTGATAAGGTCCTTTGATTTATCTATTTTCAGAGGTAGCAAATGTTCTTATGTGCAGTGGCAGAGAGATAGATGCCATGCTGTGACTTCCTGGCTGTTAGTTTAGGATGTCTGAGAGTTCCCTCATATAGAACAAGGTCAAATTGACATTTTCTTGATTTGCACACTGTAAACATAGAGTGAAACTTCCCAAAGAAAGAGAGAATTTGGAATACCATTAATTCTATTACTTACCCTTTATTTTTCACACCTATTCTGAAAGGTAATATATCATTGGAACTCCTGAACAAAGTTATCTGCTACTAACCATCTGTAATATTGTCCTTTGCAGCAAGCTAAATTTTGAAGTACACACTTTTGTCAAGCATTCATTGAGACCAAATACTTGAATGAAGTGGCCATTCTTTCACTTTCTAGGTTGTTATCTCTTGCCTTTCCAACCACCCTAGAAAATGTTCTTTAACTGATTTCTTATCAGGACAAAATTCTAGAAGGTAAAGAAGATAAAAGCTTGTTTAAAGATAGAACGGAAATACTTTCCAAAGCAATTAGGACATTTCTTCCTTTGGTTATCATATGGTATGCACGTAATGAGGGGTATTGGCTCTTAGAAGGACAAAGAACTAGAAGGACAAGTGTGAACCCAAATGAAATATGAAGGTTTTTGTTGCCTTTCAAGTTTTAATGACAGGTCTAACCTTTGTTCACCTAGGTGATTAAGGGTAATGATTCCAGATGTTTTCTTTGAAGGTTTATTTTTGAAGAGTTGTTTATCTGACTTAAATACTTTAGATTTTCTTTCAAGAAAATATTTGCTATTTAGTTTATATGTTATAAAGTCACAGCCCTGGAAGAGAACTTGAAATGTTACTTAATTCATCATAATGTTGTACAGGCTAGCATTTAACTGTTTCAGAAAATAGTTACCTACAGTTTAAGATCTAAAAGGAAGATGATCATGTAGATTTTGTTACCTAATTCTGCACAGGACAGCACTATTTCAGAAAGGTAGTTGCCTACTGTTTACTTAAAGACTAATAAAGAAGGCAATCACAGAGCCTTTATAACTTCCATGATTTATGACACAGTGAGCTAGGCAGCTTGGGAAGGACCTATATCTGGATGTAGACATGCTAGTTGGGGAATGGATGCATTTGCAGGCCAAGGGAGGATATCTAATCAGCCAGTCAGGAAAGAAAGAAAGAACACAGTACCAGACATTATGCTAGGCTCTGAGGTTACAGAGATGAACAAAGTATAGTTGCCTTCAACTCACTCAAGCAGCTGACATCATGGTATCCTAATGGGCAGATAAGCAGAGCATGGCAATGAGAGAAATCTAAATGTTGGAAATAGTCCGTAAGTCAGGCACACAGGTGGTTGGCATCACATAAACATAACAGCAGGGAACAGGGTTTCAATCACAGATATTTGGACTCTGAGACAGTACACAAATCTTTGAGGAATAGGAGTGTGTGCAGACATACTAGAAAGAGCAAAGTAGATCTCCACAACTAAAGGGGCCAGGATATGAGGCTGTTTTTAAGAGCAGATCCCCTGCATAGGGAGCCAAACTGGGAAGCAATGACCAGAAGAGGAATACAAGTTGACTAGATACAGTTTTCTGAGACTTAAGCAATGCTACTTACATCTCTTCTAATGTCAAGTTTGGTCCTAGAGCCTAGTATAGCACTGACTTTATAATTGGAAATTCAAATGGTATTAATAGTGAGGTTAGGAAGAATAGGAGAACAGTAAACCAGGTGTATTTTAATGGTGCGTACTCAATATGTAACTGTATCATTTATGGCCAGATTAGTGGTGAAACCAAAGGATATTTTGAATATATTCAAGGTAACTTTGTTGGTTACTGTTAGTATATTTCTCCATTTCATCCTTGTCTTGAATTTAGCAGACATTGATTGGATACCCTCCATATACAATGAATATCCTCTTATGCACTAGGACAGACAGAAAGGTGAAAAAAATACACAATCCATCATATTTTAATAATCCCACCTCGCCAGTGTCTAACCTTTGTTAGCTTTCATTGTCTTTCTTCACTCCTTCCTTTGAGTTGCTTGAGCATTGTTGGGAAAATTTATGAAACCATGTTTATTGGGTTTGCTAAAATTTCATGGTTTTTCAGCTAGGTAGTCAATAATACTGACTCTTGTTGAGTTTTTATCACATTCCCCACAGTGATAATTCCAAAACATTTTTTTTCTGTCCTTAAGCACCCATGCTTTCTCCTTTGTTGTAGCAAAAGATCTTATCGTGTGATTTGCTGAGCTTGTAGCCACTGACATGAACTTCATCAATTTCTCACCTCTTCACCCATCCTTTCTTTTCTCTTACCTACGAGAAAGAAGTAACTTTGTCTGGGGACCTTACTCTACAGATCTCAACCCTAGCTGTTTAATCATTCTCTACTGTTTCTTTTTTATTTTTTTTTTTTGAGACAGAGTCTCACTCTTGTTGCCCAGGCTGGAGTGCAATGGTGCTATCTCAGCTCACTGCAACCTCCGCCTCCTGAGCTCAAGCAATTCTCCTGTCTCAGCCTCCTGAGTAGCTGGGATTACAGGCATGGGCCACCACGCCTGGGTAATTTTTTATATTTTTAGTAGAGACAGGGTTTCACCTTTTTGGCCAGGCTGGTCTCGAACTCCTGACCTCATGATCTGCCCGCCTCGGCCTCCCAAAGTGCTGGGATTACAGGCGTGAGCCACCGCGCCCGGCCTACTGTTTCTTTCTCCTGTCACTATAATTACCTTGAAGTCTTCTTTATCCAAAAACCTTCCTTCAACTTTGTAATCCTCCTCAAACTTCAGTTCTGTGTCCTTCTTTTTGTTGCCAAACTTTCTAATCCAATTTTTTAGTGTTCATTCATTCAAAAATATTTATTTATTGTCTCCTATGTGTTAAGTACTGTTCTAGGCATTGGGGATATAGTAATGAACAAAATATATAAAAACCTTTATCCACATGGACAAATACTGCTGTCCCCATTATTTTCCACTAGGAGAGGCAAACAATAAAAAGATAAATAAGTATTATGTTATATTATAGGGGTCAACAAACTTTCTGTAAAGAACCACAGTAAATATTTTAGGTTTTGCAGGCCATACAGTCTGTGCTGAAACTAATCAACTCTGTTGTTGTGCCTTGAAAATAGCCATAGACAGTATGTAATCAAATTGGTGTGGCTGTGTTCCAATAAAACTATGTTTTGGAATACTGAAATTTGAATTTCATGTAATTTTTGTGTGTCATAAAATATGATTCTTTTGATTTATTTCAGGCACTTAAAATGTAAAATTGTTCTAACTTATGAACTGTACAAAAAATATGGTGAGCCAGATTTTGCCCAAAGGCTATAGTTTGTTGACTCCTGGTATATTAAATATTGATAAGTGCTAAGGAGAAAACTAAGCAGGAAAGGGTGATATTAAATGTTTCAGAGGCGGATGAATGGTTGAACTTTTAGATAGGGTGGTCAGGGAAGTCCTCACTGAGAAGATTGTTTTTAAGTAGAGACCTGAGGAAAAAGAGCATTCCAGATGGAGGGAATAACAACTGCAAAGGCCCTAGGGTATTTAAAGAATGGCAAAGAGACCTTTGTGGCTGGAGCTGAGGGAACATTAGGAGAATTAGGAGATGTGATCAGGGAAGTAGTGGTGTCTTAGTCTGTTTCGTGTTGGTATAACAGAATACCTAAGACTGAGTAATTAATAAAGAAAATAGGTTTATTTAAGCTCATGATTCTGCAGGCTGGGAAGTTCAAGGGCCATGGTGCTGGCATTTGCTTGGCTTCTGGTGAGGGCTTTTGTGCTAGATCAAAACATAGCAGAAAGTCAAAGGGAAGTAGACTCATGCCAGGAGACATAATCCAAGGGGCTTTCTGGCTTTATAACAACCTACTTTCATGGAAACTGTTTCTGTTTTATTTCCTTGTATACTATGTTTGTCCTCAACTGGAGTACTTGCTGCTTCCTAGCCATGATCTATGTTTTCTACCTCAGTATCTTTTTTCATGCTTCTTCATTGCAAATTACCTCTTTCCTGCATCCCTAAAATTCCCTTTTCAAAGCCTAGCTTAAAATTCCCTTTTTCAAAGCCTAACTCTTAATGACATTCTTAGCTTCCTGAGGAAATTTCCTTGTCTTGCCTTTCCTCCAAGACTTTGTAACAGTTCTGTTTATCCCTAGATACTTGTTTTCTCATTATATTTTAGTTATTTCTATACCTGCCTTAGTCATCTATTGGACTGTCAGTCACCTCCTTGAGGACAGAGACCATATCTTATCTTTATTTGCCCTTGTACCCAGCATAGTGCCTAATGCATAGTAGATGCTCATTACATTAAAAATAGTTATAAAGACTCAATAAATACCTGTCAATCAACTTCTTCTGATATAGGAATTCCATTTCCTCATGCTATTTCTGTCCTTGCTACTATGCATAATTTGGAAATTAATAGTGATTAAGATCTGTGAGTGCTCTTTGATTATCAGAACTGAATGAGATTATATTATTAAAAATCATCCCACTATAACTTTCTCCAGCTCAGCTCTTTTCTCTTTTGAGGGTGAGAACGCATTTTATTTTGATTTAAAATGAAATATTGAATCATAGGTCAGAAGTTAATTTGGGCAGGCCAATGGAGTTGAGAAATAGACTCCCTTGAACTTTTTAGTAGATTAGGTTACAGATTCATTAGCTCGCACACTTGGCAACCTCTTTTTGAGATAACAATGCCAATTATAGATCATTTCTTTGGTTTGTTTTCTAAATTGTATAAATAAAAATTTTTTAATTGCTATTATCCATTCAGATATCTTCAGTACTTTGCATGAGACAATATTAAACAATGTTGTTTCATAGATATCAACTCTGCCTTTGAGGTGTTTGTAGTGCCTTAAGCCTGGTATCCTGATTTTGCTATATTATTTTTGAGGATTTAAAAATATTTGGTTTGTGCAAGTCATAGGTTTGAATGGATTAAGGATGAAGGAAATGAGCTTGGGTTCTAAATACAGAAGCAGTTTATCACACCTTGATATAATGGGATTTTGCTGCAAACCATAATAAAACCTTAATGTTAGTTGACAGATGGATAATGACTTGTTTTGGTGATAGTCTGTGTAAGTTAATGGGAATGCACAATTGGGTACTCTTTAACTCAGTACAGAAGTCCCATCCTCAGCTTGCAACTGCAGTTTAGGTACATGAATGTCATTAGCACTACTATAGTTTGATAAAACTGAACCACACTCTCAAACCACAGAATGGCTGTAAGACTTACAACAGACACAAAGATGAGACTATTCATAGAATATTTATGTGACCTAAAGTGAAGACAGTTATGTCTCATGTGCTGGTTATATATTGTTTCTCTTTACCATATAAAGTTCGAAAAATGAGCTTGGGACCAGCAGACATAAACTAGTGATATTCACTAGATGGCACTGTGGCCTCTGTACTTCATCAGCTTGTGCTTGACTGATTCTGAGGGTTTTTTTTTTTTTTTTTGTAATTCTTAGGTAGATGTACCTTTCCCACAAATGCATCTATATGGATGCAAAAAAAAAAAACCACTAAAGAAACATAAGATGAAGGTCAGCTGTGACTCATTTGATACAGCTATACTGTAAAAATACCCTGACTGAGATTCCAACTCAACAAATATTAAATGCCTAATCTGTGCCAAGCACTATAGAATAAGTAGAAGACATGATCTATTCTGTAAGTGAGCCTAAAATATTAATGCAGAAACAATATTTACATATATAAAATAATTAGAAAATAATAAAAGGCTGTTCAATCACACATCATTGTGTGGTATGTACCATATGAACTTAGAATAGGAATATATAGATGAGGACGTTTGTGAATATTGATTGAATGTACATATGATGTGAAGCTGAAAAGGGTAACTGATTTGTTAGAAGATAGAGTCAGATCTGAAGGGACCTTAATAGGTTGAAATGATGAGCCTATTCTAGCAAGACGAAGACAAACAGGAAACAACAAAACATCCTATAATTGGATCCCAAAACCAATTGTACAAGAACAAAGTAGATAAAATATGGCTCTAAAAGCAGCATATGTGAGTCACTTGGTACATTTTATTGACTATAAGCACTGCATAAGCCAAAAATACTAAGAAAGTTTACTCAAATTAGGTTGAATCAATAGAGATTTAATGTATAGAAGGAGAAAAAGTGGCAATCACCCTCTATTCTGCTCTGGTTAGAATATATCTGAAGTACAGATTCAATCAAACGCAGACTGAAAATATTCAGAAAAAAGCAATTTAGAAAATAGCAATACAACATAGAAAATAATGCAAATATAAAACAATACAGTGTAACTACTATTTACAGAACATTTACGTTGCATTAGGTGTAAGTAATCTAGAGATTATTTAAAGTATACAAAAGGATGTGTGTAGGTTATATGCAACTACTATAAGGAACTTGAGCATCTGCAGATTGTGATATCCGAGGGTGTCCTGGAACCAATCCTCTAAAGATACGAGGGAACAACTGTATAGACAGCCCTTGACTTACAAGGGTTCGATTTAGGATTTATCAATCTTATGATAGTATGAAAGCAATACTCATTCAATAAGCTCCTCAAGTTACCATGGGGTTATGTCTGGATAAATCCGTCATAGGTTGAAAATGCACTTTCTATTTAGGATATTTTCAGTTTACCATGGGTTTATCAGGATGTAACCCCATCATTAGTTGAGGAGCATCTGTATTGTATTGGATTGAGGGGCACCACTTATAAAGGAGGATATTGACAAACCCAAGTGTGCCAAGAGGAAGGCACTGAGGATGGTGAGAGCACTAAAAATCATCTAATTTGAAGAATAAAGGAAGTGTGGATGTTAAACTTGGGAAATGGAAGATTTACGAGAAACACGATAGCTTTCTTCCAATATTTGAATGGCTGTCAGGGAGTAAAGAAATTAAATTTATTTCATGAGTGTTTCCATGGGTGAGACCTACAAGGAGTGAGATTTTGGATTATCATAAGGAAACCCTTTCTTAATTATTTGACCTACCAAAACAATGAAATGGATTTTCTTAAAATAGAGTGAATTCTGTCTTCTTGAATATATTTAAGTAAAGACTGAATGACTTGGTATAAATGTTATAGAGGAGATTCAAGCATCAGAAGAATTTTTTGACTAAGAGAACTTTGAGGTATCTTCTGCCCACATTTTTCTGAAATATCAGTATAACCTGATAAAATGTATTATAGTCAAAGAGGATTTTGTGGGGGACTAGGCTCATTAATCACTGAATTTGAAAACTAAAGGAACCCTTGCAAGTCATTACTAATTTATTTTAAAATGAATTTATAAAAATATAATTTACATACAAAAATGCATTCATTTTAGGTATAGTTCAATAATTTTGACAACTTTATACCCCAAATTTACCCACTACCATGGTCTAGATATAGAAGACTTCCATTATCCTGAGAGATTTCCTTGTGTTCCTTCCCAGTCAATCCTCACCTCCACTCCCAGCCCCAGGCAATGACTGGTATGCTTTCTATCACTATAGGTTAGATTTATCTTTCCTAGAGTTTCATATAAATGGAATTACACGGTATGTACTTTACCTTTTTTTTAAATCTGGCTTCTTTCACTCAATTTTAGAATTTTAGAGAATCTCTTCTGGCTTGTAGAGTTTCTGCCGAGAGATCAGCTGTTAGTCTGATGGGCTTCCCTTTGTGGGTAACCCGACCTTTCTCTCTGGCTGCACTTAACATTTTTTCCTTCATTTCAACTTTGGTGAATCTGACAATTATGTGTCTTGGAGTTGCTCTTCTCGAGGAGTATCTTTGTGGCATTCTCTGTATTTCCTGAATCTGAATGTTGGCCTGCCTTGCTAGATTGGGGAAGTTCTCCTGGATAATATCCTGCAGAGTGTTTTCCAATTTGGTTGCATTCTCCCCGTCACTTTCAGGTACACCAATCAGACATAGATTTGGTCTTTTCACATAGTCCCATATTTCTTGGAGGCTTTTTTCATTTCTTTTTATTCTTTTTTCTCTAAACTTCTCTTCTCGCTTCATTTCATTCATTTGATCTTCCATCGCTGATACCCTTTCTTCCAGTTGATCGAATCGGCTACTGAGGCTTGTGCATTCTCCACGTAGTTCTCGTACCATGGTTTTCAGCTCCATCAGGTCCTTGAAGGACTTCTCTGCATTGGTTATTCTAGTTAGCCATTTGTCTAATCTTTTTTCAAGGTTTTTTACTTATTTGCCATGGGTTTGAATGTCCTCCTTTAGCTCGGAGTAGTTTGATCGTCTGAAGCCTTCTCTCAACTCGTCAAAGTCATTCTCTATCCAGCTTTGTTCCGTTGCTGATGAGGAGCTGCATTCCTTTGGAGGAGGAGAGGCAATCTGATTTTTAGAATTTTCAGTTTTTCTGCTCTGTTTTTTCCCCATCTTTGTGGTTTTATCTACCTTTGGTCTTTGATGATGGTAATGTACAGATGAGGTTTTGGTGTGGATGTCCTTTCTGTTTGTTAGTTTTCCTTCTAACAGACAGGACCCTCAGCTGCAGGTCTGCTGGAGTTTGCTGGAGGTCCACTCCAGACCCTGTTTGCCTGGGTATCAGAGCGGAGGCTGCAGAACAGTGGATATCAGGCAAATGTTGCTGCCTGATCATTCCTCTGGAAGTTTTGTCTCAGAGGAGTACCCGGCTGTGTGAGGTGTCAGTCTGCCCCTACTGGGGGGTGCCTCCCAGTTAGGCTACTTGGGGGTCAGGGACCCACTTCAGGAGGCAGTCTGTCTATTCTCAGATCTCCAGCTGCATGCTAGGAGAACCACTACTCTCTTCCAAGCTGTCAGACAGGGACAGTTAAGTCTGCAGAGGTTTCTGCTGCCTTTTGTTTGGCTATGCCCTGCCCCCAGAGGTGGAGTCTACAGAGGCAGGCAGGCCTCCTTGAGCTGCGGTGGGCTCCACCCAGTTCGAGCTTCCGGGCTGCTTTGTTTACCTACTCAAGCCTGGGCAATGGCGGGCGCCCCTCCCCCAGCTTTGCTGCCGCCTTGCAGTTTGATCTCAGACTGCTGTGCTAGCAATGAGCGAGGCTCTGTGGGCGTAGGACCCTCTGAGCCAGGCGTGGGATACAGTCTCCTGGTGTGCCGTTTGCTAAGACCCTTGGAAAAGTGCAGTATTATGGTGGGAGTGACCTGATTTTCCAAGTGCCGTCTGTCACCCCTTTCCTTGGCTAGGAAAGGGAATTCCCTGACCCCCTTGCACTTCCCGGGTGAGGCAATGCCTCGCCCTGCTTCAGCTCACGCTCGGTGTGCTGCACCCACTGTCCTGCACCCACTGTCCAACAATCCTCAGTGAGATGCACCCAGTACCTCAGTTGGAAATGCAGAAATCATTTGTCTTCTGTGTCGCTCACACTGGGAGCTGTAGACTGGAGCTGTTTCTATTCGGCCATCTTGGTTCCATCCCTAATTTTTGTATTTTTAATAGAGACGGGATTTCACCAAGTTGGCCAGGCTGGTCTTGAACTCCTGACCTCAGGTGATCCACCCACCTTGACCTCCCAAAGTGTTGGGATTACAGGCGTGAGCCACCTCGCCCAGCCTTTTATTGCTATTTTAGAGTATATAAAACAAAATTATAAAACAAAATTAACTGTAAAACAGCCTCAGACAGGTCCTTCAGGAAGTATTCCAGAAGAAGGCATTATCATAGTAAGTGACAGCTCCATGCATGTTATTGCCCCTGAGGACTTTCCAGTGGGACAAGATGTGGAGGTGGAAGACAGTGATACTGATGATCCCGAGCCTGTGTAGGTCTAGGCTAATGTGTTTGCTCATGTCTTAGTTTTTAACAAAAAGTTTGAAAAGTCAAAAAAGATTTTAAAGTGTTAAAAATCAAAAATCTTGTAGAATAAGGATATAAAAAGGAAATTTTTGTACAACTGTACAATGTTTGTATTTTAAGCTCGGTGTTATTACAAAATACTTAAAAAGTTTTTTAAATATTAAAAAGTTTATAAAGTTAAAAAGTTACAGTAAACTCCATTATTGAAGAAAGAAAAATATCCTTTTATAAATTGAGTGTAGCCTAAGTATACACTGTTTATAAAGTCTACAGTAGTATACAGTAATATCCTAGGCCTTCACATTCACTCAGCACTCACTGACTACCCAGAGCAACTTCCAGTCCTACAAGCTCCATTTATGTAAGTACCCTATACAAGTGTACCATTTTTTATGTTTTATACCCTATATTTACTGTATTTTTTCTAGGTTTAGATATGTTTAGATATATAAATACTTACCATTAAAATTGCCTACAGTATTCAGTACAGTCACATGCTGTAGAGATTTGTAGCCTAGGAGCAATGGGCTATACCATATAGTCATGTATAGTAGGCTATACCATCTAAGTTTGTGTAAGTACACTATGGTGTTCACACAAAGATGAAATTGCCTAATGGCACATTTCTCAGAATGTACCCCTGTTGTTAAGTGACACATGACTGTACCACATTTTGTTTATCCTTTCATCTATTCATTGGACACTTGGGTTGCTTTGACATTTTGGCTATTATGAATAAATACTTCTATGAACATAGATATTACAAGTATCTTTTTGAGTTCCTGCTTTCAGTTTTTTTGAGTATTTACCTAATAATATAATCATTGGATCATGTGGTAATTCTGTATTTAACATTTTGAACAATCATCCTACTTTTTTCCACAATGGTTGTACCATTTTACATTCCCACCAGTAATGCACAAGTGTTCCAATTTCTCCACATCCTGGTCAACACTCACTGTTTTTAAGTTTTTTGATAAAAGCCATCCTAATGGGTTTGAAGTGTTCTCTTATTGTGTTTTTGATTTGCATTTCCCTAATGACCAGTGATGTTGAACATATTTTCATGTGCTTATTGGCCATTTGTGTATCTTCTTTGGAGAAACATCTGTTGAAGTCCTTTACCCATTTTTAATTGGGATTTGTATTTTATAGTGGTTGAATTGTAGGAATTATTTATATATTTCAGATATTAACCCCTTACCAAAATATGATTAGCAAATATGTTTTCCCATTCTGTGGGTTGTCTTTTTCTTAGTGTCTTTTGAAGAACAGTAGATTTTAAAAAATTTTTGATGAGGCCCATTTATCTGATTTTTCTTTTGTTGACTGTGCTTTGGGTGTCATATCCAAGAAGTCATTTGCAAATCCGATGTCATGAAGATTTTCGCATGTGTTTTCTTCTAAGACTTGTATAGTTTTAGCTCTTATGTTTACACCTTTAATCCATGTTGAGTTAATTTTTATGTGTGATATAAGGTAAAGATCCAGCTTCTTTCTTTTGCATGTGGATATCCTGGTTTCCCAGCACCATTTGTTGAAAAGACTGTCCTTTTCCCATTGAATAGTTTGGGAACCCTTGTCAAAAACCATTTCACCATATATGTGAGGGTTCATTTCTGGGCTCTCTATTATATGCCATTGGTCTATATGTCAGTCCTTATCTCAGTACTATACTGTTTTGATTACTATATCTTCATAGCTAAGTCTTGAAATCAGGATCCCTTGAAACTTCATATGAATTTTAGGATGGGTTTTTTTATTTATGAAAAAAAAATGCCCTTGGAATTGTCATAGGGATTACATTGAATCTGTAGATCACTTTGGGTATCTTCATTTTTCAGTGTTTATCTTTTACTGTGGTAAAATATACATTATCTTCATTCCTTCTTAACTTCAAATTTTTTCTTGTTTTTGACTTTTAGTCTCTTTTGGCATTATTGGCTGTATTTATTTACTTTTGACTTTCTTCTTGTTAGTCTTCATTTCTGAAATGACTTCTTTTACTTCTAATATTTTCCTTAGCTCTACCACCTCATTTCTGAGTTTTTCTAATTATTACTATGGGTTTTTTTGTTTGTTTGTTTGTTTTTTTGAGACTGAGTCTCGCTCTGTCGCCCAGGCTGGAGAGCAGTTGTGCTATCTCGGCTCACTGCAACCTCCGCCTCCCAGGTTCAAGCAATTCTCCTCCCTCAGCCTCCCGAGTAGCTGGGATTACAGGCACCCGCCATCGTGCCCGGCTAATTTTTGTATTTTTGTAGAGATGAGGTTTCACCATGTTGGCCAGGCTGGCCAGGCGGAACTCCTGACCTCAGGTGATCCGCCCTTCTCAGCCTCCCAAAGTGCTGAGATTGCAGATGTGAGTCACGACGCCCCACCGCTAATTCTTATTTAGGTTGATCTTTCATATCTTGTATCATTTTTTAAATTTTTATTATTATACTTTAAGTTTTAGGGTACATGTGCACAATGTGCAGGTTAGTTACATATGTATACATGTGCCATGCTGGTGTGCTGCACCCATTAACTCGTCATTTAGCATTAGGTATATCTCCTAATGCTATCCCTCCCCCCTCCCCCCACCCCACAACAGTCCCCAGAGTGTGATGTTCCCCTTCCTGTGTCCATGTGTTCTCATTGTTCAATTCCCATCTATGAGTGAGAACATGCGGTGTTTGGTTTTTTGTCCTTGCGATAGTTTACTGAGAATGATGATTTCCAATTTCATCCATGTACCTACAAAGGACATGAACTCATCCTTTTTTATGGCTGCATAGTATTCCATGGTGTATATGTGCCACATTTTCTTAATCCAGTCTATCATTGTTGGACATTTGGGTTTGTTCCAAGTCTTTGCTATTGTGAATAGTGCCAAAATAAACATACGTGTGCATGTGTCTTTATAGCAGCATGATTTATTTTTAAATGTGTTTAGCTCATTTTTAAATAGTCGGTTATGATTTTGACCTGTTTTTTGAGCACATTTTTCTGACATGCTTTCATTTTCTGTGGGGATACTTTGCTGCTGCTGATGCTGCTGCTGCTTTTTTTTTTTTAATTTTTTACAACTTTTTAGGGTATTTACCTTAAAGCTTTACTGTTTCTCATTTTGATGTGAAATTAGTTTTCCTTAACTTATAAAAAGGTAGACATTTAGAAAGTGTTACTACTTCACAGAGCTCCCTTTTTTGTTTTTGGTTTGGTTTGGTTTGTTAGTGTTTAAAAATAAGGCAGCTTTTATTCTGAGATTTCCTGGCTCTGCTTCTCTCTGTCTTTTGGTGTACACCCACACTGTCCAATATGATAGCAATGAGGCATGTGTGGCTATGTACGTTTAAGTTTAAATTAATTAAAATTAAATAAAGTTATAAAAATTTATTTCTTCAATTGCAGTAGCCACATTTCAAGTGCTAAATAGCCATGTGTGGCTAATGACTACTCTATTGAATAGCACAAATATAGAATATTTCCATCATCACAGAACTCTATTGGACAACACTGATCTATACTTTTTCTTTCATCTTTGTTGTCACTGTCCTGTTCAGTTTTTTATTGTACTCTCAGCAGTTTCTCCTTAGTGTGGAGCCTCTCAGAGGGGAGCTCTAGTGGGTAAGCTTTAAGGGTTCATAGGGCCTAGACTACTATCGCTTCTTTAGTACATCTTTGATATGAGGTCCTTGCACTCACTCAATAATGGAGAAAGCAAATTATCTCCCAATTTCAACTGCTGTTCTCCAGTTTCCCCATCATGCTATTCAGTTGATTTCTACAAGCCAATTTTGGGGTCCTCCTTTTCTATATAGTCCATTAGACGCTTCCCTATTACTTCCTTTTTTTTCTTCATCCTGTACAGATGCTGACATAATGCAGGTCTTGTAGCTGTTGTTGCTTTTTCTCCACCCACTTGTGTTTCTTAATGCCTCGGGATATTTTGTCACTCAGTTTTGTTATAAACGCTGTCTGTGGTTTTTGGTTTTGCCATCTGCATGCTCAGTTGTTTTTCATGAGAATTCAGAGAAATGTTACCTCTACCACATATTTCCAGAATCATTTTGTATAGTTTTTTTTTCTTCCTACCTACCTACCGACAGGGCCTCACTTTGTCACCTAGGCTGGAGTGCAGTGGTGTAAACACAGCTCACAGCATCCTCAACTTCCTGGGCTCAAGTAATCCTCCTACCTTAACCTCCTGAGTAGCTGGGACCACAGGCATGCACCACCATGCCTGGCTAATTTAAAAAAATTTTTTTGTTGAGACGGGGGTCTTACTATGTTGCCCAAGCTGGTCTCAAACTCCTGGACTCAGATGATCCTCTCACCTCAGCCTCCCAAAGTGCTGGGATCACAGGCATGATCAGCCATGCCCAGCCTCATATGGCATATATATATATATATATACACAGCTACCTTTGCTAAAGTCTCTTAATAATTGTAATAATTTGCTTATAAATTCTTCTGGGTTGTCTACATATTCAATTATACAAATTGACAATTGTGTTTCTTCTTTTTCAATATGCTTTATATATTTCTTGTCTTATTTTGTCTAATAATTCAACCACTATGTTGAATTAAAGTGGTGTTTTGGATTTAAAAGGGAAAGCTACCATAAATTGCCATTAAATATGATGTTTGCTTTAGGGTTTTTTTGTGTTGTTGTTGTATAGATACGGTATTAGTTTCCTAGGGATGCTATAACAAAGCACTACAAACTGTGTGGCTTAAAACAACAGAAATGTATACACTTATAGTTCTGGAGGCTGGAAGTCCAAAATCAAGGTGTCGATAAAGCTATGCTCTCTCTGAAGACTTTAGTAGAGGATTCTTCCTAGACTAGATTTGCTTAATGGTTAGGTAAATGGTCACTTTTTGTAAATATTCTGTGTGTGCTTGAAAAAAATGTGTTTTCTGCAGTTTTTAGGCACTGTGTATGTACATATATGTACAGATGTTCCTTGACTTACGATGGAGTTATATCCCAATAAATTGATCATAAGTTGAAAATATCGTAAGGTGAAAATGCAGTTAATGCTGGCAAAATGGCAGGCATCTACAACTTATGATGGTTTAACTTAATGGTATTTTGATTTTATAATGATGTAAAGGCAATATACATTTAGTAGAAACCATAACCCTGTCATAAGTTGTAAGGAGCTCCCAGACTTACGATGTGGTTACATCCTGATAAACCCGTGGTAAAGTCAAAAAATCATAAGACGGAGACCACCTATATACACACATGTATAAATTTAGATTAAGTTTGTTCATTTTATTTGAATCTTCTGTATCAAAACTCATATTTTGTGTACTTACTCTATCACTTACTGAGATGAGGTGCTGGAATATCCCTTTATGGTTTGAATTGATCTATTTCTTCATTTAATTTTATCATTTTTGCTTTATATATTTTAGGCCATACTACTTATACATACAAAATTAGTACTGTAATATATTTGTTTGTTGAAGTTTTATTGTTATGCAGTGATCTTCTTTATATCTAGTATTATTTTCTGCCTTAAAGTCATTTTTGTCTGATATTAATATATCCACACTTTGGTTAATATTTTCCAGATAGATCTTCTCTAATCCCTTTACTTTGAACTTTTAATACATTTATATTTTAGGTGTGCCACTTCTAAAAAACATGTAGTTACATATTTTTAATCCAGTCTGACCATTTTTGTTTTTTAACTAGGGCATTTCGTGTTTATACATTTAATACAATATTGGTATATCTGAGTTTAAATCTGTAACTTACTTTATGCTTTCTATTTGTCATTTCTTTTTTTTTTTTTTTTTTTTTTTGAGACAGAGTCTCACTTTATGCCCAGGCTGGAGTGCAGTAGTACAATCTCTGCTCACTGCAAACTCCGCCTCCCATGTTCAAGTGATTCTCATGCCTCAGCCTCCCAAGTAGCTGGGATCACAGATGTGTGCCACCACATCCAGCTAATTTTTATATTTTTAGTAGAGATGGGGTTTCACCATGCTGGCCAGGCTGGTCTCAAACTCCTGTTCTCAGGGGATCTGCCTGCCTGAGCCTCCCAAAGTGTTGGGATTACAGGCATGAGCCACCGTGCCCGGCTTCTATTTGTCATTTCTATCCTGTTTCTTTTTCTCTCCTCACTTGCCTTCTTCGGGATCAATGTTTCTAAATAATAGACTTTACTTGTTACAGCAGTTTTAGGTTTACAGAAAAATTGAGTAGGAAATATAGAGAGTTTTCATATACCCCCTCACGGTTCTTCACATACTGTTTCCCCTGTCATTAACATCTCGCATTAGTGTGCTATATATGTTACAGTTAATAAGCCAATATTGATATGTTATTTTTAACTAAAGTCCGTAGTTTACATTAGGATTTAGTCTTTGTGTTGTACATCATATGTGGTTTGATGAATGTATAAAAAAGTGTCTACCATTATAATACCATACAGAATAGTTCAACCCCCTGTGGTTCAACTATTCATCCCTTCCTCCCTCTCACTGAACTAGTGTCAACCACTGATCTTTTTACTGTCTCCATAGTTTTGCCTTTTCAGAATGTCACATAATTGGAATCGTGCAGTATGTAGCCTTTTCAAATAGGTTTCTTTCACTTAGCAATATGCATTTAAGATTCCTTCATGTCCTTTTATGGGTTGGTAGTTAATTTTTTTTAGTGCTGAATAATATTTCACTATCTGGATATATTAGTTTATACACTCACCTATGGAAGAACATCTTAGTTGCTTCCAAATTTTGGCAGTTATGAATAAAGCTACTATAAATATCTTTATGTAGATTTTTGTGTAGACATAAGTTTTGACACATTTGAATAAATACCAAAGGTGCAACTGCTGGATTGTATGGCAAGAGTATGTTTAGTTTTGTAGGAAACTGCCAAACTGTCTTCCAAGTTGGCTATACCATTTTTCATTCCCACCAGTGATGAATGAGAGTTCCTGTTGCACCACATCCTTGCCAGCATTATATGTCGTTAAAGTGTTTTGAATTTTAGTTATTCTAATAGATGCATAGTGATATCTCATTGCTGTTTTAATTTGCAAAACCCTAATGACATAAGATGTTAAGCATCTTTTCATATACTTATTTGCCATCTGCATATTTTATTTAGTGAAGTGTTTCTTCAGGTCTTTTGCCCATTTTATACTTGGGTTGTTTATTTTCTTATTGTTGAATTTGAAGAATTCTTCATACATGTTGAATACCAGTCCTTCATTACATATGTGTTTGGCAAATATTTTTTCCCAATATGTGGCTTTTATCATTATTCTCTTAATGCTGTCTTTCACAGAGCAGTTTTTAATTTTAATGAAGTTTAACTTACCAGTTTTTTCTTTTATAGATATGGTTTTGGTGTTGTGTCTAAAAAGTCATTGCCAAAGTTCACCTAAAATTTCTCCTATGTTATCTTCTAAAAGTTTTATAGTTTGGGTTTTTATATTTAGGTTATAATCCATTTTCAGTTAATTTTTGTGAGAGGTTTATGGTCTGTGTCTAGCTCTACTTTTTTACATGTGGATGTCTAGTTGTTCCAGCACCAGTTGTTAAAAATACTATTTTCATTTTTTTTTTCATTGCAGTCTTCCCCTTCTACTAGTGTGAAAATTATTTACTGCTTCTAATCTTTTAGTGGCTATCCTAGAAAGTATAGAATCCTTTCTTAACTGTCTTCCATGTTTGTAATCGCTCTGTGCTGCATTTTGGCTATTTTATTCTTTCAGCCCACTAATTTTCTCTTCACCTGTTTCTAATCTGCTATTAAACCTGTCTATTATGTTTTAATTTGGGTAATTGGGTTTTTCATTTCAAAAAGCTTCTTTGTTTCAGATCCCCAAGGTCACATTTTATGGTCTCTGTTTCCTACTAACTTCACTGATATGCAAAGTATTTAATAACTGGTATGGCACAGGTAATAATGAGACAGAATGGATACCATCTAGAAACAACCACTATAACTGTATTAATTTGTACCACTGTGTATCAACCCACATACATATATTTTGAACATACATTGTATTTCTTTAGACTTTGAAAACATAGGTGTTTTATAACCAGTTTTTCATAATTCTAGTATCTGCATCTTGAGGGTCTGCTTCTGCTATCTCGTTTCTGCTGTTTATGGTACCTTGTTTCCGAGTGTGCTTTGTTATTTTTGTAACGTGTACAACTCATGGTTCTTGAAAAATTATTTATGGAAATATTTCGAAGGCTGACATAAGGTGCTTTCCCCCAGAGAAGATTTACATTTGCTTCTGTAGATGCTTGGGAGCTATCTAAACTAAATTCTCAGCTTTAGGTCTTTTAGCTTCCTGTATAATGTAGTTTGGGTCAGTGAATACATGAGTCTCCTAGTATTACACCTCATGGATTGTTTCCCTCCACCCCATTGTGCTGCCTTCTATTCAGTACTAAGGTAACTTTATTTGCAGTTTTCCAGGGATGTGGGTAGGAGTGGGTTTACTTTTGGCTTGTCCCTAGTCTAGGAGTGTGATCCCTTGGAACTTGATGTCTTTTCCCCTGACCTAGTGATGTCCCTCAAAACTGAAGTTAACATTTGCTTACATTTGCAAATGCTTACCAGATAAAAGCGACTTTACTTTTCTGTTTACCTCTCTGAGACCTCAGTTTTCCTTAGATTTTGCCTTGGTAATTCTTTTGCTATTTGTCAGTTGCTCTTTTGTTCTTTCTGGAAAAAAATTAATATATCATCCAATATTTTTGGTTGTTTTCAGCAGGAGGGTTGGTCTGACATATCTAACTTACTCTATTTCCAGAAGTATAACTCACTGTTGCATTAGCATTCTAGAAGAGCACTTCTGCAAATATTTTTCTTAGATTCATATATTTTCATTGTGAGTATCCCTCAGCCATTTTGACTACCTTAATGATATTAGTAAAATATGGTAAGTCCTTCCTTGTAGATTTTATTAAAATGACCCAGTGTTTTTCTTTCCAGGCCAAAGAGGCAGTGGCAGAAGCTGAACGACATGACCCTAGGAACGTTTTCACTCAATTTTATATATTCAAGATTGCAGTCATAGAGGGCAACTCTGAAAGAGGTATAAATTTTATTTGTCACTTATATTTGACTATTAACACAAAGAATAAATAATCCTCTTCAACCACAGTGGGAAAAAAACATTGTTTTTAAGACAATAGAATTGAATATATGTTCTGTCTTTCCTATGTAAAGGTGATACAACAATGCAAAAAGAAACCGTGGAAGGTTATATAAAAGTAAAAGAACAGTGGTTACCTATTGAGGGAATAGGAACTGGGCAAACGCGGGACAAGAATTAGGGGAAAGTCTTATCACTATGTACTTTTTTATACTTTTATTTAAACCAACCTATTCAAAAATTAAATTTAAAAAGCTGTGTGTGGGTGAGATTATACTAAAAACCCATATCAGTTAAGAATTGTCTTCAAAAAATGAAAGTTGGGGTACCTTTTGATTGTTTTCACTTATTTGGGAGGTGATTGGTGAGAGATTTGGCCTTGAGATGGAGTTTCTCTCCACAGAGTAGACAGTCTTGGAATTTCACACATGACCCTCATCCCATTAATGTTGAGGCCTTTCCATTAAGTTAAGCATAGTTTCCTAGCTGGTGTGTCTGCATGGGCACATATATGTTGAATTGGTTATAGATATGCCTTTGCTCAGATATTAATGCCTTCAGCCCTCAGGTAGCTGAATTAATCCTGAAGGAGTCTGAGCTCCAGACTGGTTGCCATTTGTTTGGCAGAAGTTAAGAAACTTAAATTAATGGATCCAAACAAAATGTATACGAATCCAATTAAGCAACTGTTTTTGGACACCTACTACGTACAAAGGACTCTGTTATTCACTCCTTAAGAAAAAAGATCATTTATTTTACATTAAAAAAGAAATGTTCCAGAATAGTAAAGTATACCTGTATAATAATTAAGGAATAGTAAATTAGAGGTTAATATTGCTGTCATGTTCATCATCAAAGTTTTCATTAGAGACTTTTAGGCATTTGTTTTACTTGATATACTGTGTTTAAGGGTAAAATAACTTGAAGCTTTTTTGCCAGTAAAAATGGCAAAAATATTAGTAATTTTCCTGTTAAATCTTTTGTTTTAACATTATTTTTTAAAAATTATTTTACTTTTTAAATACAACATCAGATCAACCCTTTTATTTCTTCTCCAGTTGTCTGTGACCATTTTTTAAGTCACGTATATTGAAGATACATATAATAAATTTACTCTTGCTAGTGTATGGTCCTATGAGGTTTATATATGTTAAAAATTCTGAGTTTTGAAGTGCATACAGTCATATAACTACCACCACAATGTAGAAAAAAAATACCTCAGGGCCCTTTACTGTTACTCCTTCTCACCACTTTCAGCCCTGGAAATCAGTAATCTCTTCTATCTCTATAGTTTTGTCTTTTCCAGAATGTCATATAAATGAAATCATATAGTATGAATCTTTTTGAGCTTCTTTCACTTAACTTAATGCATTTGAAACTCACCCATATTGTGTTTATCCACAGTTTGTTCTTTTTTATTGCTATGTGGCATTCCATAGTATGGAAATACCACAGTATGGAAAAATGCATTCACCAGTTGAAGGATATTTGAATGGTTTTCAGGGTTTTTTTTCACCTCTGAGACAAGTTCAAAGTTTTCAGTTTTGACAATTGTGAATAAAGGTGCTGTAAAACATCTCTTTACATATTTTCTGTGATAATAATATTGTTTTTTTGAGATGGGGTCTTGCTCTGTCACCCAGGCTGGAGTGCAGTGGCATGATCTCAGCTCACTGCAATCTCCACCTCCCAGGTTCAAGCGATTCTCCTGCCTCAGCCTCCTGAATAGCTGGGACTACAGGTGTGCACCACCATGCCCAGTTAATTCGATGATAATATTTTACTTCTGTAGGGTAAATATCTAGGAGTGGGACTGTGGACTTATATGGTAAATACATGTTTAACTTTATTAGAAACTGCAAAACTGTTTTCTAAAGCGACTATACAATTTCACCTGTGAACCAGCTATGTTTAAGAGTTCTAGCTGATCTACATCCTCATCAGCACTTGAAATTGTCCACTTAAAAAAATTTAGCCATTCTGGGAGATTATTAAAAAGTCAAGAAACAACAGATGCTGGTGAGGCTGTAGAGAAATAGGAATGCTTTTACACTGTTGGTGGGAATGTAAATTAGTTCAATCATAGCGGAAGACAGCATGGTGATTCTTCAAGGATCTAGAACCGGAAATACTATTTGACCCAGCAATCCCATTACTGGGTATATACTCAAAGGAATATAAACCATTCTATTATAAAGATACATGCACACGTGTGTTCATTGCAGCACTATTCACAATAGCAAAGACATGGAACCAACCCAAATGCCCATCAATGGCAGACTGGATAAAGAAAATGTGGTACATATACACCGTGGAATACTATGCAGCCATAAAAAGGAATAAGATCATGTCTTTTGCAGGCACATGGATGAAGCTGGAAGCCATCAACCTCAGCAAACTAATGCAGGAACCGAAAACCAAACACCACATGTTCTCACTCATAAGAGGGAGATGAACAATGAGAACACATGGACACAGGAAGGGGAACAACACACACTGGGGCCTGTTGGGGGCGGGGAGGGGAGGGAGAACATCAGGACAAATAGCTAATGCATGTGAGGCTTAAAACCTAGGTGATGGGTTGATAGGTGCATCAAACCACCATGACACACGTATGCCTACGTAATAAAACTGCACTTTCTGCACATGTATCCTAGAACTTAAAGTTAAAACAATAAAAAAGAACAAAAATTTAGCTATTCTGATAGTGGGTAGTAGTGTTTTACTGTGGCATTAGCATTTCCCTAATGTTTAATATTTTATTAAACCATGTATGTTTTTGGGTTGTTTGTACAAATCTTTTTCCCAGTTTAAGATAGGGTACTTTGTTTTATTATTACTGATTTTTGACAGTTCTTTATATATTCTGGATACAAGTTGTCTTTTTTAAAAACTTATTTTTTTAATTGGCAAATAAAAATTATATATATATTGATCATGAACAACATGGTGGGTTTTATTTATTTATTTATTTTATTATTATACTTTAAGTTTCAGGGTACATGTGCACAACATGCAGGTTTGTTACATATGTATACATGTGCCATGTTGGTGTGCTGCACCCATTAACTCGTCATTTACATTAGGTATATCTCCTAATGCTATCCCTCCCCAGTCCCCCATCCCACAACAGGCCCTGGGGTGTGATGTTCCCCTTCCTGTGTCCAAGTGTTCTCATTGTTCAATTCCCACCTATGAGTGAGAATATGCGGTGTTTGGTTTTTTGTCCTTACTATAGTTTGCTGAGAATGATGGTTTCCAGCTTCATCCATGTCCCTACAAAGGACATGAATTCATCATTTTTTATGGCTGCATAATATTCCATGGTGTATATGTGCCACATTTTCTTAATCCAGTCTATCATTGATGGACATTTGGGTTGGTTCCAAGTCTTTGCTATCGTGAATAGTGCTGCAATAAACATACGTGTGCATGTGTCTTTATAGCAGCATGATTTATACTTCTTTGAGTATATACCCAGTAATGGGATGGCTGGGTCAAATGGTGTTTCTAGTTCTAGATCCCTGAGGAATCGCCACACTGACTTCCACAATGGTTGAACTAGTTTACAGTCCCACCAACAGTGTAAAAGTGTTCCTGTTTCTCCACATCCTCTCCAGCAACAACATGGTGTTTTAAAGATATGTATACATTGTGGAATGGCTAAATCAAGCTAATTAACATATACATTACCTCACATCCTTTTTTTATTTTTTATTTTTTTGAAGCAAGGTCTTACTCTGTCACCCAAGTGGAAGTGCAGTGGAATGATCACGGCTCATTGCAGCCTTGACCTCCCAGGCTCAAGAGATCCTCCACCTCATCTTTTTTATTATTTTTTGTATAGATGGAGTCTCACTATGTTGCCCAGGCTGGCCTCAAACTCCTGGGCTCAAGCAATCCTCCTGCTTCAGCCTCCCAAAGTGCTAGGATTACAGGCATGAGCCATCACACCCAACCCTACCTCACATACTTAGCATTTTTTTTGTGGTGAGAACACTTAAACTCTCAGTGATTTTTAAGAATAGAATACATTGTTATAATCTATAGTCACCATGTTGTACAATAGATCTCTTGAACTTGTTCCTTCTGCTCAACGGAAATTCTGTATTCTTTCACCATCTCCCTAATCTCCCCGACTCCTTAGTCCCTGGTAACCACCATTCTACTTTGCTTCTATGAACATTCTATTCTGCTTCTATGAGGTCAACTTCTTTAGATTTCACATATGAGATCATGTGGTATTTATTTTTGTGTGCCTGGCTTATTTCACTTAATATAATGTCTTCGAGGTTCATACCTTTTTTTCATAAATGACAGGATTTCCTCCTTTTATTGAGGCTGAATAGTATTCCATTGTCTATATATACACCAGATTTTCTTTATCCACTTATCCACCGATAAACAGTTAAGTTGATTCCATACCATGGCTATTGTGAATAATGCTGCAATGAATATGGGAGTGCAGATATCTCTTTGACATATTGATTTCACTTCTTTTTTATATTCTACTACGTAGTGGGACTGCTGGATCATATGGTAGTTCTACTTTAATTTTTTTGAGGAACCTCCATACTGCTTTCCATGATGGCTATACTAATTTACATTCCCACCTACAATATGCAAGAGTTCCCTATTCTCCGCATCCTTGTCAGCACTTGCTCTCCTTTGTCTTTTTTATAATAGCCATTCTAGCAGATGTGGGGTGATGTTATCATCGTGGTTTTAATTTGCGTTTCTCTGATGAGTAGTGATGTTAGACATTTTTTCATATACTTGTGGACCACTTGCTCATCTCCTTTTGAGAAGTGTCTTGTCAGGTCATTTGCCCATTTTAAAATCAGGTTATTTGTTTCCTTCCTATTGAATTGTTTGAATTTCTTATATATTTTGGATGTTAACCCCTTCTCAAATGCCTGGTTTGTAAATATATTCTCCCATTCCATACATTGTGTCTTCACTCTGTTGATGGTTTCTTTTGCTGTGTGGAAGCTTTTTAGTTTGATGTAATCCCATGTGTCTATTTTTGTGTTTAGCAATGTCGTGGAACTTTTCCTCTATGTTTTCTTTTAGTAGTTCTACAGTTTCATGTCTTACGTTTAAATCTTTAATCTATTTTGAATAGCTTTTTTATATATTGTGAGAAAAGGGTCAAATTTTATTCTTCTGCATGTGGGTATCCAGTTTTACCAACACTATTGGTTGAAGAAACTGTCCTTTTCTCATTGTGTGTTCTTGACACCTTTATTGAAAACCAATTGACTGTAAATGTGTGGATTTATTTCTGGGCTCTCTATTTCCTTCCATTGGCCTATGTATCTGTTTTTCTGCCAATACCATGCTGTTTTGATTAGTATAGCTTTGTAGTTTATTTTGACTTCACATAGTATGGTGACTTCAGCTTTCTTATTTTTGCTCAAGATTGCGATAGCTAGTCAGGGTCTTTTTGCTTCCGTGGAAACGTCAGTATTTTTTTTTTTATTTCTGGGAAAAAATGTCACTGGAATTTTAATAGGGATTGCATTGCATCTGTAGATTGCCTTGGGTAGTATGGACATTTAACAATATTTTTCCAATCCGTGAACCTGGGATATCTTTCCATTTCTTTGTGTTTTCTTCACTTTCTTTCATCAGTGTTTTATAGTTTTTAGTGTACATGTCTTTCACTTCAACATTAAATTTGCTCCTAAATATTTTTGTAGCTATTGTAAATGGAATCATGTTTTTAATATTTTTTCAGGTAGTTTGTTGTTAGTATGTAGAAATGCTACTACTTTGTGTATATTGATTTTGTATCTTGCTACTTAATTGAATTCACTTATTGGTTCTAAATTTTTTTTCATTGCCTCTGTAAGGTTTTCTATATATAAGATCATGTTATTTACAAGCAGACAATTTAACTTCTTCCTTTCCAACTTAGATATTTCTCATGCCTAATTACTCTGACTAGGACTTCCAGTAGTATGTTGAATAGAAGTAGTGAGAGTGGGCATCCATGTCTTCTTCCTTATTTTAGAGGAAACGCTCCTAACTATTCACCATTGAGTATGGTGTTATTTGTCCATTGGTCATATATGGCCTTTATTGTGTTTTTTTTTTTAAATCATGGAATGATGTTGAATTTTGTGAAATGATTTCCATTTTTTGGAAGAATTTGAGAAGGATTGGTATTAGTTCTTTAAACGTTTGGTAGGAGCAGTGACACCATCAGATCCTGAGCTTTTCTTAGATGGAAGATTTTTTGTTATTCATTTAATCTCCTTATTCATTATTTGTTCACATTTTCTATTTCATTATGATTCCATCTCGGTTTTATATGTCTAGGACTTTATCTTTCTTCTAGATTATCCAATTTCTTGGTACATAATTGTTCATAGTAGTCGCATGATTTTTTATATTTCTCTGGTACCAGCTGTACTGTCTTCTCTTTCTTTTTTTATTTTATTTATCTTTTTTTAATTTTTTTTATTATACTTTAAGTTTTAGGGTACATGTGCACATTGTGCAGGTTAGTTACATATGTATACATGTGCCATGCTGGTGTGCTGCACCCACTAACTCCTCATCTAGCATTAGGTATATCTCCCAATGCTATCCCTCCCCCCTCCCCCCACCCCACAACAGTCCCCAGAGTGTGATGTTCCCCTTCCTGTGTCCATGTGATCTCATTGTTCAATTCCCACCTATGAGTGAGAATATGCGGTGTTTGGTTTTTTGTTCTTGCGATAGTTTACTGAGAATGATGATTTCCAATTTCATCCATGTCCCTACAAAGGACATGAACTCATCATTTTTTATGGCTGCATAGTATTCCATGGTGTATATGTGCCACATTTTCTTAATCCAATCTATCATTGTTGGACATTTGGGTTGGTTCCAAGCCTTTGCTATTGTGAATAATGCCGCAATAAACGTACGTGTGCATGTGTCTTTATAGCAGCATGATTTATAGTCCTTTGGGTATATACCCAGTAATGGGATGGCTGGGTCAAATGGTATTTCTAGTTCTAGATCCCTGAGGAATCGCCACACTGACTTCCACAATGGTTGAACTAGTTTACAGTCCCACCAACAGTGTAAAAGCATTCCTATTTCTCCACATCCTCTCCAGCACCTGTTGTTTCCTGACTTTTTAATGATTGCCATTCTAACTGGTGTGAGATGGTATCTCATTGTGGTTTTGATTTGCATTTCTCTGATGGCCAGTGATGGTGAGCATTTTTTCATGTGTTTTTTGGCTGCATAAATGTCTTCTTTTGAGAAGTGTCTATTCATGTCCTTTGCCCACTTTTTGATGGGGTTGTTTTTTTTTTTCTTGTAAATTTGTTTGAGTTCATTGTAGATTCTGGATATTAGCCCTTTGTCATATGAGTAGGTTGCGAAAATTTTCTCCCATTTTGTAGGTTGCCTGTTCACTCTGATGGTAGTTTCTTTTGCTGTGCAGAAGCTCTTTAGTTTAATTAGATCCCATTTGTCAATTTTGTCTTTTGTTGCCATTGCTTTTGGTGTTTTAGACATGAAGTCCTTGCCCATGCCTACGTCCTGAATGGTAATGCCTAGGATTTCTTCTAGGGTTTTTATGGTTTTAGGTCGAATGTTTAAGTCTTTAATCCATCGTGAATTGATTTTTGTATAAGGTGTAAGGAAGGGATCCAGTTTCAGCTTTCTACATATGGCTAGCCAGTTTTCCCAGCACCATTTATTAAATAGGGAATCCTTTCCCCATTGCTTGTTTTTCTCAGGTTTGTCAAAGATCAGAGAGTTGTAGATATGCAGCGTTATTTCTGAGGGCTCTGTTCTGTTCCATTGATCTATATCTCTGTTTTGGTACCAGTACCATGCTGTTTTGGTTACTGTAGCCTTGTAGTATAGTTTGAAGTCAGGTAGTGTGATGCCTCCAGCTTTGTTCTTTTGGCTTAGGATTGACTTGGCGATGCGGGCTCTTTTTTGGTTCCATATGAACTTTAAAGTAGTTTTTTCCAATTCTGTGAAGAAAGTCATTGGTAGCTTGATGGGGATGGCATTGAATCTGTAAATTACCTTGGGCAGTATGGCCATTTTCACGATATTGATTCTTCCTACCCATGAGCATGGAATGTTCTTCCATTTGTTTGTATGCTCTTTTATTTCCTTGAGCAGCGGTTTGTAGTTCTCCTTGAAGAGGTCCTTCATATCCCTTGTAAGTTGGATTCCTAGGTATTTTATTCTCTTTGAAGCAATTGTGAATGGGAGTTCACTCATGATTTGGCTCTCTGTTTGTCTGTTGTTGGTGTATAGGAATGCTTGTGATTTTTGCACATTGATTTTGTATCCTGAGACTTTGCTGAAGTTGCTTATCAGCTTAAGGAGATTTTGGGCTGAGACAATGGGGTTTTCTAGATATACAATCATGTCATCTGCAAACAGGGACAATTTGACTTCCTCTTTTCCTAATTGAATACCCTTTATTTCCTTCTCCTGCCTAATTACCGTGGCCAGAACTTCCAACACTATGTTGAATAGGAGTGGTGAGAGAGGGCATCCCTGTCTTGTGCCAGTTTTCAAAGGGAATGCTTCCAGTTTTTGCCCATTCAGTATGATATTGGCTGTGGGTTTGTCATAGATAGCTCTTATTATTTTGAAATATGTCCCATCAATACCTAATTTATTGAGAGTTTTTAGCATGAAGGGTTGTTGAATTTTGTCAAAGGCCTTTTCTGCATCTATTGAGATAATCATGTGGTTTTTGTCTTTGGCTCTGTTTATATGCTGGATTACATTTATTGATTTGCGTATATTGAACCAGCCTTGCATCCCAAGGATGAAGCCCACTTGATCATGGTGGATAAGCTTTTTGATGTGCTGCTGGATTCGGTTTGCCAGTATTTTATTGAGGATTTTTGCATCAATGTTCATCAAGGATATTGGTCTAAAATTCTCTTTTTTGGTTGTGTCTCTGCCCGGCTTTGGTATCAGAATGATGCTGATCTCATAAAATGAGTTAGGGAGGATTCCCTCTTTTTCTATTGATTGGAATAGTTTCAGAAGGAATGGTACCGGTTCCTCCTTGTACCTCTGGTAGAATTCGGCTGTGAATCCATCTGGTCCTGGATTCTTTTTGGTTGGTAAGCTATTGATTATTGCCACAATATCAGATCCTGTTATTGATCTATTCAGAGATTCAACTTCTTCCTGGTTTAGTCTTGGAAGAGTGTATGTGTTGAGGAGTTTATCCATTTCTTCTAGATTTTCTAGTTTATTTGCATAGAGGTGTTTTTAGTATTCTCTGATGGTAGTTTGTATTTCTGTGGGATCGGTGGTGATATCCCCTTTATCATTTTTTATTGTGTCTATTTGATTCTTCTCTCTTTTTTTCTTTATTAGTCTTGCTAGCGGTCTATCAATTTTGTTGATCCTTTCAAAAAACCAGCTCCTGGATTCATTAATATTTTGAAGGCTTTTTTGTGTCTCTATTTCCTTCAGTTCTGCTCTGATCTTAGTTATTTCTTGCCTTCTGTTAGCTTTTGCATGTGTTTGCTCTTGCTTTTCTAGTTCTTTTAACTGTGATGTTAGGGTGTCAATTTTGGATCTTTCCTGCTTTCTCTTGTGGGCATTTAGTGCTATAAATTTCCCTCTACACACTGCTTTGAATGTGTCCCAGAGATTCTGGTATGTTGTGTCTTTGTTCTCGTTGGTTTCAAAGAACATCTTTATTTCTGTCTTCATTTCGTTATGTACCCAGCAGTCATTGAGGAGCAGGTTGTTCAGTTTCCATGTAGTTGAGTGGTTTTGAGTGAGATTCTTAATCCTGAGTTCTAGTTTGATTGCACTGTGGACTGAGAGATAGTTTGTTATAATTTGTGTTCTTTTACATTTGCTGAGGAGAGCTTTACTTCCAAGTATGTGGTCAGTTTTGCAATAGGTGTGGTGTGGTGCTGAAAAAAACGTATATTCTGTTGATTTGGGGTGGAGAGTTCTGTAGACGTCTATTAGGTCCTCTTGGTGCAGAGCTGAGTTCAATTCCTGGGTATCCTTGTTGACTTTCTGTCTCGTTGATCTGTCTAATATTGACAGTGGGGTGTTAAAGCCTCCCATTATTAATGTGTGGGAATCTAAGTCTCTTTGTAGGTCACTCAGGACTTGCTTTATGAATCTGGGTGCTCCTGTATTGGGTGCATATATATTTAGGATAGTTAGCTGTTCTTGTTGAATTGATCCCTTTACCATTATGTAATGGCCTTCTTTGTCTCTTTTGATCTTTGTTGGTTTAAAGTCTGTTTGATCAGAGAATAGGATTGCAACCCCTGCCTTTGTTTGTTTTCCATTTGCTTGGTAGATCTTCCTCCATCCTTTTATTTTGAGCCTATGTGTGTCTCTGCAAGTGAGATGGGTCTCCTGAATACAGCACACTGATGGGTCTTGACTCTATCCAATTTGCCAGTCTGTGTCTTTTAATTGGAGCATTTAGTCCATTTACATTTAAGGTTAATAGTGTTATGTGTGAATTTGATCCTGTCATTATGATGTTAGCTGGTTCTTTTGCCCGTTAGTTGATGCAGTTTCTTCCTAGTCTCGATGGTCTTTACATTTTGGCATGATTTTGCAGCAGCTGGTACCCGTTGTTCCTTTCCATGTTCAGTGCTTCCTTCAGGAGCTCTTTTAGGGCAGGCCTGGTGGTGACAAAATCTCTCAGCATTTGCTTGTCTGTAAAGTATTTTATTTCTCCTTCACTTATGAAGCTTAGTTTGGCTGGATATGAAATTCTGGGTTGAAAATTCTTTTCTTTAAGAATGTTGAATATTGGTCCCCACTCTCTTCTGGCTTGTAGGGTTTCTGCCGAGAGATCCGCTGTTAGTCTGATGGGCTTCCCTTTGAGGGTAACCTGACGTTTCTCTCTGGCTGCACTTAACATTTTTTCCTTCATTTCAACTTTGGTGAATCTGACAATTATGTGTCTTGGAGTTGCTCTTCTCGAGGAGTATCTTTGTGGCGTTCTCTGTATTTCCTGAATCTGAACGTTGGCCTGCCTTGCTAGATTGGGGAAATTCTCCTGGATAATATCCTGCAGAGTGTTTTCCAACTTGGTTCCATTCTCCCCATCACTTTCAGGTACACCAATCAGACATAGATTTGGTCTTTTCACATAGTCCCATATTTCTTGGAGGCTTTGCTCATTTCTTTTTATTCTTTTTTCTCTAAACTTTCCTTCTCGCTTCATTTCATTCATTTCATCTTCCATTGCTGATACCCTTTCTTCCAGTTGATCGCATCGGCTCCTGAGGCTTCTGCATTCTTCAGGTAGTTCTCGAGCCTTGGTTTTCAGCTCCATCAGCTCCTTTAAGCACTTCTCTGTATTGGTTATTCTAGTTATACATTCTTCTAAATTTTTTTCAAAGTTTTCAACTTCTTTGCCTTTGGTTTGAATGTCCTCCCGTAGCTCAGATTAATTTGATCGTCTGAAGTCTTCTTCTCTCAGCTCGTCAAAGTCCTTCTCCGTCCAGCTTTGTTCTGTTGCTGGTGAGGGGCTGCATTCCTTTGGAGGAGGAGAGGCGCTCTGATTTTTAGAGTTTCCAGTTTTTCTGTTCTGTTTTTTCCCCATCTTTGTGGTTTTATCTACTTTTGGTCTTTGATGATGGTGATGTACAGATGGGTTTTTAGTGTGGATGTCCTTTCTGTTTGTTAGTTTTCCTTCTAACAGACAGGACCCTCAGCTGCAGGTCTGCTGGAGTACCCTGCAGTGTGAGGTGTCAGTCTGCCCCTGCTGGAGGGTGCCTCCCAGTTAGGCTGCTTGGGGGTCAGGGGTCAGGGAGCCACTTGAGGAGGCAGTCTGCCCGTTCTCAGATCTCCAGCTGCGTACTGGGAGAACCCCTGCTCTCTTCAAAGCTGTCAGACAGGGACAGTTAAGTCTGCAGAGGTTACTGCTGTCTTTTTGTTTGTCTGTGCCCTGCCCCCAGAGGTGGAGCCTACAGAGGCACGCAGGCCTCCTTGAGCTGTGGTGGGCTCCACTCAGTTCGAGCTTCCCGGCTGCTTTGTTTACCTAAGCAAGCCTGGGCAATGGTGGGCGCCCCTCCCCCAGCCTCACTGCCGCCTTGCAGTTTGATCTCAGACTGCTGTGCTAGCAATCAGCGAGACTCCGTGGGGTAGGACCCTCCGAGCCAGGTGCGGGATATAATCTCGTGGTGCGCTGTTTTTTAAGCCCGTGAGAAAAGCGCAGTATTCAGGTGGGAGTGACCCGATTTTCCAGGTGCCGTCCGTCACCCCTTTCTTTGATTAGGAAAGGGAACTCCCTGACCCCTTGCGCTTCCCCCCGCCGAGTGAGGCAATGCCTCGCCCTGCTTCGGCTAGCGCACGGTGGGCGCACCCACTGACCTGCGCCCACTGTCTGGCACTCCCTAGTCAGATGAACCGGGTACCTCAGATGGAAATGCAGAAATCACCCGTCTTCTGCGTGGTTCATGCTGGGAGCTGTAGACTGGAGCTGTTCCTATTCGGCCATCTTGGCTCCTCCAATGTCTTCTCTTTCATTTCTTGTTTTATTTATTTGAGCCTTATCTTTTTTTCTTAGTCTAAATAAAAGTTTGTCAATTTTGTTCATCTTTTTTTTTTTTTTTTTTGAGACAGTTGCTCTGTCTCCCAGGCTGGAATGCAGTGGCGCCATCTTGGCTCACTGCAACCTCCACCTCCCGGGTTCAAGCAGTTCTTCTGCTTCAGCCTCCTAAGTAGCTGGGACTACAGGCACATGCCACCATGCCCAGATAATTTTTTGCATTTTTAGTAGAGATGGAGTTTCACTACATTGGCCAGGCTGGTCTCAAAATTCTGACCTCAAGTGATCTGCCCACCTCAGCCTCCCAAAGTGCTGGGATTACAGGTGTGAGCCACCATACCTGGTGATTTTGTTTATCTTTTCAAAAAAACTAACTGTTAGTTTCTAGTAAGACAAGTCTGGGTGGCAATGAACTCCCTCAGCTTTTGTTTGTCTGGTAAAGTCTTTATCTCTCCTTCATTTCTGAAGGATAGCTTTACTGGGTAAAGTATTAATTGGCAGGGTTTTTTCTCTTCGGCACTTTGAATATATCTTCCCACTCTTTCGTGGCCTATATTTCTGCTGTGAAGAGCACTGCTAGCTTTATTGGAACTCCTTTATATGTGATATGCTGCTTTTCTATTGTTACTTTCAGGATCCTCTCTTTTATGTTGATTTTTGACAGTTTGATTATAATATGTCTTGGTGTTGTCTTGTTTGGATTGTATCTTATTGGAGACTGATGACCCTCCTGTACCTGTATATTTATCTTTCCCCAGGTTCGGAAAGTTTTCTGTTGCTATTGATTGAAATGTGTTTTCCAGACCTTCATATCTCTTTTCTCCTTATTGAACTCCTATAATTCAGATATTTGCCCTTTTGTTGTTGTCCCATAAGTCCCTAAGCTTTTTTTTTTATTGAGGAAGATCTTTTTTTAATGTTATTTTTTTTTTATTTCCAGCTTGTAAGTTCAGGGGGACATGTGCAGGATGTGCAAGTTTGTTACATAGGTAAACGTGTGCCATGGTGGTTTGCTGCATAAATCATCCCATCACCTAGGTGTTAAGTCCAGCATCCACTAACTGTTCTTCCTTATGATATCCCTCCTCCCAGCCCCCACCCTCCAGCAAGCCCCAGTATGTGTTGCTAACCCCCATGTGTCCATGTGTTCTCATCATTCAGCTTCCACTTATAAGTGAGAACATGCAGTATTTGGTTTTCTGTTCCTGCATTAGTTTGCTGAGGATAATGGCTTCCAGCTCCATCTATGTCCCTGCAAAGGACGTGGTCTTGTTCCTTTGTATGGCTGCATAGTATTCCATGGTGTATATGTACCACATTTTCTTTATTCAGTCTATCATTGATGGGCATACGTTGATTATATGTCTTTGCTATTGTGAATAGTGCTACAATGAACATACGTGTGCATTATTTTTATAACAGAATGATTTATATTCCTTTGGGTATATACCCAGTAATGGGATTGCCAGGTCATATAGTATTTCTGCCTGTAGGTCTTCGAGAAATCACCATACTGTCTTCCACAATGGTTGAACTACTAATTTACATTCCCACCAACAGTGTAAAAGTGTAAAAGCATTCCTTTTTCTCCACACACAACCTTGCCAGCATCTGTTGTTTTTTGACTTTTTAATAATAGTCATTCTGACTGGCATGAGATGGTATCTCATTGTGGTTTTGATTTGCATTTCCCTAATGATCAGTGATGTTGAGCTATTTTTCATACATTTGTTGGCCATGTGTATGTCTTCTTTTGAGAAGTGTCTGTTCATGTCCTTTGCCCACTTTTTAGTGGGTTTTCTTTTTTTTTAATTTGCTTAGGTTCCTTGTAGATGCTGGGTATTAGGCCTTTGTCAGATGGATAGATTGTAAAAATTTTCTCCCATTCTATAATTTATTTGTTCATTCTGATGATGGTTTCTTCTGCTGTGCAGCAGCTCTTTAGTCTGGGAAGGCACTTTATTGGCCTATCAAGGAACTATGGGTAGGCTGTTTTGCATGGTTCACATGTGTGCTGACTCCTGGAGTCCTTTGGCAGCCTGGCCTTGTTCCTGGATTAGCAGCTGGGTGGGCCTGGATGCCTAGGTCCATGGGGTTGGATCTGGAGCCTATATCCACTGAGGTGGACTTCTTGATTGGGTCTGAAGGATTGGGCTTGGAGCCTGTATCCAATGGGGCTGGCCTGAAGTTTAGGCCCCCATTGGCTGACCAAACACTAAAGTGGTGAGTCTGAATCTGCAAGAGCCAGCCAGGTGGGAATGGGCCTTGTGCCTGGGTCCCCTGGGATAGGCCTGGAGCCTGAGTCTGTAGGGGTTGGCCTGGCACTGGGGTGGGCCTCAAGCCTGAGGACTAGGGCAGGCCTCAGTCCTAGGTCAGTGGGTGCTGGCCTGGAACCTTGGTTTGTAGGGGTGGTTTTAGAGCCTCAGTCCATGGGGGCTAGCCTGGCACCTGGGTCTACTGGGGTGGTACTAGACCCTTGGCCTACTGCAGCAGGCCTGGACCCTGGGTCTACTGGAGCTTGGGGCCACTGAGACAGTCCTAGAGCCTGGAGCTGGCCTGGAGTTGGGGCAGATGTGGAGCCTCGGGCCACAAGGACTGCCTTGAAGCCTGGGATTGTTGGTACTAAATTGCTATTTGGAGACACACTGGCTGGCCTAGTGTGTGGGGCTGTGGGGACCTGCCTGGGGCCTGGGTCTGTGGGGGCCAGCCTGGGGGATGGATGTGTGTATGCTAGCCTGGAGGCTAGGTCTGTGAGGTCTGACCTGGGTCCTGGAGCTGCAGGAGCTGTCCTGGAACCTGGCTGCATAGGGGAAGTGCTGAGGCTTTGATCCATGGGGGCCAGCCCATCCCTAGGGTCTAAATTGGCTTGGACCCTTGGTCTGCTGGAGCAGACTTGGACCGTGGCTCCACTGGAGTGTGGAGTGACATAAGCAGGTGTGAAGGCTGTGTTCATGAGTGCTAGCCTCGTACCTATGGCCAGGGGTACAGATCTGGTATTGGGGCAGGCCTGTAGCCTGGGGCTGTGTGGGCTGACCTAGCTCTGAGGTGGTCTGAAAACCTGGGGTATGCCTGGATCCTGGGGCTGCAGGGGCTGGCCTGGCACTGAGTAGGCCTGGATCCTATATCTACAAGGAGCAGCCTAGAGGCTGGGTCCATGGGTGCTGACCTGATGACTAGGGCTGTGGGGCTGGCCTAGTGCTGAGGCAGACCTGAAGCCTGGGGCTACGGGGGATCCAGCTTCATACTGGCAGCAATCTGGTGCCTGGAACTACTGATGTCAGCCTCGTCCTAAGGATAGAGACTGCATCTAAAGCCTGAGTCTGTTAGGACTGCTATGGCACTGGGACAGGCCCAAAGCCTGGGGCTAATGGGTCTGGTCCAGCACTGGGGCCAGTCTGGAGCCTGAATCCGCTGGGGTTGGCCTGGTGATGTGGCAGTCCTAGAGATCAAGTCCTTCGGGCAGGTCTGGAGCCTGGGTCTGCAGGATATGACCTGGAGTCTGGGGCCATGGGGGCCTGCCCAGTGATGAGTTTTACTGCCGCCAGCCCATTGTTGTGGTCTGAGGTAAATTCCAGTACTCACTTTCCTCTTCTTCCCCTAAGTGGAGGATATCTGTCTTCATGCTCTATGGCCTGGGGTTGGGGGAGGGGTGACATGGGTATTAAAAAGCTGTTGTTCCTACACTCTTCAATGCATCTTTTCTATTTCTGTGCCACAGCCAGGTGCTGCAATCTCTCACCTAGTTTTCCTAGCTCTTGTGGAGGTATTTCCATGTGTGGATAGTTGTTCAAATTGATGTTCTTGTGGGGAATGAGCGCTGGAAAGTCCTATTCCACCATCTTGTTGATGTTCAGTGGACACAAGCTCTTTATCAGACATGTATTTTGCAAATTTTTTCTTTTTATTAACACCGTCTTTCATGAACAGAAGTTTTAAATTTCGACATAGTCCTATTTATTTTTCTTCTTTTATGGATTGTGCTTTTGGCATTGTAGTTGAGAAATCTTTGCCTACTGCAAGGTGACAGAAAAGGTCTCATGTTTTCTTCAAGAAATTTTACAGTTTTAGGTTTACATTTATGTCTATGAACAATTTTTAGTTAATTTTTGTATTTGGTTCAAGGTATGGATTGAAAATTTTTTTTTTTTTTTGCACATGACTATCCAATTGTTCCAGCATCATTTGTTTAACAAACTATTCTTTCTCTGTTGAATTGCCTTTGTGCCTTTATCAGAAATTAGTTGTCATATATGTGTGGATCTCTTTCTGGACTCTATTCCATTCCATTCTTCTATTCATCCATCCTTACGCTATTCCCATACTGTCTTTATCAGTGTAGCTATGTAATAAATTTGAAGTCAACTTTAACAAATCCATCCTTACACTATTCCCATGCTGTCTTTATTAGTGTAGCTATGTAATAAATTTGAACCCCAACTTTGTTCTCTTTCTAATTGTTTTGGCTATTCCAAGGCCTTTGTATATCCATATGAATTTTAGAATCATTATTTTAAGTTTTGCATAAATGAATTTTGATTCGTATTACATTGAATCTATAGATCAGCTTGGGGATAACTGACATCTTAACAACGTTGCTGAGTCTTCCAAACCACGAACAACTTACATACCTCCATTTATTTAGGTCTTTAATTTCTCTCAGCAATGTTTTCTACTTTTCATTGTACCTGTCTTCTGCATCTTTTGTCAGATTTATCCCTAAGTACACTATATTTTATGCTATTTTAAATGGCATTTTAAAAAAATTTGGTTTCCGATTGCTTATTGTTGATATGTAGAAATACAAATGATTTCTTGTATATTGATCTTATATCCCACAACTTTGGTAAACTCACTTATTAGTTGCAGTACAGTACCTTCCCTGTAGATTCCATCAGATTTTATTTTATTTTTGTTTTGTTTTGTTTGTTTGTTTATGAGACCTGTTCTGTTTCGAGACCTGTTCTGTCACCTAGGCTGGAGTGCGGTGGCATGATCTCGGCTCACTGCAACCTCCACCTCCTGGGTTCAAACGATTCTCGTGCCTCAGCCTCCCAAGAAACTGGGATTACAGGCATGCACCACCACGCCTGGCTAATTTTTGTATTTTTAGTAGAAATGGGGTTTCACCACGTTGGCCAGGCTGGTCTCGAACTCCTGGCCTCAAGGAATCCTCCCACCTTGGCCTCCCAAAGTGCTGGGATTACAGGCATGAGCTACTGCACCAGCCCCATCAGATTTTCTAAATAGACAATCATGTTGCCTGTGGGTAAAGATAATTTCACTTCTTTTTCAATCTGGGTGCAATTTATTTTTTTCTTGCTTTGTTGCTCTTGTTAGATTCTCCAGTAAAATTTGAGTAAAACTGATGAGAGTGGACATCCTTATCTTTTTCCTGATTTTAGGGGGAAAGCATTCAGTCTTCCACCAGTAAGTATGTTAGCTGTAGGTTTTTCACAGATATCCTTTATCAGGTTGAGGGAGTTCCATTTGGTGGTGGGAGGGGTAAGGAATGGATGTTGAATTTGGTTGTATGGTTTTCTGCATCTGTTGAAATGGTCAATTTTTAAAAAATTGTTAATATAGTCAGTTACATTAATTGATTTTCAAATGTTAAACCAATGCTGTATTTCTGGAACAAGCCCCACTTGATCATGATGTATACTCCTTTTTATATAATTTGATTTGCTAATGGTTTGTTTAGAATATGTGTATCTATGTTCATGAATGAAATTGGTTTGTAGTTTTATATTCCTGTAATGTTTTTGGTTTTGCTATCAGAGTAATACTGACTTCATAGGGTGAATTGGGAAGTATATTCTCCTTTTCAGTTTTCTGGAAGAGTTTGTGTTGAAATGATATTATTTCTTCCTCAAATGTTTTTGGTAGATTTCACCAGTGAAGCCATCTGGGACTGGAGTTTTCTTTATGCAAAGGTTTTTAATTATAAATTAAATGTCTTTAATAGATATAGGGCTATTCAAGTTATCTATTATTTATTGATTTAGCTTTGGTGGTTTGTGTCTTTCAAAAATTTGTTTCATCTAAGTTGTTGAAATTATGGGCCTAAAGTTGTTCATAATATCCCCCATATTATCCTTTTAACACCTGTAACCTTTCTTATTTCTGATATTTGTAATTTATGTCTTCTCTATTTTTCTTCCTGGTCAGTGTAACTAAAGGATCAATCAGTGTAGAAGGTCAATTTTATTGATCTTCTCAAAGAACCCAGCTTTTGGTTTTACTAATTTTTCTCTATCAGTTTTGTTTTTGTTTTTGTTTTTGATAGAGTCTCAAAAAAACGAACACAGCTCACTACAGCCTTGGCCTCCCAGGCTCAGTTTATCCTCCTGCCTCATCCTCCCGAGTAGCTGGGACCACAGGTGCATGCCACTACACCTAGCTCATTTTAAAACTTTTTTGTAGAGATAGGGTCTCACCATGTTGCCCAGGCTGGTCTCAAACTCCTGGGCTCAAACGATCCTCCTACCTTGGCCTCTATTGTTTTTATCTGATTTCTATTTAATTTATTTACGTTCTGATCTTTATCATATCCATTCTTCTGCTTTCTTTGAGTTCCATTTGCTCTACTTCTTCTTATTTCTAAAGGTGAACACTGAGGTCATTGATTTAAGACCTTTATTCTGGTCTATCTGGACAGTTAATGCTACAAATTATCATCTAATTACTGTTTAGTGACGATACACAAATTTTGATATGTCATGTTTTCATTTTTTTTTTTTTTCAGGTTTTCCTTTAGCATTTTTATTAGACCCAAATGAAAACAAAGGCTAATTTAGAAGCCAAGCATTGATTTTCCCATTTGTTAATATTATGTCTTACAATGAGTTTTAACACTGAAACTCATCTAATATTAAACAGAAACGGTTGAGTTACTTGTTGATTTTCAATGGCTGTTTTTCCCCCTGCATTCCTCCATGCATTTATTTGTCCTTGTATCAACAATTACTTGAGCTTTACCATATGCAAAGGGGAAGGCTTTACTTCTCTTTGGAAACATAGCCTTCCCTGTTGCATACAGTATTTCCACAACACACAGTCTTCTGATTCGGAGGAAGTGACATGATGGTCTATATTTCAACAGTTCTTTTACAGTGAACTAACAACTTTATAGATGACACCATGACGTTAGGCTTTGAAACTTATGCGAGGGTGAGGATTAAGGAAAACAGAGATCTTTTCGAGATATTTATAATACTCTCAAAGGAGGGACCATTTGGATATCATATTAGTTTCCTGTTGCTGCTGTTGTAAAGGCTGCCAATAAATTACCACAAAGTTAATAGCTTACAACAACACAATCCATTATCTTACAGTTCAGGAGGCCGCAGTCCCAAATCAGTTCACTGGGCTAAAATCAGCGTGGAATCAGGGTTGGCAGAGGATGTTTTCATTTTAATTTGGTTCCAAATACTTTCCAATTTAACTTTGGATTCCTTTTTAAACTTGTGGATTATTTAGATGTGTTACTTATTTTCCAAATATTTGCAGATTTTCCAGAGAACATTCTTTTGTTGATTTTTAATTTCATTTCATTGTAGTCAAAGATCATACTTTGTATGACTTTAATCCTTTTAAATATATTGAGACTTGTTCTAGGGCCTAGAATATTGTTTTTCTTGGTAAATATTTCATGTGCACTTGAGAGGAATATACATTTTGCTGGTGTTGGGTTGAATGTGTTATAAATGTTAGCCACATCAAGTTGATTTAGTGTTAAGTGTACTGAATCCTTGCTGATTTTCTATTCTATCAGTTATTGAGAGAGGATATTGAAATCTTTAACTATAATTGTGGATTTGTTCATTTCTTCTTGCAGTTCTACCAGCTTTTGCTTCTTATATTTTGAAATTTTATTGGGTGCATAAGCATTCAGAGTTATGTCCTCATGATAAACTGATTATTGTCTTGAAATAACCTTTTATTGCCAATAATATTCTTTGCTCTGAAATTCACTTTATCTGATATTAATATAGCCACTCCAGCTTTCTTTTGATTACCTTCACTTTAGTGTATATTATCCCATCCTCTTCTTTCAATCAATTTTGCTTTTATATTTAAAGTGTATTTCTTGTAGGTGGCATATATTTAAAAGATGTGTTTTGTTTTGTTTTCAGTCTTACTATCTCTGCCTTTTAATTGGTCATTTGGTCATTTATATTTAACATAGATATTGATACACATAGATTTAAATTTAGCATCTTATTAATTATCTTCTGTTTGTCCCATTTGCTCTTTTTCCTTTTTTCTGCTTTATTTTGGATTAATTGAATTTTTATGATTACATTTATCTCCCTTTTTGCTTATTAGTTTGAACAAATATTTATTTGTTGCTTGAAGTCTATAGTACACATATTTAACTTGTCATATTCCACCTTTAAGAATATAATGGAATATAACACACAGCTACTCAATTTTTTATTTTATTCTGTATTATATTTCAAATTATGGATGTACCAAAGTGTGTTTTGCCCATTAATTATGATGGAATTTAGGCTGATTTCATATTTTACTCTTTTTTTTTTTTTTTTTCTGAGACAGAGTTTCGCTCTGTCACCCAGGCTAGAGTGCAGTGGCCCGATCTCGGCTCACTGCAAGCTCCGCCTCCCGGGTTAACGCCATTCTCCTGCCTCAGCCTCCCGAGTAGCTGGGACTACAGACGCCCGCAACTGCACCTGGCTAATTTTTTGTATTTTTAGTAGAGACGGGGTTTCACCGTGTTAGCCAGGATGGTCTCGATCTCCTGACCTCGCGATCCACCCTCCTCGGCCTCCCAAAGTGCTGGGATTACAGGCGTGAGCCACCGCGCCTGGCCCATATTTTACTCTTATAAACAATGCTGGATGAACATCCTTATGTGTATTTGTTTACTTTTGCAAATATATCCGTAAGATAAATTCACAGAAGTGCATGTGCAGTTGCTCAGTTGGGCATTTTTCTGGTGTTCAAATCCTCCTTGAAAGCTTAGCAACTCACATTACTTTATGAATACTAACATTTTAAAAATGTTCTTAAAATAAGTTCCAAATTCATTGTGGCATAATTAACCATAGATATGTAATTTCTTTGATTAGAGTATATCATTTTTGAATTTTTTTCTTGTTTTTCAGCTTTGCAGGCAATAATTACTTTAGAGAATATATTAACAGATGAAGAGTCAGAAGATAATGATCTAGTTGCAGAGAGAGGTTCACCTACCATGCTTCTAAGTTTAGCTGCCCAGTTTGCTCTAGAGGTAATTCATATGTATTCATCTACTAGATTTTTATCCCTTTTCCTTTTTGAAAGACAATTAATAGAATCATTATCAGTTAGACACAGAAGAGACCTTTACTGTTTGTTTTGCCTCATATTTTCATGCCAAACTTGGTTGCAGAACTGCTTTATTTCTTCTCATTTCACTATAATGCAGACTAAAGTAAATGAAACAGTGAGGTAACAGAGTTGTGCTCAAAACAACATAAAAATAAACGTAGCAAAACATTAATTTTTTAAAAGAAACTCCAAATTCAAAATGCCATACCATGTCAATAAATAGCTATCTATATAGAAACTTATCTTTCTCATCAATTTGAACAAAATGGTTTAAATTTCTGGAGATCCTTTGAGTTCATAACCACAAAATAGTATTAGTTTAGAAGTAATAAATAATTGTACCCCTGTTTGTTACTACAGAATTCTGGTTTTATTAATATATTGAATTAGGAAAAGCATAGTAGCATCTGTGGAGCTCTTAGACTAGGTTTGAATACTGGCTCTGCCATTTAATCTGTGCTTAACTTCTTCAAATCTTAATTTCATCCTTTGCAAAATAAAGATAATGCCTACCTCCAGGATTGTTATGAAAATCGATTAAGATGGCTGAAAATGTGCTTTATAAACTATTAAGTTTATCTTCTTTTTAAAACTACTTTAAATAGGAAAACCATCTTCCTGATCAGAACTACAGTTCCATATTTCTTCCAGTAGCTCTCTTTGGCTTTCTACATCAAATGTACATTTATAAACCTTCCTTTAAAAAGATAATTGCTTTTGGGTTTCCTCTCTTTCATCTTCTTCCCCATTCTGCACAAATACATTCCATATCTGCATCTGCCAAATACTTTTCTTCCTTCAGGAGTTCTATTACCCTTCTCACTAACATCAAAATACATATCATTCAAACTGTATTTAGCAACTACTTTGGGCAAGATATTGGGCTAGATGCTAGAAATATGTTCCTTCAGGACCTCACAAGTCAATTTGAACAGACAAGCCATGCATTAGGAAAGTAAGTCTACAGAATATAGAGTTCTATGTAAGTATATAGAATAAAGACCAAATAGCTAATATATATGTTAAAAATTACCAAAATTCAGAGTAGGAAGAGAGCACTGAGAACCAGAATCGATTTGGGAAGTCTCTACAGCGGAAGGAAACCTTAAGTTGGGCTTTGGAAAGAGTAGCATTTACATAAGTAAGAATGTTTTTTTAAAGGAAGAGATGGTATAAACAAGACATGGAGAAAGGAATGTGATTGGCTTGAGAGACACAGTGTTTGGTTAAAGTGATGGAGGGCTTATGTTTCCACCATTCCAGATGTTTTGCCTGATGTAATAGTGGCTTTTTTTTTTTTTTTGACAAAGTCTCACTCTGTCACCCAGGCTGGAGTGCAGTGGCGTAATCTCAGCTCACTGTAACCTCTGCCTCTCAGGTTCAAGTGATTCTTGTGCCTCAGCCTCCCATGTAGCTGGGATTACAGGTGTGCGCCAGCCACACCTGACTAATTTTTGTATTTTTAGTAGAGGCGGGGTTTCACCATGTTGGCCAAGCTGGTCTGGAGCTCTTGGCCTTAAGTGATCTGTCTACCTCAGCCTCCCAAAGTGCTGGGATTACAGGCATGAGCCACTGCACCAGCCATGACTTTTATTATTATGTTGATGCTATAGGGGAGGAGTATGAGATAAAGTAGAAGAAATAGCTGTGACAAGATTATATATACATTTTATTCTCTAAACAATAAGAAAATATTGATGGTAATTTATGTAAAAGTAGTGCTTTAGGAAAATAATTTGGGTTGTGCATGGGGAAATGAATGGGGAGAAATTATATGTAGGACAGAATGGGAGACTGTGATAATAATCCAGTTTTAAAATAATGAGAGTCTAGACAAGGGTAGTGAGAGTGGGGTATTAAGCAGGCAAAACATTGCTTTCTTTTCTTTTAAAATAAGCTACCTTATCTTTAAATCCCTTTACAAAATTCATTCCCCCACCTCCCAAGAGAAAATGTGGATATTCTAGGTTCTGAAAACTGAAGCAGTCAGGAAGAGAACTTCCACAGATTCCTACTACCTCTACTCACACACCAGGAATCACACCACATAGTCTGCCTTCTCAACTGCCACCATAGATTAGCTATCATGTTCCTTCCTAAAGCCAGTCTCTAAACTTACACACTTGTTTCTATCACCTCTTGCCTTTTTCTCACTCACTTTGTCAACATTTTATTCTCTTACTGGTTTATTCCCATCAGCATATGAACATGCTCATTTATCCCATATCAAACAAACAAAAAGTAAGAAAACCTCTTGACCTTCCTTCTCTCACCAACTACTCCCCAATTTCTCTTCTTCCCTTTGTAGTTAAACTCCTCTAAAGATTTGCCTATATTTACTGTCTCCAATTCTCTCTTGAGCTTACTCCAATCAGGCTTTTGCCCCACCACTCTAACAAAACTGCTTTTGTCAAGGTCACCAATGACCTCTTTATCGTAAATTGCAGTGGTTAATTCTCAGTCCTCATTGTATTTGACCTATCAGCAACATTCAATGCAGTTGATCACTCTTTCCTCCTTGAAACACAGTTGGCTTCCAGGACACCACATTATCCTTATTTTTATCCTACCTCATGAGTCACTCTTTCTTTCTCCTTTGCTAGTTCCTCTTTTCTCTTCAACCATTCTCAGTGTCAAATTATGAGCTCAGGAGAGGAGGTATTAGGGAGTTGAGAAGAAGGGATAAGGTATTAACTATTCATTCAGAAAAGTAAGAAAGTGAATGACTACGGAAGTGCAATATGCTTGCCAGTAGCACTAAGGCCATTTCATGAAGTTTTAAAATAAAACAAGTAGTTGTATGTATTTTTTTCTGGCCACATTCAGCTGATGAGTGGATGTAAGCACCAAAATCAGTAGAAAGTTGGACTTAATCAGAGTTGAGGTTTTGCCAGATGAATACAATAAAGCAAAAGAAGGGCAGGAAAATCAAGGAACAAGGGAGTGGTTATAATTAGTCTCCATGGAATTTAAACTGGGTATGCGGTAGAACATCAAGGGGATGAGGGACAGTGAAAAACTGGTAACATCAGTGGGTTGGGGGTCTTACTGCAGTTGAAGGATTGCTGGAGTCAGGGTAATAGAGGTATCAAGTTGGAAAGGTAAGAGGCGGTAGACAGAAAGTAGAATGTGTGAAAGTAAGAGCTGGGGTGGAGAACTAGGGGGAGGGAGGGAGACACCTAGGGCACAAAACTTAAGGAGGAACTTATTCTCTGGGTGGTACAAGTAAAGGCTTGGTACTTGTACAACACTGAGAGCCTCCTTAAATTTTTCACCCTAGGTGCTTCACTCACCTCACCTGTCCCACCCTACTCCTAGCCCTGACTGAGAGTGTGAAATGATTGCAATTGTTAGTAATGACAGAGTCTAGTGAATGACTGTGGGAGTAAATGGCTAAGGTAATTGTTAGAGTAAAATTTCAGAAACCAGGAAACTAGAATATTGGGAGGATCCTCTACCTATATATTGAAAATGCGGAAAATATGCCGCGCGCAGTGGCTCACGCTTGTAATCCCAGCACTTTGGGAGGCCCAGGCGGGTGGATCACCTGAGGTCAGGAGTTCGAGACCAGCCTGGCCAACATGGTGAAACCCCATCTCTAAAAAAACTACAAAAATTAGCCAGGCGTAGTGGCGGGTGCCTGTAATCCCAGCTACTCAGGAGGCTGAGGCAGGAGAATCGCTTGAACCCAGGAAGCAGAGGTTGCTTCAGCCTGGGTGACAAGAGCAAGAATCCATCTTAAAAAAAAAAAAAAGAAAAAGAAAAAGAAAATGCCAAAAATTAAGACAGGAGCAGTTTTTGGAAAATATAACTGAGCAATAAGTAAGTCACCAACAAATGAGAAGAAATGACCTGGGAGCTAGTAGGCCACAGCAACAATGAAGGGTAGTGGGTGATATAGTCTGGTTATAGGAAATTCAAAGTTGAGGATTTTAGGGAATAGAATGGGAGAATAATTTTAAAATGGCAATGAAGAGCAAGAAAGACACCTACTCCATCTCCAGGCCTATGGGTAAGCTAGTGAGAGCAAAAACAGCTACCACTTAAGAGGGCTTCAGTGGAAGCAGCATCCTTGGCAGAAACCTAGATTTCCATTAGAGCAAGAATATGGAGGAAACTTTTAGGGAAGAGGTTGCTGGTAGAGGAGATTTTGCTGAAAGTGGACTGAATTTCAGAGAGCATAGTGGAAGGGTTGGAGGAGTCGGGGAGAGATAGAAAAAGAGGACAGAAGAGGGGATATATGGAGACTTTTGGGAATAGAGTGCTGGAAATGAGGGTGACCTGACAATCTGGGGTTCTTTTGTTTACTGCTAATAAGTGGGGGATAAAGAGCACAATAAGATTAGTCCTAGTGGACTAAGGGTAGTATTGGCAAGGCTTTGAGTGTTTGTGAATAGGGAGGATTCGGTTTCCGGGGCTAATGCAAATGTGTCCTGTTTTTGTCAGTGAGTTGCATCTTCATTCTACCATCTTGCAGTAGCGTTTTTGAGAATACAAAATGAACATGTTTAGATATTTGTCTTATCTTTAATGAACAGGAATATAGATAATATTTTGCAGTATCACTTTGAGATGTAATTTAACGTATTATATTTGTTCTTTTTAGAATGGACAACAAATTGTGGCAGAAAAAGCTTTGGAATATTTAGCTCAACATTCAGAAGACCAGGAACAAGTTCTTACAGCTGTAAAGTAAGTAACCTACATCCTGTGGAAGAGAAAGTATTTCCTCTGCTTATCTTGCTCTTAGTCAATAAACTGCCAAAATAGTGCTATTGAGATCAAGGAAACTTACATAAAATAGCGAAGCAGAGGAGGGTGAGGTTGGGACTTGATAAATACTTAATGGTATGACTGAGAAAATGCCACAGTGAGAAATAAGAAACCAGCAGGATTCTAGAGTGGTTCTCCTGTTGGTCAATTACACTTGAGGCCACATTTCCAAAGGGAAATGGAGTCACATAAATAAAAGAGTCAGAGGAGTCTTGAGATACTTGCATCCCTTCAGTAAGGTAAATATTTAAAAATCATTCAGGAGAGATAGTATTTTTTAAAGCTTTTTAGGTTTTAAAACTTTACCAACTACCTTATTTTGTCAGTTTGTCATTATGCTGCCAGATCCCTTCAAAGAATAGTGATCCCAGTTTGAGACCCAAAGGCCAGTTCTAGTTCCTCTACAGAAAGAGAAAGATAAAGACTGATTTACCATACCTGATGTTCTAGCAGGTGTTTTTGAGCAATGGTATAAACTGTGGAACCATTTAAGAATTTGTTATAAGCAACGCTTTTGTTTTAAAACTCTTTTATTAAATTCCTCTTTCAAAATTATAAAATTGGTATGTTTTCATTGCAACTGTTAAAACAATAAAATATATATAAATTAAATAAGATTAATCTCCCCTTTACCCTCTCTTTTCTCACTTCTCCCTCCCAGAGTAATCAAGGTTAGTAACTTGGTATGTATTCATTCACACATGTTTCTTCCTAACCTAAGAATCACTTTCCATATTACTTTGTCATACAGGTGTTTGCTTCGTTTTCTTCTTCCAAAAATTGCTGAAATGCCGGAATCTGAAGATAAGTGAGTTATTTCAACAAAAATGATGTATTCCCCATTAGACAAATTATAGTAACTTACAATATAAATCATATATTCAGAGATACTTAGTGTAGTGGGTAAGATCAATACAGGTTTTGGGGCCAGTCTTCCTGGGTTCATATCCTGGCTCTGCTGCTTACCAGATGTGTAACCTTCAGCAAGTTTCTTAATGTCTCTGGGCTTCAGTTTCCCCAACTGTAAAGTGGGAAGAATAATAATACCTACACCATTGGGTTGCTGTGATGACTCAATGAGTTAAAACATCTAAAAGGCAAAAGACTTATGTGATCTGCAGAGAAACGAGAGTATAAGTTAATACATGTGAAACATTTAGAAGTGTCAGGAACTTAATAAGCCCTCAATAATGTTATCTATGATAGAATTATGATATTGCATCTGTTCCCCCTTTCTTAACAGATGACTCAAATATAGACATATCTCTTACTTTCCCACAGAACATATAACCTGGATGGCTTGTTGGTTATGATTCTGTATCAGGTCTGCTGAGAGTATTCAAATATATTTCTGTGCACAATATCTTTGGAATAAGATATTAAAACTTAACAATTCGTTGAAGACTTTGGTCACCAATTTTTCGTTCACAAATCTCACTACCTCCTGATTATTTGAAAGAAAACTCTACTCGGGGTGTTGATTAGGGATAACTTTCAGAGAAATATCACCCATCTCTGCATTCTCTGCTTAGACAAGAACTCTGTAATAGTTCCCTCTACTTCACTTTTGCAGCTGGAGGCAATGTATTTTTTCAAATAAATTCTTTTGGATATATCTTTGACTGAGGTAACATAGGACAGATGACTTATAACTGTCATTTTCATAATGCAAATTTTACCCAATTGCATATTATAAGTTTTGCCTTTTCTTTATAGGCTTCATAAATCCATTAGAAGGGAATTCAAACAAACCAAACAAAAGATGAAGCAATTGGAATTTTGAATAATGACCAAATATTTGCTGATACTAAGAAATTATTAACTTTTAGACATGATAATTGTAGTGTGGTTGGTTTTTTAAAAGATTGCTTATCTCTTACAGACACATCTTGAAATATGTATGGATGAAATAATGTGATGTCTGGAATTTGCTTCAAAATAATATGGGAGAGGAAGAAGTGGGTGGAGGTATCAAGGAGATAAGATTGATGATGAGTTAATAATTATTGAAGCTGTGTGATAGGTACATGAGGATTCATTATGCTTGTCTGTTAACATTTGGACATCTTTGAAGTTTTCACCAATAAGAAGCTTTTTTAAAAAAGGACTAAACCATGATAACTACTAGATTGTAAGAGTACCTTTAGGGCTAGGACTATATTTGTATTTATCTTTGTATCACTGAAACCTAGGGCAGTATCTGACACATAATTGCCATTCGATTTATTTAAATGACTGAATATTAGTTATTTATAATATCTCCAGCACTGGACTTAAAGATGCTTCATATTTCTCATAATTGTGGCATACAGTCAAACCACACACATTAAAACCAATTGGGAAATGGGGTAAGGGAGGGAATCCTGTTTGAATTAATGAGAAATTACAAACACTTTTTAAAATATACCTTCATTGTTTTCAAGTAAATGCAGTGACAGAGAACATCCTCTAGCAATGTTTTCAGGTAGAGGTTAGAACCTGATTTAACAAATAGATTAGACTAACTTGTAAAAAATATTTTAAGTGCCTAATTCAATGAGAGGGCTCAAGAGAATTGAATTGTAGGTTCAGCTATTTCAATAACTTTTGGTTTACTGTAGGCAATGGCAACTTCTTTAACTTCTCTAAGCTTTATTTTCCTCATCTGTAAAATTTTAAAAACTGGACTGGATAATTTTTATAGGCCTTTTCTGTTCCAAAATTCCTGTGGTTATAAATGAGCAGTATCTACCTAAGTACTAACAACTCATATGCTAAATCTTTTAAAAGCAGTTTTTCTCTTAAATAGATTATACATTCCTTTGCATGTCTTCATTCTTATTTGTACTGTATATTTTTATTAATGGACCCTTCCTAGATTATTTGATATGAAGTCACCGAATTAAGCAGTGAAGAAATCAACTTTAGCTTGGCTGAAATTCAAATTAATAAATTTACTGTAAGAAGTTACTTTATATAAACCAGACTTCTAAGATTTATCCCTGAAAAATCTGCTGCTTTTCCTGACCACAGTCTTTATATGTTAAACCTCTACTGATAAGGCCAGTCTTATAGTATGTTCTACCCTTCTTCCTGTAAACTTCCTTAGTTGAGTTTGCCAATACTTTCGTATTCATTCCTTTGTTTGCTTTAAGTTTTTATTTCATTTTATTTTTTAAGTTTAATATTTTATTTTTATTTATATATATATATATATATATATATATTTTTTTTTTTTTTTTTTTTTTTTTTTTTTTTGAGACCGAGTTTCACTCTTTCGCCCAGGCTGGAGTGCAGTGGTGTGATCTCGGCTCACTGCAAACTCCACCTTCTGGTTTCAAGTGATTCTTCTGCCTCAGCCTCCTGAGTAGCTGGGACTACAGGCATCCGCCACCACACCCGGCTAATTTTTGTATGTTTAGTAGAGACGGGGTTTCACTATGTTGGCCAGGCTAGTCTCAAACTCCTGACCTCGTGATCCTCCCACCTCAGCCTCCCAAAGTTCTGGGATTACAGGTGTGAGCCACCGTGCCCGACCCTAATATTTTATTTTTTTAGTTAAATTTTAGGTTCACAGAAAAGCTAACAGGAAGGCACAGAGATTCCCATACATCCCCTCTCCCCACCACATGCATAGCCTCCTCCATTCCCCGCCAGAGTGCTACAGTTATTACAATTGATGAAGCTAAATTGACATATCATAATCATTTGAAGTCCATAATTTATATTAGGGTTCACTCTTGATGTTGTACATTCTATGGGTTTGGACAAAGGTATAATGGCATGTATGTATCATTACAATATCATACAGAGTATTTTCACTGCCCTAAAAATTCTCTGTGCTCCACCTATTCATTCCTCCTTCATCAACCCCTTACTGTCTCCATAGTTTTGTCTTTTCCAGAATGTCATACAGTTGGAATCATACAATATGTAGCCTTTTCACATTCGCTTCTTTCACTTAGTAATATGCATTTAAGGTTCCTCCATGTATTTTTGTGTCTTGATAGCACTGAATGATATTGTATTGTATGAACGTATCACATTTTATTTATCCATTCACCTACTGAAGGGCATCTTGATTTCTTCCAAGTTTTGGCAATTGTGAATAAAGTTTCTGTAAACATTCATGTGCAGGTAACTTTTTAGCTCCTTTGGTAAATATTAATACCGAGGAGCATGATTGCTGGGTCATATGGTAAGACTATGTATGTTTGGTTTGTGAGAAACCGGTAGACTGTCTTCCAAAGTGGCTGTACCCTTTTGCATTCCTTCCTGCCAGCAATGAATAAGAGTCCCTGTTGCTGTGTGCCCTCACCAGCATTTGGTGTTGTCAGTGTTTGAGATTTTGACCATTCTGATAGGTATGCAGTGGTAACTCATTGTTTTATTTTGTATTTTTCTGATGATGTATGATTTGGAGCGTCTTTTTATGTGTGTATTTGTCATCGTATATCTTCTTTGGTAAGGTTTCTGCTAAGGTCTTTGGCCCATTCTTTTCTCCCAAGGATTTTAGGACCCTTGCCAGCAACCTCAGACCAAATACACTTCTAATTATACCACAGTATAATACCACAGTATAAAGATCCCTGGCGTTTGACCACAGATCCCAAATATAACAAAAGGATCATAACGGTTAAAAGACACTGGCACATGGCCGGGCATTGTGGCTCACAACTGTAATCCCAGCACTTTGGGAGGCCGAGGCGGGCGGATCACAAGGTCAGGAGATTGAGACCATCCTGGCTGACACAGTGAAACCCCATCTCTACTAAAAATACAAAAAATTAGCTGGGCGTGGTGGCAGGTGCCCAGCTACTCGGGAGGCTGTAGTCCCAGCTACTCGGGAGGCTGAGGCAGGAGAATGGCATGAACCCGGGAGGCAGAGCTTGCAGTGAGCCGAGATTGTGCCACTGCACTCTGGGCAACAGAGTGAGACTCCGTCTCAAAAAAAAAAAAAAAGATACTGGCACATTACTGGAGTCCCATTCAGTCATTAATAATTTGTCCAGTCCATCATTATATCATGAAATTGTCTCCCAGGTCCCAGGGCAAGGCTACTGAGGTTTCCAGGCTTCTGTTTGGTCAGATTCCAAAAGCAGGAGTGGTCTCCACAATATATGGCTTCACCTTTTCAGGCATCTGGTATAATTGAACTAAGAGACAATATCATCTTTTGCTTTGAGACTCTTTTGAGGTACTGATGTAATATTGGATTTCCCTTACTACATAACTCATTTGTTCATTTCTTACTCTCATCTACTATTCCTCCTTTTTTCTATTTATAACCAAACTTTTCCACATTTGAAAGAACATTAGGTGCTGGTCCAGATTACAGGCAACACTACTAATCTAGCAAATGCCTCCCCCTCAGTCCACTCCCATTTATATAAGGTAGGGTTATATAGATACAGAACTAGTGGACTATCTTGACCATTAAGCAATACAACTGCATTTACTCTTAACCCCAATTTTGCTAGATAGGGTAAAGACACACCCTGCCCCCAAGAGGCCCTTAGGAATTCTGACATAAAGATTTAAAAATATAGTTAGGTTTCTTGCTTAGGAATCTGCCCTGTTTCCAACACTTGTAGTTGCAGCCATGGTCTTGCTCATGTTTCATCAGGTAGGAAACATAAAGTTGAGGTGATATGAGGAGGAAAGAAAGAAAGAAAAAAATATTGTCATCATGCCAGTGTCCTACACCCTTGGGAAGAATTGCAGTCATACTAGCATCCTTCCCCAACTCCTCTTCCTCAGACTCAGCAGAAAAACAGAGGAGTCTATCTAGTGGGGACACTTCCTTAGCCCCACCCCCCATATTGAGTGTGAGCTTGTGAAGGCATGTAAGCCAGTCCTTCATCCCTATGTCTGCCCCCATTTTAGACAACCAATGTTTCAATTGCTTGTTCCGGCTTCCCTTTCTAACTATTATTCCAAGGAGGATATATCTCTGCCCGTTGTTGGACATTATGGGTTGTAAAGTGTGTTTCTTGGTCTGAGAAAATGTGACTCAGCAGCCCAAATTGGTGCAGTATATTCTGTTCCAGTTCTTTTATTACACTCTGAGCATTTGCATCTACCACTGCGTAAGCAAAGGCCAATCCAGAGTTAGTGTCTATTCCTGTCGAAACTCATACCCTGGGGCTATCAGCATCAGTCTGACTTGCTAGCTGTGTTCAAGGCCTTCCCCGTGAGGAATCTGCCACATAGCCATCTTAAGTCTCTGTCTCTTTTGTTGGAAAACAGAACAGTTATTGGCATTTTGTGCTTCAGAGGGTACAAGAGGAATATGTCCAGGTTCAACTTCAGAGGTTACAAGAGGAATATGTCTAGGTTCAACTCATTTCTTTTTGCTGAGTCCCCAGATGCCCACTAATTTCGTGGACCCAGGGGGCCGCCTCAAGGGAGCACACAGAGATATCCACTTGTTGATTCTCATCACCTTCCAAACCTGGAAGGGGATTCTTCTGATGGATATCAACATGTCCTACATTAATGCACCTCTCAGATTTCCATAGTGATTTTCCATAGAGTCATACACCATACAAACATCCTGTTAATGGACCAGTTTTCCATTTCCCTTCTGTAAGACTACATGGCCAGGTCATTGGCCACTGCCAATGAGTCAGTCAAAACCCAAACACAGGGGCTTTTACCACTGTTCAATTCTTCCTTCACTGCTAGGAAAACAGCATGCAGTTCTGCCTGCTAAGATGATTTGTTTTTACCTTCTTTGATCTGATGGTAGCCTTCCAAACAGAATATTGTTTGTTCACCTTGGAACTGCCATGCATAAATTAAGCAGCTCTTTGTCAATCAGTTGAGAACTGTTTATAGGGCACTGTCCCAATGACAATAGAATCCAGCAGCTCCTCATGCATTTCCAAAGTCAGTCCTAGGGGAAATGAGACTCTGCTCATGAGTACCTCCTCCTTGCATTCACAGGTAGCATGATCATGTATGTATAAACCACTTCCATTTTATTATGGAGTTTTTCTGGGCACTGCCCTCCCAATTAGAGTGTTTTTCCAATATCACCCAAGGCTTCATCATGGGTATTTCAGCTTTCAGGATTATTTTCCTCCACCATCCTTCCCATCCTTCCAAGTCTCCAATGTCTATTTTATCCCTTTCTGTGTCCATGTATACACATTATTTAGCTCCCACTTATACTTGAGATGTGGCATTTGACTTTCTGCTTCTGAGTTATTTCACTTAAGATAATGGCCTCCAGTTCTATCCATGCTTCTGCAAAAGACATGGTTTCATTCCTTTTATGGCTGAGTAGTATCTCATTATATATATATAATGTATATATATGTATTGTATATGTGTATATATGTATTATATATGTGTATATACATATATGTGTATATGTATTATATATAATATATAATGATATATATGTATATATAATGATATATATATATAAAACCTTCACTTATTCTTCTTTTGATGCTTTTCCTATCTTTATGTAGATCTGAGTTTCTGACCTATATCATTTTCCTTCTCTCTAAATAACTTCTTTTAACATTTCTTACAAGGAAATCTACTGGCAACAAATTCCTTCAACTTTCTTTGTCTGAGAGGTTTTCTTTCTTTTAATTTAATTGTTAATTTTTTCTGGGTACATAGTAGATGTATATATTTATGGGCTACATGTGATATTTTGATACAAGCATACAATGTGTAATAATCACTTCAGGGTACATGGGGTATCCATCACCTCAAACATTTATTGATTATACACTTTTAGTTGTTTTTAAATGTATAATTAAATTACTTTTTACTATAGTCACCTAGTTGTGCTAGAAAATACTAGCTCTTATACATTCTTCCTAACTATTTCTTTGTACCCATTAACCATCCTCACTTCCTTCTACCCCCCGCAACCCTTCCCAGCCTCTGGTAACCATCGTTCTACTCTCTATCTCCATGAGTTAAATTGTTTTAATTTTTGGCTCCCACAAATAAGTGAGAACATGTGAAGTTTGTCTTTCTGTGCCTGGCTTATTTCATTTAACATAATGACCTCCAGTTCCATCCCAGTTGTTGAAAATGACAGGATCTCAATTATTTTCTATGGCCGAATAGTCCTCCATTGTGTATATGTACCACATTTCCTTTATCCATTCATCTGTTGACGGACACTTGGGTTGCTTCTGAATCTTGGCTATTGTGAATAGTGCTGCAACAAACATGGGAGTGCACATATCTCTTTGATGTACTGACTATCTCTTCCTTCTTTCCTTCTGTCCTGTCTTCCTTTTAGTGAAGGTGATTTTTCTCTGGTGGTATGATTTAACTTCTTTGTTTTTTTGTGTGTGTATCTGTTTTATGTTTTTTATTTGAGGTTATCATGAGGCTTGCAAATAATATCTTTTAACCCATTATTTTAATCTGATGACTTAACACTGCTTGCATAAACAAATTAACTACTAACAAGCAAAAGAAAAATAATACAAATTCTACAGCTTAACTTCTTCCCCTCACTTTTTAACTTTTTGTTGTTTCTATTTATATCTTATACTGTCTATGTCTTGAAAAGTTGTTATATTTATTATTTTTGGTTGGTTCATCTTTTACTTTTAGTTTTTCTATTTAAGGGTAGTTTATACACTGTACTTACAGTGCTATAATATTGTGTTTTTTTCTGTGTATTTATATATTACTAGTGAGTTTTGTACCTTCAGATGCTTTTTTCTTGCTCATTAACATCCTTTCATTTCTGATTAAAGTACTCCCTTTAACATTTCTTTTAGGACAGGTCTGGTGTTGACGAAATCCCTCAGCTTTTGTTTGTCTGGGAAAGCCTTTATTTCTCCTACATGTTTAAAGGATATTTTTGCCAGATAATACTATTCTAGGGTAAAAGTTTTTTCCTTCAACACTTTGAATACGTCATGCCATTGTCTCCCAGTTGTAAGGTTTCCATGGAAAAGTTTGCTGCCAAGCATATTGCAACGCCATTGTATGTTGTTTCTTTTCTGTTGCTTTTAGGATTCTTTCTTTATCCTGAACCTTTGAGAGTTTGATAATTAAATGTCTTGAGGTAGTCTTCTTTGGGTTAAATCTACTTGGTGTTCTGTAACTTTCTTGTACTTGGATATTGATATCTTTCTCTAGATTTCTCTAGTTTTCTATTATTATCCCTTTAAGAAACTTTCTACCCATGTCACTTTCTCTGCCTCTTCTTCAAGGCCATTAACTCTTACATTTGCTCTTTTAAAACTGTCTTCTAGATCTTGTAGCTGTGCATCATTTTTAAATTCTTTTTTCTTTTTTCCTCTCACCGTGTGTTTTCAAATAGTGTGTCTTTGAGCTAACTAGTTATTTCTTCTGCCTGATCAGTTCTACTATTTAGAAACTCTGATATATTCTTCAATTGCATTTTTCAACTCCAGAATTTCTGCTTGATTCTTAATTATTTTAATTTCTTTGTTAAATTTATGTGATAGAGTTCTGAATTTCTTCTCTGTTATTTTGAATTTGAATTTCCTCAAAACAGCTATTTTGAATTCTCTTTCTGAATGGTCACATACCTCTGTTTCTCCAGAACTGGTCCCTGGTGTCTTATTTAGTTCATTTGGTGACATCATGTTTTCCTGGGTGGTCTTGATGCTTCTGGGTGTTCATCAGTATCTGGGCACTGAATAATTAGTATTATTGTAGTCTTTGCATTCTGGGCTTATTTGTACCTGTCCTTCTTGGGAGGGCTTTCGTGATATTTAAAAGTACTTGGGTGCTGTGATCTAAGCTGTATCTGCATTAGGGGACACCACAAGCCCAGTAATGCTATAGTTCTTGGAGACTCATAGAGGTACTACCTTGGTGGTCTTGAATAAGGTCCGGAAGAATTCTCTAGATTACCAAGCAGAAACTCTTGTTCTCTTCCCTTACTTTCCCCCAAACAAACGGAGTCTCTCTCTCTCTCTCGCTCTTTCTCTGTCTCTCTCTCTCACTCTCTCCTGAACTGTCTGGCATTGGGGGTATGTTGATACAAGCACCCCTATGGCCATTACCACTAGAACTGCACTGGGTCAGACTTGAAGCCAACACAGCCCTGGTTCTCACCCAAGGCCCACTGTAAGCACTACCTGACTACCACCTGTGTTGTTGGTTCAAGGCCTTAGGGCTCTGCAATCAGCAAGTGGTGAAACCAGCTAGTCCTGTGTCCTCTTCAGGGCAGCAAGTTCCCCCAGGCCCCAGGTGAGTCCAGAGAAGCTGTCCAGGAGCCAGGGACGGCAGTCAAAAACCTTAGAAGTGTAGCTCAGATGTTCTCTTCTACTGTGGCTGAGCTGGCTGTCAAACCATGAGACACAGTCCTTCCCACTCTTCCCTCCCACTTCCACAGGCCCATGGGGAGTACTGCCAGCCTACCGCTGATGTTCACTTAAAGCCTGAGGACTTTTCAGTCACCTTGTGGTAAATGCTGCCAGGCCTTATTTCACCTTTCAGGGCAGTGGGCTCCCCTCTGGCCCAAGGCAGGTCCAGAAATACCACTCAAGAGCCAAGGCCTAGAATTGGGGATCCTGAGATCCCGCTTGATGCTCTACCCTACTGTGGCTGAGCTGGTACCTAAGGCATAAGACAAAGTCCTCTTTACTTTTCCCTCTGCTTTTCTCAAGCAGAAGGAGTCTCTCACCATAGCTGCCATAGCTGGGAATGTGGTGGATCTCACCTGAAGCCAGCACATCTCAGAGTTTCACCCAAGGCCTACAGTGTACTACTTGGGATCACTGCTGATTATTCATGGCCCAAGGGCTCTTCAGTCAACAGGTGATGGATCCTTCCGGGACTGGGTCCTTCCCTTCAAGGCAATGGGTTCTCTTCTGGCCCAGGGTGTGCATCAAAATGTCATCCAGGAGCTAGAGCCTGGAATGGGGGTCTCATGCCTCTGCCCAGTGCCCTATCCTACTGTGGATGATCTGATATCCAAGATGCAAGACAAAGTCTTCCCTCTCTTCCCTCTCTTCTCTTCAAGCGGAAGGAAGAGGTCTCCTTTGGAGCCACAAGCTATGCTACCCAGGGTTGGGGAGGGGTGGAACAAGCACCCCCTTAGCTACCCCAGCTGGTGGCTCAGTAAGTTGCGTGCCCCCAAGTCCATTGGTTCTGAGCCCAGCTCAGCACTAAGACTTGCAGTCCTTGTGGCCTAGACTGTCTTTCAAGTTTATTTAGAGCCCCAGAGCACTTTAGCCCATGATGACGAGGCTTGCTGGAATTCAGATTCCAACGACTGGGATGGGAGATTCCCCACTTGCTACAGCTGGTCCAAATGTTCCCTCTGTTAGCGGGAGTTGGCTGTGTTTAGCCCAGTTTTCCTTCCTGCTGTGACAGGGCAGCACTGAGTTCAGTGCAAAGTCTGATAATCTCTGCACTCTCTCTCTCTTTCTCAAGTGCGCAGATTTCTCTGCACCAGGCAGCTGCTGGGGGATAGGGAAGGGGTGGCATTGGTGATTAAAGACTGTCTTTCCTACCCTCTTCAGTTCCTCTTTCAACAATATGAAGTTGGAACCAGATACTGTGAGTGCTCACCTGATTTTTGGTTCTTATGAGAGTCATTTTTTGTATGTAGACAGTGGTTAAATTTGGTGTTCCTACGGTGGGGGAGGATGATGGGTGGGCCTTCTGTTCCATAATCTTGCTCCACCCCTGTGTCTGAGAGTCTTTATTTTCCTTCACTTTTGAAGTATAATTTCACAAGGTACAAAATTCTGGGTTAGTGGGATTTTCTCTCAACATTTAAATAATTTGCTTCAGTCTCTTCTTTTTTGTGTGGTTTCTGAGCAGAAGTAGAATGTAATTCTTATCTTTGTTCCTCTTTAGGTAAGGTATTTTTTCCTCAGGCTTTTTTTCAGAATTTTGTCTGTATATTTTATTTCCTGTAGTTTGAAAATAAAATGCCTAGATGTCTTTTTTTGTCATTTGTCCTGTTTGATGTTCTGAGCTTCCTGAATCTGTGATTTGATATATATGACATTAATTTGGGGAACTTCTCAGTCATATTATTTGAAGTATTTTTTCTGTTGCATTACCTATTCTTCTCCTTCTGGTATTCCCATTACACATATGTTACACCTTTTGTAGTTGTCTCACAGTCCTTGGATATTCTGTTCTATTTTTTTCAGTCTTTGTTCTCTTTGCTTTTCAGTTTGGGAGGTTTCTGTTTATATACCCTCAAGGGCAGAGATTTTTTTTTTCCTCAGCTTTGTTCAATCTACTAATAAGCCCATCAAAGGTTTTCTCATTTCTGTTACAGTGTTTTTGATCACTAGCATTCCTTTTTGGTTCTTAGGATTTCCATCTCTCTGATTACTTTGCTGATCTGCCCTTGCATGCTGTCCACTTTATCCATTAGAGCCCTTAGAATAATTATCATAATCGTGATCAATTATCATAGTTGTCTTAAATTCCCAGTCTGATAATTCCAACGTTCCTGCTATGTCTAGTTCTAGTGCTTGCTCTGTGTCTTCAAATTGTATTTTCTGCCTTTTAGTATGCCTTCTAATTTTTTCTTAAAAGCTGGGCATGATGTACCAGGTAAAAGGAACTATTAGTTTCCTAATAAATAGGCCTTTAGTAATGTGGTGGTGAATTGTGGGGAGAGGGGAAGCATTATTATTATTATTATTATTATTGAGATGGTGTCTCGTTCTGTCACCCAGGCTGGAATGCAGTGGCATGATCATGGCTCACTATAGCCTTGACCCCCACCCAGGCCCAAGTGATCCTCACACCTCAGTCTCCAGAGTAGCTGGAACTGCAGGCATGTGCAACCACAGCTGGCTGATTTTTAAATTTCTGTAGAAATGTGGTCTCACTGTGTTGCCCAGACTAGTCTCAAACTCCTGGATTCAAGCAATCCTCCCGCCTTGGCATCAAAAATGCTGGGATTACAGGCATGAGCCACTGCACCTGGCTGGGAAGCATTGTTTAGTCCTATGATTGGTCTTTTAGCAAGCCTATACCTCTGGACTGTGAACTTCACAAGTGCTTCTCAGGTTTTTTTCTCCCCCATTAAGTGGGACAGGATGGCTAGAGTGGACTGAATTTGAGTATTTCCCTTCTCCGAGATCAGTTAGGCTCTGATATACCCCAGAAGGTCAGGCTGTGGTTAAGCAGTTTCTCTTGAGGGCAAGACTTGTTAAGAACAGGGTGCTCTGGCATGTTTTAAAGTGTTTTGTTTCCTCTGCCCCCTGCAAGATGCATAAAGAGATTTTGCTCCAATATTCACTGAGTAGCTAACCAAGCTCCTGGAGGCAAAACTCACAAAACTGTGGAGGCCTCCTTATGACTGGGTCCTCCTGAGTCTTTTAATTCAGACTTGTCCACACTGAGCCTCCAGTGGTTTGTCAGTTACGCTTCAGGTTTTCCTACTCCAGCATTGGTTCCCATGGTAGTTTCCACTTTTGAATCTCTGCTCTAGTAAGCTATGACTCCCTATCTTCGCCCTTCTCTCCAATTTTTGTGGCAGTGGTTTTCCCTTTTTCCTCTCGTCTCTTATAGGTCCAAGAAGAGTTACTAATTTTTCAGTGTGTTCAGCGTTTTACTTGTTAGGAGAAACTGGCAACTTCCAAGCTCCTTACATGCATAACTAGAAACCGGAAGTTCTCTTTTAAATTTTATATGCTTAAAGAAGCTTGACAGAGGGGTCAGGAAACCTGGGTCTACTCTTTTCTTCATCTGTAAAATGATGTGTCTGTACAAGATAAGTTATTTTTTAAGCTGCATTCCTTAGAACCGTGGAAATTTTGTGGCACTGCATCAGGGACTTCCAGGAAGGTGAAACTCCAAGCCTCCACCCACTCCTCGTTCAACCACAGCAGCTCAACTTTTATCTTTTATCTTTTCTTGTATATTAGACTTTTATACAACTTTATTTGAAATAAGGGTTCTAGTTCCCCCCTTCAAAAAAGCTTATAAATCACAGAGATCACCAGCTGCTCTCAAGTGTTATGACCCTACAATATAAAACCTTGTCATTGAAATCCTTTGCTGAGAGTTTATGAAGAAGTAGAAGAGAGAAAAAATATGAGGGCACTGGGAATGAGTAACTGTATCCTACAGTGGGGAAGAAGATTGTTGAAATGGTAGATTGGAGTCCTGAGCAAAAAACTTCACAATTTTGCATTTTCTTAGTTCAATTCTCAGGCACAAATAGTGTCCCTTTTTAGTTATGTTTTATAGTAAAGATTTGGAGCAGTTGGAAAATATCCTTTTCTTTATTTTTAGGAAGAAAGAAATGGATCGACTTTTGACTTGCCTGAATAGAGGTAAATATCTCCCTGGTTATATTCAGTCCTTCATCTTGCCTCTATTCTCTGTTGAATTCTCCAAGTACACTAAGCACAGCAACTTTAACCTTATGTTTGAGTTAAGCTTCATGCTCCTTATTAATCTTTGCCACAGGAATCTATTTTGGTTTCTTCATTCACAAGCAGAGAAAAGTGTGTCATCATTAGCATTCATCTCCAAATGTGATTTCAGTTCTGTTTTAATTCCTATTTGTTTTAAGGACATTTCCTTCCCTCCCTCCCTCCCGTCCCTCCCTCCCTCCCTCCCTCTCTTCCTTCCTTCCTTCCTTCTTTCTCTCCTTCCCCCTTCCCTCCCTCCTTTCCTTTCCTTCTCTCCCTTCCTCCCTTCTCTCCCTCCCTGTCCCTCTACCTTTCTTTTCTAGTAGCCACTTGATCCTAACCTAAGAATTGAACAGGTGAAAAAAGATCAAGACAAATAAAAATACTCTGAACCCTGCTGTTTTTTTCATACCCTCTGAATCAAATTCAGGTTGCATATTCTCTTATTTTGAAGCTGTCCACCCAAGTCTGTGCCATCTCCCTTATCTACTAATAATTTTTCCCTGTCCACTTTATTCAAGCTAATCTCCTAGTTGTATCACATTTTTTTTCTAACTACATGCTTTTTTACATGGCATCCCTTTTAACAGATCTCCCATTTTTACTGTCCATGTACCTCTTTCCTTATGTCCAAAACACACCAAAAAGTTCATATCTTAGAAATTCTATCCTGCTCAGTGCAGTAGTTCAATTTTATACCTCAAATACCTGTCAGCAGGGTGTTAAACATAGCAAAGTGGTTTAGAAACCAGACCACTTCTTTTCAAAAGAGAAAAACTTTGCTGGTTGGCATTCTTATTTCTCAGAAAGAGAATGCCTTCTGATAGTGATAGCACATTCTGGTTCTGTCCTGAGCTTGCTGGCTCAGTAAATATTATGCCAGCATATTGATACCCTTCTAATTTTCAATCTCCAGTTCAGTCTTTTAAACGATTGTTTCTATTTTTTATTTCCTCACATGTAAATCATATCTTTCTACCTCAGGTGGTGAATGATTGCACTAATTAAAATTATAAATCTCTCCAAAGACATGTTTGTTCCCCAGAGTTTGAGTTAACAACTTCTTGGAACTTGGTAATGCTTTCTGTCATTTTAATTACTTTTGGTATGCACCCCTACACACATACACAAAAAAGAACTTTCTAAATTCAAACTCCTGTGAGACTGTTCTTAAAGCAGGATTAAACAATTTTGCTAGAGTATAAAATAAGACCATCAGTATCAAATTTTCCTGTTTGATGCAGCCTTTGTGAAACTTTCTCAGCCTTTTGGTGAAGAAGCCTTAAGTTTGGAGTCAAGAGCTAATGAAGCTCAGTGGTTTCGAAAAACAGGTAAGAGGAAATTCTGTGGCTCTGGGAAACATTGTGGGGTGGTGGAATTAGACAGATGTGATTTCAAATTCTGGATCTTTCATTTGTAGCTGTGGGTACAGAGATAACTTGCTTAATCTGTTTTATTACTTATAAAATGGAAATAGTTATATATACTTCATGCAGTTATTAAGGGTTTTAAATGAAACAGCATATATACTTTTTTCATAGTAGATACTCAATGGACATTAGTTGTGTCCCTTTTCTATAGAAATGGGTCTAAGATGAAACTAATGAACTGTAACTACAGGTCCTCAAGGTTGTGCTCCTAAACTTGGTTTAGAATACTTAATTTTTTTTTTTTTTTTTTTGAGATGGAGTCTCGCTCTGTCGCCCAGGCTGGAGTGCAGTGGCTTGATCTCAGCTCACTGCCAGCTCCGCCTCCCGGGTTCACACCATTCTCCTGCCTCAGCCTCCCTAGTAGCTGGGACTACAGGCACCCGCCACCACGCCCGGCTAATTTTTTGTATTTTTAGTAGAGATGGGGTTTCACCGTGTTAGCCAGGATGGTCTCGATCTCCTGACCTCGTGATCCACCTGCCTCGGCCTCCCAAAGTGCTAGGATTACAGGCGTAAGCCACCGTGCCTGGCCTAGAATACTTAATTTATTTCTGAGTGTGATTGACCAAAAATGAACTATATACAACAATATGGATGAATCTCACAAACATAATGTTGAGCAAAAGAAGCTAGATATTGAAGAATACATATTGTGTTGTTCATTTTATTTATAATTTTTTAAATGGGCAAAACTAATATATGGTGTTATAAGTCAGGATAATGGTTACCCTGGAAAAGGAGTTGGACTTGAAAGTTGTAGGAGCTTCAGGGTTTCTGGTAATGTTCAAGATCTTTCTTAATGTGGGTGCCAGACGCATGGATATGTCCACTTTGTGAAAATTCATCAAGCTGTACAATTATGAGTTGTGTAATATACTTTATAATGGCTCTATTTCAATAAAAATGATTTTAAAACTTGCGGAGGCAGTTACTACAGTGATAAGTAAGCATGAGCAATTAAGCAGCAGTGCCACAAAGTGGACTGATTCTACATGAACCTCTCCCTGTGTTATGAGGTTTAATAGGGCTTTAATCCTGGGAGAAAGGGAATGAATACTGCAATCTGACTTCTAAGAAACTGATGCAAATAATGAAAAATAACAAACATTTAAAATATAGACAAGTTTGGTGACTTTAATCTTTTGAAGGTTTGAAAAGGAATGTTTTTACTTTACTGCATTTTAATTTGGATTTTCCAAGGGGAAGATGATGCTGACTGATGCCTGATGAGGGCTTCTACTGCTCTTTGGAAGATATGAATCTCTCCAGTAATTTTTCTCAACTCTTGATTACAGTGTACCTTGTTCTTAGGTGAATTTTAACTTACTTTCACCACTGCGAGTTAGTGAGCTCTATCCATGTTGATCTTCATTTTTAGATAGATTAGTGTCAATTAAGAATTTTTTTTTTTTTTGAGACGGAGTTTTGCTGCCAGACTGGAGTGCAGTGGTGGCATCATAGCTCACTGTAACCTCAAATTCCTGGTGTCAGTCTTCTGGGACTATAGTTGTGTGCCACCACACCTGGCTAGTTTTGTTTTGTTTTGGTTTGTTTTTTAATTTTTTTGTATAGACGGAGTCTCTCTCTGTTGCCCAGGCTGGTCCTGAACTCCTGGCCTCCAGCAATCCTCCTGCCTTGGTCTCCCAAAGTTCTGGGATTATAGGAATGAGCCACCAAGCCTGGCCTCAGCTAAGAATTCTTATTGCATGTCCCCAATTTTAAAAAATTCAGCAGTACCTCCCTTGGTCATTGGTCTAGTGTTGAAGATTGGAATTGACGAGGGTCTCTAAATTTACCTGGAAAATTTTTCTTTAAAACCTAAAGTTAATTGTTTAAACCTTGAGAAACCCCTTACTAGTATGTTAATATCAAAGGTGTAAGTATCAGAAATTGTAATGGTACAGACTAAATGGTAGATTTTCATAATTTCATATTATTATGTTATTTCATGTTAATTTCCAGCTTGGAACTTGGCTGTGCAATGTGACAAAGATCCAGTGATGATGAGAGAGTTTTTTATACTTTCTTATAAGGTAAGTTTCTTTTAATAAGTATCTCATGTATGGACCACAACAAGGCTATAACCACTATGGCTATAGTAAAGGGCTAAATATAGACTAGGATTGTCTCTTGATCTAGGAACTTTTAATATATATGTAAGCAGGAATGACCTAAGAAGAATTTGTTCCTTTTAGGGTATAACATAAGAATGTGGGGCATATCTTTCTATACCAAAATATCAGAAACATTCATCAGGGAGCCTAAAGTTCTACCATTTAAGACTTATTTCTTTGCCTTTGAAGGGATCTCAGCCTCCCAAAGTCCTATATTAAAATGTAAATATCTTTAGGAGGGGAATACTCTAAGTAGTTGTTAATTACCAACACATTATGAAGAGTTATGGGAATAAGTCTACAAGAACATAGAATAAGTATCTGGGGATAGCAGGGGCTGAAAAAAGAGATAAGAAGCTTAGGCCTCCTTTATAACTTTCCTATAGCAGGTCCTGAGTGTAGCGATTTGTGAGTTTGTTATTTAATTATAAGCATTTTTAAATAGTCGTTGGCCTCCAAGGTAGAGGTTAAATGCCAGAAAGAGGACCAAGTATTGACAGGAAGATAAAAGGAGAAGGACTAAAGAATATCCTTCATACACATTCAGGAATACACAGTATGATATGTTGAGATCAATTAAATGTTAAGAGTTTTAGAGCTAGAAAGAACTATAAAGACTATCTAGCACAACTCCTTCATCTCACATAAGAGTAATCAGAGACCTAAAGAGATTGGTTGTCTTAAAATGCTATTAATTTAATAACAATGATGATTATGATCACTGAATGTTTGGGGAGATTAAGAAATAGTCTTTGCAAGTTTAGGCATAACTGCCATTTTAATTAAGTGAAATAAATTGGTTTTAGTTTTGGCATTTGTGATGGGACTTGTAGGATTGGCGTGTAAGAATCCAAATGGCCTAGAGTTTTATTGTAGTAGCTGGGAGTTTTTCCTAAAACTATACAATGTTAATGATGAGGTCATGACTAATGCCTGTCAAGATTTGACAATGCCTCTTTCAACCATGACAATATATGAACTAATTTTGGCTCTATTCAATACAAAGGTGGAAATCTTATTTGCCAGGGGAAAAATCACTTACAAATTACAACATAAACCAAGAAGTAAATCACTAGATAGAAATACAAGGGCGAATGATACTACTTGTCACTGGAAAAGATAGGAATACTGTGAAGAAATGAAGCTTTTTATCTCTAGGAAGGTACTAAAAACAATGGAAAGTAATATAAAATTAAAAGCATAAATCAGTATTATAGTTTATATCATTTCTATGGTGACATGTGCTTTTCCAGCTGAATTTTCTCATTCAAACAGGAAGTTGCTGATTTTCATTCTGATTGTTTGTGTTCACCTGGCAGAATTCTCACTATTCATTGATGTTCTGGTTACTTCTTATCAGATGTCCCAGTTTTGTCCTTCTGATCAAGTAATTCTGATTGCACGGAAAACATGTTTACTTATGGCAGTTGCAGTTGATCTAGAGCAAGGGAGAAAAGCTTCAACAGCTTTTGAACAGGTAATGTGCAACCTTCAAAGAAAAGACAAGAGTTCAGTGTGCTATTTGATATGTTTGCCTTCCCTGATGCAGTTCTTTTTGATTCTCTTTAGAGAATCCTTTTCTCCACTCCAGCATCGTCTTGATTTCAAAAGTTTGTAATGGCTAATTCCTTCCTAAGCAAAGGTTACTTTTGGTGTGGCCTCTTCTTTTAAGAAGATTAGATATCTCTTCTTTTAAAATTCCCCTTCCTATGGACCACTCTTTCCAAAAATGTTTTTAAATATCTTTTATCTTCATTGTCTGCCTGTGATTATATACGCGTTTGGACTCCACTTTTGTTTCTTACCACATCTTCTAAGGAAGAACTCATCTGTTTCCATAGCTTTGATAGCCATCTGAAATTATTACTTATCTGGTTTTTCTTCTCTCAATTGCATTTGCTTTCTTTTTCCCACATCCTTAAATATCTCATTAACTTAATTTCTACAAGACAGAATTCCTTACCTTTGCCTGAATTCCCCTATCAGATTCTTAAATGTTACCCCTTTTAGGAGCTATCAATATCACCGTCTCCCATACACCAGATTATTGGTTTGCTTTTAGCTGTTTACCTTTCTTCTTTCAATCTAAGAAAATTGTCTCCAAATCAGACCAATAGCATTTTTGTATGATTTTTAAGATCTAGATCTCTCTGCTTGGTTTCTCGTACCTGGACAAAGAAAACTTCCTAATCTCCCATACTTGTCACCTTCCCTCCTCTCCAAGTAATATAAACCCTTTGCTGTTTATTCTCTTCCTCCTGTTAATCTCTTATTTCATATTGTTCTTTGGATCTGAAACAAACTCTCACCAGAGCTATGCCAACTATTTCGCTTCTTTTCCCTTCCATTGTTGAGTTCAACTCAAAAAACATTTGAGCACCAGACACTTTTCTAGGTACTGGGGATACAGAGATAAAGAAGCCAAAGTCCTTGCCTCTGAGGAGTAAAGGGGGCCCTCTTTTAAGAGTCTTTTTATTTTAAAAGAAGATGAGAAAAGACTCTACCTTCCCCAGAGCAAAATAAACAAACAAAAATTCTACTTAACAGGCAAAGGTAAATGTAATTTAATTCTCAATAGGGACTTTTGCTTTACTAAAAAATAATAATAACATCTTATTTTTATATAGTGCTTTTAAATTTCTAAAAGTTTTTCCTTTTTGGTTGGTAATCCTGAGTTTGTTTAATTTTTTATCTTAGTGAATAGAGATCAAATTGATGTGGGGGAAATTTCACAAACTCTTAAGTACAATCATTATTTTGTTTGTTTCTAACTACCGTTCTTTTTTATTCTGTGTTCTTTCTCATGTACACCTCTGTGTTTTCTCAGAACTCTCTAAACTAGTAACCTTTCTATAATCTTCTTTGCTTTTGAAAGGATGTCTATATACATAATTGAAGATGCACTTCTGCCTTTTATCATCTAAGTGTGGTCCCTATGAATCGGACAGTGGTACTCTGTCTCTCTAAAGAATACTTGTTCATGTCCTTCGCCCACTTTTTGATGGGGTTGTTTGTTTTTTTCTTGTAAATTTGTTGGAGTTCCTTGTAGATTCTGGATATTAGCCCTTTGTCAGATGAGTAGGTTGCGAAAATTTTCTCCCATGTTGTAGGTTGCCTGTTCACTCTGATGGTAGTTTCTTTTGCTGTGCAGAAGCTCTTTAGTTTAATTAGATCCCATTTGTCAATTTTGGCTTTGGTTGCCACTGCTTTTGGTGTTTTAGACATGAAGTCCTTGCCCATGCCTATGTCCTGAATGGTAATGCCTAGGTTTCCTTTAGGGTTTTTATGGTTTTAGGTCGAATGTTTAAGTCTTTAATCCATCTTGAATTGATTTTTGTATAAGGTGTAAGGAAGGGATCCAGTTTCAGCTTTCTACATATGGCTAGCCAGTTTTCCCAGCACCGTTTATTAAATAGGGAATCCTTTCCCCATTGCTTGTTTTTCTCAGGTTTGTCAAAGATCAGAGAGTTGTAGATATGCGGCGTTATTTCTGAGGGCTCTGTTCTGTTCCATTGATCTATATCTCTGTTTTGGTACCAGTACCATGCTGTTTTGGTTACTGTAGCCTTGTAGTATAGTTTGAAGTCAGGTAGTGTGATGCCTCCAGCTTTGTTCTTTTGGCTTAGGATTGACTTGGCGATGCGGGCTCCTTTTTGGTTCCATATGAACTTTAAAGTAGTTTTTTCCAATTCTGTGAAGAAAGTCATTGGTAGCTTGATGGGGATGGCATTGAATCTATAAATTACCTTGGGCAGTATGGCCATTTTCACGATATTGATTCTTCCTACCCATGAGCATGGAATGTTCTTCCATTTGTTTGTATCCTCTTTTATTTCCTTGAGCAGTGGTTTGTAGTTCTCCTTGAAGAGGTCCTTCATATCCCTTGTAAGTTGGATTCCTAGGTATTTTATTCTCTTTGAAGCAATTGTGAATGGGAGTTCTCTCATGATTTGGCTCTCTGTTTGTCTGTTATTGGTGTATAAGAATGCTTCTGATTTTTGTACATTGATTTTGTATCCTGAGACTTTGCTGAAGTTGCTTATCAGCTTAAGGAGATTTTGGGCTGAGACAATGGGGTTTTCTAGATATACAATCATGTCATCTGCAAACAGGGACAATTTGACTTCCTCTTTTCCTAATTGGATACCCTTTATTTCCTTCTCCTGCCTAATTGCCGTGGCCAGAACTTCCAACACTATGTTGAATAGGAGTGGTGAGAGAGGGCATCCCTGTCTTGTGCCAGTTTTCAAAGGGAATGCTTCCAGTGTTTGCCCATTCAGTATGATATTGGCTGTGGGTTTGTCATAGATAGCTCTTATTATTTTGAAATACATCCCATCAATACCTAATTTATTGAGAGTTTTTAGCATGAAGGGTTGTTGAATTTTGTCAAAGGCCTTTTCTGCATCTATTGAGATAATCATGTGGTTTTTGTCTTTGGCTCTGTTTATATGCTGGATTACATTTATTGATTTGCGTATATTGAACCAGCCTTGCATCCCAGGGATGAAGCCCACTTGATCATGGTGGATAAGCTTTTTGATGTGCTGCTGGATTTGGTTTGCCAGTATTATATTGAGGATTTTTGCATCAATGTTCATCAAGGATATTGGTCTAAAATTCTCTTTTTTGGTTGTGTCTCTGCCCGGCTTTGGTATCAGAATGATGCTGGCCTCCAGCCGCCCCATCCGGGAGGGAGGTGGGGGGGTCAGCCCCCCGCCCGGCCAGCCGCCCTATCCAGGAGGTGAGGGGCGCTTCTGCCCGGCCGCCCCTACTGGGAAGTGAGGAGCCCCTCTGCCCGGCCAGGACCCCATCTGGGAGGTGTGCCCAGCGGCTCATTGGGGATGGGCCATGATGACAATGGCGGTTTTGTGGAATAGAAAGGCGGGAAGGGTGGGGAAAAAATTGAGAAATCGGATGGTTGCCGGGTCTGTGTGGATAGAAGTGGACATGGGAGACTTTTCATTTTGTTCTGTACTAAGAGAAATTCTTCTGCCTTGGGATCCTGTTGATCTGTGACCTTATCCCCAACCCTGTGCTCTCTGAAACATGTGCTGTGTCCACTCAGGGTTAAATGGATTAAGGGCGGTGCAAGATGTGCTTTGTTAAACAGATGCTTGAAGGCAGCATGCTCGTTAAGAGTCATCACCACTCCCTAATCTTAAGTACCCAGGGACACAAACACTGCAGAAGGCCGCAGGGTCCTCTGCCTAGGAAAACCAGAGACCTTTGTTCACTTGTTTATCTGCTGACCTTCCCTCCACTATTGTCCTATGACCCTGCCAAATCCCCCTCTGCGAGAAACACCCAAGAATGATCAATAAAAAAAAAAAAAAAAAAAAAGAATGATGCTGGCCTCATAAAATGAGTTAGGGAGGATTCCCTCTTTTTCTATTGATTGGAATAGTTTCAGAAGGTATGGTACCAGTTCCTCCTTGTACCTCTGGTAGAATTCGGCTGTGAATCCATCTGGTCCTGGACTCTTTTTGGTTGGTAAGCTATTGATTATTGCCACAATTTCAGATCCTGTTATTGGTCTATTCAGAGATTCAACTTCTTCCTGGTTTAGTCTTGGGAGAGTGTATGTGTCAAGGAATTTATCCATTTCTTCTAGATTTTCTAGTTTATTTGCGTAGAGGTGTTTGTAGTATTCTCTGATGGTAGTTTGTATTTCTGTGGGATCGGTGGTGATATCCCCTTTATCATTTTTTATTGCATCTATTTGATTCTTCTCTCTTTTTTTCTTTATTAGTCTTGCTAGTGGTCTATCAATTTTGTTGATCCTTTCAAAAAACCAGCTCCTGGATTCATTAATTTTTTGAAGGGTTTTTTGTGTCTCTATTTCCTTCAGTTCTGCTCTGATTTTAGTTATTTCTTGCCTTCTGCTAGCTTTTGAATGTGTTTGCTCTTGCTTTTCTAGTTCTTTTAATTGTGATGTTAGGGTGTCAATTTTGGATCTTTCCTGCTTTCTCTTGTGGGCATTTAGTGCTATAAATTTCCCTCTACACACTGCTTTGAATGCGTCCCAGAGATTCTGGTATGTTGTGTCTTTGTTCTCGTTGGTTTCAAAGAACATCTTTATTTCTGCCTTCATTTCGTTATGTACCTAGTAGTCATTCAGGAGCAGGTTGTTCAGTTTCCATGTAGTTGAGCGGTTTTGAGTGAGATTCTTAATCCTGAGTTCTAGTTTGATTGCACTGTGGTCTGAGAGATAGTTTGTTATAATTTGTGTTCTTTTACATTTGCTGAGGAGAGCTTTACTTCCAAGTATGTGGTCAATTTTGGAATAGGTGTGGTGTGGTGCTGAAAAGAATGTATATTCTGTTGATTTGGGGTGGAGAGTTCTGTAGATGTCTATTAGGTCCTCTTGGTGCAAAGCTGAGTTCAATTCCTGGGTATCCTTATTGACATTCTGTCTCATTGATCTGTCTAATGTTGATGGTGGGAAGTTAAAGTCTCCCATTATTAATGTGTGGGAGTCTAAGTCTCTTTGTAGGTCACTCAGGACTTGCTTTATGAATCTGGGTGCTCCTGTATTGGGTGCATATATATCCAATACGAAGACATTTATGCAGCCAAAAAACACACGAAAAAATGTTCATCATCACTGGCCATCAGAGAAATGCAAATCAAAACCACAATGACATACCATCTCACACCAGTTAGAATGGCAATCGTTAAAAAGTCAGGAAACAACAGGTGCTGGAGAGGATGTGGAGAAATAGGAACACTTTTACACTGTTGGTTGGACTGTAAACTAGTTCAACCATTGTGGAAGTCAGTGTGGCAATTCCTCAGGGATCTAGAACTAGAAATACCATTTGACCCAGCAATCCCATTACTGGGTATATACCCAAAGGACTATAAATCATGCTGCTATAAATACACATGCACACGTATGTTTATTGAGGCATTATTCACAATAGCAAAGGCTAGGAACCAACCCAAATGTCCAACAATGATAGACTGGATTAAGAAAATGTGGCACATATACACCATGGAATACTATGCAGCCATAAAAAATGATGAGTTCATGTCCTTTGTAGGGACATGGATGAAATTGGAAATCATCATTCTCAGTAAACTATCGCAAGAACAGAAAACCAAACACCGCATATTCTCACTCATAGGTGGGTATTGAACAATGAGATCACATGGACACAGGAAGGGGAACATCACACTCTGGGGACTGTTGTGGGGTGGGGGGAGGGGGAGGGATAGCATTGAGAGGTATACCTAATGCTAGATGACGAGTTAGTGGGTGCAGCGCACCAGCATGGCACATGTATACATATGTAACTAACCTGCACAATGTGCACATGTACCCTAAAACTTAAAGTATAATAATAAAAAAAAAAGAATACTTGTTGATTTCTGTTGTATACATCTGCTCCCTGTTCTCTAAACCCTCATAAGTGGGAATATTTCCAAATAAGTAGCTGATGAAGGAATATAGATGGACTGCATAGTTTTATCAACATTGCCTCTACCCTTCTGAGTATGAGTTAGGAGAAATTGAGGGATAGGTAAAAAACATATTCTAATTGTAATTTGTCAAGGAACCACACCTTCTTCCTAGAGCAGGAGTGGGTAAACTACTGCCAGCTGGCCAAATCAGGCCCCTGGGGGGTTGTAGTTGAAAATAAAGAAAATAAAGAAAAATATTTCTTTATTTTATTTATTTATTTCTTTATTTTCTTTATTTCTTTTCTTTTATTTGTATATGGCTAGGAAAGCCTAAAATATTTACTGTCTGGCCTTTTGTACAAAAAGTGTCCTGATCCCTATCCTTGATTATATTTTAACAGACTTATTGAGGCATAATTCACATACCTTATAATTCACCCACTTAGGTATACAATTTATTGGTTTTTAGAATATTCTTAGAATTGTGCAACTGTTGATACAATCTAATTTTAGAACATTTTTATCACCCTAAAAAGAAACCCCTTACCCACTTAGCAATCACTTCTCATTGCCTGCCACCAGCACTAAGCAACCATGTACTTTCTGTCTATATAGGCTTGCCTATTCCAGATATTTCGTATAAATGTCATCATCATCATATTTTACACGAAAGTCAAATGTTTTTTGATGTGTAGTCTTTTCTGACTGGCTCCTTGTATAAATGCCTGAATAACATTTTCAAGGTTCTTTGTGTTGTAGCATGTATCAGTGTTTCATTTCTTTTTATGGCTGAATTATATTCCATTGTATAAATATATCACATTTTTAAAATCCATTCATCCATTGATGGACATTTGGGTTGTTTCCAATTTTCAGCTCTTGTGAATAATGCCGTGATGAACAATTTATGTACAAATTTTTGCATGGAAATCTGTTTTCATTTCTTTCAATATGAAATATACCTAGGATTGGTATTGCTGGGTCATACAGTAACTCTATGTTTCATCATTTGAGGAATGCTGGAGTTTTTCAAAGCACCTGCACCATTTTACATTCCAACCAGGACTGAATGAGGATTCCAATTTCTCCACCTCCTTGCCACCACTTGTTATTATATCTTTTTAATTATAGCCGTCCTAGTGAATATAAATTGATACCTCATTGTGGTTTTGATGTGCATTTCCATTATGACTAATGATGTTGAGAATCTTTTCGTGTGTTTATTGGCCATTTGTATATCTTCTTTGGAAAATATCTATTGAAATCTTTTTGCATTTATCTATTTATTTAGAGATGGAGTCTTGTTCTGTCACCCAAGCTGGAGTGCAGTGGCACGATCTCAGCTCACTGCAATCTCTGCCTCCCAGGTTCAAGTGATTCTCCTGCCTCAGCCTCCCAAGTAGCTGGGACTACAGCCACACACCACTGTGCCCAGCTAATTTTTGTATTTTTGTAGAGACAGGGTTTTGCCATGTTGGCCAGGTTGGTCTCAAACTCCTTATCTCAACTGATCCCCCCACCTCGGCCTTCCAAAGTGCTTCATGCTCATTTTAAATTAGCCTATTTGTCTTTTTACCACTGAGTTGTAATAATTCTTTATATATTCTTTATACTATACTCTTATCAAATACATGATTTGCAATTATTTTCTCCTGTTCTGTGGTTTGTCTTTTCCATTTCTTGCTAGTGCCCTTTGAAATACATTTTTAATTTTGATGATATCCATTTTATTTATTTTGTTATCATATCTAAGACCATTTTCTAATCCAAAGTCATGAAGGTTTACCTCAATGTTTTCTTGTAAGGTTTTTTATATTTTCAGCTCTTACATGTAGATCTGTGATCCATTTTGAGTTAATTTTTGTGTATGGTGTGAGATAGGGGTCCAACTTTATTGTTTTGCATTTGAATATCCATTTGTCCTAGTACTATTTGTTGAAGACTGTTTTTTCCCCTTGAATTATCTTCGTGCCATTGTTGAAAATCACTTGACCACAAATGAGAAGGTTTATTCTCAATTCTATTCCATTGACATCTATGTCTATCCTCAGGGCAATACCACATTGCCTTGATAATTATAGCTTTATGTAGTACATTTTGAAATAGGGAGGTGTTAGTCCCCCCTCATTGTTCTTCTTTTTAAAGATTGTTCTGGCTATTCTAGGTCCCTGGAATTTCCATTAGGACCAACTTGTTGATTTCTGCAAAAAAGCCAGCTGTGATTTTGATAGGGGTTGCATTGAAACTGTAAATCAGTTTAGGGAGAATATTAAAGCCTCTGATTCATGAACATGGAATATCTTTCCATTTATTTAGGTTTTTCACTTCTTTCAACAATGTTTTGTGGTTTTCAGATTATAAATTTTTCACTACTTTTTGTAGTCTCTTCAGATTTTGTATTTCCTCTTGAGTCAGTTTTAGTAGTTTATCTTTCTAGAAATTTATCCATTACATCTAAGTTATAGAATTTGTTGGTTTACAGTTGTTCATAGTATTCCCTTATAGTCCTCTTTATTTTTGTAAGGTCAGTAGTGATACCTCCTCTTTTACTCCTAATTTTAGTTATTTGTGTCTTCTCTCTTTTTGTTCTTGGTCAGTATAGACAAAAGTATATCAATTTGTTGTTCTTTTCGAGAACAACTTTTGGTTTCATTTTTTCTATTGCATTTCTAGTCTCTATTTCATTAATTCCCACTCAAATCTTCCTTCTGCTTGCTTACAGTTCAATTTGCTTTGTTTTTACAGCTTCTTAAGGTAAAACTTGGAGTTACTGATTTGAGATATTTCTTTTTTTTAATATCAACTTTTGCAGCTATAAATTTCCCTTCAAGAACTGCATTAAACTGCATCCCATACATTTTGGTATGTTGTATTTTTTTCATTCATCTCAAAATATTTTCTAATCTTAATTATGTTTTCCTGTTTGACCCATTTATTATTTAGGAATCTGTTGTTTAATTTTCACATATTTGTGAATTTCCCAAATTGTTTTCTCTTGCTGATTTTAAATTTTATTCCACTGTGGTCAGAGTACATACTTTGTGACTTCAATTATTTTAAATTTATTTGAAGTTTGTGTTATGGCCTAGCATGTCAGCTATCCTAGAGAAAGTGCCATGCATATGTGCTTGAGAAGAATGTACATTCTACTTGGGTTAGTGAAATGTTTTATGGCTATTAGGTCTAGTAGGTTGATAGTGTTGTTCAAGTGTTCTATATCCTTGATGGTTTTCTGCCTACTTATTCTATTCATTACTTAAAGTGGGCTATTGAAGTCTCCAACTAATAAAAGTTGAAGTATCTATTTCTTTCTTCAATTCTACCCAGTTTTGCTTTATATTTTTGGGGCTCTGTTGTTAGGTCATATATGTTTATAATTGCTATACATTTCCAATGGATTGGCCCTTTTAACATTATAAAATTTTCCTCTTTGTTCCTAGTAATTTTTTTTTTGTTTTAGAGTCTATTTTTGTCTTATTTTAGTAGTGTCACCCTAACATTCTTATGGTCAATGTTTCCATAACATAACTTTTTCCATCCTTTCACAATCAACCTATTTATTTGTCTCTGAACCTAATATGTGTCTCTTGTAGACAGAATGTAGTTGGGTCATCTTTGTTTCAATATGATAATCTTTGTCTTTTATTGGGTTGTTTAATGCACTCACATTTAATGTTACTATTTTTATGGTTGAATTTACTTATGCCACTTTACTTTTTGGTTTCTATATATCTCATGTATTTTTTATTCCTGATTTTCTCCTTTACTCTTTTCTTTTGCATTAAGTGAATGTTTTCTAATATAACATTTTTGTTCTTTTAATGATTTTTACACAATATTTGAGTTATTTTCTTAGTGGTCACTCTGGGGCTTACAATATAGATCTTAATTTATCAGAATCTACATCAGATTATAAACCCAATTTCAGTGAGATATAGAAATGCTATTCCTATTAACTCTGTTCTCTCCTCTTTTTTTATGCTATTTTGTTATACACATTACATCTATATATGCTCCAAACACAACAATACATCTTATAGTATCACTTTATAGAATTTTAAGTATTTTAAAGAAACTCAGAGAAGAAGCCGGGTGTGGTAGCTCACACCTGTAAACCTAGCACTTTGGGAGGCCGAGGTGGGCAGATCACTTGAGGTCAGGAGTTCAAAATCAGCCTGGCCAACATGGTGAAACCCCATCTCTACTAAAAATACACACAAAATTAGCTGGGCATGGTGGCAGGTGCCTATAATCCCAGCTACTCAGGAGGCTAAGGCAGGAGAATCACTTGAATCCGGCAGGCAGAGGTTGCAGTGAGCCAAGATCGCGCCATTGCACTCCAGCCCGGGCAACAAGAGCGAAACTCTGTCTCAAAAATAAAGAAACTTAGAGAAGAAAGTATATATTATGGTTTCTTATATTAAGCATCTTACTTACCTTTTATGCTTTTCCTCATTTTTTCCTGTAGATTAGAGTTACTATATGGTCTCTGGATTAGTCTGTTCTCTCACACACTATGAAGAAATACCTGAGACTGGGTAATTCATAAAGGAAAGCGGTTTAATTGACTCATAGTTCCACATGGATGGGGAGGCCTCAGGAAACTTAGAATCATGATGGAAGGCACCTCTTCACAGGGTAGCAGGAAAGAGAATGAAAGCCGAGTGAAGTGGGAAGCCACTTACAGAACCATCAGATCTTGTGAGAATTTACTATCACGAGAATAGCATGGGGGAAACTGCCCCCATGATTCAATTACCTCCCACTGGGTCCCTCGCACCACACATGGGGATTATGGGAACTACAATTCAAGGTGAGATTTGTGTGGGGACACAGCCAAACCATATCAGTCTCATTTTCTTACTCCAAAACAACTTTCTTCCCACCTGCCTCTTGTGCTGTTATTGTCAAATATATTTCATTTCTATATATCAGAGGCCCAACAATACAAATATATATTCACATATATGTGTATATATATTGTTTTTTTAAAACAAGAGAAGAAGAAATATACATTTATATTAATACTATCTTTTATAATTATATAATTAATGCTACCAGTGCTCTTTGTTTTTTCATCTGGATTCAAATTACTGCCTGGCATTACTTGCTTTTCAGCCTGAAAGATTGTCTCTTAGCAACGAATTCTCTCAGCTCTTATTTATCCAGGGACATCTTTATTTCACCTTCTCTGAATAATAGTTTTGCTAGGTATTAGATTATTAGTAGACTTTTATTTTTCTTTGATCACTTTGGATATGTTGTCCCACTGCCTTCTGGCCTTTATTGTTTTTAATGAGAAATCAGCTATTAATCTTAATCACCCGTACATGTGGCGAGTCATGTTTCTCTTTGCTAGTTTCAAATTTTTCTTTGTCTTTTACCATTTTGTAATGTATCTTGGTTGGATATCTTTGTGTTTCTTGATCCCACCTAGAGTTTTTTGGGCTTCTTGAGTGTGTAGATTATTGTTTTTCATCAAAATTAGGGAATTTTCAGCCATTTGTTTAAAATATTTTTTCTCTTTTTCGCTCCTTTTCTTTTGGTAATCCCATTATGGGTATATTGGTGTGCCTAATGGTGTCCCATGTTTTACTGAGGCTTGGTTTATTTTTTTTCTTTTTCATTCTGCTCTCATATTTTGTAATCTCTGCTAATCTATCTTCATGTTTGCTGATTGCTTCCTCTGCTAAGTCAAACCTAATGTTGATACCCTCTAGTGAGTTTTAAAATTTCATTTATTGTAGTTTTCAACTCCAGAATTTCCATCTGATTTTTATAATTTTTATCCTTTTATTGAGATTCATTTTTGATGAACATTTTTATCATACCTTCTTTCTTTAAGTGTGGTTTCATTTAGTATTTGAATATATTTAAAATAGCTGCTTTGAATTCTGTGTCTATTAAGTTTAACATCTGGGCTTTTTCAAAATCAGTTCCTGTTACCTGCTTTTTTCCTATGTAGAAGTCACACTTTCCTGTCTCTTTGCATATCTTGTAATTTTCTGTTGAAAACTGGACGTTTTAGATAATATGTTGTAGTATCTTTGGGTACTGATCTCCCCATGGGGTTTGTGGATGTTAATGTTTGCTTCTTTATTTGTTTAGTGAATTAGCTATAGGGAAATAGTGAAGTCTATTTTCCCCATGGTACATAGACTCTGATGTCACTCTTTGGAAGGCACAGTCTTTGCCTGTGCAAAGACTGCTTATACCTCCCTCTGGTAAAGGATGACAGTGATTTTAGGAGAGTTCTTTATTACTCTTTTCCTGATCTGACCTCTTAAGCTTCTAGATGACCTTCTTCTATTGGTAGCACATCCAGCTGTTAGTCTTGACTAATTGCTAGGTGATTACTGTGTGTGTGCGTGTGCGTGTGTGTGTGTGTGTGTGTGTGTGTGTGTGTGTGTGTGTTAAAATGCTCTTGTGCATAAATTGCCCCACAGCCTGTTCCAATTAAAAGAAGACCCCTTTGAAGGAATAGAAATCTTCTTAGCTGTCTCTTCACATACTTCTCTCTATAAACTTCTAGTTGGTCTATTATTTTCTTCTTAATATCATTGAGCTATCAATCTCCTCTTAATTGCTCACTACCAAAATCTCCATGATTTTTTACAGTGTCCTTAGACTTGAACTTCCCCACGCTCTGTTCCAATTAAAGTCATTTCCTTTAGGGAGTGCTATAGATCTGCCTCTCCTACTGGGCAGAAACTGAACCACTGTTTTGGAGCTAGGGGCAGGGACAGTGGCCCACTTCTGTCAGAGTGACAATCCAATTGTATGAGTGGAAGACTGGACAAGAGTTGTAGTCCCTGATAGTCTTGGCTTGCTGCTCCCAGCATGGACACTCTATCCTATAAGCAGCTGAGATGAGAGCTGAGATGAGAGAGCTGAGATGAGATGAGATTGAGACCCAGGATCCTGAGCTTGCAATGCCTGGGATAGAGCTTTTGCCTTACAAATAGAGGCTGGGTAGAGAAAGAGAGTTCTAGGCCTCTGAGCTATGCTTGTTTATAATAGAGCTTCTACAATAGAGATCTGGGGGGATGAGAAGTGCCAGCATTCTGGCCCTTCAGAGAATCCCTAGCCCAGAAACTGGAGGTAGAGAGAGTCCTATCTTCTTGGCCACACCCACCTAAAGTAGTGCTTACATCACACTGAGCTGGCGGATGGTGAGTGAATCATAGCTTAAATGTCACAGGCTCTTACTGTTCTTACTAAGACTTAGTAGATTTCCTGGAATAAATGTTTCTTCATTTTCTGTATACCCTCAGGGCAATTTCCTGAGCCTTTACATGATTATGTTTTCTAATTTTCACTAGTTATGATGATTGTTTTGCTGAGGAGAGGATCCATGGAGCTCCTCACACAACCATTCTAGAAGTGTTTCTCTTCTGTTCTAGATTGTTAAAGAAATTGATAATGCTCAAGATTTTCTATTTAATCCTCATTTTTCTGAAACAGTAAGGAAATGTGCAAATAGAGGCTAATATTTCTATATAAACTCCAAAATGTTCAGTTTAAACTATCATTTTTCTATTAATTTATTTTTACCTGTTTTTAATGAAAATGATATGAGATTATATTAATTTGCTTAAAGTTCTTTTTTGTTGGGACTAATTAACTTGTTGCACTGTTGCCAAACAGACCATGTTCCTGAGTCGTGCACTTGAGGAGATCCAGACATGCAATGACATCCATAATTTCCTGAAACAAACAGGTACAGTAGGAACTGGAAGTTTGGTAACACAGTTTGAAAGGAGCTTAGAATCGAATAAACAAGTCTTTTGTCACCAGAAATTTGTGCCACTGCAGTACTTGATAACCAGTCAAATGTTTTTTTTTTCTGTTGTTTTGTTTGTTTTTTCGAGTCAGGGTCTCACTGTGTCACCCAGGCTGGAGCGCGGTGATGTGATCTTGGCTCACTGCAACCTCTGCCTTCTGGGTTCAAGCAATTTTCCCACCTCAGCCTCCTGAGTAGCTGGGAATACAGGCATGCACTACAACGCCTGGCTAAACTTTTCTATTTTTTGGTAGATATAGGGTTTCACCATGTTGGCCAGGCTGGTCTCGAACTCCTGACCTCAAGTGATTTGCCCACCTCGGCCTCCCAAAGTACTGGGATTACAGGTGTGAGCCACCACTCCCAGCCCAGATGATTCTTTAAGAGCTGATTTTTTCCCCACTCTATATCAGTATTGACTCTGTAACACACTACTTAGATTAAGAATATTTTTTACTTTGCTTTATATGAAAGTATAGCATTAAATATTTTATTATTGTTTAACATAATATTATCAATCTTAGATCACTAGATTTAATGTCTAATTTAATCAAGCTTTAACTTTGACTAAATGTAGGCTAGTCTTCACAATCAAGATAACAGATACTGCTAATATTTTGTTATAAAATTATCTAAATAGGCTGCATGCAGTGGCTCACGCCTGTAATCCCAGCACTTTGGGAGGCCGAGGCGGACAGATCACCTGAGATTAGGAGTTTGAGGCCAGCCTGACCAACACGGAGAAAGCCCGTCTCTACCAAAAATACAAAGTTAGCCAGGCATGGTGGCACATGCCTGTAATCCCAGCTACTCAGGAGGCTGAGGCATCCTTGAATCTCTTGAACCCAGGAGGCAGGGGTTGCAGTGAGCCAAGATCACGCCATTGCACTCCAGCCTGGGCAACAAGAGCGAAACTCTGTCTCAAAATAAATAAATAAATACATAAATACACAAATAAATAAATAAATAAAATAATCTAAACAGTAGTAAGCCTTTGGAAGTTATATAATATCTTGATTCTATTTCCTGATTAAATATGGTATTGGCTTTTAGGTTTAGACTGAAGTTTTTACAATGTGTTTTTCTGTCCCTGTTTCAGAATTTGTTAAAATCAATGGATATTCAATTGAATTACATGCTTTTTCAGACTTTATGGAGATAGTCATATTTTTCTCTTTTGAACTATTAATATATTGAGTTATAATAATAGATTTTATAAAATTAAGTCATCATTTCATTCCTGGAATAAACCCTATTTGGTCATAGTATGTTATTATTTTAATATATTGATGAATTCTGTTTTCCAACATTTAGAAATTATTGGTCTGTCACTTTGTTTTTGCTTATGTGTTATGTCTTTGGCAGTTTGAGTATCAAATTATAGGAATTATAAGGAAGAACATAAACATATGAAATTTAATTTACTTCTCGTAGTCTATGACAGTCACTTAAATGAATAAAAACAACAAAAAGTAAAGATAGAGAAAACCCAAATAAAATACTTATTATAGAAGATTTAATGGGAGTAAAACTCTGTAGCCTGAAAATATACTGTGTATCCTGAGAACAGAAAACATATCATCTTTTCGTGTGCCTTTTGAAGTTTTACAAAATTGATGTCAAGGAAGACCTGAATAAATTCTAAGACATGTAAATAAAACAGACAACATCGTCTGATCACAATGCAAAAACTAGAGATTAACATTGGAATCATTCTTTTGAAATACCCTACCACCTGGACATTTTTTAAAAACCCAAACTACAGTATACCTAGGCTCTAATGGTAATGAAAATAACTCATAGTAGAATTTAAAGTGCTAAAGCAGTGCTCAGAGCAAATTCATTGCCTCCGTGACTTTTCTTTAAGCAAGTATGCAGTGGCTCACGCCTGTAATCCCAGTACTTTGGGAGGCCGAGGTGGGTGGATCACATGAGGCCAGGAATTCGAGACCACCCTGCCAACATGACGAAACCCCATCTCTACTGAAAATACAAAAACCAGCCAAATATGGTGGCATGTGCCCGTAATCCCAGCTACTTGGGAGCCTGAGACACGAGAATCGCTTGAACCCCGCAGGCGGAGTTTGCAGTAAGCCTAGATTGTCCACTGCACTCCAGCCTGGGCAGCACAGCAAGACACTGTTTCCAAAAAAATAAAAAATAAAAAAGTATGTCAGAATGCTAACTGTCCACCAAAAAAAATGAATTTCTTCTTTTTTAGGAATACAACTAGGCTATAGATAGAGTAGATAGAGAGATATAGTGAGATAGAGATAAATGCCTCTCTATATATACATATATATAGTCTAAGTATATTTTTATACACACAGCTAGACTATATACATATATATATGTATCTATATAGTTTATATATAGACTTCAGGCAATCTTCAGAGTTTTTTTAACTGTCTATACATTATAGAGATTTAATGGCTGTAGTTAATTAAGGTGACTAATATCAGAATGAAGGAAAGTAAAATTCCCTATTGGAAAACAGTACATTATTTCATGAAAGTTTTGTGGTAAAATATATATAACATAAAATATGCTATTTTGACCATTTTTAAGTGTACAGTTGTACAACCATTACCACTATCTATTTTTAAATTTTTTCATCATCCCAAACAGAAACTCTGTATCCATTAAAGAATAATTTCCCCATTCCCCCTTTCTCCAGCCCCTGGTAACCTCTCATATGCTTACTGCCTCTATGAATTTGCCTATTCTAGATATTTCTTTCTTTTTTTTTTTTTTTGAGTTGGGGTTTTGGTCTGTTGCTTAGGATGGAGTGCAGTGGCACAATCATAGCTCACTGCAGCCTTGAACCCTGCGCTCAAGCTATCCTCCCACCTTGACCTCCTTAAGTGCTGTGATTACAGGTGTGAACCACCATGCCCAACCCTAGATATTTCCTTTAAGTGAATCATACAATATTTGTCTTTTTGTAACTGGCTTATTTCACTTAGCATAATGTATTCAAGATTCGTCCATGTCATAGCATGTGTCAAAATTCCCTTCCATTTTAAGGCTGAATTCTATTCCATCATATGGTGTATTAGTCCATTTTCATACTGCTGTAAAGAACTGCCTGAGACTGGGTAATTTATAAAGGAAAGAGGTTTAATTGACTCACAGTTCAGCATGGCTGGGGAGGCCTTAGGAAACTTAGAATCATGGCAGAAGGCGAAGGGGAAGCAAGGCACCTTCTTCACAAGGTGATGGGAAGGAGAAGTGCCGAGTGAAGGGGAAGAGTCCCTTATAAAACCATCAGATCTCATGAGAACTCACTATCACGAGAAGGGCAAGAGGGAAATTGCCCTTGTGATTCAATCACCTCCACCCAATCTCTCCCTTAATACATGGGAATTATGGGGATTACAATTCAAGAAGAGATTTGGGTGGAGACACAAAGCCTAACCATATGGTTCCACCCCGGACCCTCCCAAATCTCATGTGCCTTTCACATTTCAAAACCAATCATGCCTTCCCAACAGTCCCCCAAAGTCTTAATTCATTCCAGCATTAACTCATAAGTCCATGTTCAAAGTCTCATCTGAGACAAGGCAAGTCCCTTCCACCTGTAAGCCTATAACAGCAAAACCAAGTTAGTTACTTCCTAGATAAAATGGGGGTACAGATATTGGGTAAATACACCCATTCCAAATGGGAGAAATTGGCCAAAACAAAGGGGCTACAGGCCCCAAGCAAATCTGAAATCCAGCAGGGCATCAAATCTTAAAGCTCCAAAATGATCTCCTTTGACTCCATGTCTCACATACAGGTCATGCTGATGCAAGAGGTGGGTTCCCATCGTCTTGGGCAGCTCTGCCCCTGTGGCTTTGCAGGGTACAGCCTCCCTCTTGGTTGCTTTCACGGGCTGGCATTGAGTGTCTGTGGCTTTTCTGGGTGCACAGTGCAAGCTGTCAGTGGATCTACCATTCTGGGGTCTGGAGGATGGTGGCCCTCTTCTTACAGCTCCACCAGGCAGTGCCCCAGTGGGGACTCTGTGTGGGGGCTCCAACCCCACATTTCCCTTCCTCACTACCCTAGCAGAGGTTCTCCATGAGGACTCCACCCCTGCAGCAAACTTCTCCACGGACACCCATTTGTTTCCATACATCCTCTGAAATCTAGGTAGAAGTTCCCAAACCTCAATTCTTGACTTCTGTGCACCCACAGGCACAACACCACATGAAAGCCACCAAGGCTTGGGGCTTGCACCCTTTGAAGCAATGGCCTGAGCTGTATGTTGGCCCCTTTTAGCCATGGCTAGGATGTGGCTAGAAGTCACAGTTCCAAGAGTACACAAAGCAGAGAAGCCCTGGGCCTGGCCCAGGAAACCATTTTTCCCTCCTAGGCCTCCAGACCTGTGATGGGAGGAGCTGCCTTGAAGGTCTCTGACGTGCCCTGGAGACATTTTCCCTATTGTCTTTGTGATTAACATTGGGCTCCTCATTACTTATGCAAATATCTGCAGCCAGCTTGAATTTCTCCCCAGAAAATGGGTTTCTCTCTTCAGTTGCATTGTCAGGCTGAAAATTTTCCAAACTTTTATGCTCTGCTTCCCTTTTAAACATAAGTTCCAATTTCAGATCGTCTCTCTCAAGTTCATAGTTCCAGAGGTCTCTAGGGCAGAGGCAAAATGCCACCAGTCTCTTTGCTAAAGCATAGCAAGAGTGACCTTTGCTCCAGTTCCCAAGAAGTTCCTCATCTCCATGTGAGATTATGTCAGCCTGGGCTTCACTGTTCATATCACTATAAGCATTTTGGCCAAAACCATTCAACAAGTCTCTAGGAAGTTCCAAACTTTCCCAGATCTTCCTGTCTTCTAAACCCTCCAAAGTGTTCCAACCTCTTACCTGTCACCCAGTTCCAAAGTCACTTCCACATTTTTGGGTCTCTTTATAGCAGTACCTCACTCTACTGGCACCAATTTACTGTATTAGTCCATTCTCGCCATTTTACATTCCCACCAGGAAATGTATCTTAATTTCTCCACCTCCTTGCCAACACTTGTTGTTTTCCATTTTTTATTATTATAGCTATTCTAGTAGGTTAAATAGTATCTCATGGTTTTGATTAGTATTTCTCTGATGACTAAAGATGTTGAGCATCTTTTCATGTGCTTATTGGTTATTTGTATTTCATCTTTGAGGGAGGGAAAGGACTTGTCTATTCAAGTTCTTTGCCCATATTTAAAATTGGGTTGTTTTTTGGTGTTGCGTTTTAGGATTTCTTTATATATTCTGTATATTAAACCCTTATCAGGTATATGATTTGCAAATATTTTCTCCTGCATGTTTTCTTTTCACTTTCTTGATAATGTCCTTTGATGTAAAAAAGTTTTTAACTTTGATGAAGTCCAATTTATCTACCTTTTCTTTTGTTGCTTGTGCTTTCAGTGTCATGTCAAAGAATCCATTGCCAAATCCAAAGTCATGAAGATTTATTCCTATAAATTCTTCTAAGAGTTTTATGGTTTTAGCTTATATGTTTGGGTAATTGATCCATTTTGAGTTCATTTTTATATTCAATGGTGTAGTAGGCATCCAACTTCATTCTTTTGCCTGTGGAAATCCAGTTGCCACCATGCCATTTGTTGAAGAGACTATTATTTTTTGTTTGTTTGTTTGTTTTGAGACGGAGTTTTGCTTGTTGCCCAGGCTGGAGTGCAATGGCACAACCTTGGCTCACTACAACCTCCTCCTCCCTGGTTCAAGTGATTCTTCTGCCTCAGCCTCCCAAGTAGCTGGGATTACAGGCATGCACCACCATGCCTGGCTAATTTTGTATTTTTAGTAGAGGTAGGGTTTCACCATGTTGGTCAGGCTGGTCTCGAACTCCTGACCTCAGGTGATCCACCCACCTCGGCCTCCCAAAGTGCTGGGATTACAGGTGTAAGCCACCACACCCGGCCTGAAGAGACTATTCTTTGTCCCATATAATGGTCTTGACACCCTTGTTGAAAATCAGTCAGCCATAGATGTATGGGTTTATTTCTTAACTCTCAGTTCTATTCTATTGGTCTATATGTCTATCTGTATGGTAGTACCACACTGTTTTATTACTGTAGCTTTCTAATAAGCTTTGAAACAGAGAAGTGTTGGCCCTCCAACTTTGTTATTTTTCAAGATTCATTTTGAACTATTGGGGCACCTTACAATTCCATATAAATTTGAGAATTGACTTTTTCATTTCTGTAAAAAGAGGCTGGTGGAATTTTGATAGGGATCGCTTAGCGTGATATAAGTTTTGAAATGTTGACATCTTAACAATATTAAGTCTTCCAATCCATAAATGTAGGCTGTCTTTTCATTTATTTAGGTCTTCTTTAATGTCTTTCATCAGTGTGTTATAGTAATCATTGTACAGATCTTCCACCTTCTTGGCTAAATTCATTCTTTTGAATACTATTGTAAATGAATTGTTTTCTTAATTTCCTCTTTAGATTGTTCATTGCTGATGTATAGAAACACAATTGATCTTTGCATGTTCATCTTGTACCTGCAACTTTGCCGAATTTGTAGCTTTCTTGTGGTTTCTTTGGGATTTTCTATACGTAGGGTCATGTCATCTGTGAACAGTGAGAGTTACACTTCTTTCTTTTTACTTTGGATGCCTTTTGTTTCTCTTTGTTGCCTAATTTATCTGGCTAAAACTTCCCGTACAATGTTGAATAGCAAACTTCCTGTACAATGTTGAATAGCGGTAGTGAGAGAGGGCATCCTTGTCTTGTTCCTGATCTTAGGGCTAAGCTTCCACCTTTGAGTATAATGTTAACTGTGGAATTTTTTTTAATGCCCTTTATCAGATTGAGGCTATTCCCTTCCATTCCTAGTTTATCTTGAAAATATTTTGGATTTCATCACATGATTTTTCTGCATCAATGAATATGACCTTTTTTCCTTTTTTCTATTGATGTGGTATATTACATTAATTGATTTACTTATGTTGAACTTGCGTTCTTGGGATAAATCACACCTAATCAGATTGTATAATCCTTTAATATGCTGTAAGATTTGGTTTGCTAGTATTTTCATGGGGTTTTTTTAATTGATATCCATAAAGAATATTGGTTTGTAATTTTCTTTTCTTGTGATGTCTACATTTGGCTTTAGTATCAGGGTAATGCTGGCTTCATAGAAGAAGTTAGGAAGTATTCCCTCCTCTTCCATTATTTGGAAGAGTTTGAGAGAACTGCTGTTTATTCTTCTTTAAATGTTTGGAAGAATTCACCAGTGAAGCCATCTGGTCCTAGACTTCTGTTTATTGGGAGGTTTTAAATTACTTATTTAATCTCTTTACTTGTTATAGGTCTGTTGAGATTTTCTATTTCTTCTAAAGTCAATTTAGTAATTTGTGTGCTTTTAGTAATTTGTCATTTTTTTTTTTTTTTTTGAGACGGAGTCTCGCTCTGTCGCCCAGGCCAGACTGCGGACTGCAGTGGCGTAATCTCGGCTCACTGCAAGTTCCGCTTCCCGGGTTCACGCCATTCTCCTGCCTCAGCCTCCCGAGTAGCTGGGACTACAGGCGCCCGCCACCGCGCCCGGCTAATTTTTTTTTTGTATTTTTAGTAGAGACGGGGTTTCACCTTGTTAGCCAGGATGGTCTCGATCTCCTGACCTCATGATCCACCCGCCTCGGCCTCCCAAAGTGCTGGGATTACAGGCGTGAGCCACCGCGCCCGGCCAGGAATTTGTCATTTTATCTAAGTTATCTAATTTTTTGATGTACAGTAGTTCATAGTAATCTCTATTTGTGATTCAATTTTTGGAAGGTAAAATCAAGAGTTGTTAGAGGCAAATTGGGCCTTGATTAAAATAGGATCTGGTAGTTCTGTTTTTAGTTCTTTGAGAAATCTTCACACTGTTGTCCATGGAAGCTCTACTGATTTACATTCCCACCAGCAGTGTAAAGCATTTCCTTTTCTCTGCATCCTTGCCAACATCGTTATTTTTTGACATTTTAATAATGGACATCCTGACTGGTGTAAGATGATATGTCATTGTGGTTTTAATTTGCATTTTTCTGATGACTTTTCAATCCAGCAATGCCATTACTAGGTATCTACCCAAAGGAAAAGAAATTATATATTAAAAAGATACCAGCACCCATATATTTATTGCAGCACTATTCACAGTTGCAATGATATGGAGTCAACCTACGTATCCATCAATGGAAGATTGGACAAAGAAAATGTGGAATGAAGATACACACAATTAAATAGTACTCAGCCATAAAAATAGAATGAAATCAGGTCATTTGCAGTAACGTGGATGAAACTGGAGGCCATTATCTTAAGTGAAACAACTCAGAACCAGAACGTCAAATACTGCATGTTCTCACTCATAAGTGGGAGCTAAATAAAGTATGCACATGGACATAGAGTGTGGAATAATGGACACTGGAGACTAGGAAGGGTGAGATGGTGGGAGGGGGTTAAAGGATGAGAAATTACTTAATAGGTACAATGTACATTATTTGGGTGATGGTTACAGTAAATACCCAGACTTCACTACTACTTAATATATCCATGTAACAAAACTGAACTTCTGTCCTTTAAATTTATATAAATTAAAAATAAAAATAAATAAATAGGATCATGAGTGCCCAATAAACAATACTTGGTTACCTATTTAAACAAAGTGACAATCAAACATTTAAAAATAAACATAGGGCTTTGGAAGGCCGAGGTGGGTGGATCACCTGAAGTCAGGAGTTCAAGACCAGCCTGGCCAACATGGTGAAACCCCGTATCTACTAAAAATACAAAAATTAGCTCGGTGTGGTGGTGCACGCCTGTAATCCCAGCTACTCGGGAGGCTGAGGTAGGAGAATTGCTTGAACCTGGGAGGTGGAGATTGCAGTGAGCCAAGATTGTGCCACTGCACTCCAGCCTGGGAGACAGAGTGAGATTCCATCACATAAATAAATAAATAAATAAATAAATAAATAAATAAATAAATGTACATAGGAGGTAACACAATTCTAACATAGGAGGTAACACAATTCTAAAGAACTTTAGCTCTTTGACAAGTGAGGAACCTTTGTTCTTTGTTAGTTTGCCACTAAATAATCAAAAATAAAGAAAAAGACAACATAAAGCTCAGAGAATTATTCTTGTAAAACACAGAGTCTGCTATCTAGGCAGATTACACAGAAGATGAAGAATAACTTTTGCATTGTGGTGAAGGCATTAATCAATAAATTAAGGAAGCAAGCCCATCAAAATTTAGATAAGGTTGCTACAATTTTAACACATTGCATAGCTTTATTTCAGACCTAGGTTTAAACCAGGGCAAAAAAATTTAACTTTCCCAGTTTGTCCTTCATTATGCTCTTTGATGTTCTGGAACAAACTGACCATCTTTCAGAGCATCTGCTAGGTCAAAACTATTTTTATTATAATACTAAGATGTGTAGTTTTTCAGGGGCAGTATGATGTGTGATATTGTAATAGATTGAATGCAGAAGCAGATAGTAGAGTCTAATTATTTCTATTAAGTTGGGCATTAGGGAACTTTGCAAAAATGTGAAGCAATCTTCTTATTTTTAAAATAAAATTATTTTTATTAAAATTGACATCAACATGCAACAGATTCATCTCAAATCAATTCAATCAATAAATATATTTAATTTTTTCTGTTTTAATTTATAATATGGTAAGTATTGATAGTTACAACATACATGCGGAAAACCTCTTTGGAAGTCCTTAGTAATATTTCAGAGTACGAAGAGGTCCTGAGAACAGAAAGTTTGAGAACTACTGTCTTAGAAACAAACTACTTTTCCCTTTAAAACAGAAGCATATACCCATTTGTCACTATTGCTCATAATATAATCTCAACCACTTGTTTTAATTTTAACTTTTAACCAAAATAATATCTATTTCAAAGAGAAAATTTGAGGGGTGCAATTGAGAACTATCTCTCACAAACATTATAGCAGATTAACAGAGCTCACGAACACATGTAGCACTTTCAATGTACACACCCATCCCTTTTAAAGAGGAAAATGAACACAACCATTAACATGACCCAAAGATATTGCCTCTTTATAGCATATAAAAATAAGAAGCAACAGTATATAGGACCAGGCGCGGTGGCTTATGCCTGTAATCCCAACACTTTGGGAGGCCGAGGTGGGTGGATCACGAGGTCAGGGGATCAAGACTAGCCTGACCAACATGGTGAAACCCCATCTCTACTAAAAATACAAAAAATTAGCCGGGTGTGGTGGTACATGCCTATAGTCCCAGCTACTTGGGAGGCTGTGCTAGGAGAATTACTTGAACCCAGCAGGCGGAGGTTGCAGTGAGCCGAGATCACGCCACTGCACTCCAGCCTGGGTGACAGAGCGAGACTCCATCTTAAAAAAAAAAAAAAAAAAAAAAGCAACAGTATATAAACTTAAAACTGCTTAGTGAGGCCAAGGTAGGGAGATTGCTTGAGCTCAGGAGTTCAAGACCAGCCTGGGCAACATAGGAAGACCCTGTCTCTATAAATAATTTTTTAAAGAATTAACCAGGAATAGTGGCACATGCTTATACTCCCAGCTACTCGGGAGGCTGTGGCAGGAGGATTGCCTGAGCCTGGAAGGCTGTGGCTGCAGTGAGCCATGATTGTGCCACCGCACTCCAGCCTGGGTGACAGAGTGAGACCCTGTCTCAAAAAAACAAAACAAAACAAAAACAAAAACAAAAAACTGTGCTTAGTAATCAATAAGCAGTCTATATTAATTAAAATTTATGTAGGTATCCAATGATTATCCATTAATGAACTCAATTTAATATCAAACCAGTGTTTAAGTTAATTAGATTATCTTAAATCTAACATACCACAGAATGTAATTACTGCTGAAATAAAAGTTTGTCAGAACAGGGATTCAATTTCAGTTGAACACAAATTTACATCTTTCATAATCTTAAATATTACATATAAGTAACATTATCTTATTTGATTAGTAAATCTGTATACATTTAGGAAAAACAGACCGAAGTAAAATAAAATGTATGCTTGTTTTATACATTACATAAATAAATCACCAAAAATGACATAACTCTTTTAAATAAAAATTATTTTTAATGTTTTATTTTTAATTTTTGTAGGTACATTATAAGTGTATCCATTTATTGTTACATGAGATATTTTGATACAGGCATGCCATGCGTGATAATCACATTAGGGTACATGAAGTAGCCATCACATCAAACATTTATCCTTTGTGTTACAAACAATCCAATTATACTCTTTTAGTTATTTTAGAATGTACAATTAATACTGACTGTGGTCACCCTGTTAGGCTAGCAAACACTAGGTCTATTCATTCTTTCTATATTTTTTACCCATTACCCATCCTCACATTCTCCCCTACTATCTTTCCCAGCTTCTGGTAACCATCATTCTACTCTCTATTTGCATGAGTTCAGTTGGCTTAATTTTTAGCTTCCACAAATAAGTGAGAACATGCAAGGTTTGTCTTTCTATGCCTGGCTTATTTCACTTAACATAATGACCTCCAGTCCCATTCATATTGTTGCAAATGACTAGATCTCATTCTTTTTAATGGCTGAATAGTGCTCCATTGTGTATATGTACCACATTTTCTCTATCCATTCATCTGCTGATGGGCAGTTAGGTTGCTTCCAAATCTTGGCTATTGTGAATAGTGCTGCAATACATATGGGAGTGCAGATATCTCTTCAATATGCTGATTTCCTTTCTTTTGAGTGTATACCTAGGAGTGGGATTGGTGACTCTTCTCCACAGTGGTTGTACTAATTTATGTTCCCACCAGCAGTGTACAAGGGTTCCCTTTTTTCCATGTCATCGCCAGCATTTGTTTTTGCCTATCTTTTGGATATAAGCCATTTTAACTGGGATGAGATAATATCTCACTGTAGTTTTGGTTTGCATTTCTCTGATGATCAATGATGCGGAGCAACTTTTCAGTTGCCTGTTTGCCATTCATGTGTCTTCTTTTGAGAAATGTCTATTCAGATCCTTTGCTCATTTTAAAAATTAGATTACTAGATTTTTTCCTATAGAGTTGTTTGAGCTCTGTATATATATCTGCTTATTAATCTCTTGTCAGAGGGGTAGTTTGCAAATACTTTTTCCCATTCTGTGGATTGTCTCTTCAGTTTCTTTTTTGTTTTTTTTTTTTTTTGTTTTTTTTGTTTTTTTGTTTTTGAGACGGAGTCTTGCTCTGTCGCCCAGGCTGGAGTGCAGTGGTGCGATCTCGGCTTACTGTAAGCTCCGCCTCCTGGGTTCACCCACCATTCTCCTGCCTCAGCCTCCCGAGTAGCTGGGACTACAGGCGCCCGCCACCACACCCAGCTAATTTTTTTTTTTTTGTATTTTTAGTAGAGATGGGGTTTCACCGTGTTAGCCAGGATGGTCTCGATCTCCTGACCTCGTGATCCACCCACCTCCGCCTCCCAAAGTGCTGGGATTACAGGTGTGAGCCACCGCGCCCGGCCCAGTTTCTTGATTTAAACAAGAATTATTAAACAAATCTCATTTGCCAAAGATATACCTTAATTCTGGATTCTCAAAATGTTTGAGCTAGCAGAATTTTTTGTGAAAATATTTTTAGTTTAGCACATTTTAGTATTAAAAGTTCAACTTCTGGCTGGGCGCAGTAACCAGCACTTTGGGAGGCCAAGGCGGGTGGATCACCTGAGGTCAGGAGTTCGAGACCAGTCTGGCCAACATGGCGAAACCCTGTCTCTACTAAAAATACGAAAAATTAGCTGGGTGTGGTGGTGGGCGCCTGTAATCCCAGCTACTTGGAAGGCTGAGGCAGGAGAATTGCTCGAACCCGGGAGGCAGAGGTTGCAGTGAGCCAAGATCGTGCAATTGCACTCCAGTCTGGACAACAAGAGCAAAACTCTGTCTCAAAAAAAAAAAAAAAAAAAAAAAGAAGTTCAACTTCTTTTTTTCTTGGAGTTAAAAAAATATGTATGTAAGTTCTTATTTATGTCTATAAACCAATTAGAACAGAGCTCCTTTAATTTAGGAAACTTTATGATATAACTTATTAATACTCCCCAGAGATAGGAAAATATTTTACACTCACACAATGTGAGGTCAAAGCCTTTTTCAGTTGTAGACACATAGACATAGATAAAGCGATCTTATGAATTCTGATCTACAATTTCAGCTATAAGTTAAGAGTAAACACAGAAATATGCCAGTCCAGATATTACAGTGTTCACCTTCCCTGCGGGTGTGAAATTACTGATTAATTTAAGTTCAAAATGAACAAATAGAACAACAAAAAAGACAAATTCTCTGTTATTTCCCACCCATCAGTGACTAGATAAGTGACTAGATAATCCGTTAGTCCAATTACAAAGACCACCAAATGGTCAAACCATATAATCACATTCCCAGTCATTGCTGCTACCAAGGAAGAATATAACTTACTGACTATACACAAACCAGAAACTAAAACAAAACATAAACTCAATAGAAAAGAAAAAAGAAAGAAGCAGAGATTCAACAAATTTCTGCTGCCACTTTGGATTCAACCTGGAAGCCAAGAAAAGATTAATGTAAACAATCTAGGAGTTACATTTCTCCAGTAACACAATTTACCTGGCCCTGTCAAGTGTATCCATTGGGCATCTCAGTCAGTACTTTTAAGATATAACCTTGGCTGGGTGTGGTGGCTCACACCTGTAATCCCAGCACTTTGGGAGGCCAAGGCAGGCAGATCACCTGAGGTCAGGAGTTCGAGACCAGCTTGGCCAACTTGGTGAAACCCCATCTCTACTAAAAATACAAAAATTAGCTTGGCGTGGTGGTGGGTACCTGTAATCCCAGCTACTTGGTAGGCTGAAGCAGGAGAATCACTTGAACCCAGGAGGCGGAGGTTGCGGTGAGCAGAGATCCTGCCACTGCACTCCAACCTGGTGACAGAGTGAGACTGTCTCAAAAAAAAAAAAAGATATAATCATGACTCTCTTAGGAATATTAAATGAACACATCAAGGATTTTATTTAATTCATTAACTGATGAGGAAACCGAGAAGATGTTACAACCAATTTCAATTTGCATTTCATTTTGGTTGCTTGGTTTTTCCTGTTTTCTGTCTCTTACTGTTTATTCAGCGGTATCTTTTTTCCCTTTGCTGCTTCCACTTCCTTTTGCTGCTTCCAGTTTTACTTTTATTCCTGTGGTGGCTTTATTTTTTTACCTTCTTTGTCTCTGAAATAGCTCATATTCCATTTCCTTTTGTTGTGTACCAACTCTTCCCTGAGTTCTAGCATTTCTGTTTTATATTCTTGTTTTATAGAGATGACTACTTAATTAATATTACTGAATTTATGCTGATATGTTTAGTCACAATTTTAATCTGCATATGGCAACATTTCTCTGGTAAGAATTCTCCATCTGCCATTTTTTTTTTCTGTTTCTTCCATCCCATTTTCATGTAGTATCTTTGTGTATAAACTGTGCTGGAGTTGTTTGTTTTGTTTTGCTTTGCTTGATAACATCTTTAATTGCAATGAGGTCTCTTTAGACCTTCTACTTGCAGATGATACATGTGGAGAGGAGCTCAGGACCTGATCAAGGATAATAGAAATTTTTACTTAAGTTCTAAGGTTGTTGTGTATGTGAGTTCTTGTAGGCTCTACATCTTCTCAGCCAGTGGATATAGGCAGCTATGGGCTTCTCATAACAAAGACTCTTTCCTCCCCACTGCTTCACTGACCTGTTGCTCACTCTTTATTCTCTGCTTCTCAAAACCAAACTAAGGCCAGACGAGTTCCCTTTACCAGCCTCTAAACTCTTTTCTTGTTATTGTAGATAAAGGATTTGCACTTCAGGGTGTGCTCCTCCCCTTGGAGTGTTGTACTTTTGCTGACTTTTTCTGATTCTATTTTTATTTTTAAAACATATGTGTGTATGTGTACACAAATACCCTAGACTATAAGCTCCACAAGGACAGATACTGTGTCTGATTTTGCTTACCTTTGTATTGTGCGCCTAGCACATAATAGGTCTTCAGAATATGCACACATATATATATTCTTATAAAATGTGTGTATATGTATATATATTTATGAATGCATATTTCATCTATAAAGCCTTGGAAGGATACACACCAAACTTAACACTTGATAGCTCTTGGAACAAGTATTAGTGTGTTTAAGGGACTTTCACTTTTTATTTTGTTTTTTGTTTCTGCATTTGAATTTTTCAATGAATACATAGTACTTTAATAATTAAAATGAAAGATACATTTAGAAAAATTATTCTGACTTGTTAAAGGTTTGTTTCTTGAGATTTTGTATTTCCAATGAACTAATGCTTAAAATAATGAGCCCAGTATGTCAGTAATGTAAATAAATCATTAAGCTACCAACTGCAAATAGATAAATTGAGGGAAAGTACAAAGCCAGTGAATCATAAATTCTTGAGGGAAAATTGGAAAACGCCATCCTTTTAAAAATCTACTCCAAATCAGAGTTAATTAAGAGCTGTATAAACAGTGATTAAAATTTTAGTGCTATGGGAATTGGCTTTTACAAAAGGATTAACCCTGACATGCCATTATATTAGTGACCTAAGGAAAGCAGCTCACCACATTTATTCTGCAAAGTATTTATTAAATTCCTAAGGACTACTATGTATTGTGGAAATAAGGAAATGTATTACTGTCTCTGTCCCTAACAAATTTACAGCAAAGAAAGGTCAGAAACATAATCAATTATACATATATAAGGCAAAATGAAATAACTATACTAATAGGGATACAGAATATATGGGACCACAGAGGAAGAAATGATCTATTCCAAAAGGTGATATTTGAACTTACTCTTCAAGAATAAATAGAATTTTAATGGTAGGAATCAAGTGAACAGAAGCCAGGAGTAATACAGGAGAACATTGTTAGTTTGGGGATTATCTCTTATTCAGGGGTTATATAGTGGGAGATGAGTCCATGTCTTAGTCTGTTTCTGCTGCTGTAACAAAACACCTCATGCAGACCGGGTAACTTACAAAAGAGAAAAATTTTTTTTTCTCACATTTCTGGAGGCTGGGAAGTCTACGGTCAAGGATCCAGAAGGTTCAGTTTTCTGGTGAGGGCTGCTTTCTGATTGCAAGATGATACCTTGTTGCTGCATCCTCCAGAGGGGAGAAACACTGTGTCTTCACAGGGAGGAAAGTGGAAGGGCAAGAAAAGTTAGTGCTGTGTGGAAGCCTCTTTTTTAAGGGCCATAAGGGCTATCTGTAACCCTGTTCATGAGGGAGGAGCCCTCTGGGTCTAATAAGCTATTAAAGGTTCCACCTCTTATCCTATCACATTGGCCATTAAGTTTCAACATCTGAATTTTGGAGGGGACACATTCAAACCACAGTAGGCTGAAAGTAGTGTGATTTGTGATGTGCCCATTCTCAATAACAAATTAGGCCACTAGTATCACCTAGTTCCAAGCTATCTCATGTCTCACTTGGACCACTGCAATAGCTTCCCAAGTGTCCTCTCTGCTGCACTTCTTGCCCTCCTAATAAATTCAATAGCCACACAGCAGCCAGAGTATTTTAACATAAGTCAGTTCATGTCAGTCTCCTTGCACTTCCCATTTAAATGGATTTAAAATAAAATCCCAAGTCCTTACCATAATCTACAAGGCCATAGATAATCCGGTCCTTAGATACCTTCCTCGCCACCTCTCCTGCCACTCTGCCTCATAGCTCCATGTACTCTAGCCCTACTATGTCTCGATAACACCTTGTACTTCCCTGCTTCTGGGCCTTTGTATTTGCCCTTTCCTTTGCATTGGACACTCTTGTCCTAGATATTCATATGCCTTGCTCCCCAACTTGCTCAAGTTTTACCCCCTCAGAGACCACACCCTTTCAAAAATAGCAACTTTCAATACTATTTAACCCCTTAACCTGTGTGTTGACTACTTGACATATTCTATGTTGCTTATTGTTTGTCTCCCTAAATAGAATCCAAGTTCCATGCAGGCAGAAAAGTTGTCTGTCTTGTTCATTCTTTATCCATACCTCCTAAAGTTTTGCCTGGCATATAATAGGGCTCAATAAATATTTATTAAATGAAATTCTGCTATAACACCAGAAATTATATCATTAGAGAGTCATTTATTTTAGTCTTAGAGTGTTTTGATCTTAGAGAACCCTCTGCAAAGATCCTTGGGAGAGCTCACAATTTAGTCATTATCAGCGTATACTCTGGGAGAGGAACATTTAGAAAAAAGTACTTAATGGAGATTGAACTTGGGATTTAGAGCAGAGAAGGGCAGGTTTCCAGGGGTGAAAAAGGAAATTTAAGGGGAAGTTGGGTTTGTACCAAAGATGACTTTGCTTATAGTGAGAAGATACTCAAACCTTTCTTACTTGAGGAAGCTCACAGCTTCTGAATCTCTCTTTCTGGCTGTGAAAAGAAATTTCCTCTTTTGGGTCTCCCTTGAAGATTATCATTTTTGGATGTTGCTAAGAGCATCCTTGGAGTCAGAGTCTCTATATATAGCAAATCATCAAATGTTAGGGCTAGAAGTAATCTTGGTGATTTGGTTTCTTAAAACTATTTATTTTATAACATGAGTTAAACATTTATCACAAAAACAGGAAGATAGAGAAAAGGCTTTAGTTTTTGTAGGTCATTGCAAGGAAGAATTTCGCTTATCTCCAGTGCTATAATTTTGACTTTGGTATAAAGTATTCATCAAGTGTCATCATCGAAAGTATTAGTGGTTATGACAAACAAGGCAAACCTCCTGAGAACTTTAGAACAAAGCCCAGCATGGATGTTCTGCCAGCATAAATGCAGTTCAGCTGGCAGAGCAGAGGATTATCTATGTTTTTATGTATTATATATTACATATTTATATATTAGGGTCTCCTCAACCCATAACTGGAAAGGTCATTCTAATTTATCCAAATACAGTAGATAAAAGCTGCCATTTAACAAGGTGTATGCTAGAAATAGAAATATTTTTTGTCTTTTCCATTGTACACACCAAAACTAGGATTGAATGCTTATTCCTTTGCAGGCAGTCTTTGCTTGGTTCCTTCATTGGCTTAATACAGCAATCAGTCATGCATTACTTTTGTCTCAGAGATTAGTTCTCATGGGTAAGAAATTCTCAGAGATGAAAGTTTTGAGATCAGCCAAAAGAAAAGGCAATTGGAGCTGATCCTCAGGCACATTAAACAGAATGGCAAAACTTGAGTAGATTTTCTAGTGTACATTTTGAGCCAGAACTTAGGCCACAGAAATAGGAGAACCTGAGTTTAGGATTTTTCCTGGAAGGAAATTAGACAATTAGCTGGAGATACCCAAGTATCTCTGATAAAAATGGATCCTAAAAGTCTTCACTTTTGGCAGCATTCCATTTAAATCATGCCTCATAGTCAGCATAAGCTTACCCTAATGATGCAATCCAAAGCCTTAATGGCAGTGAGTAGAGACTTTGATACAGGGCTATGGAGTCACTGAAGAAATATAGTAGGGGTTCCAGGTTGAGGAGACAGGTTTGTTATGGTTCCCAGATACTTATGGTGATATATACTATTCCTTCTCCCAAGTGCCTGATCTAATTAGGAATGTCAGTCCAATCTCCCTGTTCCCAATATATATCTTATTATGGTTTGCTTTTAGAAAGGACAAATGTGAATCTGGAAATTTTATTTATTTATTTATTTATTATACTTTAAGTTTTAGGGTACAGATGCACAACGTGCAGGTTAGTTACATATGTATACATGTGCCATGTTGGTGTGCTGCACCCATCAACTCATCATTTAACATTAGGTATATCTCCTAATGTCATCCCTCCCCCCTCCCCCCACCCCACAGCAGGCCCTGGTGTGTGATGTTCCCCTTCCTGTGTCCATGTGTTCTCATTGTTCAATTCCCATCTATGAGTGAGAACATGCGGTGCTTGGTTTTTTGTCCTTGCGATAGTTTGCTGAGAATGATGGTCTCCAGCTTCATCCATGTCCCTACAAAGGACATGAACTCATCATTTTTTATGGCTGCATAGTATTCCATGGTGTACATGTGCCACATTTACTTAATCCAGTCTATCATTGTTGGACATTTGGCTTGGTTCCAAGTCTTTGCTATTGTGAATAGTGCCGCAATAAACATACGTGTGCATGTGTCTTTATAGCAGCATGATTTAAAATCTTTTGGGTATATACTCAGTAATGGGATGGCTGGGTCAAATGGTATTTCTAGTTCTAGATCCCTGAGGAATCGCCACACTGACTTCCACAATAGTTGAACTAGTTTACAGTCCCACCAACAGTGTAAAAGTGTTCCTATTTCTCCACGTCCTCTCCAGCACCTGTTGTTTCCTGACATTTTAATAATCGCCATTCTAACTGGTGTGAGATGGTATCTCATTGTGGTTTTGATTTGCATTTCTCTGATGGCCAGTGATGGTGAGCATTTTTTCATGTGTTTTTTGGCTGCATAAATGTCTTCTTTTGAGAAGTGTCTGTTCATATCCTTTGCCCACTTTTTGATGGGGTTGTTTTTTTTTTTCTTGTAAATTTGTTTGAGTTCTTTGTAGATTCTGGATATTAGCCCTTTGTCAGATGAGTAGATTGCAAAAATTATCTCCCATTCTGTAGGTTGCCTGTTAGATGGTAGTTTCTTTTGCTGTGCAGAAGATCTTTAGTTTAATTAGATCCCATTTGTCAATTTTGGCTTTTGTTTTCATTGCTTTTGCTGTTTTAGACATTTTCTTGTACAGTTATCTTAGCACAATGTCTCCTGATCAGAATAAGTTGTGTACTATACCTCACCTACACATTCATTACTTATTTTCACAAGACTTCCCAAGCTTTAAACTTCAGTCCACCACTAACTGATTATATATATATATCACAATACATATTCTTTTCAAGTGTACTTGTAACATATACCAAAATAGATCATATGCTGGGCCAAAAAGCAAGTCTCAACAAGTTTCAAAGGATTGAAATCATACAAGGTATGTTATCCAAACAAAGTACAATTAAATGAGAAAGCAACAACAGAAAGATGATTAGGAAACCCCCACTGTTGGAAATCTAAAAGAAACATTTCTAAATAACCCATCAGTCAAAGAAAAAATCAAAATGAAAACGATGGAATAGATTGAACTTAACAAAAATGAAATATGACATCAAAACTTGTTGGATACAACTAAAATAAAGGAAAAGACATAGCTTTAAATGCATATATTAGAAAAGATTAAGGGTTGAAAATTGATGATCTAAGCTTCCAACTTGAGTCTAGGGAAAGAACAGCAAATTAAAGATAGTAGAAGGAAGAATGTAACAAAGATAAGAGCAGAAAACAAAGAAATGAAAAATAACATATAACACAGAAAATCAGGCTGGGCACAGTGGCTCATGCCTGTAATCCCAGCACTTTGGGAGGCCAAGGCGGGCAGATCACCTGAGGTCAGGAGTTTGAGACCAGCCTGGCCAACATGGTGAAGCCCCGTCTCTACTAAAAATACAAAAATTAGCCAGGCATGGTGGCACATGCCTGTAATCACAGCTACTGGGGAGGCTGAGGCATGAGAATCGCCTGAGCTTGGAAGGTAGAGGTTGCAGTGAGCCAAGATCACGCCACTACAATCCAGCCTGGGCGACAGAGAAAGACTCTGTCTCAAAACAACAACAACAACAACAACAACACAGAAAATCAACAAAGCTATAGGTTGCTTGTTTGGAAAGATTAATACAATTGCTAAAAGTCTTGCAAGATGGATCAAGAAAGAACACAAATTACCAATATCAGTAATTCAAAAGTGGGCATCACTACAAATCCCTCAGACATTAAAATCACAATAAAAAGGATATTGTGAACAACTTTATGCCAATAAATTTGACAGTTTGGACAAAATGGACAAATTCCTTGAAAAGTACAGCTACCAAAATTACTTTCCCGCCCCCCATTACTTCTCAGCTTTTTGGCTAAGATCAAGTACAAAATTGTGCCCCCAAAAATAATCTGAGTAGTCCTATTTAGACTATTTTAAATAGTCCTAAACCTACTAAAGAAATGCAACCTTAAATACCTTCTCACAAAGGAAATGGCTTTACCAGTACATTATTCCAAATATATAAGAAAGAAATAATAGATTTTGGGTTGGAGCCAAGATGGCCAAATAGGAACAGCTCTGGTCTACAGCTCCCAGCGTGAGCGACGCAGAAGACGGGTGATTTCTGCATTTCCATCTGAGGTACCGGGTTCATCTCATTAGGGAGTGCCAGACAGTGGGCGCAGGACAGTGGGTGCAGCGCACCGTGAGTGAGCTGAAGCAGGGCGAGGCATTGCGTCACTTGGGAAGTGCAAGGTTTCAGGGAGTTCCCTTTCCTAGTCAAAGAAAGGGGTGACAGACGGCACCTGGAAAATCGGGTCACTCCCACCCCAATACTGCGCTTTTCTGACGGGCTTAAAAAATGGCGCACCAGGAGATTATATCCCGCACCTGGCTCGTAGGGTCCTATGCCCACAGAGTCTCACTGATTGATAGCACAGCAGTCTGAGATCAAACTGCAAGGCGGCAGCGAGGCCGGGGGAGGGGTGCCTGCCATTGCCCAGGCTTGCTTAGGTAAACAAAGCAGCCTGGAAGCTTGAACTGGGTGGAGCCCACCACAGCTCGAGGAAGCCTGCCTGCCTCTGTAGGCTCCACCTCTGGGGGCAGGGCACAGACAAACAAAGACAGCAATAACCTCTGCAGACTTAAATGTCCCTGTCTGACAGCTTTGAAGAGAGCAGTGGTTCTCCCAGCACACAGCTGGAGATCTGAGAATCAGCAGACTGCCTCCTCAAGTGGGTCCCTGACACCGACCCCCGAGCAGCCTAACTGGGAGGCACCCCCCAGTAGGGGCAGACTGACACCTCACACAGCTGGGTACTCCTCTGAGACAAAACTTCCAGCGGAACGATCAGACAGCAGCATTTGCGGTTCACGAAAATCCGCTGTTCTGCAGCCACCGCTGCTGGTACCCAGGCAAACAGGGTCTGGAGTGGACCTCTAGCAAACTCCAACAGACCTGCAGCTGAGGGTCCTGTCTGTTAGAAGGAAAGCTAACAAACAGAAAGGACATCCACACTAAAAACCCATCTGTACATCACCATCATCAAAGACCAAAAGTAGATAAAACCACAAAGATGGGGAAAAAACAGAGCAGAAAAACTGGAAACTCTAAAAATCAGAGCGTCTCTCCTCCTCCAAAGGAACGCAGCTCCTTACCAGCAACGGAACAAAGCTGGACGGAGAAGGACTTTGACGAGGTGAGAGAAGAAGGCTTCAGACAATCAAACTACTCTGAGCTACAGGAGGAAATTCAAACCAAAGGCAAAGAAGTTGAAAACTTTGAAAAAAATTTAGACGAATATATAACTAGAATAACCAATACAGAGAAGTGCTTAAAGGAGCTGATGGAGCTGAAAGCCAAGGCTCAAGAACTACGTGAAGAATGCAGAAGCCTCAGGAGCCGATGCGATCAACTGGAAGAAAGGGTGTCAGTGATGGAAGATGAAATGAATGAAATGAAGCAAGAAGGGAAGTTTAGAGAAGAAAGAATAAAAAGAAATGAACAAAGCCTCCAAGAAATATGGGACTATGTGAAAAGACCAAATCTGCATCTGATTGGTGTACCTGAAGGTGACGGGGAGAATGGAACCAAGTTGGAAAACACTCTGTAGGATATTATCCAGGAGAACTTCCCCAATCTAACAAGGCAGGCCAACATTCAGATTCAGGAAATACAGAGAACGCCACAAAGATACTCCTCGAGAAGAGCAACTCCAAGACACATAATTGTCAGATTCACCAAAGTTGAAATGAAGGAAAAAATGTTAAGGGCAGCCAGAGAGAAAGGTCGGGTTACCCACAAAGGGAAGCCCATCAGACTAACAGCTGATCTCTCGGCAGAAACTCTAAAAGCCAGAAGAGAGTGGGGGCCAATATTCAACATTCTTAAAGAAAAGAATTTTCAATGCAGAATTTCATGTCCAGCCAAACTAAGCTTCATAAGTGAAGGAGAAATAAAATACTTTACAGACAAGCAAATGCTGAGAGATTTTGTCACCACCAGGCCTGCCCTAAAAGAGCTCCCGAAGGAAGCACTAAACATGGAAAGGAACAACTGGGACCAGCCACGGCAAAATCATGCCAAAATGTAAAGACCATCGAGACTAGGAAGAAACTGCATCAACTAACGAGCAAAATAACCAGCTAACATCATAATGACAGGATCAAATTCACACATAACAATATTAACTTTAATTGTAAATGGACTAAATGCTCCAATTAAAAGACACAGACTGGCAAATTGGATAAAGAGTCAAGACCCATCAATGTGCTGTATTCAGGAAACCCATCTCACATGCAGAGACACACATAGGCTCAAAATAAAAGGATGGAGGAAGATCTACCAAGCAAATGGAAAACAAACAAAGGCAGGGGTTGCGATCCTATTCTCTGATCAAACAGACTTTAAACCAACAAAGATCAAAAGAGACAAAGAAGGCCATTACATAATGGTAAAGGGATCAATTCAACAAGAAGAGCTAACTATCCTAAATATATATGCACCCAATACAGGAGCACTCTGATTCATAAAGCAACTCCTGAGTGACCTACAAAGAGACTTAGACTCCCACACAATAATAATGGGAGACTTTAACACCCCTCTGTAAATATTAGACAGTTCAACGAGACAGAAAGTTAACAAGGATACCCAGGAATTGAACTCAGCTCTGCACCAAGTGGACCTAATAGACATCTACAGAACTCTTCACCCCAAATCAACAGAATATACATTTTTTTCTGCACCACACCACACCTATTCCAAAATTGACCACATACTTGGAAGTAAAGCTCTCCTCAGCAAATGTAAAAGAACAAACATTATAACAAACTGTCTCTCAGATCACAGTGCAATCAAACTAGAACTCAGGATTAAGAAACTCACTCAAAACTGCTCAACTACACGGAAACTGAACAACCTGCTCCTGAATGACTACTGGGTACATAACAAAACGAAGGCAGAAATAAAGATGTTCTTTGAAACCAACGAGAACAAAGACACAACATACCAGAATCTCTGGGATGCATTCAAAACAGTATGTAGAGGGAAATTTATAGCACTAAATGCCCACAAGAGAAAGCAGGAAAGATCTAAAATTGACACCCTAACATCACAATTAAAAGAACTAGAAAAGCAAGAGCAAACACATTCAAAAGCTAGCAGAAGGCAAGAAATAACTAAAATCAGAGCAGAACTGAAGGAAATAGAGACGCAAAAACCCCTTCAAAAAATTCATGAATCCAGGAGCTGGTTTTCTGAAAGCATCAACAAAATTGATAGACCTCTAGCAAGACTAATAAGGAAGAAAAGAGAGAAGAATCAAATAGATGCAATAAAAAATGATAAAGGGGATATCACCACCGATCCCACAGAAATACAAACTACCATCAGAGAATACTACAAACACCTCTACGCAAATAAACTAGAAAATCTAGAAGAAATGGATAAATTCCTCGACACATACACCCTCCCAAGACTAAACCAGGAAGAAGTTGAATCACTGAATAGACCAATAACAGGCTCTGAAATTGTGGCAATAATCAATAGCTTACCAACCAAAAAGAGCCCAGGACCAGATGGATTCACAGCCGAATTCTACCAGAGGTACAAGGAGGAACCGGTACCATTCCTTCTGAAACTATTCCAATCAGTAGAAAAAGAGGGAATCCTCCCTAACTCACTTTATGAGGCCAGCATCATTCTGATACCAAAGCCGGGCAGAGACACAACCAAAAAAGAGAATTTTAGACCAATATCCTTGAAGAACATTGATGCAAAAATCCTCAATAAAATACTGGCAATCCGAATCCAGTAGCACATCAAAAAGCTTATCCACCATGATCAAGTGGGCTTCATCCCTAGGATGCAAGGCTGGTTCAATATATGCAAATCAATAAATGTAATCCAGCATATAAACAGAACCAAAGACAAAAACCACATGATTATCTCAATAGATGCAGAAAAGGCCATTGACAAAATTCAACAACCCTTCATGCTAAAAATTCTCAATAAATTAGGTATTGATGGGATGTATTTCAAAATAATAAGAGCTATCTATGACAAACCCACAGCCAATATCATACTGAATGGGCAAAAACGGAAGCATTCCCTTTGAAAACTGGCACAAGAGAGGGATGCCCTCTCTCACCACTCCTATTCAACATAGTGTTGGAAGTTCTGGCCAGGGCAATCAGGCAGGAGAAGGAAATAAAGGGTATTCAATTAGGAAAAGAGGAAGTCAAATTGTCCCTGTTTGCAGATGACATGATTGTATATCTAGAAAACCCCATTGTCTCAGCCCAAAATCTCCTTAAGCTGATAAGCAACTTCAGCAAAGTCTCAGGATACAAAATCAATGTACAAAAATCACAAGCATTCTTATACACCAATAACAGACAAACAGAGAGCCAAATCATGAGTGAACTCCCATTCACAATTGCTTCAAAGAGAATAAAATACCTAAGAATCCAACTTACAAGGGATGTGAAGGACCTCTTCAAGGAGAACTACAAACCACTGCTCAAGGAAATAAAAGAGGATACAAACAAATGGAAGAACATTCCATGCTCATGGGTAGGAGGAATCAATATCGTGAAAATGGCCATACTGCCCAAGGTAATTTATAGATTCAATGCCATCCCCATCAAGCTACCAATGACTTTCTTCACAGAATTGGAAAAAACTACTTTAAAGTTCATATGGAACCAAAAAAGAGCCTGCATCTCCAAGTCAATCCTAAGCCAAAAGAACAAAGTTGGAGGCATCAAGCTACCTGACTTCAAACTATACTACAAGGCTACAGTAACCAAAACAGCATGGTACTGGTACCAAAACAGAGATATAGATCAATGGAACAGAACAGAGCCCTCAGAAATAAAGCCGCATATCTACAACTATCTGATCTTTGACAAACCTGAGAAAAACAAGCAATGGGGAAAGGATTCCCTATTTAATAAATGGTGCTGGGAAAACTGGCTAGCCATATGTAGAAAGCTGAAACTGGATCCCTTCCTTACCCCTTATACAAAAATCAATTCACGATGGATTAAAGACTTAAACGTTAGACCTAAAACCGTAAAAACTCTAGAGGAAAACCTAGGCATTACCATTCAGGACATAGGCATGGGCAAGGACTTCATGTCTAAAACACCAAAAGCAATGGCAACCAAAGCCAAAATTGACAAATGGGATCTAATTAAACTAAAGAGCTTCTGCACAGCAAAAGAAACTACCATCAGAGTGAACAGGCAACCTACAAAATGGGAGAAAATTTTCACAACCTACTCATCTGACAAAGGGCTAATATCCAGAATCTACAAAGAACTCAAACAAATTTACAAGAAAAAAAAAAACCCCATCAAAAAGTGGGTGAAGGACATGAACAGACACTTCTCAAAAGAAGACATTTATGCAGCCAATAAACACATTGAAAAAATGCTCACCATCACTGGCCATCAGAGAAATGCAAATCAAAACCACAATGAGATACCATCTCACACCAGTTAGAATGGCAATCATTAAAAAGTCAGGAAACAACAGGTGCTGGAGAGGATGTGGAGAAATAGGAACACTTTTACACTGTTGGTGGGACTGTAAACTAGTTCAACCATTGTGGAAGTCAGTGTGGCAATTCCTCAGGGATCTAGAACTAGAAATACCATTTGACCCAGCAATCCCATTACTGGGTATATACCCAAAGGACTATAAATCATGCTGCTATAAAGACACATGCACACGTATGTTTATTGTGGCACTATTCACAATAGGAAAGACCTGGAACCAACCCAAATGTCCAACAATGATAGACTGGATTAAGAAAATGTGGCACATATACACCATGGAATACTATGCAGCCATAAAAAATGATGAGTTCATGTCCTTTGTAGGGACATGGATGAAATTGGAAATCATCATTCTCAGTAAACTATTGCAAGAACAAAAAACCAAACACTGTATGTTCTCCCTAATAGGTGGGAATTGAACGATGAGAATACATGGACACAGGAAGGGGAACATCACACTCTGGGGACTGTTGTGGGGTGGGGGGAGGGGCGAGGGATAGCTTTAGGAGATATACCTAATGCTAAATGACGAGTTAATGGGTGCAGCACACCATCATGGCACATGTATACATATGTAACTAACCTGCACATTGTGCACATGTACCCTAAAACTTAAAGTATTATAATAATAAAATAAAATAAAAAGAAAGAAATAATATCAATCTCATACAAATATCTCTTATGGAAAATAGAGAAAAAAGTAATACATGGATTTTATGAGGCCAGCATACTCTGATTCCAAAAACTAAAAAGAAAAATACAAGTCAGTGTCAGTGTCTTTTTTGTTTGTTTGTTTTTGTTTTTGTTTTTTTGAGATGAAGTCTCACTCTGTCGCCCAGGCTGGAGCGCAGTGGCACGATCTCAGCTTACTGCAATATTTGCCTCCCAGGTTCCAGCGATTCTCCAGCCTCAGCCTCCCAAGTAGCTGGGACTACAGGCATGCACCACCACGCCCAGCTAATTTTTGTATTTTTAGTAGAGATGGGGTTTCACCATGTTGGCAAGGCTGGTCTTGAACTCCTGACCTCAGGTGATCCGCCCGCCTCGGCCTCCCAAAGTGCTGGGATTACAGGCGTGGACCACCACACCCGGCATCAGGCCAGTATCTTAAATGATAGATGCAAAGATCCTAAATACATTTTAGAAAATTGAATCCAGCAATATATAAAAAGGATACTGCATCATGACCAATATTGCTTATCCCAGGAATTCAACATTCAAAAATGAGTGCACATTAACAAAATAAAAGAGGAAAATATAATAATCTCAATAGATGCAGAAAAAGCATTTGAAAAAAATTCCATACCCATTCATGACGAGAACACTCAACGAACTAGGAATAGAAAGTCACTTCCTCAATCTGATAAACATTACTTGAAAACAAACTACTCCTTATTTTGTATTTAATGGTAAAATATGAACACTTTCTCACTGATGTCAGGGAATGAAACATGGATATACACTATCACCACTTCCATTCAATATTATACTGGAATAATTCCAGGCCTCCTAGTAACCCATTTCACATCTTAGGTCTAATTGATCACTCTCTCCATGCTGCCTCTTAAAGACAATATGTTCTTTTTTAACTTCAGTTGTAAACCCTTTATATGCTTTAAGACGGTTTCCAAAGCATTTGTTAAGCTCTGTCTTCTTCAGATCAACTATTTCAGAAATAGGTTCTATTTTCCAACCTTCTAGTCATAGCCATTCTTCTCCTTTACATGTTTTCCAGTAGTGGATTGTGAATCAGAACATGTGGGATTAGGGTCCTGGCTCTCCATTAATTTGCTGTTTCTATGGGTAGGAACAGCATTTAGTTTCTCAGCCATAATCTTCTCATCTGGAAAGTGGGGTTAATAACCCCTGCCCTGTGTATGCATTAGAAGGGCATTTCGCCTATCCGAAGAACTCAGAATAATGGAGCAATTTCTAAACCATGACTTTGAAAACACTGCAGAGACCCAGCCAATCTACCATTTCCAGGAGCTTACAACATAATTCCAACAACAAATGTAACCTGAAATAGATAAACAAACTGTACATCTCTATAATGGAATACTACTCAGAAGTAAATGAATGTTAAATGCATTTGCCAAGTGAAAAAAGACAGATCCAAAAGGCTATGATTCCATTTATATGATATCCTGGAAAAGGTAAAACCATAGGAAAAGAAAACACATCAGTGATTGCCAGAGGTTGGACATTGGAGTAGGAGTTCCCTATAAAGGGGTAACATGAGAGAATCTTTAGGGTAATGAATGTTCTATAAGGAGCAGTGATAGTGGACACACAATTCTATGCATTTTTCACAACCAATAGAACTATATGCCACAAAGAGTAGATTTTACCGGATACAATTTTAAAATAAATCAATCAGGATGTGGAGGGAATCCCAGATGGAATTCAGACTGTGACAAATGAATCTGACTCTATTACGAATGAACTACATAGCCACATGGAAGGGGGTGAGGAAGAAAGAAGCCGATTTAAGTAACTTTGAAAAACTCTGTTTTGATTAGATGCAAGGCTAAAGACAAAAAGAACTATGCACAATACTGTATTCTAGTTGGTAACTTTTTTCACGTGGATATGGATTAGCAATAATGAAAATACTTTACATATTTAGTCAGTTTTGCTGTTACATGGCATATGCATGCCTAAAAATTATTACAGTATCCAAAATTGTGTAATAAAGACCACAGGGCTTACGGGAAAAAATGGGGTTGGGGTATAACACTAAAAAATTTGGTCTGTGACATATTAAAAAAAAGATAAGAGCCTAATAAAATGACAGCATGGTTTTATATATGTTAAATGACTAAAAATACATGAATACTACAATAAATATGGCTATTTACCTTAAAAAAGACCTGGCATTTGCTTATGGAAGTGAATATCAGAAGGACTGCAGCTTGTGAGATACTGTGAAGTGGTGGGAGGAGGTTGTCTGAAATCTGATGGAAAGTTGTAGCAACAGATGTGGATGAGTGTGGCCCATAACACATTCAGTGAACTGAGGTAGTGGATAGAAGTTTGAGTTGTGCACATGTGTGTGTTATGCATATTCCTATACAGCTTGGTTCAGCCAGATGCTGCTTTCTGCATTCACTTACTATTTCACATAGACTAAATTGCACATAAGCAAGTACTTAATTTACATAATTTACATTAATTGTTACCTAATATATCAATCATGTTGGAACAAATTCACATTTTCAAAACAAACATTATAACAACTGTATGTATGTGTGTGTATATATAGTATGTATTATGTATATGCAAATAGACATGCATATAATATGGTTTTCTTTATCTGTGATTTGGAATAAAGTTTTAAAAATAAGTAAATTTGGGCTGGGCACGGTGGCTCACACCTGTAATCTCAGCACTTTGGGAGGCCAAGGCAGGTGGATCATGAAGTCAGGAGTTCGAGACCAGCCTGGCCAATATGGTGAAACCCCGTCTCTACTAAAAATACAAAAATCAGCTGGGCATGGTGGCACGTGCCTGTAGTCCCAGCTACTCGGGAGGCTGAGGTAGAAGAATTGCTTGAACCCAGGAAGTGAGGGTTGCAGTGAGCTGAGATCACGCCACCACACTCCAGCCTGGGCGACAGAACGAGACTCTGTCAAAAAAAAAAAAAAAAAAAGTAAATTGATATGGTTGTTGGATACAGGTTTATATATAAATAATTAATTATATTTCTGTATACTAGCAAGAAATTATTGGAAAGTGACCTTTAAAATACAATTTTTGATAGCATCAAAATCCATCAAATGCCTAGTAATCTATAATGAAAGATGTATAAGACCTCTGCACTGAAAGCCACAAAACCTTGAAACATGGCTGAAAGAAATTTTTAAAGGTCTAAATAAATGCAGATATATGCCATGTTCATGTGTTAGAAAACTCAATATTGTTAGGATATATCAGTTTTCCCAAATTGATCTATAGATTCAAAGCAATCCCAATCAAAATCCCAGCTGGGGCTGTGTGTGGTGGCTTACAGTACTATAATCCTAGCACTTTGAAAGGCCAAGGTGGGAGGATTGGTTGAGCCCAGGAGTTCAAGTATGGCCTAGGCAACATGGCGAGACCCTATGTTTACCAAAAAAAAAAAAAAAAAAAAAAAAAAAAAAAAAAACCGGTGTGGTGGCATGCACCTGTGGTCACAGTGGTCACAGCTACTTGGGAGGCTGAGGCAAGAAGATCACTTGAGCCCAGGAATTTGAGGTTACAGTGAGCTATGATTGCACCACTACACTCTAGCCTGGGTGACAAAGTGAGACCTTGTCTCAAAAGATAATGAAATAAAATAAATGAAAAATCATAGGAGAATATCTTCATGACTTTGTGGAGACAAAAGTTTACCAACTATAAAAGAAAATATTGATAAAGTGGACTTCATTACAAGTGAGAACTTTGGTCTGTCAAAAGATACCGTTGAGAAAAGAAAAAGACAAGCCACAGATAGGAAGAAGATATGCCAATACATAAGCTTGACAACTTCCAGAATATATAAAGAATTCTTACAATTCAACAAGAAAAGATAAATAACCCAATAAAAAAATGGACAAAAGAATTGAATGGCTGGGCACAGTGGCTCGTTCCTGTAATCCCAGCACTTTGGGAGGCTGAGGTGGGTGGATCACCTGAGGTTGGGAGTTCGAGACCAGCCTGACCAACATGGAGAAACCCCATCTCTACTAAAAATACAAAATTAAGCGGGCGTGGTGGCACATACCTGTAATCCCAGCTACTCAGTAGGCTGAGGCAGGAGAATCGCTTGAACCCGGGAAGCGGAGGTCACGGTCAGCTGAAATCACGCCTTTGCACTCCAGCCTGGGCAACAAGAGTGAAAATCCATCTCAAAAAAAAAAAAGAATTGAATGGAAATTTCACCCAAAAAAAATGTATAAATGGTCAACAAGCAAAGGAAAAGATGCTCAGCATCATTACTCATCAAGAAAATGCACATTGAGAAGCCGCTGCACCCTCACTGAAATGACTAAAAAAAAAATCAAGTGTTAATGAGGGTGGGAAGCAACTGGAGTTCTGGCACACAACTAGTGGAAATGTAATTGGTACAACCACTTTGGAAAACTGTTTGGCAGTATCTGCTAAAACCAAACATGTTTCTATCCCAGCAGTGACCGTCAAATCTCACTTTTAGATATATACTCAGGTGAAATGAGTACATCTCTTCACCACAGTATGTACAAGAATGTTCAAGACAGCTCTATTCATAGAACTAAAAATTTGAAACAACATTACTGTTCATCAGCAGAATGATAGATTAAATAAATTGTGGTATGTTCATACAATGGAATACTACAAAGCAATAAAAAGAATGAACGTCTGATAGCATACAAAAATATTTATGAATATGACAGACATTATGAGTAAAAGAAGTTGGTCCCAAAAGAATACACAATATAAATTCAATTTTTCAAACAATTGTATTGAGATATAACTCACATGCCATGCAGTTCACCCATCAAAGTGTACAATTCAATACACTTTAGTATATTCACAGATATGTGCAACCACCACTGACAATCAATTTTGGAACATTTTATTACCTCAAAAGGAAAGCAACGTACCCTTTAGTTTCCCTTGCATTTCTCCCACAAGCCCTGAACAACCACTAATCTACTTTCTGTTTCTATAGCTTTGCATATTCTGAACACTTCATTTAAATAAAATTATATAATACATGGACTTTTGTGACTGCCTTATTTCACTTAGCATATTTTTGAAGTTCATTCATGTTGTGGCATGTCAGTACTTCATTACTTTTTATGGTCAAATAATATTCCATTGCCTGGGCATACCATGTTTTATTCATCCATTCATCAGTTGATGGACATTTGGATCATTTCTATCTTTTAGCTATTATGAATAATGCTGCTGTAAACTCTTGTGCACAAGTTTTTGTGTGGACCTATTTTCACTTTTTTGTGTGTGTATACCTAGGAGTGGAATTGCTGGGTCATATGGTAACCCTATGTTTAATCATTTGAGGAACTGCCAGAGTGTTTTTCAAAGCAGCTGCATCATTTTACATTTCCACCAGCAATGTATGAGGCTTCCAGTTTCTCCACCTCCTTCTCAACACTTGTATTACCTGCCTTTTTTATTCTAGCCATCCTAGTGAATGTATAGTGATATCTTATTATGGTTTTGATTTCCTGATGACTAATTTTCCTGATGACCAATGGTGTTGAGCATCTTTTCAGATGGTTATTGGCCATTGTATATCTTCTTTGGAGAGTATCTATTCACACCCTTTCCCAATTTTTCATTAGGCTGCCTTTTATTATTGAATAGCAAGAGTTATTTATGTATTCTAGATACATGTCTTTGATCAGATATATGCCTTGATTTTGCCCCACTCTGTCAATTGTCTTTTCTCTTTCTTGATCATGTCCTTTGAAATACAAAATTCGTTAACTTTGAGGAGGTCCAGTTTATCTATTTTTCTTTCATTGCTTATGCTTTTGATATCATATCTAAGAATCCATTGCCAAATCAAAAGTTATGAAGGTTTACCCCTCTGTTTTCTTCCATGAGTTTTATAGTTTAGCTCTTATCTTTAAATATTTGATCTATTTCGAGTTAATTCTTGTATATGCTATGAGGTGAGGGTCTAACTTCATTCTTTATCATGTGGCTATCCAGTTGTCCCAGAACTATTTGATTAAAAGACTATCCTTTCCCTCATTGGATGGTCTTTGCCCCTTTTGGAAAATCAGTTGACCACAGACACATTGTTTTATTTCTGGGTTGTCAATTCTGTTCCATATATATATATATATCCTTATGTCAGTACCATGCTGTCTTGATTACCATTGCTTTCTATTTTCTTTTTCTTTTCCTTTCTTTTTTGTTGAGACTGAGTCTTGCTCTGTTGCCCAGGCTGGAGTGCAATGGTGCCATCTCGGCTTACTGCAACCTCTGCCTCCTTGGTTCAAGCAATTCTCCTCTCAGCCTCCCAAGTAGCTGGGACTACAGGTGGCCACCACCACATCTGGCTAATTTTTGTATTTTTAGTAGAGACAGGGTTTCACCGAGTTAGCCAGGCTGGTCTCGAACTCCTGACCTCAAGTGATCTGCCCACCTCAGCCTCCCAAAGTGCTGGGACTATAGGCATGAGCCACTGCGCCCAGCCTCCATTGCTTTCTAGTAAGCTTTGAAATCAGGAAGTGTTAGTCCTACAACTTTATTCTTGGTTTTCAAGATTGTTTTGGTTATTCTGGGTCCCTTGAATTTCCATACGAGTTTCAAGATCAACTGTCAGTTTCTGAAAAAAATAACTGAGCTGGGATGCTGATAGGGATTGTGTTGAATCTATAGATAATTTTGGGGAGTGTTATCATCTTAATGATAAATCATCAAATCCATGAACATGGGATATGTTTCCATTTTGTTACATCTTGTTTATTTCAATGATGTTTTATAGTTTTTGTTTATAAGTTACATAACAAAATGGAAACTAAGTTACATAACTTATACACTAAAAACTATAAACGTACACACTAATTCTTTCTTTTTCTTTTTTTTTTTTTGAGACAGAGTCTCACTCTGTTACTCAGACTGGAGTGCAGTGGTGCGATGTCAGCTCACTACAACCTCTGCCTCCCGGGTTCAAGTGATTCTCATGCCTCAGCCTCCTGAGTAGCTGGAATTACACACATGCGCCCCCACACCCGGCTAATTTTTTTTTTTTTTTATAGAGATGGGATTCTGCCATGTTGGCCAGACTGGTCTCAAACTCCTGGCCTCAAGTGATCCACCTGCCTTGGCCTCCCAAAGTGCTGGAATTACAGTTGTGAGCCACTGTGCCTGGTCCTTGTTCTTTATTTCTAAGTATTTTCTTCTTTTTGATGCTGTTATAAAGGGAATTGTTTCAATTTTATTTTCAGCTTACTCATTGCTGCTATATAAAAATAGAATTGGCCAGGTATGGTGGCTCACTTTGGGAGGCCAAGACTGGAGTATCACTTGAGCTCAGGAGTTTGAGACCAGCCTGGGCAACATAGTGAGACCTTGTCTCTAATAAATAAATAAATAAATACTTGATTGTTGTATATTGATCTTGATGAACTTGCTGATTAGTTATAATGGCATTTTACTGGATTCCCTAGGAATTTTATTCACAAGATTATATCATCTTGTGAATAAGATTGATGTTTTTATTCCTTTTGATGCTATTGTAAATGGATTTATTTTGCAGAGCTTCAAAACACTTGAAGCAAAAACTGCTAGAACTAAAATGAGGAATAGACAAATCCATAACTACTTGGAAACTTGAATATTCCTTTCTTAGTAATCAATAGAATAGGTCAACAAATACTCAATAAAGATGTAGAAGACATGAGCAACACTATCAGCCAACTTGACCTAATTGACATTTAGAACACTCTACCCAACAACAGCAGAATACAGTTTTTTCAAATTCACAAGGAACATTCATCATTGTAAGCCATATTCTGAACCACGAAACAAACTTCAAAAAATTTAAAAGTATTGAAATCATAAAATTATTGAAATATCCAAGTATTTTCTCTGACCACAAGAGAATTATATATCTATAATACAAAGTTATCTGTAAAACCTTCCAATATTTGGAAATTAAACAACATACTTTAAAATAATCCAGTAGGCTAAAGAGGAAGTGACAGGGGAAATTAGGAATTTTTTTTAATTGAATGAAGATGAAGACACAACATATAAAAATGTGTAGGCTACAACTAGAGCAGTATCTAGACAAAAGTGTATAGCATTAAATGCTCCTATTAGAAAAAAAAAGAAAGGTCTCAAGTAATCTAAGTCTCCACCTTAAGAAACTAGAAAAAATGAGCAAATTAAACCCAATCAAGCAAAAGAAAAGTAATAAAAATAAGAGCACAGATCAATAAAATTTAAGACAGAAAACAGTAGATAAAGTCAATGAAACCAAAAGTTTTTTTTTCTTTTGAAAAGACCAATACAAATGATAAACCTCTAGCCAGGCAGATCAAGCACAAATTAACAATATCAGGCATAAATGTGGAGACCTCACTAGAGATCCTACAGACATTTTAAAAGGTAATAAGGGAATATTATGAACACTTTTATGTCCATGAATTTAGAATTTTAGGTGAAATGTACAAATTTCTTGAAAGTCACAAACTACCAAAGCTCCCTCAAGAAGAAATATATACTCCTATGCCTATTAATTAAATTCATAGTTTAAAATCTTCCAACAAAGAAAACTGCATTGAAGAATTCTACCTAACATTTAAAGAAGATGTAATACCAACTCTATACAAACTCATCCTGAAAGGAGGGCCCAATTCCCAGTTCATCTTATGAGACTATTATCCTGATACCAGTAGTAGACAAAGACAATATAAGAAACTGCAGACCAAGATTCCTCATGAAAATAGATGCAAAACATAAACGCAGAAAAGCAAAGATAGTTGCTACCTTGGTTGGATGGTATTGACTGGAAAGGAGCACAAAGGAACCTTCTGTATTGTTGGAAGTGTTTGTTATCACAATCTAGGTAGTTATTACACGGGTTTAAACACATGTAAAAACTCATCAAGCTGTTTAAGGTTAGAGCACTTCTTTCAGTTTGTTGTATATATGTCATACCTCAAAACATTTTTCAATGTTCAATCTACCAAGAAGGATGAATGAAAAGTGTCTCACATAGTTTAGTGTATGACACCTGACATGAAATTCTTTCTATGCTGATGCCCAAGAAATTCTGTCGACTAATGAAACAGTTTGGAAACTCTCCTCTATTCTGCTTAAAATAAAGTCACTGTTGGTTTATACAGCACTGTATCTTCTGGTTAACTCGGCCATTAGAGTGAGCACCAGCCCAGTTGAAAGTTCACAAGAAGCAAGTAAACACTGGATTTGATTTAGAATCAATAATAGCAGCAGGGTTTTCTCAGGCTGTTTAGAAGCATCGTGGCAATTGTTTGAGAAAATATAGGTAGTTCTAGTGAATGCGCTACAGAATGTTGGAAGTAGCGGTTAGCTTAGAGATTTTAAAATGTTAGAATCAAATAAAAAACAAAAATAAAATTTAGAATCTGTCTACAGCAGTGAAGATGACCTTCAAATTGTAAGTAAAATTAATATTTCTTAGAAGGAAAACCTCTCCAGTTAGTGAAATTACAACCAAAGAGAATAATATAATATAATCACAAAGAATGTTGCATTTTTGCCTCTTTCTTAGGGACCTTCTCAAATGATTCATGTGAGAAATTGCTTCTGCTGTACGAGTTTGAAGTTAGAGCCAAATTGAATGATCCATTACTGGAAAGCTTCCTGGAATCAGTGTGGGAGTTGCCTCATTTAGAAACTAAAACTTTTGAAACAATTGCAAGTAAGAGCTATATTTATGCTTTTGTAAGGCTGGTGCCCATTTAGATCGTATGACTTTTTTTCTTCTCTTTACTCTTCTTTCTTACCTCCAGGTAGGAAATAATTTTTTCTCATAGCACTTTGTTTCTCCTTCTCTAATGCCATTCTTAGACTATTTTGTATTATGATCATTTGTGCATTTATCTTCTTCACTCTATGAGATTATAATCTCTTTAGGGTCATAAACAATAATTACTTAATTTGTACTTACAAACCCTAGCGAAGTTCATTGCTCCTAATAGGTGCTCAAATTTTTTCTGTGTGGAATTTAATTATGTAACTACACAACAGGGGGAGCTCAAACTTTAGAAAGTTTTTCTGGGCTAGCTAGAAATAACTGAGTGCTTCAACAATCAAAAGTGATGCAATCTTAGCTGTTTGTTGAAATGTACAGAGAAATACTGGTAATATTTTTTAACACAATTGCCACTCTCAAATTTCAGGCCAAACTTTACGTGGGTTTGGGGGCATAGAGCCTTTTTGGGAGTACACTGCAGGAAACAGCCTAATTATCTTCCCTTTTTATCTCTCACCCTCTTCAGGAGCATGTGTGTGGTTAATAAAAATATTAGGTAGCTCCAAGTGCACAAGAGTCACATTTGCCTTTCCTTGGTCTTGCCAAGACAGAATTCCTAGAGCCATGGAGCAGATGATATATACTTTATGGACATGTGACAGCAACCACTGCTCCTTGTATAATGGAACTCCAATTCTAAAAATCTGTTAAATGCATCTGGAAGTCTTAGGGTTAGTTACCTCTGATACTCCCTTGTCAAGTGTTTCCTATTTTTAGTATCAGATAAAAATAGGACATTTTAGTACAAACCTGTTTCAATTAGTGCCCTTTTACTGATCTGCTTTCTGTTTCCTTCTTAGTGTGCCCTTCCTTGACTGTCATTCATAAGATTATTGCTTCACCTGTATGACTGTGTGCAAGGTCATACAAACAGTAGGTTTTCTGTTGATGTTTGCTGAAAAAAGGATGTTACCTGGTAATCCCACCATGCTACTCTGCCCAGAAAGTAGAAGCTATTTCCAAAAGCGACTGTAGATTTATCATTTATAAAATTCATTGTTGTTTATTTTTGTTCATCTGTTTCAGCCCAGTTTCATTAGAGAAAGCAAGTGGTAGCCTGGGATGAAAACTGTGATGGGTGACATTATCATGTTCACAACCTTTTTCCTTTTCTTACTCTAGTAATAGCAATGGAAAAGCCTGCACACTATCCTTTGATTGCTCTCAAGGCCTTGAAAAAGGCTTTATTGCTCTACAAAAAGGAAGAACCAATTGATATATCACAATACAGGTTAGTAAATACAATCCAGCCTTTTTGCTAGCCAAAAGAACTATAGTCAATGCCTCAAAAGTAACCAATCGTTCTTAATTGACTCAACTTTAAAGATGATATGGGGATGATCTGGGGGCATTCTTGTGAACAGCTCCATACTGAGAGTTGTATTACAGACCAATAATTATTTAGCAAAGTCAAGGAGCTTGGTTTTCCCAAAGGAGAAAAAAAAGGGGAAAAGTTGCTTCTTTGTGTGAATCTGTGTATATAATAAAACTGCTAAGTACCTTTCTTTCTTTGTTTCATCACTAAATAATATTCCAAATGTACAGAAAAGCACAGGGGTTAATATAACAAACACCAACGTATCCACCACCCAGATTTATTTGTTTTATTTTTAGAGATGGGGTCTCGTGATGTTGCCCAGGCTGGATTCAAACTCCTGGGCTCAAATGATTCTCCACCTCAGCTTCATGAGTAGCTGGGATTACAGGCACGCAGCACCCAGATTTAACAAATGTTAACATCTTGCTATGTTTGCCTCATTATTTTTCTAAGCACTTTAAGCACCGATAAGTGCTGTATAAAATATTATCTATTGGAGACTTTTTTGTTTTCTGTGTCCAGACATGGGGAAAAATAGATGTTGTGTGACTTTTTTTGTCTGGAAAACATCATTACAGTCTTCCTGTGTTAAGGCACGAAAGACAGTTCTTGTGGAATCATTCCACTTTAAACCCCAGTTCCCTTGCCCATTTGAGGAAGTACCGAGATGCTTTAAAATGCCTGTAAATTGAACCAGCTCATAAAATATAATAGACAGCCACAACTCCTTCGTGCAGGAAACTAAAAAAAGAATGAAAGACAACCATAGGCATGAAAAAAGAAAGGATTGGTCAACCTGTTTTACAGCTTCAAAAATCTGTCTTCTGAGGTTGGAGGCCAGATAAAACCGAGGGAAGAACAGAAGTGTTTTGAAGCTGTTAGTCTGGGATGAGATCCAGGTTTTACTTATCTTAGCCATGAAGCCAATGATTTCTTTCCTTATGGGATGAGTTTTCTCTTTTTGATTTTCAGCAAATGTATGCACAACTTGGTTAACCTCTCAGTGCCAGATGGGGCGTCGAATGTAGAGCTCTGTCCCCTGGAAGAAGTTTGGGGCTATTTTGAAGATGCTCTGAGCCACATTAGCCGCACTGTAAGTCAAATAGTGATATTAAACTTTCAGTTAATTTTAAAGAACTGAACTGTCTTGTGTACTATAAATTATATACAATAATGCTTTCTGATATGAGTTTTAGGATAAATTCATATTACAATTTTGTAGTTACACACTACAGAATTTTCCTGGGTTTCTGAAATATAAATAGTTGAAAGTAGACATTTTCTAACACAAGTGTATTATGGATTAGGTCCAAGTAGCAGTACCACCAGGCATTTTGAATTATTTTATATTTTCAAATCATGGTGGGATGATTACTTTCTCTGTGATGATATGAACCTTTTGAAAAAAGTTATTGCTATTCCCATCCTTTCTCAGAAGCATCCTTTCTCAGAAGAGTAGAAGGAACATTGAAGACCTGTATTCTAGTCCCTCCTCTGCTGATTTCTTTTTCTTTTCTGTGCAGGTTTATTCAGTTGTTTTAAAATTAGGTTTCTTGAGGTATAATTCACATATCATAAAATTCACCCATGGCTTGTGCACAATTCAGTAAATTTATAGAGTTGTGCAACTATCACTACAATCCAGTGTTTTTTAGTTTTAAAAATGTTTTATTTTTAATTTTTGTGGGTACATAGCGGTGTACATGTACCCATACTTATGGGGTACATGAGATTTTTTGGTACAGGCATATAATGCATAATAATCATATCAGGATAAATGGGGTATCCATCACCTCAAGCATTTATCCTTTGTGTTACAAGCAATTCAATTATACTTTTAGTTTTTTAAAATGTACAATTAAATTATTGTTGATTATAATCACCCTGTTGTGCTATTAAGTACAGATCTTATTCATTCTATTTTTTGTACCTATTAACCATTTCCACATTTCCCCCACCCCTCCTCTGGTAACCATCACTCTACTCTTTCTCTCCCCAGCAGTTCAATTATTTTAATTTTTAGCTTTCACAAATAAGTGAGAACATGTGAAGTTTGTTTTTTGTGTGTGTGCTGGGCTTATTTCACTCAACATACTGACCTCCAGTTCCATCCATGTTGTTGCAAGTGACTGGATCTTATTTTTTTTATGGCTGAATAGTACTCCATTGTGTATAGGTACCACATTTTCTTTATCCATTCATCTGTTGATGGACACTTAGGTTGCTTGCAAATCTTAGCTATTGTAAACAGTGCTGCAACAAACATAGGAGTGCAGATACCTCTTTGATATACTGATTTCCTTTCTTTTGGGTATATATCCAGTAGTGGGATTGCTGGATCATACGGTAACTCAATTTTTCGTATTTTGAGGAACCTCCGAACTGTTCTCCATAGTGGTTGTACTAATTTACTTTCCCACCAACAGTGTGCAAGGGTTCCCTTTTCTCCACATCCTCACCAGCACTTCCTATTATTGCCTGTCATTTGGATATAAGCCATTTTAACTGGGGTGAGATGATATCTCACTGTAGTTTTGATTTGCAGTTCTCTGATGATCAGTGATAGTAAGTACCTTTTCATATGCCTGTTTGCCATTTGTTTGTCTTCTTTTGAGAAATGTCTATTCAGATATTTTCCTTATTTTAAAACTCGATTATTAGATTTTTTTTCCTATAGAGTTGTTTGAGCTCTGTATATATTCTGGTTATTAATCCCTTATCAGAGGGGTAGTATGTAAATATTTTCTCTCATTCTGCAGGTTGTCTCTTCACTTTGTTGATTGTTTCCTTTGCTGTGCAGAAGCTTTTTAGCTTGATGTGATCCCATTTGTCCATTTTTGATTTGGTTGCCCATACTTGTAGGATATTGCTCAAGGAATCTTTGCCTACTCCAATATCCTGGAGAGCTTTCCCAATATTTTCTTGTAGTAGTTTCATAGTTTGAGGTGTTCGATTTAAGTCTTTAATCCATTTTGATTTGATCTTTGTATAAGGCAAGACATAGGGATCTCAACTTTCCTCCTTCTGCATATGGATATCCAGTTTTCCCAGCACCATTTATTGAAGAGACTCTTCTTTCCCCAAAGTATGTTCTTGGCACCTTTGTCAAAAATGAGTTCACTGTAGATGTATGGATTTATTTCTGGGTTTGCTATTCTGTTCCACTATGTTGAGCTGCCTGGGGCTGGAGGAGGGGTGATACAAGCACCCTTGTGGCCACTGCCACTGGGACTGTGCTGGTCAGACCTGAAGCCAGCACAGCACTGGGTCTCACCCAAGGCCCACTGTAACCACTACCTGGCTACCACCTATGTTTGCTCAATGCCTTAGGGCTCTACAGTCAGCAGGTGATGAAGCCAGCCAGGCTGTCCTTCCCTTCAGGGCAGCAACTTCCCCCTGGCCCCAGAGATGACATGCAGGAGCCAGGGCCTGGAGTCAGAAACCCTAGAAATCTACCTAGTGCTCTATTCTACTGCAGCTTAGCTGGTATCCAAACCACAAGACAAAGTCCTTCCCACTCTTTCCTCTTTCCACACGCAGAAGAGTCTCTCCCCGTGGCCACCACCATCAGGTGGTGTGGGGAGTTCTGCTGGGCTACTGCCAGTGTTCACTTAAGGCCCAAGGGCTCTGCAATCAGCTTGTGGTGAATGCTGCCAGGCCTGGGACTCATACTTCAGAGAAGTGGGCTCCTCTCTGGCCCAGGACAGGTACAGAAATGCCATCCAAGAGCCAAGGCCTGGAACCGGGGACCCTAGGAGCCCACTTGGTGCTCTAACCCACTGTGGCTGAGTTGATATCTAAGCTGCAATACAAAATCCTCTTTACTCTTCCCTCTGCTTTTCTCAAGCAGAAGGAGTCTCTCCTCATAGCCACCACAGCTGGGAATGTACTGGGTCACAACTGAAGCCAGCATGTCTCAGAGTCTCACCTAAGGCCCACAGTATGTACTACCTGGCTACTGCTGCTGATCACTGAGGGCCAAAGTGCTATTTAGTCAGCAGGTGATGAATCCTGCCGAGACTGGGTCCTTCCCTTCAAGGCAGTGGGTACCTTTTAGCCCGAGGTGTGTCTCAAAATGTTATCTGGGAACTAGGTCCTGGAATGGGACCTTCATGACTATGCCAAGTGCCCTGTCCTACTGTGGCTGAGCTGGTATCCAAGATGCAAGACAAAGTCCCCCTTAAGCTTCCCTCTCCTCTCCTCTAGTGGAAGGAAGGGGTCTGTTTTGGAGCTGCAAACTGCACTGCCTGGGGTTGAGGGAGGGGTCGTGCAATCACTCCCTTGGCTGCCCTGGCTGGTGTCTCACTAGGTCGCATGTCCCCCAGATGCACTGGCTCCAAGCCCAGCACAGCACAAAGATTTGCCCAGGAGTTGCAGTCCTTGTGGCCTAGACTGCCTCTCAAATTTATTTAGAACCCCAGAGCACTTTAGCTCTCAGTGGCAAGGCTTGTTGGAACTCAAGTTCCAACTACTGGGATGGACAATTGCTCTCTAGCTAGGGCTGGTCTAAATACTCCCTCCATGAGCATCAGTTGAGTTCTGCCCAGTGTTACTTTCTGCTGTGACAGGGCAGCACTGAGTTCCAAGCAAGATCCCACAATCACTGTGCTCTCCCTTCCACAAGCACACAGATTCGCCATGCCATGCAGCCACTGTTGGGGCATAGGAGAGGGGTGGCATTGGCAGTTCAAGATTGTCCTTCCTACACTCTTCAGTGGCTCTTTCGGTGATACGAAGTTAAAACCAGGTGCTGTGATCACTCACCTGATTTTTTATTATTATTTTTTAAATTTTATTATTATTATACTTTAAGTTTTAGGGTACATGTGCACAATGTGCAGGTTTGTTACATATGTATACATGTGCCATGTTGGTGTGCTGCACCCATTAACTCATCATTTAGCATTAGGTATATCTCCTAATGCTATCCCTCCCCACTCCCCCCACCCCACAACAGGCCCCGGTGTGTGATGTTCCCCTTCCTATGTCCATGTGTTCTCATTGTTCAATTCCCACCTATGAGTGAGAACATGTGGTGTTTGGTTTTTTGTCCTTGCGATAGTTTGCTGAGAATGATGGTTTCCAGCTTCATCCATGTCCCTACAAAGGACATGAACTCATCATTTTTTATGGCTGCATAGTATTCCATGGTGTATGTGTGCCAATTTTCTTAATCCAGTCTATCATTGCTGGACATTTGGGTTGGTTCCAAGTCTTTGCTATTGTGAACAGCGCTGCAATAAACATACGTGTGCATGTGTCTTTATAGCAGCATGATTTATAGCCCTTTGGGTATATACCCAGTAATGGGATTGCTGGGTCAAATGGTATTTCTAGTTCCAGATCCCTGAGGAATTGCCACACTGACTTCCACAATGGTTGAACTAGTTTACAGTCCCACCAACAGTGTAAAAGTGTTCCTGTTTCTCCACATCTTCTCCAGCACCTGTTGTTTCCTGACTTTTTAATGATCGCCATTCTAACTGGTGTGAGATGGTATCTTATTGTGGTTTTGATTTGCATTTCTCTGATGGCCAGTGATGATGAGCATTTTTTCATGTGTATTTTGGCTGCATAAATGTCTTCTTTTGAGAAGTGTCTGTTCATATCCTTTGCCCACTTTTTAATGGGGTTGTTTGTTTTTTTCTTGTAAATTTGTTTGAGTTCATTGTAGATTCTGGATATTAGCCCTTTGTCAGATGAGTAGGTTGCAAAAATTTTCTCCCATTCTGTAGGTTGCCTGTTCACTCTGATGGTAGTTTCTTTTGCTGTGCAGGAGCTCTTTAGTTTAATTAGATCCCATTTGTCTGATTTTTTATTCTTAATTTTTGTGTAGATAGTTATTAAATTTGGTGTTCCTGCAGAGAGGATGATTGGTGGAGGCTTCTAATCAGCCATCTTGCTCCGTCCTTCCTCCCACAATCCAGTTTTAGAACATTTCCATTACCCTAGAAATTTTCCCCTTGCCCATTTGCAGACAATTCTTGCTCCCACCTTCAGCTCCAGGCAACCACAGATCCGCTTTCTGTCTCTGTAGATTTTCTCTTTCTGGACACATCATATAAATGAAATTATATAATACGTGGCCTCTTGTGTCTGGCTTATTTCATTGAGCATAACGTTTTTGAGGTTCGTCCATGTTGTAGCATTATCAGTATTCCATTCCTTTTTTTTTTTTTTTTTTTTTTTTTGCTGAATAATATTCTAGGGAATGGATATAACACACTTTGTTTATCTGTTCATCAGTTCATAGATATTTGAGTTGTTTCCACTTTTTGGCTATCATGAATAATGCTACTATAAATATTCATGTGCAAGTGTTTTTGTGAGCATATGTGTTTAATTCTCTTGAATATATACCTAGGAATGGAATTGTTGGGTCATCAGGTAAATCTATGTTTAACTTTTGGAGGAGCTGCAGTCTGTTTGCCAAAGTGGCCATACCATTTTACATTTTCACTAGCGGTGTATGAGGATTCCAGCTTCTCTACATTCTCAACACTTGCTATTGTTCATCTTTTCTTTTTTTTGTTATAGCCATTGTGGTTTTGATTTATATTTCCTTGATGGCTAATGGTGATGATCATTTTTTCATGTACTTATTGACTGTTCGTGTATTGTGTTTGGATAAATGTCTATTCAATTATTTTCCCATTTTTAAAATGGAATTTTTTATTGAGTTATAAGAGTTCTTTATATATTCTGGATACAAGTCCTTTACCAGATATGTGATTTGTAAGTATTTTCTCCTAGTCTCTGGCTTGTTTTTTCATTTTCTTAAGGGTATCATTTGAAGAGCCAAAGTTTTTAATTTTGATGAAGTCCAATCTATCAATTTTTTCTTTTGTGGGTAGTGTTTTGGTCATGCTGAGAAATCTTTGCCCAACCCACGTTTACAAAGATTTTTTCCTACGTGTTTCTGTAGAAGTTTTATACTTTTATCTCTGACATGTAGCTCTATGATTCATTTTAAATTTTGTTATAGTGTGAGGTAGGGTCTAAATGATGTTTTGTTTGTTTGCTGTTGCATATTAATATCACTCCTCTGCTGTTTGACTTCAGTTTTCACATTTGTAAAGTGGGAATAATACCTGATCTGACTCTCCCACACTGGGGTTGTAAGGATCAATGAAAATAATGTATGTTTTGTAAACTTTAACAGCTTGTACACATGTAAGGCAGTATTGTTATTATAAGAGAGCTATAAAACATTAAGAACACTACATGCCTTGCTTAAAGTTACACAGAAAGTCATTATTTGAGTCCATGTTAATATCTGAGGATCCTGACTGCTCTTGACTCAACTACTTCTTAATATATAAATATAGTCATGTGCCACATAATGACATTTCATAATATATAATGGTGGTCCTGTAAGATTATAATGGAGCTGAAAAATTCCTGTCACCTAGTGACATCATAGCCATCGTAAGGCAACACATTACTCACATGTTTGTGGTGATGCCAGTGTTAAGAAAACTTACTGAACTGCCAGTCATATAAAAGTACAGCACATACAATTAGATACAGTCCATAATTCTTGTTAATGATATAACAAATTACTATGTTACTGTTTCATGTATTTACTATACTTTTATCATTATTTTAAAGTATATTCCTTTTATTTATAAAAGAAAGTTAAAACTGTAAGGCAGCTTCAGGCAAGTCCTTCAGGAGATATTCCAGAAAATGGCATTATCATCCTAGGAAATGACAGCTCCATGTATGTTTTGCCCAAGAAGCCTTTCCAGCAGGACAAGATGTGGAGGTGGGAGACAGTGATATTGATGATCCTGGCCCTGGGTAGGCCTAGGTTAAAATATGTGTTTGTGTCTTAGTTTTTATCAAAAAGTTTTAAAAGTTTTTTAAAAAATTAAAAATAGGAAAACACTTATACAATAAGGAGATAAAGAAAATATTTTTGTACAACTGTATAATGTGTTTGTGTTTTAAGCTAAATGTTATTACAAAAGAGTCAAAAAGTTGGGGTTTTTTGTTTTGTTTTTGTTTTTTTGAGACAGAGTCTTGCTCTGTCACCCAGGCTGGAGTGCCATGGCGCAATCTCGGCTCACTGCAACATCTGCCTCCCGGGTTCAAGCAGTTTTCCTGCTTCAGCCTCCCAAATAGCTGAGACTATAGGTGCATGCCACCACACCCGGCTAATTTTTGTATTTTTACTGGAGACGAGGTTTCACCACATTGGCCAGGCTGGCCTCAAGCTCCTGACCTCAAGTGATTGTCCCACTTCAGCCTCCCAAAGTGCTGGGATTACAGGAGTGAGCCAGCATGACTGGCCAAAAAAAAAATTTTTTTTTTAATTAAAAAGGTTTTTTTTGGGTTTTTTTGTTTGTTTTTTTGGGTTTTTTTTTTTTTTTTTTTTTTGAGATGGAGTCTCGCTGTCACTGACGCTGGAGTGCGAAGGCACAATCTCGGCTCACTGCAACCTCTGCCTCCCAGGCTCAAGTGATTCTCCTGCCTCAGCCTCCCAAGTAGCTGGGATTACAGGCGTGTGCCACCACATCTGGCTAATTTTGTATTTTTAGGAGAGACAGGGTTTCACCATGTTGGTCAGGCTGGTCTCAAACTCCTGACCTCAAGTGATCCATCCGCCTCGACCTCCCGAAGTGCTGGGATTACAGTTTATAAAGGAAAAAAGTTGCAGTAAGACAAGGTCAATTTATATTTATATATTTTTTGAGACAAAGTCTCTGTCACCCAGGCTGGAGTGCAGTGGCATGATCTCAGCTCACTACAGCTTTGACCTCCCAGGTACAATCAATCCTCCCACCTCAGCCTCCTGAGTAGCTGGGACCACACGTGCGCACCACCACACCCAGCTAATTTGTTTGTATTTTTAGTAGAGACAGGGTTTCACCATGTTGCCCAGGCTGGTCTCAAACTCAGGTTCAAGTAATTTGCTCAAGTAATCTGCCCACCTTGGTCTCCCAAAGTGCTGAGAATACAGGTGTGAGCCACCACACCTGGCCAAAGTTAATTTATTATTAAGAAAGAAAAATACCCTTTAATAAACTGAGTGCAGCTTAGGTATACAGTGTTTATAAAGTCTGCAGTAATGTACAAGAATGTCCTACACCTTCATGTTCACTCACCACTCACTCACTGACTCACCCAGAGCAACTTGTAGTCCTGCAAGCTCTATTCATGGTTAGTGCCCTATACAGGAGTACCATTTTTTATCTTTCATACCACATTTTTCCTCTACCATTTCTATGTTTAGATACACAAATACTTACCTCTGGGTTACAGTTGCCTACAGTAGTCAGTAGAGTCACATGCTGTATGGGTTTGTAGCCTAGGAGCAATGGGCTTTACCATATCGCCTAGGTGTGTAGGAGGCTATACCATATAAGTTTGTGTAAGGACACTCTATGATATTCACACAATGACGAAATCACCTAATGATACATTTCTCAGCTTGTGTCCCCATTGTGAAGTGAGACATGACTATCTGCAAATCACAACAGATGGTGGAACATTATAGCAGGGTGACAATCTGATACAAACTAGCATTGACTTACCAAAGCCTAGAATTCTCCTGGAGATGTGTAATTATGGCCTGTGTGAATTTAAGTTTAAAAATAAAAACTTCAACATTGGACATTTGGATTATTTATTTTACTGTCTTCTCGGATGAATAGGAAATTCTATTTCTAAGCCATGAGCCTCATCTGGACCTTTCAGGTGTGTTTGCCATAGTGACCAATACAAACTGAAATTAGATTGTACTATAACTCCAAGTTGATCAATTTCCATAGTCTCTCTATAAGGCCAAAATTTCTCTGTGCATTTTGTTTTTGCCACTTTCATTCTGTCCAATATATTGCAGTTCCAATTCTCTGGCTCTTGGGTTACCTGTTAGAGAGCTTAATGTTTTTCTACTTTTCTCATGAGTTTCCCATCCATTTATTGCTCATCCCCTGAAACATGACTGGATAGTTAGCTTTTTAATGCAGTGATTAATTTATTTTTTAATTTTTTAATTTTTATTTATTTATTTTTTATTTATTTATTTTTTTGAGACGGAGTCTCGCTGTGTCGCCCAGGCTGGAGTGCAGTGGCGCGATCTCGGCTCACTGCAAGCTCCACCTCCCAGGTTCACGCCATTCTCCTGCCTCAGCCTCTTGAGTAGCTGGGACTACAGGCACCCGCCACCACACCCGGCTAATTTTTTTGCATTTTTAGTAGAGACGGGGTTTCACCGTATTAGCCAGGATGGTCTTGATCTCCTGACCTTGTGATCCGCCCACCTCGGCCTCCCAAAGTGCTGGGATTACAGGCGTGAGCCACCGCGCCCAGCCTGCAGTGATTAATTTAATAACCCTCTTGGCTCTTTATATTATATATGTTGCTTTATCCTATTTGATTGAATGTGCCGTGCATCTCCTTTGTTTCAAATGCTTGGGACAAAATTCTGCCTTTGTTTGACTGACTTTTTTAATGACCAGTCACTCATTCATTATTCACTGAGCAGATAACCTTTATCAAGTGCCTCCACACACTGGCAAAATGGCTATCATACAAATATAAAACCTCATGCCTCACAATATTATGCTTTAGACTGAGCAGAGTACTCTTACGTCCACTCTCTCGTACAACCTCCAACAGCAATTATAGAAGTAGACAATGCTGCTATTGTTATCCCTAATTTATCAATGAGGGAATTTTAAGATTCAAAAAGTCAAGTAACCAATTTACCTAAGGTCATTCATGACTAATGAGTGAGAGTCAGGACTAGAATGCAGGTCTTCTGAGCTCCTGTCTTAGTCAATTCGGGCTGCTATAACAAAAATACCATAGAGTGGGTGGATCATAAATAACAGAAATTTATTTCTCACAGTTTGGGAGGATAGAAAGTCCAAAATCAAGACACTGGCAGATTCAGTGTCCAGTGAGGGTCTGCTTCCCCATAGACGGTCCTTTCTGACTGTAAGCTCACATGGCAGAAGGGGTAAAGGATCTCTCTAGGGTCTCTTTTATAAGGGCACTAATCCTATTCATGAGAGCACTCCTCTTATGACCTTATCACCTCCCAACAGCCCCACCTCCTAATATCATCACCTTGGAGGTTAGGATTTTAACATACTAATTTTGAAGGGACACAAACATTCAGTCCGTTGCACATCAACTACAGGGCTGTTTCCACTGGAGGTGCGTGGCTTCTTTACCAGTTTTTGCTAGGAAATTTTAGTTTAAAGGAGAAGCTCAAGTTGATATTTAGAAGCTAGTGGTAATGAAAAAGCAGGGAGATGACTCCCAGGCTTAAGCAGACAAACCTATCAACCTATGTAGGTTCATATTCTAGATAATTTTTAAGAAGAAGTCGATTGTTCAAGTTTTTTTAAATCAAAATTTTATTTTGAAATAATTGTAGATTTACACGCATTTGTAAGAAATAACACAGAGAGATCTCGTGTACTCTTTTTATTGTTTGTTTGTTTTTGAGACAGAGTCTCGCTCTGTCACCCAGGCTGGAGTGCAGTGGCGCCATCTCGGCTTACTGCAACCTCCGCCTCCCAGGTTCAAGCGATTCTCATGCCTCAGCCTCCCAAGTAGCTGGGACTACAGGCAAATGCCACCATGCCTGGCTAAATTTTTTTGTATTTTCGGTAGAGATGGGTTTTCACCATGTAGGACAGGCTGGTCTCGAACTTCTGGCCTCAAGTGATCTGCTCGCCTTGGCCTCCCAAAGTGCTCATGTACTCTTTACCCAGTTTCCCCCAACGATAACAAAACTATAGTACAACATCACAATCAAGATGTTGGCATTATCACAATCAAGACATAGAGCATTGCATTTCTGTCACCACAAGTATTCCTCATGTTTCCTTTGTATAGCCCTCACACTCTTCTCTCCCACTCTCAGCTCCTCCTTAAACCCTGACAACCGCAAATCTATTACCAATTTCTATAATTTTGTCATTTCAAGCATGTCATATAAATGTGATCAAACAGTATATAGCTTTTGAGATTTGGAATCATACAGTACATAACTTTTTGAGATTGGCTTTTTTTGAGACAGGGTCTTGCTCTGTCACCCAGGCTAGAGTGCAGTGAAGCTGATCATAGCTCAGCCTCAGCCCCCCAGGCTTAAGCGATCCTCCCACCTCAACTCCCCGAGTAGCTGGGACCACAGGCATGCACCACCAAGCCCAGCTAATTTTTTAATTTTTTTGTAGAGATGGTCTCAAACTCCTGGACTAAGCGATCCTCCCTCCTTGGCCTCCCAAAGTGCTGGGATTATAGGCATGAGCCACCACACCTGGCCAAGATTGGTTCTTTTCACTTAGCATAATTCTCTAGAGATTCATCAAGTCATTGTTTGTTACAAAAGGACAAATATTGTATCCTTCTATTTATATGAAGTACCCAGAGTGGTCAAATTCATAGAGATGGACACCTGCAGGGGAGGCTCCCCAGGAAGAGCTGACTGGGTGTTTAATGGCCTCTTCTTGCAGGCTCAAGATTGACCTTAGCTTGGAGTCACTGGGCTTGAGCTTCTATTTCCCAGTCAGGGTTGTTCACTCAGTTTTACATGAGAAAATACTCAGTGTTTGAAGAATCCAGCAAAATTACTCAAACTCAGTGTTTATGGAAGGGAATAAAATAGTAAGGCATTTACATTTTATATCTCCATAAACAAGCAAAAGTGTCTATCTCTTTCAGACAACAAACATGTCATTTAATTATCTCCATAATAAAAAAAATTATTTAATAAACAATTGAAAAAAAAAGAAAGTAAAGTGGTAGTCACCAAGGACTGGGGTTATTACATAATGGGTACAGATCTTTAGCTTTGCAAGATGAAACTGGTTCTGGAGATGGATGGTAGTGATGATAGCACAACAATGTGAATGTACTTAACGCCACTAAACTGTTCACTTAAAATGATTAAGATGGTTAAATTTTGTGCTATATGTATTTTACCCCATTTTTTAAGTCATAGAAAAGAATCTTTGTCAGGTATCGTAACATTTCTGTCATCTCAGTGTTGGCATCAATTCATTGTCTTTTTTCGTTATTTGAGATCTTCCTGATTATTGGTATAATGAGTAAATTTGTTAAACCTGGACAATTTCATATTTTGTTCTGAGACTCTGGATCTCATTTAAACCTTCTGTTTTAACTTGGTTTCTCTGACCTGCTTTAGCAAGGGAGTGGGCCCAGCCTTGTTACTTCCAGGTAGAAGTAGAAACAAGCCTAAGTTTCTAACTTGACCTCCATCATTGATACTCAAGGTAGAGGACTCCTTTTTACTACTGGTCCCTTGGCTAGAGACAGCAGACTTTTCTTGGGGCTTTTTTCTTTCTTTTTCTTTTTGGGTCTATGTCTGTTGGCATCTCTAGCACCAAGTTTGGGGTATATGAAGCAAAAAGAAAACCCAGAGAACTTATCACTGTGTCAATCCTTGGCTCCAAGGTCTTCCCTTTCTCTACACCTTTCAGAGGTTTCTTATGTTTGTTTTATGTATAATGTTCAAGAGTTAGTTTTATTTAGCAGGAAGAATAGGGATAAGTACATTTATTCCATCTCATGGAAGTGGAAATTTCTTGGTTCATTTTTAAGAATATACAAAGACTTAAATAATGGTGGGGGGGAAACCTACACTTAAAGAGAAGGGACAAACCTAATCCTCACAGCTGATGTCAGAGTCACAGAGTCACAAAGGCGTTTTGTAACCAAGAAGCCCAGAAGAACACAGACTCTTTCCTTTTACAAGGGAAGCTAAGGTGATTCAAACTACTGAGCTACATTCTCTAAGAGTTTGCTTCCCAAAGCGTGATCAGCATCCCCTAGGAGCTTGTTAGAAGCATGGAATCTTAGGCCCCAGACCTACTGAATCAGTCTGCGTTTTAACTATACTTCCGGCCGGGCACGGTGGCTCATGCCTGTAATCCTAGCACTTTGGGAGGCCGAGGCGGATGGATTACTTGAGGTCAGAGTTCAAAACCAGCCTGGCCATCATGGTGAAACCCTGTCTCTACTAAAATTACAAAAGTTAGCCGGGCGTGGTGGTAGGCGCCTGTAATCCCAGCTACTTGGGAGGCTGAGGCCGAAGAATTGCTTGAACCTAGGAGGCGGAGATTGCAATGAGCCAAGATCACACCACTGCACTCCAGCTTGGGCAACAGAGTGAGACTCCATCTTAAAAAAAAAAAAAATATATATATATATATATATTTCCAAGTGTCTTGTATGCACATTAAAGTTTGAGAAGGTCATTTATCAGTATCTTTTGTCTCTTGTTTGGCCTTCTACTTGTTCAATTTCATCTCAGTTCCTACTTCTGCCAATCTTATATAAGTTCATAGATTAGGCAATTGGGATCTAAAGGAAATATAAGGTAAAGCTTCATTCAATGACTGAGAAAATTTAGAACTGGAAACTAATGATCTTTGCAGTTACCTAATTTAAGCTCATTATTTTGCAAATTGAGGCATTGAAAGGTTAAATATCTGACACAAGGTCATACCACTATATAATGGCAAAGCTAAAAATTGCAGCCGTGTTATTTCTTCATAGGACAATGGTCCTTGGGTTTTCTTTCATCTATTTTTTAATAAAATTTTTTTAATTGAGAGGAGGTCTTACTATGTTGCCCAGGCTGGTCTCAAATTCCTGGGCTCAAGCAATCCTCCTGCCATGTCCTCTCAAAGTGCTGGGATTACAGGTGTGAGCCCCTGCACCCAGCCTTCTTTCATCTAAATCTTCCTCCTTCCAAGCCTCACGTCTCCCTGAGACTGGAATTGAGGTTCATACAAAGCCATCTTTGAGTCAGACTTTGATATTGTGTCTCTCCTACAGCTTTGTAGTTTCCTAATTGGTCTCTGGCTCTTTCTTCTCTTCTCCATTTTTTCCTGTTCATCCCTATCAAATATATCTCCGTAAAACACAACTTTTGCTCTATCACTCCCTTTCCCTCAAATCTTTTAACAACTCTGTATTTCCCAAATCCTTACCTAGACCCTTAAGGCTATCTATCCATAACCTCATTCAACCCCCAAAACAAGACAGAGTTTTTCCCAGGCAATAGTCAATATTCTCTTTATCATCAACCTTCACCTCCTTCTCTCCCTTCTTCTTAGAACAAAGCAGAATCTTCCCTGAAGAAAACGTGTCCCTCACTACGAATTTTTATGGAGGTCTCATCTTTTCCAACTCCCTTTTTCTCAGCAGAAGGGACTAAATTACCTGGATCTTTGCTCCATGGTGGCACTTTGTACTATTTATATACCACCTTCCTACGGCTTCTCTTCACTTAAAACCTATATCTCTTCATCACCAATGTTGTCATGTCCTGGACCCACCTTTTCCTTCCTTGGTAACTTCATTGTTATTTATTATCCTAAGTGACTTTGGCATCCATGTTAGCAATTCTTGTACCTCACAGTTTCCGTTTTTCACTTTTTAGCCACTGTCTACCTCCCATATAAGCCACCCACTGTGGCACTGCTCCATCTTCAAGATTGGTAACTAACGCAACACTTTTCTATTGAGTCTAATCTCCCTTACTTCCCCATATCTATTCTCTGTTCTCACTTGAACTTCAAATCACTCGTCTTTTCCCACTCTATTATAGTCCAGTCTAACTACCTTTTTTTTCTTTTTCTCTTTCTTTTCCTTTCTTTCTTTCTCTTTTCTTTATTTCTTTATTTGCTTCCTTCCTTCTTCCCTCCCTTCTTTCCTCCCCTTCCTTCTCTCTTTCTCTCTTCTTTTGATTATTCCTGCTGTTTCATTTTTTTCCAAACCTGGTACCTTGCCACCATCAGTTCTTCTGCTCCTGATCTTGAGCAGCAGAAGCACTAAAGAAAGTTACAGAACCATCTAGATCTGGCCCAGTACAGATTCATTCTGTTAAGCTTTCAGTGGGTTCTCATTGCTGCTCAGAAATTCTTTTATTCTTGTCAACTTTTTGGCAAACTCAAGTAAAGTGGCTGCTTCAAACCTTTTCTAATCTCGTAAAAACTTAGACCTACCTCATTCCCCATTAGATGATCTCATCATATCATTTCAGTTGAGAAGATCAAGGGCATCACATATGAGATCCCTCATTGGCCCATGTCTCAACCATAACATTCTACCACTGTACCTACCTACTCACCTTTCCTCTTTTTTCAAAAGAAATTTTCTCAACCTTGCACTGTCAGTTCAATCCCCTTCTACTTCCTGAGGCATTTTACTGCCTGTCCATCATTTTTACTCTCTGCCTACAGATGGTTCCATTCTGCTTTCAAGAATGCATAAGTCTCAAACAAATGGAAATATATACCATGTTCTTGGACAGGAAAGCCCTAACAGTATAAAGTCAGTTTCCCTAAATTCAATGCAATAAATTCAGTCAAAATTAAAATCTCAATAGGATTTTTAATGAAACTTGATGATTCTAAAATTCTTCCCTAAAAGAAAATGAACCAAAACATTTTTTGTAAAAGAACAAGGAAGGACTTGCCTTATCAAATACTTTTAAAACTATAAAATGATATTAATTTTAAAAGTATGGCATTAGTGCAAAAATCTACAAAGAGATTAATAGAACAGGACTGAGCCCAGAAGGAGATCCACATATCTATGAGAATTTTGTATGCAATGGAAAAGGTATATCACATCACTGAGGGAACAATTGGTAAAATGGTATTGGGACAATTTAAAAAGCAAAGTTACGTCCTTATTTTTAAACTGAGGGGCGTTATAGCATAGTGGTTAAGAGAACAGACTTTGGAGCCACATAACCAGTTCAAATAAATTCTGGCTACACCATTTATTAGCTGTATGACTTTGGTCTTATTAATTAATTATGTATACCTCTGTATCCTCATCTGTAAAATAAATATAATAATAATCTCAGCACTTTGGGAGGCAAAGGCAGGAGTATCGCTTGAGGCCAGAAGTTCAAGACCAGCCTGGCCAACATAGCGAGATCTTGTCTCTATGAAAAATAAATAAATAAATAAAAGCTAAAAAAAGTGCCTACCTTACAGTATTATTAGTATTAAATAACTTAATATATATAAAGTACTTATAGCAGCACATAGTAAGTACTATATAAGTGATAGTATTATTTTTTTGCCTTATACCATGCACAAAAATAAAGTCCAAAAGGAAGAAATAAAGAAAATCCAGATAGATTAAAGAGCTAAACATAAAATCAAAGCTATAAAAGCATTAGGAAAAAACAGAGGAAAGCATTTTTTTAAATCATGGAATGGAGAGGACCCACTCAGAAGCTGTATAAGAAACAAATAGTTTTGGTTACATGAATTAATAAATAGCACAAGATACCACAAAACATTTTAGGCCTGGTGGAGTGGCTCATGCATGTAATCCCAGCACTTTGGGAGGCCGAGGTGGGAGGTTCACTTGAAGCCAGAAGTTTGGGACCAGCCTGGGCAATAAAGTGACACTCTGTCTCTATGAAAAAAAAAAAAACCCATAAGTTTTGTGGGTTTTTTTTTGAAATGGAGTTTCACTCCGTCACCCAGGCTGGAGTGCAATGGCATGATGATGGTTCACTGTAGCCTTGACCTCCTGGGCTCAAGAGATCCTCCCACCTCAGCCTCCCAAGTAGCTGAGACTACAGGCACATGCCACTACACCCAGCTAATTTTTTGTATGTTTGGTAGAGATGCGGTTTCACCATGTCTCCTAGGCTGGTCTCAACCTTCTGAGCTCAAGCAACTCACCCTCCTTGGCCTTCCAAAGTGCTGGGATTATAGGCATGAGCCACCACACCCAGGCAGATATGTATTTTATACTTTGGGTTATAATACAATATTACTTTATTTTATTGTTCATATTGTTCTAGCTTTGAAAAAGTCTGGCAGCTTCCCAGAAGGTTAAACATAGTTACCCTGTGACCCAGAAATTCCACTGGTAGGTGTATACCCAAGAGAAATGAAAACATGTGTCCAAAGACTCATAGCAAATGTTCATAGCAAAGTTATTCATATAGCCCAAAATGGAAACAGCCTGAATGTCTGTTAGCCAATGAATGGGTAAACAAAATGTGGTATTTCCATTCAATGGAATACTATTTGTCCATTGAAAGGAATGAAGTACTAACACGTGCTATAACATGGATAAACCTTGAAAACATGGTAAGTGAAAGATGTCAGTCACAAGGGCCCACATACTGCCTGGCCCCATTTATCTTAAATGTCCAGAAAAGGCCAATCTATAAGAGACAGAAATGAGAGTAGTGGTTGCCCAGGGCTTAGTGGGGTAGGGGGGCAGGTTGAGAGGAAATGGAAGGATATTGGCTGGGGGCAGGGGGAATATGGAGCCAATGGGCATGGGCTTTCCTTTTGGAGGAATGAAAATATTCCATAATTGATTGTGATGATGGTGGCAGAACTCTGTGAATACTGTGAATATACTAAAAACCACCGTATTGTACACTTTAGATAAACTATGGTATTTTATTTAATTGTATCTTAATAAAGCTGATGCACATACTATTTACTTTGGGAATCTATGGAGAGCCTAAAAGGACAGGCATTTGTGCTCCAGAATACCTACGATTCAGTTAGAGATCTACGTGGCTGCCATATGTATTAAGATGTTGAGGACAGAGAAAACTGGTTTAAAATATGTGGCCCCAAAAACCATCAGAGCAAACACCTCAGTTTGCTGACATTGATTTGTATTACACGTAGGCAAGTCCATGTGGCTTTCAGGTCAGTAGCTGTGTGGATGCATTTCTTTATTGAGGATTAATGATTTTCATAAGCAATGCTGGGCATGAGGGCAACTAATGCAAATTAAAATAAAACTCGAGTGTTCCCTAACTCATTGGATGACACCATCATTCTTCTGGTTGCCCAAGCCAGACATCTAGGAGTCATCCTCAGCACCTCCCTCACTCCCACTTCTAATCTATCACCAAGTACTATCAATCAATTTGACCTCCCAAATATCTCTCAAATTCATCTACTTCCTCCTATCTTTCACCATCAGTAACCTAGTTCAAGTTACACACCTTTTATCTTAGCTAGTTTAGTGATCTCAGGAACCTTTTAACTGGCCTCACATCTACTCTTGCTTTCTTCCTTCCTTTCTTTGCCCAGCAACCAAGGTGATCTTTTACTTTTTTTTTTTTTTTTTTTTTTTTTTGAGATGGAGTCTCGCTCTGTCACCAGGCTGGAGTGCAGTGGTGCAATCTCGGCTCACTGCAACCTCTGCCTCCCAGGTTCAAGCGATTCCCCTGCCTCAGCCTCCCCAGTAGCTGGGACTACAGGCACCCGCCACCACGCCCAGCTAATTTTTGTATTTTTAGTAGAGATGAGGTTTCACCATGTTGGCCAGGATGGTCTCGATCTCTTGACCTCGTGATCCGCCCACCTCGGCCTCCCAAAGTCCTGGGATTACAGGTGTGATCCACCATGCCCAGCCAATCTTTTACATTTTTGAGTATGCATGACCTTTTGAAATCCTCTTTAGTAGTTTCCCATTGCTCTTAAAATAAAGACCAAAATCTTGAATGTGGTATACAAGATCCTACTAACCTATCTGTCCTCATCTTGAGCCACTCTTTCCCTCACATTCTGCACTGTCAGCCACACTTTACAAGACCACAAATTACCACCGTCTAGGCAAATATGATGGTCTCTTTTCCCTGGCCTTCGTTATTGACCACTGCCTCCTTATTGAAATTCTGTTTTCCTTTGTCCTTTATTTTCTCGCCACTCCTCTGCGTTCTTTTCCCTCTTACCACCCAACTATGAACATTTCCAATATTCTCTACTCTTTGCTACTCTGTATTCTGTACTCTGTCCTTTAAGTGAATTAATACACTTTAACTATTACCTGAGTTCCAATCCATATCTGCAACAGCCTGCTTATCTCCAGAGTTACCTCAAGCCAACTTGTTTAAAATAGAACTTATTGTTGTCCCTTATCCCCAGAAACATGTCCTTCAATTTTTTCTTTCAGTGATGCCAGCATTCTTTCAGCCATTCAAACTACATACCTTAGAGCCATTTTCACTTGACCTGTCATTCCCCATATCAAATCAGTTACCAAATTCTATTGATTCTTCCTTTAAATGATTCTTACATCCGTCCATCTAAATTGTCACTATTTTAGTTCTGACCCTCATCACTTCATTCTTAGATCACACAACTCCTTTTATTTTATTTTATTTTATTTTTATTTATTTATTTTTTTGAGACAGAATCTCGCCCTGTCGCCCAGGCTGGAGTGCAGTGGTGCGATCTTGGCTCACTTCAAGCTCCGCCTCCCAGGTTCACGCCATTCTCCTGCCTCAGCCTTCCGAGTAGCTGGGACTACAGGTGCCTGCCACCACGCCCGGCTAATGTTTTGTATTTTTAGTAGAGACAGGATTTCACCATGTTAGCCAAGATGTTCTTGATCTCCTGACCTCGTGATCTGCCTGCCTCGGCCTCCCAAAGTGCTGGGATTACAGGCACAAGCCACCACGCCGGGCCTTTATTTTATTTTTTGAGACGGAGTTTGGAGTTTCACTCTTGTTGCCCAGGCTGGAGTGCAATGGCACAATCTTGGCTCACCACAACCTCCGCCTCCTGGGTTCAAGCGATTCTCCTGCCTCAGCCTCCCGAGTAGCTGGGATTACAGGCATGTGCCATCACACCCAGCTATTTTGTATTTTTAGTAGAGACGGGGTTTCTCCATGTTGGTCAGGCTGGTCTCGAACTCCCGACCTCAGGTGATCTGCCCGCCTTGGCCTCCCAAAGTGCTGGGATTACAGGTGTGAGCCACTGCGCCAGGCCATAACTCCCTTTAAACACGTCTCCCTGTCTGTGTTTTCCCACACGGAGGTCTGTTCTAAACACCACTGGCATTTCTATCTTATTAAAACTACACTTTCATCATATCACTCTCCTTCTCAAAAAGTTTCAGTGCCTTCCCGTTGCCAGCAGGATAAATTTCAAAATCTGAAGCCTGTAATGCAAAAACCCTTAACACTCCAGCCCACAAGATGTTAGCAAACGTTCCACATACCCTGGATTAGACAAAGTTCCATGGTTTCTTTACTGTAAAACTTCCCTAAACTTTCAGTGAACTAGTGTGCATTATAATGCTCCAAAAGGGTGATATATAGAATGCGGCATTTCCAAAATGTATTTGACTAAAGAACTCTATTTTCATAGACCATCTGTTAACATTTCTCATGACACTAGTGTTCTGAGGAAGAACATTGAGGAAAGGCTTAGGAAGCTCCATCCTACATTTCCAGTCTTATTTCCCGTTAACTCCTCTACATAAATCGTCTGCTTAGGCCAAAGAACTCTTGGTCTTCCTAAGACATGCTTGTTCTCAAGTACAATCCAAGTCTTCATTTATTCTGTTCTACCCACATGGAATGCCCTTCTCTTTCTCTGAATATCTATATTTTTCTTTTTAATTGAGATTTAGTTCATATATCATAAAACTCACATTAAGGTATACAGTTCAGTGAGTTATAGTATATTCAAAAGATTGTGCAACCATCACCATTATCTAATTCTAGAACATTTTCATCATCCCCAAAAGAAACTCTATACCCATTAGCAGTCCTTCCCCATACCTCCCTTCCCCAGCCCCTGGCAACCACAAATCTCCTTTCTGTCTCTATGGCTTTGCCTATTCTGCACATTTCATATAATCTCTGTATATGTAGATCCTACTCATCTACCCTAAGATCATGTTTGTTTGTTTGTTTAAGTCATTTTTTTCATTCACAACATTAAAATCACAACACTCATACCCTGTATCAGACACTGTGCCAAGCAAAGGCAAATGTCATTTTACCTTCAAGGGGCTCCCTGCCTAGTGGGGGAGACAGGCAGTACAGTGTTCAAAGTACTATTATGGTGCTGTGAACAAAGTAGCAGAGGGGCAAAGAGGTTTGAGCAAGAAATTGTGGAGAGCCAGGGAAATCCTCACTGAGGAGGTGGCATCTGACTGGATATTGATTCATTTGTTCATTCATTCATTCAGCAAACATCTGTTGTGCCTCTTATGTGCCAGGCACAGTGCTGGACTCTGAAGATACAAAAATGCACAGGAAAAATTCCCTGTACCTCAAGGAACTCAATAGTCTGGAGGAGATAAATACATAGCATTTCAAAACAATATAACATAAGTTATATTAGAGGAATGGAAAGCTCACTGTGGGAACAGACAACTAACTGTTCTTGTGAATTTGAAGAAAAAGTATAAGTCTATGAAGTGGACAAGGATGAGGAGTAGTGTTTCAAGCAGAGACTAGACCGCCTCTGACTGGAATATCCTAGTGCTCATTTCTTTAACTGAATGAGAGCACCTAATGTTTGTGTCTCTTAATCACATACCTTGTGAAGTCGTCTTTACATGTGGATGCCTTGTGTCCCCAAAAGCATTGCACAACCTTTAGGATAAAAGTTTTGTCTTTTCCCTCTTAGTGCCCTCATTATCACAGTGTTTTATGTATAGTAATTTCTTTTTGGATCCAAATGAATGAAAGGATGACAGCTGAGACAGCATTCTTGACACTCTCAAAAAGCTGCTGCCTAATGTGTCTCCTATCACATTTCTCCCTTCTGGGGCTTTAACATGAATGCTTTCTTTGTGTTCCATCTCCTATGCAAGAACCAAGAAAGTAGCTTCTTAGACTAATACTTTTCACTATTGCAAAGTATTGTGAAGAAGCAAATATAATCTTGTGATTAGTCATGTTAAAGACCACTGATAAGGCTAAGGGACCATCTTAGAAATGTGTGCTGTGTTCATAGCTAGGTAGATATCGTTAACTCTGAAGATGAATATAATTTCTACTCCAAATATGGACTAATTCTGGTGACAGAAATTAAGAAATTCAATAAAACTGCTTCTTGACAACCTTATCCGAAAAGTAGAGGTAGGTATTAGGGAGGTAATTGACTGAAGACAGAATCAAGGGAAGCCCCAAACAGTATGCAAGTTTTTCTCGTGCCTCAGGAAGATTAGGAATCTTTCTAATTCTTTCCTTCAGTCAGAGAGGACCTCGGTTTACGTCTCTTCATGAGATCTTGCTATGGAACATTCTACAGCTGACAAACCTTCAAAGTGCTCTCCTCCTGCACTCTCCAGGAGCACAGACCTTCCTAAACATCAGCAGAGCTCCTATTGTTTGTTTAGTAATAAAGGGACATAGCATGGATACAGGTAGTGCCACAATGAACTGTGACAGTAATAACTGCAAAATTTCTGTTCTTGGATTATAGAAAGACTACCCAGAAATGGAGATTCTCTGGCTGATGGTCAAGTCCTGGAATACCGGAGTACTTATGTTTAGCAGGAGCAAGTATGCATCTGCTGAAAAGTGGTGTGGCCTGGCCTTGCGTTTCCTTAACCACCTTACCTCCTTCAAGGAAAGCTATGAAACTCAGGTAAGGAGGGAGAGGGCTAGGGCAGATGACATGACCTAGGGGGCAAGAGGTTATGGCTGGGCTCTCCACAAGGACTCAACCCCATCCTCCTTGGCTAGGAAAGGATCTTGCTCATTGTTCCTCTCAATGGTTCCACATAACTTCAAGAATCAGGAGACCATAAACAGTAATTCCTTAGAGCAAAAACCAAGAAGGACAGAGAACAGGGGGAAATTTAAGGATAGCAAATGGAATCTAATTAAGAGGAATGCCAAGAGTGAGCTCTGGAAAGATGCATCACTGTCAGTGCCAGTGCATGTGGGAAAGGACTGGCCTCTGCTCAAAGCAATAACTGTTGAAAAAGGCATTTTCTCCAGGAACTATTCTCAGTTGCAGAGTTCTGGGCCATTGGCTAACCAGGAGAGGTTTGGTAGAGAAAAAGCCTTGTTACCAAATAAGAGCAAAGGATATTTTATAGTTAAGTATCTTCTCCCTTATAATAGGGGATTCCTTTTCCTCAAGAGAGGACTGTATTTTCTCCCCAAATCTGAGATGCTTCAGATCTCCGAAGGTAACGGTTAGACTTTCATGCCATCACCGTGGGTCTGGGAAGCTTTCCCACATTTCTTTTTCCCCTCAAGAAATCTATTTGTTGTTCTCTTTCCCAGATGAATATGCTGTATAGTCAGCTTGTGGAAGCATTGAGTAACAACAAGGGCCCAGTTTTTCATGAACATGGCTACTGGAGCAAGTCAGATTAGGCAAGCTCATGGCCACATGAAGAAGATACATTGTCCCGAGATGCTGACTGTTTAAATTTTTGCCAGAGTTTCTCTTGAGCTTTTGTTTCTGTTTGCTCAGACCCTGTTTTCATGTTGTTGAATAAACTTTCTAAAATAAAAGCATGCTGAATTTACCTTGGTGACCAGCTCATTTCTGGGGGACAAATGAATTTTCCAAAGTGCTAAGGATGATATTGAAATAGACCATGTGAGAGCAAGATGGTTTATGCCCCATCTGAACAAAAGAGAATGTTCATCCCAGTTCAACACAGATTGCATTTTATTCCCAAAGTGCTCAAATTCCTAATCCCTGAAGATATCAAAGAATCCCAGACTCTTATTTGGAAGGACCTTAGTGGTCACCAGGGCCAGCATTTATCTGATTCATGAAATCTCTCTCTAACATCCTTGAGAATCTGTTGCCCAGTTTCTAACAGAACTTATTCCAGGCCAGGCGTAGTGGCTTGTGCCTGTAATCCCAGCACTTTGGGAGGCTGAGGTGGGCAGATCACTTGAGGCCAGGAGTTCAAGACCAGCCTGGCCAACATGGCAAAACTCCATCTCTACTAAAAATACAAAAAAAAAAAAAATAGCCAGGCATGGTGGCGCGTGCCTGTAGTCCCAGCTACTCGGGAGGCTGAGGCAGGAGAATCGTTTGAACCCAGGAGACAGAGGTTGCAGTGAGCTGAGATTGAGCCACTGTACGCCAGCCTAGGTGACAGAGCAAGACTCCATCTCGAAAAACAAAAAAAGGAACTTATCCCATGACAGGGAATTCCTGAGATAGCTGAACCCACCTATTTTGCTAATTGGTAAAATGTCCTACCTCATACTAAACAGAAGTCTGTCTCCCTGTAACAAATCTGCTTCCTGTGTCACAGATGCCCCTTGGAGATGCCTCTGAAGACAGAAGCCAGGCCTATCTTTGTCCTCCAGGCTTTTTCTCCTTCGAGGTAAACATCCTCAGACCCCTTAGTTGTTCCTCATGTGATCTGGTCACCTCACCTTCCAAAAGCCAAGCCCCATGTTCCAGTGAGGCCTGACCAATACAGTTGAGCAGCCTCTTTCTGGGTAGACTGGCATTAGTGTACCATAAGATTACACTACCTTTTTCCTCCAGTTGATTTGTATTAACATTTTTAAACTTTTGATTTTGACATAGTTTCAGACTTAAGTTGCAACCAAGCACAAAGAATTGACATACACCCTTTATCCAGCTTCTCTATTTATTTTTTACCACATTGCCTTCCTGTCACTCTCTCAGTTTCTTTCTGAACCAGTTGAGATTAATTTGCAGACATCCTGCCCCATTTCCCCTTAATGCTTCAGTGAGTATTTCATAAAAACAGGGATACTCTCTTACATAACCACAGTACAACCATCAAAATTAGGAAATTAACAATGATTCAATTCTACCATCTAATCCACAGACCGCATTCAAATTTCACTGATTGATTAACTTAGTAAAGTCCTTCCTAAGTTCAGGATTATAAGTTGTATTTAGTTGTCATGCTTCTACCATCTCCTACAAACTGAAATGATTCCTCAATCTTTCCTTATCTTTTATGACCTTGACATTTTTGAAGAGTACAGGCTAATTACTTTGTACCATGCACCTCAATTTAGGTGATTCTGATGTTTCCTAATGATTAGCTTCAGTTTATGCATTTTGGGTAGGCATACCACAAAAAAATGATGTGTTCTCAGTGCATCATACCAGCAAGCACACAATGTCAATTTGCCCTGTTACTGAAGTTAAGAAGATGTCTGCCAGGTCTCTCCAATGTAAAGTCAGTAGCTAAATATTTTGTACTTAGTGGTTAATAATTAATTATGAGGTACTTGGTGGAAGATAGTTTGAGACTAAGTAAATACCACATTCCTCATTAAACTTTCACCACTAGTTTTAGCATCCATTGGTGATTCTTGCCTGAACATTTGTACTGTGATGGTTGCTAAATGTTGATTTTTCTGCTTCCATCATTCCTTCTTCATTTATTAGTTGGCATTGGTAAGGTAGAGGTTTTTCTTCTCCCCTATTTATTCATGTTTTTAAAATACATTTTAGTACAGACTAATGGATTCCTGTTTTATTAAATGGGTTATAAGCCATTATCATTATTTATTTTGCTGCCCAAAGCTGGGTCCTACCCCCATTTGACATGTCCCCATCATTCTTTCAGCACTTCCTTATTTTGTGGCACAATAAGATGCACCAGAGCTTATCTTGTACTTTCCCTGTGCCAGACCCGGAATCAGTCATTTCTCCAAGGAGCCATGATGCCTTATAACAGAGTGGTAGTGTCCAAGATCTGGGTCCTAGAGGTGTACTCATTGTTACGAGGGTGACATTATTTCTAGGTCCTCTCAGTGGACAGAGCTGGGAAATAAATGTGTGTATGTGTACATACGTATAGATGAATGTATATGTATACGTGCACACATAGAAAATCATGAGTTCATACTGATAGCTCCATTTTCTTTTCTTTCTTTTTTTTTTTTTTTTAGACGGAGTCTTGCTGTGTCGCCCAGGCTGGAGTGCAATGGCACTATCTCGGCACACTGCAACCTCTGCCTCCCGGGTTCAAGCGATTCTCCTGCCTCAACCTCCCAAGTAGCTGAGACTACAGGCATGTGCCACCACGCCTGGCTAATTTTTGTATTTTTAGTAGAGACGAGATTTCGCCATGTTGGCCAGGCTAGTCTCGAACTCCTGACCTCAGGAGATCCACCCACCTCGGCCTCCCAAAATGCTGGGATTATAAGCATGAGCCACCGCACCTGGCTGATGATAGCTCCATTTTCAATCCAACACCAGTGGATTTATTCTAGCTTTCTCCCCTTTCCCTATTTGTAACTCTTTCAACATTGAGAAGCCTGGCTGATTAACCTCCGATATTCACTTATTGGCTCATTCTCTCTGTATGATCCCAATCTCCTACTCATTTTGGTTGTCTCCCCAGCCCTAACCTCACCAACCTGACCAAGAGGCTGCCCCTTTGGCCCAAGCCCCAGTGAACACTCTGGCCAACTTATCAAGGGAGCCGCCAGTCTAGAGAGCAAGCAAGCTGAGTCTCTAGCTGAACCTGCCACCAGGCCCTGACCCTGACCCCCGCCGCGCCGAGGAGAAGGGAAAGAAACCACATGGCATCGAAGCAGGCCCTTCATGTTGTTGACTCACCGGGCTCACTGTTTGCTCTTCCCTGCCTTCACCTTAGTTTGCTCCTACTTATCTTTGAGAAGTCGGCTCATGTGTCAGTTCCCTGGAAAAACTTTCCCTAACTAGGCCAGGTTCTCTTATTCTATGCTCTCAGCATTGTTTTATTCTTCACAGCTTAAAATAAATACATTTGTTTGTGGAATAATTTGATTAATGTCCATTTCCCTCAATAGTCTTTAAGCTCCATGAGAGAAGATGTTGTGTTTTCCTCACCATTGTATAATCCCAGGGTCTAGCACAGTGCCTGGCATGCTTTTTTTTTTTTTTGAGATAGGGTCCTGCTCTGTTGCCCAGGCTGGAGGGCAGTGGTGCGATCTCAGCTCACTGCAACTTCCGCCTCCTGGGCTCAAATGATCCTCCCATCTCAGTCTTCCAAGTAGCTGGGACTACAGAGGAGTGCCACCACACTCGGCTAATTTTTCTATTTTTTTGTAGAGATGGGATTTCACCATGTTGCCCAGGCTGCTCTCGAACTCCTGAGCTCAAATGATCTGCCCGCCTCTGCCTCCCAGTGTGCTGGGATTACAGGTGTGAGCCACTGTACCTGGCCTGCCTGGTACTTCCAATAAATATTTGTTGAAAGAAGAATGAAAACTTCTAAGTCTTTTTTTCTACACATACGGCCATTAATTAATGTCTCTGCTTGTACTTCCAGGTTTTTGTGTTTGTTTTTGAAACAGCATTTTGCTCTGTCACCCAGGCCACAGTGCAGTGGCTCAATCATAGCTCACTGCAGCTTCAAACTCCCAGGCTCAAGCGATCCTCCTGCCTCAGCCTCCCGAGTAGTGGGGACCACAGGCATGCACCACCATGATTAGCTAATTTTTTTTATTATTATTTTTAGTAGAGATGAGGTCTCACTATGTTGTCCAGACTGGTCTCAAACTCCTGAGCTCAAGTGATCTTCCTGCTTCAGCTTCCCAAAATGTTAGGATTGCAGGCATGAGCCGCCATGTCCGGCCTACTTCCAGTTTTTAAAACATCTAATTGGCTGGGTGTGGTGGCTCATGCCTGTAATTCCAGCTCTTTGGGAGGCCGAGGCAGGCGGATCCCCTGAGGTCGGAGTTTGAGACCAGCCTGACCAACATGGAGAAACCCCGTCTCTACTAAAAATACAAAAATTAGCCGGACGTGGTGGCGCATGCCTATAATCCCAGCTACTCGGGAGGCTGAGGCAGGAGAATCGCTTGAACCTGGGAGGCGGAGGTTACAGTGAGCCGAGATCGTGCCATTGCACTCAAGCCTGGGCAACGAGCGAAACTCCATCTCAAAAAAACAAACAACAACAACAACAAAAAAACCATCTAATTGATTGTATCACTAATAAATTGCTCTTGCCAGCTAATCTTTTTGGATGCAGAGTCTGTCTTTAAGTATGTTACTTATCCCTCTCCAGTTGACATCATCTGCACATTTGATCAGCATGCCAGCTAGTGGCTTTAACCAAGTATACGATAAAACACTGAACAGGAGAGGGCTGAGACAGAGCTTGGTGAAGTGCTTTGCAGTCTTACTTCTGGGTTATTTCATTCACACAACAAATATTTCCTGAACACTTCCTGCTAATGGACTGGACACTTCATGGTACAAGAGATAAAGTGGTGAACAAAATAGAGGACCAAGTCTCTCCTTCAAAGAGCTTACATTCTAGTGGGGGCAATAGGTAATAAACTAGTATATAAATAGCTTAAACATTGATCCGTTAATAGCAGACTTTGGGATGATCATTTGCCTGCTCAATAATTGTACTATCTACACTTTTCCAGCCTTTTCACAAGAATGTCATGAGTGATTTTTGTCAATGCCTTGCTGGAACCCAGCTACACTTTACCTATTTTCGAAGCTTTACCCATTTATATTGATTTACTAAGCTCATTTCAGAAAAGAAAATGAGCTTACTCTGTCTTAAGCTATTCTTAGGTAAAGGGTTTATAAACTCTTTGTGATCACTAGCTCCCCTCTAAAGACTCTCATGCAAACCATTCCTTCCAATAACGTATTCCAGAAACTTGCTTGGGATTAAGATGAAACCTTCTTGTCTAAAGCTTGTGAAATCTATCTTCTTCCAAAAAAAAAAAAAAAAAGAGGGGGGCCAGGTGCAGTGGCTCACCCCTGTAATCCCAGCACTTTGGGAGGCCGAGGCGGGCAGATCACGAGGTCAGGAGATCAAGACCATCCTGGCTAACACAGTGAAACCCCGTCTCTACTAAAAATACAAAAAAATTAGCCAGGTGTGGTGGTGGGTGCCTGTAGTCCCAGCTACTCGGGAGGCTGAGGCAGGAGAATGGTGTGAACCCGGGAGGCATAGCTTGCAGTGAGCCGAGATCGCGCCACTGCACTCCAGCCTGGGCAACAGAGCAAGACTTCATCTCAAAAAAAGAAAAGCATAATCCTTCTCTAGGCTTTGGGGCATCTCTCATTCCCCATGATTCCCCAAAGGTTACAAACACCAGTTTAGCGATCTCACTACAGGTTCTCTCAACATCCTGACATACAATTTGTCCAGGTCAAGAGACTTATTTAAAGCACCTTGGTGCTTTCTTACTTACCATGATCCCCAGTTGCCTCTTGCCAATGTCTGCTTGACCCTTTCCAATCTAATGTTCAGAGTTTGGATGGCAGAGAAGACCAAAGCAAAGTAGGAATTACAGGGTCATATTTATCTTTGTTGTCTGGTAAGCATTGCAACATTTTATTTTTCATTTTATACCCTGTGGTACTATTGGCATTTTTTTTACATGTGCTTATATTACTTTTTTAATTTAAAAAACTAATCATAACTAAAACATACTACGTGCCCCAAATGGACTTGAAGGCTTCCTTGATTTGTTTTTTGATGCAAACTAAGCTGTAAATGGCCTCTGTTTTTTTAACTCCTAGCATTAGCTCATTTTGGGCCAGGCCTTCCTGACATGACTTGGGCAGTTCCATCTTACCATCTTATATTCTTCCTTGGTCAGATGCTCTTCTTTCTACCTTTTTAATGTCTCACCATCAAAGAACCCTCTGTCGGCCAGGCGCGGTGGCTCATGCCTGTAATCCCAGCACTTGGGGAGGCCAAGGTGGGCAGATCACCTGAGGTCGGGAGTTCAAGACCAGCCTGACCAACATGGAGAAACCCTGTCTCTACTAAAAAAAAAAAAAAATACAAAATTGGCCAGGCATGGTGGCACATGCCTTTAATCCCAGCTACTCAGGAGGCTGAGGCAGGAGAATCGCTTGAACCCAGGAGGCGGAGGTTGTGGTGGGCTGAGATTGCGCCATTGCACTCCAGCCTGGGCAACAGGAGCAAAACTCCATCTCAAAACAAAGAACTCTCTGTGTATTTGCATCATTTTCTTTAAATACCCCTCCTTTTACGTGTTCCTTAAAATAATTCACACATATATGGTCAGAATTTAGTTTTTAAGAGCCTTTCAACCCTTTTGGGAAGGCAGCCAGGTAGAAAGTGCAGGAAAACTAACAATTAATGCATACCCACTAAGAGCTAAGCACTTACACATGTGCTATCTCATTTAATTAGATAACAACCCTGTGAAGTAGGTGATTCCATTTCATTCCCTCCTTCTTTCACTCTCTCTCTTCCCTTTCTCCTTAGTGATTCCTGTGAGAAAGTGAAGCTCAGAGAGTTTAAGTAACTTAACCAAGGTAACACAGCTGGTAAATGGCATAGCCATGATTTAAAGTCACATCTGGCCAGGCACAATGGTTCATACCTATTATCCCAGCATTTTAGGAGACTGAGGCAGGTGAATTGCTTGAGCCCAGGAGTTCAAGACCAGCCTGGGCAACATGGTGAAACCCAGTCTCTACAACAAAATACAAAACTTAGCCAGGTGTTGTGATGAGTGTCTGTAGTCCCAGCTACTCAAAAGGCTGAGGTGGGAGGATCACTTGACCTTGGGAGGCAGAGGTTGCCGTGAGCTGAGATTATACCACTGCACTCCAGCCTGGGTGACAAAGTGAGACTCTGTCTCAAAAAAAAAAAAATTTTAAGTCATATGTATCAGACCTGTCCTCACTCTTTTCCCTCATGCTACCTTTCTTTTCTCTGAACTTTGAAGTCTGCCCTCTTAAATTCTTAGGCAAAATACCTTACTATGTCTAGCCTTATGCTCTCACAAACTGACATCATATGGTTCCACAAGTTTCCACTTCACCCATCAGTTCTTCATTAATTGGTCAGAATTCGGTAATAAACAGCAAACAGTCCCTCTTGTTGATTTCTTTACGTTCTGAGGGGTAATATCGTCAGCAAGACAAGTAAAGAATTTCTAGGCCAGGCGAGGTGGCTCACACCTGTAATCCCAACACTTTGAGAGGCCAGGGAGGGCAGATCACCTGAGGTCAGGAGTTCGAGATGAGCCTGGCCAACATAGTGAAACCCCATCTCTACTAAAAATACAAAAATTAGCCGGGCATGGTAGAGGGCGCCTGTAATATCAGCTATGGGAGGCTGAGGCAGGAGAATCGTGTGAACATGGGATACGGAAGTTGCAATGAACTGAGATCATGCCACTGCACTCCAGCCTGTGAGACAGAGTGAGACTTTGTTTCAAAAAGAAAAAAAAAAAGGCCCATTCCAAGATGGCCAAATAGGAACAGCTCTGGTCTACAGCTCCCAGCATGATCAACTCAGAAGACTGGTGATTTCTGCATTTCCAACTGAAGTACCTGGTTCATCTCATTGGGACTGGTTGGACAGTGGGTGCAGCCCACCGAGGGTGAGCTGCTGAAGCAGGGCGGGACATCACCTCACCCAGGAAGCACAAGGGGTCAGGGGATTTCCCTTTCCTAGCCAAGGGAAGCCGTGACAGACTGTACTGGAAAATCGGGACACTCCCACCCAAATACTGCACTTTTCCAACGGTCTTAGCAAACGGCACACCAGGAGATTATATCCCGTGCCTGGCTCGGCAGGTCCCATGCCCGCGGAGCTTTGCTCACTGCTAGCACAGCAGTCCAAGATCAAACTGCAAGGTGGCAGCCTGGCTGGGGGAGGGTCATCCACCATTGCAGAGGCTTCAGTAGGTAAACAAAGTGGCCAGGAAGCTCGAACTCGGTGGAGCCCACCACAGCTCAATGAGGCCTGCCTGCCTCTGTAGACTCCACCTCTGGGGGCAGGGCATAGCTGAACAAAAGGCAGAAGAAACTTCTGCAGACTTAAACTCTCTGACATCTCTGAAGAGAGCAGTGGTTCTCCAAGCACAGTGTTTGAGCTCTGAGAACAGACAGACTGCCTTCTCAAGTGGGTCCCTGAGCCCCATGTAGCCTAACTGGGAGACATCTCCCAGTGGGGGCCAATTGACACATCATACAGCAGAGTGCCCCTCTGAGACGAAGCTTCCAGAGGAAGAATCAGGCAGCAATATTTGCTGTTCTGCAATATTTGCTGTTCTGCAGCCTCCACGGCTGTTACCCAGGCAAACAGGGTCTGGAGTGGACCTCCAGCAAACTCCAACAGACCTGCAGCTGAGGGACCTGACTGGTAGAAGGAAAACTAACTAACAGAAAGAAATAGCATCAACATCAACAAAAAGGACATCCACACCAAAACCCCATCTGTAGGTCACCATCATCAAAGACCAAAGGTAGATGAAACCACAAAGATGGGGAGAAACCAGAGTAGAAAAGCTGAAAATTCTAAAAACCAGAGCACCTCTTCTCCTCCAAAGGGTCACAGCTCCTCGCCAGCAACAGAACAAAGCTGGACAGAGAATGACTTTGATGAGTTCACAGAACTAGGCTTCGGAAGGTCGGTAACAACAAACTTCTCCAAGCTAAAGGAGGATGTTCGAACCCATTGCAAGGAAGCTAAAAACCTTGAAACAAGATTAGACAAATGGCTAACTAGAATAAACAGTGTAGAGAAGACCTTAAATGACCTGATGGAGCTTAAAACCATGGCATGAGAACTACGTGACGCATGCACAAGCTTCAGTAGCCAATTTGATCAAGTGGAAGAAAGGGTATCAGTGATTGAAGATCAAATTAATGAAATGCAGTGAGAAGAGAAGTTTAGAGAAAAAAGAGTAAAAAGAAACAGACAAATCCTCCAAGAAATATGGGACTATGTGAAAAAACCAAATCTACGTTTGATTGGTGTACCTGAAAGTGATGGGGAGAATGGAACCAAGTTGGAAAACACTCTGCAGGATATTATCCAGGAAAACTTCCCAAACCTAATAAGGCAGGCCAGAATTCAAATTCAGGGGAAATTCCGAGAACACCACTAAGATACTCCTCTAGAAGAGCAACCCCAAGACATATAATTGTCAGATTCACCAAGGTTGAAATGAAGGAAACAATGTTAAGGGCAGCCAGAGAGAAAGGTTAGGTGACCCACAAAGGGAAGCCCATTGGACTAACAGCTGATCTCTCAGCAGAAACTCTACAAGCCAGAAGAGAGTGGGGGCCAATATTCAACATTCTTGAAGAAAAGAATTTTCAACCCAGAATTTCATATCCAGCCAAACTAAGCTTCATAAGTGAAAGAGAAATGAAATCCTTTACACACAAACAAATGCTGAGAGATTTTGTCACCAGCAGGCCTCCCTTACAAGAGCTCCTGAAGGAAGCACTAAACATGGAAAGGAACAACCCGTACCAGCCACTGCAAAAACATGCCAAATTGTAAAGACCATCGATGCTAGGAAGAAACTGCATCAATTAATGGGCAAAATAACCAGCTAATATCATAATGATGGGATCAAATTCACACATAACAATATTAACTTTAAATGTAAATGGGCTAAATGCCCCAATTAAAAGACACAGACTAGCAAATTGGATAAAGACTCAAGACCCATCAGTGTGCTATATTCAGGAGACCCATCTCACACGCAGAGACACACATAGGCACAAAATAAAAGGATGGAGGAAGATCTACCAAGAAAATGGAAAACAAAAAAGAGCAGGGGTTATAATCCTAGTCTCTGATAAAACAGACTTTAAACCAACAAAGATCAAAATAGACAAGGCCATTACATAATGGTAAAGGGATCAATTCAACAAGAAGAGCTATCTTAAATATATATGCACCCAATACAGGAGCACCCAGATTCATAAAGCAAGTCCTTAGAGATCTACAAAGAGACTTAGACTCCCACACAATAATAATGGGAGAGTTTAACACCCCACTGTAAATATTAGACAGATCAATGAGACAGGTTAACAAGGATATCCAGGACTTGAACTCACCTCTGCACCAAGTGGACCTAATAGACATCTACAGAACTCTCCACCCCAAATCAACAGAATATACATTCTTATCAGCACCACATCTCACTTATTCCAAAATTGACCACATAGTTGGAAGTAAAGCACTCCTCAGCAAATGTAAAAGAACAGAAATTATAACAAACTGTCTCTCAGACCACAGTGCAATCAAATTAGAACGCAGGATTAAGAAACTCACTCAAAACTACACAACTACATGGAAACTGAACAACCTGCTCCTGAATGACTACTGGGCACATAATGAAATGAAGGCAGAAATAAAGATGTTCCTTGAAACCAGTGAGAACAAAGACACAACATACCAGAATCTCTGGGACACATTTAAAGCAGTGTGTAGAGGCAAACTTGTAGCACTAATTGCCCACAAGAGAAAGCAGGAAAGATCTAAAATTGACACCCTAACATCACAATTAAAAGAACTAGAGAAGCAAGAGCAAACACATTCAAAAGCTAGCAGAAGGCAAGAAATAACTAAGATCAGAGCAAAACTGAAGGAGATAGAGACACAAAAACCCTTCAAAAAATCAATAAGTCCAGCAGCTGTGTTTTTTTTTAAAGATCAACAAAATTGATAGACCACTACCAAGACCAATAAAGAAGAAAAGAGAGAAGAATCAAATAGATGCAATAAAAAATGATAAAGGGGATATCACCACCGATCCCACAGAAATACAAACTACCATCAGAGAATACTATAAACACCTCTACGCAAATAAACTAGAAAATCTAGAAGAAATGGACAAATTCCTGGACACATACACCTTCCCAAGACTACACCAGGAAGAAGTTGAATCTCTGAATAGACCAATAACAGGCTCTGAAATTGAGGCAATTATTAATAGCCTACCAACCAAAAATGTACAGGACCAGAAGGATTCACAGCCGAATTCTATGAGAGGTACAAAAAGGAGCTGGTGCCATTCTTTCTGAAACTATTCCAATCAATAGAAAAAGAAGGAATCCTCCGTAACTCATTTTATGAGTCCAGCATCATCCTGATACCAAAGCCTGGCAGAGACACAACAAAAAAAGAGAATTTTAGACCAATATCCCTGGTGAACATTGATGCAAAAATCCTCAATAAAATACTGGCAAACCTAATCCAGCAGCACATCAAAAAGCTTATCCACCAAGATCAAGTTGGCTTCAACCCTGGGATACAAGGCTGGTTCAACATACACAAATCAATAAATGTAATCCATCACACAAATGGAAGCAAAGGCAAAAATTACATGATTATCTCAATAGATGCAGAAAAGGCCTTTGACAAAATTCAACAGCCCTTCATGCTAAAAACTCTCAATAAACTAGGTATTGATGGAACGTATCTCAAAATAATAAGAGCTATTTATGACAAACCCATAGCCAATATCATACTGAATGGGCAAACACTGGAAGCATTCCCTTTGAAAACCTGCACCAGACAAAGATGCCCTCTCTCACCAGTCCTATTCAACATAGGGTTGGAAGTTCTGGCCAGGGCAATCAGGGAAGAGAAAGAAATAAAGGGTATTCAATTAGGAAAAGAGGAAGCCAAATTGTCCCTGTTTGCAGATGACGTGATTGTATATTTAGAAAACCCCATCATCTTAGCCCCAAATCTCCTTAAGCTGATAAGCAACTTCAGCAAAGTCTCAGGATACAAAATCAATGTGCAAAAATCACAAGCATTCCTATACACCAATAACAGACAAACAGAGAGCCAAATCGTGAGTGAACTCCCATTCACAATTACTACAAAGAGAATAAAATACCTAGGAATCCAACTTACAAGGGATGTGAAGGAACTCTTCAAGGAGAACTACAAACCACTGCTCAATGAAATAAAAGAGGATACAAACAAATGGAAGAACATTCCATGCTCATGGGTAGGAAGAATCAATATCATGAAAATGGCCATACTGCCCAAGGTAATTTATAGATTCAATGCCATCCCCATCAAGCTACCAATGACTTTCTTCACAGAATTGGAAAAAACTACTTTAAAGTTCATATGGAACCAAAAAAGAGCCCGCATTGCTAAGACAATCCTAAGCAAAAAGAACAAAGCTTGAGGCATCACGCTACCTGACTTCAAACTATACTACAAGGCTACGGTAACCAAAACAGCATAGTACTGGTACCAAAACAGAGTTATAGACCAATGGAATAGAACAGAGACCTCAGAAATAACACCACACATCTACAACCATCTGATCTTTCACAAACCTGACAAAAACAAGAAATGGGGAAAGGATTCTCTATTTAATAAATGGTGCTGGGAAAACTGGCTAGCCATATGTAGAAAGCTGAAACTGGATCCCTTCCTTACACCTTATATAAAATTAATTCAAGGTGGATTAAAGACTTAAATGTTAGACCTAAAACCATAAAAACCCTAGAAGAAAACCTAGGCAATACCATTCAGGACATAGGCATGGGCAAAGACTTCATGACTAAAACACCAAAAGCAATGGCAACAAAAGCCAAAATTGACAAATGGGATCTAATTAAACTAAAGAGCTTCTGCACAGCAAAAGAAACTACCATCAGAGTGAACAGGCAACCTACAAAATGGGAGAAAATTTTCGCAACCTACTCTTCTGACAAAGGGCTAATATACAGAATCTACAATGAACTCAAACAAATTTACAAGAAAAAATCAAACAACTCCATCAACAAGTGGGCAAAGGATATGAACAGACACTTCTCAAAGGAAGACATTTATGCAGCCAACAGACACATGAAAAAATGCTCATCATCACTGGTCATCAAAGAAATGCAAATGAAAACCACAATGAGATACTATCTCACTCCAGTTAGAATGGCAATCATTAAAAAGTAATGAAACAACAGGTGCTGGAGAGGATGTGGAGAAATAGGAACACTTTTACACTGCTGGTGGGACTGTAAACTAGTTCAACCATTGTGGAAGTCAGTGTGGTGATTCCTCAAGGATCTAGAACTAGAAATACCATTTGAACCAGCAATCCCATTACTGGGTGTATACCCAAAGGATTATAAATCATGCTACTATAAAGATGCATGCACACATATGTTTACTGCAGCACTATTCACAATAGGAAAGACTTGGAACCAACCCAAATGTCCATCAGTGATAGACTGGATTAAGAAAATGTGGCACATATACACCATGGAATACTATGCAGCCATAAAAAAGGATGAGTTCATGTCCTTTGTAGGGACATGGATGAAGCTAGAAACCATCATTCTCAGCAAACTATCGCAAGGACAGAAAACGAAACACCACATGTTCTCACTCATAGGTGGGAACTGAACAATGAGAAGACTCGGACACAGTGTGGGGAACATCACACACCGGGGCCTGTTGTGGGGTGGGGGGGGGTGGAGGAGGGATAGCATTAGGAGAAATACCTAATGTAAATGACGAGTTAATGGGTGCAGCGCACCAACATGGCACATGTATACATATGTAACAAACCTGCACATTGTGCACATGTACCCTAAAACTTAAAGTATAATTTTAAAAAAAAGAATTTCTAAATGTCCTTCTTTCTGTGTGTGTGTGTGTGTGTGTGTGTGTGTGTGACCGAGTTTCACTCTTGTTGCCCAGGCTGGAGTGCAATGGCACTATCTCAGCTCACTGCAACCTCTGCTTCCCAGGTTCAAGTGATTCTCCTGCCTCAGCCTCCCGAGTAGCTGGGATTACAGGCGCGTCCCACCACGCCCAGCTAATATTTGTATTTTTAGTAGTGATGAGGTTTCACCATGTAGGCCAAGCTAGTCTCGAACTCCTGACCTCAGGTGATCCAACTGCCTCAGCCTCCCAAAGTGCTGGGATTACAGGTGTGAGCCACCGTGCCTGGCCAAATGTCCTGCTTTTAAGAAAAGGAAACTTACAGCAACTCTGAGCAAAGTCCCTCATTGCTGCTGTATCTTGCCCTGTGCCATTTTTGTGATGTGCATCAGGAGTATGTCACCCATTTCCTCCATTTTGCAGGGCAGTGGTATGTTACACTATATAACTCCCCTCTTTCTTTCTCCATTTTTTTTTTTTTTTAGATGGAGTCTCGGCTCTGACACCAGGCTGGAGTGTAGTGGCATGATCTCAGCTCACTGCAACCTCCACCTCCTGGGTTCAAGCCATTCTCCTGCCTCAGCCTCCCAAGTAGCTGGGACTACAGGCACCCGCCACCACGCCTGGCTAATTTTTGTATTTTTAGTAGAGACGGGGTTTCACCATGTTGGCCAAGATGGTCTTGATCTCTTGACCTCGTGATCCACCCGCCTCAGCCTCCCAAAGTGCTGGGATTACAGGCATGAGCCACCGCACCCGGCCCTTTCTCCTTTTAACTTCACCAAAACTCTGTAGAGGGCTATATCCCCACCTTTGTGGATTTCTATGCATATAGCACAACGTCATCTCCCATTCTAAAGGACGCCTTCTTAGGCTTCTTCAAATGCCAAATTCCAGTTGTAAGTTTCATTCCCCCAAATCTTAGTGATACCTCTTAGCTAGTATTTATCACCATGAGTTAAAAATTCAAGTTCACTGTATAATATTAAGTTGAACCATATGAGGTCACCATTTTTGTAGTCAAAAACAGTTGGATAATGGCAATTTCATACGGTTCAAACTAATGCATGTGCTGTGTATTTATACCAAGACAGCTGAAGCTGTAAGTTCTATTTATGACTCTTTTCCAAGATATATTCTTCTGTGCCTTAATGGGCACCTCCCCCAGTACTGTTCTTGCTGTCATATCTGATATCATTCCAGAGCAATTGATTTTATAATATTATCAGGACACTTTTTTCCTTTCCCTTCCGTTTTCAATTTAAAGTTCTCTTTATCAGATCAACACGGCTCTCGGTAAACACATTTTTCCCAGTTATCATAGAGAACTCTGTCCTTAGCCAAGAGCCCAGCAATCCAGTATTTTAAACCATGATCCAGACAAAACAAATCCTATTCTAAAATTCCATCTCTAGGGGATCACCCCACTGTGCCCATATCCCAGCTACTCCAGAGGCTGAGGTGGGAGGATTGCTTGAGGCCAGGAGTTTGAGGCTGCAGTGAACTATGATCCTGCCTGTGAATAGCCACTGCACTCCAGCTGGGGCAACATAGGACAATCCCATGTCAAAAATAAATAAATAAATAAATTTTTAAAATTCCATCTCAAAAGGCAGCCATTTCATTATATATATATTTCATTATTATATATATATTTCATTTCATTATTATATATAATATACATTACATATATTATGTATTATATATATATCCTTTTTTTTTTGAGATGGAGTTTCACTCTTGTTGCCCAGGCTGGAGTGCAATGGCACAATCTCTGCTCACTGCAACCTCCGCCTCCCAGGTTCAAGCAATTCTCCTGCATCAGCCTCCTGAGTAGCTGGGATTACAGGCACCCCCCACCACGCCTGGCTAATTCTGTATTTTTAGTAGAGACGGGGTTTCTCCATGTTGGCCAGGCTGGTCTTGAACTCCCGACCTCAGGTGATCCACCCATCTTGGCCTCCAAAAGTGCTGGGATTACAGGCGTGAGCCATCATGCCCAGCCTATATATTCTTTTTTATTCCAAAGTACCAATTTTCTTGTGTAAGAGGAAAACAAAACCACCTGGTCCCCCAAGTCCTTGAATTTTCTGCCCACAACTTTATAGTCCTTGAAGATCATTTCCATGTCCCCTTTGGTGTAGCCACTCATCCCTACAAGAGGGACAACTGCTAGAATAAGAGGTGGAGGAAGGTGGAGATGGGCAGCATTTGTTTGACTTGATGGGTTTCCCACAGCTCTTTGTTAAATGGCAATGAAAATACATGATCAAAGGCGATAGTCATGTTATGTCTGCATATTTACAGCTCCCTCCATATCATCAATCAGGAAGTCACCAACTTCATTCATTCATTCATTCATTCATCTGTCCATTCATCCAGTGAATAACTGTGGTTTAGATCCTCAATGAGCTTATAGTCTGATAGGGGAAGGGGTTAGGCTTCCATTTATTGTATTAGAATGATTACAATATTAAAGATAGAGGGTGGGTGCTATGAAAGTGGGGGGAAAGTACTGAGATTCCAAAGGAGGGAATAAGGAAATGCTTTGCAGGCAGGGCACCCAGTCACTGCTCATGCCTGTAATCCCAGCACTTTGGGAGGCTGAGGCAGGAGGACCACTTGAGGCCAGGAGTTCAAGACCAGCCTGGCCATCATGGTGAAACCCCGTCGCTACTAAAAATACAAAAATTAGCCGGGTGTGGTGGTGTGCACCCACAATCCCAGCTATTCGGGAGGCTGAGGCATCAGAATCGCTTGAACTCAGGAGGTGGAGTTTGCAGTGAGCCAAGATCGCGACACTGCACTCCAGCCACTCCATCTCTAAATAATAATAATAAGAAGAAGAAAATGCTTTGTGGAGAAGGTTGAACTGGGTTTTAAAGATGTATAGGATTTGGACATAAGGAAGGAAAGGAGAGGTATTCCAGGCAAAAGGAAAAGCATGGCAAAGGTGCATAGCTTTGTGTGAGGGGCAGTGGGTTCAGTGTATTTGCAGCATGGAGTCCTTAAAGGGGAATAGTGGGAAGAGGTTAAAAAGGCAGGTTGGAAGCAGACTATGGAGGGTCTGGAATATCTACCTAAGGAGTTTAGACTTTATTGTGTAAACCACTGAAGGAGTTTGAGCTTAGGAGTGGCAGGGTCAGAAATGGACCCCAGGAGTATTAACCTGGGCAACACTGGGTAAATCGGATTGGAGAAGGGAGAAGGTAGAGGAAGGAAGACTAACTTGGAGGCCACTATAATCTCCCTATGTTGCCCTTTTTTCTTTTCTTTTCTTTCTTCTTTTCTTTTGTTTTCTTTTTTTTTTTTTTTTTTTTTTTTGAGATGGAGTCTCAGTCTGTCACCCAGGTTGGAGTGCAATGGTGCGGTCTCGGCTCACTGCAACCTCTGCCTCCCAGGTTCAGGTGATTCTCCTGCCTCAGCCTCCCGAGTAGCTGGGACTACAGGCATTTGCCACCACATCTGGCTAATTTTTGTATTTTTAGTAGAGATGTGGTTTCACTATGTTGGCCAATTTGGTCTCGAACTTCTGACCTTGTGATCCACCCGCCTTGGCCTCCCAAAGTGCTGGGATTACAGGCATAAGCCACTGTGCCTGGCCCTATGTCACCCTTTTATAAAGGTCCACAATTTTCATTAACAGCACTTATCAGTTTGTGTGATTATTTATTTAATATCAGACTAGCTCCAAGACAGTAAACTCTGTAAGGGCAGAGGCCATATCTGTTTTGCTCACTATTGTATCCACAGGGTCTGACACATGGAGAGAATAATTGACAGTGCCAAATATAACAGAAAGGCTGAATTGTGTGTTGGTTGAATGAATGGAAGTAATGAAGAATTGAATTGCGGCAACTGCAGTGAAACCGTCTCTACTAAAAGTACAAAAGTTAGCCCGGCATGGTAGGTATGAGGTCTGTGAAGGCATAAGATCTGGTGACTTGGGACTGGGCGCAGTGCTTCACACCTGTAATCCCAACACTTTGGGAGGCTGAGGCAGGTGGATCACCTGAGGTCAGGAGTTCGAGACCAGCCTGGCCAACATAGTGGCAGGTGCCTGTAATCCCAGCTACTCGGGAGGCTGAGGCAGGAGAATCGCTTGAACCCGGGAGGTGGAGGTTGCAGTGAACCAAGATCGTGCCACTGCACTCCAGCCTGGGTTATGGAGTGAGAAACTGTCTCAAAAAAAAAAAAAAAAAAGATCTGGTGACTTGGAAGTCATATTGACTTTTAGGCACAATTTCAGTGGGGTAGTGAGAGAGCAGAAGCTAGACAACAAAGAAGTACAAGGTGGAAAGTAGCAGCAGAACTAGGCAAGTCAGCAGAGTACAGGCACCCACACTGGAACCAAATTGTCTGGGTTCAAACCCTTGCTCTCCCACTTGGGAGTTATATGACCTTGGGCAAGTTATTAAATGTCTGCAGACCTCAGTTTCCTCATCTATAAGATGTCCACAACTACCCTCACAGACTTGTAAAGAGAAAGTGAGTAAATACACACAAAGCTCTTCGAGTAATACCTGACACAGAACAGGCGCTTTCTAATGTTTACTGTCATTATTCTGCTCTTGCTGTCTGGCAGGGTCACCTGCCACCGCTAAATCTTGACATTTCTCTCTTCATTCTCTCATTCTCCAGATCTCTATTTACTGCCTCCTGGAAAGGCTTCCGGCCTATTATTATAGGGCAGCTCTAGTCATGCAGGGGTTTTCTCTCTCTCTTTTTTTTTTGTCTTCTACTCATATTCTTGACTCTGGTTTTTATTCCCCTTTACCTCCTCTATTGCTTCTTATTATTTCTTCTGTAGAATGACCCAATTCACCCCTTAGTGACGTGAACTCTAGTAGACCCTGAAGCATGTGTCTGTCATTTCCTCCTTTGACATTCCTCTACTTAACAGCAGGATCTGTTTACTTTTACCTCCTTATTTTTTTATCCTTTTTTTTGCATTTCTCCCAACCTCTCTGATAAGCCAGAAGAGGGTGGCAGTTTGCAAACCTAGTTTGCGAGCCTTTTTATTTCCTCAAGAAAAGATGATAGTTGAAAAGCTTCCACTGATTCTAACAGCCACAAAGCCAGCAATTGCTCCAACTAAAAGACAAACCTGGTTACTCCACTCTGCAGCGCACAGGGGCAGTTTCCACACCTCCTAGTTATGTCTCCCACCTATGACTATGCTCCCATGTGCCCAGCCCCCACACCACCCTCCCACCCATCTCAAATGCCTCTCAGCAGGAGCCACTGGGGGCACTTCAACTCTACTTAGGAGGGGTTCCATCTTGTGGTACTTTTGGCACCTCCATTCCCATATTTCCCTAGCACCATTTCTTTGCCCGACTGAAAGAAGTGATTCTATCACAAAGTTGTCTATTTTGTCCTGCTGTCCTGGAATGAGACCCTTCTGCCCAGCTAGGAAAAAGCCATTTCCCCTGGTCCCAGTCCATGCATGTCCCAGGTGTTCTTTGCTTCTTCACAGCAGGCACCAAGCCTGTCCGTCTGTAGTGTCTGATTGTGTATAAACCGAATGTGCTCAAGCGCCATGTTCTTTGACAGCTCTGTTTAAGCCTTTTATGTCATCTGTGTCACCATTTGGTTTTTTTAACTGCAAATTCACAAAAAGTGTGAACTGGCTTTTTGTGAGGGATTCGGCATAGCACATGCCCTTTAGAATTCTACTACTTTATCATGATCATTAAGTGTGGGAGCTGGGAGAGGCTTTGGAGATTCTTTGTCTAACTTCCTCATGTTTTAGAGTAAGATAGTGAGGCTCAGAAAGGGGAAGTTCATTCACAAATCATTTATCGAGTATCAATCATGTTCAAGGCATGTGCTGTGAGGGATAGAAAGATACACTAGATACAACCCCAGCGTTCTAGAAGCTTTTTGACTGGTTGGAGAGTGTATTATTGACAAATTGCTACCATGCAAGAACAGAGTGTGTTCAGTACCAACTGCTAGAGCGGTTCAAAAGGAGGGAAGGGGAAGCTCCTCTGCCATGATCAGTGACATGATCATGGAAGGTGACATTTGAGCTGGAGCTTGAAGGGTTTCATTAAATAAGAGATGGGGACTGAAAACACTCCAGACAGAGGTCTTGCTCATGGGTAAAAACTCAGAGTCTAGATTGGTTTGTAGAGAAGTATCAGGAGATAATGCTGGACAAGCAGATTAGGGCCAGTGGAGTGTGAAATACTTCCCTCCCCAACACCCACGTCCCCTCCCCTACCAGGCTGGTCCTGCTTATCTCACAGGTTTCAACCTGAATTTCATCTCCTCAGAGAAGTTGTCCCTGGGCACCTTTTCTAAGTATTAGCCTCTATCATTGTATCCTATGTACTTCCTTCATGGCATTCACTCAAATGTGTACTTATGTATTTAGTCATTTCCTGCTTTGCTGTCCCCCGCCCCCAACTAGATGATGGGCCCCTTGAAAACAGGCTTTATTTGCCATTGTCTTTCCAGCACCACGCACAATGCTTATCAGCAGGTGCTCACCAAGAAGTAGCTCTTGTCACTACAAGGGTAGGGGCAGTGATAATGACAACAAAGGACTGGATTGAAAAGACATTGCAAATAATCCACACATTTTGGTAGGAGATCGGATATGATGACCAGAGTGGGGAGATCAGGGCTTAAACCTGGGTGACTAGAGCAATGGCAGCACTTAGGGGTGGGGGAAGAGAGCAGAGGGAACCGAGCTGTAGGTGGGAGGAGCCCATGGAAGGGGTGGGGCAGGATGGGAGAGAAGTGAAGTCATCGGGGAGAGCAAGGCATTTTCCCGTCTAGGGTCTTGGAATTTCATGCTTGGAAGGTAATGGCTGGTCTTTGAGGGCTTCTAGATGCTTGATCAACTTGTGTTGCATAAACGAGTGATGGTAGTAAAGGAGAGCAGAGCGGGTAAAAGGTTCAACCCTGGGTGAGAAGACAGTAGAGTGAAAAGAAGGGGAAGGAGCAATAAAGGATCAGAAATGGATGAAGAAGATGAAAAAGAGGAGTCATAATGATGGAGTGAAATCCCAGAGGAAGCGGCAGTGGCTTCAGAAAAGAAGCTCTCCATAAAACAAACCAAAATAATTCACACTCGCCACAGGTTTGGACCTGGTCAAATCACTTCCCTCCAAGCTTGAGCCAAAGACCAGTGCAGCTCTTTTCTTTTACCAAGCATCTACTATGTGCCAGATACTGTACTAAGTGCGGGGGGTATAAAGGTGAACAGGACATAGTCTCTGCTCTCAACGAGGAGTCTAGGAGAGGAAGACAGATGCAAAGAGATGGGGCAAGAAAATGTTCTAAGCAGAGCAAAGTGAGATGCAGCCTGGGCCTGGTGTGCTGAAGAGCACAGCTGCTACAGCCAGACAGCCTGTTTTGGGCTCATAGCTCTGCTACTTATTAGCTGTGTGCCTTGGTTTCCCCATCTGGAAAACATGGATAATAAGAGTAACTGGGCCAGGCGTGGTGGCTCACACCTGTAACCCCAGCACTTTGGGAGGCCGAGGCAGGTGGATCACTTGAGCCCAGGAGTTCAAGACCAGCCTGGCCAACATGGAGAGACTCCATCTCTACTAAAAATACAAAAATTAGCCAGGCGTGGTGGCACGCGCCTGTAATCCCAGCTACTTAGGAGGCTGAGTCAGAAGAATCGCTGGGACCCGGGAGGCGGATGTTGCAGCGAACTGAGATAGTGCCACTGTAGTCCAGACTGAGCAACAGAGACTCCATCTCAAAAAAAAAAAAAAAAAAAAAAAAAGAAAAGAAAAAAAAGAGTAAAGAGTACCTGCCTTCTAGGGCTGTTTTGAGCAACAGGTGAATTAGTATGCGTACAGCACATAGCAAGCAGGAAATAAATATGAGCTGCTATAGTGATGACCAAAGTCCTTACAGGGTATAAGACAGCACTCAGGGTGGGAAGGTCAATTCTACCTACAGGGTGAAAGGGAAGAAGAGGTGGTGGTTCAGGAAAGTGAGCACTGAGAGGGGAATTCTTGAATTGAGTCTCGAGATATTAAGAGGAGGCCAGGCGCAGTGGCTCACGCCTGTAATGCCAGCACTTTGGGAAGGTGAGACAGTAGGGGGATTGCTTGCGCCCAGGAGTTGGAGACGAGCCTGGGCAACATGGTGAAACTCCGTTTCTACAGAAAATGCAAAAATTAGCTGGGCCTGGTGGCACACGCCTGGGGTCCCAGCTACTCGTGAGGCTGAGATGGGAGAATCACTTGAGCCTGGGAGGTAGAGAGGCTGCAGTGAGCTATGATCACACCACTGCACTCCAGCCTGGGTGACAGATGAGACCCTGTCTCTCTGTCTCTCTCCCCTACCCTCGGTCTCTCAAACAGTCTTCCAGGTTAAGCAAGATGGGGCAGCAGCAAGGGCATTTATGGGCATACAGAAAAAGGATGAGCCAAGACCCAGGGCTGTGGTGCATTCAGGGAACTCAAATGCGTAGAACAGAAGGGGGCACAGCAGAAGAGACAGGAGAGAAAGCCTGGGGCCTGATGGTGGAAGGGCTATGCTAAGGAGCTGGGACTTCAACTTCTCCCTGTGGGTGGCAGGACCCATGGGAAGGGTAGGGCATGTGAGGCAGATGATTCTGTCAGCCTGGGCAGGACTGGCCATAGGCAGACAGGAAGGCCAGACAACAGAGTATCCTCTCACACATGCTCTTCACTGGGAGAACGCAGGTCTGAAGCCCATTCTCAAACCACCCGCTTTCCAGTTCTTCAAAGTGTTAGGTACGTGTGCTTAGACTACCAGTGGTGGTGGAGGGAAGGCCACACGGGTAGTTCATTCGGTCTAACATGGAAGAAGCCAGTGGGCATCACATTGTGCACAATGGGAACAGCTCTGCAGATAAAATCTAGCTGGGGCTTGTTAAAGAAGCTTTGCTATTTTCTGGCAAAGCAATGAGGTATCGACACCCTGTTCACTGGGGAGGAACCGAGGTATGCAGGAGCCAATACTATTTCTTGGAAGTGACAGGGGAAGAACCTTTTGAGGAAACAAATCTGAGCTTCAGAGTGTTATTTGCAATGATGATAAAATGTCCTAGAGGTGCCAAGGAAATGGCTGGAGATGGATAAAAGGACTAGTGGAATCAAGGCCATGAAATCTTAGGTGGGAACAGGGATGAAATACAAAACTCGGGAATGCTGAGACTGAATGAACACTTCCAAGGCCCAGGTTGAGGTTGTCGGGCATCCAGGATCGCTTTTGACTTCAGTGCTAATTCGTCAGCTTGCCTTGAGAAAATTACCAGCTCTCTCAACACTTTCTCACCTAATTGCAGTGGTTGGTATTAAGCAAGGATTATCCCTGAAGAAAGGGCTCCACTGGCCTTTAGTGCTGGCTTTTCTGCTTGAGCTGGCACCCCTTCTCAGTCCCACTTTTTTGCTTGGCCTTGGCCTGCTTAGGATACTTCCCCTCCCCTCTAGGCTCCTCCCAAACCTGCGGCTCAACTCCCACTTGCTTCTGCATCTTTCTTAGCTCCGCCCTTGAGCTACTCGACTTCCACACTTGCTGCAGGTAAGGATTTTGTTTTCATTAGCTGATTTCTAGAAGCACTTTCGACTTAAGACAAAGCTGGTCATTTGTGCTTGAACAAATATTTTATTTATTCATGGGTAGACCATAAGGTTTGATAATACAGTTCTTCCTCTGTTAGAGATGAAGGAGTCAAGGCATGATCAGCTGCAATGTCAGCAACAAAACCAGGAGGAGATAGGGCTCTCTCCTCCTTCAGGACACGGCACAGCACAGCACGGCAGTGTTAAGGGTGTGTCTCCCTTTGGGGTTTCCAAGTTGCTCTGTATCTTCTCGTGCTGGGGCTGAATGTTCTTCAGCTGTACCTCCACTAGGAGAACATCAGCTGTGAAGACAGAGCCTCAACAGTGTGACCACAGGACAGATCTTTGTTCTCTTTGTCCTCAGGAGATGAATTTTCTTAAGCTCTCATGGAGCTCTTTGGGGACTCCCTTTTGTTAGGCTGCCTTCAAGCAAATGAGAGAATGTGGGAAAGCAAGCAACCTGCACACCATAAAGCACCACAAGCAAGAGGACTCACCCTTCCTGTGGCTCAGCCCACACACATTTCAGGTGGCTCATTCATCCAGATGTTGCTCTTGACCTTATGAATTATGACAGCACTTCCTAAGACTCCTCCGCACAAGTTGCAATGGCACCTGCCACGTCAGAACTGCCAGAACTGCCTGCTCTAAGCATCCCTCCCCTCCTCAGAGGGCTATGGGGATGACTGCTGTCCTGCTCTGCAAATGGGCCCATCCCACCCTCATTTTCGGAAACACTGGTAGCTGGCAGGTCACTTTCTCTGGCCATTTTTCTCACCCAGTTCTCTGCTACTAAATCAGGCCCCTGCTTTCTCTAACACACACCTCTGCTACAGCAGGCCTCTCCCACCTTGTGTACCTCTTGGGAAAATGTCAGCATTTTGCCACCACAGATGTGGACTCCCATCTGGTTGGTGCTATTTGAAGCAGTGTCTGGGGCTGGGGTGGAAGACCAAGCACACAACTTTCACAAAGGGCCTGTCACCACCCCAGGGAGCTGTACCGATCCCCAGGACGGCCCAGCTCGGCTAGCTGATCATCACTAAGGAGAGAGCCCTCTGGCCCCCAAAAGTTTGGGATGTTCTTCCCACTGCTTTGCCCACGCCCTCCCTTCTCAACTACTTTAAGAAGGTCTCTGAGCCACAGTTCATTGCAACTATCGTTTATTAAAAAATATATGTCTCCTTGGAAGAAACACTGGTAAACCCACTAGTATCATGCTTACTTTGAATCTTTGTTTCTCTTCCCTGGGAGGGGGAGGGCTGAGCACGGTTGAGACTTTGCCACTTAGTTAACATCAGAGAATCAACCTCCCTGCTCACCCCTCCTCACCAGAGTCACAGTCGGCTGTCACTTTATCCCTTTTTGCCTTCAAGCCATTGTACTGCCCAGGGAAAGCCGCTGTCCTTTCCTTATCCTCATCCTGGGTCCCATGCTTTATACAGTTAGCCTCATTCTGCTGGTTGGACAACTGTTAACAGAGTTCCCGGATTCGGCTGGTAGTGCTTAAAGCATCCTCAACATTGCCTCGCTTGCACCAGCCCTAACCCAGCGGGCTAGGAAACAAGTGCCTCAATCCTAGGGCCAAGCACTTCTCTGTTCTCCCCTGCGTCGTCCCTCCAGTATGGAGGCGAGGGAGGCACGTTGGCTTCAAAGGAGCACAGTGGGGTGGGGGGGGACCTGAACCACACCTGCTGCCTGCACTTGTGGCGGTGAAGATTCCCTTGATCACAGTCACTGCCATCAGACTCTGGGAAAAAGCAACAAGGTTTCACAGCTCACCAGTAAGCGAATCTTAGCTCTACAGCTCAAATGTACAGCATAAAGTCTACTTTCCTCTTGAAGAAACCATAAGCTACCAGCTGTTGGGGAGGGGCTGGAGCAGAGCATATGAAGCAGCTGCAAAAAAAAAAAAACCAAATCAAACTCATGACGCAGCTGGCCAAGCAAGCCAAGTGCTGTCCCGCCATCCCAGCACAGAACTGGAAGGCAAGTGACTCCCTGTCCCTGTTGGTGGAACCCAGGAAGGAACCTCAGCAGAGCCCTCCGTGTCCTCCTCTCAGCCCAGCCCCTGCTTTCCCTTCTGCTGACAGGACAACCAGGCCTGTGTCACCTACTCCATCACAAGGCCTGGCTCCTTCAGGACCTCATAAGCCTTTAGAACCTTGGCAAATTGGATTCTATGCATTCACTTAAATAGTAAAAGTAAAATTTGCAATAATGAAAAGGCTGACACAGTAGCACAACATGGTTTTGGTTTAACAGCAGCTTAAAAAGGAACAAAAAGGAAACCTCTCATGCAGACACATCAGGTGGCATAAAACAATAGGCAATTCCACGCGGAGCATCATTAGCCATTCTCTCTGTCCGCACACAGGACTCTGGCTGCACCTCAGGGGCAGCAGCTGCTTTCAGGTCAAGTCTCTCACCCTCTCACCCCAGGCAAAAGCCCTTCCTCTCCGGCCTCAGGCTGACCCCTCCTAGCTCTCAAGAGAATGACCAAATGCGAGTGCCCTTAGTGCAGCACTTGCTACCATCTTCAATCCCTTCCCAACCAGCTGGGATAGAAGATGCCATCTGATTGGAATATGAAAATTAAAGCATTTCTCTAATAACATAGTACCATTGATGAAGTCTCCATAGATTTTCTAACCCAAATGTGTGTGAATATATATATATTATATGAGAGTGTATAATATATATATATAATAATTTCTATATATTTTATATAAATTACATATATATATCTATATATAAATAAGATACTTTCTGTCGCCATTACGTTGCACCGTTCAGAGCTGCAAGACAGCAGTACAGATAGGGAGAAATGCCCAGGAGCATCTCATCATGTGGTGCATTTAGCTCACTTCACAAGCCGTGCAGCTGTCCAGAGTCTGTCTTTCCATCAGTCCTCCTCTTTTCTCTTCACTTCTGCTTGGTTTTTATGAAAACAATGGCTCTGATGGATTTTGCACCTGTGCTAGCGCTTGGGAAAGGTCCATGCAGGAATGGGCACAGTCACATGATGAATGAGATGGCATCATCCCAAAAAATAAACTGAAACAAACAAAAACTTAAAAAAAAAAAAAGAACAGGACTAGAAAACTTAATTTTTTTTGACATATCTAAAAAAGGGGACAAGAACAGTAGCATTTGTTCTCCCCATGGGGACAGGAATGAAGAGGGAGGAGGGAAGAGGGACTTGATTTCTTCTGTTCACAAGAGAATGGTTGGAGGGGATTCTTCAGAGTTTTTCAGGGGATGGGACCCAAATGTAGTGCCCAGACTGGTCCTCAATGATTTGTTTGATTTTGTTATAAATCTCTTCCAGTGAGTCACCCTGTACAATGGCTAAAGTGAAGAGGAAAACAAAATTATTACTGTGGTCCATAGCACATCCCCCAAACCCAGCAATCCTGCCTCTCCCAACAATCCTACAAGTCCCCCCTCCACCCCCTCACCCCTCACATGAAGGACATGTTCCCAGGAGTATGGGTTTGGGCTTGGGTTCACTGGCTGGCTGCCTGTGTGTTCAGGGCAGTAAGGGCAACCAACAAGGTACCCCAAGTCCAGGGCTTGAAGTCAACTCACTGAGACAGTGAGACTAAGTAGTAATGACCAGAAAAATGTGTTTATTCAAAAGATGTTTATTGAGCACCCACTATGTGCCAGACCTTGCAGTTCATGTTGTTCTTGGGTGCCATAAGGCCAGCAGCTTGTTATTCTAAAGCAGCCTTACTAAAAGATTTGGAAAATCGCAGTTCTCCACAGAAAGAACTGAAAGCCACAATTTCTGGCAAGAGGCAGCGCTCCTGGGCCCATCACATCTGCTGTATGTCAGAGGTCAGCCCAGCAAACAAGGACATGGATGCTGATGGTAAAGGGAGCTCTGAAGACCCAAGGTGTGTGAGGACATTTATGAATTCTTTACACAGTTAACCTAGTGTCACCACCAGCTAGAATGGATTCGGCACTGCCTTGCATATATTTATGTATATATATGTCACTGTACTTCAAAAGGTGAAGAACGTATTACATAGAAACCTTCCCAATGTTTCAGGAACTGACCTTACACACACACACACACACACACACACACAGACAGACAGACAGACACCCCAACAGACAACTTGAACAGCACACCGAGGAATCATCATCATCAACAAACGTTTATTCAGCACCTAAACATGCAAAGCAAAGTACTGGGGGAGGGGGAGTGGAGCTGAAACGGAGGGAGACAGAGTAATACAGGGAGCCTACAATCTAGTAAGGACAAGACAAAATGAACAAACCAACAATTCAAGGAAGCATTTGGTGAGTGGTTTATGCTATAAACTGGCTGAACTGCTATGGCTGGACACGGGGAACTTGTGTGCTTTGGAAAGGTTTGTGCTCAAAAACTTAAAAGCAACTGGAAACTCCGTGCAAGGTTTCTACATTCTGTCTACACCTCTTTGAGACACTTATAGAAACAGGTACCTGGCTAGTTCCCCAGAACCCCCCGCAGGGCAGCAGGAGTCTTACCTGTAAAGTACTCTCCAAATTCCTGCTCCAGTTTCATGGCTTTGTCATAGATCTTATTTGCTTGTTCATATGTCTGCCTTCGGTTCATTTCCCTGCCAAAGACAGAAGAAAAATAGTTCTGAACCAGATCTTATGTTCTGATTAACCATAAAGGATTATTCCAGGATCCCTAAAAATCTGCTAAGCTGCCCTCTCAGAGCAGCAGTGGCCCGTAGCTAACTCCTCAAACCTGCGTTCAAAAGTCCAACCATGAACATATGCACAAGCCCTCAAAACAGGAGCGCCCAGTGACCAGAGCTGGGGCACAGAGTTTCTTTCAAGTTTCTGCCCAGCAAATCACTTTCTTCTCCATTTCCCTTCCAGACCCGATCTTAGCTTGGTGTGTCTGAGTTCTCAGTTCAACACTTACATAAGGGCTTCAATGGACTTGGGCTTGATGAAAATGGCAATGGGGTAAAGTTGTGCTTGCTGCAGTCTCTTGATAGCATTGCCGGAAACATCTAAGATGCAGTGCTTGCCCTGAAAAAGCAGAGATTGTAACAGCCCAGCCACTCCCTATTCACCAAGTCCCAAGCAGAAATCCAGTGACATTCTAAACATCCACCTTGGCCGGGGGTGGGGGTGAGGGGAGGGGCACGAGGGCCACCCAAAGTGGCCTAAGAAATTCGATCTCTGAAGTAGACAGGCCCTACTTTTTGCTCCTATTACCCAGAAAAGGCCACATCTGTCCAGGGCCCCCTATTCCCTGTTGGGTAATGCTCTGGGGTGAGTTGTATGAAGGAGACAGATAGCTTCGTCAAGGCGCTGGGAGTATGCAGATGTGCTATGGCTTTGGTCAGCAGCACTGTTGGGCAGCTCCTGTGTTGGAAGGATAAGGATCCAAGTGGAACCTTGGCATAAGCATTGGCCTCCCCTTTGAGGCCATCTCCTGTACACTTACCCTCTCTGCAACTGCCCGCACTGACTGGATGCTGGTCCCATAGAGGTTATCATTAAATTGGCCCGCCTCGATGAACTTGTTGTCCTGAATATCTTTCTCCATTTGTTCTCGGGACACCACAAAGTGGTAGTCTTGTCCATCCACCTCATTATCACGTCGAGGCCGGGTAGTATCTGAAGGAAGAAAGGAAATGCTTTGTGGCCCAGGGGCAGTGATCCGCCCCAAACCAAAAAATACTGACTGGTCCATTCTCATCTGGGTGGGTCACTGGGCCACTCCATTTTTTTTTTCAAGTAAGTGGGAGAAAACAAGCAGTTGGGAAGCGGTTTGTCTGGCCTACTTCTCTTCCAATCTCCAGGTCTCACACAGGGGGCTATTTGCTTTAGCTTAAACTGGACTAGAAAGGTGGGGTTTCCTGAGCTAAAGCATGGCAGAGGGTGCCAAACTTGGTAGAGGAGACAGTGAACCTAACAAACTGTTAATGGAGTCACATCAACACCACTTTGGCTGGGCCTCCGTATTTGTCCAATCATTCTCAACCATCACCACTGAAACTTCCCCTCAAGAGTGAGCAGCCAAGCCTGATGGCTTAATCTCTCCAACCCCATCAGCTTTTGGGGAATATATTGCCACCTACTGTTTTCCAGCGTGTCAAATGTACCCTGTCCCCAAATAGCCCTAGAATCTGATCCCAGACCTTTTCCATAAAACATTAGAGCAACAATTCCCAGGGCACCAAGCCTCACTCCTCTGGGCCTTCCTGGACTCTTACGTGGCACACAGGATCCAAATTTATGTGGAAATTCGGAGATCAGGTCATCATTGACTCGGTCCTTCATTGGGCCCAGGATGATCACAGGCCTTGCATAGTGAACTAGAGAGGGAGAGCATCGAGACAGTGAACAGAGGCCCCCACCAGACAGCCTGTCCTACCCCTGAGTCTGGCTAGAACACAGAGGCTCTGGAGCAGAGACTCAGACAGGGTAAAGCATCCTCAGACATTGTCTGGCTTTTAAACAGAAAGACATCAAAGAGCCTTTAATTTGAGAATATCTAAGTTCAAGGCAAGTCTGAAACCGGAAGCTGCTCCCCTTCTAACAGAGTCAGAAAAAATCTCTGCACTGACACCAGTAACTGAGCAAGGTTTTTGCAGAGCAGCCACTGAAGGGAAGAACCTGGACCTCTCTTTTAGCAGTGGCTACATCTACTGAAATAGACTTTCCTTGTAAATTTGCCCCCTCCTTTGGAAGGTGTCCTGGCAGCAGGCAAAGGCACAGAGAGAAGTGCACACTGGATGCACCCCCTTCCCTATGACACTAGGAAGAAGCATAGAGAAGAAGGAGCCCAGGGGCTGGATGTGCCATGAGTCAAGCCTTCCTCCTCCTCCAGGTCCCTCCCTCTGCTGCCACAGCCACCCACTGTATTGAGCCCCACGACCAGGAGACCAGCACGAAGACAAGGCTCTCAGAGGAGGCTTACTTTCTTGCCGTGTCACTGGCTCATATGACAAAATAGCATCCTCTTGTCCTTCTGCAACAAAAAAGAGAGATAGGTTAGCACCATATGATCTGCCTCCTTCTGTACAGTACTCCCCGTACCCCTCCCCTGCCAGGACACAGCCTTATCAGGTGGTCCTTGCCACCACCTGTGATCCTTTCTGTTTTCTGCTGGTGAGAAAGCACATGAAACCCTTCACTGGCTCTGAGACAGGAGTCAGCAGTTCTCTTGTTCAGTGAAATATCACTGGGCAAAGGGCCAAGGCCCAGAAGCCATGAAGCCTCCACCCCAAACCACCCCAATTTGTGAGGAACTCTTCTTGTAGGTAACAAGTCAGCTGTGTGCAGTAGCCCCCTTGCTCTGGTAAGAATGACAGGGACACTTTGACTGGTTGAGATGCTTGCCCGAGTCCCCTTCATCAACATGCAGGGGAGTCAGGGCACACACCCAGGTCCCCAAGCAGCCTAACTTTGCCCTTTTAAAGGTCTACCAACCCACCTCCTGCATTGGAAGCAGCATCCAGAAAAGTGGCACATGGCTCTGCTAAGGTCCCCAGTGCCCTTTAAGAGCAATGCTGAACCTGCTGTCTCTTCCTGGTGGAGCCCCATGTCGAGCCTAGCAATGTTGAGGTTTTCCTAAAACAGTCGTCAAGCCACTCGGTGCTGGGTGCCTGGAGGTCCCAAAGTGGCTGATGGCAGTCCCAGGGAAAACAGTGATATTTGCATCAAGGCACACAATGCTTGCTAAAAGGCTTCTTCTGAGCCTAATATTCCTGGGCAGATTTTACAAGGCTTCTAGCCACCATAGCTCCTGAAAAACCAGTGCTCCCAAAGTTCATGAGGTTTGAATTACGGTTTCTCTGGTCTGGTCACAGGATCTCCCAAGGAGAACTTGGCAATTACCTCATCCTTTAACTGGCCCCAAAGGCAAAGAGGTCCTAATGACCTGGAAAGGCAGATTTAGGGCAGTGTCCTAGAGGAGCCATTTTTCTTTTGGTCTCTGAGCAAATCTATAAACCTGGCAGCACCTATGGCCCACAGTACCCATGGCAGGGATTTACTCTTTGGCAGTTTACCCTTCCCAGTGCCAGGGATGCTTTTAAGTCAGGTCCCGGCCAGCACTATAGGGCTTATACTCTCCTTTAATCCATGGGGTGAACCCCAACCCATAAGGAGAATGAACTGGCCACAGCATTTCTAGGATCTCAAAGTGTACATGGCTAAAAGAAGCACCAGCCTCTGAGCAGCAATGGCAGCTGTGCAACACTGGAATGAGGATGGCTGGGATACACAGTGGAGCTACACGACATGGAAGGAATGACACACACTTACTGGAACTGCTTTCGCTGTCACTGGTGTTGGATGTCACTCCCTCTGCAAGCCAACAAGAAAGAGACTCCAATTCAGAACACACCACTGAGAGGTCACATGCAGCACAAAACTCAAATGCTCCAGGAGCGAGACACTGAGCTGCCAACTGAGTCAGGCCACCAGAGGCCTGCCACATCCAGGCTACCAACTGGGAGGCACAGCTCCAATCCTGAGCCCCTGGCCCTCTCGTACTTGTCCCCAGAGCCCTCTTGGTCTGCCAAGTCCCTCCCTATGTACTACAAGCCATACTTCCTTCAGCAGCATCCTCTTCATCTGAATCAAATTGACCTGGATGGTTTCCAAATCGTATTTCAAAATGCATCTCCCAAGGCTAACAACAGGAAAGAAAAGACAGTGACAGGAGCAAAGAGAAGTCCAGGGACCAGTCTGCTCATGGGTGTCCCCCGCCCAACAGAGCCCCTGAAGTACAGAACCATGTGGCACTCCACAACTAAGAGGCCAAACGCTGGATGGGTTAAGCAGACACCAGGGAGCGCTGCTCTGACCATTCGGTGGGCTCCCCAGCCTTCCTGCCACCACTCCAAAGCAGGAGAGCCTGGCTTCAGTGGTGAGAGGGGAAGCATCTCCATCCACCACCAGACACATATGTCAAAACACAGACAACAAAACCAACAAAAACACCTTGAGGACAAGGCAGCCCTCCTGTCTCACACAGCTGGGATCTGCCCATCTCTTAGTGGTGAGGGAAAAGAAAGCTCAGGCGGAGGAGCAGCGCTCGTAGGAGGCACAAACAAAGCCCGCCCATCCAAGATGACACGCGAATGAAGATGAGACATGGACACACCAAACTATGGAGAGAGATGCTGCTCATTTCAGCCAAGACCACACTGTTCCAGACCATGATATGCTGTGGCCCCCCCACCCAGAAAGGACTGGCTGAGTTGCCACACATGGCTAGTTCCTGAACAATCCCCATGGGCAACTCCTTTGCCTTTGGTCTGTATTATTTATTGAAGGAGAGTATATGCTGATAGAACCCATTTGGTGTCTGTGCACCCTTGCACGCAGCAGGATGGCCACTAAGGCCTCATCATCTAGGTCTTTTTCATTTTCCACTCCAGGATTCTTTTCCAGAAAGGAAAATGAGGTTGGAGTTTTCCTGAGATAAAGCACTAACTATATATGGTCCATAAATGATGCTGAGGCCCCTAGCAGACCAGCTCAACCCCTTACAGGTGCTCTGTGGGAAGCCAAACAGTGGCTGTTTGCTGAGGCCCGGGATCTGCTGGGACATCTCAGATGCAGGTTGGGAAAAAGGGGTCACAGTACCCTTGCCCCTAGTTAGAGGACTGTTAACAGCTGCAATTCCTACACCCAATTCTTTAGCGTGGTATCACTGGGAGAAGAATCCAACCAGCAGGCACCCCTCCCTTCGACAATAGGCTAGAGATTAGCTGAGTGGTTACCTTGGAGAAACATTTCAAGCTTACTTCACTTCTAAGGTGGGATGCCATGCTCACGCCCTCCCACTTTGAGTAGCAAAAGGTAAACAAAGGCATGAATGATATGGACTTATTTGGGTACTAGGGATCCATAGCAAACATGTAACATATGGAGCCACATGCACTTCTTCCTGCTGTGATGTCAGAGTGCTCACAAACACTGCCCTCCCCTCACCCTTCACCCTCACCCATGTCCCCAATAGCCCCACCCCCACTATCTCCATTCATGCCACAAGTACAGTGAACGGTGTGTAAGTTGGACTTACTCAGGTTCTTTGCTCCATAATAATCGTCACTTAACCCCGGGAAGTCCTGATTTCACAGACAGCAAGGGCGGAGAGAGGACGACGGGGAGAAGAGGGGGGAAGGGGAAGGGATGGGAGGGAATGGAAGAGAGGGAGAGATTTGGGGAGAAGAGAAAAAATAGAGAAAAAGACAAGGGGGGAGGAAGAATACAGAGGTAGGTGAGCACTAGTGACAGAATTATGAAACACCATGAAGACCTAGCACTATAGTGAGGCCAGGAACTTTGCCACAGAAAGAACATCCCAGGGCAGATAAGACATCAAGACTTCATGCTGCCCAATTCATTGCCAGAGGGCCTTGGAGTAGACTAGCTTTCTGAGGTGTCTACAGCTGTAGGCCAATGGGACAGGACAGGTGACACTCCAAGGCTTAGAGCACCTGCTTTGACTAAATTTTGGTTGTGGAGCCCAGGTCTCTGTTTGCCCCTGAAATCACCATTTCCCTCTGCAGTGCGTGAAAGAGCAAATGTCCGCGTGTGCCAGGTAGGCAGATAGAATTGCCATCACCTCAAGAAGCCTTTGCCCAATACTGATTCACTCTGTTCAAACCCTTCAGGAAAAGTTTCGCATGGTGTAGAGTGTGGCCTCCAAAGCTGCCCTGAGCTGGACAGATCTTGGGGGATGAGCTCAGCTTCTGGAGAAGCACTAGGCACCTTCAACTCTGTCATCCAGTAGATACCCCCTCGCCCACCAGGCGGGACCACTGAGCAATGAACACCTCCCCAGGCTGGGCTTGGCATGGAGGGACTCTGGGACTCATCTGATGAAACTATGGTGACATCACCTCAGGCCTCTGACTCAGACTGTCTCCTAACTGCTCATGAGCAGAGCCACCCCGTCTATGGCTTCTCATTGAACTACTCCAGGATGATGAGCCGTGGCTGCCATCTAGATGAGGGCACCCTTCTGTCCACCAGGTACCACCCCAGATAGCAATGACTTACACATACCATGACTGTGGACCAAGCTGGCCTGACAGAAGGACATTTCCTATCAGAACCAGTCAGTCTCCTGCCAGCCCCAATAGACCAAGACCCCAAGATCCCTCCATGTAAGACAGAGGAGTCACTGGTAAATGAGAGATGTTTACTGTTCATGATGAGACAAGTGAGAAGACATTTTTCAAGCCAGACCTGGTGTTTAAGGTTAAGGTTGGAGCAGTTAATTGCTGAGGCACACGGTAGAGCAAGAAGATTTATCAGGATTAAATTTCTTCTTCCGTTGAATTTAGCTCAGTGTGACTGCTCTTCCTACCGAACCAACTTTGTGTTTCTCAATAGATCTTTATTTGAACAATGTGGAGCAACACTCCTTCCATGTCAACTCATTTAAGCAGGAAGGATTCTCCTGGGAAAACTGGCTCTGTAGGCACTCTAGGATGACAGCGAGTCTGCTGAGAGTTGTGTGGATATCCTGTATGCTTATGCACGTGCATGGGATTCCAGAAGTAGCCCCAACTCCAGGGATCCTGGGAAGAAAAGGCTCTTCTCTTGACATACATGAGTGAAGTTAAGGGAAAGAAAACACAAGAGGAAGAAACCAGGAGAGCAACACTGAGTCCCTAGACCTTGTTCTCTTGAAAAACCATTTTCCTGACCCTGACAGTCTAGCTAAAAAACCGTTCCTCACCACCACAGCAGAGCTCTGTCTGGCACTTCCACTGCTAGTGCCAGGCACTTCCTGGAGGCTGACCCTGGGACCAGTCCCACCTCAGTGCCTCCAACATTCATTCTAACTGAGGAGCAGGACAAATAAAACCCAACATCTCCTTAGGCAGACCAGTTTCTGCCCTGACTCTGTAGATAAGCAGGTGCACACGCACACAGGCAGGCACGAGGCCACACGTGGCCCTGCCCAGGCTTCTCTCGAGGGAAGGGCAACTGAGGATGAGAGGATGGGGCTGCAGATGGCCTGCTCTCTGGACTCTGCTGCTACTTACGTTCCTGTATGCTGCTCTCCTGGGCCATGTTTTCTTTGCTCTTGTAAAATGGAAACTTTCGAGAGAGGCGGAAACTCTTTTTACGTTTCGTTTTGATCGACTGTGAAAGAACATGAAGATGGAGGGGAAGGACAGAAGAAAAAAAAAAACAGAACAATGGATTTTAAAGCATGCAAGAAAAACTAAAATGGAGACAACGGTGAGCTAAATAAAAGACCATCTCTCACAAATGGAGTCTATGAGATTAAATGAAAGTTGATGTAAGAGGAAAATTATGTTTACAAGAAAATGTTGTAGGGATGTTAGAAGTTTCTACATAATCCAGACACTCATAACACTCACTGGTACTTCCTAAAGAACAAAGGTCACTGTAGCCTCCTGGACACATGCCCTAAGGTACCACTGATATACACATCTACTCCACGTCTCTCTTCCCTCTACTGCTCCAGAAGTTCTTTGGCCTGTGAAGCTCATAGAAAAAAAGGGGTGAATGGAGAACCCGCCTGCCTCAGGTGGTCTGAAGGGAGGTGGGAGCTCTGGAGCTGGGCTTCTTGGCCGGATGCTCTGACAGGATCTATAGCCAGGGAGACACCCACGAGTGGTTTCATTTTCCCCAAGCAAGTCAGCCTTCCAGACAGTCCAACTCTAACACATCTTCAAGAGCCGGTACCCAGGGGAAAGGAGCACAGACTGGCTGTGAACTTTAAGAGCTCCCTCTCTGCTTTCTGAAAAGCAGTCAATGTTCTGATAGGACAGAGCCAGCCCCCTGAAAAAGAGATTTTCTTTTGTGTTCCCCAGTTCTCCTACACATCAGACTAAACTCCAGGCTTCTCAACCCTCTTTACCTACTGGCTGATTTCCTTGGGGATCCCCACTTACCCTGTTAGACTCAATCATCCCCGTCCTGGCATGGAACTTCACAGTTTTCAATCGAGCTCTTTCTTTCTTTTCCACCCTGTTTTGGAATCAGAAAGAAGTCCTGTTACTGCCAGTAAATGGTCTCAGCAGTGGGTTGCAGCAGGCACAGCAGCCATTTTTTTGGCTCACTGAGTAAAAACCATGTTGAGTACCGACTCTACCAAAAAGGAATCAAGGCACAAACGTTGCTCTCAAGCAACTTCTAATAGGAAAACAAGAAAGAAATACCAGCAAGAGGGCAGGAAAGGCCTTGCTCATGATCATGACGACTCACCTCTTCTTACTGGGGATCACACCGATCTGCTCACTTTCTCCGTGTGGGGTCACCAGCCTTGCCTGCCACCACTCATCATCAGAGGCATTAATGACATGCAGAATGTCACCATAAGAGAAGCTGAGCCCCTGGCTTGGCAGGCAGCTGTCCCGAGTCCGATCATAATCAAACAGGGCCCTGAAAGGCACAGTGAAAGATGAAGTGATCATCCAACCCTAAATGCCAAGACACTGGCACCTTGAAAAGATGGAAGGCCAACCCAAACAGCACAGACATAGCAGCCTCACAGTATACTAGAAGGATGTCTCCAGGAGACCACATCCTTCTTTCTGAGCCAAAGTGGTAAATATGCACCCGCTTTCAAAGAAACATCTCATTCTCCCAATAAGAAGCATAAGAGAAAATATTTTACAAACCCCATCTCCTCTTGGCTTCTGGATGCAAGATAAAAGTCCAAAGTAGAACTCGCTCAATAGCCCTCTCCCTCACCCACATCCTAGGAAACTAGCTCTAGCAGGGCGCTTTCTCAGTTCACAAACATATCTTCAAAAAGTAGCTAAAGAGAGGACAAAAAATGTTAACTACAATCCCAAACAATGACTGGTAAACACTCCTGAAGCACTAAAGAAAGGGCCCTATGTCCTCGGGCAGCCAAAGAAAAAGCACAGAATGGTAGGGTTGAAAAGACCAATGGGACCATAGAAGTCACCTAGTGCGGTCTCTTTCTCTTACATATGGGGAAACAGAGGTTCAGGGAGGAAAAAATAGTTTGACCTAGGTCATACATCTAACCAACCTGGGACAAAACCCAGGTCTTCTGACAAGACATGCTGTTGTGACATGCTATAAATGATGCAGAGTAAAGAAATAAAAGGGAAGGTGGGAGAAGGTGGGGAGGGAGCTATACAATCCAGGCTTATGGAAAAGGACACCAGCTTGGCTGATGCTAGAAGTCCTAGGAAATGGTATTGGAAATAAAGGTCTGAAGCAAATTTTGGAAGCCCTTGAATAGACAAGATCTAGTGGCCCCTGGAAATCTGAGAGGAGTGACACATCAAAAGAGCCTTAGGAGGTCGGGCGCAGAGGCTCACGCCTGTAATCCCAGCACTTTGGGAGGCTGAGGCGGGTGGATCACCTGAGGTCAGGAGTTCAAGAGCAGCCTGGCCAATATGGTGAAACCCCATCTCTACTAAAACTACAAAAATTAGCTGGGTGTGATGTTGCATGCCTGCAGTCCCAGCTACTCGGGAGGCTGAGGCAGGAGAATCACTTGAACTTGAGAGGTGGAGGTTACAGTGAGCCAAGATTACGACACTGCACCCCAGCCTAAGCGACAGAGCAAGACTCTGTCTCAAAAAAAAAAAGCCAAAAAAAAAGTTTCTACTTTTCACATCCAGTGGAACCTGTCTTCATATGGAGTCACCACAAATGGGTGATTTCAGTGAGAAGTTTGTATTTTTCTACCTGCAATCTAGGCTGTCTTCTTCATATTCTCTGTTAATAAGGTGTTTTCACACCTTTGCACACACAGCCCAAAATCTAGTTCCAAGACTTTGACTTCTACCTGCAATACTGTGGCCTTTGGCTCAGTTGGAAGCTGCAAGTAAAACACACTATCTTACCATATGCAAGCCCAAATGAGATAGGATGTAGTAAAACCATGAAGAGTGAAATACTCACCTACTGCTTACAGCTCTTGAAACAGAGTTCTTAAAAATCAGCGTCAGATGATTTGAAAATGAAAATACCCAAACTCTAACAAAAAGCCCTTTTTTCCCCTCAATTTACACACTCAAAGCAGTAAGGAGAATGGCAGAGGCAGCAGACAAGGAGGTGCTGTCCGAGAGGTGCATTCCGGGCTATGTGTGACAGAATCAAAACTGAATGCATTCTCACTGCCTGAGTCCTGCATTTCCTAAAGCAAGGAAGACATTCTGTCAGCCACTCCTACTAAGAAGAGCATCATGAAGCAACCTCATTCTCAGTGACAATGAGAAACACTGGATGTCATTATGGGTTTCAAAGATTAGAACAAATATAGTAAGGAAAAGAACAGAACTTGAATTAAGCACAAATTAGTTTGGTGAGAGAAGGAAGGAAGATGTTAAAATGAATTTAGGAGGCCGGGCGCGGTGGCTCACGTCTGTAATCCTAACAATTTGGGAGGCTGAGGCAGGCAGATCACTTGAGGTCAGGAGTTCGAGACCAGCCTGGCCAACATGGCAAAACCCCGTCTCTGCTAAAAATACAAAAATTGGCCGGGCATGGTAGCGGGCACCTGTAATTTCAGCTACTCGGGAGGCTGAGGCAGGAGAATTGCTTCAACCTGGGAGGCAGAGGTTGCAGTGAGCCGAGATTGCGCCACTGCACTCCAGCCTGGGTGACAGAGCGAGACTCTGTCTAAAAAATAAATAATAAATAAATAAAATAAAATGAATTAGGGGAGTTAGGATGAATTTGTAGAAGATTAGAGGGCGGAGTTTACTGGTTGTAAGTTTAAAACACAAGATACATTTTAGCACTTCCCAGAACCATGCTTGACCTTTGGCAACAGCAGTAACAAGCTGAAGTGTATAAAGTAGAGTTGACGTAAACATGTTTTCTAGATGCCGGGAATCCAACTGTTTGTAATTTTTTAAATATCTGAGCTTCAACTAAAATTGATGTAACAGTTTACTTCCGGCTGGGTGGGGTGGCTCACGCCTGTAATCCCAGCACTTTGGGAGGCCGAGGCGGGCAGATCATTTGAGGTCAGGAGTTCGAGACCTGCCTGGCCAACATAGCAAAACCCCGTCTCTACTAAAAATATAAAAATTATCTGGGCGGGGTGGTGGGCGCCTGTAATCCCAGCCACTTGGGAGGCTGAGGCAGGAGAATCGCTTGAGCCCAGGCGGCAGAGGTTGCAATGAGCCAAGATTGTGCCATTGTACTCCAGCCTGGGTGACAGACTGAGACTCCATCTCGAAAACAAAACAAAACAAAATAAAACAACAAAAAAAAATTAAAACACATACAGCACAAGCTAAGTAAAAACAATATAAACACAGATCAAAGTCAAAAAGATTTTGCCAGTAGTTAACTCTGCACATTGGGAATTGTACTATTCGGGCTTATGTTTTTAACCACAGCATGTGTTCCTTTCACAATTTTCAAAAAACATTAAGCCAATTAAAAAAAAAGTGGGGAAGCAGATATATCAAGCACTGGTTTGAGTCATTTACTTCAGATGAGGAACACGTTTGGTTCTAAGTTCCCTGGCAAACAAGGCAAAAAAGGAAGTTGTCTAACTCTAATTTCCCAATAAAAAATGGTACCCAAGTCTATCTGGATTTTGTTTGATGAATTTATGAATACTGAATGGACAAGAAATATGAACAGGATGGACAATGCTTTTTTAAGCTATGGTTTTGTAAAAGACATAGAAATGTAGTATCTGAGGTTTGAGATTCTGAACTAGACTATTATTCACAGTTGAGAATGCAAAAAAATTGAACAAGAATTTCCTTTTCTATCAATCAGAACTGCAAATAGAAAAAGAATTTTGCAGACCGCTAAAGCCTCAGAGGTCATTTTGTCCAACTTTCTATCTGATAAAGGAAATCCCTTAGATACTCTCTAAGTTTCTTTCCAGCTCTAGTATTTAATGAGTCTGAGTCTTTCCTAGATCTTCTCTACCAGGCTAATCATTCCCAATTCCCTCAACAATCCCTTCCTTTGTCATAACTTTTATTTGTTTTCCAAACCCATGATGTGGATTTTCTCTAAATCTACTTTGCCTCTTTTTCCTGCTTAAATTTTGTTTGACTAAGCTAGAAAATTTCCTCAAAGACAATGAAAGCCAGGCCCAGATATGCACACAGCCTCATCTAGAACTGCACACTGGGTGACTCTCAGACCAGGGCTCTTCTATCTCAGAAAATTTCATAAGGCCTAAGTCACAGTCACATGTGCTTTTTCAAAAAAAGCTAATTATCGGCCGGGTGCAGTGGCTCACATCTGTAATCCCAGCACTTTGGGAGACTGAGGCGGGCGGATCACAAGGTCAGGAGATGGAGACCATCCTGGTCAACATGGTGAAACCCCATCTCTGTTACAAATACAAAAATTAGCTGGGCGTGGTGGTGCATGCCTGTAGTCCCAGTTACTCGGGAGGCTGAGGCAGGAGAATCGCTTGAACCCAGGAGGCAGAGGGTGCAGTGAGCCGAGATCACACCACTGCACTCCAGCCTGGTGACAGAGCGAGACTCCATCTCAGAAAAAGAAAAAAAAGCTAATTCTTCACTCAGCTACATGTGGAAAAATACCATTCTTCCACTATTTAAATACTTAGTCTGGTTGGGTGCGGTGGTTCACACCTGTAATCTTAGCACTTTGGGAGGCTGAGGCGGGCGGATCACCTGAGGTTGGGAGTTCGAGACCAGCCTGATCAACATGGAGAAACCCTGTCTCTACTAAAAAATACAAATTAGCTGGGTATGGTGGTGCATGCCTGTAATCCCAGCTACTCGGGAGGCTGAGGCAGGAGAATCGCTTGAACCCAGGAGGCAGAGGTTGCGGTAAACCGAGATCGCGCCATTGCACTCCAGCCTGGGCGACAAGAGCAAAACTCTGTCTCAAAGAAAAACTACTTAGTCTTCTTTATACGGAGTATGTGTTAGATACATGGGAGATACAAGAACAAAGTTTATTGTCTTGTGGAGCTTACTAGGTGACAGAGGGTGTAGTATACTAAGGATGTTGTAGCAAGAAGCCCAAAAGGAGGACAAACCAAGGCCTAGAAGGATTCACAGGGAGTACAGATCACATCTAGTTTGGGGAAGCTACAAGGAGATACTGCTTTTTGAATTGGTTCTCAATGAAGATTTAGGATTTCAAAAGGTAGAGCTGGGGAGAGGTCCTTCCAGCTAAAGAGAACAGTGTAAGCAAAGGTCTGGAGGCAAGAAGCACAGGGTTATTTTCAGGGATCAGCCGTGCATCCAAGTCTGGCTGGGCCTCAGAGAATGGCAGGTTGGGGCCTGACTGTGGACAGCCTGCACTGTCCAGCTAAGGAGTTTGACATTCATTTAGTAGGCTTTATGGGACCAACTTCATTACCTCAGCTTTCTTATCCCATTATCCGGCTAAACTTTCATGTGGAAATAAAACCAGTAAAAGAGAGTAGGCCAGCGTACTAAAGTCAAACAACTTCTCCCATGAGATATATTTCGTGTAACCAAAAAAAGTATGTAAATTAGACCTTAATAATTTTTTTAAAAATATTGACTGCTTTCCTAAGATCTTTAAGAAGCAGCTAAACTGTGGCCATCTAGCAGTGACAGTCTGTCTTAGGAACACCCTGGAATCCTAATGAAGTGACAGGGACTGGCACCTCTCACAAATAAATGGCTCATGGTAGGTTTGATGAGAGGAAGAAGGAATACCTTTTTCCACAACACTGATATATTCTCCTCTTCCTCCTTTTATCCTTAGGGCAGGCACTAGAGAAAGTCAAGGCAGATACTCCCCTTTCAAATCAGGCTGAACCACTGTCCCAGGACGGAAGTCCTACACATGCAAGGCCCACATGACATAGCAACCAACCATTTCAACCTGACTCAAAATTAGAGTGAGCATGAAAAAAAAAAAAAAAAAAAGCAAAAGGTATTTGTCTCTTAATACCTAAAGAAAGGCCGCAATTAACCAACTGCCACCCTGGTCTCATTATGTGTGTGCTTGTGTGTGTGCACATGCGCACATGCATGCATATCTGTGTGTGTTTCAGCTTATCTGACAAGATAATGTGTTGGGAGAGTAGAAGGAAGTCTCAAAAACTCATATTCCTTCTGTACTTAAGATAAAAATAATTTCATTGAGGCCTCCAAGTTAGGGACTGGTCACATCAGAGGAAAACACTGTGCCATGAGAGAATAAAATTCATGGAAATATATTACCATCCCCAGCCTGAAGTCACAGTGCTTGATGTACAAGAAAGATGATCTGCCCCTGAATATGTTACTTCTTAGTTATGGCCACATATCTCTACGAAGCCAGGGAGAGCCAGAGCCTGGGTATTCCTGGAACTTTTCAAACATCAACGCCAGGCCAGAAAAATATTACATTCTTTAAGAGCAAGGGAAAGAGTGTAGCCCAGGGAAAATGTGACATGTAAAAACAAAGTGATGGTAGGCTACAAAACAGCTTTCCAGAGCTGTCATACCACCATGAAGAGCAGATGCAACTTCCAGGGGATGTGCAGGTTTGAGTTCTTGAGCTCATCTTCAGCACTCTAGCTCTCAAGGCTGCTGCTTGTCTCCCTAAGGAGAAAGTGTTCCCAAAGGTCTTGAAAGACAATGTTGTTTAAGAGGTGACCTTTAAAAATATCCTCGAAGGGATGCATGCACCCACCCACAGGGATAATGTACGTGCTCTAGAGGACTTTGTCCAGTCTTCCTTTCAGCTGGGTCCTCTCTGCTGGATGGAAAAGCAAGAATATAACCAGCTCAAAGTAAACAGATTATCAGGCAAAAGTCCTTGCAGTTGAGATCCTAAATTGTGAGATTTGGGTTGGAAAGATCCAGAGAAATTATAAGCACTTGGCACAGCCACCGTGATGTCTTAATGAACCGGAACGCAAAGCAAATGGTAACTAAGAAGGAAACTGGTCAAGCAGGTTTCTCGATGCAAAGCAAATGAGCATTTTAGCGCTATAGCCTCAAAGGCAAGGGGTTGCTTCTGCTAAAATAACCTAGTATTGTGCCCACCTCTCTACCTGTGGCTCGAGCCATCTGTCTATAGCCTGAGATGCTCCGTCAGTCCCCTCACCCAGCTCAGCAACTCCTCTGAGGCCCAGCCTAAGTCTCTCCCAGCTTTGTGATCCTGCCCACTCCAAATTTCATTCTTCTAAATCCATACTGTATTTGCTACCACATTTGGCAGCAACCTTTCTTTATATTTTCTACTTATTGCTATTTAATTCTTGCAAGGTTTTTTTAATGTTTCATATTACACCGCCAAAGTGGAAGCCCTTTGAAAACTGAGACCATGTCTTATGCTTCATGTGGGATTCTGAATCCTTGTGAATGGTGGGTGAGACCTAGCTACAGGGGATGGAGTGTCCACAGAAGACCCTCCCAGTTACTCCCTAGTTTCTAACCCTGAGAGTGTTCCCTCCCATAGTAACTGGGGCCTAAGATATCACTTTATTCCTTTGGCCAGAAAGTACTGGATAAAGGGCACACATTATTTGACAACTAAGCAGCCCATCCCTTGCCCAGTCTGTATAAAGCATGCACAGAAAGTTATAAAGCAACAGTCACTCATCAGCCCTTGACCTTAGTAAGAATTAAATTTCCAGCAGCCTCTGAAGAGCAGCCTAACAGCACAAACCCGAGCACTCAGACAGGCACAGTGTGGGTCAACACAAAAGGAGTGATCGGGCCTCCCTGGTGTATCTTGAAGAAAGGTGCATGGAGAGCAGGTTAAGAGCACCTTCCTCCTTTGTCTGTCTCAAAGTGTCAGGCCTTATGGCAATTATGATGTTGGAGAGGCATTCAAGGACCAATTAGCCCGCAATGAGCGACTGTTTGGGGCTCACAGCACTTGCAGATGATAGGATGAGCTGAGGGATTATGAGTGCAAGCCCAGGACTAGTGTTTGGGAATAGGTAGTTCTAGAAATCACTGATGCAGGAAGCTCTGCCCCACCCTCTGGTAGCCCTGAACACTTACATACATTATTGTTGCTTTTTAAAATACATATTATCCCCACCCCCAAATTCTATCAGCTAGTGAAGCCTGCCAATATTTCCCCATTGGCATCTTAATACACTATTGAAACTCATTAACAAGCAAGACCAAGTCAGGCTCCACCAAGCACCACCCTGGGCAAAGCAGAGTAGTTGCACAATTAATGTCTGCTTGTTGACAGGAATGAGCATTCTCCAGCCTTCTTTAATGAACAAGCCAATATGTCTGACATTGTTTCTTGAATCAAGACTACAGATGCTCTAACATGATTTCCTTCCTAAGACGACTGAGATGGCAGATGGCCAGTCAGGAGGCCAGGACTCCCAAACTACCTGAATGCCATCCTATGGCTGCAAAGAATGCAGCCAGGCTAGCCCGAACGGACTTTCAAAAGCTATTTCTACAACTGTACTCTTGAGCCTCTTGGCAACCTTTGGAGCACAAGGGTCTTTGCTTTACTCATTCAATAAATTAAATTAAATTAAATTAAATTAAATACAAGTATAGAACAAGGTCATCCCTGGAACTCTAACTTACTCAGTGTCTTTGTACTGCCTTCACATCAGAATGGTCTGAGTTAAACACCTACCCATCCCAACCCTAAGCAAGAAGTTCAAGAGAGGTTTATTTCTGTGGACTCTTCCAGTGGGCAAGGCAAATCCTCCAGCAGAGCAAAAGCCCTAGGCTGGGCAGACTGAGGTGCTGTGCTTATCCCGGTCATCTACTTAAGAGATAATTCTAGCATAGTGAAGTGTGAGGAAGGTCCTTCCAAATAAGTCACTGATGACTTTAAAATCAAATTTCATTCTCCAAATACTGCTCTCGTTCCTTCTTCCTCCTGCTCCCTGCTCTACAAACCCCACGTCCCCTGTGGTTAGTACAGCTGCAGCTCCCTAGGGTTTCACCTGTTAGAGCCTCTGTTGCAGCTCTAAGAGAGTGTTATTTACTTCAAAATAGCTTTGCAAACACATGTACACCAAAGGGAGATAGATACTCAGGGGAGGGGAAGGAAAGCAAAATAATCATGTCATAGGGAAAGCGACAGCAAAATAATCAGAGGTGACACCCAAACTGAAAAAGGGTTCCCTCACTTTAACCACCTGCCGCTTAAATCTTTTCTGGGTAGATGGCGAACTGCCAGAGGGCAGGGACCATACCCGCTGCTTCCTTGAATATACCCTGCAACTGTGCCCAAATTCTTAGCCTTGTGTTTTACTGCTTTCTACATAGTAGGAGCTAAAGTAAGTGTGATGTTTATTTTTTATAATTTTTTATAGAGACAAGGTCTTGCTCTGTTACCCAGGACGGAATACAGTGTCATGATCATAGCTTACTGAAGTCTCAACCTCCTGGGCTCAAGTGATCCTCCTGCCTTAGCCCCCTGAGTAGCTGGGACTACAGACACATGCCACCACACCTGGCTAATTAAAAACTTTTTACTTTTTAAGAGTGGGGCTCACTATGTTGTGCAGACTGGTCTCGAACTCCTGGGCTCAAGCAATCCTCCTATCTTGGCCTCCCAAAGTGCTGGGATTACTGGTGTGAGCTGCCACACCCAGCCTTGATTGCTTGTTAAAAACATATATTTTCCTGGGCAGGGCGCGGTGACTCATGCCTGTAATCCTAGCACTTTGGGAGGCTGAGGTGGGCGGATCACGAGGTCAGGAGATCAAGACCATCCTGGCTAACACGATGAAACCCTGTCTCTACTAAAAATACAAAAAATCAGCCGGGTGTGGTGGCAGGCGCCTGTAGTCCCAGCTACTCGGGAGGCTGAGGCAGAATGGCGTGAACCCAGGAGGCGGAGCTTGTAGTGAGCCTATATCGCGCCACTGCACTCCACTCCAGCCTGGGCGACAGAGCGAGACTCCGTCAAAAAAAAAAAAAAAAAAAAAAACACCACACATGTATTTTCCCAAACCTGATGAATCCAAAGCACTAGAAAAGGAGCCTGGGAATCTGTATTTTTACTAGCATTCCAGCTGATTCCTATGAGGAAGTTGGGGAAACACTGAAAGAACCACACTTTATAGTCAGAGCAACCAAGTTCAAGTTCCAGTTTTTGAACTTCTTAGCTATCTAACTGGAGTCTCAGTTTTCTCATCTGCAAAATGGGAATCATAATATCTACTCTGTAGGATTATTAAAGGGATATTAAAAGCCATTTAAAGAGAATAACAAAGGTCTTGATGAACAATGTGTTCCCTAAATGTTTGTTCCCCTTTATCTTGAAGACACTGAGGAACTAGTGAAAGCTTTTGAGCAGATCATGTTCAGATTATTGCTTTAGTTTCAACCCCCTCTGCAATACCCAGGCAAATGGTTGCCCAGCCTCTTCTGTAACACCTTGAGTGACTAAAGATCGAATTTACTATATCCGGAAGCAGTCCATTCCATTTTCAGACAGTTTTAATCATTAGCTCTTCCTTCCTTATGTTGAGCAGAGATCTGCCTTGGGTGACAGAACAAATCTAATCCCTTTTCCACATGATAGGGTGAGGCAATTAACTTAGATAAGGAAAGTACATGCCGCTTGTTTGAGGCGCTGAGAGGGCAGTTTTATTTATGCACATGTCCAGCAAGTAGTAGATATGCAGGTCTGTAGTTCAGTAAAGAGATCAGGAATGTCATTTATACGGCAGGATTTGAAGCTGTGAAAATAAATGACATTGCCATTTAGGGGGGCAGAGCTAATGAAAGGTATTAAGGAATGGTAAGCAGGGTAGAAAGAGAGCCTTTAAAGAAGAAAGCAGGTAATTCATGGAAACAAATGTGGTGAAGAGGTCAGAACAATGTCAGAGAACCAGTGAACCAGTCACTAAATTTGAAGACTAAGAAGTCACCCACTGATCCCTGACAGAGAGTCAGGTTTCTGCTCCCCTGGAGCTTTCCAGAGCTGTTCAGAGCCACACTACCACACTGAAAAGCAGATGCACGCTTCCTTTCGGGCTAGTGAAAGAGAAGTGATTTGAAGCAGCAGCAAGTACTCCAACATTTCCCAACCTGGATGTTGACATAGGTTTCTCAAATAAGGCTCCCACGCTCTATCTTTTGGGGAAACACTGCCTAGTACAGTCCTTCCTGGAGATTAATCACAGGAAAGAGCCCCATTTTCCTCTGTTTAAGCCTGCATTTGCCCAACTTACTAAACCACTGATTTTTCACACAATACTTAGTAATATCTTGAGGAGCTAGTGTTTTCTGGCCAATAATTTGGCAAATGCAGTAAGCAAAGGGATACAAGACAATAGTTTAAGGGACTATTGGTATCAAGGGATATTTTCTTCTTTTTAAGAATGGAAGAAGCTTAAATATGTTTACATGCTGAAGAAAAGGAACCAAGTGTAGAGTGAAGGGCCAAAATCAGGAACAAAAGGGAAGAGAGTAAGCCAGGTTCTGATAAAGGGGTTAGCTTAGCAAAGGGCCTCAGCTCAATGCTTTAGCCATAAGACATTAAGTGCCCCTGATTAAATCTAGTGATCACAAATGGTTACTATTTTCCTAACCACATCTACTTTCCTCAGAGGATACAGATAATTTATCTAGAGAAGGTTACGGGCAGATTATATAAACTGATTCACTAGACACAGTCATGGTCTCCACCCTCGCCCCAGAGTTAAGCTAAGTGTATCCCTTTAATTCCCTTGCCTGAGCCAGGGAAGAGTGCTCCATATCGGGAGCCAATGTCCCACTCCCCCTGCCCAGGCAGAGAGAACTCTAACACAGGATAGGCGGAGAGGGGAAATCTAAAAATAAAGCTCTCCAAAGAAACTGTCTTGCCTAAAGAGCAGCTTCCCACGCACACTGGAGTGCCACATCTGCGGGGGCTGGAAGCACGGAACGGAACAATCCTGACCAAGTCATATAACCATTACCTATTTTGGGGGGTCGACAGTGCATTTCTGATTTCACCCATCAGCACCCCAGTATCCAGGCTGCAGACTGGGAGCAAGGGCTTTAGTGACAGAAAACAAAACTTTCCTTTCCGGGGAATTGGAAAAATGACCAGTGACTAGTCCCGCCTTCCTACCATTCTCCCTTCACAGCGGGAGGTAAGCATAGCACATGCTTTCAACACACAAGGGGTGGAGTTGAGGGTTCACATTAGGAAAGATTGTGAAGGGTTCTAGTGGGCTTCAGGCTCAGAGATGGGCTCCTTTAGCTCCACTCCCTGCGGTAGAGTCAGGGACCACCAACTGGGGAAAAAGAAAAGCAAGCACCATGAGAAAAACTGCAATTAGCGTTGACATCCCTTCACTATTGTCCTCTCACACCCCAAGGACAGAGCAGTTGTCACGTTGCCAAGCAACTAGCAAGTGCAACTTCCCAGCCAGGTATCAGAGGCCACTAGAAAAAGTTCAGCCCAAGAGTTTGATATGACCCCACACCTAAGCATTAAACACAATACTGTAGCAACTTCTGGCTCAGGAGAGTAATCCCCACCACCTTTCTCTAAGGGCTTTAACCTTGGAGGATACAATGTACTTGGCACCAGATTTTGGAGTTTTGCCAAGAAGCCAAAGCAGGAAGAAGGAAGCTATCCCTAATTCTATGAGGAGTCCACAGTATTCACTTGGCACTCCAACTCCCCAGGAGATTTGTACTTTGACCTGACAAAGTATTAAGCTATGCCTCAAGGGTCAGAGAAGCTCAACCTTGGAAATATCTTGGAATAGCTTTCAGCAGCAATATACTCCATGCTACCTATCTGTTCCCTCCACCCCCTCCCTCTTCCTAGGGCACATACACTATACATCCCATGATTCATAGATACAGCAGACCAGTGCAGCGGGTGGTGAGGGGGGAATGGAATCACAATAAAACATCCAGAATGCAGCAACCTGTCAGTTCTTTGGTCTCTTAAAAGAGATCCTGTACCAGAACACTGCGATAGTTGCTATGCTCAGATACAAATCCTGATGTCTATTATGCATACATGGAAGGGGATGGGGGGGTGGCAAGTTTCCCCTCAAAGCACAGATTGCAAGCAAAGTACTTTGAACATTTGACTGATATTTGAATGCTGACTAGCAACAATCACCCAACAGTCTTTTACAATTAGAGCAAACTGAAATTTTCCCATACTGAGTCATTCATGAGCTAAAAGGAAGAAGCCAGCTCACAAAAGGGAGGAGACACTGACCATAAAATACACAACCTAAGCATACAGTGAGAAGCGTTATTTTAGAACTGGGAGTACATACTCCCTAGCCCACTAGTTAAATAAGAAGGGCTGGGTTGGCATGGAGCTCTCCTCGTCCAGCACAAGGGCTAGTGCTCTGAAGGGCAACTTACCTGACATACAAGGACCTCTTTTCACTTGTTCGGAGGGACCCAGACCCAGAGCTCATGCTGCTGTTCATCATTTGTTCTCGTAAGTCATGTATCTTCGATTCAAAGCGACTGTATTCTGTCACGGAAACAAGGGAAAAGATGGGAAAAGAATGAACTCAAGGAGCGCCTCTGAGCTTGCATGCCAGCAGCCAAAAAGCCAGAAGGCCCCTTGGCTTAAAAGCAGCCAGAGCCAGCCCACTCAGTCTTTGCTTTGATAAGCAAAGTCCCTCCTCCTAAGCACAGAAAGACAGACTTCCCTTCAACCCCAGACTAACAGAAGGAAAGAATGCACCTGAAAAGGGAGTAGCATTTGGGCAGGTCAAATGCACAAAGCTCTTATCTGCCTCAAAATGTCACTGATCCTTTATAAAAATAACAACTGGAAAGAGGTTCCAGTGCAACCTTTATAAATCTTTAGAGCTGACACTAAGGCCCAAGGAGAGCAGATGGGAAAGGAGACTTTCCCAAAAAGCGGATTGCAGAGAACAGATGGCCCTGAGACGCAGAGCGGAGGGGCTGGAAAGGACCTGAGGTCAATTATATCATTGTTAGGCAAGAAGACAATTTTTTCAGGATGACTTTTTGGCTGGGGTGAAGGGGGGTGATATTGGAACCCAGTACAGAGGTAAAAACAAACAAACCTCACAACCGTAACAACCATATGAGGAGAATTAAAGCTCTCCTGAGTTATTTCCCTTTTAACCAATAGCCTCTTTGGCTTCAGTAGCATACATTAAAACATAAATTCTCCCAAACCGAGAAGTCGGCTGACACCTCTCACCTCCAAAATCATCCAGTCAGTGAGGTCATAAGTCCATCCCTAACCTTATAGCCCATTGAGACCATCACAACAGCTGGAAACAGCCTTATCACTCTGGAAATGTAATACAGGTTTATGCCGAATTTAAGAAAACCTGATACAAGAAAATTAACTCTAGCTGTACAATTATTATAAAAGGCTTTTTATAGGGCTGCTTTGCTGTGACATTCTCCTAGGACATTTAAAATACAATATTCACACTTACCAAACACACAATTACACATTTTCCAGGCCTATAATTGCCGCATAAAATGGGGTATATCTAAGGCCACAGGCCGTGGAAATGCTAGAAAACAGGCACACTTCACTATGACAAGCTGACTTTGAAGCGAGTCAAAATTTATACTAGGGGTTGAAGGTTGGGAAACTGCTTTAAAAAACAAACACACTTCCAGGGGAAAAAATTCCACAAAAGCAATTTCGTGCACCATAGAGGGCTGGCAAGAAGCATCCCCACCTAGTCCGTATGACTCTACAGGAGAAAACAAAACACCTGTTCCAGCACCTGACACTCCCCTTCCCTCTGCAAAGCAACCAGACTGACCTTCAACTGGGTGTAAGGGGAATTGCTAAAGCCTAAAGGGGAAGGAATGGAGTGAGGCAAATAACCTCCTCTCAACAAAGTTTCTTTTGTTCACTGTGATATCAGTTTAACCAACGGGTTAAATTCGTGTGCTCTTTCATTCATCACACGCCGGTGTTATGGTGATTTGTCCTCATTACCTACTCCTGTTCCTGAAATCCTGGAGGAAGCAGTTAAGTCACTGACTCACCCATTAAACGTTGCGGGGGGTGGGGTGGCGGAGGGTAGAGAGACAACAGCTGGACAATGTTCCTGTTCTGAGGGTTACACGGCAAGCCATCAATATCAATGAGGTGCCCCAACCTAAGCCCTGGACTGTCCTAGAGCATAACAGCAGGCCAGTCTACCTCTGGAGACCGCCTGGGTGCTGGCCCCACCCCAGGGCTTGGCCCTCTACACTGGGTGGGGATTGTTTCTCATTTGTTCCTTTCTGGCCCTCCTCTGAGCTCACCGGCTATGGGCAGAACCGTGTGAGACAAAGATTTCTGACCAGGCAGCCCTTTCTTAGGGGAAGATAAGTCAAAGAGAGAAAGAACTATGCATTGAACTGTGAACAAAAAAGTACACCCAATCTATCTTTAAGCCATGTTTTCCCCTTCTTGAAACTTGTTTATATATTCCCTTCTTTGGAATCGACTTGCCCGCTGAACTCCAACTTAGCAGCAGGTCATGGCAGTTGCTTAGTAACTACATTTCTTTAAAAATCCTTTAAAAAACAACCACGAAACCACCATTTCCTCAAAGCTCCTAATCCAAGGCTGATAATTCTGGGCCAGAGGGCCCACTTAAAATAGACTACAGAAAGAGAACAAAGCTATTGCTCTAAGGCATACGCTTTTTGTTTTTACATGTGCTGCTAAAATTTCAAGTTTATTAAATTGTGTTTTATTCACTTTTTTTTCCATTTGGATGATTCCCTTAGAGTTCCAGCTGCCCATCAGTCTCTGGCTTTTATTTGTAGATTTATCTAAAGTCTACTAGGCAGAGCAGCCTTTGAATAAATGATTGTTGGGTAAATGAGGAGCAAATTAGAAAACTGTGTCCAAGTTGACACTTCTATTCTTAAACTAATAAACTTAATGGTTTATTTAACTGATGGCTGCCAGCTTCACTGAGGGCTTAGAAAGGTGGTTAAGAAGCATTCACATTTACTTTTGTTCCCAAGGTTAATTGTTGGGAGCAATTGGGGTTTATTATTTTTAAACACCCTTTTGAGATGTTAACAACCCACAATAGGCGGCTGATTAACAACTTTTTACAACAAAGAAAAATCATTCTAACAAAAAACTGTTTAGAATAGACTTAGATACTACCTCATCTTAAATATTAGAGGTATCATTTTCCCAGGACAAAAGCTTCCCTTAAAAAGCATCTCAATTCTAAGACTTCAGGACTCGCCAAGCTCCCTCCTTCCCTCTGATTTGTCACTAACACAGCCATCGCAGCCAATGCTGGAGGACATCTCCTAGGCCAAAGTCACCGCCTAGGAAGCCCACCTGACCAGCCTCTAACCCAGAGGGCCCACTTCAAAGAAGCAACACTAAAATCTCAAGTCTACTAAACTGCTTTGTTTTTTCCCATTCAGATGAACCCAACTGTTTGTGACCCACAAAGATATCCAGTCATCGCCCTCTTTCCTTTTTCCCAGTTGCTAATCACAGAGAAACAAGTGGGAGGGGGCACAATCAGAAGTCAGTACCGAAGAAGGGTTTTGCCCCAGTCACTGACAAGTTGGGGTGCCTCTAAAAGATCAGGATTTGGCACCCCATCCCAGATACACAGAATCAGAATCTACTGAGCAGGGGCCCAGGAATCTGCATTTTAACAAGCATCAGTGTGATTCTGATAAAGTTTGGAGCTGCTGGTCTTAACTTACAGAATTGGATCCTGCAGTGTCTCTGAAAAGAAAGGTGGGGCCAGAGAGTGGATAAGCTCTCAAAAATAAAACTTGGTAATACAATTGCAAATCCTTCAGGAAAGGAAAGCCCTAAAGATGCCACAGTCTTATGTGCCTGCAAAGAAAGCTGCTGAGTTTACACTTTTTAAAAATTCTGTATCACTTCTCCATCCCACTCCCCAGAAGATACCACTGTTGGTATTTTTAGTATGTGTCCTTCCAGACTTACTTCCATGCATATATGGCTTATATACATGTACTCACAATTCACACGCAAGCTTTTTTCATTTTCTGATACATCATGAAAACTCATCCATGTTGGCCAGGCATGGTGACTCATCTGAGGTCAGGAGTTCAAGACCAGTGTGGCCAACATGGTGAAACCCCGTCTCTACAAAAATCAGCCAGGTGTGGTGGCCACACGCCTGTAGTCCCAGCTACTAGTGAGGCTGAGGCAGGAGAATCGCTTGAACCTGGGAGGCGAGGGTTGCAGTGAGCCGAGATCGCGCCACTGCACTCCAGCCTGGGTGACAGAGCAAGACTCTGTCTCAAACAAACAAACAAACAAAAAATCATCCATGTCAGTACACAGACTTCATTTTAATAGCTGCATAGGATTCCATACTATGGACAGACCATAATTTATTCAGTCATATTTCAATTGATACACATTTAAGTTGTTTACAATTCTTAATATTACAATCAATGCTGCATTGTGTATTTGTGGGTTTTTTTTTGTTTTTTATATTTTATTTTTTGTAGAGATGGGGGTCTCACTATGTTGCCAGGCTGGTCTCGAACTCCTGACCTCAAGGAATCCACCTGCCTCAGCCTCCCAAAGTGCTAGGATTACAGGCATGAGCCACCATGCCCGGCCTGCACTGTATATTTGTTTGAGCATTTCTGTTGCATAGATTCCTAGAAGTGAAACTGCAGGGTCAAATTATATGCAAATTAAAATTTTTGATTAGCACTACCAAATTGAACCCCAACATCCTGAAACCTTTCTGACTAAGGATAAACTACTATTCCACTCTTCCAGCACTTTTTCTGTTTCTGAAGTGGAGGCAGAATTTACCTTTGAGGACAAATTGATCTTTTGTTTGGAGAAAAACAGTTTAATGAGCCTTTTGGTTATGCAAAAGTAAAGATTTTATTCTGGAATGGACAAAGAGGAGCTAAAATGTTGTCTGCATTATAATAGAAAAGGTGTCCTCTTGGTGAGTGGAGTTGCTGGTTCTCCAGGTTAGGCCTTAGTCCACAGGTCTTTCTCTCCCTCTTTCCCTGGCCCTGTTTAACCATGAGTTAAGACGCTGTTCCACCTACATGACACTATATCTACCTCTATAAGTATCTACCTAATTTGACTACATTAAATCTGCCCCCAACTTGAAAACCAAGCCTTTTTTTTCCTCATGCCAAACCCCCATTACTGTAAACGACACCCCCTTTTCCCTGCATACAACCAGTGTTTCCTCAAATTTTGCTGATGTTTCTTCCTAATTGCTTCCTCAATCTATTTCTTTATACTTTTAATTGTCATTGCCGTACTGTTGATTTCGTGTCTTAATTTTCCCTTGACTATTTTATTATCTCTTCTCTGGGCCACTGCTGTACCTCCCTAACTGGTCTTCTGCCCCAAGGCTTTACAAACTCAATCCAGATTAGATTCTTATTTGAAAAGCTTTCCTAAAGCTTGAATTTGTAGCCCCCCTGTCCAAGTATCTATAACGACTCAATGAGCACTAAAGAATTTTACTTTTACTATGTCAGCCAAACTTTCAAGGACTGCTACAACCATCCTCCCATCACAGCCAGCCTATCTATCCCACATCTGAATTACACAGGTCTTCTTTTGAGCTAGCTTGCCTGGACCCCTTGAATACAGCTTGTTCAGTTCTACCTGTTATTCCCTGCTCCTGAAACATTTCTCCCCTGCCTGACACTGAACAACCTTTACATCCTTCACCATCTTTCCTACCTCATTCCAAGAAGTTTTATTCATTCATTTATTTATTCAAATATTTTCTAAGTTTGGGCACAGTGACTCACACCTGTAATCCCAATGCTTTGGGAGGCCGAGGTAGAAGTATTGCTTGAAACCAGGAGTTCAAGACCAGCCTGGGCAATATAATGAGACCCCAATTCTACAAAAAATTCAAAAATTAACTGGGCATGGTGGTGCACACCTATAGTCCTAGCTACTCGAGAGGCTGAGGTAGAAGGATCACTTGAGGTCAGGAGTTTGAGGCTGCAGTGAGCTATGATCACACCTCTGGACTCCAGCCTAGGTGACAGAGTGAGATGCTGTCTCTAAAAATAAAAAAAAATAAAAAAAAATTACTGAATGTCTACTGTGTATCAGGCATTGTGCTAGCTGCTGAGAATATAATGGTAATCAAAATGGTCCCTAGAAATTACAATTACAAAACAAACAATTATTTAATTACAATTGTGATAACTGTGATGAAGAAAATGCTAAGAGAGAGACTAATAGGGTGACTTAACCTACCTGTGGGAAGGGGGTGGAGTTCAACAAAGGTTTCCCTGAGGAAGTGACATTTAAGCTGAGTCCAGGGAAAGGGCGCTGGTGAAGAAAGCATTCCAGACAGAAGGAACAGCATTATGTAAGGGTACAAAATGTATGGAACACAGGAAAGCAAGGGGATACTGGCAGGAGATCAGACTAAGAGGTAAGCAGGGGTCAGATCATACAAGGCCTTGTAAACTATGGTAAGGTTATTTGCTTTTTTTTTTTTTTTTTTTTTGAGACGGAGTTTCGCTCTTGTCACCCAGGCTGGAGTGCAATGGCATGATCTCAGCTCACTGCAACCTCCACCTCCTAGGTTCAAGCGATTCTCCTGCCTCAGCCTCCTGAGTAGCTGGGATTACAGGCGCCTGCCACCACTCCCAGCTAATATTTGTATTTTTAGTAGAGACAGGGTTTCACCATGTTGGCCAAGCTGGTCTTGAACTCTTGACCTCAGGTGATCTGCCCACCTCGGCCTCCCAAAGTGCTGGGATTGCAGGTGTGAGCCACTGCGCCCGGACAGGTTATTTGCTTTTATCCTAAGATAAATTCTTTCTCAATGGAAAGAAGCCATTGAATGATTTTAAGGAACGGAAGGACATGATCAGATATGTGTGTCACTTTGGCTACTGTGGAGAGAATAAGTGAAGTGTCTTATATCTACATTTAAGTTTCTTGACAGACGAAGCACATGCTTTCTATGTTTGTGTATTCTCCACAGCCCCTAGTATAAGAAGCCCCTGCTCTTACAGCATCCAAACCAGCTAGCCCTTCAGCCTCTGCTCAAACATGTCCAATACTGGGAAGCTCTCTAATTCTTTTTTTTTCTTTTTCTTTTCTGAGACAGGAGTCTCGTTCTGTCACCCAGGCTGGAGTGCAGTGGTGTGATCTCGGCTCACTGCAAGCTCCGCCTCCCAGGTTCAAGGAATTCTTGTGCCTCAGCATCCGGAGTAGCTGGGATTACAGGTGCCCGCCACCACATCCAACTAATTTTTTTGTATTTTTAGTAGAGACGGGGTTTCACCATGTTGGCCAGGCTAGTCTCAAACTCCTGGCCTCAAGTGATCCACCCACCTCGGCCTCCCAAAGTGTTGGGATTATAGGCGTGAGCCACTGCACCCAGCCGAGAAAATTTTTTGGTTTAGCGCCATCCCTTCTGCCAGCTGGTCCTAATTTTCATGTCTAAAACAGCATAAAACATGATGGGTTCTTTCCTTCAAAACAGTGTGAAGGAATAGTTTAAAGAAGGTCAAAGAGTTGGAAAAGACTGGAACAAGACTACTGAATAAAATGGGAGTAGATGGCAGAGTGCAAACAGGGGAAGGGGAAGTAATGGTAGGTTGCAGGCCAGATTATAAGTGCTTGAGATAGCACTTCTCTTACTAGGCAATGGGAACTGCGTTTAAGTGTTTAAACAGGAAAGTAACACAATTAGAACTAGGTTTGAGGGAAAATTATTCTGGGAGTGTAAGACAGAATTGGAGGACAGAGAGAGAGAGATAACAGAGACCGGGAAGCTGCTCTACTACTACAGACAATAATTATAAAGGCCTGACATAGTATAAGGGCAATGAAGACAGAAAGAAGAGACAGGAATCAAGAAATATGTTGGATCCTTCAAAAGTGGAGAAAGACAAAAAAGAAATATATTGGGGCTTGAAGGGAGAAAATTTGACATCTGATTGGATGTAGAGTGAGAAAGGATCAAAGGCAAAGAATCTGAGTTTTTTCCTTGGAGACATGGAAAAGGTGGGATAATATCAGCCATAATGAAGAATGATCTCAAGAATGTCCTCAAAAAGTTATGTCTTAGCCGAGATGGGCGGATCACGAGGTCAGGAGATTGAGATCATCCTGGCTAACACAGTGAAACCCCGTCTCTACTGAAAATACAAAAAATTAGCCGGGCGTGGTGGCGGGCGCCTGTAGTCCCAGCTTCTCAGGAGGCTGAGGCAGGAGAACGGTGTGAACCCAGGAGGCGGAGCTTGCAGTGAGCCGAGATCGCACCACTGCACTCCAGCCTGTGCAACAGAGGGAGACTCCGTCTCAAAAAAAAAAAAAAAAGTTATGTCTTCTCCAGGCTAAATGTTGTTATTTCCTTAACCATTCTTCATCCAACATAGTTTCCTAACCCTCCACTACCTCACCCTTTTAAAATCTAGTGCTCAGAATTAGTGGTGATGTCATTTACTAAAATATAAGCTCCTTGATGTGGTTTTTGCTTCCTTCTCAAGGTTTAGTGTGGCGATCTGCACCCCTGTTGAGTCAACATTTATTGAATGTGCCAACTGGATATAGAGGTCTGACAGGACAAACCTGGACTCTGTGATTCTCAAATTTTGGCTCCTCAGGAACAAATGTAAAAAAAAAAAGGAATACAAACTTTCTCCTTTCACCCACCCAAACATGCTAAAAACTGACCAACAAAACCACGAACCACTTCTGCAAAACACTAACATGTCAGAGGTTTCAAGACATAGTTAACAGCCCAATAAGGCATCAAAGGGGACTGAAACTACAAGTTCCCTATTGCGAACTGGACACACACCCAGGCTTCCAAGTCCGTCTCTCCTCTAAGCCTCTGCTTCCAAATCCATCTACCTGCCTAATGACAGGAAAATTGTCAAAAATTAAAGATGACATTTTTTATTAATTTGGAAAGCTGAGAGGTGCTCAGTTTCTCAACCTGTATTGTTTATTTGGTTCTATTTGATTATAGGCAGGAAAATATTGTAGAGACAGGAAACAAGTGGTAGCAACAGACGATATTTATTCTGCATATAGTACAGACTACCAATGACTCGAATGAAGATATAAAAGGGAAAAGCTACAAAATAACATCCTGCCTATCAAATTTAGAAATGACGCTGGGTGCAGTGGCTCACTCCTATAATTCCAGCAATTTGGGAGGCCGAGGTGGGCGGACCACTGGAGATGAGGAGTTTGAGACCAGCCTGGCCAACATGGTGAAACCCTGTCTCTACTAAAAATACAAAAATTAGCCAGGCGTGGTGGTGCACACCTATAATCTCTGCTACTCAGGAGGCTGAGGCACGAGAATCGCTTGAACCCAGGAGGCAGAGAGGTTGCAGTGAGCTGAGATCACACCACTGCACTCCAGCCTGGGCAACAGAGCAAGACTCCATCTCAAAAAAAAAAAATTAGAAATGACGATGACACTGGGGAAGCAACTGGATGACAGACTTCAAACACACAGATTATGATAGGTAGAAAGAATCAGAAGATGCAAATAAAAATAAAGTGAAATAGAGAACTGTATCTTCTTGACCTTGAGTTCCCACACAAATATTGAGTAGGGAAGACATGGCTGAATAATGGCTCGTGTTTTAGTTGCCTATAACCTCAAAATAAATCAACTGCTGCCCAAAAAGTTCTTTCCATCTTATGGAAGTGCAGACATTCAAATCTCAAACTCATACAGCCCTCATTTGCCATTGCTGAGCTGCCCTGAGGCTCAAAGAAATAAGTCACCAATTGTGAAAAATAACAGAACTCTGGTGGAAGTGAAGTTACAGCCTCAGAGAGAGTCACAGAATTTGAGGAGTATGAATTGTGGTTTAGGTTCCTATATTTGCCTTTGGAGTATAAACCTTCACACTATGGTTCATATTTTAAAAAGAAATGGATGGGCTGGCGCGGTGGCTCACGCCTGTAATCCCAGCACTTTGGGAGGCTGAGCCAGGTGGATTGCTTGAGGTCAGGAGTTCGAGACCAGCCTGGCCAACATGGTGAAACCCCATCTCTACTAAAAAAAAATACAAAAAATTAGCCAGGCATAGTGGTGGGCTCCTGTAATGCCAGCTACTCAGGAGGCTGAGACATGAGAATCACTTGAACCTGGGAGGGGGAGGTTGCAGTGAGCCGAGACTACACCACTGCACTCCATCCTGGGTGACAGAGTGAGACACCATCTTAAAAAAAAAAAAAAGAAAGAAATGGATGGAGGTGAAAGTAAAATAAGCCCATTAAGAAGATACTTGTTAGTATGGAGTAAGTATATGAATTGCCAAATATCAGAACATTTCTAGGAATCACAAACTTGTCTTTATAAAATAGTTATGGGGCCAGATGCAGTGGCTCACACTTGTAATCATAACATTTTGGGAGGCCAAGGTGTGAGGATTGCTTGAGGCCAGGATTTTGAGGCCAACCTGCACAACATATTGAGACCCTGTCTTTGCAAAAAAAATAAGAGAATTAGTCAGGCGTGGTGGTGTACGCCTGTAGTCCCAACTACTCAGGAGGCTGAAGCAGGAGGATCGCTTGAGCCCAGGGGTTCAAGGCTACAGGGAGCTATGATCACACCACTGCACTCCAGCCTGGGTGTCAGAGTAACACCTTGTCTGAAAATAATAATAATGAAGCCTATTACTTGGGTTAGTTTCTAATGATGGGTCCATTGTTTAGAGGTGTTGTCTAACACCTCTAAAACTAGATAATTTCTAAGATCCCTTCTAATTATGACATCATTATGATTTTATGACCAAATCAATGAGGTCCATACGGAATCAAAGTTAGAACTAGTCTGATTTAATTTTTAAATATAATTTAGAGAGGGAAATCTTCAAATCTGCAAATAATTCTAAACTCTTTGGGTAAAAACAATACCAAATCAATAAACATAAATTACCAAAAATATTTCTCAAGGCTATGTGAGAGGGCAGAAATATGGCAAATAGGCTTCAATGGGCAAATATTGCTTGAGGAAAAATAATTTCAGTTCTACTTTTAGAATAATTTTGGAACTATGACTAACCCAGAAAGCTGGGTGTCCTTATTCTGGTCCCTGCACTGTCACTGTGTATGCTTCCTCGGCCATACACACACATAGCCAGGGTTCTGGATACCATCCTGAAGGATACTGAGAAGAAAACAGAAAACAAAACATGCCGGATCAGCATGCCATAAAAATTTCCAGTTTATCCCTATTGACTGGATGTTTTTGTCCCCCAAAGAGCTTAGTGAGGATGCAAGAAGAGCTACTGAGTGAAAATGCTATACTAGGCCAGGTGCCGCGTGGCTCACTCCTGTAATCCCAGCACTTTGGGAGGCCGAAGCGGGCGGATCACCGGAGGTCAGGAGTTTGAGACCAGTCTGGCCAACATGGTGAAAACCCATCTCTACTAGAAATACAAAAATTAGTTGGGCATGGTGGCGGGCACCTGTAATCCCAGCTACTCAGGAGGCTGAAGCACAAGAATCGCTTGAACTCAGGAGGCAGAGGTTGCAGTGAGCCGAGATCGCGCCGCTGCACTCCAGCCTGGGCGACAGAGTGAGACTCCATCTCATAAACAAAAATGAAACAAACAAACAAAAAAAAATCTACCTGGTCTAAAATGACTGGAATGAAAAATGCCTTGATCTCACATCAAACTAAGAAAAAGTATTCACAGGATCTTGCCTTCTCACCTATTCCGGATCACCCAGCAGCTCAGGGTAAAAGCCTCAATAGGGCCTTCTCTATATCTTAAAGCAATTTCATATAGCATATTCAAATGAAAGATTAACAGAGTCTTTGGCTCTTGCAACCCATAAGCCAAAGTATACATAAAGACCACCAAAACAAAATACCTCATCCAAAAAACATGAGAATAAAGACAGATTTGTACCTTTTCCCTGTTCTCCAGGTGGTGGGTACACTTGATAAGAAGAATCTTTTCCACTTAACAGAGATACTATAACACAGTAACTAAAACACACACATTTTATGATGAAGTTTGACAACTTGAGTTAATGTAACCAATTTCTATGTTTTACCAGGTCAATGGAGAGTCTCGATTCAAATGTTCTTCACAGTTGTCACACCCACAGGATCACAAACTCAACTGAATCTCCTTTAGGTCAAGTTTCTGTGGAAGAAACTCAGAAAATGGGACCTGGAGAAATACTCTTCTCATCTAAGTTGTCAAAACACCTATGGTCATTTTTCAGTAACTGATAATCCAAAAGTAAAATATTAAAGTCCAAATCGTGTGTGTGTGTGTATAAAAGAATTTTATTTATAATAAAGGTGGTACTTCAAAAATGCAGAGAAATGATGGATTATCTAACAAATGGTACTGAGGTAATTCATTAACATTTGGAAGAAATTAAGTTAGTACCCTACTTTACATCACAAATCAACTCCAGGCAAGTTAAGGTTTTAAACACAAAAACAGGCCAGGCACAGTGGCTCTTGGCTGTAATCCCAGTGCTTTGAGATGCCAAGGCAGGAAAATCACTTGAGGCCAGGAATTTGAGAGAGCAGCCTGGGCAACACAGTGAGACCCCATCTCTACAAAAAAACCACAAAAATTAGCCATGCTTGGTAGCATGTGCCTGTGGTCCTTAGCTACTTGGGAAGCTGAGGCAGGAGGATCACATGAGCCTAGGAGTTTAAGGTTCCAGTGATCTATGATCATGCCACTGCACTCCAGCCTGGGTGACAAAGCCAGACCCTGTCTCTAAAAAAATAACAAATACAAAAACAAAAATATTAAATAACTAGAATAAAACTCGGACAGTATTTATTTGCCCTCGGGTAGGCAAGGCCCTTCTAAACCTCTGGGCACAGGCAAAATATACAAAACATTAATAGATTTGACCACATAAAAACATATGAAACATCTGTACATCAAGATAAAATTTAAAAAACAGGCTGGGCGCAGTGCCTCACACCTGTAATCCCAGCACTTTGGGAGGCTGAAGTGGACAGATCACTTGAGGCCAGGAGTTCGAGGCCAGCCTGGCCAACATGGTGAAACCCCCTCTCTACTAAAAAATACAAAAATCAGCCGAGTGTGGTGGCGCACACCTGTAGTCCCAGCTACTCAGGAGGCTGAGGCAGGAGAATCGCTTGAACCTGGGAAGCGAAGGTTGCAGTGAGCTGAGATCGCACCACTGCACTCCAGCCTGGGCAACAGAGCAAGACTCAATCACAAAAAAAAAAAAAAAGAAAGCAAACTATAAACTGGGAGTAGTCTTTGCAATATATATGACAAAGAATTAATATTCTAACCATATTAAGGCTTTTATATATCAATAAGAATTGATGAACCCACCCCAATAGGGAAATGGGGAAAGGGTATGAACAGGCAATCCACACACACACACACACACACACACACACACACACACACACACACACAAATGACCAAGAAACACTTGCACACAAATGTTCAACCCTATTATTAACAAAAGAAATACAAATTAAAATACAAATTAAAGAATAACATTTTTAACCTATCAAATTTACAGAAATTGTCTTAAAAAATAATACTCCACATTAGTGAGGATCTTGAAATAGACATTCTTATACTGTCAGTGGAAATGGAAGCTAATTGGCCAAATACATCAAAAACCTTAAGTATGTTCATACCCTTTGATCCAATTAATTCCACCTTAAAAAAATCTTTTCGGAACATAATCAGAGATTCACAAAAACCGTATACAAGGGTATCAATCAGAATGTTTTGTGTAATATCAAAACATTGGAAATAATCTAAATGTTCACCAACAGGGGAATGGTTATACGAATTATGGCACACACATGATGAAATATTATTTAACTATTAAAAACCATTTTTTTCAAAAAATATATGGTGATCGAGGAAAATGTTCATGACATAAGTTAATGGGAAGAACATAAAACTGCTTAAAGCCAATAATCTCCTTCTTAAAACAGATAGATACAAACATATTATATGATATATGTAATATAAATATATAAAAGTTTAGAGGGAAATACACAGAAATATACACATACAACAGTGGTTATCTCTGGATATAGTTTTACAGATGATTTGAATTTACTTTACTTTGTATTTTTCTGTATTTTCCAATTTTCCACAAATCTAAATGTAATATACTTTTAAATGCAGGAGAAAAATATAATTTGAAGAGAATGGGAAAGTAGACTGAACAGGACAGGCTCAAGGACAAAGCCAGGACACACATGCACTAGAAACTTCTCTCCACACTGCTCCTGGCTTCATTAATCATTTTCCTCTGGGACTATTCATTCAACCAGTTCCAGACAAGTCCAGTTAAACATATTATCACCATTATCACCCAGCCATCTTATCCAAAAGTAGACCAAAGAAGTTTTGTGAATGCCTTGCAGAAATCTAGATATAGTGCATCTACCGTATTTCCCTAATCTACAGCCCAGTAACCCTGTCCATCAAGAAAATTTGATCAGGCTGACAAGACTTTTTTGTCCTTGGTGAACCAATACCAGTTCCTAGTGCTCACCACTTCTTTTTCTGAATATTTACAAAACAACTCTTAATCTACCCTGGAATTTAACCCAAAATTTGCAAAATTCTCTCCTTTTTGAAAATCCAAAGGACGTCTACTTAGGCCCCTAATGTACATATTTATACAAAATATGTTAATTTTCTACTCAAATTTTTTATCACTTAATTTCATCAAGTAGAAAAATCATAAAATCTCTAGGGCCTTTGCTTTTTTAGCACAGTGGTGCCATCTCAGCCCACTGCAACCTCCGCCTCCCAGATTCAAGAGATTCTCCTGCCTCAACCTCCTGAGTAGCTGAGATTACAGGGGTGTACCACCACGCCTGGCTAATTTTTGTATTTTTAGTAGAGATGGGGTTTCACCATTTTGGCCAGGCCGGTCTCGAATTCCTGGGCTCAAGTGATTCACCCTTCTGGGCCTCCCAAAGTGCTGGAATTACAGGCATGAGCCACCACACCCGGCCTGCTTTTTTAAAGATACCTAAATTCAGCAAAAAATAAACAAAAGTCCATTTCAAGAGGGGAAGACAAGACCCTCATAAGCAAGACTGTTACTAGCTCAAGACTGTGAGTCTTGGCCGGGGGTAGTGGCTCAAAGCCTGTAATCCCAGCACTGCTGGAGGCGGAGGCGAGGGAATCACTTGAGCTCAGGAGTTCAAGACCAGCCTGAGCAACATGGCAAAACCCAGTCTCTACAAAAAATACAAAAATTAGCAGTGTGGTAGCATGCACCTGTAGTCCCAGCTACCTGGCAGGCTGAGGTGGGAGGATCACTGGAGCTCAGGAAATTGAGGCTACAGTGAGCCATGATCACACCATTGCACTCCAGCCTGGGTGACAAAGTGAGACAAAAGAAAAGAGAAAGGAAAGAGAAAGGAAAGGAAAGGAAAGAGAAAGGAAAGGAAAGAGAAAGGAAAGGAAAGGAAAGGAAAGGAAAGGAAAGGAAAAAGAAAAAAGGAAGGAAGGAAATAAAAGTCTATGCTGGGTGCAGTACCTGTAACCTTAGCACTTTGGGAAGCTGAGGTGGAAGGACTCCTTGAGCCCAGGAGTTCAAGACCAGCCTGGGCAACATAGTAAGATCTTGTCTCTATACAAAAAAATAAAATTAAAATTAAAATTAAAAAAGGGGCTGAGTGCAGTGGCTCACTCCTGTAATCCCAGCACTTTGGGAGGCCAAGGTGGGTGGATCACTTGAGTCCAAGAGTTCAAGACCAGCCTGGGCAACATAGCAAGACCCCATCCCTAATTTAAACAATAAAAGAGTCCAGGTACAAATAGGAAATTGTAAATTGAATTCACAACTCACTACCACTTATCTGACACAGAATTTGAGGTACACACTAGTGACCATTTTGCACAGTCTCCTCATTTTATAGATCAAAAAATTGAGTCCCTAAGAGGAAGGTTGACTAGTCTAAGATCATTCAGCTACTCTAAGTCAGAACCCAGGGCCTTGGCTCCTCTGCCAAGATTTTATATATATATAGATTTCATACATATATACATTCTCACATAAAAGGAGCAAAACCGATATATTTTACAAAAAACAATTACCCTATTGTGCAATATAAGACTAAAGCTTTAAACAAAGGAACAGTGTCAATATCAGAGTCAAGATTTCAACAAGCAACATATTAAACCAAAAAGAAATCCTAAAAAGCTACAGTTAAGTAAGAAATAACTCATTCTCAGGCTTGGCACAGTGGCTCAAGCCTGTAATCCCAGCACTTTGGGAGGCCGAGGCAGGTGGATCACCTGAGGACAGGAGTTCGAGACCAGCCTGGCCAACATGATGAACCCTCATCTCTACTAGATATAAAAAATTTGCTGGGCATGGTGGCACATGCCTGTAATCCCAACTACTTGGAAGGCTGAGTCAGGACAATCACTTGAACCCAGGAGGCAGAGGTTGCAGTGAGCTGAGATTGCGCCACTGCACTCCAGACTGGGCAACAAGAGTGAAACTCCGTCTCAAAAAAATAAAATAAAATAAAATAAAAAGAAATAACTCATTCTCATTACTGTTATTCTAATCATTCTACCCTATCAGGAAAAACTGATGTTTTACAGACACCAAAGCTCCTAGGATTTTGCCTCAAACCATCTAACAAAGACGAGAAAGCACCTGACCAGCTAAATTCAGAGTGCTTTACTAAATCTAGCACCATGTCCTTGGGTTACATAGAATAAAGAAAAGCCCAAAACAAACACACACATATGAAGTTCAGCTCCAGGGGGCAAAATTGAAAAGAAAACGTAATCTTTTTTTCTTTTCTAAGTATATAGAACAGGGCTGGGCCTAAAAGGGTGTAGCTACTTTTAAAAAAAGCCAGACAGTTCCTCAAAAATGCTAAACACTAAGTTACCTATGACCTAGCAATTCTACTCCTAAGCATATATCACCTAAGAGAACTGAAAACATGTTCATACAAAAACTTGTATATTAATGTTCATAGCAGCAGTGTTCACAATAGTCAAAAGGTGGAAACAACCCAAATGTCCATCAACTCAAGAATGGATAGACAAAATGTGGCATAACCATAGGATGAAATATTGTTCAGCCATAAAAAGTAATCAAGTGGCCGGGTATGGTGGCTCGCGCCTGTAATCCTAGCACTTTGGGAGGCTGGGAGGCCGAGGTGGGTGGATCACCTGAGGTCAGGAGTTTGAGACCAGCCTGGCTAACATGGCGAAACCCCATTGCTACCAAAAATACAAAAAATAGCTGGGCATGGTGGTGCACATCTGTAGTCCCAGCTACTCAGGAGGCTGAGGCAGGAGAATCGCTTGAACCTGGGAGGCAGAAGTTGCAGTGAGCCGAGATCATGCCACTGCACTCCAGCCTGGGTAACAGAGTGAGGCTCTGTCTCAAAAAAAAAAAAAAAAAAAAAAAAGAAAGAAAGAAAAAGGAATTAAGTACTGATACATGCTATAACACACATGAATCTTGAAAACATTATGCTAAGTGAAAAAAGCCAAACACAAAAGGCCACATACTGCATGATTTCATTTATATGAACTGGCCAGAAGAGGCAACTTTATGAAAACAGAAAGTAGACTGGTAGTTGCCTAGGGCTGGGGGGGCGGTGGGGGGGGGATGAGGAGTGATTGCTAATGGGGTCAGGGCTTCTTTTTGGGGTGATATGTTCTAAAATTGATTGTGATGATAGTTGCACAACTCTAAAAATTCTAAAAATTGTTGTACCCTTTCAATGAGTGCATTGTAGCATGTGAATTATATCTCAATCAGCAATTTTTTGTTAAAAAGGTAGGCCCTTGGCTGGGCATGGTGGCTCATGCCTATAATTCCAGCACTTTGGGAGGCCGAGGCGGGCGGATCACCTGAGGTCAGGAGTTCAAGACCAGCCTGGCCAACATGGTGAAACCTCGTCTCTACAAAAATACAAAAATTAGCCGGGCATGATGGTGGGTGACTGTAATCCCAGCTACTTGGGAGGAGAATCCCTTGAACCTGGGAGGCGGAGGTTGCAGTGAGCTGAGATTGTGCCATTGCACTCCAGCCTGGGTGACAGAGTGAGACTCTGTCTCAAAAAAAAAAAAAAGGGGGGGCCCTATCATTTTTATCAGATCAGCATTCCTAAGCTAAAATTATCTACGCCCAAAGCCTTAAACCCCCCGAGCACACAAAGCAGTGAGAAGTAGTTATCTTCCTGGTTCTTTCTAGTTGCCTAATAACATAGTTGGCTTGCTCTGGTCTCAAGTCAATTTGGAAACAGAGAGAGAATCAAGAGAATCAAATCAGGGGACGAAGCAAAACAAAAGTGAATAGCAAACAATAAGCACATGAAAAATGTGCAACATTAGCCATGGGGGAAAATTCAAATCAAAACCGCAATTAGATACCACTTCACACCTACCAGGATGGCTAGAATCAAAAGGACTTACAATAACAAGTGTTGGGGATGATGTGGAGAAATTGGAACCCTTACATACTACTGGTGGGAATGTAAAATGTTGCAGCCTAAATGTGGAAAGCAGCCTGGCCATTCCACCAAAGGTCAGAGTTGTCAAATGATCCAGCAGTTCCACTCACAGGTATGTATACTCAAGAGAAATATAAACATGTCCATGCAAAAACTTGCACACAGATGTTCACAGAGCATTATTCATAATAGCAAAAAAGTGAAAACAACCCAAATGTCCATCAACCGATAAACAATACGTGGTATATCCATATAATGATATATATTCAGCTATAAAAAGGAATGAAGTATTGATACATGTACAACACAGATGAACCTTGACAATATTATGCTAAGTGAGAGAAGCCAGTCACATATTATATGAATCTAGTTATATGCAATGTCCAGATTGGGCAAATCCATAGAGACAAAAAGTATAATAGATTAGTGGTTGCTTAGACATGAGGGGGATGGGGAGATGAAGGGTGACAGCTAAAGCGTACAGGGGTGATTAAAATTCTAAAATCAATTGTGGTGATGGCTGCACAACTCTGTGAACATTCTAAAAACCGCTTAAGTATACTCTTAAATGAATGAATCGTAAGGTCATAAAAAATGAATGACAAATACAACTCCATTTCACTTGAAGAATTAAAAAATGAATGCTTGCTTATTCCATTAATATCCTTAAGCCTGCACACGTTTACTATTAAGTCAGGCAAACCAACTCCCATCTTTTGGCTCCTCCTGGGGTTCCCCCAACAGTATCATTCCCTGGTAGTCTTCCTAAATCCACTTTCCTTCTGCCTGAGAAGGGATCTCCCTCAGGCTTCCCAGCAGGCCATCTACCCTCAAGTTACTTCTTCCTGTTTATGGTCATCAAGACTAAAAAGCTGAGATTTGGGAGTTTTTTTTTTTTTTTTTTTTTTTTTGAGACAGAGTCTCAGCTCTGACACCAGGCTGGAGTGTAGTGGCACGATCTCAGCTCACTGCAACCTCCACCTCCCGGGTTCAAGCGATTCTCCTGCCTCAGCCTCCTGAGTAGCTGGGACTACAGGCGCATGCCACCACACCCAGCTAATTTTTGTATTTTTAGTAGAGATGGAATTTCACCATGTTGGCCAGGATGGTCTCGATCTCTTGACCTCGTGATCCACCCACCTTGGCCTCCAAAAGTGTTGGGATTACAGGTGTGAGCCACCGCGCCCGGCCTGGGAGTTCATTTATACTGCATTTGTTGACAGCTTCTGGCACTTGAAGAGTCTCAGAGTGATATCTTCTGCTGTAGCCAGATGTCTCTGGGTAGGGAGATAGTTGTGGCCTGGTGACAAAAGCCCTGGACTCAAAGAAGTTCTCCAGAAATCTGTACTCAAACTTTTATTCTGTCCCTTACAGACTTGTGTGACCCTGAGCAAGTCACTCAACCACTCTGACCCTCACTTTCCTCATTTGTAAAATGGGGATAATGCCACCTAATCCACAGGGATATTCTGAAGATTAATGCTTATAAAAGTTATCTGAAACAGAGATAATAATTCAACAAACTATTTGCCAGGCTCCATACTAGACGCTGGGGACACAAAGATAAATGTAATACTAGCTGCCTTCAAATTGTTCACAGTGTACAAATGCTGCTGATAGGAAATCATTTTCTTTCTTCCTTACCTTGCCTTCTTTTAGGATGACAACGGGAATTTCAGAACTTTGACTCCCTGCCTTGGTATACTCTCACCTTTGTGCTTTCAATGCTGATAGGATAGCAGTTACATTTACATCCTTCATTCTCAAAAAGGGGGAGATAGAATGGTTACTTAAATGTTATGGGGAAAATATCCCTTTTATGCTTTCAAGTTATTAACACCACTGATTTCTAACTCTTCCAGGCCTTACCCAAAGGTGTTTCCATGGTAAAAGTATGCTTATTCAGCACCTTAAAATAACTTACAGAAATACTCTCATTCTCTCTCACTCCTTGTACCCCCAGCCTGCCTGGATTTACATTCCCGAAAAGACTGGTCATAAAGGATCATTTCCCAGTTAAGCTACCTTAATGACCAATTTCTGGCTCACCTCCTGTTTTTGAGATCAGTTTCTACTCTAAAAACAAAAGGGCTTTCAAGAAAAATACTAGATCAGTTTATAAACAGAGGCTGATATAAAGTCACTACGGGGAAAATGTAGGAGATCTCAAAATGTTCTAACACATAACCCATCCTTCCCTTGGTGGGACAATTCCACAAGTCACAGAAAAATATTTTTCATTTTAGAATAGATTTTAAGAGAGCCTTTGCCAAGAGCCAGTTGTTTAAATTTTCAATTGAATTTTAAGCAGTATTATACATGTCCAAGAACATCATGCTATTTTTAGCTAATAGGTAGGATTGCTGTGTCCATAACCGTTTAGAGCAATCAGGAGTGAAACCACTAAATAGTATCTCTTACTGTGGTATCTTATCATTTAGCATTTCTATTTCTATTTTAATATTTTCCAAAGCCTCATCATAAAAACACCTGTAAAGCACCCATGCTGGGCACAATACAAAGTTCAAATAGAAAGACACAGTTCCTATACTTCATTATGGGTTAAACCCACATTAAGCAAACCAGGTATTTGAAAGAATCTTGGCTGGGCATTATGGCTCACGCCTGTAATCCCAGTGCTTTGGGAGGTCGAGGTGGGAGGATCACTTGGGCCAGGAGTTCGAGGCCAGCCTGGGCAATATAGTGAGACCCTGTTTCTACAAATAAATTAACAAATAAAAAAAGAATCTCACAGTTAGAGCATTCTCAAGTTGCCACCAGCCTCTAAGTATCCAGAGGAGGAACATTAGGAAGCAATTGTCCTAAACCCATCATCTTTCTAATGCTTGCACACCTTTTATGTATTAAAAGAAGAGGGGTAAGGAAAATGTTCTAGGCCGGGAGCGGTGATCCCAGCACTTTGAGAGGCCAAGGTGGGTGGACTGCTTGAGCTCAGGAGTTCAAGACCAGCCTAGGCAACATGGCAAACCCCTATCTCTACTAAAAATACAAAAATTAGGCTGGGCATGGTGGCTCACACCTGTAATCCCAGCACTTTGGGAGGCCAAGGCAGGAAGAATGCTTGAGCCCAGGAGTTCAAGACCAGCCTGGGCAACATGGTGAAACCCCATCTCTACAAAAAATACAAAAATTAGCCAGGTGTATTGGTGCACACCTATAGTCCCAGCTACTCAGGAGGCTGAGGTGGGAGGATGGCTTGAGCTTGAGGGGCAGAGGTTGCAGTGAGCCGAGATCGTGCTACTGCACTCCAGCCTGGGCAACAGAGCCTGACACTGTCTCACACACACACACAAAAAGTTTTAGGCCGGGCACAGTGGCTCACTCCTGTAATCCCAGCACTTTGGGAGGCCGAGGCGGGCGGATCACAAGGTCAGGAGATTGAGACCATCCTGGCTAACATGGTGAAACCCCGTCTCTACTAAAAATACAAAAAATTAGCCGGGCGTGGTGGCGAGCACCTGTAGTCCCAGCTACTGGGGAGGCTGAGGCAGGAGAATCGCTTGAACTTGGGAGGCAGAGCTTGCAGTGAGCCGAGATCGTGCCACTGCACTCCAGCCTGGGCGACAGAGCAAGACTCCGTCTCAAAAAAAAAAAAAAAGTCCTAAAACGTACTGTGGTGATGGAGGCACAACTATACCTAAAGTCACTGAAATATATATCTAAATGAGGAAACTGTATGGTAAATGACTTACCTCTCAATAACACCATTTTAAAAAGGAGACAAATTGTCTTACTCTGATTGTTCTATTAGTCAAACCTATTTTTTAAATCTCTCATGCTAAAGGCTGCACTGGTTTGGCAAAGGTGCCTCAGAGGCCACCATGGAGATCACTCTAACCTTCCCCTCCACATCCATCTTTCTTTCCCTTACACTCTTCCTAGTCTGTCCTCTGTTAATTCCCCAGTATCCTTCCTGTTGCTCCTCCACTTTTAACTAGGTGTTAGGTCCCTCAGGTGTTCACAAGCATGGTCTGTCCCAACTGGTAGACCTCAGGATTAAGCTGATTTGCTGACCCTCTGATGCTGACCTTCAGCAACTTTCCCTTCTTAGACAAGTTATATCTTGGCTCTCTTGTCATTGTTTCAGTATGCACAATGAAGAATTGGACCACTTGATCCTTTCCAGCTCTCACATTCACGTGAAGAAAAAAAAATTCAAGTAATGAACACTTACTTGGCCAATCACATGCAAGGTCTCTTGCCAACCAACATACATGTATTTGGATTATTCATTTTGTAAATACCCACCGTGATGTAATCCTCTGAAGAACCACACTTGTTTATAAATTGATCAACATGGAGTCCTTATTTTTAAAAACTAGCACTTTACCAAAGAAAATTTAGAGCCCAACACAGAATGCTTGACAGTCCCTCTGGACCAGTCTCCAGGGATCTGTTTTCAAAAGGGGAAAAAAAAAAAAGCTTTTGCATGTTGGGGACTTGCTGGATTTACCAAACCAAAGGAGGAAGTAAGATTGATTGGGGTGGCAGAGCCTTAACAACAGTGGTTCACCTAAATCCTAAGAGAAGAAAGGCCTTATTTGGCAAGTAGTAGAAAGAACTAGCATAAAACAGCACCTCAACCTACATTATAAACTCTCAGAAATATGCTCAGAGAGCAATAAACACTGCAGGAATCCCCTTACCCTGGACAACCTGCAGCTTTTTATGCAAGCCAGTTGCATTCCCCTAACAAGTCATAGAAATATGTAGTCACTAGTATCCAGCATACCCCCACCACACACAATTCACAGTATTGTTTCCATGTGCCCAACATCAGAGAGCAAAACCGAAAGAAACATCAATTTCTCCTACAACATACACACACAAATACGCAAGAAAAACCATTTCCTTTGCAGAACCTGTGTTGTCTAAGTTGTGGGCATGAAATGCACAAATATTAGTTGCTAATAAAAATCAGACGGTTAGCTCTGTACTGGAAAGCGAACAGCACACACATAAATCATAAAAAAACAATATCCCTAAGGTGCGTTCCTGATCAGTAAGCTGAAAACCAAACAAGGAGAGAAATGACTCAAAGTGTCCATTTGCATCCCTCTTTCTCATTACCTCAGACCAACAAGCTCTCTCTCCTGTGAGTTACCTCCCTGCACTTCTGTCCTCGATCAGAAGAGCCTCGTGGAAAAGGTCGCAGGCTCTCTCTTCTTTCCCTTCAGGATCTTGAGGCACTGAAGGAGCATGGGGGGAGGGGAACGGAAAGGACAAAGGTAGGCGCTTTCCATCCCTTTCGGCTTGGCGACGGGGCTCCCAGCCTCTCCCCCTCTCATCGCGGAAATAGAGCACCTGCCAGGGAGAGGTCGGTCCCTTCCACCTTAGTAATCGGCCCACAGGGCCTAGGTGTCCCAGGAGCCCAGGCGCTGCAGCCCTAGGGGACAAAGGGGAGGAGGAGGCGAAAGAAGTCGGGAATGGTACGAATCCCTTGCAAACAAAAGGGAGGGGGCAGAATACCAAGCCGGTCGCGGCTGTTCTCAGAGGTGGACAGGTTGGGTGGAGAAATGGGTGTCGGGGGAGGGGAAGATTTAGAAAATTCCTCTAGGGCAAGGGATTAGGGAGCTGCTTGGGGGCGCAGCAGCCAGCAGGAAGGGGGCTGAGGCAGGACAGAGGCCCTGGGGTGAGAAGGGGGCACAGCTCGCTGTGGGGGAGAGGTGATGGCTAAGAGGTGAAGGCCAGACTGGGCCCAGTGTAGGGTGAGGGGGCGCTGAGCCCCGCGCGGCGCTCCGAGGGGCCCTGAGGAGGGTCTCAGAAGGAGCCTGGGGGCACGCAACGAAGGCATTCGAGGGAGAGGGCAGAATTGGGGCACGCAGTGTTGGAAAAGAGGCTGAGAACAGAGCCGTAGAGAGGTTAGGGGGGACTGCGAGGGGGCCTGACCCCCGTCCGCCCCACCTCACCTGGCGCCGGGTCGGAGTCCAGATCTAGTGCTGAGAAAGCGCCAGCTCCGGCCAGTCCCTCCGTCCCGCGCGGGAGACCACGGACACAAAGCGGGGCGCGCGGGAGGAGGGGAGGAGAGAGGAGGGGGAAGGAGGGAGGAGGAGGAGACGCCTGAGGCGCGCGATGGGGGGAAGGAGGGGCGCCTGCCGCCCTCCTCCTGGGTCAGGGGGCGGGGCATGCGGCTGGAGGCCGCCCTCAGCCGGCCAATGGCCACTCCACTGGCCCGCAGGCTAGGGCGCGCCTTCCCGCGGCTCACCTCGGCACCTGGGCCTCGGTTGGCCCCAGCCAATCAAACGCCTTTATTTGCATGACCAGCCCCGCCCATTCGCCCCAGCCAAGGACTGCTCACTGAGAATACAAAGAAGGCCCCCCGGAGGGGAGGGAGTCGACTCCAGTTGGCCTATCCCAAGGGCATAGTATCACCTTTTCAGCGCGTTTATGGGTCTTTCACGGTCATCTTGATGAGGGGAGGGGAGTGGGGGTCACAGAGGTTTGGCCCAAGATCTCTTAAGAGGTCGGATCTCTTCTACCTGAGGTCCTTCTAACCAAGAGCTGCTCTCCTCTTCCAGGGCACACAGTTCCCAGTCTTCTCCTGTGGGCCCTCCGCCCCCTCCCCTTTTTCCAGTCGCCCTAATCTTTGGATGCTGCTTCCAGTAGGCTGCTGCCCACTACTGGCCTTCTCCTGCACTGCAGCCCACATCAGCAGGCTCTGAGCACAGCCTTAATTGATGCTTTCAAGCCGCCCAAACCAACCCCTACCCAGCAGGAAAAGGAGAGAGGAAGAGGTTACTGCTCTAGGTAGAAGGGACCTGGTCAAGTGGCTTTGTTACCTAGGATGGCAAAAAGCCAACACATAATATAAGTCTAACTCCCCCACATCATCTCTTCCCACCTTCCCTTCTCCTACCTTCAGGTCTGTACTGGGCCACAATGGTGACTGACTGGCCGGCCCGTTTCAGAGCAGCTGCAGCCTGCTCATGAGTTGCATTCCTCAGATTCACTCCATTCACCTGTCCAAAGAGAGAAGCTGTGAGCCACCCCAAAAGCAAGAAAGAGGGTCCTCTGCATTAGCAGTTAGGAGAGGGAGATGGGTACCCCACCCCTAAGCCTGTTTAGATGCCTTTCCCAATATTCCAACCTTGCCCCTAAAACAAGGCCTAAAGGATACGACATCTCTAGTGTAACAATTATCTTCATAAAGGTCAAATGCCAATCAGGGTTAAGATCCAATAGGCATTCATTTCCTCTTCAAAGATAAGTCTAGTCCCGGTCCCTGTCACTAAGGATGTCTATAAAAACAAGAGAAGTTTTCTCCAGTCCTTAGCCCTCCCTTCATCTCAAGAAGCATTCCTCGGAGGAAGTAAGGTCTCTCGCTCTCCATTTTAGACTGGCACAGTTCCCATCCTCCCACCTCTCCTTTGTCTCCTCACCGATAAGATCCGGTCTCCCCTGCGCAGCTCCCCACTCAGGTCAGCTGGGCCTCCTGCCAGGATGAAGGAGACAAAAATGCCTTCTCCATCCTCTCCTCCTACGATGTTGAAGCCCAGGCCTGTGGAGCCTTTGTGCAGGATGATCTTGCGAGGCTCTCTGGTGGGAAAGGAGTGGAGGAGTCAGGACTAGGTAGATATGGACTGTTGTCCTTTGAGGGCCAGCCTGGAACAAGGTCCATACTTGCTGTAGGGAGTAAGGACGTGGTTCCCTATGTATGATACCCTGAGCCTCCCTTTGTCTCCTGAAACCTGCTTGGCTGCTGTTCTGTCAGGTGCCAAGTTTCAGTTCCTCTTCCCTCCCTTCTTCCCGAGGGCTTGCAGTCAACTTCCCAGTGGACAGTCCCCTACTCTCTCGGGTGAACAAATCCCTACCCTGAACTCCAGAGACCAAATCTCAGGCCCACTCACTGGTCCTCTTCCTTCCCAGATTCTCCTATCCTACCAACCCGTGTGATGGACCCTGGACCACAAGAAGAGGAAGCAGTTAGGGGCAGTGGAGTCACCCTGGGGTTGACTGCACTCATCATCCACAGGATGTGCACACTTACTTCACAGACACTCTTCTGCAGTCTCAAAATCTCACCCATCAACTATGACCCCTCCTACCTGCTGCCCCAACAACATATTTAATCAGCAGCTAACACTATGTAGCCCCAGGGGGTTGCAGCGCCTGGGTTCTTAGGGGGATCCCAGGTCCCCAAAAGGAGTTTAGAATCCAAACTGAAGAGAGCAGACAAGCACATGAGAAATGCGAATAAAACTAACCACATCTAAGGAAGCCCTCTGTAAAAGGTCACAGTGTCATCCGCCCAACTCCCAGGGCACGTTCCCGGCCCACCGCCTTCACTTGTTACAAGCATCTTTCCTCGGAGGAGCCCAAAGCCCCACGCAAGACTCTTCCTTTCTTGCTCCCAGTCTCAGGGGCGAGACTCCCTCCCTGAGTCCCGGATGCTCTTGCTCCTAGCCCTCCACTCCTACCTGGCATCCCCTCCGGGCCGCAGGGAGCGGAGCGGCCAGGCCCACCTCTGCGAAGCCCTCCTCCAGGCCGAAGCGGAGGCGGAGCCCAAGCCCATGGCCAAGCCGGAGCCCGAGAACTTGCGGGCCCTCTCCATAGCTCCTCTCTCTCTCCCCTGGCTGCCTACCCTTCCGGCTCCACTGCTGCCTGCCCGCCAGCCTCTCGGGCCCCACCCTGCAAACCTGTCCCCCGGAACCCCAGCCGGCCCGACCAGTTCCAGGCCCCGCGCAGCCGCTGCCGCCGCCGCTGCCGCCAGCGGGGCGGGGCCGTTGCCGGCGAGGCCACCGGGCCGGTCAGAGTCCCGCCAGCCCCACCGGCTGAACTGCTTTCTTCTCTAATTTGAAATGGTTGCAGCAGAGCGGGCTGCAACTATCTCAGGGCAGGAAACTCCGCTGCCCTCGCCTCCTCAGCCCCCTAAACGCTCCACCCCATCCTTTCTTTATCTGCACTTTTGGACCGGGGCCACTCACTCGGCACTCCCCCTGATGGTAGAGCTTGTCCCTGCAGCCACTTCTGTCCCTCTCTAGGTCCCCAAGGCCTGAGAGAGGGCCTCGGACCCCAAAGCCGGGAGTGATGAGGGCCTTATCCTCTTCTTTGCCATACTACAAGGAGCCTGTGGCCGGCCAGAAACGGATTCCTCCCCTCCCCAATTTCTGGGTAGATTGAATGGGATGTTGGGGGCGGGGTCTTACCTGGTGAAGTCCTCCTCAGCCAGCATGTGCCTGGGAATAGGAGAGTAGCGGGTGGGGGGAACCTGAGGAGGAGCAGGGTAGCTGACCTTGCTCTCCACAGCCCCGAGATAACCCAGGCTGGAATTATGGCTTATGTGGTTGTCAGCCAAGGCAGTAAAAGCTGGAATCAAGAAAGGGAGAGAAAAGTTCAGAGACTGGTCCAGGGAGGTACCCCAAACTCCTCAAGGACTTTCCCCCACACCCCACTTCAGATGCAAAAGAGACCAAGGGATGCTGATTCCTCAGGCCGCACCTCCCCACTCCATCCACCCGCCACCCAGGGTTCCTCCTCCGCAGTCCCTTTCTAAATCCTTGGCTCACTCCTGTGAGTCTTAGAAAGAGCTGAAGTCAAGGCAGTCTACAAAGAAAGGCATGACTAGAGGTGTGACTAATAATAATCCCTCACATCTCTATAGCCTAATACAGTTTTCCAAGGGTTTTCTCATCCATGATCTCATTTGATCCTTGCAGCAGTCCTATGAGGAAGGCAGCACATACATCATTAGCTCCCTTTTGCCAAAGAGGAAACAAAAAACAGGTGAAAGGGACTTGTCTAAGGGCACCCAGCTCTAAGGGACAGAGCTGGGGGCCAGGCACGGTGGCTCAAGCCTGTAATCCCAGCACTTTGGGAGGCCGAGGTGGGTGGATCACGAGGTCAGGAGATCGAGACCATCCTTGCCAACATGGAGAAACCCCGTCTCTACTAAAAATACAAAAAATTAGCCAGGCATGGTGGCAGGCACCTGTAATCCCAGCTACTCGGGAGGCTGAGGCAGGAGAATTGCTTGAACCCAGGAGGTGGAGTTCGCAGTGAGCTGACATCGTGCCACTGCACTCCAGCCTGGCGACAGAGCAAGACTCCGTCTCAAACAAACAAACAAAAAAACAAAGACAGAACTGGGATCTGGACTCAGTTCTGTGCACTATCCTCTGCGGCTTCTCTCTCTCCTCTTTTTAAAATTCACTCTCCATAGAAATTGTCAAAAATTGCCAATGCTGACTCTATGGCAAGTCTTCACGATGGGGTACTGAGCAAAGTTTTCAATTAGCAATAATGGCGCCTCAGATAAACCTTATTGGCTGCTACAGTGCCACCACTGAGCAAAGCTGCTTGCCCTCTCTTAACAAAGGGTATGAACTTCTTCCCCTCCAGAAACCAGGGGACAGAGCTTTAGACCAGGGACAGGGGCTGATGAGTACGTACTGCTGGCGTAGTCAGGGGGAGCGTACATGTCGTTGAGGTGGAGGCTGCCTGGCTTGGCCACCTTCAAATACACCATATCAGATGTGTTCTTCAGTGAGGCCACAGCTTCCTCGTGCCTCACATCCTGCAGATTGGTGTTGTTCACCTAGAAGAGGAGAGGCCTCAGGCTGGGACTTGGAAGAAGGAGAGGCTTCTCCAGGGAACTCGAGGGATGCCTTTTCAGTGAAATTCAACAGCATGCTAACAAAGGCCCAAGTATAGTGCTGTGAGGAGCAGAGGCAGGAGGTAGGGGATAGGGCAAGACCCTGGCCACAGAAAGAATTAGGGCCTTTGTATCTGGGCAAACACAACACAGATGATAACTCTTGAAATTCCCCCATGATGCCTCATCCCTGAGTGAGGTTTAGGCGGAGTAAGGGGTACTGGAGCTCCTCCTCCCTACCCTACCATTTGGGCATCCCCATGAAGTCTGTCTCACCGCCAGCAGCCGGTCCCCAATCTGTAGGCGTCCATCCTTCTGAGCAGCACCCCCCTCAATGATCTTGGTGATGTAGATGCTGTTGTCTCCTGGGATGTGCTGGTTGCCAATACCCCCAGCAATGCTGAAACCCAGGCCTGAGCGGGAGCCAGCAGGAGGTGGGAGAGGGCCACAAGGAGAGGTTAAAGTGTTGTCGATCCCAAATCCAAACCCCCTCCCCCAGCCAACCCACTGGCCCCACAGGAGCTCCCCCCGGGGGATCCAAACGCTAAGCTGCCATCCTGAGATGAGTAAGGGTGAGGCCTGAGGTCAAAAAAGTAGGCTGTGAGTTGGAACAGGGGGAGTCAGGCAAGGAGTAAGGCCATTCCCTTCCAATTCCCTATGGGGCAAGATGGGATCTGGGGCCTAAGGCTCTGGCTGGAGCACAGGAACCTGGAGGGCCGCACCTTTGGGCCCTTTGAGCAGGTTGACCTCCATGATGGTCTCGGGTGGAGGCTGTCGCCTCCGCACCACCAATCGCACCACAGGGCCTGCCTCCTTCAGCGCCTCCACCGCCCGGCTGTGTACCACCTCCGACACGTCCACCTCATTCACCCGCAGCACACAGTCATTCACCCTGTGGGGGAAGCCCGAGAGGCATGACACTGTGCCCCTACCCCTCCACCCCCTCTCCTGCTTCCTCCCACTTCTCTGTCCTCCCCTCCTCTGCCCTCCCACCCCGCCCTCAGATCTAATGGAAGGGTCATCCTGCCAGGCAGGCTTTCCTCCCCTCATCTCGATCCTGTCCCTGCCACCCACAACCCTGCTTCCAGGCCATCTCACCCCAGCCTCCCATCCATGGCAGCTGCTCCACCAGGGATAATCTTGGTAATAAAGATGCCAGGGTCATCAGGGACATGGGGATTGTCGATGCCACCTGCGATACTGAAGCCCAGGCCAGAGTTGCCCTGCAGAAGTGGGTGGAAAGGCACAGTCTGTTCACTCTGAGGGCACAAAGGAGAGTTCTGGGTACCTCATCTCCCCTTATATCCCAGAGCTAGTTCTCCAGGCCTCAGAAGGGGCCATGGCAGGCTGGGCACATTTGTCAGACACCCAGCCTCTGCTGATCATTTTGGGAAACCCATCCCCTCCCCAATTCCCCAGGCCTCAGTGAGCAAGGTCAATTAATATTTGTTAGTGGGTTGATTGATTGATGCAGTGAAGCAGCCTCTGAGGGCCGCTGTTTCACCATCCTCTAAATGCAGGTCCCCCCATGGGTCTTGAAACCATGATTCAGGGGTCTCCCTTATCCTGGCTCCAACCCTCTCCTTCCCTTTCCGCTTTTCCCCACTGGCAGACTCACCCTCTCAAGTACGATTTCCTCATATTTGAACATGCCATCACTGCCATTCACCTAGGGGGAGACACAGGCAGTTCCCTTAGTGCCCCCTGCCCTTCCAGCCATCTGCCCCTTAGTCAACCTGCCTCCTCCCCTACTCCCACAGAGTAGAAGAGCCCAAGTGCACCCCAGGTCACCTCTTGGCCACAGATGAGGACAGGCTGACCTGGAAGAGGCCGCTCCTCACTCACCCCACCAATCCCTGCTTTGCTTCCAACCATATCAGCCCAAACCAAGCTGCTCATTTAGCCCAGATCAATTGTCTGAGACTGAGCCAGCCAGTGGTGCACTCACCGAGAGGCTGTGCTTCAGTGTCTCAGGGTTCACTAGGAGGGGTGCAGGCCTGGCCTAAGGGGGATGGCAGAGATGGAGCATGGCAGGCAAACCATGCCACACCCAGTGTCCATAGGGGATACCCAGTGGCCTAGACAGATAACCCTTCCCCTTCTGAACCACAGTTCTCCCTGACTGGGGGATCATAGACTCCCACTGTGTCCGAACTGGAAGGACAGCAGACATCATCTTGTCCTATCCCCTTTATGTGACAGTAGGTGACACGGAGGCCCAGAGAAGACATGGGATGTGCCTAAGGGCACACTGGGAATTAGTGACAGAGCAATAGGATATCCAGGTGTTCTTTTGATTACAGTAAGCTCTTAAGGCCACTGATGTTTTGGTCACTCATCCCCGTACCCCAGCAGAGCTCATGGGAAAAAGGACAGTTGCCCCACTTTGGAGCACCTCGTGAGTCTTCACTCTATACCTCTTTCTTGGACTCCAGGAACCCAATTCCTCAAATAGGCAGAAGGAGTCAAAGTCCTAATCCATTTTCTACCAAAGGATTTTTGATTCTGAGCCCTTTGTTTTTCCCAGCAGAAAGGGCGAGGGTGGGATCTGGTCAGGAGTCAGAGACAAAGCCACGGGTGGGACTGGAGCAGGGTAGACAAGATTCCCCATGAGGGAGAAGTTGGTGACCCACAGGCTGATTGGCAGCAGAGTCCATGGTTTTCAATATGTAGTAGCCATGCAAGAAGAGGCAAGGGAAGGGGTCAGAAACACAGGGGTGATTTGGCCAACCCACAGAGATGGCCTCCCAGACAGGACATGTGTGTATCTATTTGTCAAGTGAAAATGTGATTCTGGACATACAAGCAGCACCTGCCTGCTGGCTCCCACTTTCACCTCCAAGAATGGAGAAGCCCTCTTGCCTGTCTCCCCAGGTACCCTGGCACCCCTCCCCCACCTTTCTCTGGCTATGTTGTCCCTTCCCTGACCTCTAGCCTCCTCCTCAGAAGTGGGGAGCTGGAAACCAGGGTGGGGGCTCCTCCACATGTCCTGCTGTGCTTCCCCCGTCCCACCTCCACCCCACACAGCTTTGGCTTCAAGAAGCAGAGAGGAGGAGAGGGAGAGAGGACTAGCTCATCATGCCTCCACCATTTCTGGGCTGGCTCTGCAGCTGTGGGAGTTGGTGGGAGGACTCCAGCTACAGCCTTACCCTGGTCTGTGACCCCAGGAAGAAGAACTGAAGGCTCCTTAGAGACCCGAAACCAACACAGCTGCCTTAAGTACCATGCAACAGACACATAAGCAAAGGGACACCCATGTGGCTCTTGTGTGCATTTGGTGTACCATGTGTGCCCACATGTGACAAGCCATGCCTCAAGCCCAGCCCCAGTGGTACCCAGAGGCTTCCCGTTCCCAGTGGTCCACGCTCTAGCCCCCACCCCTACTCAAGGACCTTGTTCTCAGGGCCAGGAGCCATCCAGGGATCAGCCCTGGCAAAGAAACCTTGGCCAACTGGCCCAGCCTGGGATTGCCACCTGTCTCCCAGCCGGGCAGGACAAGCATAAGAGGGTGTTTGCGAGAGAAAGGCCTCCAGGACAGAGAGGGGGCAAAGGAGAGAGAGGGACTCGCTGGAAAGGGCAAGAGGCCAAGGCAAGGGATGTGGGAAAGCAGTAAGTGTGGACAGACAGAAGGCCAGAACTGAGGGCTCTTCTCCCCAGGAAGTCCCCACCTTTGCCTCTGAGTGAGAGCACATCCTATCCCCAGAGGACAGAGGCAGCCAGAACGGTCACCAGCTTGGGGAAGTCATCACCTGCCCTCGACAGCAAAGCCTCCTCTTCCTCTCTCCCCACCCTAGGAGCTGCAGAGCCGGATAACCAGACAGGCCCTCCGCCTTGCGTGCCAGGGACCTGGCTCTGCCAGCCCAGCCTCCATTTTGCTGCTTCTCCCACAGATGCTCCTTCCATTTTCTAAGCTGGCAGTTTAGGCTGGGAGTGGAAGCCGGAGTTGTGCCCAGCACCCAGGGGCTCCCAAGCTGTGCCAAGTCAGGGCTGGGGGGCTAAGCCCTCTCACATCTGGAGGTACCCAAGGGGGACATGCCCCACTGGGGCCAGTCTCTGCACCAGGGCAGCTGCCCCTTGCCGGCTCCAGGCACCATGCCTGCTCTAGAGCGAGGAGGCTTGCTTCAGTTCCTTCAAATCTCCCCCCGCCCCCCGCCACCCCACCCCGGCACACACACTACAGAGCTGCTTGGACAAAAGAGTCCGTCCTTCTCAGCAGCCTCTCAGCCTTGCTTGGGACATGTCTCTCGCCTCCTTCCTCTCCCCTCCCTTGCCTGTCAAGCGCCTCTCACCAGAGACAACACATACAAACACACACTCACACACACACACCAGGCACACGCGTGCACACTCTTGCAGCCACATGCTCACACACATATACATGTAGCCACACACACAAACACAGCCATCCCTGCAGCCTCCTCTACAGAGACCTCTCCACATTCAGAGTGACATCTCCACACATCCATGTGCACATTCACACACAAAGGGACTGGGACGGAGAGGGACTCATGGCATCAAGGGATGAAGCTCAGCGAGCCGGGCACATGGGCTCCTCCACACGGATTCACGGCAGCTCCATTGCCTTCCTCCACACACCCCAACATACATACACACACATATGTCCCCCCTACGCAGAGCACCATGCCCCCTCCCCTCCCCTCCGGTGGAGACACACACCACACACAGCCCCCGCAGAACCTCCCGCCCCCTGCCAGACACAGAGACATTGCCAAACCCCCACACTGAGACAAACCCAATTCCCCCACACAGGAAAATGTGCCCCTCCGCCATGCCCTTACCCCCTGACACACGGCTCCTCCCAGTCTTCTAATGGAGACCCCCAAACAGACACACACAGGGAACCACACATTTCCCACCGCCTCTCTTTGCCCAGCTGCAATGCTAGGGCTCGGGGTCCACAGGCTTGGAGCCCCAGCGACCCCTACTGCATCCCAGGCCTCTAGGCCCCCACTCTCCAGCCCTCCTGGGTTGCCCCACCGCTCCCCCCTCCGCTGGTCCATACCTGCTCATACCAGTCCCGGTTGGTACAGGTGCACTCTGGCCACCAGCTGGGGCCGCTGCCGTTGAGTTTGGGGGTGCTCTTGCCCGGGACTGGCTTAGGAGGCACCGGCCCCACATCCCGGCCGGTGGGGATGAGCTTGGCCTTGGTGCGAGGGGTGGGGGTGGCCCCCGCCTGCGAGGGCAAGGTCTGCGAGCTGTAGCCCCCATAACCCGCGCTGGCGCCGTTGCCCCCACCTGGCCCGTAAGGGTCGGGGACTTGCCAGTCGCCGTAGCCCGGAGGCTCGAGGCGCCGCAGGGCGGCCAGGCGGGTCACCTCATAGCACTCAGGGCACTTACAGCAGTGCTGGTGCTTGTGCATGGCACTGCCCCCCGCGGCTCGGACCCCCCAGCCCACGCCGGATTCCACGCCGCCGCCACCGCCGCCACCACCGCCGCCGCCGCCGCCGGGCTCCCTGGCACACTCACACTGCTCGGACCAAGAAGGGGGGGGCACCCGTGGGGGCGCCCGGGCTGAGCGGGGCCTGGGGCCGGGCGGGCGTCCCGGGGCCTCGGCCCCCACGCTGCCCCGCACCCACGGCTCCCCCTCCAGCACTGGCGGCTCCGTGTCGCCCGTCGTGGCTTCTGGGCCGAGGCCCAGCGGCAAAGAAGAAGCGGGAGCTCAAGCAGAGAATGGGTGCTGTGAGGACCGCTTCTGCTCTGGTCCCCAGGATGGATCTGAGTGGAGTCAAGAGCATCTCTCCCTGGCTCCCTTCTCAGTTGATTCCAGCCAATCAGCGCGCAGAGGCAGGCAGCGGCAGCGGCAGCGGCGGCGGCAGGAATGCTAAACAGCGGCTACTTAAAGGAACAGAGGCAGCGGCGCCCCCAGGCTCAGCCCCAGCTCCCCCAATCTCTAGGGAACTGTTGGCTCTAAGGGCGGGGGCAGAGGACGTGGGCCACCAGAAAGCTCAGGCACCCGATCTTGTGCCCTTATATCGCCAGTTTTAGCCTGTCCTCTGCCCACTCCACCCCACCCCACTTCCAAGAGGGAGTTGCAGGGAGATGTTCAATGGGTCCCCAGGCTTGCTCTGAGCTGGGGCCACCAGAAGTAAAGACGAGGTAGCAGGATGGACAGAAAGGACGTTGGAGCAGGGTGAGGGAGGTGCTTTCTCTTACAGGGGACCAAAGAAGAAGGCAGCATATGAGGCCCGCTGTCCTGTCAATGCCTCCTACACAAGACTATTGTTCTCTCAGTCTCTAGGCCCTGAAATTACTGTGACCTCACACTTGACCTTCTACCATCACCAGTAAAGAACTCAACCCTAGAACAGGGATTAACAGAAAGCTCTAAGTCCTTGTCCCTGGCCCACAAACCCCTATCTCCTCCACTCCACCCCTGCATGGTTATGATGGGGGAAGGAACTTCAGGATATCAAGATGAAAGTCCAGGACAGGTGAAAAGGTAAGAAGGGATTTGAAGAGAGAGAAACCCTTCTATGGGTCTGGAATAGAGCTTAGGAATACTTGTCCAAGGACATCTCCTTACCCTCTCCTGGCTCAGCTTGTCGGGGGAATGGAGGAAGGATGACATACAAGAAAGACTATCTTTTTTGCAGTTCTTGTTTTGTTTTTAGCTACCAATTATTGGGTCTTTACAAAGTCCTAAGTGCATAACACGCAAACCCAAATCCTACCAAGCTGATGCTATTATTATCTTCATTTTACCAATGAGAAATTGAGGCTCAAAGATGTTAACACAGCTAGGTAACACAGCTGGAAGTGACAGAATCAGGATGCAAATCCTGATTATTTGACTCCAGAGTCCACGCTGTGAACCACTCTAGTACGACAGGTCTATTCTAAGTTCTCCTGCAGAATTTACATCTCAGTTCAATTCAGCAAATATTCATTGAGCACCTGCTCTGTGCAAGACCTTGACCTAGGTATTAGGGATACAGAGGTTCTTTTTTTTTTTTTTTTTTTTTTTTGAGATGGATTCTCATTCTGTCACCCAGGCTGGAGTGCAGTGGCGTGATCTCAGCTCACTGCAACCTCAGCTTCCCAGGTTCAAACGATTCTCCTGCCTCTCAGTCTCCCTAGTAGCTAGGACTACAGGCTCCTGCCACCACGCCCGGCTAATTTTTGTATTTTCTTAGTAGAGATGGGGTTTCATCACGTTGGCCAGGCTGGTCTCGAACTCCCGACGTCAAGTGATCCACCCACCTTGGCCTCCCAAAGTGCTGGGATTGCAGGTGTGATCCACTGTGCCCGGCCCTCAGAGATTCATTCTTAATTCAACAAATATGCGTGGAACACTTGCTGTGTGCCAGACACTGTTGTAGGATTTGGGGATATAGCAGGAAACAAAATAAAACAGAACAAACAGAACAAATCCCTGCCCTTGGGGAGCTTACCTCCTAGTGAGAGGACACAGACAAAAATAAACACAATAAATAAGTGAATTATGTAGTACAGTAGGTCCTCATTTAACATCATTGGTAGGTCCTTGGCAACTGGGACTAAGTGAAACAACGTATAACAAAACCAATTTTACCACAGGCTAATTAATATAAACAAGAGCTAAGTTCCTACAGCATATTTCTGGTCACAAAACATCACCCAGCTTCCAAATAAAGACCCAAAACACTTCTGATATTGAACATTGAAATAAATATGAGCTATGCATACATATAGAAAGATTAATGAAAACAAGTAAATAATTACCTAACCTTTGGTGAACCAGTGAGTGACAGCAGTGGAAGTGGTGGTGGGTTGAATCAAGGAATAAATGTATGCAAAGCGAAAATTGTAAGGAGCACCTCCCTACCACCATGCAGTTCAAAAGCAAACAATCACGAATATGGTGAGCTCGATGAGCACTTTCTTACCTCATAGTTTATTGTGCATTTGTATGATTATCAACTACTTGACAAATTTTTATTTTACAGTACTTTGTATCCATCCATCCATCCATCCATCCATCCATTCATTCATTTTTCAATCTGCTTATTTCAGTTCAGGGTCAAGGGTGGCCACAGCCTATCACAGCAGCTCAGGGTACAGGGCAGGAACCAATCCTGGACAGGATGCCATTCCATCACAGGGTGCGCTCACATACACACCCACACTCACTCACACTGGGACAATTTAGACACGCCAATTCACCTAACGTGCACTGGGATGTGGGAGGAAGCGCAGTACCCTGGAATACCCGAGAAAACCCACACATACATGGGGAGAGTGTGCAAACTCCACACAGACAGTGGCTCTGGCCAGGAATCGTTTTAGTTGTTTTTTTTTCCCCCTCATCAATGTTAAAACAAAATGATGTTGAAGAAAACAACATTATTCAGCATATACACCTGCTGTGTATATGGTGATAAGTGCCATGGAAAAAAATAAAAAGTAGAGCACAGTAAGATGGATTGGGAATGGTAGGGGAGGATACCAAGTTGTGATTTTTTTTTCAAGTTTTTTGCCCCCACAGTTTAATATGAAAGTTTTCAAACATACAGAAAAATTCAAAGAATTTTACAGTGAACATCCAATTACCCACTGCCTAGGATTCTCATTAACATTTTGCTATGCTTGCTTTATCATATATCTATCCTCCACATATCCTCTCCAACAGTTTTAAAAATGAAAATTTACAAACATACAAAAATATTGGAAGAGTAGTACAATGGACACCACTGTATGCCTTCCTTATCAAGTCGACAATTTGACTTGTTTTGATTGTTATATTTGCTCTGTCTATGTATCTATGTATCTATCCATCTATCTATATTTTTTAAAGAGTAGGTCTTGCTCACTCACTCAGGTTAGAGTGCAGTGGCGTGATCATGGCTCACTGCAACCTCAAACTCCCGGGCTCAAGCAATCCTCCCACCTCAGCCTCACAAGTGGCTGGGACCACAGGTGTGTGCCACCATGCCCAGTTAATGCTCTATCTATCTATCTATCTATCTATCTATCTATCTATCCCTTTTTCTGAACCATTTACATGTAAGTTTCATTACATGTAAATGGTTCCATTATTCATCTGTAAGTTTTGATAACTTCCTTTAGCCATTCTTTGTCTGCTGGCAACAAATTATCTTAGCTTTCCTTTGTCTGAGAATGTCTTGATTTCCCCCTCATTCCTGAAGGATATTTTCACCAGATATAGCATGCTGGAGTGCAGTGGTGTGACCATAGTTCACTGCAGCCTTGAAACTCCTGGCCTCAAAGTGATCCTCCTGCCTCAGTCTCCCAAGCAGGCTCCTCAGTAGGTGGGACTATAGGCGCACACCACTCCTGGTTAATTTTTTTATTTTTAGTAGAGACGAGGTCTCATTATGTTGCCCAGGCTGGTCTCAAACTCCTGGCCTTGGGTTATCCTCCCACCTTGGCCTCCCAAAGTATTGGAATTACAGGTGTTAGCCACTGTACCTGGCCACATTTGAATTCCTTTTCCTATGTAGGTAAGGTGTTGTTTCTCTCTTGCTGCTTTCAAGTTTCCCATCTTCAGTTTTCAGAAGTTTGATTATGATGTGCCTTGGGGTGAATTTGAGTTTATCCTATTTGGGGTTTGTTCAACCTCTTGAACCTGTTCATTTATGTCTTTTGCCAAATTTTCAGCCATTATTTCTTGAGTAATTTTTTTTAGCCCCATGCTCTTTCTCTTCTTCTTCCACATCTCCAATTATGTGAATGTTAAGTCCTTCGTTATAGTCCCAAGCATCCCTGAGGCTCTGTTCATTTTTTTTTCTTTGAGACTCTGTTTCATTTTGTCACCCAAGCTAGAATGTAGTGGCACAATCACAGCTTACTGCAGCCCCGATCTCCCAAGCTCAGGTGATCCTCCCACCTCAGCCCCCTGAGTAGCTGGGACTACAGGTGTGCATCACCACATCCAGCTAATTTTTGTATTTTTAATAGAGACAGGGTTTCGCCATGTTGCCCAAGCTGGTCTTGAACTCCTGGGCTCAAGTGATCTGCCCACCTCAGCCTCCCAAAGTGCTGGGATTACAGGCGTGAGCCACTGTGCCCAGCTCTGTTCATTTATTTTTTGTCTATTATTTTCTCATTGTTGTTCAGATTGGGTAATTTCTAATGTTCTATCTTTATGTTCACTGATTCTTTCCTCTGTCCTCTCCATCCTCCTTTTGAGCTCATCTACTGAGTTTTTTAGTTTGGTTATTATAGTTTGTTCTAAAATTTTATTTGATTCTTCATTATATCTCTTATTTCTTTGCCAAGACTTACTATTTTTTACATTCGTTTTAACCTTGTTTGTAATTGCTCATAGATTGCTCATAGAAGCATTTTTTTTAATGTTGGCCACTTTAGAATCTTTGTCAGGTAGTTGAAATCTTTCTCTTTCTCATTCAAATTGAGGGTCTCCTGGTTCTTGGTATAATGAGTGAATTTTTTTTTTTTTTAAGACACAGGGTCGGCTGGGCGCAGTGGCTCACACCTGTAATCCCAGCACTTTGGGAGGCCGAGGCGGGTGGATCACAAGGTCAGGAGTTCGAGACTAGCCTAGTCAATATGGTGAAACCTGTCTCTACTAAAAATACAAAAATTGCCTGGGCGTGGTGGCGGGTGCCTGTAGTCCCAGCTACTCAGCAGGCTGAGGCAGGAGAATCGCTTGAACCCGGGAGGCGGAGGTTGCGGTGAGCCAATATTGCGCCACTGACTCCAGCCTGGGCGACAGAGCAAGACTCCGTCTCAAAAAAAAAAAAAAAAAAGGACACAGGGTCTCACTATGTTGCCCAAGCTGACCTTGAACTCCTGGGCTCAAGTGATTCTCCCAACTCAGCCTCCTGAATAACTGGGACTATAGGTGCTGGGCTTAGATATAGAGTGATTTTTATTGCATCCTGGGAATTTTTGGATATTACAGTATGAGACTCTGGATTTCATTTACATCTTTTGTTTCTGGTAGGCTTCTTCTGACACGATTTTCATCAGAGGAAAGGGCCACTGCCTGGTTACTGCCGGGTAGAGGTTCAAGTTCAATTTCCCTCCTTGGTCTTGGTTGGTATGTGTGGTGGAGGCTTCTCCTTTCTACTGTGCAGGGGTAAAAATTCCAGCTCCCTACTATGCCTCTACTGATGCCTCTCTAGCTGGAAGGGGCAGAAGTGCCTTTTTACTGTTCCCCAGGTGGGCTTCCACTAACACCACAGTCAGGAGGTGGAGAGATTTTGGGAGGGGAGGAGAGGGAGGCTAATGGCCTCATCAAATGATATGTTGTGGTAAAAGTCCTGACTCACCACCAGGCTTCTCTGACACTGACACCACCCAACAGGAAGGGGTTCTTGTTACCCCTCAGGGATGGAAGTTTAGGCTCTCTACTCAGCCTTCTCTGACACTACCCCAGAGAGTACGGGGGAGCCTGGCCAGAGTGAAAATCTGGGTTATCTACTTGGCCTTTGCTGGCTTGGGTGCAGCTGCAGTTTTTTTTTTTTTTTTTTTTTTCTGTGGTGTGTGGTTGCAGTGGTGGTTATTGTCTAAGAGTTTTCTGTCTGGCTAAATTCCATTTCCTGGTCTTATGGCTAGAGAGAATAGGCCAGTTACTGGTGTTTGCATTTTTTTTGTCTGTGCCCATTGGCATTTCCAGGCTGCTGGCTTCTCCAGTACCTGATCTGGAATATTTGATACAACGAGAAAACCCAGGGAACTCATCACCTCGAGTTCAGGTCACTGGGGTTCCTAGTTAGTCTGCCCCCTTCCTCTTCTTTCATAGTCTTCTTATGTTTGTCTTATATATAATGTCCAGAGTTTTAGCTGTACTTAGTGTGAGGAATAGGGAGAAGTGTGTCTACTCTAACTGGGTCCATAACTGGAAGTCTTCCATCTTTTTTAAAAAATTAACTACATCGAGTTTTTGAAGAGTGCCAGTCAATTGTTTTGGATTTGTCTTTTTCCTCATGGTGTCATTTATCTCGTTCCTTTATACAGTACTCTCCCTCTTATTCATGGTTTTAACTTGCCATAGTTTCAGTTACCCATGGTCAACTGCAGTCTGAAAATATTAAATGGAAAGTTCCGGAAATAAACAATTTATAAGTTTTAAATAGTATGCCGTTATGTAATGAAATCTTGTGCTGTCCTGCTCCATCCCGCCCAGGATGTGAATCATCCCTTTGTCCAGTGTATCCACACTGCATACACTACCCACCTATAAGTCACTTAGTAGCCATCTTGGTTATCACTTCAGAATAATATAGTATATATAGGGTTTGGTACTATCTGCTGTTTCAGGCATCCACTGGGGGTCTTGGAACATATTCCCCATGGATAAAGGAGGACTATTGTACCCTGTATTTACTGTAAACTGGAAATTAAAATAGAGGGAATCTTAAATAGGTTGGTCAGGGTAGGCTTCACTGAGAACGTGGCATTTCAGCAAAGAATTGAGGGAGGTGAGGAAGTGAGCCATGCAGGGGGAAGCCAGTGCAAAGGTCCTGGTAAGGAGTGCAAAGGTCCTGGTAAGGAGTGCATCCGACTTGCTCAAGGAACAGCAAGGAGAATCAAGTGGCTTTAACAGAGTAAGGGAGGGGAGAACGCCAGGAGACGAGATCAGAGATTGAATAAGGGACTAGATTGTGTAGGACCTTGTAGACCACTGAAAAGATTTTGGCTTTCCTCTCAGAGAGATGGAGTGCCATTGGAGGGTTTCGTGCAGAGAACTGGCATGACGTGACTTGGGTTTAGCAGGATTGGTATAGCTTCTTTGCAGAGAATAGGCCACAGGGGCGAGGGTGGAAGCAGTGAGACTAGTCAGGCAGCTGCTGAAGTGATCCAGCTGAGAGGTGGTTGTGCCTTGGACCAGTGTGGTAGCACCAGAGATGATAAGTGGTTGGATTCTGGGTGTATTTGGAAGGGAGAGCTGACAGGATTTGCTGACAGATTGGATACAAGGTGTGGTTCCAAGGATTTTTTGCCAGGACAACTGGAAATGTGAAATTGCCATCAACTGAGATGAGGACAGTTTTAGGAGGGGTCATTTTTGGGGGAAAAGGTCAGCTGTTCAGAAACGAACATGTTGAGTTTGGGATGTTTGTTAGATGTCCAATTGGAGATGAACACAGGCCCTGCCACCAAGGTGCTCAAAGTGAAAGAAATGGAAATATGGAAGCAGATCATTACCATACCTGTGAAAAGTGGTATTTCAGGAGGGTGTACAGAAAAGCAAGTTATCAGTTCTGCTTGTTGGGGGGAAGGGGACTTAAGAAAAGTTTCACAAAGCAGATGATATTTTCAGTTTTGTCCCAAAGGGTGACTGGGCGTTCATTAGACAGAAAAAAGAAATGTATTGTTTTCTGTACTCCTAGACTTGGCACACAGTGATTGCTCAATCAGACCCAATCCAGTCACTATTTTTGTGAGTCTGGACATTACTTAACCTCTCTGAGACTTGGTATTGTAATCTGTGAAAAGGAAATAATCACAGTGTTCTTGTGAGGGTTAAATGTAGGACACTTAGCACACCACGTGGTACATAGTGGGTTAGTGTTAATTATGGTCATATGAATGAATGAATATCTTCCTTAATGACCAAATCTAGGCTAGGCTGGTAACCCAGGAGCCTAGTCTTTTATATGCTTAACAGTTTGTCAATAGAGATTGCTAGACTCCTTTCAACCTCTGAACTGCTCTGATTGAAAAATAAGCATTGATAAGCCTCGACTGAATGGAGAGGGTCAAACTACCCTCCTCAGGCCCCTTCCTTACCCCCTTTTTTGCCCTATCCCCTTTAACAGGTTCCTTCCTCCCTTCCTCCCACCCTCTCTCTCTTCATTTTTAATGATTGTGAGCAAAATCCCTTCAGACTCATAGTGGGCTTCTCCTCATTCCATAGGCTCCCTGCCGCTCAGACCGGACTGGGTTGACAAGGCTGGGAGGAGGTCAGCCACACTGAGACACTGTGACACTTAACTAGGGAACCTCCCTCCCAACTGCTAGGGCTCCAGCCTGAGACCCCAGGGAGACAGTCGCCCCCTACGGACCAAAAGCGCCCCACACCGCTGCAAGCAGCTCTGGTTGCTAGGCAACCAGGCGATGGAGGACTTCAGGAACGGATTTTCAAGCAGAGAGACCATTTATCTCCCCTTCCACCGCCACTCCGGCTCCTTCAGCAAGTAGACGGGGTTGGGACCGCGCGGTCTGCTGCTGTCTGTCTGATAAGCTGGGCTCATTCTTGAAAATAGAGCTTCACTGAGTGACCTCCATATTGTGCGTGGTGAAACGATCACTCTTGCCCCAAATGTGGTTTCATCTGGGGGCTGGAGACTCGGGTCGATGAAGGTGGAAGTTTCTGATTTGCAAGGAGGGGAGGAGCATTGTTGTGGGTGTGCACCCTTAGTCAATGGGAATTCTAGAAAATTGAGCTTGCGTGGGAATAATTTTGATCAGTCCATCAAGATTTCCTCACGATTCCCAATGTATACATTAGGAAACTCTTACGTTAGCCCATTAAAATAAAAAGGTCAATGGGAATGACAATATATAAAGGATCATTCATACCTCATTGGGGACAAGCAGTGGCTTTCATGAATACGGTTTCTCTCCAGACAAGGGAGAGATCATGAGGTCTGTAAATCCCTGTGAGTTGGGACAGAGCTCAACAAAATGGAAAGAAATAAAAAGAATGGCGGGGTTGGGGGTGTGATAAGCACAGAATCTGGCAGCTTCTGAGCTCTGTGTCTGGTTTGGGGATCCCCAGCTCTGTGCCCCCTGTGTTAGGACCATGCTGAAGCACTCCATCCTTATGAAGGCTGTGGGGGACCAGAAATCCATAGCTTTTCCTTCTAGTAACCTAGCATTCTGGCCCAGGAGTGGGTCCAGGCAGGCCAAGGCCATGACCAAAACAATCTTTCCACTTGGGACGCATCTCTGCCTTCTCGGCTAGTACAACAGAAGCTTGATTGTGGCAGAGCCCCAAGCCATGGCGAGCTTAGGGGAGAGCTGTGCCCAGGAGTCTCCTCGTGGGGTTTCCCTCAAGAGTTCCAAGGTAGAGATACCAGGGTGAGGTAACTAGCATCCAGACAGCATCTGGCCCAGCCACTGCTCAGTCCACATCTCCACAGGGCATAGTGGCAGGGGACGCTTCTTGCTCTCTGTGTTTCCAAACTGAACTGGGTCGGGGCTGTGCTCCTGCTCTATTAATAGCCCCCTAGCCCAGCCTGCTAGCCCCAAACCCGGATGCCAGGAGCTGTGAGTCAGCAGCTAAAAATAACGAAGAGCAACTACATCCGAACCCCAATGAGCAGCTCCCCCGGGTCCTCCGCCCTTAAGTTTTTGTCAGTGTCAGTCTCCAGCCCAGGGCCCAGGGCCTATAGGTTAAACCGCTTTAGCTGTCCAGTTCTCCTGGGAAGAGAGTGAGGATTTCCGGTGGCAGGCTCAAGGCTGCGTACCCAAGGCTAGGGGCTAGGAGAAAGGGGTCAGAGGCTGGCGCTGGGTTGGGGGGCCAGACGCTGGGTTTAGAGGGCCGCAGCTGAGAGTGTGAGAGCTGAGAGGTTGGGGCTGCAGGGATGGAGTTGCTGGAGGTCTTCAGGGTGAGGTTGGGAGGTGAGGGGAGGAAGAGACTGGGCGATTGGGAAGGGACAGAAAAGTAGGGATGGGGGAGGAGGTACGTGCTGAGAGGTGACAGCCCGGCAGTACCGGGCAGACTGGGGGCCCTAGAGCTAAGGCTGGTAGCCAGCCTGAAAGAGAGGGGATGGATCGGGAACCAGGAAAAGTAAGGAAATGCTGCTCGAAAAGGCAGAGTGTAGGAGAGACCTGCCCGGTACACAGCGGCGTGGACTCCCAGGAAGACCAGGACCAGGACCGGATTGCGGCGTTCGCTCTCCGCGCGCCTCCAGCCTCCCCGTGCGTCGCATGCTGGCACCCCCGCCCACCGCGCCAGCTGCAGGTCAGGTACGTGGGCGCGGCCGGCCTCCGGAGCCGGAGTGTGCAGGGATGCGCACGGAGAGGGCGGGGCGGCCAGAAAGGAAAGGGGTGGGCCCGGGAGAAGGGGGCGGGAACACGGATTCAAACTCGCCTGCGTCCAGCCAGATACCGGAAATGGCCGGGGACTCACTGGGAATTGTAGTTCCCGCGGCTGCCCGGCAACCGAGGGTGGGGGGCGGGTCTTGTCCCGAGGATGCCAGTGCTGCCCCAGGTCCCAGTCTGGCGAGAGAGGAGGAACCGAGAACCCGACCTCCCTACCTGGCCGACTCCTTAGTTCTACTTCCCTCCGTGTGGAGATACGAACTAGGTCGAATGTGGGTGTGGCGGAAGACTGTGGGGTCACCACAGAGCCCCTCTTGTCCCCATTTTTGGCTTAGCCCCTCCCTTCTTCTACTAGACTCTTCATCCTCCGTCAGCTCCGCACTGGCCACCTTAGCTGCGGAGCCCAGGGACTCCCGAGCCGCAAACACATTGGGGAACTTGCTCCTCCAAGGGAAGGCTGGGCCGGAAATTGGACCCTGCGCGCAGCCCAGAGGAGCGAAAACTTGTGGAAATCGGACCTTGCCCTCGGAGTCCTGAGTCAAGGACACGAGTCCCCAAGCGGCACGGAAAACAGGTGGCATTCAGCAAATACGTCACGGCGACGACGGATGCGGCCCTCCTCTTGGGGCGGCCACAAGGTGGAGCTACAGTGCAACCCTGCACCGCGCGCCCGGCCTCCGGACGCCCCCGAGGTGGCTGCTCTCCTGCGGGCCTCCCGCGAGCCTCCCGCGAGTCCTTCATTGCCGCAGGTGATTCTCCTCCCACCTCCAACCCACCTCCTCCCATCTCCCCCTGATGGCCCCTCAAGGTCGTGTCCCATCCAACCGTAGATGGAAGGTGCCTCCTTTCCCCAGCCCCTGGGCCGAAAAGATTAGGCTGTGACCAAATGGAGATTACATTCGTTGAGTAACAGATTAAGACAAGATACAGGAACCAACCTGCCTTGAAGAAAAGGCTGCGCACAGCAAAAAGCCACCTGTAAGCACAGAATTACACGGCTAGACGGGCTCTTCAGCTCCTAGCCTCTAGGCAGGAAAACAGCTAAGCTGCAAGGGTCGAGGAAGACAGTACATCGTGGAGTGGCGATGGTGTCTCTATCATCTTACAGTTCTCCGGAAAAGACCATTTCGTTATCTCCTTCAGTCCCTCTTCCAAGCTATCCCACCCCGACACACCCTGTGCCTTCTATGCAAGAACACGTGCACACAAGTCTGAGACATTATCCGAGCAATCTCCCTTTTACTTCCTCTGTTCTAGTTTCATTTGAGGAGAAACTTCTCATTACTCACTCTCTTCCCAAACATCTCAGGTCAAAACCCCAAAGGGAGCAGATTCCATAGCAGCTTAGGGAATGCCCATCACCTGGGCAGAGGGCCCTCATGGTTCAAAACCTCCTGTTGGCAAAGCTCCCCCCACTTGCAACCCACCACCCCTGAAGCATTCCACTTAAGCCACTCTCCAACCCTTGCTGTTTGGGCAATGTAGACTGGCTTGGGTGGGGAAGCAGGGCAGGGCATTCACTCCATCATGAAATTGTTGATCCTTGTCAGCAGCACTGCTGTTTCTAAGCCTGGGGAGGAGGGGGAGGGTGGGTCATCTAGGGAGTTAAGCAAGGGGAAAGCTACAGGAGGAGAAACATGAGGTGAGGGGAGAAAGTTCTTACCAGTTTTCCCTCTCTTCTTAACAAATCTTCTGTGGGGAGAAAAGCTTCCCATTATGAGTTCAGCTAGCTTCAAGCAGGCCCTTCCAGCCCCCACACCTGCTCCCCCCAACTGCCTTTCCTACATTCAAGCCAATTTGATAGTATAAGGAAGGGCCTAAGAATCTCAAAGGAACTAAAGAGACCCCAAGCCTTGGGCAGCATATGTGAGTCTGAAGCAGCCTCATCACCAGGGCCCTGGAGAAAGTAAGGACCCAGAAAGCTGAGGCACAAAGCACTCACCTTTGGAGGAGGAAGGTCCACAAAAGCAGCATGGTGGAAACACAATTGGTAATGACCCATATGATTAGGTAGGTTTGAGGGGTCTGTGAAAATAGGAAAAGGCCCCAAGGGTAGAATGTCAGGGGAAATAAGTAAGGAAGAGAGGGACAGGGTTAAGGAAAACCAGGGATGGGAGAAGAGGAGAGGTGACAGTCCCAGAGCCCTTACAATAAGCCAGATAGGGTAACGCATCTGCTGCAGCAGCTGGCAGTCGTTGGTGGTGACCGAATCCACCCCTGCACACCAAAGCAGAGAGAAGAGCCAGGGCTTGTTCACTACAAATAGGTTCACCGAGACATTATCCTTATGCAATGCCCTGTGAAGGTGGGAAAGAAAATAGGGAATGTCCAGAATCATGGTGCACAGGACATGGGAGGCAGCCCCCTGCCTGTGCTTGAATCTACAGTGCCACTGCCAAGGAGGTATCAGCTCTGCCTTTCCATAGCAGCCCCTGACCAACAATGATTTTCCTTTCATAGCTGAACTCTGTCTTCTGGTGGATTCCACCCATGGGTCCTAGCTTTGCTATCTGGGGCCACACAATGTGTCTCTCCCCTGGGTCCTGAGCAGAGGCCCTGTCTCCCTGAGCCTTCTCTTCTCTAGGCCCCACAGCCCCAGCTCCTTCAGCCATTACTCTTATCATTTCCTTCCCTGTACAAGCCTCTCTAATATGATATATTCCAATTTATCAATGTTCCTTTGAAAATATGGGGCCCGTCTCTGAAAATAATATCCCAGATGGGCTTGGACCAGCCTTTTTTTTTTTGAGACAGGATCTTGCTCTGGAGTGCAGTGGCAGTCTTGGCTCACTGCAGCTTGACCTCCTAGGCTCAGCCTCCAGTGTAGCTGGGACTATAGGTGGGCACCACCATGTTCAGCTGGTTTTTATTTTATTTTATTTTATAGAGACGGGGTTTTGCTATGTTGCCCAGGCTAGTCTTGAACTCCTAGGCTCAAGTGAACCTCCTGCCTTGGCCTCCCAAAGTGCTGGGATTACAGGTGGGAGCCACCATGCCCAGCCAGCTTGGGTCACCTTTGAATAGAGCAAAACTATCTCCTCCTGTCCTCTGGGCACTATGCCTGTATTCAGGTAGTCCAGAGTCAGGTTAGCCTTCGGCAATGTTACATCCCACTGATGACTCACTAGGTATACTGTTCAATGAAAGCCCTGGTCTTTTTCACACATGTTCCTGTTGATGCCAGTGTCTCCTCTCTGGTCTTTGTGCAACTGAAATTCTTTTGGGCCCCAAATAGAGGTCTTTCCATCTATCCCTGGTGCATTTCATCTTGCTAGATTTGGCCTATCTTTTTACAGCACCTAGACCTTTCAGGGCCTCGATTCCATCATCAGTGTATTCAATACCAATTCACATCTTTTGGAAACATGATCAGCAGTTGATTAGCAGCTGATATTGACCAGGACAAGACTAAGGTGAGAACCAAACCCTATGTCATGTCTTCCTCTTTGGTGATAACTCGGGGAAATAAATACTTACATAGCTAGGTGAGATAGCTCATGCTTATAACCGGGAGGCTGAGGGGGGCAGTGGCTCAGGCCTGTAATCCCAGCACTTTGGGAGGCCGAGGCAGGAAGATTGCTTGAGGCCAGTAGTTTGAGACCAGCCTGGGCAGGTAGTAGGAACCTGTCTCTAAAAAAAAAAAAAAAAAAATAGCCTTGCATAGTGGTGTGTGCCTATAGTCCTAGCTACTCAGGATCACTTGAGCCCAGGAGTTCAAAGCTGCAGTGAGCTCTGATCAGGCCACTGCACTACAGGCTTGGTGACAGAGTGAGACTCTATCTCTAAAAAAAATTTTTTTAATTAAAATTCAAATTAAAAAAAGAAATATGTATGATAACTGGGCTATCATTCAGTTCACATTTTTCTATCTGAACACAAGGACCTTATAAGAGGCTTTAGCAACCAGATGCTTTGAAGTCTGTCATGGTTCAGCTGGGTCAGCTTCTGGGGCTCAGCTCACATCTGGGACTCTCCCTGATTCACGCTCTCTTACCCTGATGTCTGTTGTGGAATAAAATCCTTCCCGTGGCCTACAAGGTCCTACCCAATTTGGCCCCTGCCTGCTTCTCTAGCTTCCCCTTCCCCTTGCTCATTAGACTGCTGTTCCTGTTCTGCAGCTCATAGTTAGCTCCCTGTGACCATTCAGGTCTCAGCTTAGATATCACCTCTTTAACCAGCCTTCCTAATGTGGGTGCACCCACCTCCCTGCCCCAGCCCATCACTCCCAAACCTAACCACTCTTCTACATCTCTCTGTTTTGTCTTCATAACACTTTTTCACTTTTCAATATGCATGTATTTTGTTAAGTGGTTTATTCTGTTTTCTTCAGTAGTACATGTATTCCACAAAAGCAGGAACCTTGTCTGTCTTATCTGTGTTGTTTCCCCAAAGCCTGCAATACTACCTGATACATGGCAAGTGTTCTGTAAATACTTTTTGTGTGAGTGAATGAATCAAGAGGCTTTGCTCTCCCTGAACTGGTTCTTCCCTGCCATTAAGCCTCATGTGATCCCCTTGGTTCCTTTCCTCTAGCACTCACTTGATATCCAATAGTGGCAGATCTTGATAGGGGAGGTTAAGAAACTGGGGCCTCTCCGTTCTGTTGCCTCCCTGACGTCCATATATCTGGCGCATTCCAGGTGCCCGTCGTTGGACATTAGCCCGATCTTCATCTGGTAGCCAAAAGACCTGTGGTTCAGGAAGGATGGGTGTGAAGCTGGGGAAGACCTAGGGATTCCAAGGGCAGGGACAGGGGCAAACAGTTTTGACCACAGAATGGGGTATGTGAGCTGGGGCAGGGCCCTGGGGGTAGGGGCAGCCTCAAAATCATCCTCATCATCATGGCCTAGGGAAGGCAGGGTGGGGAGAGGGGGTCCTGGCAACATCACCATGGCTTGGGGCACCCTTGCATTCAGCACAGTCTCCAATGTCTGGATCACAAAAGTGTCATAGTATGTGTGGTTCTGTGGGGGTCGGCGCAAGTCGAACATGATGGAAAGGTTGAGGGCTGCAGCTTCCTCCAATAGCTCTTCTAATGCTGGTACCGTCTGACTCTCAGCCTCTTTCTGATCAGGGCCTGCCAGCGGTTTGGCCCCCCAGAAGGGTCGCCTCTATAAGAAAGAACAATTATTTCAAGACCAGAAGAGGCTTCCAGGCCTTGCCCCCATCCTCACTATCTTCACTCATATCTTCCACTTGGTGTCCAGCTTCTTTCCACCTCTGAGCCAGGGCCTTTTTCCAAACTGTGGCCTTCTTCCAGACCGTCTACCATCTTACTCTGTGACCTCAACCTCCTACCCTTCCAGTTTCCTAACTTTCTCTCTCCCACTACACCTTCTCTTTGGTCTCAAGGAGACCTCTGCAATCTTGACCCTTTGGTTTCTTCCCAGTTCATCAGCCCCTTTCTAGCTGCACCTACATCCCTTACCCATGGTCCATCCACAGCTTGAACTACTTTTCCATAGCACTCTCAGCTCCCTTTCTGTCCCACTTGCCCTACAACTCCCAGACTCTGATTCAATTCTACAATTGTCTGCCTCCTCCACCCCTAGAACTGGGGGCTGAGCGCTGCCATGGGCAGAGTACACAATGTGGGCTGTTGGCACTGCAGTCCTTATTTTTCGCTCTCAGCGCTGCTTAACAATCCTTTTACTTGCTCTTGATTTGCTCCCTCTCCCATTCCCCCTAGTGTTATTCCAAGCCTCTGCTACTCTCCTCTCCTTATTCTCAATGAATGACCTCACTTCCTAATTGCTGACATGGATAAAGCTAGCTATCTAACACTTATTAAGTACTTACTATGTGCCAGGCAGTGTTCTAAGTACTTTATGTGCATTGACTGATTTAATCCTCCCAATAACCCTACAAGGTAGGTACTGTTATTATTCCCATTGTACAAATGAGAAAATTGAGGCACAGAGAGACTAAGAAATCCTGCCTCGGGTCACACAGCCAGTAAGTGGTATAGCCAGGGTTTAAACCCAGACATCCTTTGCTGTTAATCACTCTGATCTGATATGATGTAAAGAGTTAAATGGAAAAGAAGCAAATTGCAAAAGAGTCTGTGTAATGATTCTGTCTGTGCAAAATAGAGAGAGAGAGAGAGAGTTTGTGTATGCAGATGCACCTTGACTTATGATGGAGTTGTGTCTTGATAAACCCATTTTAAATTGAAAAGATTGAAAATCAAAAATGCATTTAATATACCTAACCTACTGAATATCCTAGCTTAACCTAGCCTGCCTTAAGTGTGCTCAGAACTTACATTAGCCTACAGTTAGGCAAAAATCATCTAACACAAAGCCTATTTTATAATGAAGTATTGAATATCTCATGTGATGTATTGAATATTGTACTGAAAATGAAAAACAATTGTTGTATGGGTACTCTTAAGTATAGTTTCTACTGAATGTATATCAATCTCAAATCATCATAAAGTAAAAAAATCATTAAGTGGAACCTCATAAGTCGGGGACTGTGTGAGTGTGTGTGTGTGTGTGTGTGTGTGTGTATCCAACTGTTAACAGTGAATATTTCAGAGGGACTGGATTATGGGAGACTTTGATTTCTATGTTATTTCTTATTTCTCTGATGTTTTACTTTTTACAATGAACATGTATTACTTTTACAATCAGGGGAAGAGGAACTGAAAAAATTCAATATCCTTTTAAATATTTTGTACCACTTACAGGATTGAAGTTGACACTTCTGGGCCAGGCATTCGGAGCTCTTCAAGGCCAAGCCTCTGCTCCCTACCACTCCCATGAATTGTCTCTCTCAGTTACATTCAGCCACATTTTATTCCTGGAAACACCCTTTTTCAGACTTCTGGGCTTTACGTGTCCTCTTCCCTCTGAAGGAGTTCCTGTTCCCTGCTTTGTGCATCTTAGAAGAAGACTTTCATCCTCTCCTGTATGAATCCACTCCTGATTCTCTCCCAGGCAGGAAAATGTTTTTATTGCTCTGGGTTTCCTGAATCGTCTGCTGCCTAGGCTCTCTACTAGGTGGAAGTGACTTGAGAGCACAGACTATGTTCTTATTGCCTAGCACAGGGCTGAGCAAATGCTTATCAACAGAATGAACTCTGCCCTCTCTGAGTGTCCCTGCAGATGGCTGCCTCTTTGCAGAGGCTGTCCTCACCTCTAGGAACCAGGATCCAGCATTGAGTCTCTTCAGTTCAGTCCAGGAGAAGTCACTGCTGTGGGCTGTGATTCGGGTTGGGAATACAGAGGCTACATTCGTGGTCCTGCTGAGGTGCTCATCATGCATGAGGAAGGGGACCCCATCGGAGCTGAGGGCACAAGGGGTGTCAGAGGGCCAAGCTCTGGGGCTGGTCATCATGTCCTTCAGCCCCCCAGATCCCCTAAGCCCCAGCTTCCCTCACCTGACCATCACATCAGTCTCAAACACAGTAGCTCCGCATTCAGCTGTCTTCCGCAAGGACATCAGGGTGTTCTCGGGAGCCAGCTGGGAAAGGGAATAGGTGATGAGGTAGCAGGGAAGGGTGGGAGACTGGGAACCCACAGGCCTGGTCGCTATGGTGCAAACGAGCAGACCCTCCCCACCCTCCCAGCATTCTGTCCAACACTCACCATGGGGGCCCCTCGGTGTCCCACCAGCCCAGGCTTGGGTGGTAAGTCTCTGGGTTCCATGATGCAGGGTGAGGAGATGCATAGGGGGGCCAAGTAGATGACCAGGACAACTCCAAAAAATAGGAGCAGTAGCAGAATCTTGGGACCTGTGGGGAGTGGGGGACAGGCTTTCAAGAATGGGCAAGGGGAGAGCTCTGGGGATGGAAGGCAGAGTGCAGGTGGCAGAGCATGAGTGGCCAGCAAGGGTGAGTGGGGCAGCAGCGTTGGCACCTCTTCGGTGGATACGGTAGAAGGTATCAGCCACAGGCCAGGCCAGGAGGGCAATTCCAGCGGCTGCTCCAATATGAAGGAATGGGGCTGTGGCCTGTGGACAAGAGCTGGTGAGGTGGGCTCTTCTCCAGTGCCCCTCCCCGCTTTCCTCTTAGGGCCTGACTGCTGGAGTTCAGAGCTACCTGCAGTCTTGGGGGAACAGGAGCGAGATATGTTCTAGGGTTGGCTGCAAGCCAAGGCTCCCGTCTAGACACTGGAGGTTGGCCACTCACCTGCAGTGACACACGCAAGCTATGCCACTCCTGCTGCCATTGGATGTCCAGTCCCACAAGGCCAGCCGCCACAAGCAGCATAATGAGGAGCAGCAGCACCTGGGGGGCCAGGGATGAATGAGGCCTCTTGGTCAATTTGGGCTCATGGTTGGTGAGCTGCTCCTTCACTCTATAGAGATGGGACCCGACCCTTCCCTTCCCCTGACACATCTGCTTTCCTCCTTTCACTCAACACTTACTGGGCTTCAGGTCCTGGGCTTGACCCCCCGGGGGTATAAAAGTGAGGTCCTCAGCAAATAGCCAGCCAAGTGCTGAGCCCAGTGGCCCCCTCTCCCATGCACTCCCATCCCTACTGTACCTTGTGGAGGCTGTGCAGATGCAGGGGCTGTCTACAAAGCCGCAGGAGCAGGGCCAGGACCTAGAGGAAGAGAGCAGTGGGACTTATGGGGTGCCAAGAGGGGAGCAAGGTTACTGAGGTGGGCTTCCCAGGCTGGTACTTCCCTCCTACCCAAGAATTAGCCCCCTCCCTCAGTGGCCAGGATGAGAATAGGGAGCTAAAACTAAGCAGGAAGGAAGGCTGAGGTGGGGTTAGGCCAGCGGCCTCCGGACCCACCAATAGCAAGGATGCATATGTGACCAGTAGAGAGATGACCAGCAGGAATGCCAGGGACCAGTCCATCCAGTGTCCCCAGCGGCGGAAGAGGAATCTGTGGGAGGGGAGAGGGAGGTGTCCAAGTGGGGGAAGGGGTGTCAATAGTGGCCTGAGGGGAGGTGGGGTGGGTGGATCCAGGAAGACTAGAAGGGAGTGAGGAGAAAGCCCCTCGTGGCCAGGGGCTCCAAGGATTGAGGAGATTTTGTGGAGGGATTTTCTAAGGAGATTGGGTAGCAGCAGAGCTGGGTTTGAGCAGCTGGGCAGGGCTGGGGGATGACTGACAGTGGGCCACCCCCGGGTCCCAGGGTGGGGAGCAGGTTGACAGGTATGCTGGGGAAGCAGGGGGAATCCATGACACACTCATTGAAGTTGTGCAGGTCATTGAGAAGGACGAGCCCGATGTACAGCCAGCTCAGGGAAAGGAGGAAGGTGAGGAAGAGCAGGCCAAACCAGATACAGTCGCACTGCAAAGGGGCAGGAGAGAAACTCACAACCAATACCTACTTCAAACTCAGAGTCCCCAACGGGTGGCAGCTAAAGGGAGCTGCCTGCCCCGTGTTGGGCTGCTCTGCTCGGGGGGCAGCTCTTTCCATATTTGAGGGAGATTTTCTTCCTGGGAGAGAGAGCCCCTTCCCCCAAGCTGTCTATGAGCACAATTGGCCTCCTTATCCCCTCCAGTGAGCCTCTGCCTTCTGACTTCCAGCCTCCCCCCTCCATCCCTACTCCACCTTGCTGGTTTGCATCCTCTCTCTGGGGCATTTCCTCCAGTGGCAGCTATACAGGCAGTGGAGGCAGCGGGCCCAGACGGAGCAGCAGCCGGGGGACTCGGCCATGGTGAAGGCCTGGGGGAAGGGACACTCGACCATCAGGGACCCTGGCAGAGGGCAGATCCCAGTCTCCCTCCTAGTGTATCTGAGGAGCCCGGGGGAGAGGCAGAGGCCTGGGCCGCTGCTCAGCAACGGAGGTCACGGGGCAGGCCCAGAGTGCCAGAGTGGATGAGGCGAGCAGCCCCAGCTGCAAGCCTGGCAATGGGAGACAGTCTCCAGAGCCTTCGTTTCCCTTTAATCTTGTTACCTGGAGAGTCAGTGGGACACCCAAGAGGTCCAGCCTCTTTTCGGGCAGGATTCATATCCACTCTCTCCAGCTCCTCCCCATTTAACAGCACACACCTCTGGGGATGGAGTGCTTGCCCTGGGGGTAAGAACTCAAGAGAAACTGCCCAGGGTGGGACAAACTCAGTTCAGCAAGTTAAAGCAGGTTTGGCCAAGCTGGAGGCAACCCCATGTTGAATTGCTTTCCAGCCCAGGAAGCAGGAGTAACCTGAAGCAAAGGTTACAGTTCTGACCTGGGGCTAAGGAAGGCCCAGCTAGTTGGCCAGTTGCTATGGTTATAGAGATTATTCAGATCACAAATCCCTGAAAGATTCTCTGTGTCCACCTCTCAGGGGACAAAGGGCACTGCCAAAAAGAGAAAGACTTGAGGTGAACATGTTGCCTGGGTCACTCCCAGTCTTCTAAAGGAATCTTTGGATTTTCAAAATACAGAGCCTCCCCTCAAGTCCTGCCCTTTCCTGCCCAGTCATCCCCCAACCCCAACCAGAAGCCCAGACTCGCCTTTAGGAGCCCCACCCTCTAAGTTAGCTTTGGTGAAAGTACAACAAACGCAGGGCAAAGGTGTGTATGCGGGGTGTGGTTGTCTTGGGGCAGGGGACCCCTGTACCTTATGCTTCTGGGTTTGGCTGACTGAGCTGATCCCCAGACTTGGCTGGGTACGTGACTGATTCTACGCGAGACGGTATGTGATTTGTGTCAGCATTTGCACGCGACAGCACAACTGGCTGTCGGTACAATATGATTTTAGGTGACTTTGAGTATGTAAAGGAGCCCCTGGATACACCCAAAGTGTGTGAGCATGTGTGCGTGCGGGCTGAGGGACAGGACCTCTTGTCCTCAGAGCTCTCCCGAGGCTATGGAGTCTTAGAGGGGTGCACAGTGGGTGGGTCCGGTAAGCAGGAAGGTGTGGCTGCTTCTGAACTGCCCTCTTTATGCTGCCTTGGGAAAGGAGGGTTAGGGTAGGGGTGAGGAGCTGGAGCTGGGGGAAGGAAACCCCTCCCCTCTACGAGACCCTTCCCGGTAAAAAGCCAACCCAAAGGGAAGCCCTTGCCTCTGCCCATCTTGGAGCTGGTTTGATAGCCTGCTCTAAGCTCTTGCCTCCCCTGGGGTCCTACCCCTGCACCCCAGACACTGCCTTCCAGAGTCCCCTCCCTTCAGGAGCTGCCTGTAGGATGGGATCAGGGTCTGAGCAGCCTGAAAACCCCAAGTAGGGTTGCTGACAGGGGTGCCATTCAATCCCCCGGCCCAATCCCAGTGGGATGGAGCTGGTCTCTGCTCCACAGCTCCCACCTGTAGCCCCCCAGCCTTCCCGAACCCTCACACCTTTGCTCAGCGGCAGCTCCGCTCCGCTCTCCTCTCTGCACTGCTTCCCAGCTCCTCTCCGAGTGGTCTGCCTCCTCCCTTTTTCAGTCCTCGGTTCAGCCCTATGAGTCAAACAGGTGGCACTGTTGCCACCTACAGGAGGCTGTGTGGGTCCTCTCCCAAGGCCTGCAGCTGCTCTGTGGCCTGGGCACAGCCCGGGTGGGAAGATGGGAGGGAGGAAGCGGGAGGGAGAGCAAATCTGCTTCTTTACTCGCTGGCGGTCAGGGGGCTTGGGGTGAGGAATTCCTTTGTGCAGGCTTTCCCATCCCTCTGTCCCTCCTCCTGTTCCCCTCCCAGTCACTGCCGGGGCTTTGTCCTGGCTCAGGGAGGCGAGGGCTGAGGGCACAGGCTGGCGGGAAGCTGGTGTGTGTGGGGGGGGGAGGTGACCACACAACTTTGCAACTTGGCAGTGAGGAGAAGAGGCCCAGCCAGCCCACTGGAAAGGCGTGTGTGTGTGTGTGTGTGTGCGTGTGTGTAAGCCTAACATCAAGTCTCAAGCTCCCTGGAAATACAGCCTTGATTCATTAGGCTCCCTCCCCTATTGAGCTCCTACTTCTAATTCAGCAAGGTGCATGTATAAGAAGCTGCAGCCTGGCGCGGTGTCTTACACCTGTAACCCCAACACTTTGGGAGGCCGAGGCGGGTGGATCACCTGAGGTCAGGAGTTCAAGACCAGCCTGGCCAACATGGTGAAACCCTGTCTCTACAAAAAATACAAAAATTAGCCAGGCATGATGGTGTGCACCTACCAAAGACTAGGTAGTTGCATGGGACATCTCACAAGGCCAGGTTTAAAGCAAAGACAAGCCTTGGTCATTTGTCCCAGCTACTTGGGAGGCTGATGTGGGAGGATTGCTTGAGCCCAGGACGTCGAGGCTGCAGTGAGTTGAGATTGTGCTACTGTGCTCCAGCCTGGGCAACAGAAGCTGCAAGCTACTTCCTGAACTCTGGATAGCAAGTTGCCGTTTCTGGACCAGAGGTCCCCATGGGCCTTGTGGATCCTGGGTGACACTAGCAGTTCTCCCACCTTCCCTCATCACCCCAGACAGGAGATGCTCATTCAGGACTTGTGTCATTTCTGCTGCCTTGTCCCTAAGGCATATGAGTCTCTTTCCAAGAATCTTTTGAGGAGTGTAGAGTATATTGGGGTCACAGGCTTTTGGAAGATGAACACATAGAAAAGATGCTGTTACTATAGCATCAGCATCAGCAGGGAAGGGCTGGCTAGCACACTATAGTTTGCTTAGTGCTAAAGCACAGGGGTCTGGGTGGGATGGGGGCCAGGGGCTGGCTTGGTTGACCTCTCCCTCTACATTACGCCTGATGTGGTGACTCGAGGTCTGGGGGCTATTAGTGCAGTGTTGGTGGGAAAGGATGTTTTCTCTGGGGATAAGCCTGCTTACCCCTCCCCCAACACACACTGGATTTCAAACAGTGAGAAGGAAGACTGGCTCTCTTATGCCAAGAGCTGGCCCCCCTCCCACTCAGGCTTCCCATTGTATCCAGAGGCTCTAGTTGGCAATGGCAGAGGCTCCCTTGCTCCCTCGGCATTAAAATGCAAAGAGAAGCAGGGCTGCTTGCTGGCAGGAGGCCAGGGAGGACCAGCAGGTCACCTAGTCCATGGCAGGCTTCATTCTAGGCAGATTGTTGCTCAATTTCTTTTGCTTGGGCTCTGGTGGATTCTAGAGGAGTCTTGGCTTTTGAGTGTTTGGGGATGGTTTGGGAGCTTTTTTGGGGAGAAGGGTTTTGGGATTCAGAATGCATGGATATGAAGCGCAGGGCTTGTGAGCATCTACCTCAGAAGGCTACAAGGCCAGTCAGCAGCTTGTGTATGGCATTCCAGGGCTGGCCCCCTTTTAGCTTTAAGCAGAGATAGAGAACACTGATAGACTGTAAGGCGTAAGCATCTTTCAAAGGAGAATGCAAGGAGCCAGTGCTGTTCTGTCCTGGGACTGGACAGCAGTGTGGTGCAACGCCCCTCCTACACTAAGAAATTAGGCTGCAGGGCATTAGAAGTGGCTGCTGCTGGCACTCTAGAGAGTTGGCTAGAGTGAAGCTTGGATGGTAGCTCTGCGTTCAGGTCCTAGCTCTATTGCTCACTAGCTTTGTGACTTTGGGTAAGTTACTTCTTTATACCCCAGTTTCCTCATCTGCAAAATAAGGACATCTATCTATGTTGACCTTTTTGTGTGTGTATGAAGAACAAATAAAACTGTAGCAAGAACATGGAGATGGTTAGTAAATGCGGTTTCTTCCTCCCAAATCTGGAAGCCAGGCAGGTTCTACAGTGGAGGTCAGGCCACTGGCCTTGCTAACGCGATTCTGATTTCCTAGGGTAGCAGAGCAACATAAAGACACATCACACTCCACAATACCCTCTGGGAAAGAGGGCAGCTACAATAAGGCAGGGAGGCTCAGGTACTTGTAATGAATCCCCTTAATAGCTTCCTCAGGGGCTGAGGAACACAGGTTGAAATTTTATTTCTCCCTCTAGCACAGAAGGATCTTCCCAAACAGTAGACGGGCTAAGGTTTATTTACTTACTTAACATTTAAAAATAATTCATTTGCTTCAACAACATGGCAGACAATCAAGAGTACTATTGAAACATAATTCAGAGAGGGTCAGGACAGGAAAGATCACAACCTCATTCCTGAGGTGGAATGAAAGATCTAAGCCAGGCCTCCATCCTAGGCCAGGCTCCTCCATTAAGCAGAGACAACCAAAAGATAAGAAAGCCTTGGCCTCATCCCCATCAGGAGATAGCCTGAACTGCTCACAAATAAGAAACAACTTGACCAGACTGAGGACTGGTTCCTGATGAGTCAATAGGAAAGTCAGTTGGTTCTCTCTTCAGTAGGTGACTTAGCACCCTTCTGGAGAACATAGAGTAGTAGTCTGGACCTGGAGGCTAAGGCCCACATCCAACAAAGGTTACCTTCTTTTCAGTAACGCTTTGTTCCTTTTTTCAACAGCAAGAAACCTGAAATCCAGAGAAGTCATTTAAAAAACCCCTTCTGGCTGCAACCTGAAAGCATCTCCCAAGCCAGACTGGGGGTAGAGATGATGACTCCAACTTCAGTGGGCCTCTTCTTCGATAGGGGAGCAGCCAGAGAAGAAGCTGGTGTTGCTGGCCAGAGCCCGTTTCTTTTTCTTCCCTGGAGCCTTGTTTTCTTGGTATTCTGTTGCTACATGTTTCAACTCTGGGAGGTCAAAAGGGGAGGGAGCTGGGGGAGTCTTCTTTGACAGCACCTGCTCCACATCGCACATCTCTTTCAGGATCTAGGAGGGACAGAGACAGGTATGAATAGACTTTAGAAAGGGGCAGAAGCTCAGCCCAGCCGAGCTGCTATAGATGCTCGACATACTCCCAGTAGTATGAAGTGTTCTTTAAGATCATTCTATGGAAAAAACCAGACTAGAGTCTATGCCCGATCCCTAGTTCCCAGCAAGCTGATTACACCTTTACTCCACCTGCCTCTCTCCTACTGGTCTCTCATAGATAATGCAGAGAAGGACGCTAATCCAGTTTTCCAATGCCTGCCTTTTAGCCCACCTACCTTGCTATTGGGGGTGGCACAGACGGGATTAAAGAAGCTCAATCCTGGGGTCACCTCGGTAGGATCCTCCAGTTTGAAGGAGCCTTCGGAATCCTGGGTCCGTTCAACAGTGCCCAAGCTATCCTGAAAATCAAGCAGACAGGCATATTATAAATTTGGCTGCCAGGTTTACAAAATCAGTCTGCTCCCATTCAACCAAAGAGGTAACAGCTCTAAGTGCCTGATTAGTCAGCTGAAGCAAGTCTTAGGGAGGCCCTGCTTGGGGAGGTCATAGTGTTTGACACGCTCTGTCCCTGAAGGAATGGAGCAATGCCTGTAGGTGGCCTCTGAAGGCAAAGACTAGGTAGTTGCATGGGACATCTCACAAGGCCAGGTTTAAAGCAAAGACAAGCCTCGGTCATTTGTTTGACTAAACTCCCCCTCTCTACAATTTGCAATATCTCTTTTAGCATCCATACTGGGTGTTCCTTTCAGTTAAGAAAACTGAGTCCGAGAGAGAGACAGATAGAGATGGGAGGAGGGAGGAAGGGGCCATGCCCCTCTGCCTGGAGGCCCTTTCATGGAGCTACTACATGACTCTTGAACGCAAACTGAAAAACCACAGGAATAGAGGATCCTTAAGGTCTCTGCTACTTCTACAGTTCTTAGCCTGACTTCTAGCTTGCCTATCTATGTTAGAAGTCTTTTTTTTTTTTTTTTGAGATGGAGTCTCGCTCTGTCGCTGAGGCTGGAGTGCAGTGGCACGATCTCAGCTCACTGCAAGCTCCGCCTCCCGGGTTCACGCCATTCTCCTGCCTCAGCCTCCTGAGTAGCTGGGACTATAGGCACCCACTACCACGCCTGGCTAATTTTTTTGTATTTTTAGTAGAGACGGGGTTTCACCGTGTTAGCCGGGATGGTCTTGATCTCCTGACCTCGTGATCCGCCCGCCTCGGCCTCCCAAAGTGCTAGGATTACAGGCGTGAGCCACCGTGCCCGGCCAGAGGTCTTTTTAATAGAAGATGCAGGTTGAAACTCTTCACATGTGGATGTTCAAGAAATGCATGATGAATCATCATTAGATTGTGCTTGCTAGAATTACTGTATATCACATATAGAGCTGTAGTAATGCATTTTTGCTATTGCACAGGTAGGTGTAAGGCAGGTATAGGGATCTGACCTGCTTGGTGCTGCTCTTCCCAGGGAACATTTGGTTTTCCTGAGTTTGCTATTCCTGGGAGCAATATTAAGAGGACATTTAGGTTAACTTGGTTTACAACAGTGACTATTAGAAAGGCCTGGTTCCTGTGGGTCTTTTTCTAGAGCCATGGAATAGCTAGCTGGTTGCCATGGAGAGAGTCTAGGTAACGAATGTCTCGAGATGTCAAAAGGATTAACTTCCTGGAAGCTGCTACCTCAGTACGTGGCTCTTACAGTTCCAGTTAAACCTCTGGACTAATTTGATCCTGCATGTCTATATGCCTGTGAATGCCTGCTTTCTTGTCTTTGTCATCTCAAAAACAGTACAGAAACTTTACAGCCAAGCCTGGGGGTGGGGAGCTCTATACCTGGGAATCTCCTGGGAAGTGCTGTGGTTTCTGAAAGGGGTATGTGAACAGGCAAGCAGCAAGGAAAAAGGATTGAGAAGTGAACTGTCTCTTTTTCTGGGTGCAGAGGGAAGGAGAAGGGTTGGAAGAGCTGTGCAGGAGACTCCAGGTTTCAGGATGGAAGGCAGAAAAAGAGGGTGGAAACTAGAGGAAGGTCTGAAGGGAAGGGGAGAGGAAACAGCCCTGATCCTACCTTGCCTTGCTGGCGGTTCCGACACTTTGTGGGGTCACAGCAACAGTCCACACCACAGTCTGACTTTTGCTTCCTGCACCCACACTGCTTGTTTCCACACCAGCCCTTGCAGGAACACTGCAAAACAGGTTTGCAGAAAGACACATTACTGAAAGGGTTAGAAGACTAGTTTAAAATGACTTCCCTTCATTTGCAAGCTTTTCTAGAAAAAAATGGAAAGTACTATTATCTACCAAGCTTCAATCTCCTTAGTCCTCTCTTCTTTGGTGAAAACAATAATCACCAAGAACCGTCATAGGTTTAAAGAGAACAAGTCTTGCCAGACAAATCCATTTCCTTTTCTTTTCTTTTTTTCTTTGAGATGGAGTCTTATTATGTCACCCAGGCTGGAGTGCAGTGGCACGATCTCCGCTCACTGCAACCTCCGCCTCCCAGGTTCAAGTGATTCTCCTGCCTCAGCCTCCTGAGTAGCTGGGATTACAGGTGCCTGCCACCATGCCCGGCTACTTTTTGTATTTTCAGTAGAGACAGGGTTTCACCATGCTGGCCAGGCTGGTCTTGAACTCCCGACCTCAGGCGATCCACCTGCCTCGGCCTATCAAAGTGCTGGGATTACAGGTGTGAGCCACCGTGCCTGGCCACCTGGCTAATTTTTGTATTTTTAGTAGAGACGGGGGTTTCACCATGTTGCCCAGGCTGGTCTCGAACTCCTGACCTCAGGTGATCAGCCCACCTTGGCCTCCCAAAGTGCTGGGATTACAGGCGTGAGCCACCGCGCCTGGCTGAAAAATCCATTTTCTTTTGGACAGAATACTTGAAGGACAGATCAGAGGGATAGCATAATAATGCAAGGCAACCGACAAAGACTCTTATGACAACTTTATGGGTAAAGTGAAGCACTGTGAGCTGGATGGTAGTATAGTTAAGTACATTTAAAAACTAAGTGTAGTTGCTCAGTATTTTTAGAATTACCAAGCTGTACTTTCATCCAGCTCACATTTCTGCATTTTGTCCAGTGTTAGCCTGGGCTTTGTCCTTAACACATTTTGATAAATCACTGATGATATGAAATAAAATCATTTACATTTGATAGCACTTTACAGTTTTCAGAGTACTTTCATGTACATAAATACAAAATCTCATTTGAATCTCATAACTTGTCTACAAGGTAGGCATATTTATCAGCTCTAACAATGACAGAAAGCTGGAAGGATTAGTAATATGTAAGATAAAAGAATCACAATTCAAAAATATTTTGACAGGCTGGACTTAAGGGGTAAAAGTAGAAAGTAAGTTTGTAAGTTTGGTATTTAGGTTCCCCTCAACTCAGCCATATAAATACAACATGGGGAGTGATCTAGCTTAAAAGTAGACCGTGCGGTGGCTCATGCCAGTAATCCCAGCACTTTGGGAGGTCAAGGCGGGTGGATCGCTTGAGCTCAGGAGTTTGAGACTAGCCTGGGCAACATGCTGAAACCCTGTCTCCACCAAAAATACAAAAAATTAGCTGGACGTGGTGTCAACCTCAGGAGGCTGAGGTGGGAGGATCACTTGAGCCTGGGAGGTGGAAGCTGCAGTGAGCTGAGATCGCGCCACTGCACTCCAGCCTGGGTGACAGAGTGAGACCTCGTCTCAAAAAAAAAAAAAAAAAAAAAAAAAGACTGTGCAGAAAAGGGCCTAGGGATTTGAGGTGTAAGCAAGCTCTGTGAGTCAACAGCTTGAAATGGCTGTCCCAAAGCAAATGCAGTCAGGTAGAAATTTGGAGTTCAGAAAAGATGGGGAGTAATTATTTCATTGTACCCTGGCTCAACTGGATCCCATTTGAAATAATGCATCCTGGCTGGGCGCAGTGGCTCACGCCTGTAATCCCAACACTTTGGGAGGCCGAGGCGGGCAGATCATCTGAGGTCAGAAGTTCAAGACCAGCCTGACCAACATGGTGAAACCCCGTCTCCACTAAAAATACAAAATTAGCCAGGCATCATAGCGCATGCCTGTAATCCCAGCTACTCAGGAGGCTGAGGCAGGAGAATCGCTTGAACCCGGGAGGCGGAGGTTGCAGTGAGCCAAGATCATGCCATTGCACTCCAGCCTGGGCGACAAGAGTGAAACTCCGTCTCAAAAAAAAAAAAAAAAAAAAAAAGAAATAATGCATCCTATTTTAGGGCACCATAATTTTGTTCATGTGTACAAAAGCATAGACAATAGCAATAAAAAACCTCACTCATGCCCCCACTAACCCCCCTTAATAGTAAAATGCAGATATAACCAAGGTCTCCTATGCACTCCTTCCTGATCCTATTTGCCTCCCCCTTTCCAGGGATAAACAGTCTCCTGAATTAGGTGTTTATCATTCCTATGTATGTCTCTTACCACATTAGTTTTTTTTTTTTTTTTGGAGACAGGGTCTTGCTCTGTCACCCAGGCTGGAGTGCAGTGGCACAATCATAGCTCACTGCAGCCTCAACCTCTTTGACTTAGTGATCCTCCTGCCTCAGCCTCCAGCGTATCTGAGACCACAAGCACATGCCACCATGCCTGGCTAATTTTTTGGTTTTGTAGAGACAGGGTCTCGCCATGTTGCCCAGGCTGGTCTTGAACTCCTGGCCTCAAGCAATCCTCTTGCCTCAGCCTCCCAAAGTGCTGAGATTACAGGCGTGAGCAACAGCACCTAGCCACACATAAGAGTTTTTGTAAAAAAACAAAAACAAACAAGAAATTGTCTTACACGTTTCTAAACTTTGTATAAATGACATATGTTGATACATATAGCTTCAATTCCATTCATTTTCACTCTATGAAGTTGCCACAATTTACCCATTCTCCTGATAGTGCCATTTTCCATTCTTATAAACAAGGCTGCAGTAGTGATAGCTAACATTAATGTGTGCCAGGCACTGCTATAAGGGCTTTCCATTTATTAAACCAGTTTAATCAATAAGCATGTTTTCTTGTATACACATTCAGGAAGTCAGTGTGTATGTTTTATAAAGAGGATGTTAAACAAAAAAGAGGTGAGTGATCAGAATTATAGGAAGCAATGCTATAAGAAAAATCGTAGAAGAAAGTGGGATAGTTTGGCTTTGAAAAGACAGAGGTGGCTGAGCTCACAGGATGAAGGAACAGAGTGAGAAGAGACCTCAGCGACCACCTAAAGACTGGTTTGATGTATGAAGCCCCTCTTAACATCCCTGGTCTAATTATCTGAAGCTCTATTTATCCTGAGGTGATAATAGTTTCTATATAACTTCTAATCATAGGACCCAATTCTGCCATCTAAAATGACATGGAATCAGTTTAACCCCACTTTTATAGAATAACTGTTCAAACCCTGAACGTAATTTTTACTCCCCAGTCCCCTTCTGTCCAAATCCTCTCAAAGTTAAATGTACCTAGTTCCCTCAATGATTTGCCACATGACATGGTTCTCATGTATCCTCACCACCTTGACTATACACCAATTTGTCAAAGTTCTTCAATTGTGAGATCTAGAAATGAGCACAACTTTCTAAATGTGGTGTGGCCACTGTGAGGTGGACTGTGATAAACACCTCCCTTGTTATGGACCCAGTAGTCCTGTTCATGAGGCCTAAAATCAGTTGCTTTTTTTTTCCTGTCACATCTTTGTGGATTCATACTGAGCTTATAGTCAAATTCAAGCCTTTAAGTTTTTTTCATATGAGAACCATCACCTTTGCTCTGTAGTTGCTCTGTAGAAACCACAATAACATTTTTTTTCTGATTAGCAGAATAATATATATCACTTTACAAAATTTGAAAATCAAAAAACTTGACTTTAATAGTTGTATATATTTCCTCATGGGGATAATGTCGATTTATTTAACCAGTCCCCTAATGTTAAATATTAAGATTGTTTTGAAAGAAATTGTTCACTATTATAAATCATGTTGCAGTAGATATCCTTGTATAGAAATATAATCTAAACTGTACCACGACTGACAAGGCCCTCCATGATCTGGCCCTTGACTACCCATCCCCTGACTGTAGCTTATGCTTGATACATTCTAGTCACACTGGCCTTTTTAGCTGTTCCTTGAGATACTAAGCTCATTCCTGCCCTGAGGTCTTACATTTTCTGTTCCCTTTTCCTGAAATGTTCTTCTGATGCTTTTCCTGACTTGCTCTTCACTGTTTAGGCCTCAGCTTAGATATTTCCTTCTCAGAGAGAGCTCCACAAGCACTCTTCTTTAAAAAAAATTTGTTTTTAGTGAGATGGGGTCTCGCTACGTTGCCCAGCCTGGTCTTTAACTCCTGACCTCAAGCAGTCCTCCCACCTCAGCCTCCCAAAGTGTTGGGATTACAGGCATGAGCCACCGTGCCCGGCCTACCCAAGCACTCTTTTTTTTTTTTTTTTGAGATGGAGTCTTGCTCTGTCTCCCAGGCTGGAGTGCAGTGGCGAGATCTCAGCTCACTGCAACCTCTGCCAGGTTTAAGCAATTCTTGTGCCTCAGCCTCCTGAGTGGTTGGGATTACAGGCGTGCGCCATCACGCCCGGCTAATTTTTATATTTTTAGTAGAGATGGGGTTTTGCTGTGTTGGCCAGGCTGGTTTTGAACTCCTGACATCAAGTGATCCGCCCACCTCGGCCTCCCAAAGTGCTGGGATTATAGGCGTGAGCCACTGCGCCTGGCCCCAAGCACTCTTCTAAAGTGCTCTTTTCCCATCCCACATTCTCTATGACTTCACTATATTTTCTTTTCTTTTTCACTCATCACTATCTAAAATTATTTTATTTTTCTGGTTACCATGTGTCTCTCCCCACAAGAATACCAGTTTCATGAGGGTAAAGAATCTCACCTGCCTTGTTTCATGTCTTCTCAGCATCTAGAAACAGTGCCTGGCACATAGGTGCTCAGAAAAAAATTTGTCAAACGAATAAATACATTTACATACCAATGTCTACTTCCTCAGTATAAATTTGTATGTGTAAAATTACTGGGTCAAAGGATAGAAACATTTTAAAGGCTACTGATACGTATTTTCAAGTTGCCTTCCTGAAAGGTATACCAATTTATATTCCTAATAGCAATACAGAAATGCCCTTCTTTTTTTTTTTTTAAGACAGGGTCTCACTCTGTCACCCAGGCTGGAGTGCAGTGGCATGATCAGAGCTCACTGCAGCCTCAACCTCCAGGGCTCAAGTGATCCTGTGGCCTCAGCCCCCACTGAGTAGCTGGGACTACAGGTGTGTGTCACCATGCCAGGCTAATCTTTTGTATTTCTAGTAGAGACAGGGTTTCACCACGTTGCCCAGGCTGGTCTCAAACTACTAGGCTCAAGTAATCTGCCCACTTCAGCCTCCCAAAGTGTCGGGATTACAGGTGTGAGCCATGGCGCCCGGCCAGAAGTGCCCTTCTTAGTCACCCTTGCCAACGCTAGACATTATCATAACAAAAAATCTTTGCTGCTTTAAGACAGGATGAAAGATGGAGTTCTATGACATGTCCTGGTGATACTTCACCAGGATGACAGTGATCCATTGATTGCTACAGCCTGGGTATGGTCCTTTGGCCATTTACAAATTCATCTAAATGCTTCAAAAATGCTGTTACCTCATCCATGTTTCTCTATTTTATCCTAGGGATAATATCATGAAAGCAGTATCTGAAGGGCTGTCATAAAGAATGATTAGGCTCTTACACAGCCAAGACCTACTGGGATGATGTATAGGACAGCACATTTCAGCTAAACAAGAAGTAACTTTCTAACAATTAGTGGAATCCAATGGGTTGTCCTATAAGACTGTGAGCTTCCCCCTACTAGAAGTCTTCAAGCAAGAAGAGGTTAGATAAATACCTGGTAGTGGTATTATAGCACAGTCATGACATACATGACAGATGTAGTTGCGTGAATGCCAGGTACATGAGCTGTAACTTCATCCTATTCTCTCTCACACCAAGAAGCAGATTAGAATGTCAAAGACAGAATGTGTCCCTATCACAGGCATAACTACAAATGTATTTAATACATGTATACAGGGTGGTGTGTGTGTGTGTGTGTGTGTGTATCACAACTGCTGGCAACCCACCAGCATGTCCCAGCACCGTAGTTGAGAAGTAATAGGGGGACTCTTTTTTTTTTTCTTTTTCTTTTGTAGAGATGGGATCTTGCTATGTTGCCAAGGCTGGTCTTGAACTCCTGGCGTCAAGCAATCCTCCCACCTCGGCCTCTCAAAGTGCTGGGATGATAGGCATGAGCAACCACACCCGGCCAAGGGATTCTTTGTAGAGAGTGGAAAGCAGAGTCTGGGTTTCCCCTAAGCCAGTTGTTCTCAACTCTGGCTGCACATAAGAAATCTCTGGGGAGCTTTTCAAAAAGTCCATGTCCTACCTCAGACTAATTACATCAGAATATCTGGGGGTGGAGTCCTAGGCTCCATGTTTAAAAGCTCCCTTGGGTGTTCCAATGTGTGGCTAGACTTGAGAACTACTGCTTTAGAGTCCATAATTCCTCTAGCACCAAGCTCAGTGTTACACTGTACCTCATACTTCAGAAGGATGAGATCTGGTCCAAAAAAAAAAAATACCAGGATTGGTAAGTGATGCTGTGGCAAAAACAAAAAACAAAGAATACCAGACTAGGAATTAGGAGACTCAGGCTCTAGTCCTATATTTAATGCTTGGCATGACCTTGGACAAGTCACTTCATCCAAGTTAATCTCCATTCTTTTTTTTTTTTTAATTTTTAAATTTAGAGATGGGGTCTTGCTCGGTCACTGAGGCTGGAGTGCAGTGGCACAATCATAGTTCACTGCAGCCTTGAACTCTGGGCTCAAGTGATCCTCCCACCTTGGCTTCCCCAAGTATTGGGATTACAGGTATGAGCCACCGTGCCCAGGCTATTCCTTCATCAGTAAGGTAGAGGCAAAAATACCTGCTTCCTCTTTTCTGCCAAATGTGACAAATGAGAATATTTGTAAAATGCTTACAGTGCTTTAACAACAATATCTGCATGATACTGTATCCTTCACAAGGTGCTTTTGCATATATTCCTCCTAACTTTTCAGATACCATATAACACCATATAAAAGCATTGTTATTAAAACCCATTTACACAACTTTGACTGTTACTTTGACTCAGGATATTAGTCCTAGAAGGAACCTTATACATAATCTGTTCTAGACCAGGGGGTCCACAACCCCTAGGCTGGGGACCAGTACTGGTCAGTGGCCTGTTAGGAACTGAGCCACACAGCAGGAGGTGAGCTGCAGGCGAGCAAGCATTACAGCCTGGGTTCTGCCTCCTGTCAGATCAGTGGCAGCATTAGAATCTCATAGGAGTAAGAATCCTGTTGTGAACTGCACATGTTGCGCACTCCTTATGAGACTCTAACTAATGCCTGATATCTGAGATGGAACAGTTTCATCCCCAAACCACCCCCACAACCAGTCCGTGGAAAAACTGTCTTCCACGAAACCGGTCCCTGGTACCAAAAAGATTGGGGACCGCTGTTCTAGACCCTGCATTGCATAGGTAAGGAATCTGAGGCCCAGGGAGACTGACTTGCTCAAGGTTACTCAATGAACCCGTGGCAAACTCAAGACCCATGTCTATCTGGCTTCTAGGTTACTACTTTTTCTATGATAGCACATGACTTACCCCCCAGCATCTCCTTAGTACATATAGGAAATGTGGCTGAGTGAGGAAGCCATTAACTCTGGACAAGTCATCATTTTGGTGCCTGCTTCAGTCTCCTTTTCAGTAATCTAGTGATAGTCCCAGCCAGCTTCAGCTGGGTTGAAGCAGTAATAATAAAGGTCCTCTGTGAAGCATCAAGTTCTACAGGTAATATGTCTGCAAGCAGTCTGATCAAAGAGCAGTCATAGTATCCATGTACTTTCAGACTGCCAAAAGGTAACTTTAGAGAAACCAGATTTTATGCTAACTTGTTCCCTTTAAAGCCCAGTTATATTCACTTTCCAAATTATAAAATCAGGGGAAAAGCCTAGAAAACAGTAATTCCTCATTGTTTTAGACGTAGGATTTATCACTAATAGTAAATATTATTTACTGCAATATTTGCTATACTTCTATGTTGCCCTTTTAAGCTTAGAGCAACAGTGCTCTAATAAATATATGAAGCTTTCCTTGAGGACAAGTATACCTGTATTCACCTCATATTTGGAAATTCCTTTCCAGGGCTTTAGGCCCTCTACCATTTTTTTTCTTTTCTTTTTTTTTTTTTTTTTGAGACAGTCTTGCTCTGTATCCCAGGCTAGAGTACAGTGGTGTGATCTCAGCTTACTGCCATCTCCACCTCCTGGGTTCAAGCGATTCTCCTGCCTCAGCCTCCCAAGTAGCTGCGATTACAGGCATGCGTCACCATGCCTGGCTGATTTTTGTATTTTTAGTAGAGATGGGGTTTCGCCATGTTGGCCAGGCTGGTCTCAAACTCCTGACCTCAGGTGATCCGCCTGCCTTGGCCTCCCGAAGTGCTGGGATTACAGGCATGAGCCACGCCTGGCCTCTACCATTTTTCTGTGTGTACTTCTCAACTCTGCCTCCTATTACTTAGCTGACCTTTTAATCTACATTCAGCTCATGCTCTCTACTTCAACTATAGTAAAACGTCCATAAATGTTTGTTGAGTAAATGAAAGAAAGAGACACGCTCTGCCCCATTTTCTCTAAGTGTCCCAACTCTCTGTTCCACTACCATCTTCAAGTCTTAGGAATATGCTATTCATTGTGCCAGAAATGTCTCCCAGTTGCTCCCAAGACTGTATTTCCCTTTCTGTCTTACAACGCAGCAATAGTCACCTCTTTCATGGCATTTTCTTAAATTACACCTCCTTGGTTTGGCTTTATAGTCACTCTTAAAAACTTGCACGGTGGCTCATGCTTGTAATCCCAGCACTTTGGGAGGTCGAGGTGGGCAGATCACCTGAGGTCAGGAGTTCGAGACCAGCCTGACCAACATGGAGAAACCCCATCTCTACTAAAAATACAAAATTAGCTGGGCATGGTGGCGGGCACCTGTAATCCCAGCCACTCAGGAGGCTGAGGCTGGAGAATCGCTTGAACCCGGGAGGAGGAGGTTGTGGTGAGCCAAGATCGTGCCATTGCACTCCAGCCTGGGCAACAAGAGTGAAACTCTGTCTCAAAAGAAAAAACACAACAAACAAACCAAAAACTCCCCGGTCCATCTCCCTGAGACGAATATGCTGAGGTTCTATGGTAGGCTTCTATTCCTTTACCTTGTTTTCCCATTAGATTATAAACTCTCTGAAGCTAAGGATGAGCTCTTAGTTTCACTATGAGCACATGATATGTTGCATTCTTGATGATTCTGACTGACCAAATGACTTACCACCATGGCTGTCTATATCTTATGACTTGCTTCATCCTGGTGGTGTGGGTTTATAAGGCTTAGTTCCCCAGGTGATGAGCTATAGGCTAATCAAATCAAATAATGTAGGAAGCCAGCTAAGATAACTTGTGAACTGTTCTCTTTAAGTGGAATGTGGCTGCAGGGCACAGTTGGGGGTAGTGGTGCTGAACTGTAATGCCTGGGAAGTTAATGTTTCAACATAAAACATCTAGGTTTGAGTAGGACTATCATTGTATAAGAAAATAAAGCATGCCTAAGTCGGATTGTTCCTAAGTAGCCTTAACTTAGTGTGTTTGATCTTAATTATTAGCTTTTTCTGTAATTCTTTTTGTTCCTTAGCCTAGAGAGTAAAATTACTCTGTTAGGCAAAGATAAAGTACCCACTCAACTTCTGGTCTATGGTTTTTACTGACATAACCATGATGTGGGGGAAACAAACTGGACTTGGAGTCAGAATATTTGGTTTCAAGTCCTGACTATCACTTAGTTTTACGACCTTGGGCAAGGTCATTTCCCTCCTGTGGGTCGGGGGTCCATCTGGAAAATGCAAATAGTAAATATCTCACTGGATTTTTTTTTTTTTTTGAGATGGAATCTCACTCTTGTTGCCCAGGCTGGAGTGCAACGGCATGATCTCGGCTCACTGCAACCTCCACCCTCCCAGGTTCAAGCGATTCTCCTGTCTCAGCCTCCTGAGTAGCTGGGACTACAGGCATGCGCCATCAGGCCCAGCTAATTTTGTATTTTTAGTAGAGACGAGGTTTCTTCCTGTTAGTCAGGCTGGTCTCGAACTCCCGACCTCAGGTGATCTGCCCGCCTTGGCCTCCCAAAGTGCAGGGATTACAGGCGTGAGCCACTGCGCCTGGCCCTTCACTGGATTTTTTGTGGTGATTAAAAGTGGTAATATATATGAGAATGGTTTATAAACTGTAAAGTGCTATAAAAACATGAAGAATTGTTATGATCATTTTGGGATCAGCTTCAATGAAATGGTATGGAACATTACCTATTCAAATTGATAAGAACCTGAAAACAAGAAGAGAGCCAACTTGTGCACTCAAGCAGCCCTCTATACTAGCCCCAGGTTCTACACAAAGATGGCCCAACAAGCCCCCCTTTAGTGGAGTCAGTGCCTCTAAATGATAGCTAAAGGGTATGGGGCCAACACATTCCTAGATTCAGAAAACTATCCCAGTGGCAGTGAATGAATACTAAGAATTAGAACCCCTGACAAAGTTGAAGAGCTAGGCCGGGCACGGTGGCTCACACCTGTAATCCTAGCATTTTGGGAGACTGAGGCAGGCAGATTGCTTGAGGCCAGGAGTTTGAGACTGGCCTGGTCAACATGGTGAAACCCTGTCTGTACTAAAAATACAAAATTAACTGGGTGTGGTGGCACACGCCTGTGATCCCAGGTACTCAGGAGGCTGAGACACGAGAATTACTTGAACTTGGGAGGCAGAGGTTGCAGTGAGCCGAGAATGCACCACTGTACTCCAGCCTGGGCGACAGAGTGAGACTCTGTCTCCAAAAACAACAACAACAAAACAAAAAAAAAGTTGAAGAGCTGGCTCCTACCCCTTGGATGTTCTTCCTGGACACCTTAACTAATTTTGTTGGCTTCCATTCCTCGTCATCCCCCTCATCATCATCACCATCACCATCCTCATGCTCATTCACAGAATGCTCTGAACAATATTTTAGATCCTCGATGTCCATGCTTTGCTCCAGGAACTTTTCTTTAACACGAGAAGGTTTTGGCTAGGAAAAAAGGTTTGGAGTAGTTTAGTTATTTAATAAAAACTAAAAACTATATATGCATCATATCTTCCCAGTAGCTGTTGCCAGCTATATTCTCAGAGCAAAGATTTCAGACTCTCTCAAATCCACCCCACTTGGCTTTACCAATCAGAAGAAATTCTGCTTTAGCCTATGGCTTTGCAGAGTCTTTGAAGGCAGTGAAATTGGAGGCTGACCAATCTGAGGGAGGAAAGGGAAACTCATGATATGATGAGATAAGTATCTTTGGATGGACAGCTGAACATTATTGCTCTTTTCTCCTGTCCCTCCTCCTCAGTTGTGTTAGGTAATGCCTGTCCATGGCCCAAAGTCAGCCTTCTGAGGAGTAAGAATGCCTACTTTCCTTAGGATTGAACTGTAGTTTTATCTGGGACTCCAAAGAAAAGTGAGATGCTAGAATTTGGGAATTTTAACTGTCAACCTCTTATAAAGGGCAATTTTAGCACACTCACCCCAAACCTAAGCTGTGCAAAGGTATCACAGGCACTGATCATTTTACCTTAGGTGGGACATATTCAAAAGAAGAGTCTGGAGATAGAAGGGTATCCTTAGGAAGATGTTTCTGTCTGCTGGCTACCTGGAGGAGGGTCAGTTTCTATTTGAAAAGAAGAGACAAAGTATATAATGCAGGGCAGCTTCTGGGAGTGTTCATGGCTAAAACAGATACCAGACCTAGGCTAGCTTAACGTTAAACCATAGTAAAGTGATGCAGGATTATAGTAGAGTACGTTGACTCCCACTTTCCAATATCAACAATATTAGATTCAGAAAATGGCAAATTTAAAAACTTATGTTTATTCCACTTTGAAATGCATATGTCACATGGAAACTAAATGTAGACCTCATGAAATAAAGCCAAGTCACCACAATGGGGGTTGGTCCCAAGAGCTGGCCTCAGTAGCAACGGGGTCTCTTAGGGCTTATCAAGTGGGTGGGAAACTGTATTACCTGCTTGATGATTTCATTCTCTCGGAGAAGCTGCTGATTTTGCTCACACACTTCTCGCATTTTCTCAAGTTCTTCATCCTATTTCCAGATAGTGCAGTGATATATGGGGTTATTTTGGGCACTACATGTGGGTTACCAAACAACTCACATAGATGAAAACATACTGCTGCCAAGTTGCTGGCAGCAGATGGTTTTTGCACAGCAGGCACTGGCACCCAGAAAAATGTCTGATTCCCAGTTCCTAGGTGCCCTGAATGCCACTTCCATTCCAATGCTCCCCAGCAGCTCTGACCACATTCATAGGAACCGTGGACTCTGCCCGACAAGCCTTCCTTATTCTTTTCCATTCCTTAGCTTCATATCCCTTATTCACATTCGGATGCTGATTAAGAAACCCGCAGAAACTTAGCTCTATTTTCTTGAAGTCTATAGATGCTTCTCTTTACCCTTCTCAACATAGACTAGGCAGTTTACTTGCTACTTTAGTAAGCCTGACCGAACTACCTGGCACCTAAGACACCCAGATTCATGCATACAACCTTAACTAGTTTGCTTATGTCTTAGATGGAAGGTGCCAAGGAAACCCTACAGACTGGTGGTTCAGGAAAAAGATTCTAAGTTAGACTAAAATAGTGCTACAACATGCCACTAAAGGGTGTGGTGTTCCTAGCCTCTGGAAGAAATTCAGACCCCAGGCATTTTACAAATATGTCAGGTCTCAGCACAGAAGAACAAGCTCTTCATACCATTTGAATGGCCCTAGGATTCTAAGTAACTACTGGATGATTTCACTTCCTCAACTCTTTAGAGCTCAGGGTTGACGCCAAGAACCACAAGGCCTCAGAGTCTGATATGGAGTATGTGCTGCCATTTTGGTACCCAAAATGAGGTTATTCCTATATATGGCTACACTCTAAGCACCCCTAACCTGATCAAATAGGGCCTAAAAGCAGTAGAGGCTACCATTATAAATACTTTTTCCAGTAGTTAATTACTCTCTGCTGCAAGTACAAGGGTCTAAATGAGACAAGATTCTCAGTTAGTACTGTGAAACTCATCTCTGGAGACCTCTCGTGATCATACCTGACACTTCAGTGTGCTCAGCAGCTGCTGTTCCTTTTCACTGACTGATTCCTCTAACTGCTTCTCTGCCATTTGGCTTTGCTGCAGCTGGCTGAGAAGGTACAGCACCTAGAGAAAGACACGATCCAATGGGTGGTAACAAAGGTACCAAGGGGAAAAAGAAATTTTGACTTAGTTCAAGCAGTGATCCAGGTGACTGCTCTCTTGTGATTTAGAAGTAAACTGTTCTCATTTGCTGTCATGGCATGAAGTAGTAAGTACAGCATGGATGTTTCTCAGCATAGTTTTTTTTTTTCTTTCTGTTGCCCAGGCTGCAGTGCAATGGCACGATCATGGCTCACAGCAACCTCTGCCTCACGGGTTCAAGCGATTCTCCCACTTCAGCCTTATGAGTGGCTGGGATCACAGGTGCACACCATCACACTCAGCTAATTTCCTGTAATTTTTTGTAGAGATGGGGTTTCACTCTCCTGGACTCAAGCAATCTGCCTGCCTTGGCCTCCCAAAGTGCTGGGATTACAGGCACGAGCCACCACGCTGGGCCTGTTTCTCAGCATGTTAATATTGTTAATATTCATATTTAAGTTGGAAACCCAGAGCCATTGTCACTGGTATGTATAAAGTTAGACAAGTCACGTCTCTGCTTCAGGTTTCTTTTTATTTGCAAAATTTAGAAAAGGCCACGTGGACTTTTGAAAGAAATTTCATATCCCCACTTTTTTTTTAAAACTAACAATACAAGGCAATGATAGTTTCACAGTATAGCTTCTTGACTTGCTAGAGTTTACCTTCTCTTGGTGCTGTTGCTCCATTCTGACCAGCTCAGCTTGTAACTCTGTCTCTATCTCGGCAAAATGATTTCGTTCCTCAAACAGCATCTTCTGCATGTCAGCACAGCTGGTCTTGCTCTGTTTCAGGCTGCTTTCAAGTTTGCTGACCTGTATTTTGGAGGAGACCAGCTGGAAGGAATAAAAGAAGATCAGTTTATTTGAAGAATGACCACCTTTCTTTCCCCCTTTCAACAGGCAGGATAATGTCAGCTTTCTTGAAAGGGTCTGAGAAAAATTCCTCCATGTTCAAGTCTATTCTTATTTTTTCATGTCATATGGATTCCAACATTGAATAGTAAATATACTATTGTTCTATTCCCAGGCCAAGAGTCCACATTTCTGCTGAGACATGTATCTTGGGGCTAGAAGCCACTGCTAAGGCCATTTTATTTCTTGCTCTGCCTCAAGGCAAGAATAAAGCTAACCCGAATAGTATCTGACAATTACAAATTCTGATATTTAAGAAGTTCTTCCTTAATTTTTAAGCAAAATCCACAGGACACACCCTTATGGCCAATTATGTCCCATTTCAGAATGTCTATATTCACATGTTAGAACTTGTAGACTGAGACTGCAGATCTGGCTCTTCAGGCTACATATCCTACACTGGCCTAGTTTTACATTCACTACTAGCCCAGATGGTGAACATCATAAGTACCAGTGTTCACAAGACTGATCAAGATTTCCTTAGTAGAACAAATCTGCTAAGCTAACACAAAAATGTATAAAGGGTAGCATTGTTTAAACTTGTGGGTTTGGAGTTTGTATGCTTATCTTGAGTGAAAATGCTTCAATCACCAGAGGCAATCAATTTTCATTCCTCTTGTGACAACGTAAGGTGACATATCATTTTAAGGTCAGCAAAGATGGCTTTTCCCTAAAATGAATCTTTATATGTCAAAAGATGCTTAGGTTTTCCCTTTTCTAGACTGGATCTTAAATTTTTGAATATACATCTCATAGGGGTTTTAAAAAGTAGTACAGTATAACAGTTGATGTTTAGCCAGTGACCCACTATGGCATTCTGGTCTTTCCTAATAACAACAGCTAACACGCATTCAGCACTTGCTATAGGCCAGTCACAACGGGCATCAATTTGTGAGTCATATTATATTTTTGTAAGTGACTGGCCTGTACTTGCTTACACCAACCTTTATCTACTAAACTCTCTAATGTTAGTGTTATTAGGGTTTCTACCATGAAAAGTGGCAATAACACTTTGACAATATTTCAAGGCTAACATCCCATTTCAACCTACACAGCCAGCCTCCTAACTGCTGGTTAGAGTGATGTTTACCTCTCCAATCAAATATTTCAGGGCACACTTGGCTTCCAGAATGGTGGCAATATTCTCCCAGCGTTGTTTTGGTCTGTCTTCACTTTCTGCATCCAGCAGCTTCTGCTGTAGGTCAGCAATCTGAGCACTCCTTCAGGGAAAGAAACAGTAAGCCTTATTGCAAGTAGCCTGAACATCAAGAAGGGGGAAGAGCTCTGAGGAGAAACTTCAAATAATTTTATGGATGGAGCTATCAGTTAAATATCATTTAAATAATGTTTAAGTCATCTGGTTAGGATTTTACATAGTATCGCAAATCTTGTAACAAAGGGACTCTAAGAGACTATTTAAATGGTTTTATTCCATTAAATACTGGTTGAAATAAATGGGTCATAAAGTGGGACTTGGAAAGACTTATCACAGTAAGGCTTTTGTTGTAGTGGATTAAGTATAATATGTTACTTTGTCTTGAGGCCATATAAGCTCAGACTGTGACATGATGGTCCACCCATGCAAGGATAAGATTCAGGTTGGAGACTTGAAGGAAAAAGCTCAAAAGAACAGGTAGATATGCTCTTTACTACAATCAAGTACCAAAATGATACCCATGGCTGGCATTGTGAGAGGTTATCTTGATGTGCCTGCCACAAGACCGAGAAGTTTCTAAGAAGACTAGATATTCTGACCCTGGTTATAGCTTCTGGGTACTTTCTGATCAAGTATGTCCTAGACCAAAATCTACACAGTATTTCAGTTTAATTAATAGCTTTCTTCTCAAATTTCTTCTGTGTCTAGTGAGAAAGAGTATACCAGCATGTGCTTCATATGCAGTGATAAGTTTGGTACTATAAGGAAGATGGGTATGAAAATAATCTAAGACTGTAGTTCTCAAATTTTGGGGTTTCAGGACCCCTTTACACCCTTAAAAATTATTGAAGACATCTAGGACATTCTGTTCACATGTGTTATACCTATAGAGATTTATAGTATTAGAAAGTACAACTGAAAAAAATTTTAGCTGGGCGCAGTGGCTCACACCTGTAATCCCAGCACTTTGGGAGGCCGAGGTGGGTGGATCACCTGAGGTCAGGAGTTCGAGACCAGCCTGGCCAACCTGGTGAAACCCCGGCTCTACTAAAAATACAAAAATTAGCCAGGCGTGGTGGTGGGTGCCTGTAATCCCAGCTACTTGGGAGGCTGAGGCAGGAAAATCACTTGAACCCGGGAGGTGGGGGTTGCAGTGAGCCGAGATCGTGCCATTGCACTCCAGCCTGGGAGACAGAGCAATACTCCATCTCAAAAAAAAAAAAAATTAATTCACTTAAAAATCATAAACCTAGGCTGGGCGAGGTAGTTCACGCCTGCAATCCCAGCACTTTGGGAGGCCGAGGCAGGCAAATTATGAGGTCAGGAGATCGAGACCATCCTGGCCAACATGGTGAAACCCTGTCTCTACTAAAAATACAAAAATTAGTTAGGGGTGGTGGCGTGTGCCTGTAATTCCAGCTACTTGGGAGGCTGAGACAGGAGAATTGCTTGAACCAGCAAGTCGGAGGTTGCAGCGAGCTGAGATTGTGCCACTGCACTCCAGCCTGGCGACAGAGCAAGACTCCATCTCAAAAAAAAAAAAAAAAAAATCATAAACCTATTGGCGGGGCGCGGTGGCTCACTCCCGTAATCCCAGCACTTTGGGAGGCTGAGGCAGGTGGATCACCTGAGGTCAGGAGCGAGACCAGCCTGGCCAACATGGTGAAACCCCGTATCTACTAAAAATACAAAAAATTAGCTGGGCCTGGTGGCAGGTGCCTGTAATCCCAGCTACTTGGGAGGCTGAGGCAGGAGAATTGCTTGAACCCAAGAGGTGGAGGTTGCAGTGAGCCGAGATCACGTCATTGCACTCCAGCTTGGGTGACAGAGTGAGACTCTGTCAAAAAAACAAAAACAAAAAAAAAACATAAACCTATTATACATTACATATTTTCTGAAAAGTAGCATTTTCTGAGATAATAAATAGTAAGAAAAGGAATTATTTTACACTTTTGCAAATCTCTGTAATGTCTGGCTTAGTTGAAGACAGCTGGATTCTTATGTCTCCCTCTGTATGCAATCTTTTGTGACATGTTGTTCTAGTTGATGTAAATGAAGACAATCTGGCCTCACATGAATATGCAGATGGGAAAAGGAGTATTTTAATAGCCTTTTCAGATAACTGCAAATAGTCTTCTTTGAGACTACACTAAAACTCAACAAGCGGTACCTCCTTAAGAGTTAGTTGCAACCCAAATGTCCAACAATGATAGACTGGATTAAGAAAATGTGGCACATATACACCATGGAATACTATGCAGCCATAAAAAATGATGAGTTCACATCCTTTGTAGGGACATGGATGAAATTGGAAATCATCATTCTCAGTAAACTATCGCAAGAACAAAAAAACCAAACACCGCATATTCTCACTCATAGGTGGGAATTGAACAATGAGATCACATGGACACAGGAAGGGGAATATCACACTCTGGGGACTGTTGTGGGGTGGGGGAAGGGGGGAGGGATAGCATTGGGAGATATACCTAATGCTAGATGATGAGTTAGTGGGTGCAGCGCACCAGCACGGCACATGTATACATATGTAACTAACCTGCACAATGTGCACATGTACCCTAAAACTTAAAGTATAATAAAAAAAAAAAAGAGTTAGTTGCAATGTTGAATCTGAAACTTATTAATAAACTTTGTTGTTGTTGTTGTTGTTTTTATTTTATTATTATTATACTTTAAGTTTTAGGGTACATGTGCACAATGTGCAGGTTACATATGTATACATGTGCCATGCTGGTGTGCTGCACCCAGTAACTCATCATTTAGCATTAGGTATATCTCCTAATGCTATCCCTCCCCCCTCCCCCCACCCCACAACAGTCCCCAGAGTGTGATGTTCCTCTTCCTCTGTCCATGTGTTCTCATTGTTCAGTTCCCACCTATGAGTGAGAACATGCGGTGTTTGGTTTTTTGTCCTTGCGATAGTTTACTGAGAATGATGATTTCCATAAACTTTTTTATATTCTCTCATATTAAAATTCATCAGTCTATCTTGCAATCTGAATGGCTCATTTACGAATACATCATTCTATAAAGTGCCATTTGGACAATATTACTCCAGAGTCATGCAGATCTTCCAAATGTTAACACATTTCATTCTATAAAATATATATTTTTAAAATCACACTTGTTAATATCACTACTGGTCTTATCAGAAAAGTTATGAAAAACTGTCAAGTTCACAGTGGCAGATACAAGTTTTCCAAATCCAAATTTTGCTTGAAAGCTCACATTTTGTCTTAGGTAACAAACACTGTCAGCTGTTTTCCTTAAAGCAACAGGCTCGCTCTATTCTTTTTGAGAAAATGTCTGCCAAGTAACCAAGTCTTAATAACCACAGTTTGTCTGTCAGTTGTTCATTTAAGTAAAAATGATGTCCCATGAAAAAAGAGGCCTATTGAGCTCACACCTCAAACAATCGCAGTGCTTTTCTTGAGACGACCATCATATTCAGCATGCAGTAGAAGTGCTTTCTGTGTTCTTCCTGTTTCGTCACACAGGATGTAACACAGACATGAACTCCAGGGTCCAGATTTAGTAAAATCAACAACTTTTACTGCTTTCGCAACACCATTCTTAATTAAGACTGGCTTGTTTTTTTAAAACCTGAGAGTATATAGTGGTGAAGCATACAATGACTACTAGTTCAGGTTGGTGCCACTGCTTTCATTCAGCCTAGGGTGTCAGCACTTTAGCCCACTATGGCTTTTGCATTTTCAGTGCAAATTCCAATGTAGCAAAAAAGGCAAATAATGCCTTAATATTATTATGAAAATAGTTTTGATCACTGGCTCATGAGCTCCCCAGTAATCTGCGGCCCACACTTTGAAAACCCTGGTCTAATGTAGAGTCCTTTCCTTCAACAAGCTTACAGTCTGTCTTTAGAATGACAAAATTAATAAACATAAAACAATAAACATAAAGATAACATGTCAGCAGTATGTCATAATTGAGTATCATAAGTTCTGAAAGAGTTTAGAGAACAAGGAAGATTAGTGAGGGATTAAAAAGTCAGGGAAGGCTTCTGGAAGAGGTGGGGCACAACACTTCAGAGTTGTCACCTATCATTGGCCCTTTCCTGTCTTCTCTGACAATTCGTGTCCCTTATCTATTCCAAAATGTAGTTTAAGTCTCATCAGTTCTAAAAAAATTCTCCTAACTAAACTCACCTCTAATTCCTTCTACTTGGCACCAGCCCTACATTTACATAATCATTTACTTACGCATATGGTATGTAGGTAAATTTTTAATAACCAGCACTTAAAAAGCCAGCCCTTGGCTGGGCACAATGGCTCACACCTGTAATCCTGGAACTTTGGGAGGCCAAGGCAGGCCGATCGCTTGAGGCCAGGAGTTCGAGACCACCCTGGCCAACATGGTGAAACCCTGTCTCTACTAAAAATACAAAAATTAGCCAGGCATGGTGCCATGTGCCTGTAATTCCAGCTACTTGGGAGGCTGAGACATGAGAATCACTTGAACCCAGGAGGCAGAGGCTGCAGTGAGCCAAGATCGCGCCATTGTACTCCAGCCTGGGCAAGAGTGAGACTTTGTCTCAAAACAAACAAACATAAAACAAAAACAAACAAACAAACAAAAACCCCAGCCCTGATTTGTAACTTTTGTCAGTTTCTGTGGTGTAAAAATTCTCACCATAATCAATTGTAAACTAACAACGGTTTACAACATTCTTGAAATTTTAGCAAATGATTCCAGGACACCAGTGTGAGTAATGATACTATTTCCACCTGAGAGCAAGGGCAATGTCATCTATTTTTTCTGTATATCCCAACTGCATCCAGTGTAGCACAAAGCAGGAACTCAAAGGTTGAGTGATTTATAGATGTATCCCAAGATAAAGTTAGTATGTATTGCTAAAACCAGATTAAATGATCCCAAGGTTCTATTATCCTAAAACACGATAAAATCTCTGTCAAGGTTCTGTTCCTTCTAGATTTCATAAACTGCTTAAAATAATCATGATTAGAAGAGCCTGTGTAGCATAATTTCTGGTCTAGAGCTAGGAGATGAGGGACAGAAGAACATTCATTGACCACTTCTTTTTCTTTTTACTTTTTAGAGCCAATATGAGTGACCACGGCACAGGGAACACAGTCTCAAGAGGTCCTGAGAAAGTGCGGCCTTCACTGAGCACTTCTATTCCTTCTTTTTCTTTTCTTTCTTTTCTCTTTCTTTTTCCTTCCTTTCCTTTCCTTTCCTTTCTTTCTGTCTGTCTGCCTTTCATTTTTGAGACAGAATCTCACTCTGTCGCCCAGGAGTGCAGTGGCACGATCTCGGCTCACTGCAACCTCCGCCTCCTGGGTTCAAGTGATTCTCCTGCCTCAGCCTCCCGAGTAGCTGGGACTACAGGCGCGTGCCACCACGCCTGGCTAATTTTTTGTATTTTTAGTAGAGATGGGGTTTCACTGTGTTAGCCAGGATGGTCTCGATCTCCTGACCTCGTGATCTGCCTGCCTTGGCCTCCCAAAGTGCTGGGATTACAGGCGAGAGCTACCGTGCCTGGCCATTTTTTTACTTTTTTGAGATGGAGTCTTGCTCTATCGCCCAGGCTGGAGTGCAATGGCGCAATCTCGGCTCACTGCAACTTCTGCCTCCCGGGTTGAAGCGATTCTTCTGCCTCAGCCTCCCGAGTAGCTGGGATTACAGGTGCCTGCCACCATGCCCACCTAATTTCTTTTGTATTTTTAGTAGAGAAAGGGTTTCACCATGTTGGCCAGGCTGGTCTTGAACTCCTGGCCTCAGGCGATCCACCCACCTCAGCCTCCCAAAATGCTGGGATTACAGGCATGAGCCACTGCGCCTGGCCCATTGAGCACTTCTAATATGCTAAGTACTGTTATGCACTTTACTAATTTCATTTAATGCTCATGACAACTTTACTTACCATGTTAGAACTATTTTCTTGATGATCTCTAAAGTTCACCTTCTGTGTTGTTGCTCTTCTATTATCATTTCTTTGGTTCCTCTAAAATTCTGTTATTGGTTCTACATCTTAGAGACACTACTGCATCAAAAATTATGGTGCCTGACTCTCTAGTTATCAGTTAAAAAAATAAAGAGAAAAAATTGTGCTGTATTGTAAAAAGCATGGGCTTTGGAATTAGAGTGTGTTTTGAATCCCAGCTCTGTTGTTTGTTAGCCAGTTAATTACCTTTGGCAAATTTCTTAAGATTGCTGAATTTCCTTTTAAAAATTAACCAATTAACCAGTTATTTATTAAAAAGCCAGTCAAATTTAGCAGCGAGGGGGTTGTATACCAACTTCAGTGACACTAATGTTAATAAGTTCTGATAACCCACTTCCATATGACCAAGTTAATTTTAGATCTCTAACATGAGAAGAATGATACTTACCTCATAAGGCATCAAAGGGATTGAATAAGAAAATGTATCTAAGATACCTAGTACAGTGTCTGGTTTAAAAAAAATTGTTATTTTCTCGTGTTTTTCCACCATCACAAGGCTTTTGAATCACTAGATTAATAGGTTCAATTTTTGATTCCAGGCATAAATTTTTATAATGGCTTAGAGATAGTCCCTGTTACCTGAATTCCATTTCAGTCTCTAGGCTTTCAATCTGCTTTGTAATAGAATCTTCTGACTCCGAAACTTGACCACGCACTTCAGTAAGGGAGAATGTACGCCTCTGTAAATAATAGTGAGAACAAGGGTGAAATACTAAAAGGAAAGTAATCCTCCAAAGCTATGAGGATTTCTGGGGAATGTAGAGTCTGATTATTGGCAACATTTTTTCATAAGCGTACTTACCCGGAGTTTAGGAGGTGGATTCTCCCCAGATTCCTTTTTTTCTTTGAGTTGAGCCACATCTTGAGCCAGGATCTTTCTATCTTCAAGGAGGTCATTCAGATGGCGTTTGGCTTCCTCAGTACTGACCATAACCTCAATTTCGTTTCCAAGCCAATTCTGGAAGAGAAATCAGTGATGTCTGTGTTAGGGATGAGGAATCACTAGCTCATGGGCTAGATTCAGCTCCAGACTTAACTTCATTTGGACCAGAGCCCAAGTAACTACAAGTGTGATATCCATTCATACCTACACTTACCAAAAATGTCAGTACCTCTCGAAGAGCCTTTAACAGCAACATGCCAAAAGGTCACAAGAAAGAGGCTTTCTCCAGAAAATCTTTCTCCAGATTCCTAGTATTTCTATGTGCCCTGTTCTTTATTTTCTTCATTTTTTTCCTTTGCCCTTAACATAATAAAAAATTGAATATTTTATGATCTATTCTATTTAATAAATAAATATCCATTTTTAATTTTTAAAGTAGATGAACGGGATTTTTAAAAAAGGAAACAAAATTCAGTAAATTCACTTTTTATTTATTTATTTAGACAGGGTGTCGCTCTGTCGCCCAGGCTGGAGTGCAGTGGCGTGATCTCGGCTCACTGCAACCTCTGCCTCCCAGGTTCAAGCAATTCTTGTGCCTCAGCCACCCAAGTAGCTGGGATTACAAGCACGCGCCACCACGCCTGGCTAATTTTTGTATTTTTAGTACAGATGGGGTTTCACCATGTTGGCCAGGCTGGTCTTGAACTGCTGGCCTCAAGTGATCCACCCACCTTGGCCTCCCAAAGTGCTGGGATTACAGGTGTGAGCCACCATGCCCAGCCAAAATTCACTTTTTGAAACAGTAACTATCCCTGAGAATATTTCTGCTTTTAATGAAGGTATACCATGCTAATAGTAATCAAAAGAAAGCCAGAGTGATTATATTAGAATCAGATGGAGTAGAATTCCTATCAAAAAATAAAACTAGGGATAAAAAGGATTCATGATAAAGGAGCCGATTGTTCAATAGAATATAATCCTTAATGTGTACGTCCCTAATAACAAAGCACCAAAATACATGAAACAAAATCATGTACAAGTAAACAAAGATAATATAAATCATAAAAATGTTCAACTGATCCAAAAAAGGAAAAAGCAGGGAAAAAGAAAATGAAGAACAGATGACACAATAGAAAACAAATAGCAAGATGATAGCTCAAACCTACCTGTATCAATAATCACATTAAATGTAAATGGTCTAAACACCCCAATTAAGTTGTAGAGATTTTCAGATTGGATTAAAAAAGCTAGACATGGCTGGGCACAGTGGCTCACACCTGTAGTCCCAGCACTTTGGGAGGATCACTTCAGGCCCATAGTTCAAGACCAGCCTGAGCAACATAGTGAGACCCTGTCTCTACAAAAAGTAGAAAAATTAGCCAGGTATGGTGGTATATGAATGTAGTCTCAGCTAGTCGGGAGACTGAGATGGGAGAATCACTTGAGTCCAGGTATCCGAGGTTACAGTGAACTATGGTCACGCCACTGCACTCCAGCCTGGGTAACAGAGTGAGATCCTGTCTATGGAAAAAAAAAAAAAGCTAGACCCAAATATATGCTGCCTATAAGAACCACACCTTGGCTGGGTGTGGTAGCTCACACCTGTAATCCCAACACTTTGGGAGGCTGAGGCAGGTGGATCACTTGACCCCAGGAGTTTGAGACCAGCCTGAGCAACATGTTGAAACCCCATCTCTACAAAAAATACAAAAATTAGCCAGGCGTAGTGGCATGTGCCTGTAATCTGAGCTACTTGGGAGGATGAAGTAGTAGAATCATTTGAGCCCAAGAGGTTAAGGCTACAGTGAGCTGTGACTGTGCTACTGCACTTCAGCCTGGGCAACAGAGCAAGATCTTGTCAAAAAAAAAAAAAAAAGAAAGAAAGAAAGAAAGAAAGAAAGAAAGAAAGAAAGAAAGAAAGAAAGAAAGAAAGAAAGAAAGAAAGAGAAAAGAAAAGAAAAGAAACACACCTTAAAAATGAAGGCACAAATACGTTAACATTAAATACACCATGACAAAAAAAAAAACAACATACTAACATTAATAAAAAGAAAGTTGGAGGGGCTACAGTAATATCATACAAAGTAGATATTAGAACAAAGAACAAAGAATATTACCAAGAATAAAGAAGTCCATTTCATAATAATACAGGGATCAATTAATCCTAAATGTAGAACTCTAAGGAAAAAATCCATAATTATAGTTGGTGATTTCAATACCTATTTCTCAATAATTGATAGGACGAGTATGCAGAAAATCAGCAAGGACACAATAGATGTTAACAGCACAATCAATCAAATTGACATGATTGACATTTATAGATACTCCATCCAACAACAGCAGAATACCCATTCTTCTCAAGTACACATAGAACATTTACTAAGATTGATCATACTCTGGGCCATAAAATAAGTCTCAATAAGTTCAAAAGGATTCAAGTCATATGAAGTATGTTCTCTGACCATATTAGAATTAAATTGGAAATCAATAACAAAAAGACATTTGGAAAAATCCCCAAACATTTGGAAACTACATAACACTTCTAAATAACCCATGGGTCAAAGAAAAAAATCAATAAGAAAATTAGAATGTATTTTGAATTGAATGAAAGTGAAAATATAACATTATGAAAATTTGTGGGATGTTGTTAAAGGAATACTTAAGGGGAAACTTATAGCACTGAATGCCTATATTAGAAAAGAAAGAAATCAATGACCTTAGCTTCTTCCTTAAGTAAAAAAAGAAGACCAAAATAAATCCAAAGTATGCAGAAGTAAAAAAAAAAAAGATCCAGGAGGCGGAGCTTGCAGTGAGCCAAGATCACGCCACTGCACTCCAGCCTGGGTGACAGAGCGAGACTCCGTCTCAAAATAATAATAATAATAATTATTATTATTATTATTATTATAAGATCAGAGTGGAAATTAATGAATTGGGAGTTGTTTTGAATTTTTTTATTGTGGTAAAATATATATAACATAAAAATTACCATTTTACCTATTATAAGAATGAGTTGGTTCTTTGATAAACCTCTAGTTGGACTGATTGAGAAAAAGGAGAAAACATACAAACAGGAATGAGATAGATGACATCATTACAGATTTAAAAAAAAAATAGAGATGTGTTCTTGCTATGTTGCCCAGGCTGGTCTCGAATTCCTGGGCTCAAGTGATCCTCCCATCTCAGCTTCTCTAAGTGCCAATATTACAGGCATAAACAATCGCACCTGGCTGAGATTTTACAGATATTAGAACGATAAGGGAATATGATGAACAACTTTATGCCAATACATTTGACAACTTAGATGAAACAGACAAGTTCTCTGAAACACACAAACTACCAAAGCTTACTCAAGGAGAAACATATAACTTTGAACAATCCTATATCTATTTTTAAAACTTTATTTAACATCCCTCTCCCCAAAAAGCAAAACTAAGCAAGAAACATAAATCTCTCCAGCCACAGATGGCTTTCCTGATGAATTCTATCAAATTTTTAAGAAAGAAACAATATTAATTCTGCACAAAATCTTCCAGACATTTGAAGAGAAACGACTACACTTCCCAGCTCTTTCTGAGGCCAGTATTACCTTGATATCAAAACCAGACCAAGGTATTACAAAAAACTACACACCAATATCCCTCATGAACACAGATACAAAAATTTAAACAAGTTTTTTTATGTATTACTGAATTTAATAATACATAAAAAGGATGATATATCACAATTAAATGGAGTTTATCCAAGAAATGCAAGGTTGGAATGGAATATTACACAGCCATAAAAAAAAGAACAAAATCACATCCTTTGTAGTAACATGAATGCAACTGGAGGCTATTATCCTAAGAGAATTAATGCAGGAACAGAAAATCAAATACCACACGTTCTCACTTCTAAGTGGGAGCTAAACATTGAGTACACATGGACAGAAAGAAGGGAACAATAGGCACCAGGGCCTACTTGAGGGTGGAGGGTGGGAGGAGGGTGAGGACTGAGAAACTACCTATTGGGTATCATGCTGATTATCTGTGTGACAAAATTATCTGTATACGAAACCCCTGAAACATGCCATTTACCCATGTAAAAACAAACCTGCACATGTAATCCTTGAACCTAGTAAAAGTCGGAAAGAAAAAAAAAAGAAATGCAAGGTTGGTTCCATATTTGAACATCAATCAAAATAATTCACCAAATCAACTAACTAGAGACAAAAAGTATTTCAAAAAAATTAACTACAGTTAATATACTTAATGGTGAAAGACTGAATGCTTTCCCCCTAAGATCAGGAAGAACAGAAGGATGTCTATTCTCACCACTCCTATTCATCATCATCCTGAAGGTTCTCACCAATGCAATAGGGCAAGTAGGAGAAATGATAGACATACAGATTAGAAAGGAAGAAATAAAATTGTATTTACAGACAGCATGATAGTCTACATAGAAAATCCTAAAAACCTATAAAAGAGCTAGTAGAATAATAAAGGCATGAGATAAAAGTTAATATACAAAAATAAATTGTATTTCTATATATCAGCAATAAACAACTAACTGGATAAACAATTTGGCAGTTTCTTACAAATTAAGCATATACTTATCATATGACCCAGTAGTCCCACTCTTAGGTATTTACCCAAGTGAAATAATTAGTTTACATAGAAACGTGTATGTGTTTTTAACAGCAGCTTTATTCGTAATTGCCAAAACCTAAGGAAAAGAAAAACCTAAGATATCCTTCAACAGGTGAATGGATAAACAAACTGTGGTATATCCATACAATGAAATACTACTCAACAACAACAACAAAAACACGCAAACTACAGATACACAAACAACACAAATTAATCTCGAATTATGCTAAGTGAAGGAAGTCATACTGTATGTTTCTATTTCTATGACACTGATGGAAAGGGAAAACAATAATGACAGAGTACAGATCAGTGTTTGTCAAGGGCCAGGGTTGTGGGAGGAATTGGCTGTAAGAGATATAGGGGAGTTTCTGGGGATAAGAGAACTATTCTGTATCTTGATTGTTGTAGTGGTCACACAACTGTACATGTTGTCAAAACACATAGAACTATACAACAAAAGGGTTTATTTTATTGTATGTCAGCTATGCCTTGACAGAATAAATTAGGGAAAAATCAGTGCCATTTGCCATATAACAGAATAAAAACTGACCAATCAACCAACAGTCAGATCATCTCAACAGAAACAGAAAAAAAAGCTCCTGAAAAAACCCAACATCAATTTGTAATAAAAACTTCGCAAGCTAAAAAAAGGAACTTCTTCAACCTGATAAAAGACATATACCAAAAAATCTATAGCTATTATCATACTTTACGGTGAAAAACTGAATGCTTTCTGCCCAAGACTGGGAACAAAGCAAGGTTGTAGCCTCTCACCTAGTCTATTCAATATTGTACTGGAGGTTCTAGCAAGTGCAATAAGGCAAGACAAAGGTTAAAAAAATAAAAAAGCACAGAACAGAAAAGAAGAAATAAAATTGTCCATATTTGCAGATGACATGATTTTCTAGGTAGAAAATCTTAAGAACTCTACAAAAAAGCTTTGAGAACCAACAAGAATATCTAAACAATTGGAAATGGAAATAAAAATGCCATTTTCAATATCATAAAAATATGAAATACTCAGGGATATGTTTGACAAAAGATGTACAACGCTTGTACACTAAAAACTAAAATGTTGCTGAGAGAAATTAAAAACCTAAATAAAGAGATATACTGCATTCGTGTATCTAAATATTCTTAACATGTTGATTCTCCTTGAATTGATTTGTAAATTCTATGCAATCTTAATCCAACTCCCAGCAAGCTGTTTTGTAGAAATTAACAAGATAATTCTAAAATGTATATGGAAATGCAAAGGACCCAGTTTTCCCAAAACAATTTTGACAAAGAACAACAACTTTGGACTTACACTGATTTCAGGATTTCTTAAAAAGCAACTGCATTCAAGACTTTTTGGTATTGGCATAAAAATAGACATATAGATCAATGAAACAATCTGAAATAGATGTATGGATATTTAATTTTGACAAAGGTGTCCAGTCAAAATGAATCAAAGACGTAAATGTAAAGCTTAAAAATATGTAACTTCTAGAAGAAAACTTAGGGGGAAATCTTAGCGACCATGGGTTTGACAAATATATATATTTTTTTGAGACGAAGCCTCGCTCTATCACCCAGGTGGAGTGCAGTGGAACGATCTCGGCTCACTGCAACCTCTGCCTCCCCGGTTCAAGCGATTCTTCCACTTCAGCCTCCCGAGTAGCTGGGACTACAGGCGCACACCACCGTGCACAACTAATTTTTTGTATTTTTAGTAGAGACGGGGTTTTGCCATGTTGGCCAGGATGGTCTTGAACTCCTGACCTCAGGTAATCCACCCGCCTTGGCCTCCCAAAGTGCTGGGATTACAGGCATGAGCCACTGAGCCTGGCCAGACAAATATTTCTGTTTTAAATTTTTTTGAGACAGGATCTTGCTGTGTCACCCAGGCTGGAGTGCAGTGGTGCGATCATGGCTTGCTGTAGCCTTGACCTCCCAGTCTCAAGCGATCTTCCCACCTCAGTCTCCCCGGTAGTTGGGACTACAGGCATGCACCACCATGTCTGGTTAATTTTTTTAAAATTTTGTTTTGTAGAGACAGGATCTTACTTTGCTCCCCAGGCTGGTCTTGAACTCCTGGCCTCAAGCAATCCTCCTGCCTCAGCCTCCCAAAGTGCTGGGATTATAGGCATGAGCCACTACACCCAGCCAAGATTTCTTAAGCAAGATATGAAAACTGTTTAAGTATAAAGAAAAAAATATCAATAAATTGGATGGCATTAACATAATAAATGTTTGCTCTTCAAAAGACACTGTTACAAATTGAAAAGGGCAAGCCACAGCCAGGGAGAAAATATTTGTAAAACACAGAAGTCCTCTGTTAAATATATCTAGAATATATAAAGAATTTTAATTCAATAATAAGAAAAAGATAAACAACCCAATTTAAAAATGGGGACAGATTTGAACACATATTTCACAAAAGAAAACATACATATGGCAAATAAGCACATGAAAGGATGTCCAACATCATTAGTCATTACAGAAAAGAAAATTAGAACCACAATGAGGTTCCACTACCCACCCACACAGAATAGCTAAAATTCAAAAGACTGACCATACTAATTATTGGCAAGAATGTGTAGCAACTAGAACCCTTATACATTGCTAGTAGGAATGTAAAATGGTACAACTGCTTTGGAAAACAGTTTGGCAGCCACTTAGCAGTTAAAACATACACCAACCATACAAGAAAGCCATTTTACTCCTAGCTATCTACTCAAAAGAAATTAAAAAAAATCCACACAGGCTTGTGCACAAATGTTCAGTGCAATATTTGTAAGAGCCAAAAACTGGAAACCACTCAAGTATCCATCAACAGATGGATATAAAAACAAATTATGGTATAGCCATACAATGAATGGGATGCCACTCAGCAATAAAAAGGAAAGAAGTTGTATATGACATATGCAACCACATGGATGAATCTCAAAATAATTGTGAATAAAAGCCAGAAAAAAAATACATAATGTATGATTCCAGATGAAAACAAATCCATAGTGACAGAAAGCAGATTAATGGTTGCCTGGAACCACTGTGGGGATATAAAGAAATATATATGAAATGGGGAGTAGACGGGTAGACCAGGGAGGAGAAGAAGGGATTACAGAGGGATAAGAAGAAGGGATTACAGAGGGATACAAAGAAAGTTTAGGCAATGAAGCACACTGTCATTATCTTGATTATGGTGATGATTTCATGGGTGTATACACGTGTCCAAACTCATCAAATTGTATACTTTTTTTTCTTTTTGAGACAGAGTTTCACTGTCACCCAGTTTGGAGTGCAATGGTGCGATCTTGGCTTACTGCAACGTCCACCTCCCAGGTTCAAACGATTCTCCTCCCTCAGCCTCCCAAGTAGCTGGGATTACAGGCACCTGTCACCACAACCAGCTAATTTTTGTATTTTTAGTAGAGATGAGGTTTCACCATGTTGGTCAGGCTGGTCTCAAACTCCTGACCGCAGGTGATCTGCCCACCTCGGCCTCCCAATGTGCTGGGATTATAGGTGTGAGCCACCATGCCCGGCCAAATTGTGAACTTTAAATATGTACAATTTATAATATGTCAATTCTACTTCAATGAAGCTGTTTAAAAAAGTAACTGAACCTCAATAGGGGCAAAGATAGAAAGAGTTCTATACTCCTGGTCTTTAACAACAGTTCAAAGACATTGCTATCTTTAGGAAATAAGGCTTTCAAGTAGAACTTTAGATTTTGCAGTGTTTACTTCTAAAAAAAGGAAAAAAAAAAAGCTATTTCTCCTTTTTTCCTGTTCCCAGTGTCCACAAGAGAAATGGCAGTTCAAGTTGTTCATACCTTCACTCGAGCTGCAGTGCCTTCCATTCCACGGCTCTGAGTCTCTTTCCGCTTATCTGCAACCTCCCGTTGTTTCTGGAGAGCATCCTTGAGACGCTTGTTGGCAGCTGCTGCCTAAATAAAATTGGCACATAGTAATGTTGAATGAATGGTAAAAAAAAAAAATCCAATTTCTAGCACATTAGTAAAGATAAAAATTCTATGGGTTTGAGTTCCTATAGGAACCAGGTTTATAAACTTCCATGGACATAACACTGGTGAACAGCTACTGCTTTGGTGCCTAGGGGAGGAACACACTTCAAGGAAGTTCTGCAGACTAAAAGTGTCTAGAAATGTCACATATCAATATCACTTTGTTTTTTCAGGAAAGGCTCACGTCCAGTTAGGAAAAAATCCTTATTTGAACAGTACCATTTTTCATCAAGTTTTTATCTGCTCACAGTGGCATATAAACAGTGATCAAGATTTAGGAATTGCTTGTGAAGATTGGCATCCCTGGTTTCTCAGGACGCTTGCTAGTTTAAAGGATATTACTTTGCAAGCATTTAAACCTGAAGATGACAATACACTTGACCTAGCAGATTGAATTTTCTTACCTCCTCCGTTTTACGTCTGAGCACATTGGATTGTTTCTGGAAGTTTCTTTCAAGTTTCAGCAGCTCATATTGCCTCTTACGGTCCTGACAAGAAAAAAGTCAGATATTAATTGCTGTTCAGCTAGCTAAAATAAAACCTTATACTATAAGGTGTCTCTCAAGACATCCTTGATTTGTAAGGTTAACTACAATACAGTGAGCTGCCTTCATCTTCTCATATGAGTCAAAAACTCGTAGTTCTAGAAACCATGTTTGTGTGTAGAGGGGAAGTGGTTTTTCCCTTTGGCTTATTGCTCTGTGGCCAAATTCTTGAGTCTCAGTCATAAATCAACTACTAGAAATAATATCCTAGAATGTGAGGCCTGGAAGGAAGCTTAAAGATCATCTAATGAACAGTCCTTTCCACATAGGTAGTTATTGACAGAGGTGGGATTCAGGTCTCCTGAAAAATAGACCAGTATTCTTTTCCCATCAACCCTACCTGTCCATCCATTACAAAACCCAGGTGGCTGGCAAAAAAGAGAAAGTCTATCACATAGCCAACCACCTATAAAATTAAAGTAACCTGCAGCTAAAAAAAAAAGAGGTTTCTCATTTTTGAAAAAAACAAGGTTAACCTGGGTACACACGGACATAAAGATGGAAACAATAGACATTGGGGGCTCTAAAAGGAGGGAGGGATGGAGAAAGGGGGGCAAGAGCTGAAAAACTTCCTATTGGGTACTATGTTCACTATCTGGGTGATGGGATCAGTAGAAGCCCAAAGCTCAGCATCATACAATATACCCTTGTAACAAACCTGCTCCTGCACCCACTGAATCTAAAATAAAAATAAAAACAGGTTATTACTGAATGTGCTCTTTCTTCCCAGAGATTAAAGATAAAGAATACCAAGAAATACTATGGGGTATCACCTGCTTCAGCTGAGCACACAATATTTAACTGCTTTGATTTCTTGGCCATTTCCCTCTTCTAATAATCCATTAAGCTCCTTCTGGCTTCACTTGTTCCAATCCAATCTGGATAGAATGGTCAGCCATTTTTGTCATGTCTTTGCCAGCATACTAGAACAATTCATTTCATTCAACAATATAATATTTACTGTGCCATCAACTAAACACTAGGCACTGGGCTAGGTGTCTAGGATACAGAGATAAACATGACATGGTTACTACTCCTACAGAGATTACCAGAGAATACAAACAACATGCAATACAATTATAATAAAATATGATGTGTGTTGAAATGAAAAGTCAAGATAATTAAAGAAACACAGTCAGAGGACTAAGCTAGTCCAGTGGAAAGAGAAAAGTCAACAGTCTTCTTAGTACCAGACTTTTTGAAAGAGAGGTCTATGTTTAGTGCTTCCAATTGTCATTACTGGTCACTCCATAATCCCCTTGTAAGTAGTTCCTACCAGTTGTCCTGGAATTTCCTACTTCTTAAATTCAGTGGTGTTTTTACAGTCACTATCTTCTTTGGCTTCTCTCCCAGCATCGTTAGCACTACCAATAACTTCCCCATACCATCCTAATTATTTTTCTACCTTACAAATTTCATTGTCTTCTTTTCATTTTCTTATACATGAAATAGATTCTCAGTTGGGCATGGTAGCTCATGCCTGTAATCCCAGCATTTTGAGAGGCTGGGGTGGGTGGATCATCTGAGGTCAGGAGTTCAAGACCAGCCTGGCCAACATGGCGAAACTCTGTCTCTACTAAAAATACAAAAAAAAATTGCCAGGCATGGTGGCATGCGCCTGTAGTCCCAGCTACTCAGGAGGCTTGAACCCAGGAGGCAGATGTTGCAGTGAGCCAAGATGGTGCCATTGTACTCCAGCCTGGATGACAGGGTGAGACCAAAAAAAAAAAAAAAGAGATTCTCTTCTTAGCCTTCTTTTTCTATATATTCTCTGTCTCCATTATCTCATTACTCCCAAAGTTTCATTTTTCACCTCTATGCAGACAAATCTTTTTTTGAGACGGAGTCTCCCTCTGTCGCCCAGGCTGTAGTGCAGTGGCTCGATCTCTGCTCACTGCAACCTCCACCTCCCGGGTTCAAGCGATTCTCCTGCCTCAGCCTCCTGAGTAGCTGGGATTACAGGCATGTGCCACCGTGCCTGGCTAATTTTTTTTGTATTTTTAGTAGAGATGGGGTTTCAGCATGTTGGTCAGGCTGGTCTCGAACTCCTGACCTCGTGATCCACCCACCTTGGCCTCACAAAGACAACTCTTAATTGCAAAGTCCAGCCCAACTTCTCCCTTGAACTCTAGGCCAACATTATCCAATATTTTCTAGGTCTCTCCATCCCAAAGATTATTCTCCTAAAACCAACTTTGTCTCTTCAAACTAGCTGTTTCCTCTGACTTTACAGTCACTGAAAAGCCCGCGGTACTTTTTGTTGCCCTACTTCCTTCATTTTTTGAAAGGTATATTTTGCATTAATTATGATTAAAATCATTCACTAAACATTATTGAGTGCCCACTACTTGCCAGCCACTGTTCTAGCCATTGGAAATGCAGAAGTGAGCAAAACAAAGATCCTTGTCAATGTGGAATATATATTCCTGTAGAATGTAAAGTTGTCATCACTTTATAGAGATGTCTCCTTTCTTCTTTTGTTTTTCTTAACAGTTTTATTGAGATATAATTCACATACCATACAATTCACTCATTTAAAGTACATGATTCAATGGCTTTTGGCACATTCACACAGTTGATGTAAACATCACCACACTTAATTTTAGAACATTTTCATTACCACAAAAAGAAATATACTGTTTAGTGATCACCCTACAACCCCATCACCCCACCCCAAAGCCCTAGAGAACCACTAATCTACTTTTTGTCTCTACAGATTTTAATGTCCTACTCTGGATATTTCATATAAATGGAATCCTATCATACATGGTCTTTTGTGATTGGCTTCTTTCACTAAGCAAAATGCTTTCAAGCCTCATCCATGTTGTAGCATGTATCAGTACTTCATTCCTTTGTATGGCTGAATAATACTCCACTGTATGGATAGACCACATTTTATTTACCCATTCATCAGTTGATGGACATGTTGGGTTTTTCCACTTTTTGGCTATTATGACTACTGCTGCATGAACATCTGGGTACAAGGTTTTGCATATATGACATGTTTTCGTATCTCCTGGGTAGACAAAACTAAGAGTGGAATTGCTGGATCATATGGTACCTCTACGTTTTTATTTAGCCTTTTGATAAACTGCTAAACTGTTTGCCAAAGCAGCTATACCATTTTCCCATCCTACTGAAAATGTATGAGGCTTTCAGTGTCTCCACATTCTTGCTAAGACTTATTATTATCTGTCTTTTTGTTTATAGCCATCCTAGTAGATGTGAAATTGCATCTCATTGTGGTTTTGATTTGTATTTCTCTGATGGCAAATGACATTGAGCACCTTTTCATGTACTTATTGCTTTGCCCATTTTAAAACTGGGTTATATTTTTATTGTTGATTGGTAAGAGTTCTTTTTTTTTTTTTTTTGAGATGGAGTCTCACTCTATTGCCCAGGCTGGAGTGCAATGGCACGATCTCGGCTCACCACAACCTCCACCTCCCGGATTCAAGCGATTCTTCTACCTCAGCCTCCCCAGTAGCTGGTATTACAGGCATGTGCCACCACACCCGGCCACTTTTTTTGCATTTTTAGTGGAGACGGGGTTTCTCCGTGTTGGTCAGGCTGGTCTCGAACTCCCGACCTCAGGTGATCCGCCCGCCTTGGCCTCCCAAAGTGCTGGGATTACAGGTGTGAGCCACCGTGCCCAGACAGTAAGAGTTCTTTATCTATCTTGGATATAAGACTCTTATCAGCTATATGATTTGCAAATATTTTCCTCCCAATCTATGGACTGGCTATTAACTTTCTTTTTTTTTTTTTTTGTTAGAGATGGGGTCTTGCTATGTTGCCCAGGGTGGGGTCAATTTCCTGGGCTCAAGCAATCCTCCCACCTTGGCCTCCCAAAGTGTTGAGATTACAGGCATGAGCCACCATGCCTGATCATATTCACTTTCTTGATGGTATTGTTTACAATGCAAAAGCTTTTAATTTTGTCTAATTTAACTCTTTTTTGGTTAGCTGTTTGTACTTTAGGTGTCACATCTAAGAAATCATTGTCTAATCCAAAGTCACAAAGATTAACACCTATGTTTTCTTCTAAGAGATTTATAGTTTTAGCTCGTACGTTTAGGTTTTTGATCTGCTTTAATTTTTGTATATGGTATGAGAGCAAGTTTCTTTTTGAGACAGAGTCTCACTCTGTTGCCCAGGCTGGAGTGCAGGGGCGTGATCTCAGCTCACTGCAACCTCTGCCTCCCAGGTTCAAGTGATTCTCCTGCCTCAGCTTCCAGAGTAGCTGGGATTACAGGCATGTACGACCATGCCCAGCTAATTTTTTTGTAATTTTAGTAGAGACGGGGTTTCACCATGTTGGCCAGGTGGTCTTGAACTCCTGACCTCAAGTGATCCACCCGCCTCGGCATCCCACAGTGCTGGGACTACAGGCGTGAGCCACTGTGCCTGGCCACAAGTTTCAACTTCATTATTTTGCATATGACTACCCGGTTGTTCTAGGACTATTTGTTGAAAAGACAAAATTGTTTTCCTCATTGAATTGTCTTGGCATTACTGTTGAAAATCAACTGGCCATAAGTGTGTAAGTTTATTTCTGGATTCTCAATCTTATTCCATTGACCTATATGTCTATCTTTACACAGTACCACACAGTCTTGATTAGTGTAGCTTTGTAGAAAGTTTTTAAATCAGTAAATGTGACATTTACAAATTTGTTCTTCTCCTTGATTGCTTTGAATATTCTAGGTCCCTTGCATTTCCATATATATTTTAGAATCAGTTTGTGAGTTTCTGTGAAGAAACCAGATGGAATTTCACTGGGATTGTGTTGCATCTGTAAGGCAATCTGAAGGGTATTCCATCTTTAGAATATCAAGTCTTCCTGCCCATGAACATGGGATATCCTTCCATTTATTTAAGTCTTCCTTAATTAAATTCAATGATGTTCAGTAGTTTTCAAGTATACAAGTCTTACACTTCTTTTGCTAAATTTATTCCTAAGTATTTTATTTGTATTGATCCTATTATTAATGGAATTGTTTTCTTTCTTTTTTTCTCTTGAGACAGAGTCTTGCACTGTTGCCTGGGCTGGAGTGGTGCAGTGGCATGATCTTGACTCACTGCAACCTCCACCTCCCGGGTTCAAGTGATTCTCCTGCCTCAGCCTCCTAAGTAGCTGCGATTACAGGTGCCTGTCACCACACCCAGCTAATTTTTTGTATTTTTAGTAGAGACGGAGTTTCACTATGTTGGCCAGGCTGGTCTCGAGCTCCTTACCTTGTGATCTGCCCACCTCAGCCTCCCAAAGTGCTGGGATTACAGGCGTGAGCCACCACACCCAGCCGTGGGATTGTTTTATTAATCTCATTGTCAAATTGTTAATTGCTAGTATATAAATATACTACTGATTTTCTTTTCTTTTCCTTTTGTTTTTTTTGTTTGTTTGTTTTTGAGACAGAGTCTTGCTCTGTAGCCCAGGCTGAAGTGCAGTGGCCTGATCTCAGCTCACTGAAACCTCTGCCTCCTGGGTTCAAATGATTCTCGTGCCTCAGCCTCTCAAGTAGTTGGGACTACAGGCATGTGCTACCATGCCTGGCTAATGTTTGTATTTTTAGTAGAGACGGGGTTTCACCGTGTTGGCCAGGCTGGTCTCGAACTCCTGGCCTCAAGTGATATGCCTGCCTTGGCCTCCCAAAGTGCTAGGATTACAGGCTTGAGCCACTGTGCCAGATCACAACTTATTTTCTTATATTGATCTTATATTCTGCAACCTTGGTGAACTCATATATTAATTCTAATAGACTTTTAGTGGATTCTCTAGGATTTTCTATATACAAGATCATGTCATCTATAAACAGAGATAGTCTTGCTTCACCTTTTCCAGTTTAGATGCCATTTATATATTTTTCTTCCCTAAACTTCCTGGTTAGAACCTCCAGGACAATGTTGAATAGATATGGCAAGAGTGGACATCCTTGTCTTGTTCTTGATCTTAGGGGAAAAGTATGCTCTTTTTCACCATTAAGTATGATGTTAGCTGTGGGTTTTTCATACACGCCCTTTATTACGCTGAGGAAGTTCTCTTCTATTCCTAGTTTCTTGAGTGTTTTTATCATGAGTGTTAGATTTTTGTCAAATGCTTTTTCTGTGTCTATTGAGATGATCATGTGGTTCTTGTCCTTTTTCCTACTGATACAGTATATAACATAAATTGATTTCCATATATTAAACAAACTTTGCATTTTTCAGATGGACTTCACTTGGTCATAAGTGTATCATCCTTTTTTTTTTTGAGACAGTGTCTCACTCTGTTGCCCAGGCTGGAGTGCAGTGGCACGGTCTTGGCTCACTGCAGCCTCTTCCTCTTGGGTTCAAGCAATTCTCGTGCCTCAGCCTCCCAAGTAGCTGGGATTACAGGCACATGCCACCATGCTCAGCTAATTTTTTTTTGTATTTTCAGTAGAGACAGGGTTTCGCCATGTTGGCCAGGCTGGTCTCAAAACTTCTGACCTCAAGTGATCTGCCCATCTCGGCTTTCCAAAGTGCTGAGATTACAGGTGTGAGTCACCACGCCCAGCCTATCATCCTTTTTAAATGTTGATGGATTTAGTTTGCTAGAATTTTGTTGAGGATTTTCATGCCTATATTAAGATATATTGGTCTGTAGTATTCTTTTCTTGTGATGTCTTTGGTTTTGGTATCAGGGAACACAAACCTCATGGAATGAGTTGGGAAGTGTTTCCACTGCTTCTAGTTTTCAGAAGAGTTTCTGAGAAATGGGTATTTCTGTCTTTTTTTTTTTTTTTTCTGAGACAGAATCTCACTCTATCGCCCAGGCTGGAGTGCAGCGGTGTGATCTTGGCTCACTGCAACCTTCGCCACCTGGGTTCAAGCAATTCTTGTGTCTCAGCCTCCCAAGTAGCTGGGATTACAAGTGTGTGTCACCACACCCAAATAATTTTTGTACTTTTAGTAGAGACAGGGTTTCACCATGTTGGCCAGGCTGGTCTCGAATTCCTGACCTCAGGTGATCTGCCTGCCTCGGCCTCCAAAAGTGCTGGGATTACAGGCATGAGCCACAGCACCTGGCCAAGAAATGGGTATTTTTTCTTAAAATGTTTGATAGAACTCACCAGTGAAGCCATCTGTGCCTGGAATTTTCTTTGTGGGAAGTTTTTAAACTACTAATTTAACTTCTTGTCATGGGTCTATACAGATTTTCTATTTCTTCTTGAGTCAGTTTTGGTAGTTTTTGTCTTTCCAGGCATTTGTCTACTTAATCTAGGCTATCTAATTTGTTGGCATACAGTTGTTAATAGTAATTCCTTATAATCCTTTCCTTCCGGCAAGACTAGTAGTGATATTCCCTCTTTCATTCCTAACTTTAGTAATTTAAATTTTCTTTCTTTTTTTTCTTTTTTCTTTTCTTTTTTTTTTGAGATGGAGTCTCGCTCTGTTGCCCAGGCTGGAGTGCAGTGGTGCGATCTCTGCTCACTGCAAGCTCCGCCTTCCGGGTTCACACCATTCTCCTCCCTCAAACTCCTGAGTAGCTGGGACTACAGGCACCCACCACTACACCTGGCTAATTTTTTTTTGTTTGTATTTTTAGTAGAGATGGGGTTTCACCGTGTTAGCCAGGATGGTCTCGATCTCCTGACCTTGTGATCTGCCTGCCTCAGCCTCCCAAAGTGCTGGGATTACTACAGGTGTGAGCCACCGCGCCTGGCCTCTTTTTTTTTCTTATTAAGGCTATCTGAAGGTTTGTCAGTATTTGTTGATCATTTCAAAAAACCAACTTTTGGTTTCAATGATTTTCCCCGTTTTTTTCTATTTCATATTTCATTAATTTCTACTTTAATCCTTTTTTTTTTTTGAGACAGTTTCGCTTTTGTTGCCCAGGCTGGAGTGCAATGGTGCGATCTCGGCTCACTGCAACCTCCACCTCCCGGGTTCAAGCGATTCTCCTGCCTCAGCCTCCCAAGTAGCTGGGACTACAGGCATGCACCACCATGCCCAGCTAATTTTGTATTTTTGGTAGAGAGAGGGTTTCTCCATGTTACTCAGGCTGGTCTCGAACTCCCGACCTCAGGTGATCTGCTCACCTTGGCCTCCCAAAATGCTGGGATTTCAGGCTTGAGCCACCGCGCCCAGCCTATTTCTACTCTAATCTTTTAATGTTTCCTTTCATCTACTAGCTTTGGGTTTAGTTTGCTCTCTTTTTTTCAGTGTTTTAAAGTAGAAGGCTAGGTTATTGGTTTAAGATCTTTCTTCAATTAAAAAAAACTGAGATGCAGTCTCACAATTTTGCCCAGGCTGGTCTTGAACTCCTGGGGTCAAGTGATCCTTCCACCTCAGCCTCCCAAGTAGCTGGGGCTACAGGAGCCTTTCTGCATTTTTTAATATAGGCATTTACAACTATAAAATTCCCTCCAAACACTGTTTTAGCTGTATCTCATAAGTTTTGGTATGTTGTATCTTTGTTTTTATTAATCTCAAAGTATTTTTTAATTTCCCTATGACTTCCTTTTAGACCCATTATTTATTTAGGATTATGTTAATTTCTTCATATTTGTGAATTTCCTAAATTTATTTTTGTTACTGATTTTTAATTTCATTCCATTGTGGTTAGAGAACAGATTTTGTATTATTTTCAATACTTTTTCTTTGAGACGGAGTCTTGCTCTGTTGCACAGGCTGGAGTGCAGTGGCACGATCTCAGCTCACTGCAACCTCCATCTCCCAAGTTCAAGCAATTCTCCTGCCTCAGCCTCCTGAATACTGGAGATCACAGATGTGCCACCATGCCCGGCTAATTTTTGTATTTTTAATAGACACGGTGTTTCATCATGTTGGCCAGACTGGTCTTGAACTCCTGACATCAGGTGATCTGCCCACCTTGGCCTCCCAAAGTGTTGGGATTACAGGAGTGAGCCACCATGCATGGCCTGTTTCAATACTTTTAAATTTATTGAGGCATAAAAGGTCTAGCATATGGTCTATCCTGGAGAATGTTTCATGTGCACCTAGGAAGACTGTATATCCTGCTGTTGTTGGTTGGCGTAGTCTATAGATTCTGTTAGGTATAGTGTGTAATCTAGCATATTACATAAACTTATAGACCAATATCTCTTATGAATGTAGATATGAAAATGCTAGGTATTATATTGTTGAAGTCTTCAATATCCTTGCTGATCTTGTGCCTATTGTTCTATCCATTATTAAAGTAGGGGCTGGGTTCAGTGGCTCATGCCTGTAATACCAGCACTTTAGCAGGCCGAGGTGAGAGGACTGCTTGAGCCCAGGAGTTCGAGACCAGTCTGGGCAACATAGTGAGATTCCATCTCTACAAAAAATAAAAAATTTGCCAGGTGTGATGGTGTACAGCTGTAGTTCTAGCTACTCAGGAGGCTGAGGTGGGAGGATTGCTTGAGACCAGCAGTTTGAGGCTACAGTGAGCTATGATTGCACCACTGTACTCCAGCCTGGGCAACAGAACAAGACCCCATATCTAAAAAAGAAAGAAAATAAAGAGGTGGATTGAAGTCTCCAAATATTTATTACTGTTGATTTGTCTATTTCTCTCTCCATTTCTGTCAGTGTTTGCTTCATATATTCTGGGGGCTCTGTTGTCAGATGTATATTCAGGCCCTTATAATTCTTCTGGATTATACAATATCTTCTTGTGTTCTGGCCTCTGTTTCTCAATATTACAGTTTGCTCTATACATTATTCCCAGATATATCTTTCTAAAGCAGTATTTTGTTGATATCACTTTCTAAAAACCCTTAAAAATCTTTATGCTACTAACAAAATGAGTTCAAACTTCTTGGATCTTTAATAATCCAGCTTCGACTTGCCTTTCCAATGGAATGGTCCACTACTATACTTCACCCCAGTTGGACCACTTGCCATTCCTTGAATGTGTCTACAAAGTTGTCATCTCTATTTCTTTGATCTATCTATCTGGAATGCTTGTACTTATCTCTATCATAACCCTTCCTATTATTCAGGGCCTATTCAACCATCATCTTTTCACTCCAACTGCAAATTTGCTTTCTTTTCTCTTAGTTACTTTTTATTTTATTCTTATAGCCCAAATCTCTTTCTTCCTTGTATTTGAGAAATCCATGCTTATATCTTACCATCTCCTTTAGGTAAGACATTCTTCAAGGGCAGAGCTTATATACTACTAATTTTTCTATTTCTAATAGTGCCTAGTAGATAGTACCTTGCACATAATAGACATAGTAGACATTTAATAAAGTTGTTAAATTCATGAGAATGTCACACTTTTGGAGACACGAGGTGTTTGAAGAGAAGCATTAAAATTGTTAGTCAGCTCAGAGAAGGGTTTATTACCTAGGCCTTCAAGAAGTTTTAGTTACTTACTCGTTCTTTTAACTGTATTACTTCTTTGTCTTTTTTCTGCTTCCACTGTCTAAACTTCTCAGCATCTTCTTTCATTTGACGCATTAACTGTACCCGCTGGTTTTTCATCATCTATAAAAACAAAAACCAGCAAAAGTATTAGTCATCTGCAGTTTATTCTAGGCTGGTGCGGATGGATAGACTTACCATTAAGAAGAGAGAAAAGCCAGAACTAGGCTGGGAAAGCAGTCCCCAACAGATTCCCTGATTAGGCTTACAATACCCCTTGCTATGCTTGCACAGGGTTTCCAAGTACAGGCTATACAAGTGAACACTGAGAAGAAATTAAATAAAAATGTACCTACAAGCTAAATCCAGCCCTAAATTCACTGTATACAAATGAAATTTCAAGGAAACATCTACTAAGCCTCCAGGACAAATCCACCTAGTAACCATTGTATTCTAAAGGTTTCAGTACAAGTAGCCTGTAACCACCACTTTGTTGGTGCCACAAGTTGAACATTCAATAACTGAGAATTTTCTCTAGGTGTCTGTCATCTTATTACTACTTTACAAAATTATGCTGCATGATCATGGAAGGTGATCAGGATATAACCCACTAAGTATGGAGATGTCTTTGTTCTTTGGTTTCAGAGACTCTAACATTAAATTTTGAATGTCAAAGCAACGTTTTATTAAGCAGATCCTAGATGACCACTAGCACAATGTTCTGCAAAAGGGACATTTGTGGAGATTCACACACTTGAAATGATTGCTCTGCCTGCTATTTTCTCACCTGAAAACACCTCTAGTATATTTCTAAATGGAATACCTATGTTTGTAAATTCCAATGGGGGTAAATGCAAGGATGAGAATTTATTACCCGTATCTCCTGGTTCAGTTTGGAGACAGTACGCTCTGTGGATTCCTTTAGTTTCAGAAGTTTGGACTGCTCATTCAGTTTCTTCTTCAGATCAGCAATTTGACCCTCCAGCTCCTGGAGACGTTTGCGGCGGCGCTCACTCAACCTAAACACAGATGCTGTAGAAGTGAGGACTACCAGCAGCAAAGCCTGACTTCAAAAGACATAATACTAGACTCCCAGAGTTACAACACTGACATATATAAAATAGGTGACTAGTCACATAGCCATCTTAAAAAAAGAATACCACCCAAACAACCAAACCTGTCTCAATAATAGGAGCTTAATACAAAGAGTAAGACAACTTTTAGTACACAGCAATGCAACTGCCTCAATATACGCCGCCCCTTTTGCATCAAAATGGTTCTTTGAAGGCATTTCACTTCACTTTAGCTATGAAGAATAATTCTGATGATTATTATACAAGTCTGAGATAGAAAGTAAACATTCAGCATAACTTTTACAAACATGAGCTTTAGACTCAACTGAGAGATAAAACGGAGTCACTGAGTAAAAAGAAGGTAGGATAGCCCATACGGCAGAGGTCTGAAGGAGAGTAGGATGTTATGGTTATCTGCTTTGGTTTTATTCTTAACTGGTAAGAGATGGCTAGATTGATTTTTTAAATCACTAGCCTGGACATTAATTCCATTCACAAGCTAATTTACCATTAGTGCAGGGACAAAGAAACTGCTGTTATCTAGTAAGTGTGATAATCTTTCAAAAGCCAGCTCAAATGCTAACTTTTTACAAAGCCTTCCTTGATCATGGTAGCCTGAATTGATATTCCTCGCCTCTGAACTCTTAACACAATTACTGCCTAAGAAATTTATTTGGCTACTAATCATGTGCTGTGTTATGACATTCTTTTACTGTCAACTTGAGACGCTATTTAAAATTGCAATTATTTAACCATTTTTTGTGTTTAGGTTTCCTCTTCATAATTAGGTTTAAATCTTTAGGGGCAGTAAATGGGACTTCTACTTCTCTATTTCTTGCAAAGCTCCTCACACATAGTAGGGACTTGAAATAACATTTATTAACTTTATTCTTACTTGGCTTGGTTGGCATCCTTCTTTGCTGTCTGAAGTTCAAGAACCAATTCTTCCTTTTCCTTTTGCAGATTGATGACTTCTAATTCTAGCTCTTTTATGTTATCCTAGAAAGGTTATAGGTCAAAGAGAAAGAAGACATTATATGGCACAGGAAGAAAAATCACTTCAGCATTCCATGTCTCAAGGAACTATGCATTAATTTTTACCACTTCAACTGCACGCTGAAAACATTTACTCTTGATTTGATGGAGATTAAAATTATGTAGTAGGAAATGTTTGGAATCTGAGGGTCTGGGTTTTAATCTTGACTGCCACGCTTACTATATAAGTATCTTTAAGGAAAGTCACTTCATCTTTTAGTTTTGGTTTCTGTTCAGAAAAGAGTTTGTGTGTGTGTGTGTGTGTGTATGTGTGTGTGTGTGTGTGTACATGTGTGTGTATATATATATACGTATATGTGTATATATGTATATATATGTGTATATATACGTATATATATATATACACGTATATATGTATATATATACGTATATATATACACGTATATGTGTATATATATACGTATATATATACACGTATATATGTATATATATACGTATATATATACACGTATATATGTATATATATACGTATATATATACACGTATATATGTATATATATACGTATATATATACACGTATATATGTATATATATACGTATATATATATATATATATATATATATATATACATACACACACATGTATATATATATGTTGCCCAGGTTGGTCTTGAACTCCTGGGCTCAAGTGATCCTCCTGCCTCTGCCTCCCAAAGTGCTAGGATTACAGGTGTGTGCCACCACATCTGGCTCTTCATTTGCTTATTTTCTTTCTTTTTTTCTTTTCTTTTCCCTCCCTCCCTCCTTCCCTTCTTCCTTCTTCCTTTCCTTTCCCTCCCTCCCCGTTCTCCCCCTCCTTCTCTGTCTGTCTCTTTCTTTCTTTTGAGACAGAGTCTCACTCTTACCTAGGCTGGAGTACAGAGGCATGATCATGGTTCACTGCAGCCTTTATCTCCCGGGCTCAAGTGATCCTCCCACCTTAGCCTCCTGAGTAGCAAGGACTACAGGAGTCTGCCACCAACTTGGCTAATTTTTGTATTTTTTTGTAGTGATGGGGTTTCGCCATGTTGCCCAGGCTGGTCTTAAACTCCTGGGCTCAAGCGATCCTCCCACCTTGGCCTCCTTAAAGTGCTAGGATTATAGGCGTGAGCCATGGCACCCAGCCCCATAAATCTTAACTGTGAGTATGACTATATGCTGAGTCCTGTGAGTCCTCCTAGTGAATCATTTGATCTAGGGGAGCTCTTGGGGACTCCCAAAGGTTTCCCTATCTATGTCAATAATTAATAATAACACCTACCTCACAGGGTTGTTGGGAAGATCAAATAAGATAAAAAGGTAGACATTTTGTAAACTGTAAAGAGCTGCACAAATATTCTTATATTCAGAACTTTCAAACTTATCTACTCAATAACAACTGCAGTTCTGCATGCATTTGGAAAACGAAGTCTAGCCCTTTCCCTCTCCCTCTCCCTCTCCCTCTGTCTCCCTCTCCCCACGGTCTCCCTCTCCCTCTCTTTCCACGGTCTCCCTCTGATGCCGAGCCGAAGCTGGACTGTACTGCTGCCATCTTGGCTCACTGCAACCTCCCTGCCTGATTCTCCTGCCTCAGCCTGCCTAGTGCCTGCGATTGCAGGCGCGCGCCACCACGCCTGACTGGTTTTCGTATTTTTTTGGTGGAGACGGGGTTTCGCTGTGTTGGCTGGGCTGGCCTCCAGCTCCTAACCGTGAGTGATCCGCCAGCCTCGGCCTCCCGAGGTGCCGGGATTGCAGACGGAGTCTGGTTCACTCAGTGCTCAATGGTGCCCAGGCTGGAGTGCAGTGGCGTGATCTCGGCTCGCTACAACCTCCACCTCCCAGCCGCCTGCCTTGGCCTCCCAAAGTGCCGAGATTGCAGCCTCTGCCCGGCCGCCACCCCGTCTGGGAAGTGAGGAGCGTCTCTGCCTGGCCGCCCATCGTCTGGGACGTGAGGAGCCCCTCTGCCTGGCTGCCCAGTCTGGAAAGTGAGGAGCGTCTCTGCCGGCCGCCATCCCATCTAGGAAGTGAGGAGCGCCTCTTCCCGGCCGCCATCCCATCTAGGAAGTGAGGAGCGTCTCTGCCTGGCCGCCCATCGTCTGAGATGTGGGGAGCGCCTCTGCCCTGCCGCCCCATCTGGGATGTGAGGAGCGCCTCTACCCGGCCGTGACCCCGTCTGGGAGGTGAGGAGCGTCTCTGCCCGGCCACCCCGTCTGAGAAGTGAGGAGACCCTCCGCCTGGCAACCGCCCCGTCTGAGAAGTGAGGAGCCCCTCCACCCGGCAGCCGCCCCATCTGAGAAGTGAGGAGCCCCTCCGCCCGGCAGCCGCCCCATCTGAGAAGTGAGGAGCCCCTCCACCTGGCAGCCACCCCGTCTGGGAAGTGAGGAGCGTCTCCGCCCAGCAGCCGCCCCGTCCGGGAGGGAGGTGGGGGGGTCAGGCCCCGCCCGGCCAGCCGTCCCGTCCGGGAGGGAGGTAGGGGGGTCAGCCCCCCACCTGGCCAGCCGCCCCATCCGGGAGGGAGGTGGGGGGGTCAGCCCCCCGCCCGGCCAGCTGCCCCGTCCGGGAGGTAAGGGGCGCCTCTGCCCGGCCGCCCCTACTGGGAAGTGAGGAGCCCTTCTGCCCGGCCACCACCCCGTCTGGGAGGTATACCCAACAGCTCACTGAGAACGGGCCATGATGACAATGGCGGTTTTGTGGAATAGAGCGGGGGGAAAGGTGGGGAAAAGATTGAGAAATCGGATGGTTGCCGTGTCTGTGTAGAAAGAGGTAGACATGGGAGACTTTTCATTTTGTTCTGTACTAAGAAAAATTCTTATCCTGTTGATCTGTGACCTTACCCCCAACCCTGTGCTCTCTGAAACATGTGCTGTGTCCACTCAGGGTTAAATGGAAAAAAAAAAAAAGAAAACGAAGTCTAGAAACTGAAGTTTGACAGTGGAAAACCCAAATTCCATCCTATTCTCATAACCAAAAAAGATTGGCGAAAACTGACTGGATGAGTAGTTGGCAGCCAAGAAGATTATATGCACGCCCTAGACCAGTATTAGACTGACACGAATAAGCAGAGGCAGATTAGGTGGGGCTATATCAGAGAAGCTTTCTAAATAGCCTAGAGCTGTTTTCCAAGCAATGTACTCAGTCACTTCAGTATAACCAATGAAAATCAATCTTTATAGTTACCTTGCTTTTTTTTTTTTTTTTTTGAGACAGAGTCTTGCTCTGTCACATAGGCTGGAGTGCAGTGGTGTGATCTCGGCTTACTGCAACCTCTGTCTCCCAGGTTCAAAAGATTCTTGTGCCCCAGTCTCCCAAGTAGCTGAGATTACAGGCACCTGCCACCACACTTGGCTAATTTTTGTATTTTTAGTAGAGACAGGGTTTCACCATGTTGGCCAGGCTGGTCTCGAACTCCTGAGCTTAAGTGATCCACCTCCCTTGGCCTCCCAAAGTATTGGGATTATAGGCATGAGCCACCACGCCCAAACTACCCTGCATATTTAAAACCACTAATAACATGGGTGTGTATGTATGTATGTGTATATTCATATATTCTTTATTTGATATATTCTACATTTATTCTATATTCTATACATACAGAATATATATGATATATTCTATATTACATATATTCTATATATAGTATATCATATATTCTATATTACATATATTCTATATTTATCTATACTTATAGAAAAATATATTCTATATTTTTACTTATAGAAGTAACATATAAATATATTTATATAAAAAAATAGATAATACTTGTAAAGGTCAAGTCTCCTTGACTGCCTCAACCCTGCCAAAATTCCAGTCCCCCTCCAGAAGTAAGCACTGTTATCAGCTTGATGCATACCTTCCATTTTTTGCAGACATTTACATAGTCAAATATTACATATCTAGACATTTACAGTCATATGTCACTTAATAACAGGAATACATTCTGAGAAACGCATTGTTAAGCAATTTCATCATTGTGTGAACATGATAGTGTGCACTTATACAAATCTATATAGTATAGCCTACTATACACCCAGGCTATATGGTATAGCCTATTGCTCCTAGGCTATAAAACTGTATATCATGTGACTGTACATCATATGACTGTACTGAATACTGTGGGCAATTATAACATAATGGTATTTTGTATCTAAACATAATGGTACAGTAAAAATACAGTATTACAATCTTATGGGACTATCATTGTATCCATGGTCTGTCACTGACTGAAATGTCATTATTTGGTGCATGATTATATATTAAACAAATGTATTATATATTACATATCACATAATATCCATTACTAGAATATATAATTGATGTAAGTATATAGTATATACACACACACACGTGTGTGTTTATACCAAATAAAATGTGTTAAACATAGAATTTTATATATATATATGTTATTCTGTAACTTGCCATTTTTAACTTAATTAGTCATGGAGATTTATTTATATCAGCATATACAGATCTGCCTCATTTTTTTTCCATAATGAAATATTCTGCTACATGATTTCTGTGCACATGTGCAAGGTTTTACTAGGGTAGAAAGAAGTGGGAATTACAGAGTCATGAGGATATACATTTTCTTTTTTTATAGATACTGCCAAATTGTCATCCAAAGGGGCTATTCCACTCTTACCAGCTATGTATGAGAGTACTTTGCTTGCACCCTTGTCAACATTTGATATTGCTACACCTAAAAACTGTTACCAATCTGATAGATGAAAAATAGTTTCTAGGGGGTGGAGCCAAGATGGCTGAATAGGAACAGCTCCAGTCTACAGCTCCCAGCGTGAGCAATGCAGAAGACAAATGATTTCTGCATTTCCAACTGAGGTACCAGGTTCGTCTCACTGGGGATTGTCAGAGAGTGGGTGCAGGACAGTGTGTGCAGCGCACCAAGCGTGAGCCGAAGCAGGGCGAGGCATCGCCTCACCCAGGAAGCGGAAGGGGTCACAGAATTCCCCTTCCTAGCCAAGGAAAGGGGTGACAGACGGCACCTGGAAAATCGGGTCACTCCGACCCTAATACTGCGCTTTTCCAAAGGTCTTAGCAAATGGCACACCAGAAGATTGTATCCCACACCTGGCTCAGAGGGTCCTACACCCATGGAGCTTCGCTTATTGCTAGCACAGCAGTCTGAGATCAAACTGCAAGGCAGCAATGAGGCTGTGGGAGGGGCGCCCACCATTGCCTAGGCTTGAGTAGGTAAACAAAGAGGCTGGGAAGCTCGAACTGGGTGGAGCCCACCGCAGCTCAAGGACACCTGCCTGCCTCTGTAGACTCCACCTCTGGGGGCAGGGCATAGCCAAACAAAAGGCAGCAGAAACCCCTGCAGACTTAAATGTCCCTGTCTGACAACTTTGAAGAGACTAGTGGTTCTCCCAGCACACAGCTGAAGATCTGAGAACGAAAAGACTGCCTCCTCAAGTGGGTCCCTGACCCCTGAGTAGCCTAACTGGGAGGCACCCCCCAGGAGGGGCAGACTGACACCTCACACGGCCGGGTGCTCCTCTGAGACAAAATTTCCAGAGGAACGATCAGGCAGCGACATTTGGTGTCCACCAATATCCCCTGATCTGCAGCCTCCGCTGCTGATACCCAGGCAAACAGGGTCTGGAGTGGACCTCCAGCAAACTCCAACATACCTGCAGCTAAGGGTCTTGACTGTTACAAGGAAAACTAACAAACAGAAAAGACATCCACACCAAAACCCCATCTGTAGGTCACCATCATCAAAGACCAAAGGTAGATAAAAACCACAAAGGTGGGGAAAAAACAGAGCAGAAAAACTGAAAATTCTAACAATCAGAGCAGCTCTCCTCCTCCAAAGGAACGCAGCTCCTCACCAGCAATGGAGCAAAGCTGGACGGAGAATGACTTTGACAAGATGAGAGAAGGCTTCAGACGATCAAACTACTCCGAGCTAAAGGAGGAAGTTCGAACCCATGACAAAGAAGTTAAAAACCTTGAAAAAAGATTAGACAAATGGCTAACTAGAATAACCAATGCAGAGAAGTCCTTCAAGGACCTGATGGAGCTGAAAACCACAGCACGAGAACTACGTGACGAATGCACAAGCCTCAGTAGCCGACGTGATCAACTTGAAGAAAAGGTATGAGTGATGGAAGATCAAATGAATGAAATGAAGCGAGAAGATAAGTATAGAGAAAAAAGAATAAAAAGAAATGAACAAAGCCTCCAAGAAATATGGGACTATGTGAAAAGACCAAATCTATGTCTGATTGGTGTACCTGAAAGTGACGGGGAGAATGGAACCAAGTTGGAAAACACTCTGTAGGATATTATCCAGGAGAACTTCCCCAATCTAGCAAGGCAGGCCAGCATTCAGATTCAGGAAATACAGAGAACGCCACAAAGATACTCCTCGAGAAAAGCAACTCCAAGACAAATAATGGTCAGATTCACCAAAGTTGAAATGAAGGAAAAAATGTTAAGGGCAGCCAGAGAGAAAGGTCGGGTTACCCACAAAGGGAAGCCCATCAGACTAACAGCTGATCTCTTGGCAGAAATTCTACAAGCCAGAAGAGAGTGGGGGCCAATATTCAACATTCTTAAAGAAAAGAATTTTCAACCCAGAATTTCATATCCAGTCAAACTAAGCTTCATAAGTGAAGAAGAAATAAAATCCTTCGCAGACAAGCAAATGCTGAGAGATTTTGTCACCACCAGGCCTGCCCTAAAAGAGCTCCTGAAGGAAGCACTAAACATGGAAAGGAACAACTGGGACCAGCCACTGCAAAAACATACCAAATTGTAAAGACCATCGAGGCTAGGAAGAAACTGCATCAACTAACGAGCAAAATAACCAGCTAACATCATAATGACAGGATCAAATTCACACATAACAATATTAACCTTAAATGTTAACGGGCTAAATGCTCCAATTAAAAGACACAGACTGGCAAACTGGATAAAGAGTCAAGACCCATCAGTGTGCTGTACTCAGGAAACCCATCTCACGTGCAGAGACACACATAGGCTCAAAATAAAGGGATGGAGGAAGATCTACCAAGCAAATGGAAAACAAAAAAAGGCAAGGGTTGGAATCCTAGTCTTGGATAAAACAGACTTTAAACCAACAAAGATCAAAAGAGACAAGGAAGGCCATTAAATAATGGTAAAGGGATCAATTCAACAAGAAGAGCTAACTATCCTAAATATATATGCACCCAATACAGGAGCACCCAGATTCATAAAGTAAGTCCTTAGAGACCTACAAAGAGACTTAGACTCCCACACAATAATAATGGGAGACTTTAACACCTCACTGTCAACATTAGACAGATCAATGAGACAGAAAATTAACAAGGATATCCAGGAATTGAACTCAGCTCTGCACCAAGCGGACCTAATAGACATCTACAGAACTCTCCATCCCAAATCAACAGAATATACATTCTTTTCAGCACCACACCACACCTATTCCAAAACTGACCACATAGTTGGAAGTAAAGCACTCCTCAGCAAATGTAAAAGAACAGAAATTATAACAAACTGTCTCTCAGACCACAGTGCAATCAAATTAGAACTCAGGATTAAGAAACTCAAAACTGCTCAACTACATGGAAACTGAACAACCTGCTCCTGAATGACTGACTACTGGGTACATAACAAAATGAAGGCAGAAATAAAGATGTTCTTTGAAACCAATGAGAACAAAGACACAACATACCAGAATTTCTGGGACACATTCAAAGCAGTGTGTAGAGGGAAATTTATAGCACTAAATGCCCACAAGAGAAAGCAGGAAAGATCTAAAATTGGCACCCCAACATCAAAATTAAAAGAACTAGAGAAGCAAGAGCAAACACATTCAAAAGCTAGCAGAAGGTAAGAAATAACTAAGATCAGAGCAGAAATGAAGGAAATAGAGACACAAAAAACCCTTCAAAAAAATCAATGAATCCAGGAGCTGGTTTTTTGAAAAGATCAACAAAATTCATAGACCGCTAGCAAGACTAATAAAGAAGAAAAGAGAGAAGAATCAAATAGACTGGACGCAATAAAAAATGATAAAGGAGATATCACCGCCGATCCCACAGAAATACAAACTACCATCAGAGAATACTATAAACACCTCTATGCAAATAAACTAGAAAATCTAGAAGAAATGGATAAACTCCTCGACACATACACCCTCCCAAGACTAAACCAGGAAGAAGTTGAATCTCTGAATAGACCAGTAACAGGATCTGAAATTGTGACAATAATTAATAGCTTACCAACCAAAAAAAGTCCAGGACCAGATGGATTCACAGCCGAATTCTACCAGAGGTAGAAGGAGGAGCTGGTACCGCTGCTTCTGAAACTATTCCAATCAATAGAAAAAGAGGGAATCCTCCCTATCTCATTTTATGAGGCCAGCATCATCCTGATACCAAAGCCTGACAGAGACACAACAAAAAAAGAGAATTTTAGACCAATATCCCTGATGAACATCGATGCAAAAATCCTCAATAAAATACTGGCAAACCGAATCCAGCAGCACATCAAAAAGCTTATCCGCCATGATCAAGTGGGCTTCATCCCTGGGATGCAAGGCTGGTTCAACATACGAAAATCAATAAACGTAATCCAGCATATAAACAGAACCAATGACAAAAACCACATGATTATCTCAGTAGATGCAGAAAAGGCCTTTGACAAAATTCAATAACCCTTCATGCTAAAAACTCTCATTAAATTAGGTATTGATGGGACGTATCTCAAAATAATAAGAACTATCTATGACAAACCCACAGCCAATATCATACTGAATGGGCAAAAACTGGAAGCATTCCCTTTGAAAACTGGCACAAGACAGGGATGCCCTCTCTCACCACTCCTATTCAACATAGTGTTGGAAGTTCTGGCCAGGGAAATCAGACAGGAGAAGGAAATGAAGAGTATTCAATTAGGAAAAGAGAAAGTCAAATTGTCCCTGTTTGCAGATGACATGATTGTATATCTAGAAAACTCCATCGTCTCAGCACATAATCTCCTTAAGCTGATAAGCAACTTCAGCAAAGTCTCAGGATACAAAATCAATGTGCAAAAATCACAAGCATTCTTATACACCAATAACAGACAAACAGAGAGCCAAATCATGAGTGAACTCCCATTCACAATGGCTTCAAAGAGAATAAAATACCTAGGAATCCAACTTACAAGGGATGTGAAGGACCTCTTCAAGGAGAACTACAAACCACTGCTCAACGAAATAAAAGGGGATACAAACAAATGGAAGAACATTCCATGCTCATGGGTAGGAAGAATCAATATTGTGAAAATGGCCATACTGCCCAAGGTTATTTATAGATTCAATGCCATCCCCATCAAGCTACCAATGACTTTCTTCATAGAATTGGAAAAAACTACTTTAAAGTTCATATGGAAACAAAAAAAGAGCCTGCATTGCCAAGTCAATCCTCAGCCAAAAGAACAAAGTTGGAGGTATCATGCTACCTGATTTCAAACTATACTACAAGGCTACAGCAACCAAAACAGCATGGTACTGGTACCAAAACAGAGATATAGATCAATGGAACAGAACAGAGCCCTCAGAAATAATGCCGCATATCTACAACTATCTGATCTTTGACAAACCTGACAAAAACAAGCAATGGGGAAAGGATTCCCTATTTAATAAATGGTGCTGGGAAAACTGGCTAGCCATATGTAGAAAGCTGAAACTGGATCCCTTCCTTACACCTTATACAAAAATTAATTCAAGATGGATTAAAGACTTACATGTTAGACCTAAAACCATAAAAACCCTAGAAGAAAACCTAGGCAATACCATTCAGGACACAGGCATGGGCAAAGACTTCATGTCTAAAACACGAAAAGCAATGGCAACAAAAGACAAAATTGACAAATGGGATCTAATTAAACTAAGGAGCTTCTGCACAGCAAAAGAAATTACCATCAGAGTGAAGAGGCAACCTACAGAATGGCAGAAAATTTTCGCAACCTACTCATCTGACAAAGGGCTAATATCCAGAATCTACAATGAACTCAAACAAATTTACAAGAAAAAAACAAACAACCCCATCAACAAGTGGTCAAAGGATATGAACAGACATTTCTCAAAAGAAGACATTTATGCAGCCACAAGACACATGAGAAAATGCTCATCATCACTGGCCATCAGAGAAATGCAAATCAAAACCACAATGAGATACCATCTCACACCAGTTAGAATGGTGATCATTAAAGTCAGGAAACAATAGGTACTGGAGAGGATGTGGAGAAATAGGGACACTTTTACACTGTTGGTGGGACTGGAAACTAGTTCAACCATTGTGGAAGTCAGTGTGGCGATTCCTCAGGGATCTAGAACTAGAAATACCATTTGACCCAGCCATCCCATTACTGGGTATATACCCAAAGGATTATAAATTATGTTGCTATAAAGACACATGAACACGTATGTCTATTGCAGCACTGTTCACAATAGCAAAGACTTGGAACCAACCCAAATGTCCAACAATGATAGACTGGATTAAGAAAATGTGGCACATATACAGCATGGACTATGTAGCCATAAAAAATGATGAGTTCATGTCCTTTGTAGGGACATGGATGAAGCTGGAAACCATCATTCTCAGCAAACTATTGCAAGGACAAAAAACCAAACACTGCATATTCTCACTCATAGGTGGGAATTGAACAATGAGAACACATGGACACAGGAAGGGGAACATCACACACCGGGGCCTGTTGTGGGGTCAGGGGACGGGGGAGGGATAGCATTAGGAGATATACCTAATGTTAAATGACGAGTTAATGGGTGCAGCACACCAACATGGCACATGTATACATATGTAACAAAGCTGCATGTTGTGCACCTGTACCCTAAAACTTACAGTATAATTAAAAAAAAAAAGAAAAATAGTTTCTATTCATTATATACACCACATTTAGTCCCTAATTGTCTTACCAACTCCACAAGGGGGAATTATTCAAAAATTTGAGTCCTGGTTTACTACAACTCATGGTAATCTTCATTAATCAGAACCTATCCCTCCCCCTATTTTTCTTTGGCAATTCTTTACAGGTGATAGGAAAAATACCATGCTACTCAGGAGGCTGAGGTGGGAGGATCCCTTGAACCCAGGAAGTCAAGGCTGTAGTGAGCTATGATCATGCCACTGCACTCCAGCCTGGGCGAGAGAGTGAGACTTTGTCTCTAGATAAATAAATAATTGAATTAAAAACTGCTTTTATTTCTTAGAGAAAAAAAAAGATGGTGATTCACATGTGATTAAAACATATTGATTATATTAAGAATTTATTTCAGGCCTTGTGCAGTGGCTCATGCCTGTAATGCCAGCACTTTGGGAGGCCGAGGCGGGCAGATAACCTAAGGTCAGGAGTTCAAGACCAGCCTGGCCAACATGGTGAAACCCTGTCTCTACTAAAAATACAAAAATTAGCCAGGCATGGTGGCACAGGCCTGTAATCCCAGCTACTCAGGAGGCTGAGGCAGGAGAATTGCTTGAACTCAAGAGGTGGAGGTTGCAGTGTGCAGAGATTGCGCCACTACACTCCAGCCTGGGTGACAGAGCAAGACTCTGTCTCAAAAAAAATTTATTTCTTCTTAAGTTAATCAAGCATATTTGATACCATGGGGAAAAGGACTAGATGCCATGGGGAAAAAGACTAGATCTCTTACTATAGCTATAGCTCCTTACTAGCACCCCTTTGTAGAGTTAGGAATACAATGGGCGGGGCACCCAGCACTGGTCCTCCCAAGATGGTGATATGCATCCCGGTGATCACCAAGGAGAATTACCCTCTCTACATCCGCAGCACCCCCACGGAGAAAGAGCTGAGTTTCCAGTACATGGTGCACACATCTCTGGATGTGGTGGATGAGAAGATCTCCTCAATGGGGAAGGCCTTGGTCAACCAGAGAGAGGTCTATCTGGACCTGCTCTACCCCACAGAGGACTACAAGGTCTTGCCTCATAAGTCACTAGAGACTCTCGACCAGTCCCTTTGGACAAATCACTTGAGACCATGGAGTTCAAAGACGTTCCAAGAGCAGTAATGTAGCTTGTCCATGGTGACATTTACCAGTAGCCACTATTTTACAAAACATGGCCTCTACAGAGGAGGTCCGCCTTATTCATGAAGTCTCTGGTTTTGCAGTTAACTTTCTGGACCAGGCATTGATTCACAAAGAGGGTGAGGCATCCCAGGTGCACACAGAGACTCAGAGTCTGAATGGCTCAGCTTCCGGAGCCAGAATTGGGTAAAGCTTAGCTGCCTGCCCTTTGCTTCTCCAGTAAACACCAGTCATCCCAGTGAAGTATGTAGGCATGCACCCAGTATGGTCACTGCAGGACCAGCCCAGCCTGGGCACTTCCTGTGATTCAAGGTTGCCAGGCTTCTCCAAACTGAGGGCACACAGAGGGCCCTCAGCTGGCAGGTTCTTTACCTGCTGTCCCAGCAGTCCTTGTCTTACAAGTGCATTCCCTAACCAGCTATGCAGACAGGGCTACACTACCATCTCCAAGGTGAAGTTTGTCATGGTGGTGAATTCCTCCAACACAGCTCTTCGAGACAATGAAATTCACAGGATGTTCTGGAAGCTGCACAACTCCTACATAGATGTGATGTGCAACCCCTTCTGTAACCCGGGGACAATATCCAGTCCAGGGACTTTGATAACATGGTGATGTATATAATGATACAGGTCTGCTGAGTGAGAACTCTGCCACCAGACATTGCAGACGGAAGCTTCAGCATGTGACTGTTGTGGGGATGTCTGCCTCTTCCTGAATGTGATGCCCATGGCATTTGGGGCAAGGCCCCATGCATGCTGCACCTCAAATAAAGCTCTTGTGAGATGAGATTTGGCTTTTTCCTTTTGTGTTAGCAGAGGATTTAACTAAGGAGAATTCAGCTACAGTCCTTTAGTGGTGTGGGCAGAGGTTAGTGACCAGACACAGCAGGAAGTCTGCCCCCAATAGGCTCGAAGCGGGGCAGGCAGGGGTGCCTGGAGCTGAGAGCTCTGGAGCCCACGGGACCTGTGACCACGTGGGCTGCCTCTGCTGCTCCCTCTGCCCTTGCTGTGGCTGCCCATTGGCTGAACGGGTGGGCTGGTCCATAGGGGTTAGCCTCCTGAGCCCACATCCAGCCTAGGATCTAGGGGCAAATGGGGAGCCCTTCCAACGTGCACATTCCCATGGGGGAGGGCCCTCCTCTTTCTGGACTCGGCCTCCATTCTTTGCATGTGGTCCAACATCTGGACACAGCCCAGGCCTTAGAAGGAGCCCTCGTGAAATTTGGAAAGCCTCAGGTCAGCCTGCTTCTGAAACCCTACAGTGGCAGACTCAAGGTGCCCTTTCCTGCCTGTTGGTGCAGAGTAGGTTAGGATCTGGCTGCTGCTCTCCAGATCCCTGGGCAGGCTGCTCCGGGAGCACATGGCTAGGACGAGCCAGTTGGATCTGCCCTTTCTGCCCAGAAGCCCTGCAGCCAAAGTTCAGATAATGACCAGGCCTGAGGTGTCAACCAGGACTGAGGTGACGGTTCAGGCGGCCCAGGCCTGCCTCCCCAATGTCGCTTGTTGACGTGGCTGAGTGACGACTACCCAGGGCAGTGGCAGAGGCCACAAGGACCACCCACGTGGCTGAGCCCTCAGCACATTCCTCGCTCCATGTGTAGTCAGTACCAGCAGGGTTGAGCAACCAAGGCTCGGCCTGCTGAGGAGCCCCCTTCTCTCCCCAGCCTATCCTCCCACCCCCCAGCACTTGTCTAGGACTAGAGAGTTTCTCAAGGACCTTCCATGATCCCAGAATCCCCTGGGAGCAGGTAAGACTGTTAACGTGGGTTAGTCAGGGGCAAGGCACAGGGAGGTGAACTTTTTCTCTACCCATCTTTGGATTTTCATGTCTTCCAATAAGTGCAGTGTTAATTTTATAAATTACAGAAGAAAAAGAAATCAGCTAGGAGTGTGTGTGTGAAAACCGCGTGCCCCAGGCCTCCCCTGCCCCAGGGTGAATTGGAAGCCCTGGAGTGGGCTGAGGCATGCCAGGCAGCTGATTCGGGTGCACGTGGGCCACAAGCCACCCTCACAGGGTTAAATATTTAACAAGAGCCTCGTATTTGTTAAGACAAGGCAGGACCCCAGCCCAAGCACCTCTCCCCTGCAGCCAGGCATGAAACCTTTGGCTTTTAGTGGGAATCACCCCTGCCTAAGTCCTGGCTGTGGCGGGGACTGCAAATCGTTAACCCAGCATCTATTCTCCTTCCTCCCTACTAACAGAATCCCAGTGCTTCTGCCCAATTCTGACAAGCGGGCAGGCAAAAGCCATGTCCTACCCTCCCTCACAACCCAGGGTGGGCAGTTGTAGCATGCAAGTGGATGATGTCGGGAGAGACTTGCAGGAAAGAACCTGTAAAGGGAGCTCAGCTGACATGTGCAGTACCCTTCACCTTTGCCTTCTTCCTGCCTGGAATGTGGATGTGATGGCTGGTGCTCAGACAGCTGTCTTGAGAGCATGAGGAAAAGATTCACACCCTAAGGCCAAGGAAGCAGAAAGCAGGAAGGATCCTGGGCCTTTGCTGCTGTACGTGCCCCAGACTACTTATGTTCAGCTTTTTTTTTTTTTTTAAAATGTGAGAAAATAAATATACCCCTCTCCGGTTAAAGAAAGAAAGAAAGAAAGAGAGAGAGAGAGAGAGAAAGAAAGAAAGAAAGAAATACAGTGGGGGAACACATATCCCCATGTTTCTAGGCAAGAGTACAAGAAAGGAGGAATCACTTCTCAGCCTTACCAGTAATCCTTTGTTTATCCTGGAAAAGCCAAAATACATTTGACCTTAAAGAGGCTGCATTGTATGTCCTATTAACATGGACAATTGAGCTACATATTTAACTTACTCCCTCCTGAAATCACATGAAAATGAACAAAAAAGGAGGTATAAATCAACGAGAATGAAAAGAGACAAGGAAAGCAGTTGAGAGATATCAACAAACTTTTGGAAGAAGAAAACAGCTGGATAAGCAGTAACTGACATCCAGAGTGGAAAAAGCTAAAATATAACTCCTACAGGACAAACATCAAGAAGAAGCATGCCAATATGTACCACAGAGCCACAGAGTAGAGCAGAGGCTTCCTTTCTGGAGAGGCCGAACCTAACAGGTTGGACACAGCTAATAGCAGGGATGCAGTACCATACTGCTGACAGGGATTAAATAAAAGTCTGTCTATGATTGGAGAGACTTCAACTCCCTTATTTTGTCTGGGTTACTAGAATGATGGCATACCACCACTAGGCCCATACAACTCTAGGCAAAAGAATAAAAGATTTCTTTATTGGAAATTGACTAGCCTAAGAGAAATCCATGCACATACAACTTGCTATTGGCTTTTAGTGCCTCCCTCTTAAATATGAATGGATAGCCATGGCTCACTAGAAATTGTAGGAAAGTATCTTACCTGAAAGACAGACCAAAACAAACACAGTAGAGAAAGGAAATCTGGAGGAAACAAAGGCAAGGCAGGGAGAAGAAGAAAACCTTGATAAAATTTAATTCCTATTCTTAGAGATGGGCTATGCATCCACACAAAAAGAATAAAAGGCTATAAGAAGGAACAATTACAGGATCAAAAGGAGACCTTGGAAATTAATAGCCAAATGAAATAATTCACTAAGAATGAAGGGAAATCTCTCAGAGTGGAATAAAAAGACAAAGAAATAGAAAATAGGAAGAAAGAGATCAGAAAAGCAGAAACTAAATCTAAGAGGTCCAATATCTGACTAAGAGAAGTGCAAGAAAGAGAAAACAGAGAAAATGTAGAGATAGCATTATCAAAGAAATGATAGGAAAAAAACCGCCCAGAAAGGAGTACAAATTTCTAGATTGAAAGGACCAGTCGAGCACCAAGCACAATAAACGAGAAAAGAAGGCTGGGTGTGGTGGTACATACCTGTAATCCCAGCACTTTAGGACTGGGAGGCTGGGAGGATCACTACAGACCAGGAATTTGAGACCAGCCTCAGCAACATAGTGAGACCCCATCTCTACAAAAAATAAAAAATTAGCCAGGCATGGTGGCACATGCCTGTAGTCCCAGCAACTTGGGATGCTGAGGCAGGAGGACCACCTGAGCCCAGGAAGTTGAGGCTGCAGTGAGCTGTGATGGCACCACTGCACTCCAGCCTGGGTAACAGAGCAAGACCCTGTCTCTATAAAAACAACAATAATAACAACAACAACAAAAAAACAACAGGAAACCATACCAAGGTCCATCATTGTGAAATTAAGTAACACCTGGGGACAATGAAAAGATCCTGAAAGTTTCCAAAGTAAAAAAAAATAGGTCTATAACAAATAATCCAAAATTATAATAGACTTCTCAACAGCAATACTGGAAACAGAAGACAATGGAGCAAGGCCTTCAAAATAATGAAGAAAACATTTCTATAGAATTGTAAACCCAGCCAAACTAACAAGTAAAAGAATTTTTAAAAAGCAATTTTCAGACATGCAAAGCTTTAAAGTATTTCCCTTTCATGTATACATTCTCAGAAAGCTATTGGGGTTTTACTCCACCAAAGCAAAGGGGTATACTAAAGAGGAGGAAGACATGAAATCCATGTCAACACAGATGAGAAAGAAGTGAAGCAAATCCCCAGGATGATGGTCCCAAACTGGTGAGTGGGCAACAGCCCTAGAGAAAGCAAACCAGGACAGAAGATTCCAGAACGGTTGTTTTCAGGAAAGAAATGGATTGATAAATTATCTGGTATGTCTGACCACAATGAAGAGTTTTATAGTTTTTTTGTTTGTTTGTTTGTTTTTGAGATGGAGTCTTGCTCTGTCGCCCAGGCTGGAGTGCAGTGGCGTGATCTCGGCTCACTGCAAGCTCCGCCTCCTGGGTTCACGCCATTCTCCTGCCTCAGCCTCCCCAGTAGCTGGGACTACAGGCGCCCGCCACCATGCTCGGCTAATTTTTTGTATTTTTAGTAGAGACGGGGTTTCACCGTGTTAGCCAGGATGGTCTCTATCTCCTGACCTCGTGATCCGCCCGCCTCGGGCTCCCAAAGTGCTGGGATGAGTTTTACAGTTTTGTCAAGAAGTTTGGAGATAAAATTATTGACAGGTATATCGAAAACTAAGTAAATGGAAAAAATGAGATTATTATCTCTAGCAAATACAAAGAGCTATACAAGAAAGGAAATGCAATCATACTATATGGCTCAATTTTAAACATATTTATGTAATCAGAAAAATTTAAACACTAAATACTCATTTAAACAAAAAGGGTGATATAACCATTTTGAAAGAAGAAGGTGAGGCAGTGTGCACAGGTGGTGGGATAAGAGAGCTACGTTCTTGTCTTCCATCATGGGAGGTCAATAGATATTTATCTAAAAAATGTAACATAATTATACTGCCAATTCTTATCTAGAAATATGGAGGTAAATGTCAGAATAGGAATAGAGGACTGCTTTGATTTTTCTAAGTATTATAGTATTTGACTTTAAAAAATGATATATATGCATTTGTTTGACATAGATAAAAATTAAGTTTTTTGTTTGTTTGTTTTTTTGAGACAGGGTCTCACTCTGTCACCCAGGCTAGAGTGCAGTGGTGCAATCTCGACTCACTGCAACCTCCACCTCCCGGGTTCAAGCGATTCTCCCGCCTCGGCCTCCCAAGTAGCTGGGATTAAAGGCATGCAGCTAATTTTTGTATTTTTAGTAGAGACAGGGTTTCACCATGTTGACCAGGCTGGTCTCGAACTTCTGGCCTCAAGTGATCCACCTGCCTTGGCCTCCCAAAGTGCTAGGATTACAGGTGTGAGCACCATGCCCAGCCAAAGTTTTTTTTGTTGGGATGGTCTCACTCTGTCACTCAGGCTGGATTGCAGTGGTGTGATCTCAGCTCACTGCAGCCTCCACCTCCCTGTGCTCAGGTGATCCTCCCACCTCAGCCTCCCAAGTAGCTGGGACTACAGGCTCACACCACCAGGCCCGGCTAATTTTTGTATTTTTTGTGGAGCCAGGGTTTCGCCATGTTGCCCAGGCTGGTCTCAAACTCCTGGGCTCAAGTGATCTGCCCACTGCAGCCTCCCAAAGTGCTGGCATTACAAAAAACTAAGTTTTTAAAAGTTAAAAAAGACCATGATAACAAAAGGGAAAAAAATCTCTATTGGCAACTCAGTTATTATTTTGGAAGCAACCTCTAACCTAGGGGGAAAAAGTGGTGAAAATTAATTAGCAGAAACACTTTTTTTGTCTTTACTCTGAAAACGTATGAGAGCTGGCAATTTAAAAAAAGCATGAGTACTTGTTGTAGGGTCCTGCAGCCCCATCCGTTCTCTACTGGGCCCTGGTATCCTGCTCCTCTCCCAGCTCTGCCGCTGAACTCTGTGCCTTAGTTTACTTCTCTGCACCGGGCGCTCACCCCAAGACCATTCCCAGCAGCTTCCCAGGTGATGTTGGTACCCCTAAGGCTGGGCTTTGCCAGCTGTGGCCCAGCTCCTTAGTACTGCCCAGGAGACACCAGGTTGCTGAGGATGTGACTGTGGGCACCATTCTAGGCCAGTGGTTCTCGTATTGCATTCCAGCAGCAGGAATATCACCTGGGAACTTGATAGAAGTGCAAATTATTGGCCCCGCCCAAGACCCACTGAATTAGAGCTTATGGAATGGGGCCCTGCAAGCTGGGGTTTTAAGGAGCCTTCCGGATGATTCTGACATGCATGAGAATCTGCCAACTACTGATCTAGGCCAGCCATTAGTGTAGCCTGGGGAGGGACTGGGGCTGTCTAGACCAAGAACAGGTAGAAAACACTAGCCTCATCTGGACTTCTGAGATTGGGAACCACCACCAACAAAAACCAACCCTATAGTCTCTCCTCTTGGAAGAGGAAGATAAATTGGAGGGCCTGGAGAAAGCATACATTTTTTTCTTTCCCTGCTCCTGGCTTGGTTCCAGCTCTGCTCACCTCTCTCACTTGTCTTGGTTTTACAAAAGGCTGTCTAGATGATGCCAGCCAGGCAGGGGTGGAAGTCCTGGGGAGGCAGGAGGCAGAAGACCCTGACTGTTTATGCCTTGGGAACCTCACCATAGACCAGATGGCCCCTCTTCAAATGGAAAGAATCCTAACTCCACAAGGAAAGAATCTTAAACCCCCAGTTCCTCCTCCTCCCAACCCCAGGAAGACCTTGTAGACAGTGCCAAAAAACAGCTCCAACCCCCAGCAGCTGGGAAGAAAGCCAGAAGCTGTCCTTCCTCCTCATCCTGGCCCCACTTCCCAGCCCCCGCCAATACTGTGAACCCTCTTCCCATTCAGCCTGGTTTCCTGGTGAAGGTCCTGCAGTCGTGGGCCCTGGGGGATCCCCTGGAAAAGGCCCTCAGGAGGGAAGGGACCAAGGGCATCCTTGGGCCAACTGTCCACCTCTCTTGTCCACTGTTCTCTCCTCCCCACTTCTGTCTTCAAAAGGCTACTTCCCAGGATAGATAGGGTGCTAGGACAACTGCAGTCCAATCCAAAAGCTCTCCCTGCCCCTGTGTCTTATTTCAGATGTGAGAACAACTGTACAGTGTAAAGTAATAAAGTGTTTTTAATGGTTGTAGATTGGAAATAAAGTATGTCATATGAACAGTTGCCATGGGGGAATAAGAAAGCATGGATACTAGAGCTGTTCCTCAATATAAACACATAATACCTTGGGAGTAGTAGGATATAGCTGGACAGGAAAACAACCCATTCTTCCCCCTACCACCCATCCTAATATCCCTTTGTCTGTAATTACAAACAGTGAGAAACACTGGTCTGCAAGGGAAAATAAGTCTGGAGCAAGGGCCATTTCTTGTGGGTAACCTGAAAGCCAAGGATTTGCCTTTAAGTAAAGACCTGACTATTAATTGGCAAAGGCCACTTAGAACTATCATCAGAAAAAAGTTTAGCCATTTGTCAAGTCATGTGACATCCACTAGTGTCTTCATAATTCATACTATAACCCAGACTATTTACCAAAAGATGTGTTTTTTCTCAGAATCCAAGCATAGTTATTAGAATATAATTTCTCTATAAGTAGGGACCACATTTATTATAATGTTATCAAACTATTTATTAAATACCTGTGGCATAAGGTAAGGCATTAGATTAAATGGAACAAAATTACATGCTCCCTGTCCTGAATGTATCCTCTTTTTAAACCAACAGTACAACTCCCATTATACTATATACATTTTGTTGTCTTTTCATCATCAAAAATTATATGCTTGTTGTTTTCTTCCCATTCAGTTTAAGAGACTGTAGACATGAACAAATACTGCCCTAGGAAATAGTTTACCTGGTATTGGTACTGAATGGGCTGCAGTTGGCTGTCATTCTGAGTCATCTTCCTAGCCAGGGCCTCTTTCAGTGCAAGCGCTTTATTCAACTCAACCAGCTCCTTAGACATCTGCGCTTGACGGAGAGCATGCTGAGTGGTAAAAGCGTCAGAAGACCTGCTCGTCTCTGGACTGGTTTCTACTTGCTGGAAAAAAATCAGGATAATGATTTATAAGAGAAACAAGCAAATGGAGTTCCTTAGGCACTATTTCATCAAGTCTCACAGGCACTTCTCCATTAACAATATCTCTGTTCCTTTACAACAGTGGCTCTGCATACATTTGTTTTAAGTATCTGAAATAAATAGCTAGCCTAGTTCCCTGCTCTCTCAAGCACCTTATTTCTTATATACTTTAATGGACTCTTTTAGTATCAACTAACTTTCTTTGCTCTTTCCTTTATTGATCTGGATGGCATTTCTTACTTTTACCTCATTCCAAGGGGTTCTTACAGGAGAGAAGGTCCTGGAAATTGAGAAAAGGGTTCATTTGTTCTCACACAGCTGACCTCTAGTACCTGACCTAGTATTTTCCTTCTTTCAGAATGTGAAAACTACTGACATAGATTCATTTTAGGGAGAAAAGCCTGTCTCAAGCAATCCATCATCCAGCCTTTCATTTTGTCTTTATAACCTTTAGTCAACATCTAACACATTTTATCTATCCTTGTGATCTGAACACTTAAATTATTTTCCTTGGTTCTTTTAGCCCCTAATATCTCATCCATAGAAAAAATTCTCTTCTGTTTCTCCTCTAATGCTTTTTTGACTTTGCCATAATTTCCTCATTTTTTCCTCTCCTCATTTTTAACTTGCTGGACGGTTGATGCAGAATACTAGCCTCTAACAAGAAATCAGTCAGCTGGGTTGCAAATATGGAACATTACATTCTTGAGAAGTCCTGCCCCCCATTACCAGTTATACTATTAGTGGTAGAGCCTATCCAAGGTAGGGATTTTATGAAGCTGAGATTTACACTAAAGATTTCTGGATTTAACAGGCATTCTATGGAGGATGGTAACAATCACAGGTTCTCTTTTTCAGTTGAGTGATAAATTATAGGAAACGGCAGTTAGAGCTCCTGGTTCTACACAAAGGGGCCAATTACTTACGGCTTCTTGCTCCACCGCAGTATCAATGGCTGCAGCCATGCAAGCAACAGTTTCATCCTGCAGTAACAAATGTTTTGGTTTAGGGAAAGAGTCTGAAGTAAAGCTTACTGGTGGATTTTATATTGGTTATTTAATTTTTTTTAAGTGTATACAGAGACTGTTTAAGATATTGGACCCATTTTATAGTTACAGAAACCCCAATAGTCACGTTTCCATTTCCCATCTCTCAAGAGTCTTTCTTCTTCATAAAGGACAATTGTGTAGCTCTTATAAAAAATAAGGTCATGTGGCAACTGACATATTTCTTGCACTTCTCCTGCCCTGCCAGAGACATTTGGGCCAGAGTGAAACATTTAGCCATTCCAAAAGGCCAAAGTTTAACCCATTTTATGGACTCTACCCTTTCTTTTTATGCATCTACCGCTTAGTATACCTCTATTAATGTACAAGCCTAGCCAGTTCTTATGGGGACATACCATTCTACGAACAGACATATCAAATAATGGCAATGCATCAGAAAAGTAAATAGAATGGTTATTTTTTATTTTTATAGTCAGTCAAGGTAGCAGGATCTTCCTCTATAAAGAAATAAATGCCTAGCCAGGCACGGTGGCTTATGCCTGTAATCCCAGCGCTTTGGGAGGCCAAGGCAGGCAGGTCAAGAGGTCAGGAGTTCGAGATCAGCCTGGCCAACATGATGAAACCCCGTCTCTACTAAAAATACAAAAAAAATTAGCCGGGCGTGGTGGCGAGCACCTGTAATCACAGCTACTCTGGAGGCTGAGGCAGGAGAATTGCTTAAACCTGGGGGGCGGAGGTTGCAGTGAGCCAAGATTGTGCCACTGCACTCCAGCCTGGGAGACAGAGCAAGACTCCATCTTGAAGAAAAAACAAAAATCAAAAAACAAAAACAAAAACAAAAACAAAAAACAGAAAGAAATAAATGCCTTAGATGGGTACTCCCAGAAAAGTGTGCTCTTGAAGTCAGATAAAGGTACTGCAGCCTCTGTCCCTCATGTAAATAAGAACTGATCATAAAGATATGGAATCAATCTAAGTGTGTATGTGGTGTGTGTATACCATACCACATTTTCTTTATCTGATCATCCATTGATACACCATGGACTACTACTGGAATAGTAATAGTCACACCATGGAACACTACTCAACCATAAGAAGAATGGAATCATGTCTCTTGCAGCAACTTGAATGAAACTAGAGGCCATTATCTTAAGTGAAATAACTCAGAAAGTCAAATACTGCATGTCCTTACTTATAAGTGGGAACTAAATAATGTGTACACATGGGCATAGTGGAATAACAGACATTGGAGACTTGGAAGAGTGAAAGGGTTGGGGGATGGTGAGGGATGAGAAATTACTTATTGGGTACGAAGTACAGTATTTAGGTGACGGCTACAGTAAAAATCCAGTCTTCGGTACTACCCGATATATCTATGTAACAAAACTGCACTTGTACCCCCTAAATCTAAAAATAGAAAAAAAGAAAAAAGGGAAAAAAAGAACAGATGATATGGTGCTACTCCAGGTAACTAGGAGGAAAAGGGTAAGCACTAATTCTTTGGCAAATTATTTTTTGGGGCATTCAAACAAATGCCACCTAGAAGGGAAAACTAAACTACTTAATAGGACTAATTTGTTTATAGGCTATCATATTAGCAAGCTCTGTTCTCACCACTGGAATTTAGGCTTTATTTGGTATTGTAAGATATGGATTACCACTTCTGTGTAAGTGATTCTTCAAAGCCCTGGGAAAAAAGAATTATTTCCAGGAAGTCATGTACTTAAGGAGGTCATAGGTGAAAAAGCTATTAGCTCAACAGCTAAGAATTTAGGGTTAGTACATGGAGTCTCTATATCACCCTTATGAAACATTACATAGTTGTTGAAACTTAACTTTTAGTACCTTTAATGTGAGAAGTGAAGAGACCCCTCTCCCCTCGCTCTTTTTTGAGACAGAGTCTCGCTCTTTCACTCAGGCTGGAATGCGGTGCTGCCATCTCAGCTCACTGCAACCTCCACCTCCTGGGCTCAAATGATCTTCCCACCTCAGCCTCCTGACTAGCTGGGACTACAAGTGTGCACCACCACACCCAGCTCCCTCTCCCTCTCCCCCTCCCCCTCCCCCTCTCTCCCTTTCCCTCTCCCTCTCCCTCTCCCGTCTCCCTCTGTTGCCGAGGCTGGACTGTACTGCCCTGATCTCAGCTCGCTGCAACCTCCCTGCCTCCGGCTCCCGTGATTCTCCTGCCTCGGCCTGCCGAGTGCCTGGGAATGCAGGCACCCGCCGCCAAGCCTGACTGGTTTTTGTATTTTTGGTGGAGACGGGGTTTCGCCGTGTTGACCAGGCTGGTCTCCAGCTCTTGACCTCGAGTGATCTGCCCGCCTCGGCCTCCCGAGGTGCTGGGATTGCAGACGGAGTCTCGCTCACTCAATGCTCAATGTTGCCCAGGCTGGAGTGCAGTGGCGTGATCTCGGCTCGCTACAACCTCCACCTCCCAGCCACCTGCCTTGGCCTCTGAAAGTGCTAAGATTACAGCCTCTGCCCGGCCGCCACCCCATCTAGGAAGTGAGGAGCGTCTCCGCCTGGCCGCCCATTGTCTGGGATGTGAGGAGCCCCTCTGCCCGGCTGCCCCGTCTGGGAAGTGAGGAGCGCCTCTGCCCGGCCGCCCCGTCTGGGAACTGAGGAGCGCCTCTGCCCGGCCGCCACCCCGTCTGGGAGGTGAGGAGCGTCTCTGCCCGGCCGCCACCCCGTCTAGGAAGTGAGGAGTGCCTCTGCCCGGCTGCCACCCCGTCTGGGAAGTGAGGAGCGCCTCTGCCCAGCCACCACCCCGTCTGGGATGTGAGGAGCATCTCTGCCCGGCCGCCCCGTCTGGGAACTGAGGAGCGCCTCTGCCTGGCCGCCACCCCGTCTGGGAGGTGAGGAGCGTCTCTGCCCGGCCGCCACCCCGACTAGGAAGTGAGGAGTGCCTCTGCCCAGCCGCCACCCCGTCTGGGAAGTGAGGAGCGCCTCTGCCCGGCCACCACCCCGTCTGGGATGTGAGGAGCATCTCTGCCCGGCCGCCCCGTCTGGGAACTGAGGAGTGCCTCTGCCCGGCTGCCCGGTCTGAGTAGTGAGGAGCGCCTCTGCCCGGCAGCCGCCCCGTCTGGGAAGAGAGGAGCGTCTCTGCCCGGCCGCCCCGTCAGGGAAGTGGGGAGCGCCTCTGCCCGGCCGCCCCATCTGGGAAGTAGGGAGTGTCTCTGCCCGGCCACCCTGTCTGGGAGGTGAGGAGCGCCTCTGCCCGGCCGCCCCATCTGGGAAGTGAGGAGCACCTCTGCCCGGCCACCCTGTCTGGGAGGTGAGGAGCGCCTCTACCCAGCCGCCCATTGTCTGGGATGTGAGGAGTGCCTCTGCCCGGCCGCCACCCCGTCTAGGAAGTGAGGAGCGCCTCTGCCCGGCCGCCCCCTCTGGGAAGTGAGGAGTGCCTCTGCCCGGCCGCCCATCGTCTGGGATGTGAGAAGTGCCTCTGCCTGGCCGCCCCGTCTGGGAGGTGAGGAGCGCCTCTGCCCGGCCGCCCCCTCTGGGAGGTGAGGAGCGCCTCTGCCCGGCCACCCCGTCTGGGAGGTGAGGAGCGTCTCTGCCCGGCCGCCCCGTCTGGGAGGTGAGGAGTGCCTCTGCCCGGCCGCCCCATCTGGGAGGTGAGGAGCACCTCTGCCCAGCTGCCCCATCTGGGAAGTGAGGAGCGCCTCTGCCCGGCCGCCCCGTCTGGGAGGTGTACCCAACAGCTCTGAAGAGACAGCGACCATTGAGAACGGGCCATGATGACAATGGCAGTTTTGTCGAAAAGAAGAGGGGGAAATGTGGGGAAAAGAAAGAGAGATCAGATTGTTACTGTGTCTGTGTAGAAAGAAGTAGACATAGGAGACTCCATTTTGTTCTGTACTAAGAAAAATTCTTCTGCCTTGGGATGCTGTTAATCTATAACCTTACCCCCAACCCCGTGCTCTCTGAAACATGTGCTGTGTCAACTCAGGGTTAAATGGATTAAGGGCGGTGCAAGATGTGCTTTGTTAAACAGATGCTTGAAGGCAGCATGCTCGTTAAGAGTCATCATCACTCCCTAATCTCAAGTACCCAGGGACACAAACACTGCAGAAGGCTGCAGGGACCTCTGCCTAGGAAAGCCAGAGACCTTTGTTCACGTGTTTATCTGCCAACCTTCTCTCCACTATTATCCTATGACCCTGCCACATCCCCCTCTCTGAGAAACACCCAAGAATGATCAATAAATACTAAAAAAAACAAAAAAACAAAAAACTTTTTTGTAGACAGGGTCTCACTATGTCATGAAGGATGGTCTCATTTTATTTTATTTTTTTGTAGAGACAAGGTCTCACTGTGTTGCCTAGGCTGATCTCAAGCTCTTGGGCTCCAGGGTTCCACCTGCCTCGGTCTCTCAAAGAGTTTGGATTACAGGCGTAAGCCACTGCGCCTGGCCTGAAGAGATCCTTAATAAGTGCTATTTATGAAGCATTTCCCTTATTCTGCTCAGAAACTCCCAACCAGTGAGGCTCAAAGAGAATTTAAAGGAAGCTTCAGTATTCCCACATCCTTTCTCATGATGATTTGTAGTACTGGTGATTCTCCAAGTGCAGGACATACTAAATCATTCTTTTTTTTTTTTTGAGACGGAGTCTCGCTCTGTCGCCCAGGCTGGAGTGCAGTGGCGCGATCTCGGCTCACTGCAAGCTCCGCCTCCCGGGTTCACGCCATTCTCCTGCCTCAGCCTCCCGAGTAGCTGGGACTACAGGCGCCCGCTACCACGCCCGGCTAATTTTTTGTATTTTTAGTAGAGACGGGGTTTCACCTTGTTAGCCAGGATGGTCTCGATCTCCTGACCTCGTGATCCGCCCGCCTCGGCCTCCCAAAGTGCTGGGATTACAGGCGTGAGCCACCGCGCCCGGCCCTAAATCATTCTTAAAAAGGATTAAAAAAAATCTATAATGGTTACCCTTTCCTCCCTCCCATGTTTCAATTTTCAGTATAAGGACTAATCAGAGGCCTGTCCTAGATTATTAGGGCCTAAAACACTGGCCTTTGGAGACTTTCTCTAGTACCTTCCAGAGTTAGGATCAAAAGTAGATGGGTTAATCCTTGAAGAAGATATGTTGTTACTCTGGGTTTATCTTTGGCTTTTGGCCCAGTGAAATTTTACAATACTAAGGTTTAAGCTTAGGGCTATGGTGACATGTTCTGCATGAACATGGCAGAATTCTGCCTCTATAATCCTAAATGTAAATATATGACAATAAGATTTATTTCAGTCTCACAGCCCTCTTTCCCCCGATTCTAAGACTATAACCAAGAACCTCTTAAAAATAAAACGTGATTTCATAAAGGTGATGGTTAGGGGAACAAGGGTACACTGTGCTACATTAACCAGCAATATCCTCCAAGATGAAGTTTGTGTTTGTAGGCGGTACCGTTACTGGGCATGCAAAATGCTTTTTATGGAACTGGTCTTGGAGGAGGGGATATAAACAAAAAAGATCATTTGATTTTGTAGGAACTGAAAGGACTGCTTGAATTTCCTCACAGGTAACTGCACAAGGAGGTTTGCTTGAATTATATTTTAAAGGAAGAAATGGTACAGTTTAGCGCTTAAAGCCCCAGGAAGAATATCTAGGAACAATGGTTGCCTTTATAATGGAAAAGGGGGTGTTCACTAGTCACTTAAAATAAAAATAGTTTTAATCCAGAATGAAGGGCACAAGCACTTACTTTTGAAACATTTTGCTTTCACTGTAGTGAGTCTTAATAAAAGCCATGGGATACATTGTTGTGTATTTCCAAAAAAATATATAGCTGGGAGGGTCTCCGAACAATAGATGTGGAGAACTCTGATTCAGGAGTCCAGCAGGACTCCTGGATAAAAGGGCTTACTCTGCCTAACTGTGACAGTGGATGGAAGCCAGGAACTTTATCAGTTTGTGGCAATCTTTAGCACCCTCCTACTGTGTGTGCCAAGTACATTTAAGTGGCAGACACAGCGATTCTACGGAGTTCCTCTGAGCCAGCCACCACTAGCAACTCCCTCTACAGGCACACCAGGCACCAGTCATATTGCCAGATTCTCACTGAGGATGCTTTATTTTATTAATTTGGTTCCACGGGTTTCCTTCATCTTTTCTATGTGACTCGAAGCCCCAGAAATGAGGTGGTATTAATCCTCTAAGATTGGTGTGATGGCCATGAACAATGGTGGGTACCCTGGGTCACTATTTCTGAGCTTGTAAGTTTTGGCCCCAGTGGGCTTCTGCAGCCTAGATTATCTTAATTCTGAGGCAGCTCACACAAGGTTTTCATGTATCAGATGTTTCAGTTGCATTTGAGTGGCATTATAATTGTGAAATTTAACCTTGTGATAGCCGTTGTCTAACAAGTACTCTATACTTCAGCCACATTGAAGTTCTTACCATTTTTTAAACTTTCATACCTCTTTGCTTTTATCTATATCTTTTCCTCTATATATAGTCTAGTCCCTTTTTAAAAAACCTTATTTATTTTATATAAAAGCTCTTAAATTTTTCCTTGTGGAGCAGGGCTAACTCGTAAGCAGTGTGCCCAGAGTTGGCCTGTCCCTTCCCTTTTGTCTGCATGGCAAACTCCTGTTCATTTTTAGGACCCAGTTTCTTCTATGATGCCTTCCTGAATTTTCTGGACTAACAGTTAATCATCCTTTGTTTTATGATCCCACTGCACTTTGCTTACATTGCTGATATAAAAGAAAGCACACGAGAGAGGATTCCCAATTTTCCTTGCCTTCAACCCTCGCCTCCTTTCCCCGTTATCCCTATTTTGCCACCTCTCCCACCTGTGAACCTTGACCAACTGAGAAACTACAAGGCTTGTAAGAACAACTCTCAAAATATAATAACAGTTATCCGGATAGGATTGCATCAGTATATTCCTGAGGAAGAGGTATAAAAAAATGAAACAATCTCCAACCAAAAGTTTCACATCAATTAACATTAAAAACTGTTACCTGAGCTAAACCACACGGACATACAACCCTTTCTTCTCTTTACTCTATAAAGCTCCAATCTTGCTTTACTTGGGAAGTTACCTGGAGTTCAAGTGTACCCTGAGTGCATCAGCTAAATAATGCTTCTTCTTCTTCTTTTTTTTTTTTTTTTGAGATGAAGTCTCGCTCTGTCATCCAGGCTGGAGTGCAGTGGCACAATCTCGGCTCACTGCAACCTCCATCTCCTGGGTTCAAGCAGTTCTCCTGCCTCAGCCTCCCAAGTACCTGGGACTACAGGTGCATGCCACTACACCTGGCTAATTTTTGTATTTTCAGTAGAAACAGGGTTTCACCATTTTGGCCAGGCTAGTTTTGAACTCCAGACCTCAGGTGATCCGCCCACCTTGGCCTCCCAAAGTGCTGGGATTACAGGCAAGAGCTACTGCGCCCAGATGAATAATGCTTTTAACCCCTATTTGAATCACTTAAATTCTTTCCTTTTGATAGTAATACAGCACTTAGTAAGATTACATAGCTAGGAAGTGGCAGAACTGGCTTCAAACCAGGGTCTGTGTGGCTCTAGAGCCCAGGCTCTCAATTACTGTACCCTGTTTGTTGGATAAATGAGCTGTCATCTTGGACTGCTCATGATAGCTTTACAGTACTCCTTATTCTAAAACACTGCCTAATAGTCTTTGGGGAGTTTACTCATTTAATTTCTTAGAGCTGGCCATCATAACAAGTCCTGACAATATTGCATGGCATTTTTTTAATATTCTCTTCAAGAATAAATCTATGTGTGGATAATTTTGTGACACACTATTGACAACTCTAGAAAACACTGGGCAAGACCAGGGACTACAGTCTCATGGTTCTGGTAAAATTAAAATCTCTGCCCAAGAGCTAGGAATTACCACCAGGCATCTGCATACACATCACTGTTTCAGAATAATAAACAACAGAGTGTAGACAGAACAAAACCAACCATTACCACTTAACATAGTATGTTATAGTACGATTTCAATGTTTTTTTTAAAAGCATATATGCCTAAGGACTAAGAGATGGAACACCAAAACAAAAATAGATTTTTAGGGATAGTGGGATTGTGAAAATTTTTCTTCTGGGAAAAACAACAAATAACCACCCCACCCCCAAAACACACCTGCCACTACTATAATGGTTCTAAAAATAAACAAAAATGGGAACTTATGGTAGAACAATCATTCAAACTTACTTATTATTGGTTATAAAAGAGGCTTATGGTATTCCCTGGTTGCCTTAAGCTATCTGTCAGAATTTAGCTTATTTAAAATTGGGGTATGGTACAAGTCCTCTTTTTAAGTTAGCCTACACTGTGAGGACAGCAAATCAATGACTGCTGCTCTTGCTACCTAGGCAATTTTGCACTGCTATGTTGTTGCTTCTGTTATTTGATTAGAATACTGAAATACTAATGTGCATTGTATATGTAACCTATGAGTGTTTTAACAAACTCAATATTCAGATCATATCAAATGATCCACGACCTCTGTCCAAAAGCGGCTCACAATCTAGTTGTTTCAGCAAAAGGCACAGAGCTAGAAAGGCTTGTATGTGTCAAGAGAAACAAATGAAAGTGATATGCCTATTTACACTGCCCCTACTTGGCTTACCGATAACTGGGTAATCAATTGCTGCAGGTTACAAATTATCTCTACATTTTCTTTCAATTCCTGGTCTTCCAAAGTCTCCACTAGCTTTTGAAGATCCAGTTTGCAGCTGAAAATTCAAACAAAAAGAACCCAAGGGTTATTCATATGACAAAGGCCAGAGGCTCCACGATTATATACTAAGATGCTATAGGTTGCTAACAAATATCTGGTGGGCAACTTACGCCGCATGCTGCCTGAGCTCTTCTAGCTTGGCGTTCATTTTTTCATTCGCTTGCTCTGTCTGCAACAAAGACCCAGGAGATCATCAGTGGCGGTGCCTGACAGCCTCACATAATTATGCTCTCCTACTCCTATGAATTAAAAGCTAGGTAGAGAGGCTGTCTCCTTTGCTGTAACAGAGGATTTAGTGGGCTTTGGTTATTCAGTGAAAAATGTGTTTTTTAAAAGAGTCATGGAAATTAGCCCTTCAGTCAACATGAGCTACTAAAAATAGCATCCGAGCAGCTAGGTTTTATGCTTGCCATGAAACTCAGACTATGGGGTGGAGTGTGAAGCCTTAATTCCATAGAGAACTTTGCAACTGAGGGGAAAAAGCAATATTTCCTGGCATGTTAGTCCCTGCTGTTTGCAAAACAAACAAACAAAAAAAACAAACAAAAAAAAGACAAAAAACAAACAAACAAAAAACCCCACTTACTTTAAACTGCCTCCTACACTACGCTGTTCCCTAGCCCCAGCATAAGGGCATTTAAAACATAAAAGGGCCTCACACTAAATTTGAGCTGAGATTTTTTTTTTAAGTTATACTATTTGATATGGTAGGCTAGTTTTAGCAAAAGACAGCAAGAAAAAGGGTACGGCACAAGAATGATGGTAGAGAAAGAAGAAACAGCAGAAGGCAGCTTACGTTTTGGGAAGGGTGATTGATATTTTCAGTTTTATTTCAATCACAGTATCTGTAACATGCTGGATACTATAACAGATCTGGAAAGAATCGTTTATATAGGACAAAAATGTTGTGCTTGTTATGAAGTTCTGACAGGATATCAAACAATAAGCCTATCAGGCAGACACTGTAACAACCTTATAAAGGTCGGATGAGTATGTGGATAGAATAAGAAGTAGTTTCTGTTACAACAGCCTCATTCACATACATGTGAAACACAGCTTCTAGAGTTACTTCAAAGCATAAATACAGCACTGGAGACAGAAAACTGTATATAAAAATCCCCTATATCCCATTTTCACCCTCCGTTAGTAATGGACAATACAATGGACGTAGGATTTAGCCCACTTGAAAGAAATCTTTAAGCAGCTTATCTTTCCTTGACTAGAGAGCACACTGATGCATGAAGGTGTATACATTACAGAGGTTCAATTATATTTTGGTGGAAACTTATTTTTGCTTCTGGCAACAGTCGTGCTATCAAAGATTGAGTTGTATTTAGACTAGTAGAAAAACCTTAGTGATAGAGTCAGCATGCACTGATCCAGGAGGTTACTGACAGACAAGCAGGTAGTAGGAGTCAGAACTCGTGTAATCAGTTATATAGTGATCCACTATTTGGAAATCAATCACATGGAAAATGAATTAAAATTAATTTCCAAGCTGTTGTATCTCACCATGGCAGCTGTTAGTATGGGATATGAAATGTGACAACATTAGGGGAAGAGAGATGGAAAATAACTAAAATCTTGGAGAAGGAATGGTTACTTGGTATTATGGATAAAGATTAGGCAGGATTTAAGGTGACAGAGGTACTTGGTTCTTTACTTTCTGGTATTTTTAAATGAATCTATTTTAAAATGGGATTTATGTAGATTCTTTGTGGTAGATACATAGGTGTTCACTGTACAATTCTTTTAACTTTTCTGTATGTTTGATTATAAGCCCACATATTTACCCCAGAGGGGCTCCCTGGAGGATATGGTAATACAAATACATTTCTTTCAATATAACCTGTCTCTCATAATGAGATACATGTTAAATATTCTGGAAACTAAAGCTAGTAAATGTTCAGATTGCTAGTAGTTTATTCTTGGGGGCTTACCAAAATGATCCTCTCCAACATCTGGGCTGTCTGACCAGCTGCCTCGCTCAGACCACGACTTAATTTTTCATTCTCCTCTACCAGGGACTGATTCTTCTCCATCAGGGATTGTAGATTCTCTGATGGTTCCACACTAAAACAAAGTAAATAACATATTAGAAAAATATCTGATTGATAATACCTATATCAAAGGTGGATAAAAATATATCCCATAGGCCTTTTGGATAGGTAGGGGGATTAGGTCAAAATTATACCACAAAAGTCTGGGAAAAGTGTGTCCAACCCAATCTATCCTCCTAGTCAGGTAGAATATTGGATGTACAATAAACACATCTCTGAAGTACTTCAGTGGTTTGGAGAAAGGTAATAATTCAGAGCCAGATACGGTTGCAACAGGAATGACTAACCTCTATCTTGGCTCTTGGCTAGGATCTTTTCTGTTTGTGTCCTGTAGGTATGAAGTTATAGCTAACTGGAGCTAAAATACATGTTCTGTCCCTTTTCTTCCCACCCTCAATCCCTAATTAAAGATTAGGGAAGTAGAGAAGGGAGAGGTATGGGGGAGGTAGAAGTGACACTGCTCAGGGTCAAAATTCAACCTAATCAACATAAATATATTTCCCATTTATTGTAAAGTTTAGGGAAACAGCATTTGAGAAGTCAAAAAGTTGAAATGATGACCAGCGGCCACTCAGAAAACATTTCACAATTCTTTATAAATAAGTGCTCCCTTCTAAATGCTTGCTTTGCTTGGAACTTATGACCCATAGCCTCTTGTTCATTTGTCTATTAATTTTAAATTACTTAGAGTGAGTCATGACAACAATGGTGTCCATTTCAAATACGAGGAAAAGGGAGGGTCAGAAATAGCTTGAAGGAATACATATAGGTAAGAAACTTTGGAATGTATACATATCACTTGATATCAGTTCCAGACTAGTAAAGCAGACCAATACGAAGTAGGGCTGTTTTTTGTTTTAATCCACTGGGATGAAATGTTCAAAAGACTGGAAAACAGGACTGGTTAAAAAAAGATCAGAAGAAATATGAAGATTTGATCTGAAGAAGACTGAGGGGAAAAATGAATAGTTGTCAAGGCTATGAAAAAGAGAAAAATAAAGGACAGGGAACAGCTGTTCTCAATCTCAATAAAGGATAGAAAAGGACTTCAGGAATAGAGTAGATGCCCTCTCACCCATCTTAAGACCTCCATCAATTTTTATAGAAGATCTTAGAAGGCACTTTATCAAAAGTTAATAGGAAGGCCACACAATAAGGTCTCATATTACACTGTTGAGCATTTACTAAGACTCTTATGAAGGAATGTTCAATTAAAATGCAGATTATAAAAAAAACTATTAGTAAATTTAAGTGTTATTTCGTTATTTCTTTATTAAACTGAAAACTTCCATGTGTCATTCATGTAAGCTGACAAGCTTCAAAGTAATGATACTTTTAACTCGATAGTTTTTTATTTCCCTAAAAAATTTCCAGGATTTCTCTAAATGGGAAAATCATATTTAAGTTTAACTGTTGATTTTTCCAAGGAAAATTTAGCACATAGAAGTAGGTTCTTCATTGTAATTTGAGGCAAATGCTTGAATATTTAAATACCACTATAATTAATAATAGTTAACTCTTCTATAGCATTATGGGCTAGGCTCTATTCTAAATACTTTACATACATTAAATTTTTTAAGTTCTCCCAATAGCCCCTATGAGGTAAGTTCTACTGTTATCCTCATTTTATAACTAGGGAAACTGAGGCACAAAGAAGTTAAATAACCTATAGCCACACAGCTAGTAGGTAATGTGAAGCTGAAATTTGAGCTCAGCAGTCTAGTTTCAGAGTCCATGCTCTTAACTACCATGCTGACTACAGAGATAGGTACTATATGAATGCAGAGAATACTGGATATAAAAGCTCTCACAGTAATAAGGAAAAAAAAGAGTTCTTGGCAAGATTATAGATATATTATAGGACCACGTGATATAGGACAGCCACGTAATGGGTAAAATCTTTAAAAGTAAAGCAAAAACAGGACTAGGGCCAGGCAAAAATCAGACTGAAAAAGAAAATATAACAGAAAACCAATGTTTTCACATGCTATTTAATTGCCAAGGCTAGGAATTCAAGTAAACTGAGCATGTGCAAATTGACCGACACTCACAGAAAATAAATACAAAAGCTTCAATGACATGTTAAAAAACAAAAGAAAATAATCTAAGGACAAAAAGTGAAAACATTCATATATGTAAAATGTACTTTTTGTTAACAAGCCTTATAAAATGTCTCTAAAAATATAAATATACATTCTTGTGAAAAGGAGCATCTTTATTTCTCTGTAAAATATTGAACAATTAAGTTTAATTGTTTGATTCATCAACTGTTTCTTAGAATCTATTACTTTTGCAGCTGAAACTATTTCCTTTAGCACATTCTAGACAATCAGAAGTCTGGAACTTTTTGTGCTAAACTGAAAGGAAAGGAAGATGGGTCAATTGCTTCTAAATGAGTATAGTGAGAATAAAATGTAATCAGGAAACCCAGACTAAATTATCTAAAGGGGGAAAATTAGGAAGAAAGAGGTAGTCATCTCTGGGTGGTGAAATTATAGCAACTTTAAGTTTTATTCTCTATACTTCTCTAAATGTTCTACTAGAAGCAATTAGTCACTTTTATAATCAGAAAAAAATGAATAATTGAAAACAAAAATATTGAAAGTATGCTCACATCATACATAAGAATAAATACCAAATGCCAAAATGAAATGTAAAACATAAAACGACATTATTACTAGAAGAAAACATGGGTGAATTCCTCTTTTTCTTTTTTTTTTTTTTTTTGAGATGGAGTCTCGCTCTGTCACCCAGGCTGGAGTGCAGTGGCGTGGTCTTGGCTCGCTGCAAGCTCCGCCTCCCAGGTTCATGCCATTCTCCTGCCTCAGCCTCCCAAGTAGCTGGGACTACAGATGCCCGCCACCACACCCAGCTAATTTTTTCTATTTTTAGTAGAGACGAGGTTTCACCGTGTTAGGCAGGATTGTCTTGATCTCCTGACCTTGTGATCCGCCCACCTCGGCCTCCCAAAGTGCTGGGGTTACAGGCATGAGCCACCGCGCCCGGCTGAATTCCTCTTTTAACCCTGGTGTGGAGAAAGGCTTTCTAACTATGAATCCAGAGGCATGGGGAGAATGTAAATGATATAGCCACTTTGGAAAACAGTTTGGCAGTTTCGTAAAAAGTTAAACATATGACCCACCAATTCTATACCCAGGCATTTACCCCATGAAAACCCATGTCCATATAAAAACTTGCAAGTGAATGTTTGCAGCAGCAGTATTTATGAAAGCCAAAAAGTGGAAACAACCCAAACCTCCATCAACTGGTAAATGGATGGACAAATACGGCCTATCTAGACAATGGAGTACTATTACGCAAGAAAGGGAAGTGCTAACACGTGCTATAACATGGATGAACCACAAAACATAAGTGAAAGAAGCCAGACAAAAAAAGACTACATCCTCTATGATTCCATGTATACGAAATGTCTATAATAGGCAAATCTATAAAGGCAGAAAAGAGATTAGTGGTTGCCTTGGTCTGGGAGTGGGAATGAGAGTGATGGCAAATGGGCATGAGGAAACTTTTTGGGGTGATGGACATGTTCTAAACCTGAATTGTGGTGATAGTTGTACAACTCTGTAAATTTACTAAAAATCATTGAATGGTACACATAAAATGACTGAATTTTATGGTACGTAAATTTTAGCTCAATAAAGCTGCTGAAAAAATCCAGAGGCAATAAAAAAATTAATAAGCTTTACTACATAAAAATCATAACATTTTATATGACAAAAAAATCATAAACAAAGTAAAAGACAACTGATAAATTCAGAGAAATTATCTGTAACACACACCACAGACAAAGGGCTAATATCACGAATATATAAAGAATTGTCAAAAATAAGGGCCAAACTTAGGGTTGCTATTATAAAAAAAATACATTGGTGAGGGTGTGGAAAAACTGGAACTTTTGTGCATGGCTGGTGGAGATGTAAAATGGTACAGCCACTATGGAAAACAGTATGGTGGTTTGATTTAAAAATTAAAAACAGAACTACCATATGATCTAGCTATTTACTTCTAGGTATATACCCAAATGAATTGAAAGCAGGGATATGATCAGACATTTGTACATCCATAGTTTTTTTGTTGTTGTTGCTTGTTTTGTGTGTGTTTTTTGTTTGTTTGTTTGTTTTGAGACAGGGTCTCACTCTGTTGCCTAGACTAGAGTGCGTGGTATGATCATAGCTCACTGTAGCCTCAACTTCCCTGGGCTCAGGTGATCCTCCCAACTCAGCCTCCCAAGTAGCTGGGACTACAGGTGCACACCATCATACCTAGCTAATTTTGTATTTTTTGTAGAGACAGGGTTTCGCCATGTTGCCCAGGCTAGTCTTAAACTCCTGGGCTCAAGCAATCTGCCCACCTTTGCTTCCCAAAGTGCTAGGATTACAGGCATGAGCCACCACGCCTGGCCCATGTTTTTTTGTTTGTTTGTTTTTAAAGAGACGGAATATTACTATGTTGCACAGGCTGAAGCGCAGTGGCTATTCACAGGTGCTATTTTAGCACACTACAGCCTTGAACTCCTAGGTTCAAGCAATCCTCCTGCCTCATCCTACTGAGTTGCTGGGACTTCGGCATGCACCACCACACCTAGCTGTACACCCATGCTTATAGCAGCATCATTCACAATAGCCAAAAGATGGAAGCAGTCCAAGTGTCCATCAATGGATGAATGGATACACAAAATACAATGAAATATTATTCAATCTTAAAATCAAAGGAAATTGTGACACATGCTACAACATGGATGAACCTTGAAGACATTATGCTAAATGAAACAAGTCAGTCATGAAAAGACAAATACTGTATGATTCCATTCATATGAGGTACCTAGAGTAGTCAAATTCATACTGAAAGCAGAATAGTGGTTGCCAGGGACTGAGGAGAGAGGAAATGAGGAGTTATTGTTTAGTGGGTATAGAGTTTCAGTTCTGCAAGATGAAAAAAATTTTGGAGGTGGATGGTGGTGATGGCTGCACAACATTGTGAATGAATTTAAAGCCATTGAATTGTACACTTAAAATAATTAAAATGGTAAATTTTATGTTATGTATATTTTACCACAATTTATTTTTAAAAAGAGGCCAAAGGACCAAAAAACCCAATAGAAAAATGAGAAAAGACATGGACAATTCACCAGCAAAAGGGATAAAAGTGGCCCTTAAACATATGAAAAAATGCTCAAATTCACCCATAATACGAGAAATACAAAGTAAAACAACACTGAGATAGCATTTCTCACCTATCAGACTGCCAAAAATTGAAAAAGTATGACAATACATTCCATTAGTGAGGCTGTGGGGAAACAGGCTTTCTCATACACTGCTGGTAGGAATGCAAACTGGTACATCTCTTCTGGAGGCAAATATGGCAATACCTTATAAAGGTAGAAATGTACTTACCTTTTGTCCCAGCAATCCCACTTCTAGAAATTTACCCTTAAGATAAACCTCTGACAATACAAAAATATATACACACAGGTTATTCACTGCAGCATGTTTTTAATTGCAAAACATTGGAAACAACTTAAATGTGCATACATAGGAAGGGGGGTGAATTGATATGTATGGCACATGTCCACAATAAAAGTACTATGCACCTGCAAAAAAGAATGCGGAAGACTTCTCTGAACTGGTAAGAAATGATTTCCAGGAAATACTGAACAAAGCAAAGCTACAAAGAGTATACAATCATTACATACAGTACCCAACCATTCATATGAGAAAAAAAGGTGATATAATAAAATACACAGGTATCTGTTCATTTGTACAAAAGAAATACAAGAAGGCTAAACCAGAAACTAAAGAGATGGGTTAAATACAGGCGTAGCGAGAATAATGGTAGAAAAGAGGTAGAAATAAGGGTGGGAAATAGGAATGGGAACAGAGTTGCAGGGATGGAGAGGGAATGACATTTACCTCACTGAGTATATCCTTTTTCCTTTTTGAAAAAAATTGTGGTACATGTATGCATTAAGTAGTTTCTCACCACCCACTCCCCTCAAACTTCCTATGCTTCCTAGTTGCCAATGTCAATTGTTCCACACTCTAGGTCCATGTGAACACATTATTTGGCTCCCACTTGTAAGTGAGAACATCCAGTATTTAACTTTCTAAGTTGTTACAATGTACATTATTCAGGTGATGGATATACTAAAAGCCCAGACTTCACCACTACACAACACATCCATATAATAAAATTGTACTTATATCCCATAAATTTATACAAATACAAATTGGAAAATCATGGGAAACATATAAACATAAAACTTACCATCTTAATCACCTTTAAGTGTGTTGTTCACTAGTGTTAAGTATATTCACATTGCTTGCTGTGAAACAGATCTCCAGAATGTTTTCATTTTGCAAAACTAAAATTCTATACCCATTAAACAACTTCCCTTTCCCACCTATCCCCCAGTCCCCGGCAACCACCATTCTACTTTGTTTCTATGAATTTGACTACATTAGATACCTCACATAAGTGGAATCATACAGTATTTGTCTTTTTGTGACTGGCTTAGTTCACTTAGCATATCTTCAATGTCCACCCATGTTGTAGCAAGTGACAGGATTACCTTCCTTTTTAAGGCTGAATGATATTCTGTTGCATGTATATACCACATTTTGTTTATCAGGTCATACGTTGATAGACATTTGGGTTATTCTACCTCTTAACTATAGTGAATAGTGCCACTATGAACATGGTCGTGAAGACATCTCTTTGAGACCTTGCTTTAATTATTTTGGATATATAAACAGAAGTGGGATTGCTGGATCATATGGTAAGTCTAGTTTTAATTTTTTTAGGAACCTCCATGCTGTTTTCCACAGTAGTTACATCATTTTACAATCTCACCAACAGTGTACAAGGGTTCCAATTTCTCTATATCTTCACATCCTTGCCAACACCTTTTATTTTCAGTTATTTATCTATTTATTTATTTAACAGTAGCCATCCTAATGGGCATGAGGTGATATCTCATTGGGGTTTTAATTTGCATTTCTCTGCTCTGAGTATATCTTTTTGTGTAACTCTGACTCTTAGATCCATTATGTTTCACATACCTAAAATATAAACAAACAAAAGTAACTAAGATTTAGGGGGAGAGTGCCTAAAAGGGAATACAAACAGTAACTGTGGGAAACATTATCTTGCTTAGATACTCTATGCCTAAAGATAAAAAGAACTGTACATAAATGCTGTAATCTATTTCATAGAAAGTGTTTCCCACAGGGATATAGGCTAACAATTCTGAAACTACTTTATGTGTATAGTAGAACTGAGCAAGTAAATAAATAGATTGCAGATGAGAGCTGGGTTTCTTACTGTTGGAGAAAGAAGTTACAAATAAGGAAAGGGGGAAAGCCAAAATGAACCCTGTCACATTGGAATGGTATCAGAGGTGTCAGTATAAACTCATGGTTTGTAATATATATGCAGATAGATATATACAAAAATATAGATGAAAGTGTATGTGTACGTTACTACACAGGTAGATATTTCTGAGCTCTACCTGCTCAGAGTGCTTAGAAGCAGTAAAACTCTGGTAACAATAAACACAGCTGGCGCTAGTACCCAAATCTTGGCTTCTAAACACAATTTTCCATCAACAAAAAAAGAAAGGAACTAGGGTTCCTTGGAGACATGGTTGATTCCAGAACTGGGGTAGGGAAAATACAAGATGAGTTTGGAACCTCTTGTAGAAATGATCAAAAACTTGAGAAGAGCCAACCTGAAGGAGCTCCTAATGGACAAAGCAGGAACAATTTGAGCAATAAAACAAATAATAGTACTGGATGTTAAACCATAGAATAAAATAAATATCCATGAATCTATACAAATATAACTAAATGTCAAATAAACAAATGGAGAAGAAGAGACAGCTCTTCCTCACAATAGAATTCCAATTAATAAATTTCTGAGGCCAGAACCCATGCTCTTTCTGTTACATTAGGCTGCTTCAAACATAACTAAGTCCTAAATAGTCAGCAAAATTGGTAAGATCCTTACCGTGACACCAAGTGCTAGCAGAAACCAGGGAAAAACTATTATTAGGAAAAATAGCCTCTATTAGAATACACAATTCAAATTAATCTATGACTCTTACGTTATAGATCCAGGCAGGGTACCTCCATGGGCCTGTAGCAACAAGACTTGTAGCTGTTGTACCTGGGAGAAGCAAAGAAAAATAATCAGCTAGTCACCAACCAAATGCTACTTAACCCTTGGCAGTAAAATTACCACAATTAGCAATAAAGTAATTTTACTAAATGTCTATGAAATCTAAGGCAGATAGCATACCTTAGATACTACCAAAGGCATCATACATAGTTGATGATCCAATGATAACAGGAAAATCAGCATTACATGAACAACTATTAAGTAGAAGATGAGTTGTCCATTTTATCTACATCTTAATGAGTTTTTACTGAGCACCTATTTTTCTTTTTTCTTTTCTTTTCTTTTTTTTTTTTTTGGAGACAGAGTCTTGCTCTGTCGCCCAGGGTGGAGTGCAGTGGCACTTCTGCCTCCCAGGTTCAAGTGATTCTCCTGCCTCAGCCTCCCAAGTAGCTGGGACTACAGGCGCCCGCCAACACACCCAGCTAATTTTTGTATTTTTTGTAGAGACAGGGTTTCACCATGTTGGCCAGCCTGGTCTTGAATTGCTGACCTCAATTGATCCACCTACCTCGTCCTCCCAAAGTGCGGGGCTTACACATGTAAGCCACTGCTCCTGGCCTTGAGTACCTATTTTTGAAAATCAGTCTCAGCACTGGGCTAGACAACGTACGGACATATAAAAATAAAATATGACCCCTACTCTCAAGTTTACAATCTACTTAAGAAAGATAAGCCTGAAGTCTAAAATAGTAGGAAATAATACAAGACAGAATAAGCAAATTAACAAAAACCTAAATAGTCAAAGGGAGGCTTCATGGAGATGGATCTTAAACCAGAGCGCAAGTGTAAGCATCCTCTCCCATTCCCTCCTATGACACAAGGGGAGCTGTTCTGCCTCCCAAGACTGGTCTCCTTGCATGTGCTTTGGATTCCCACTCTTCTTGCCATCTTATGAATCTTACACTGTTATCCCTTCTCTCTTCTATATTTTCAATTTCTCCCTTTCTATAAGATCCTTCCTATTCAGATTAAAATATGTTCAAGTCTCTCCCATCTTAAAAACAAAAGCATCCTCCCCAACCCCACTTCCTATCTCTCTTGCCCTATTTTTCTCTTTTTTCACAAAGTTTGAGAGAATAATACACCAATTGCCTCCATTTCCTTTCGCTCGCCACTCGGTTGCTCCTCAACTTACTCCAATATGACTGCCTACATTGTTCCAATGAAATAACTTGCCCAAGTTACAAACGAGCTGCATGTCACCAAATCCAGTGAGCATTTTCCAGTCTTCATTTTACTTGACTGACTGACTGGTAGCATTTGGCTTACAAGACACATTTTCCTGCTTTTCCTTCTATTCTTCTAACTGATCTTCTAAGTCTCTTTCTTGGTTCATCTTTGCTCCACTTGTCCTTTAAATGGTAAAGTCCCCCAAAGCTCAGTAGGAGTTTTCTTACTTACATTCTCCTTATATTCTCTTCTGAATGTCTCATCTCTGCCTCTGGTTTCTATTACCTGAAACTGGTGACTTCCAAATTTACCTCAAGCACAGATCTTTCTGAACTTTATACTTTTATATTCAACTATCTACCTGATATTTCCACTTAGTTGTCTGGTATCCTCAAACCTGGTCCTTTTCCAGTGTAACCCAGGTCAGTGAATATCCAGTTCCACATGCCAGAAATCTGGGTGTCATTCCTTTATCTAATTCATTGGTTACTTCTTTCTATCACCACTGCCAGCACTCTAAGTCCAAGCCATCATTATCTCTCGCTTAGACTACTGCAGTACCTTCTTAAATGGTCTCCATGAATCTACTCTTGCTCTACTATAATCCATTTCTATACAGCAGCCAGGCCATTGTTTAAAAATGTAAATTATCAAGTTACTACCTGGCTTAAAATCCTTTTTAATATTGTCCATGAGTCCTGGATCAGTCCTCTGCTTTCCCTCTAGCCTCATCCTGGAATACAGGCACATCTCAGTTTATTGTGCTTCACTTTACTGCACCTCACAGATACTGTGGTTTTTTTTTTACAAATTGAAGATCTGTGGCAACCCTGCATTAAGCAAGGCTATTGGCACCATTTTTCCAACATCATATGCTCATTTCATGTCTCTGTGTCAACATTTTTTTTTAGCAATAAAGTATTTTTAAATTAAGGTATGTACATTGTTTTAAGACATAATGGTATTGCACATTTAATATACTACAGTATAGTGTAAATATAACTTTCTATGCACTGGAAAACAAAAAAAATTGTGTGACTCACTTTATTGCGATATTTGCTTTACTGTGGTGGTCTGGAACCAAGCCTGCAACATCCCTAAGGTAAGCCTGTACTCTTTCCTTGCTTTCTACACTCTAGCCACACTGGCATTCTTTGAGTTCTTCAAATGCACTATACTTCTGTCCTATCTCAGACCCTTCCAACACTTGCTATAAGCCAAGTACTGTTCTAAGTGCTTTACATGTATTAACTCATTTAACCCTCACAAAAACCCTAAGAAGAAGGTATTATTATTATTTCTACTGTACAGATAGGGATACCAAGGCACAGAGAACTTGCCCAAGGTACATAGCCAGTGAGTTATAGAGCTAAGATTTGAACATGGGTGGGCTAATTGCAGTGTCAGTGCTCCTGGCCACTATACAGCTGTTCCTATGTATATGCAGGGGATTGGTTCCAGGACCCTGTGCGTATACAAAAATGTAGATGCATAGTCCAGTCCTGCGGTCAGCCCTGCAGAATCCACATGTATAAAAAGTCTACACATGGGTTTCTCATCCTGCAAATACTGTATTTTTGATCTGTGTTTTGTTGGACCAAACTCCTATTGTTCGAGAATCAACTGTACTTTGCTACCTATGTTTCTTCTCTCTAGAACTCTCTTTGTTTTGTGCAGTGATTTATTTTCCTTCTTCTAGTCATGCCCACTTCTAATCTATTTTCTCTATACCTGCTAGAATGATCTCGCCAAAACACACATTTTATCATATCACCCTCCTACTTAAAACTCTTCAATGGCTCTTCATAGCTTTCAGGTTGAATTCCAAATTCTTTAACAAGTCATATAAGGAACTTCAGAATTTAGCCCCTGTCTACACCTCTCATCTCATCTCTCACTGCTCACTTCTTCATCAGTGAACTTTCCAATGCTACCCCCAATCTTAAATGGACAGCAAACACGTTAATAGGAGTTATTTTAAGAGGTCCCCGAACAAACATAATGCCTAACCAACATCTCTAAACTTCTGATAAAGAAGAAACTGAAAACAGAAGCTCTATCATTCCACTCACATACTTGTAATTTTTCCCATCAAACTTTAAGTCCCTTATACCTGTTGCTTTAGATGATTAAGTTCAGCTGTCTGGGGATCAATATTAACAATAGGTTTGTTCTTGATTTTTCTTGCTCTGTCAGCATAGCGAAGGGTATTTAATGTTTCCTCTAGATTGGAGTCAGCAGGACTCACACAGGCTATCATAAGAGTATGGCTATTACCTCCTAGAGAATCTGAAAAAGAACAATAAAGAATAACGAAAGGAAATGAAATCAAACAAGTAGGATATAAGCAAAGCCGTCCATTCGGGTTGGTGACTTAAAATTCAGAGCTATAAGAAAAAGTTCTTAGTGTTTTTTATATTGAAATAATAGGAAATGTATACATATCTAAGATTTCTGATGTAATATACATTTAAATCCTATTGCATGTGTCCCCTTTCTCAAAAGGGATTGTGATTTCAGCAGTTAATCAGGTTAAAACAACTGGGGCCTGGCCTAAGTAAGTTAGGAGCCACTAGTGGAATTAAACATTCTTAGGATGCCCCCTCTAGGTGGATTTTAACTCTCCAGGGAATTCTGCTTAGCCGCACTAATAATTAAAGAAACAGTAACCAAATTCACTTTCAGGTGTAAAGTACAAAGTACAGTTGGTGCACTACAGATTTCTTGGCTCTCAATGTCATATATGAAGATATTTTTCCATTATCTTAGAAACCTGCTTGCCAACAGCACTCTCTCGTATTTATCAATTAGACAACTGTGTATGTCATAGTCCAAATAGCTGGCTTTTTACCTATTTCATCTTTGCTGTCTCAGCACTATCATTTTGAGTTACTCTCTTATTTTTGGAGGCACTTTGGGCTTACCTTGAAGCAGTCGAGTCAACTTGGAATCTCTGTAGGGCACAAAGCCACCCTTTTTGTCATCTCCAAGAGCACTGATTACATTTCCCAAGCATAGGAGGCCTCGGTTAATATTAATACCTAATAGCAGGAAATGAAATTTAAATTGCTTGGTAATGCATCCAACATATACCTATGTTTCTTCTGAGAAAGAGAAAAGAAATAAAGACCCCATAAAAATATCGAGTCATCAATCTTGAGAAAACTTCTTAATCTTGTTCACTTTTTGGAGTGCCTCTTTAAGTAAAGGACAAAGGTCCAAATGTTGGATATGTATGATTGAGTCCACTGGCACTTCTTGCCCTTTCCCATGGAAACAAAGCAGATAGATAAATAACTATCACCATGACAACCATCTGTATAGTTATTTACTTTTTATATCCATTATGATAATCTTTAAATTAATGCTGTGAAATTGGATGAACAGGTTTTTTTTTACCATATCATCATCATTATTTTTATTATCATTCTCATTTTACAGATAAAGAAAGAAGCTCAGAGGTTAAATGACCTGCCTAAGGTCAAACAGCTAGTAAATGGTAGGCCTGAGATTCTATCTCAAGATTTTAGTCAAGTCCTATGCTCTTTTCATTATACCATAGTGAAATACCTTTCCTACTGTAGCTTTAAAAAAGATAAAGATTATTTTCCACTTTGGTTAATTCTGAGGTTTACTTCTTAAACACTGTAATAACCTCTGAAGTTCTGCTGAAGCAATTAACTTCCCATTATTAGGCTTACTGTGGAAAAGCTATATAGTATAATGGTTAAGTGCATAGTTGGTGTTAAAATAGACAGCTTACAATCCTGGCTCTGTCACTGACTAGTTATATGATCTTGGGTTAAGTTCCTTTATAAAATGAGGCAAATCTACCTACCTTATTGGGTTGTGGTAGGGAATTAATTAAGATACTATATATGAAGCAAAGTTAAATGATAAATAAATCATGCTATAGTTTAAATGTTTGCGTCTCCTCCAAAATTCACGTTTGAAACTTAGCCCCCAATGCAATAGTATTAGGAGGTGGGACGTTTAGGAGATCATTAGGCCATGAAATGTCTACCTTCATGGATGGGATTGGTGCCTGATAAGAGGACTGGAGAGAATTAGCTAGTTGCTTTTGCCCTTCTGCCCCTTCTGCCATGTGGGGACACACCGTTTATCCCTTTTCCCCATCTGCCATGTGAGGCTGCCAGGATGTCTGTCCTCACCAGTCATTGATTCTACTGGCACCATGACCCTGGACTTCTCAGTCTCCAGAACTGTAAGAAATAAATTTATATTGTTTCTAAATTACCCAGTCTAAGGTATTTTGTTATAGCAGCACAAATGGTATCATTATTGTTAGCTCTACTCTACCTTTTATATAGCCATCTTTTGAACATGAAACAATTATATTTATGAGATCCTGAACTCGAAATTCCTGACTGCATCCTACTATCCTTCCATTTCTTTGGATCCTGTTCTTCACCCTTTTTTTGGACTACCAATTTACTGACACTTTCTAATACTGTCAGTAGATCAGCCTCTTCTGGACCTTCAACTCTTACTCTGAACCCTATGGTTGAAAATTTCAATTACGTTTTCCTAAGAACTCACTGGACATATGATCTTCTACCATTCTCACCATGTCAATTCTCAACCATAGGTTAAACCAACTGTGTGCGTGTATGTTTATTTGTAGGCTACAATACTGAAGAAACAGCATAACCAAACAGATGAGATCCACTATAAACATGCTACCTAACCTTAGCTGAACCCTTGGTCAATTGATCATCTTTTCTTCCTCATTCCTACTTTACTAACCTTCTAATCTAACTAATCTAATTCACCATGGCAGCTATTATACAGACTCATCATTTTTAAGAATATAAACCTATCTTCACTTTCTATTGGTAGATGATTTCACCAAATACTTTATAGAGATGAAAGTTATCCACAAGGGCTCCCCAACCTCCCCTCTCCTCACCTCACATTCATTCTTTTGCTATTACTTATTCCTTCATCCTTCCCCTTGTTTCAGAGGAAATAGCTGCCTTTGTTTTCAAGGTCCTGCCTTCTGCCTCTGTTTCTATTCCTTCCATTTCCTCTGGGACCCTGATCCTTTAGCTTCTCCCTCTCTCTTAGATCTTCCACTTATTTTTTTCCTTCACTATTTCCTTCTTTTCAGCCTACACCCACGCTCAAATCTCCCTAATCTAAAACAAAAATAATTTTCTCAATTATCCCTTTGTTTTCCTCTTATTACCAACTGGAATGGGTACTGCTTATCCTCTCTAGGATATGAAGGAAAGCCTGCTGAGATTTATCAAACCTGCCTGCTAATACCTGTACTAAATCCTATGTTAGTCCATTCCTGTCTTTTCCTTCTCTTTTTAGCCAAACAAAACATTGTGCTATTTTATTGGCCCATATCTCAACTAGATGTAAAGGAGAGACTGCTGAGGTTTTTCAAAGCTGCTGAGCAAAACTTCCATCTATAGTTTCATATAGGAGCAAAACAAAATTCCAGACAAACCCTGAGAAGAATCTATGGCAATGATCCAAGCAAGAACCATAGACTTAAGGATAAAGTGGGCATTTTTTTTCTTCTTCTTCAAATGAGAGTTGGGGCTCAAGAATAGAAAGGAGATAAGAGACATGAATGTTTCTCTTGAAATAAATCACCACAAAACAGGATTTGATTTCCTGTTAAGACATTAAAATGATAAATGATTCCCAAAGATGGAATATATATCACAAAGATGGGGAAGAACATATTTGCAGAGACTTAAAAGTTCTGATTAAGGACAGCTATGAAGAAAAATGAAGTAGTTTTCTCTGTAAGAATGAGAACAGATCAAGTAAGGAGAGTCAAAAATGCTACTCAATACCTTTGGGTGTTTGTTCACTATGGCAACAAATAAATAATAAAGGAGAGATTTTAACTTTAAAAGAGAAATATAACTTCACAGCTATCATGGAGGCACATTACAATGGGTTTTACAGCTGGAATATAAAAGCATATTTGTAAGAAAAAAGAAAAATGAGGTAGGAGAGAAATGTAGATCTATATGCAGTGGTTCTCAACTAGGGGCAATTCTGCTTCATAGGGGACATTTGGCAATATCTGGAGACATTCTGGTTGTCACAACTTAGGAGTGGGGTATGTGTGCCACTGGCATTCATCGGGTAAAGGCCAAAGATGTTGTAAAACATCCTACAATGCATAGGACAGCCTCCTTCCCCGTAAACAATTATTTGATCCAAAATATTAACGGTGCCACAGCTGGGAAACCCTGCTCTACGTGTGAAGAAAATATGTATGGGCCTAAAGCAGGTAGAATGGCTGAGTAAATTAGGGTGAAAAACAGAAGTATGGTATGATAGATGGTCTGCCTGGTCAAAGAGAAAGGGAATGATTGTTACTGAAATGGATCACAAAACATATAGAGGCAACCAGCGATAGGGGATAGAGTAGGAAAGGCACTTCATTAGGAGAGAGAGAATCTTAGTTAAAATTCTGCCTCTGCCATTCACCAATGTGTATAATATTGAACTAGCCACTGAAACTTTCTTTTATCCATAAAACAGGGAAAATACCGATCTTACCTAATGGGACTGGGATAAAAATCAAATGTGATTTGTAAAGGGCTATCTATATTTAAGTTATTATTAATGGAGTAGAAAAACTTGGATAATCTACAAGGACACAGAGCCATAAGAATGACATAATGGACTTTGGGGACTCAGGCCAGGGGGAGGTTTGATGGGGGTGAGGGAAAAAAGACTACATATTGGGTACAGTATACACTCCTCAGGTGACGGGCACACTACAATCTCAGAAATCACCACTAAAGAACTTATCTATGTAACCAAAAACCACCTATACCCTGAAACTATTGAAATTAAAAAAAAGAATAATAATGGCCAGGCATGGTGGCTCATGTCTGTAATGCCAGCACTTTGGGGGGCCGAAGCGGGTGGATTGCTTGAGCCCAGGAGTTCTAGACCAGTGTGGGCAACGTGGCAAAATCCTACCTCTACCTAAAATACAAAAATTAGCTGGGCGTGGTGGTGTGCACCTGTAGTCCCAGCTACTCAGGAAGCTGGGGTGGGAGAATCACTTGAACCTGGGAGGTCAAGGCTGCAGTGAGCCAAGATTGTGCCACTGCACTCCAGCTTGGGTGACAGTGAGATTTTGTCTTAAGAAAAAAACAAAGAAATTGTGCTCATAAACATACCTATAATATTCTTATGGCTTTAATATTGACTTAATGTTATACATTTGAACTTATAAATTTACATGAATTTAAAATGTTTTTAAATCTATTTCAAATGTTAGAATTTGTTGTAAGGTTTTATTTTTTAAAAAGCTCCTATGCTTTTAAAAGAAGGCAGATTAAAATCTGTTGTAGACAATGGGAAACAAATAAAAGGTTTTAAAGAGGATGGAAACATGACCAACTTCGGATTTTATAAGTATTACTTTGTCCAGGAGTTCACGACCAGCCTGGGCAACACTGCAAAACCCTGTCTCTACAGAAAATACAAAAATTTGCTGGGGACAGTGGCATACACTCGCAGTTCCAGTTACTCGGGAGGCTGAGGTGCGAGGATGGCTTCAGCCCAGGAGGTTGAGGCTGCAGTGAGCCGTGATCACACCACTGCACTCCAGCCTAGGCGACAGAGTGAGACCCTGTCTCAAGAAAAATAAATATAAGTATTACTTTGTTACTCATTTGGAAGGTGGACTTGGGAGTAAAAAATTGGTGTTTAAAAAACCCTTTACCATTCTTTTTTTTTTCAAATGATTTTATTTACTAGAATGCATAATTTTTAAAATGTGCAAATAAAAAGTTTAAAACTTTGAAAAAAAGAAAGAAACCATTTAGAAGGTTATTTTAATGGTTCAGATGACAGATCTCTGAGAACTGCAGCAGTGGAAAAGGAATGAAGGATGTAGAAGTCAGAAGTACTTAAGGCATAAACATGACATGACTAAGCTAACTTCTGGATGTGAAAGGTGAGAGAAGAGAATGTATAAAGTCGCATACTAATATTCCAGGAATAAAGTACATATTTATTCTTCTAGCCAGACAACAGTTATAGAATACCTATTGTGTTAAGGCACAGTGCGGGGCACAGGTAGCAGGAAAATAAGAAATGGTCTCTGCTTTTAAGGAACTCAAAGTCTAATGGGGGAAACAGATAATTAAATAATTACAAGAAAAGAAAGAACACTATGACAAAGAGGTAACTTTATCTTGATGAGGCTTTGGGTTACAGGCTTTTGGGTAAATGCATTTGTCAAAACCCAGCTAATACACACTTAAAATTTGTGCTTTTCATTGTACATCTTATATTAAGAATATAAATATTGGTCGGGTATGGTGGCTCATGCCTGTAATCCCAGGACTCTGGGAGGCCGAGGCAGATCACCTGAGGTCAGGAGTTCAAAACCAGCCTGGTCAACATGGTGAGACCCTGTCTCTACTAAAAATACAAAAATTAGCCAGGCGTGATGGTGCACATCTGAAGTCCCAGCTACTTGGGAGGCAGGAGAATCGCCTGAACCCGGTAGGTGGAGGTTGCAGTGAGTCAAGATTGCGCCACTGCACTCCAGCCTGGGCGACAAAGCAAGACTCGGTCTCAAATAAATAAATAAATAAATAAATAAATAAATAAATAAATATTAAATGCCAGTTAATGATATGTAAGCTGAAGTAGTTAGGAGGAAGTATATTAATTTGTGCAATTTACTTAAAAATGTGTTTTTAAAATGGATATAGACTGACAAATGGATAGATGGACAGATTTGTGATAAAGCAAATATAGTAAAATGTTAATTTTACTATAGGTATAGGGGTATTGTAAAATCTTTCAACTTGAAGTAACTTTGAAAATTTTTATCAATAAATGTTAGAGAAAACCCACTATGTGAGCATGAATTTATGGAAAGATCTTGACCAAGAGCAGAGGTTTCATAGGTGGGTAACATATGAATTGTGAATTGAAATATTAGTAGGAGTTGCCAGGCAGACCAAAAGGGAGAAAGAACTCAGGCATTCAGTGAGGACCTATGGCATGTCAGGTGCTATGCTGGGGCCTAGGGATTCAAAGAGGAATATGACCCAGTTCTTGCCTTTGATTGGCTTGCTGTCTACTGGGGGAGTCAGGTAGTTAAGGAAATGACTGTAATACACGGCTGGGGCAGTGTTAGTGTGGAAGACAGGTAAGCACTAGATGAGGGGTACCTAATCCGCTTTGGGGGAAGTGAGATGGTCAAACAAAGTTTCTTTAAGGGGATGAAGTTGGGACTGAGCGCAAATTTGAATGAGCCACATGAAGATAGAGGGAAGGCAATTTCGCAGAGAGAACAGAATGCAGAAAGACACATAGATGAGAGAGTACGAGGCACACTCAGTATGGCTAAGCAGATTGCAAGGAAAGAGTGGGGAGAGGAAAAGCTAGCCAGGGAGGGATGGCTAGAGCAAAAAGGCCTTAAGGAGGCAGCATGGTGCAAACTGAGGAGCTCTGGAAGAGCTCTTAGCAGCGAGAAACAGTTTAGGAAGAATACTCTGGCTGCTGATTGGTTAATGGCTTGAAAGGGTACCTAACTGAAGACAGGGAGACCAGTTCTTGCTATAATCAAAAAAATGATGAGGGCCTGACATAAGATAGTGGTAGTAGGGTTAGAGAAAAGAGAGTGAAGTAAAAGATGAAAAGTTAGGACTGACAGGTCTCAGTGACTAATGAGATTGGGGAAAGGAGCCAGATTAAAAAAAAAAAAAAAAGAGCATAGAACAATGCCCTGGTTTCTGTCTTGGGTGACTGGGTGGATATTGATATTATTCACTGCCGGTGATGGAGGGACCCATTTAAAGCAACAGGGAGCCAGTCACGGTGGCTCACGCCTGTAATCCCAGCACTTTGGGAGGCCGAGGTGGGTGGATCACGAGGTCAGGAGATCGAGATCATCCTGGCTAACACGGTGAAACCCCATCTCTACTAAAAATACAAAAAATTAGCCGGGCGTGGTGGTGGGCGCCTGTAGTCCCAGGTACTCAGGAGGCTGAGGCAGGAGAATGGTGTGAACCCGGGAGGCAGAGCTTGCAATGAGCCGAGATTGCGCCACTGCACTTCAGCCTGGGCGACAGAGTGAGACTCTGTCTCAAAAATAAATAAATAAATAAAATAAATTAAAAAAAACAGCAACAGGGAGGAATGAGGGGCTCAGTTTTGGACATGTGGAATGGGAGATACATGTGGGACATCCATAAGACTCCCCACAGTCAACTATATTTACATACTTAAATATGACTTATGAGATAGGGGCTCGAGATAGAGGTTTAGGATTGGCAGCATACAGGTAGGAATTATAAGCATCTAAGTGGGTGAAACCACTTTGGGGGGGGAGGGTGACAGGGTGATGGGCATGAACAGTGGGAAGAGAAAGAAAATATCCCAGGACAAAGCCTGGGTTATGTTTCAGATAGGGGTGAGTGGAAGAGGAGAAGCCTGTGAAAGAGTCTTCAGAAAAGTGAGAGGAAAATCAGGAGAGGGTAGCATCACAGAGTCAAGAGGAATGAGATTGTCCAGAAGAAGGGGCAGGATGTCAGACCTGCAGAATTACCAAGTCAGTGGAGGACTGAAAAGAGCCTAATGGATTCAGTTGTTCAGGTCATGAGTTGACTTCAAAAGGGATAGTTTCAATGGGAGGAGGATGGAGGGGTGACAAAAATGTAGAATGAAAGGAAAAGGGAGGAGAGCAGTAGTAAGAGGAGGATGAAATATTTTGTTTATTTTAAGTTGGGGAAATATTAGTATGCTTCTATGCTGAGGGCAGAAAGTCAGTTGAGAGGGAGAAGTTAAAACAGGAGGAGCAGGAGTACTTGACAGAACCATGTTTCTGAGGCAGTGGGGAGAAAATCCAGCAGAAAACACACAGGAGTAATGGCACAGAGATCTGAAACAACAGAACTGTTTGGAAAAACAATGAGTAGACTGCTATGGCTGGAACCTTGTAGTTTGTGGGAAAATGGTGGGAGATGAAGCTAGAAATACAGAGGCACCAGAAAATGACAATGTAGTCCTGTGGTACTAGAGAAATCTCAGAGGAGAAAAAAATACATTAGAAGATAACATGATTAAAAAAGGCAATGTCGAAAACCCCAACACTTAAGTTGAGTCTTAAAACGTGGCTATGTTGTAGATGGTTTGATTGTGTGTTGGGGGGCACACACTACATTCTGGGAGAAGAGGAGATGGCTGTGATGAAAGTGTGCAAAGACCAGAATTAGCTGGGCATGTTGTGGGGACCTGACAGCTGGCATGGAGTGTGGGTAGGGAAGCTGTGAAAGATGGTCGAGGAGGTAGGCTTGGGACCAGGGTATAAAGGGTCTGGAAGATTTGGCTATGTTTTTTAGACTTCATCTTGTAAGCAGCTACTTCAAAGTTCTATTTACGTGAGATGCCATGTAAAAGGTGGTATTTTTAAAGCTACATATGTAATTCATTTATTTATGTATTTTTATTGATACACAATATTTGTACATATTTATGGATATAGGTGATATTTTGTTACATGCATAGAAATTGTAATGATCAAGTCAGGGTATTTAGGGCATCCATCACCTTGAGCACTTATAATTTCTATGTGTTGGGAACATTTCAATTCCTCCCTTCTAGTTATTTTGAAATGTATAGTACAATGCTGTTCACTCATCACCCTACTCTGCTATCAAACATTAGAACTTATTCCATCTAACTGTATGTTTATACCCATTAATCAACCTCTCTCTTCTTCCCCTCGGCCTCCACTCCCACACCCTTCTTGGCCTCTGGTAACTATCATTCTACTCTCTATGTCCATTATACCCTTGTTTTTAGCTCCCACATATGAATGAGAATATGCAATATTTGTCTTTTTGTGCCTGGCTTATTTCACTTAACATAATGGCCTCCATATCCATCTATGTTGCTGCAAATGACAGGATTTCATTCTTTTTTATGGCCCAATAGTATTCCACTGTGTATATATGCCACATTTTCTTTATCCATTCATCTGTTGAACACTTAGGTTGATTCCAAATTTTTGCTATTGTGAATAATGCTGCAATAAACATAGCGGTACATGTATCCCTTTGATCAAAGGGTATTTTAAGATTAACCTAGCTATGGTATTTAGAATAGAATGCCTTCTAGGAGTCAAAAAGTTAGAAGGCTACAGTTCAGATGTGCAGGTGAGGGCATGGACTTTGTAGAGGTGGCAGGAACAGACTGGAAGTGGGTGCATCTCTACCATGGTGCTAAGGAAGAACTAACAGCAGGTAATGGGTACTCATTCCTAATTGGGGAGATCATGCTGGGTGCAATTAGATTAATGGATCAGCAAGAAGAAAAAGCAAAAGTGATTGAAAAGTAACAGTTTGAGCTAGGAAAAGAACTAGGACAGTGAGGCTTTACAAGCCAAATTAAGAGTTTCAAAAAGAGTATTTTCAAGTGTTAATGCCACAGAGAGGTTGGGTAAGATGGGCACTGAAAAAAAATTAGTTCTGGTAATTAAGATATCCCTGGATATCTCTTACATAGTGGTTTTGGCAAGGTGGGTAAAGACAGACTGCTGAGAGAGTGAATGAGGTTGCAGGATACAAAATCAATATTAAAGAACACATTTTATTTTCCACACACAAAAAACAAAGTTAGAAAATATAATTTTTAAAGATTCTATTTATGTTGGTTACATGGGTTTGTTCAGTTAGTGAAAATGCAGCAAGCTATACATTTATGGTAGGTCTACTTTTCTATTTCCACATTATACTTCAATAAAAAGTTTTAAAAATATCACTTGCAATACTGTCAAAATACAAGTTACGTAAGAATAGTACAAAAGATGTATAAGACTTCTACAGGGAAAAACACTCAGATTTAATTTTGATTTAATAGAATACTCAGAAACAGACTAAGGGATATTTGGGCACTTAATATATGAAAGAAATGGCACTGCTTATCAGTAGGGAAAGAACGGACTTTTTAATAAGCAGTACTAGGACAAATGGGTATTTATATGGAAAAACAAAACTGGACCCTGCATCATATCATGTATAAAAAAAACAGTTCTAGGTGGATTAAAGGCTTAAGTGTGAAAGGCAAAACTGTAAAGCCTTTATTAGATAATATAGAAAAAATATCGTTAAGATCTTGAGGTACTAAAGGATTTCTTTCTTTCTTTCTTTTTTTTGAGACGGAGTCCCGCCCTGTTGCCCAGGCTGGAATGCAGTGGTGCAATCCCGGCTCAATGCAACCTCTGCCTCCCGGGTTCAAGTGATTCTCCTGCCTCAGCCTCCCGAGTAGCTGGGACTACAGGCGCCCGCCACCACGCCAGACTAATTTTTGTATTTTTAGTAGAGACGGGGTTTCACCGTGTTGGCCAGGAGGGTCTCCATCTCCTGACCTTGTGATCCGCCTGCTTCGCCCTCCCAAAGTGCTGGGATTACAGGCGCGAGCCACCACACCCGGCCTAAAGGATTTCTTAAGACACAAAATTAAAAAGAAAGTAAAAACACAAGCCAGAGAGGAGGGAGAAGATATGTGCAAAACACACAGGGTGGGGAGATTTGCAATAAATATAACTGACCAATAACTAGAATCTATAGTATATTAAGAATTACTTTTAATCAGTAGGAAAAAGACATTTAATAGAAAAATGAGCAAGACGTGAACAGGCATTTAACTGAAAATACACATGGTCGATAAACATATGAAAAGGTGATCAACCCCATTAGTAATTGAGGAAATGAAACTTAAAACCATAATAAAGTATCACTCCACATCTACTATATTGGCAAAAATTTAAAATTCTCACAAAACAGTGGATATAGAGCAATTAGGACTCTCATACATTGAAACAAACTTTGAAAGATAGTTTGGTATATATGTACTCTATAACCCAGTGATACTACTTCTAGGTACATATCCTAGAAAATTCTTATACATATGCATTGGGATACACAAACAAGAAGGTTCATATGGGCGTTGTTGACAATAGCCAAAAACTGGAAAAAAATGGAATATCCATCAAAAGTAGAAAGAATAGTGGTACAGACAAATGATAGATTACTATACAAAAATGAAAAGAAATGAACTACAGCTGTATGTAATGTAGTAGATGAATCTCTCAAATATCATTTTAAATGGAAGAATGAAGGCACAACAGATTATAAACAGTATAATTCCACTTACATAAAGCTTAAAAGTAGACAAAACTATATTATGCTATTTAGAGATATATACACAGGTGGCATTGCTATCAAGAAAGCAAGGGGAGGCCGGGCATGGTGGTGTATGCCGGTAATCCCTGCACTTTGGGAGGCCGAGGCAGGCAGATCACCTGAGGTCAGGAGTTCAAGACCAGCCTGGTCAACATGGTGAAACCCCATCGCTACTAAAAATAGAAAAATTAGCTGGGTGTGGTGGCACATGCCTGTAAACCCAGCTACTTGGGAGGCTGAGGCAGGAGAATCACTTGAACCCAGGAGGCAGAGGTTGCAGTGACCCAACATCACGCCACTGCACTCCAGCCTGGGCAATGGAGTGAGACTCCATCTCAAAAAAAAAAAAAAGAAAGAAAGAAAGAAAAGAAAAGCAAGCAAGCAAGGGGGGCCAGGTGTGGTGGCTTACGCCTGTAATTCCAACACTTTGGGAGGCTAAGGCAGGAGGACTGCTTGAGCCCAGGAATTAAAGACCAACCTGGGCAACATAGGGAGATCCCAACTCTAGAAAAAATTAAAAATTAGCTGGGAATTGTGGCATGTGCCTGTGGTCCCAGCTACTCAGGAGGCTAAGGAGGGAGGATTGCTTGAGTCCAGGAGGTTGAGGCTGTAGTGAGCTGTGATTGTGCCACTGCACTCAGCCTGGGCAACAGAGCGAGACCCTGTCTCAAAAAAAAAAAAAAAAAAAGGCAAGGGAATTGACATCACAAAAGTCAGAAGAATGGATACCTGGAGAGAGAAGGAAGGGGATCATGATCTCGGAGGGGTATGCATGGGTGCTGGAAGTGTTTTGTTTTCAACCTGAGTGGTAGTTATATAGATGCTTACTTTATAATCATTTATTAAACTAGATACATGACATAACTTATGCAATGTTCTGTATGTATGCTATGTCTCACCAAAGAAGTGAAACTAAGAGTTAATCACATGTATTGCTAAGCAGTGTAAGCTTTTTTGAGAAGCTTGAGTCTAAAGGGAAGGAGATAGGACAGTAGTTACAGGAGGATTCAGGATTAAAGGAATTTAGGTACGTATATTCACCAAAATACCTGTACAAGAATATTCATAGCATTATTCAAAGCAACTCCAAACTGGAAATTACCCAAATGCCCATCCAACAGTAAAGAGGATAAATTGTGGTACATTCATCAGTGGAATACTATATTGTAATGAAAAATAAACAAACTACAACTACATGCAATACTATGGATGAACCTCACAAGCATAATGTTGAGTTAGGGTTATCAGATTTGGTAAAAGAAAAAAAATATAGAACATCCAGTTAAATCTGAATTTCAGATAGATGATGAATCATTTCTAATATAGGTATATTCCATACAAAATGATGTCATTTATCTGAAATTCAAATTTATCTAGGCATCTTGTATTTTCTCTGGAGATCTTACATTGAGTGAAAGAAGTCAGACATGAAGGAGTCCATACTACAAAACTAATCTAGGACTAAAAGTCTGGACAGTGGTTACTCTTTGGGGAAGACAGTGACTAGAAGAGAGCACAAGTGACACTTCTGGGATGCTTAGAATATTGTTTCTTCACCTGGGTGCTATTTACATGTATGTATTTCATATTGTGAACATTCGTTGAACTGTATAATGATGACTTGATATCATTATATTACATAATATGTATGTAATACACATATATGTATATGCAATATACATATATGCATAATATGTATATGTAATATATATTTATGTGTAATATGTATATTATACTTCAATTGAATAATCTACCTATTATCCATCTGTAATCTATTTATAATCTATCTGGCAGTGGCCTAAATATGTTTTATATTCAAAATCACAACAAAAAGTAGGGATAAACTTAACAGAAAATGTACAGCACTCACACTGACTAAAGAGAAATACTTTGAATAGGTAATTTAATCAGGAATATAAATGGCCTATAAATATAAAAGTATGTTCAACTTCACTAATAACTACAGAAATGAAAGTGACATGCCATTTTTCACTTATCAAATTGGTAATAATACTTAGTAGAGAATTTAGGAAAATGAATAATCTCATCATTCCTTCATGGGAGTTTGGTAGCATCTATTTTTAAAAGGTACATGAATTTTGGGAAGATAGTAAGTTGAAAATATTCCAAATCGCCTCTATTCCCAAACCTGATTCATTGACTGTTCTTAAGCCAAGTAGGTGCTGGGGCCAGCCAAAAAAGTAGGTTGCAGGATGGGTCTGAGACCTGAGAGTAAGGGGTGATGTAGAATTTTTCATCTCTGGAACAGAGAAAAGCCCTGGGCTAAGAGTGTGGTGTAGCAGAGCCAAAGTGCAAGGATGGAAACATGGTCTGTGGCAAAGGCTTCGCCCATACCACTCTGAACTCCTAGGGGGAAAGTCAATACTGCTTATGTGAGTGTGCCAGGTTTCCCCATCTGAAAATGCTAAGAAAACAATGAGATGGGTTGGGTCCTCTCTACCTTGAGACTAAGAAAGCACAAGGAAACAAGAGTACAGAGAGGCCTCCTCCTGATGCCTCCTCATGGGTTTGACAAGCTGACTGGCAATACGCCTGCTAGCTCATGGGCAGAAACCACTGTGCTTTTCCCACTCACTGGGCTGCTATGACTTCAGATACTCCAGCATTAGACTTCAGTCCCAGAGAGCAGACCAAGGAAAATAACAATACACCTAAAGGGACCCAGAAGCCAAAAAGAACATGCAGAACACTTAGAACAGGACTTTAATGAATAGAGTTGCTGAATGAAACAGACAATTTGCACTTAAAAAAGACTTTAGAACTAAGAGAATTAAATACCATTTACCAACACCAATAGCAATTATCATTCCAAATAATAAAACATTAAAACCATTCTGATTTAAATCAGAAACTAGATTCCCCTGAGGAAAGCAACTTTACTAGTCCAGGGTATATCTGCTGACATTTTTCTCATTGCTAAGAAACATAAGAGAATTAAATAAAGGAATAAATATTGGCAGAGGTAACTTTCTTCTTACTGATACAATTTGATACCAAGAAAACTCAAGCCTCTAGTTAACAAAACCTGTTAGAACAGAGCTATATTATCAAGATGAATTGATCTCAAGAACATAATGTTGAGGGAAAAAATCAGTTTCAGAAGACACATATACCATGAAACCCCTTACATTAAGTTTAGAAACATGCAAAATGTCACTACATATCATTAAAGGATATAAGAATAAAGAAATTAATGGAAAGGATAAACACCACATTTAGAATGGTGGCTAAATTCACCCCTTAGTTTGATACAACCTGTCCTAATTCCTTACCACTCGACCGACACTGCTCTGACAAAGATCACCCAAAACCTCAACGGACAAATCTATTTACCTCTTCTCAGTAATCACACTGAAGCATATGACACAGGTGACAGTCCTTTTTGTTTATAAAAACCCTTGGTTATCTAGATACTATGATCCTCCAGTGTCTCTTCAGCTTCTCTTATTGACTCATTTACCCTTGGCCCTTAAATATGAGTGCCCCTCGCTCATATTTAGTATTTACTAATATTATTTAATATTTACTAGTGGCTCTTTGATTGTCCAGTCTTTCTCTGCACAACTCTCCTACCCATGGATTCCAAATATTTATCTCTAGCCCAGATGTTGCTTCTAAGCTCTTGTCCTGACTTTCTGATTTCTTCCTGGATTTTTCTAATATGTACTCCAAATCTGACATGTCCAAAATCTTTCCATCTGCTGTCTGCTTCCTATATACCTATCTCCTGTTTTCTCACTAGCTTCCCTTCAACTCTTGGCATCTGCCACTTGATGTAGGACTCAACTATGATTCTGTCATAAACTTCTTTGCCTCACGAGTCAAATCTGACACTTGGGTACATCTCCTTTCCCCCAATCCACAGTAATGCAACATGTAACAATATTCTGCCGGGCCATATCCACCTTCTGAAAATATTCCAGAGGGTTTAGCAACTTTCTTAGTTCTTGATAAGTAGAAAATGATTCCCTCTAACAGTGGAGGACTTGCCTTTGACAATGGCAGTTTGGTAGCCAAAGAAAAGTTAATTCCACAGGTATAAGCCATATCCCTAAAAGTTTCTTCCACCCTCGAAATCTACCTCAAATGTTGACAAGCACCTTAGCAAGCTCATAGGGATCTTAGTTCAGCTGAGATTGTATATAAATATCAGTAGAGCCCCTATATTCCTCATTAGCCACACTCAGAGCAAGTAAAAACACAGATGATGGAATTGGTAATTATGAAGAGACTACTATTTACTAAGAATTGCATTAAATGTTTTACGAATATGAGTTCACTTAATTCCCACAACTCTATTGGAGAATATATTCAAATCCTATTTTACAAATGAGGAAATTGAAGCTCTGAAGCTAAGATGGGCAACCCAGAATGTGTATGTAAAACCCTCTAATGCAATTGAGTAAAATTCCTTTAGAGCCCCTAAAAGTCTTTGAATAGGCTGCCAAGTGGGAAAGCCACCAACTTCCTGTGAATCCATCACTGGTGGATCAGAAACCACAAAATCCTTGAGAGACTGAAAGCAGATGAATCAGACCAACATAAGAAAAAATATGCAGGAGAGAACTGATATAAAAAGTTGGCAGCAACTGCAGGAGTACTACAGACTTGAAGGTAGTGGATTCGGAAAACAGAAGGAAGCCCTGGGACAATGGTCAAGGTATCTGGTTGTGGTACAGGAGCAGGAGTAGGACCATAGACTAATAGTCAGTGATATGACAGAAATAAGTCCAAACACACACACGAATACAGAGGGTAAAACTACCTGTTAAAAGAGAACATCATCCCTAAGCAGTTTAATAAAAGAAAAAAAAATTAAAAAGAGAGACCATCAGATTGGGTATAAATGAATGGATAAATTAATTAATGAAGTCAAGCTACAAAGTTTCTGTAAGATAGGGATGGAAAACATACCAGGTAAGGGCTAACAAAGAGAAAGTAGGTGAAGAAATACTAATTAGACAAAATAGATATAATCCTCTAAGAAGACGTATGTCATGACATTTTATGCAGTTGGCAACATAGCTCCAAAGTATAAAATGTATAAACTAAGAAATACAAGGAGAAATGGACAAATTCTTGGTCATACTGTGAGAAAATAACATATTAAGTAAAAAAAAAGAACATGAGGATCTGAATAATACAAGTAACAAGCTCATCTAATAGGTATATATAGAACTATACACCCAAGAGAAAATACACTTTTTAAAAATATAAACAGAATATTAATAAAGACCAAATAAGTATAGGCCAAATTTCAAAAAACACAAATCACATACATTTGTTGAACATAATGCAATACATTAGAAATTGACAATAAAAGGAAAGACAGAAGCACCTTCTAAATAACTTTTAGGTTTGAGAGAAAATGAAAGAGTAAATATCCTATTTAGACATGAACAATAAGAGTACTATTTCTCAAAATTATAAGATTAGATTGAAGTGGTAGTTAGAGGAGATGTATAGCTTTAAATATATCTTTTTAGATAAGAACAACTGAAAATAAATGAGACATAGTTATGTATGTGCAAATAAAAGAAAAAAATTGATCTTGAATGTGATTAAGCCTCTAGATCGAATTACCAATTTATAGGAAATAGAGAATAAAAGTGAAACATGTGAAACTATATAGGCATGCAATTGGCAAAATTCACACTATGGGAAATTCTACAAGACAACTTGATTTCTTCAATAAACAAATTCCAGGGACTTGAGGGGTAAAGAAAGATGGAGGAGGTACCTAGAGATTAAAGGACATTTAGGCCTTGGCTGGGTGCAGTGGCTCATGCCTGTAATCCCAGCACTTTGGGAGGTTGAGGTGGTCAAATCACCTGAGATCAGGAGTTCAAGATCAGCCTGGCCAACATGGTGAAACCCCATCTCTACTAAAAATGCAAAAATTAGCTGGACGTGGTGGCGTGTGCCTGTAATCCCAGCTACTTGGGAGGCTGAGGCAGGAAAATCACTTGAATCTGGGAGGCAGAGGCTGCAGTTAGCCAAGATCATGCCACTGCACTCCAGCCTGGGCAACAGAGTGACACTCCGTCTTAAAAAAAAAAAAAAAAAAAAAAGACATTTAAAAGGCCTATTGAGCAATAACAATGTGTGGACCTTGTTTGTATCCTGATCCAAATAAATAAAATCTATAAGACAATTAAAAATTTGAACACTGACTAGATATGTAATTTTAAGGCATTAGTATTATTGTTAATTTAATTTTTAGGTGTATATATATATTTTTTTTTCTTTTTTTTTTTTTAGAGACGGTCCCACTCTATGGCCTAGGCTGGAGTGCAGTGGCTCAATCACAGCTCACCACAGTCTCAAACTCCTGGGCTCCAGCCATCCTCCTGCCTCAGCTAGGACTACAGGTATATGCCACCACACCTGGCTATTTTATTTTTTATTTTTGTAGAGATGGTGGGGTCTCGCTATGTTGCTCAGGCTGCTGTCAAATTCCTGGTCTCAAGCAATCTTCCTGCTTTGACCTCCCAAAGTGCTGAAATTACAGGCATGAGTCACTGAACCTGACCTAGGTGATTATATTTTAAGAGTTCTTAATTTCTACAGATACAAACTGAAAAAAATAAAACAATATGTCCGTGATTTGTTTCAAATAATATCAGAGGGAGAAAGTGGGTATTATATAGACAAAACAAGACTGGTCATAAATTAGTCATTGCTGAAACTTCATGACAGGTATATTGGGGGAGGCATTCATTATACCATCCTGACCTCTTCTGTATATGCTTGAAAAGCTTTTTTAAAAAGGAGAAGAAAAGAAGTAAACTCAGCTTTCAACTCAAGAAGCAATAAAAAGAACATAAAACAAAATAAAACAACTTAGGAAGAACTCAGTAATAGAGTAATAGTAAAAATTGGAAAAAGGTAGAGTTAATCTGTCAAATGTGATAGAAAAAACAGAAGATATATAAACAATTGAAATGAAAGTGAGACATAACTACAGATAAAGAGGAGATTAAAACTATAAAGTAAATCTATTTGCAATATTATATTAATAAATTCGGCAATCAGAAAAAATGAATAATTTTCTTTCTTTTTCTTCTTCTTCTTCTTTTTTTTTTTTAGGACAGGGTCTCACTCTGTCACCCAGGCTGGAGTGCTGTGGTGCGATCTTGGCTCACTACAGCCTTGGTCTTCAGGGCTCAATCGATCCTCCACCTCAGTCCCCCGAGTAGCCAGGACTACAGGCATGTGCCACCATGCCTGGCTAATTTTTTATTTTTTGTAGAGACAGTGATCTTACTATATTGCTCAGGCTGGTCTCCAACTCCCGGGCTCAAGCGATCCTCCTACCTAGGCCTCCCAAAATGCTGAGATTATAGGTGTGAGCCTCTGTGACTGGCCAAAATGAACAATTTTCTAAGAAAATATAAATGACCAGAATTGGCTCAAGATATAGAAAATCAAATCTTCAAGAAACCTTCAGAGATAATTTCCATGTTATATCAACTGTACCAGAGCATACAAAAAAACGTAAAAAACTGGAACTCTCATACACTGCTGGGGTGTAAAATGATACAAACCATGTTAGAGAACTGTTAGGCACTTTCTCATAAAGTTAAACATACGCTTGCCCTCTTCTATTCCTAGGTATTTATCCAAGTGAAATGGAAACATATGTTCACAAAAAGACCTGTATACAAATGTTCAGGGTAGCTTTATTCATAATAGCTAAAAATTTGAGATAACCTAAATTCTCAACAATACGAGAATAGAAAAACAAATAGTGGTATAATCATAGAATTGAATACTACTCAGCAATACAAAGGAAAATCACTAATCAAAGCAAGAACATGAACAAATCTCAAAAAACACTATGTTGAGCAAAAGAATCCAGGCACACACACACACACACACACACACACACACACACACAACCATTTTGAGATCCCACTGTAATGAAGTCTAAGAACATGCAAAATTAATCTATGGTGACAGAAGTCAGAAAGTGGTTGCTGGAAGTGGAATGGGGGAAGGATGGATTGACTGGAAAGGGGCACAAGGGAAGTTTCTGGAAAGATGGAATTGTTTTATATGATATTTTTGGTGGTAGATATATGAATGTATATAACTAGCAAAACTCAACAAACTAAGCATTTAAGGTATGCGCATTTTACTGTATATAAATTTTTTTTGTTTGCTTTTGAGAAAGAGTCTCACTCTGTCACCCAGCCTGGAGTGCAGTGGCGTGATCTTGGCTCACTGCAACCTCCACCTTGCAGGTTCAAGCAAATCTCGTGCCTCAGCCACCAGAGTAGCTGGGACTACAGGCGTGCGCCACCACGCTTGGCTAATTTTTGGAATGTTAGTAGACACAGGGTTTGCCATGTTGGCCAGACTGGTCTCAAACTCCTGGCCTCAAGTGATCTGCCCTTCTCGACCTCCCCAAGTGTTGGGATTACAGGCATGAGTCACTGTGCCAGGCCAATTGTATATAAATTTTACTTCAAGAAATAACATATTGAAAAATATAACTACATGAGGTGATTGATATGCTAATTAGCTTGACTGTGGTAATCATTTCACAATTTATGCATATATCAAAGTATCGCACTGTCTACTTTAAACATTTACAATTTTTTTTGTCTATTATACCTCAATAAGGCTGAAAAAGAAAAAAAGCTATTGCTCCTTAAGTAGCCAATTTTACATATTCAAAAATAGAAAAAATATGTAAGAAGAAAAACACACACAAGGCACAAATGAAAAAGATCAATAAAGTTAAAAAATGAGACTGAGGAAAACATATGCAATATATGTAACTAAGGCTTAATATCCAGAATATATAAACAACTCCTATAAATCAATAAGAAAAATACAACATGAAAGAAGAAAAAATAAGCAAATGGTATGAACAGGCAATTCATAGAAATGGAAAGAGAAATAGCCAATAACATGCAATATTCAAGAGAGGCAAGACTAAAAAGGTCAATAATATCCAATATTGTCAGTAGTATAGAGAAACATCATCATATTTTGTAGGTAGAGTGGATAAAGAGGCAGACATTTTGGTGTGCAATATTTAATAGTATTTACTCAAACGTGTATACCCTTCAATCTAGCAATTCCTCTTTCAGGTACATAACAGAGAATACTCTCACATGTTTATCATGTACAAGGCTATCTAGTGAGGCATCAATTTCCAATAGCCAGAAATTGGAAAACTGAAATGTCAACCAAAATAGGAATAAACAAGGTAGACTGTATACCGTGGAATCCTATGTAACAGTTTTTTAAATGAAGTAGACTTATATACACGGGATACAAAAAAGATCTCAGGCCTGGCGTGGTGGCTCACGCCTGTAATCCTAGCACTTTGGGAGGCCGAGGCAGGCAGATTGCTTGAGCTCAGGAGTTCGAGACCAGCCTGGGCAACAAGGTGAAACCCCATCTCTACTAAAATACAAAAAATTAGTCATGCATGGCAGCATGTGCCTGTAGTCCCACCTACTTAGGAGGCTGAGGCAGGAGAATTACTTGAACCCAGGAGGCGGAGGTTGCAGTGAGCCGAGATCGTGCCACTGTACTCCAGCCTGGATGACAGAGCAAGACTCCATCTCTTAAAACAAAACAAAACAAAAAATCTAAGTTGTATCACGAAGAGATAAAAGCAAGTTGAAAAACAATATGTGTAGCATGATGACATTTATCTTTAAAAACACAGCAACACCAATAAAAAATATATGTGTACGTGAAAAAATCTTGAATGATACCCACCAGTCAGATGAAAGTGTTCACCTCTGGATTAGGACTGGGTGGTAAATCAAGGTAGATTTTATCTTCATCTGTATTGTTTGTATTTTTATATGAGAATCTATTCATGTATTACTTGTATAGTTAAAAGGAAATAAATAAATTAGGCAATGCCAAAATATTTAAAGGTATATAAAAACTATATTACTATATGCACACATACACATATGCACAGAAAAACATCTGGTAAAGATAAACACCAAACTTAATAATCATGGTTAAACAAAAGCCTAGCTAAGAGCTTAAAAGGTCTGGGAAATGAGGTATCCACGGGAGGGAGTGGGGATTAAAAAGTTCAGATATATTTCTGAAGGTCTAGAAAGTTGTCTGAATGTATAGGGCTGTCTACATGCTCAGGAAAGACCTAAAAAGCCATAAATTTTGCATCTCTGGCTGACTTTGAGACTCTGTTTAAGCAGTGAAGGCTAAGGCAGAGTTGTAAAAGTGCCTGAGTGTTGAAGGCATATGCCCAAACACAGACACAAAACTCTTGGCAAATGGTGGAAGATGTATAGGTTCAAGGCATTTAAGTAACTGAGACCAGTCATCAAGTAACCACTAAATTAACAGAGAAGACACTTCTGTGATGGCAAACTACAGGGAATCCAGTTTACAGAATCAGTCCAGGAAAGTCACTAAACAAACAAAAACAAGTGAGATTTATCCTAGGAATACAAGGTTGGTTTAACATTCAAAAATCAATTAATGCAGTATACCATATCAATAGACTAAAGAACAAAAATAATGTGATCATGTGATCACATCAATAGATGACAAAAAAGCATTTGACAAATACCCATTCATGATAAAAACACTTAACAAACTAGGTGTACAAGGGAACTTCCTCAACCTGGTAGGGCACCTATGAAGAACAAAGACTGAATGCTTTTCCCTTAAGATCAGGAACAAAATAACAACATTCATTCTCACCACTTTTATTCACCATTATACTGGCGCTTCTAGTCAGGACAAGCAGGCAAGAAAAAGAAGTAAAGGCATCCAGACTAGAAAGAAAGAAGTAAAAGTATCTCTATTCACAGGTGACATGATCTTGTACACAGAAATCCTAAAGCATCTATTTAAAAAGCTATTAGAACTAATAAGTTCTGCAAGTTTGCAGATACAAGATCTACAAAACTCAATAAACAAATTGAAAATGAAATTAAGAAAACAATTGCATTTACAATAGCATTGGAAAGGATAAAATACTTAGGAATAAATTTAACAAAAGAAGTGTAAAACTTATACTCTGAAAATTAAAAAAAAATTATCAAAAAATATTAAAAAAGAATTAAATAAAAAGAAAGATACTCCAAGCACAGTCGCTCATGCCTATAAACCAGCACTTTGGGAGGTAAAGGCAGGAAGATCACTTGAGGCCAGGCATTCAAGACCAGCCTGGGCAAGAAAGTGAGACCCGTCTCTACAAAAAAAAATTAAAAATCAACCAAGAGTGGTGGTACATGCCTATAGTCCCAGCTACTTGGGAGGCTGAGGTAGGAAGATTGCTTGAGCCTGGGAGGTTTAGGCTGCAGCCATTGCTTTCCAACCTGGGAAACAGAGCAAGATCTTGTCTCTAAAAAAAAAAAAAAGAGGCCGGGCACGGTGGCTCATGCCTGTAATCCCAGCACTTTGGAAGGCCAAGGCGGGTGGATCACTTGAGGTTAGGAGTTTGAGACCAGCCTGGCCAACATGGTGAAGTCCCGTCTCTACTAAAAATACAAAAATCAGCCAGGTGTGCTGGCATGTGTCTGTAGTCTCAGCTACTTACTTGGGAGGCTAAGGCAGGAGAATAGCTTGAACCTGGGAAGCAGAGGTTGCAGTGAGCCGAGATCACACCACTGCACTCCAGCCTGGGCAACAGAGTGAGATTGTCTCAAAAAATAAAATAAAATAAAGATAAAAATAAAAAATTTGAAAAAATTTGAAAAAGAAAAAGAAAGACATCTGATGTTCATACATTGAAAGACTTAATATTGTTAAGATGGCAATACTTCCCAAGTGGGTCTACAGATTCAGCGAAATCTCTATAAAATCCCAGCTGGCTTTTTTGCAGAAATTGACAAGTTGAACCTAATGTTCATATGGAAATGAAAGGGGCCCAGAATAGCCAATACAATCTTGAACAAGAACGAAGTTGGAGGACTCACACTTCCCAATTTCAAAACTTACCACAAAGCTACAGTAATGAAGACATAAGGCGTAAGGCATATAGATCAAAGGAATAGAGACCAGTTGCTTCTTGACAAGTATGCCAAGACAATTCAATGGGGGAAAGGATAGTCTTTTCAACAAACGATGCTGGGATAACTCATATACAGATGCAAAAGAAACTGGACCACTCTTCACATCATATGCAAAAATTAACTCAAAATGGGTCAAAGCCTAAATGTGATATGAAAGGACATTCTTCCAAAAGTTATATAACATGAAATGATGTTCAACATCATTAGCCATCAGTGAAATATAAATAAAAACCACAATGAGATACCACTTCGTACCCACTAGGATAGCTATAATTAAAAAGGCATAATAACAAGCAAATCTGATGGCACCCAGGAGTTTGAAAAATAAATAAGTAACAAGTGAAAATGTGGAGATACTGGAACCCTTATATATTGCTGGTGAGAACAAAAAATGATGTCGTTGCTTTGAAAAACAGTGTGATGGTAGTTCTTCAAAAGGTTAAACATGGAGTGACCATATGATCCAGCAATTCCACTCATAGGTATACACTCAAGAGAAATGAAAACTTGTCTACAGAAAAACATACACAAATGTTCATAGCAGCATTATTCATAATAACCCAAAATGAAAACAACCCAAATGTCCATCAAGGGATGAATGGATAAATAAAAACATGGTATTTCCATACAATGGAAGATTGTTTGGCAATAAAACAGAATTCAGTACTGATACATGCTACAATATAGATGAACTTTGACATTATGCTATGTGAAAGAAGCCAGTCACAAAAGACCACATATTGTATAATTCCATTTATATGAAATGCCCAGAATAGGCAAATCTGCAGAGACAGAGGATTGGTTATTGCCTAGGATGAGAGGTGAGGAACATATATTGAGGGGAAATAAGGAGTGAATGCTAATGGGTATGGATTTCTTTTTGAGGTGATGAAAATATTCTAAAATTTATTGCGGTGATGGTTATACAACTCCTTGTGAACATACTAAAAATCAGTGAAATGTATACTTTAAAAGGGTGAGTGTTATGGTATGTTAATTATATAATTATATCTTTTATTCTTTTAAAAAAAAAGTTAAACAGAGTTACCATATGACCTAGCAATTCCATTCCTAGGTATATACCCAAGATAAATGAAAACCTTTGTCCACGTGAAAATTTACACACAGAAGTTCATAACAGAGAAAATTGGATATGACTGATGAATGAACAACCAAAATGTGGCATATCCATACAATGGAATATTGTTCAGCAATAGAAAGAAATGAGGCCGGGTATGGTGGCTCACACCTGTAATCCCAGCACTTTGGGAGGCCAAGGTGGGTGGATCACTTGAGGTCAGGAGTTCAAGACCAGCCTGGCCAACATGGTGAATGAAACCCCATCTCTACTAAAAAATACAAAAATTAGCCAGGCATGGTGGCACATGCTTGTAACCCCAGCTATGGGAGGCTGAGGCAGTAGAACTGCCTGAACCTGGAAGGTGGAGGTTGCAGTGAGCCAAGATCATGCCACTGCACTCCAGCCTGGGCAACAGAGTGAGACTCTCTCTCTCTCAAAAAAAAAAAAAAAAAAAAAAAGGAATGAAGTACTGATATATGATGCAACATGGATGAACCTTGAAAATCTTAGGCTAAGCCAGTCACAAAAGACAATATATTGTATGATTACATTTATATGAAATGTAAACTAGTTCAACCATTGTGGAAGTCAGTGTGGCGATTCCTCAGGGATCGAAAACTAGAAATACCATTTGACCCAGCCATCCCATTACTGGGTATATACCCAAAGGACTATAAATCATGCTGCTATAAAGACACATGCACACATATGTTTATTGCAGCACTATTCACAATAGCAAAGACTTGGAACCAACCCAAATGTCCAACAATGATAGACTGGATTAAGAAAATGTGGCACATGTACACCATGGAATACTATGCAGCCATAAAAAATGATGAGTTCATGTCCTTTGTAGGGACATGGATGAAATTGGAAATCATCATTCTCAGTAAACTATCGCAAGGACAAAAAACCAAACACCACATGTTCTCACTCATAGGTGGGAATTGCACAATGAGAACACATGGACACAGGAAGGGGAACATCACACTCTGCGGACTGTTGTGGGGTGGGGGGAGGGGGGAGGGATAGCATTAGGAGATATACCTAATGCTAAATGACGAGTTAATGGGTGCAGCACACCAGCATGGCACATGTATACATATGTAACTAACCTGCACATTGTGCACATGTACCCTAAAACTTAAAGTATAATAATAATAATAATAAAATAAAATAAAAAAATAAAAAAAAAGAAATGTAAGTTAAGTGGTTGCCTAGGGCCAGGGAAAGGGGTGGGAATGGGGAGTGACTGCTAATGAATATGGGGCTTCTCCTTGGGATGATAAAATGTTCTAAAATTAGATTATGATGATGATTGTACAACTCTGTGAATATACTAAAATCCACTGATATGTACAGTTTAAATAGGTAATGTTATAGTACGTAAATTATATCTCAATAAAGCTGTTAAATAAAACAACTTGGAACTGAACACCTAAAAGAAGATAAAGAAAGCATTACAGCCTTTAAAAATAGTCTTAGGAAAGCTAAATCTCAAGTGCAAACATAGAACAAAAAGGGTACTTTGAATGACACTCAGAACAAAAAGCTGAATGAGGAAGAAACAGGTCTGCACTCAGTGCCAACAGTATAATAATGATAAATGACAGAAATAAAATTCCTCAATTAATATTTTTCCTTCTGCCTTCTCAGTTCCCAAGAGAGAAATGAAGCCCAATATGAGTAAAGAGGTAGTAAGTGTAAACCCAACTGCTTTAATAAGAGTTCAAATATCTTGGACCAGATGAATTATAGCTAAGGGAACATAGAGTAATTTCAAACGAGACTGCTGAAGCTATGTCAATGATCTTTGACGAATCACAGAGAAAGACATTCTAGAAGACTGGGCAGATGCAATTTCAATTTTCAAAACAGGGATAAAAGTTAATTCCATAAATTACCAAACAGTGGGTTTGATATAAGTCTAGAGTGGATTATTAGAGGGACAGCATGCAAGAACCTAGAAAACAGAAGAATAAGCACTAGAAGCCAACCTTGAATTCACCAAGAAAAAGCACTTTAGGCTAAAATCCCTTATTTCTTTTTTGTATTGTTACTAAGCTGGTAGCTATGAGAAATACAGTAGATATGGTGTATCTGGATTTAGCAAGGCATCTGATGAACTATTTTATGATATCCTTAAGAACAAAATTGAGATATAGAGCTGGATGTTAATTTTTGTTAGAGAGATTAATAATCACTTCAAGATCATTACCAAGGCATGCAGATTACCAGGTCACTATAATGTTAGAAGAAGGTTTCTAATAGCCTACATCACAGGGTTCTTCTAGCCTTAGGAATTTCATCACTTTTCAAATTCAACAACTTGAATGAAGGCATGGAAATTGGGCTGAGGTTTATATGTGACAACATCTGGAAGGGATGGTGAATACTTAAAATGACAGAATCAGGATACTGATTTTAATTATAAATAGTTGGGGTAAAACAAAACAAAACAAAACTAAAACTAAAACTTGCCTGGACCAGATGAAATCAAACCAAAGGCCAGATCCAAATCTCATACCTGAATTAGAGAATGAGAGCAAGGGAAAGAAACAATTTTTCGCTATTTCTGAACTCAGCCTCAAATCTGAATCGTAGCTACTGTTAGAATGTGATCTCAAATCCCAGTCGAAAACACCAACAATACCAACAAGAGTACTAGAAGTTTTTAATCTACAACTGTGACCTTAATTACTCTCTTACCCTCTTTTAGACGATCCCCTTCAGCCTTGGTTTTCTTCTGTCTTTCTGATCCAGCGAGGTCTACAAGATGCAGCTTGGAGCGAAAGCTGCTATTCCTGTGATAATGAAAGGAAGACACAGTGAGAATGGTACACAAGCTTGAGAGTAACTGAATATCAAAGCTGACCTGTCAGCTCTCATTTTCTTTCAAGTCAGTCAAAATGGCTCCATTAGTCACTCGTGCTCACAATACTGATGTCTGATGATTTGTCAAATCAATTGAAGAAGCAGTCTAATGTTTAACCTTAATAGAACTAATACTAAAAATCTTGACTCTTTAAATTGTAACTTACTTGTCACTTTTCTTTCTTTGCTCTAAGGAGATTGTAAAGATGGCATGAGATCGGGACGACTGGGAGTTCATAGCCGTGGAGGCCACAGTCCTAGAGTTGTTGCCCTGTTCCAAACAGGAAACAGTATCCAAGGCAACCAAAACAGTCTTCTCAGTGAGTCCCACAATCTAATTGCAAGAAAGAGAAAATTCCCTTATGATTTATACTTCAAATGCTTGGTCAGAAATATAGGGATTGGTGGTTTAAAAAAATGCCTTGATAGTCTAGTAGAACCTCAAATAGAACAGTCATGGTGATAAGAACTGCTTTAACTGGCAACTCTGTGAAGATAGCTGGAAACTAAGGTCTCCAATCTTCCTTAGGAACTTCAGAAACAAGCGTGCCAGCTAATACTGGAGCTAGAAAAGATCTCAAGATTTTAGGGTAGCAATGGCTACGTGCCTTCCAAGAAACCCCAAGTGAAGTTAATTCTGGTCCCAAGGAGAGCAAGTACAACACAAACAGCGATGGCATTTCTCTTTGTTACTTTCACCCCTATCTGACCCCATGCTCCTCTCTGTACCTCTGATTCATTTTTAACCTCATTTTCACTAGAGGAAATAGCATGGTACAGTTTCCACTGGATTAGGAAGCCAGGAAAACAGGACCCCAGGCTTAGTACTGTATTTACCTTGGAGAACTTATACAAGTTGAATCTCTTGGAGCCTCTGAGGTGATTGGACTAGATGCTTATGAAGTCTTTTCTAGCTCCAATATGCTATAATTTTATTACTTCATAGCTCCCAAACTTACTTCTGTGGCCCTAATTTCTAGTCTTTTATTTCTAATGATCTACCTTACCACTTACACTTTGAAATCAGTCAATTATAAACCAAATTCATCTTCCTCCCACAAACACTAATTCTCTCTACTATAATACTTCTCCATTTCTATTAATCTTGTCTCATATTCTCAAAAACTCACATCACCTTCAACTTCTCCCACTCCTCCATATAATATCTATCACCAACTACTAGTCATTCTCCTTTTGAATCCATCACTTCCTTTTCCTTTACACATCTACTTGCCTAGTTCAGGCCCATATTACTTCACACCTAAAAAATAAGCAACAGTTTCCCCAACTGGTCTTTCTCATCCCAGTCTTTCTCCTTTTCAATCCATTTCTGTTTGGTTTTCCTAAAATGTCACCAACCTACTAAGCCCTGTGCTAGATAACGAAGATACAAAGAGATTTCAAAGTACTCCCCTGACCTCCAGGTTAGGGTGAATTCCTTATAAGAATGAATTCACATATCACTTGTAACAGAGTTGGAGAGATACACACATAAGATAAAAACTTGGTAAAAGTAGCCACAGTAATCCCTCACTCAGAAGTTTTACATAGTTTATATGGTTCACAGGGATAGAAACTAAGCTCTTTAGCCCGGCTTCATAATCTGGTCCTAACATATCTCCTGTTACTTCCCAGCCCAAATCCTCTAATCCAGACAGACTTGTGTAGTCTTATTACCCTCAGGTGTATATTTTCTGCTTTCCTGCTAAAGCTATTCCTTACCATAAGAATATCCTTATTTTCTCTACTTACTTAAAGCCTATCCATCCCATCTGAAGAGTGTTTACAAACTCTTCCTTACCAATTTGTGTCAGGAACTCATACTTCTCTGTATTGCAAATCTCACCTCAAACAACTCTTAGGACTTAATTCCTGCCTTAACATGGGGTATATAAAAGATCTTGAAACAGGGTCAAGTGCTGGCTCAGTACAATAGCATGTATTTTGTCCAGGTTTCTTATCCTCACTATCCAAATCATCTTTGCATATTCCAAGCTTATCAGGGCTGATCCTTTAAACTTTGCATTAGTAGCTGGCTAACAACTTAATGACCCAGAAAAAAAAATCAGGAGCACAGGCACCTGTCCCTCACTGGTACCCCAAATCTTCAACTTTCTCTGTTTTTCTTTGTGCAAGAGAAGAAGGGAAGGAGAACAGGAGTAAGATATTATTCCAAGTTTTCCAGAGTACTACCTAGCCTCATCTACCTCCAGCCTCTGATTTTCCCACTCCTGAATACTCAAGCTCTGCCTGTTTTCAACACTGGCTTCTGGATTTGGCTCACTCCCACATAGGAAACTCTCAATTTTGCCTCACATTTTCTGTTCAGTTCTAGCTCCTCATCTTGCATCTATACCATCTGACAGAAGATTCTCAAATAAGCTATCTCTTCTTCCTATGATACTTACATGTTTTAAAAATTATATATAGTTTAACTTTTCAATTTTAAAAATATCATCCCAAAGCCCAGCAAAATGTCTATTACAGTGCTGTCCAACAGAATTTTCTATTGGATATAGATATGTTCAATCATATCCATGCATTAGTAGCTGGCTAACAATGACCCAGAAGAAAATACATGGATATGTTCTGTATCTATCTGTGCTCTCAAACATGGTTACCACTAGCCATATGTAGCTATCGAGCACTTCATACGTGGCTAGTGTGCCTGAGGAAATGAATTTTTAAAATTTTATTCAATTTTAATTCATTTAAATTTAAATAGCCACTTGTGGCTAGTGGCTAACATACTGGACTGCTCAGCCTTAGAACTCTGTAAATAATATTTAATTGATATTGGCATTCCTCTAGGTAACAGGAAGGTGATAAAACTGAACATGCGTCTTTCCTTGCTTCCCCACAAGAGCTCCCACCTAGAAATTTTAGATTAACAAAGGGACTTAGGACCACAGAAAACCTGACTGAGATGATAGTAGTCATTTAAAACCACAGTGGCAGATAAAAGGGATGTGAACTTTAGTATTATAATTGCCAAATTTTTTTAATAACATCAAATGAGAGACAAACACACCTTTATGCCTTCCTTAGGATCCTCTCGTATATTTATTTGAGCTTTCTCACGAGATGGGCATAGAAGATCCAAAATTTCTTCATTGTAAATCTGATATTGTTGAAAATAAAGTGGCAAAAACAAGATGTTAACAGTGGTAATCTCTGGGTGGTGAGATCATAGGTAATTTTTAAAATTATTTGTGACTTTCTATATTTAAACATTTGTTCATAATGAACATGTATTACTTGTAGAATTAAGAAAAGGACCATAACCCTATAGGTAATCACTTGATGTTTTATAAGAATGAATTCACATATCACTTGTAGCAAAATTGAGATTGCTCTCTTAAGACAGTCTCTTAGGAACAGCAGACACATGAAAAGTTACATGACCACGCAAATTCAGTTCTTTGATGGCATCATAATAGCATTACATTCACCCATTTTGTTAAAATGTGAATAACAGGTACATAGATGGGGGTGGATGGAAAAGGAAGAAGTGGCAGCTAATATTTCAATATGAAACAGAATTTTAAGTACTTAGAACAGTGTTTAGCACATCTAAGCACTACATGTGTTTGCTATTACTGCTATTGCTATTATTTAACATACCAGGATCTGGAGTTATTTTGATATTCAATTATGTTGGCCACAACTAGGTTAATCAAGAGACTCAAGAAGGCTAATCTAGCTGAGCACAGTCACTCACGCCTATAATCCCAGCACTTTGGGAAGCCAAAATGGGAGGATCACTTGAGCCCAGGGGTCTGTCACCAGCCTGGGCAACATAGTGAGACCCTGTCTCTACAAAAATTTAAAAATTAGCCAGGCGAAGTGGCACACGCTTGTAGTCCCAGCTGCTTGGAAGGCTGAGGTGGGGTGGGAGGATCGCTTGAGCAGGAGCTGGAGGCTGCAGTGAGCTATGATTTTGCCACTGCACTCCAGCCTGTGAGAGAGTGGGACTCTTTCTCAAAAGAAATAAATAAATAGAATTAAAAATTGCCTTTAAGGTCTCACTCTGGGGCTCAAGCAATCCTTCCACCCTACCTCAGCCTCCTGAGCAGCTGGGACTGCAGGCATGCACCACCTCACCTGGCTAATCTTTAAAGTTTTTGTAGAGACAAGGTCTCACTATGTTGCCCAGGCTGGTCTCGGACCCCTGGGTTGAAGTGATCCTCCCGCCCTGGCCTCCCAAAGTGCTGGGATTACAGGCGTGAACCACCGGGCCTGGCCAAGAAGGCTAATCTTAATGATGTAATCCCCTGTCTTCCAGTTCTACATCTCTTTACCTGTTAGCATGCTGAGATTGAACTTCAGGATTAAGTGTTCACATGCTTAAATTATATAAGTTTAATTATTACCCCCTAAAGGATAAGACATCACTGCTATGGAATCAAGTAGCTAGCTTCCCAGAAGCCATCAGTTCCCTAAAGATGTGTTTTTGATGTTATGAAGTTAGATACAATTGGCCAGTCTACAACTATACTAATATACACTAGAACACAAACTCCCATAAGGGCTAGAATTTTTGTTTTGTTCACTGATATATACCAAGTACCTCATATACCCAAGTGCCTAGAATTGGGCCTGGCACATGGTAGGTTCTCAGTAAATATCTGTTTAATAAACACACTCTATCACCGCTTATACAGCTCAATATTTCAGCTGGTTTTTAACATTCTTCATGAGGCAACAGCATTATCATTTAAGTCTTAAACAGTAAAGGGAAATCAAACACTCTTCTGCAGACTATACAGGTAATCAGTAACAGAGGCCAAACTGGAATTAAAGAATTCCTATCACCTTTTATATGGCAATGTCAATTCCTCCAACAATCAAATTAAACAGACTATTCTAACACCAAGGAAAGAACTGGGTGGGAGCCGGATCCAACTGAGTCAGTAAGTTTTCTCTATCAATTAATTAAAATGCAACTTACTAATTTGAGTCATGTCAGGAAAAACCTGATTTGGATTTATTTTTCGACCCAAAGACAATTTCGAATTCAGAATAATTAAACATAAATTGCTTACCTCTAAGTAAGACACTTTCAGAGTAAATTCAAAGTCACTCTTTTTATCAATTTCTTTGAAGAGCAGTTGTATTACCCTAGGAATAACCCCAACTGTTGGTTCATTCTCTTGCTCTGCAGTATATGCACCTCCCATTGAATAGGTTTTTCCAGAGCCAGTCTGCCCATAGGCCAGGACCGTTGCATTATATCCTGACAAAATAGACGTCACATGCATAGTGGTGTTTAAACATTTTCATCTAATCAATATACTCCATTTCCTTCAGCAATTATTTGTAATAAAACTGAGATTGCTCTCTTAATACAGTCTCTTAAGAATGGCAGACACAAAGAAAAGTTCTGTGGGTACCATGACCTTGCACTACTCAAAATAAGCAAAAAACAAACAAAAACAAAACAAAACCCAACCCTAAAATGTGTCCCCGTAGTGATAGCCCTTAGAAGCTAAGAAATCAAACACTTAAAAGATATGACTGACTAAATGAAGGTGGCCAAGCCACTGTCAAAAGCCATTGGAGCTTGAAAATTCTGTCTTCCTACCTTAAGCAATTTTAAATTACAGAAATTAAATTAAAGAAAAAGAAAGGATTCTGGCATGTATTTTCTTGATTAACAGTATTTATCTGAAAAGGAAACAACATTGCTTTTTACAGTCAATGAAAGCATCTACTTCATATCTGAACTCTCAGAATGCATTTGAACCATATTATCAGGCTGCTTACAGAAATATCATCATTTAAGCATAATTCAATGTGATATATGCCTTTGCTTTTATTGAGAATTGATAAAGAATCATCCATTAATGAGCCAGGTTCCGTGACTCATACCTGTAATCCCAGCACTTTGGGAAGCCGAGGCAGGCAGATTGCTTTAGCTCAGGAGTTTAACATTAGACTGGGCAACATGGTGAAACCCTGTCTCTACTAAAAATACAAAAATTAACAGGGCATGGTGGCAGGTGCCTATAATCCCAGCTACTTTGGAGGCTGAGGCAGGAGAATCACCTGAGCCTGGGAGGCAGAGGTTACAGTGAGCCTTGATCAAGCCACTGCACTCCAGCCTAGGTGACAGAGCAGACCCTGTCTCAAAAAAAAAAAAAAAAAAAAGCATCATTTATTCAAAGATGTTCACAATATAGTTAACTGAAAAAAGCAGCTTAAAAATAATTGTTAAATATGAGTGTATGGATAGGAAAAGATCAAAAGTATATAAATTATTAATTATTTTGATGTTTATCTCTGAGAAATAGGATGGTAAATTTTTTTTTTTTTTTGAGATGGAGTCTCGCTCTGCCGCCCAGGCTGGAGTGCAGTGGCGCGATCTCGGCTAACTACAACCTCCACCTCCCGGGTTCAAGCGATTCTCCTGCCTCAGTCTCCCGAGTAGCTGGGATTACAGACGCGTGCCACCACGCCCAGCTAATTTTTTGAATTTTTAGTAGAGACGGGGTTTCACCGTGTTAGCCAGGATGGTCTTGATCTCCTGACCTTGTGATCCGCCCATCTTGGCCTCCCAAAGTGCTGGTATTACAGGCGTGAGCCACCACACCAAGCCATAGGATGGTAAATTTTTTGTGTTTTCTTTTCCCCCGTTTGTATTTTTTAAATTATTAAATAGAAGGCATTATTGAACAGAGGCTGTGTTTTTCGTTATCACTTATGTTATCAGTACTGTTTGCAGAAAGACCCATAAAATATATTTCTGTTTGAGTTTATTGGCCAGGCGTGGTGGCTCACGCCTGCAATCGAGCACTTTGGGAGGCCGAGGCGGGCAGATCGCTTGAGGTCAGAGTTTGAAACCAGCCCGGCCAACATGGCAAAACCCTATCTGTACTAAAAACACAAAAATTAGCTGGGTGTGATGGTGGGCGCCTGTGGTCCCAGCTACTCGGGAGGCTGAGGCAGGAGAATTGCTTGAACCCAGGAGGCGGAGGTTACAGTGAACCGAGATCGCACCACTGCACTTCAGCCTGGGCCACTGAGGGAGATTCGGTTTCAAAAAAAAGTATATTTCTGTTTGGGCTTAGTTCTGGTAAAAATGTTTATTTTGTAGATTAGTTTTTATATTTTCTCTTGTCAGATAATCCAGATTACTAGTTACTCAGCACTCCCCCTCCCCGGTTTTTTGAGACAAGGTCTCACTCTGTCACCCAGGCTGCAGCACAGTGTGTGCTATCACGGCTTCGCCTCCCAGGCCCAAGCGATCCTCCCACCTGAGCCTCCAGGGTAGCTAGGACTACAGGCACGCGCCACTATGCCCAGCTAATTTTTTTGTATTTTTTGGTAGAGACGAGTTTCGCCATATTGGCCAGGCTGGTTTCGAACTCCTGACATCAAATGATCTGCCCACCTCAGCCTCCCAAAGTGCTGAGATTACAGGCTTGAGCGACCATGCCCAGCGGGCATTTTCGTTTTATCCCGTAAATTCAAAGTTTGGATTGAAGCTAGAGGAAGATAAACAACTGTAGCAAGATTTTATAAAGAAACAATTAGACAATAGACAGGTTATTCTTACTTTAACTTCAATTGTTACAGTCGTGTGCCATATAATAGCATTTCAATCATGTGGAATGTATACACGATGGTGAAAAATTCCTGTTGCTTATTGACTTAGCCATTATAATATTGCAGTGCAACATGTTACATGTTTGTGTTGATGCTGGGGTAAAGAAACCTACTTCACTGCTAGTCATATAAAAGTACAGCACATCCAACTATGTACAGTATGTAACGCTTCATAATAATAAATGATTGTTACTAGTTTATGTGTTTAGTATACTATACCATACTTTTTATCATTTTTAAGAGTATACTCCTTCTACTTATGATAAATAAAGTTAACTGTAAAACAGCCTCAGGCAGGTCCTTCAGGAGGTATTCCAGAAGAAAGTATTGTTGTCATAGGAGATGACAGCTCTATGGATGTTATTGTCCCTGAAGACTTTCCAGTAGGACAAGACGTGGAGGTGGAAGACAGTGATATTGAAGATCCTGGCCCTGGGTGGGCCTAGGCTAATGTGTATGTTTGTGTCTTAGTTTTTAACAAAAAGTTTAAAAAGTAAAAAAATATATTTTTTTAAAAAGAAAAAAGCTTACAGAATAAAGATGCAGAGTGAAAATGTTTATTCCGCTGTGCAATGTATTTGTGTTTTAAGCTAAGTATTATTACAAAAAAGTCAAAAAGATTTAAAAAATTAAAGTTTATAAAGTAAAAAACGTATAATAAGCGAAGGTTAATTTATGATTGAAGAAAGACACAAAGTTTAATAAATTTAGTGTAAGCTAAGTATCCAGTGTTTATAAAGTCTACAGTAGTATACAATAATGTTTTAGGCCCTTACATTCACTCACCACTCATCACTGACTCACTCAGAGCAACTTCCAGTCCTGCAAGCTCCATTCACGGTAATTGCCCTATACGGGTGTATCAGTTTTTACCTTTCATACTGTATTTTTACCTCACCTTTTCTATACTTAGATCACAAATATTTTCCATGATGTTACAACCGCCTACAGTATTCAGTACAGTAACATGCTTTGCAGGTTTGTAGCCTAGGAGCAGTAGGCTCAGGTGTATAGGAGGCTATACTATCTAGGTTTGTATACATGCACTCCACCATGTTCATACAATGACAAAACCGCCTAATAATGCACTTCTCAGAAGGTATCCCTGTCGTTAACTGATGCATAATTATAACTTGCTACTTAATTGTACAGTAGTAGCTTCTAAAACTATAAGCATGGCACCTAAAAGGAACTACAAATGCAAATTTACTTCAAGGTGAAAAAAATAATGACCTTAGGGAAGTCTGTTCCTTATTAGTGTGGCAGACATGTTGTCAAGGAACACAAAGCAAGCTTTCTCTGTTAAATGATCATCATATTTATGTCAAAGCTGTTATCTGCTATTTACCAAGATAATTTTGCAGTCTGAAGGAAAAAACCCTTTAAACTTTGAAACAACGTTTTAATCTAAATGAAAACTTTGAAGTTTTGAAAAAACTTGTTGGTCTAAATGAAGGATCATAAGAAGATGCTAAATTGAGATTTTCACTGTAATAGACCGCTGGTATCAGCTGGCATGACTATGGGGCAAGAGAATAACATTCCATAATTTTCTGCAATACCACAGATATGTGCAGATAGCAATAACTTGGGAAATGAGGTTTTAGTAGTTTTTACAAAATACTTAGGGCTCTGTGGTACCAGGAGTTCAGAGTACAAGAGGGTGCTGTTGAGCTGACTATAAAAAATATTGACTTTGTTTTTGCAACCAAGGGTAATGTTAAGCAAACACATGTATATTGGAATCACTTTCTACTTTATGTTGCCTTTAAAGAACATAATTTAATTCTATCAGTTTCCCAAGTTAAGAATGTAAAAGTAGAACTGTGGTGCTCTTACTAAGCTGTGGAGGTATAGCCTGAGGAATCTGACCAGATAGTGCAGGGTCTGAAAAGCATATTGTTTCAGGAATGGCTAAAGGAAAGGCGGGGATAATTGAAGAGAATTAGGTAGAAACACTTAACGGTTTTCCAAATACTGTATGTAAAAAGGAAAAAGATTATAGTGGAGAAGCCCAGCAGATTAACACCTTAATCAAATGATCAAAATGAACATCAGTAGTAATAGAATAAATCAAAATCATGTGCTGCCCAATAGGCTTCAGTGAGAAGAAAACAGCACCACTTCTGTGATATTCCTGCTAAAAGATACACAACCTGAATCTAATCATAAGTAAATGCCAGACAAAACAATATTGAGAAAAGGTTTACAAAATAACTGGCCTGTAATCTTCAAAGTGTCAAACTCATAAAAGTCAAAAAAAGACTAAAGAACTGTTTTAGAATGGAGACTAAAGAGACAGCAAAACTAAATAAAACGTGATTTTGAACTAGATCTTTTTGCCATAAAATATTTACTGGGACAATTGGTGAAACTTGAATGGGGTTTCAGGAATAGATGGTAGTAATGTAGCAGTGCAAATTTTATTGTTTTGATGGTTGTATTGTGGTAACTTAGAAGAAAGTCCTTTTTTGTAGGAAATATACACTAAAGTATGGGGGGTTATCAGGCCAATGATTCATCTCAAATGGTTCAGGGAAAAAATGTTTTTTATGCTGTTCTTGCAACATTCTATACGTTTGAAATTATTGCATTAATATCTTAAAATTTTGAAACAAAAATTTCAGTGTTCCTTGAGCCATATCATTAAACAAAAAAACGTGAAAAAATATGTGAATAGCTGTTGCCTAGAAGAAGGCTTCTAAAGGAATGAACTAACATCACTGGGTAGAAATTACCAGGAAGCAAATTTCATCTCATTATAAAGATCTTTATAACATAATTAGACTTGTCCAAAACCCAAATCTCAACTGGACTACCTGTGAGTCAGTGAGTTCCCTGTCAAAAAAATTTTAGACACTGGCAGTTCACCTAACAGATATTGTTAGAACGCATTTTTCTTTGGATGAAAAACAAACTAGATGATATACAAATGTCTCTTTCAACTTTAAGGCACTAGCATGCCATGATTCTACTTCTTTTAAACGAACCTCTGTTTTGAATCTTGAATAACCACTGTATTAGAATAATAATTAGACATCTCTCAGGCACTGCTCCCTTCTTTAGAACCCTGCTATGGTCCTCAACAGCATTAAAGACTTAGCTTCCCCAGTAAAGATTATTAACTGGTGATAGTATTCAGAGGCTTTAGGCACTCCCCTTCTCCACCTAAAAGAAGTATACTCATTATTCAAGACCCATCTCAAAGTTTTCCCACTCTGTGAAATTCACCCCAAATTCCCCAAGCAGAGTTAGAGCCATCCTTTTGTTTTTCATACCACTTTGTATGAGAGCAGAGCTACTACTTCCATAGGACTGACTCTGTTGTATATTTTTAACTTGAAAAATTTTTCTTCTAAAAGATAGGTACAAAAAATTTAAAAATTTTTATATATTCAAAATTATTTATGTAGTCATCTATCTCCATTCCTATCCCCTGGACTTTGAACTCCTTCAGGGCCTCGAAGCTATATTATTTATCACCTGAATCCCTCAACAAGCTTTGCAGTGCCTGGGCCTCAAGTAGGTTGGCACACTTATCACCATCAGCAACCACCACAGAGTTTATAATCTAATGAAGTTCCAGGATAAACAAACATATACAAGTCAAAGATGAACAGAACCACATAAAGCAAATACAGAATAAAACTAGCTTCAAGGGTACAGAGACGTTGACAAATGTTATTAGGCTAAGGGCTTCTTGAAGGCAGGAATCATGATTCATCGATTCCTGTATTTGCAGTGCCCAAGCACAGTGCTTGGCACATAGTATATGCTCAAGGAATATATATGTTACGTTCGAGGAATCAAATCGCCTTACCTTTAAATACACCTTTTATGAGTGGCGCTACTGCTGTATTGAAGACTTCTTCCTGTTCAGTAGAGGGATCAAATACAAAATCGTAGGTGAAGGATTTATCTGTACCAACCACCACCTAGAGAAGGCACGGGACAAGGCGTAAGGTTAAAAATGAAAGGCAAGACCACACCCCTCGTTACCATTTGGCCCCAGCTGTTCAGACACAGGCTCTGGACTCTGCTACGCACCTGAGGCTCTCCGGGCACGAAGGAAAGGCACATCTGGCAGCCCTCGCTAATCTCTTTGGGGACCAGAGGGCGACAACGCAGCGCCACTCTTACGGGAATTCCCTTCACCTCTTCCTTCATGATCCTATCTCAGCACCGTCTCTGCGAGGGGGAAAAAGAAGGCTCGCTGATGAATGTTAGTAGGTCAGCAGGGGTGGGAGGGCGTCCTCCCCGGTTCCGACCCTCCTCAGCGGGAACACTGACTTGGGAGATTCACGCTCCATGACTTGGCCAGGGCTGGACCGCCCGTCAGCCCTGCACTCTAAAGAGAGTGCACGGGCTTCTGAAAGGCAAAGAAAAAACTCCAACGGGGACGGCGACAAAGAACCAAAGCCCTAGGGTACTGGGTAAAAACAGGTTCTGAGCTAAGGTGTGCCCCCGTAACTCACCAAACTAAATGTCCCTTCCCCGTTCTCCCTGGGCCTCCCGCCGCCCTGTCCCAGCCGGAGCTTTAACCGCCAAGTTTCAAATCCGTCCCGGAGACGCCAACCAATTGCAGTGCGGACTGCCCGAGGGCGGAGCGCGCACGTCGGCGCGCGCAGGCCGGCGCGGTGGGAAGGGGAGGGTCAGCTCGTTGCACCCTGGCCCGGCCTCTTTTCGACCCTGCGGAGCATCCGCTTCCGGTTCCCAGACTGAATTGTCAGTGAGCGGAGTCTGAGGTCGCTGTGGACTGCCCACTGGTGAGGTGGTGCGGCGTTTATGCGGCTGAGAGTGCGGGTCTCAGGCAGAATGTGGGGCGGGGACGTGGGAGGTGGCTGGTCAGGTGAAGGAAGGGTCGATCTAAGGACCCTACCATTACTAATCACATCTAGGAAATGTGGGGCGGTGCCTTGCCCCGAGTCCCTGCGGATAGTTAACACTCCCTTGGGCTTCGAAAGTAGATCTTTTTAGACTCGACCCTGATTTCCTCTTCTCCAGGTTTGAGACGGTAACATCTGTTTTGCAGGATTGTGAAAAATGAGGTCCTCTTTCTAGAGTACCTGACAGGTTGCTTGGCATCCAGAAGATGTTTAGCTAAGTTAAGAGTTTTCTTCTGTCTTCCTTCTCTCCTCCAACCTTAACACCTAGATATGGGCTGGGCCTGTAGACTGACTGCCTTGGAATGGGTTGGAGCTGCTGTCTGAAACTTGCTGGGCTGCTCTCCCTTTTGAACCACTTTTTGTCTGTTCTGATTCACTCTTCCAGGGCCTTGCCCGAGATGGACAGCCGGATTCCTTATGATGACTACCCGGTGGTTTTCTTGCCTGCCTATGAGAATCCTCCAGCATGGATTCCTCCTCATGAGGTGGGAACCATCTGTATTCCTGAGTAGGAGATTTTTTTCCCCGTGGGCATGAGATGATGCATGAAAGGTAGGATAGCAGGGTTAGAAGGCGAAACGGAGAGTGAATCTTAGCACTTGTAGCCAGAGGACCCAGAAGCTGGATTCTGAGCAACAGGACCCATTGGGAACTTCTTTATGGAAGCCTCCTGCTAGGGTCTGTTCACACCGGTTAATTCTGGAAATTTGGAGCCTTCATTTCCATACTGTTAAGAGGTTCAGCGCGGTGGCTCATGCCTGTAATCCCAGCACTTTGGGAGGCCGAAACAGGCGGATCACCTGAGGTTGGGAGTTCGAGACCAGCCTGACCAACATGGAGAAACCGCGTCTCTACTAAAAATACAAAATTAGCCGGGCGTGGTGGCACATGCCTGTAATCCCAGCTACTAGGGAGGCTGAGGCGGGAGAATTGCTTGAACCTGGGAGGCAGAGGTTGCGGTGAGCTGAGATTGAGCCATTGCACTCCAGCCTGGGCAACAAGAGCAAAACTCCATCTCAAAAAAAAAAAAAAAAGGTGAAGAAATGGGGAGCTACTGGGCTGCCCCAGTGCTATCCATCTACTCATTTAGTCTGTGTTATCTGTTCTACTTAAATTAAGTCTATGACCTTTCCTTTTCCTGACTTCAGGGTAATTCATTAGTGTTTCAGATGAAGGTAGGTGTGAAGTAAGACTGGTAAAATTTCTGGGGTTGCTGTGTCTTGCAGAGGGTACACCACCCGGACTACAACAATGAGTTGACCCAGTTTCTGCCCCGAACCATCACACTGAAGAAGCCTCCTGGAGCTCAGGTGAACTTATGAAACCTTATTTCAGGCTAGATTCATCCATACCACAAATTGGCAGTGTTGGGGGGATGGATTGGAAAGCAGGTGCAGATGTGAGGAAACTTTCCTTCTTGTGGACAGAAAAGCTGAGATAACACTTCTGCAACTTCTGACTTTCCTCTCAGGGACACACAAGCTGAGCTATTGTACGATGATGCTACTAGTTGTTCTTGTGTTTGTGGTCTCCATTGAGCCCCCATTCTGTGCTCTTGTCTTACAGTTGGGATTTAACATCCGAGGAGGAAAGGCCTCCCAGCTAGGCATCTTCATCTCCAAGGTATTTATGCCCAGTAGGCAATATGGATCGTTACTTCCCTTTGTTAAATTAACAGATTGCAGAACCCTAATGTCCCAAGGGCTGAGAGGATGACTCTGGATTCATAGAAGGGGTATAATGGAGACACCCCCTTTCCCACTTAAAACTTTTCATTTGGCAGGCCATCTGTCTGCATACATTGTCACAGAAAAACAATAGCACCATACATTTGAATAGCACCGAATTTCACTGACAGTCTTCTGAAATTATCGCATCCCAATCACATGTATTCTCTCTTTACCAACAGGTGATTCCTGACTCTGATGCACATAGAGCAGGACTGCAGGAAGGGGACCAAGTTCTAGCTGTGAATGATGTGGATTTCCAAGATATTGAGCACAGCAAGGTGAGCACAGTACTTGGGCTGTGGTGCTGCAAGAAGCCATCTCAAATAGGACAGATTGGACAGGAGTAGCCTAATCTGTAACTTAATAAGAAAGCATTTTGCTGGGCACTGTGGTACACGCCTGTAATCCCAGCTACTTAGGAGGCTGAGGCGGGAGGATCACTTGAGCCCAGGAATTTAAGACCAGCCCAGGCAACGCAGCAAGACCCTGTCTCAAAACAAACAAACAAACAAACAAAAAGAGAGAGAGAAAGTAAGCACCTCTCCTGGGAAAGTACAGGAGGGAAGCAGCTATTAGTGACACACAGGTTGGAGTGGCAAATCCCTTTCCCCCTATTATGATTCTGTCTTGGGTCATATCTCTTCATTTGTACAAGCTGCTGTGTTCCTTCCAGGCTGTTGAGATCCTGAAGACAGCTCGTGAAATCAGCATGCGTGTGCGCTTCTTTCCCTACAGTAAGTGCCACTTTCTTTTTTCACTTTCCTGACAGGGCCCTAAGTAAGAACTCTTTAAATACTGATGACTAGAGGCCCTACAAGTTGGGGATAGGGAATCAGGAGCTCAAGCGTGAAGATAACCTGCTCTGTTCCTCCTTTTCTTCTTCTTTCCTTCAGATTATCATCGCCAAAAAGAGAGGACTGTGCACTAGAAAGTTGCAGCCCACAGCCCTTCATGTGGACTCTGTCATGACATGCTAACTAGACTTCAGGGGAGCCACTTCTGTTTTCAGCCCCTCCCTGGAATAGTGAGTTGGGAGGATGGGGAGACAGCTAACCAACTGCATTACCCAAACCATATTGCACTTTTAGTTCCCTAGTTTTCTAGGTGAGCTTCATTCCCTGAAAGGAGGATGATGATATCTAGGCATAACCTAGCCTGTGAGGAACCTAGTTAGGAAAGACAACTGACATTTATTGAATATCATGCACTAGTCCCTTACATATGTCATATTTTAATTATAGAAATCAGTAGCAAAAAGAATCTTGGGGATTTTCCATCTGACTTCCCTGGCCATCTTATCCCATCCTTGCACTACCAGAAGATTCATACACTTTTGAGACTCCAGTGAGACGCTGTTTTCACCCCTTCCTCCTCCTAGCCTCTCTCCCAAAAAGTAAAACACAATGCTGAAGAAATATTGGTGTGACTTTTGAATGTTACCGATTGGATGTAAAATGCTATCGAGGGAAGAAAAAGCTCTTCCAAAGAGAGGAGCCACTGGAAGGAACAGAGCAATACTATACCTTCCTCGCAACTACCTGTGATGTCTGACCAGAACATTAGCAAGGCCAAGGAACTTTAACCACAGTATAACTAAGAAATGGCATAGAGTGAGGGGCACTGAAAGAAACTGCCCGTTCCCCTAGGAGCTTTGAGCATTTCTCTGCAGGGGACAGTAGTAATATAATTCTCTCTTCTCCTTTCCCACATTCTTTGATCTGGAACATAAACTAAGGAAGGGGCTTAGATGCATTTCTTTTCTGAGGCAGCAGTAAGAAATTGGTTCACAGTTTCCAACTTGTAAGTTGAGTAGTGCTAACTGCTGACTTCTCCCTTTTCTTCACCCCAGCCCCAAATAACATTCTGCCATGTTCCTAGATCTTTAGTTACCAATCCACCATTACAAGATTCCTAGTCATGCCTATGCCATCGCCACTGGCATGTTTAAAATACCCATTTGGAATTGAAAGTTTTCTAGTGTGAGGCTGGGCGCGGTGGCTCATGCCTGTAATCTCACCACTTTGGGAGGCCAAGGCAGATGGATAGCTTGAGGCCAGGAGTTCGAGAGCAGCCTGGCCAAAAAGGTGCAACCCCATCTCTACTAAAAATACAAAAATGAGACAGGTGTGGTGGGACACTACCTGTAGTCCCAGCTACTCGGGAGGCTGAGGCAGGAGGATCATTTGAACCCTGGAGGTGGAGGTTGCAGTAAGCCAAGATGGCGCCGCTGCACTCCAGGCTGGGTGACAGAGTGAGACTGTCTCAAAGAAAAAAAAGAGTTTTCTAGTGTGGTGTGGGGTGATGTACCCCTATGATGAAGTCCCAAAATTTGCCTTGAAAGAATCCTGGGGAGCTTAAATATGTATTTATAGGCCCTTCTACTGGACAATGATTCTGTTAGTCTGAGGTGGAATCTGGAAATCTGGATTTTTAAAGAAGCAAAGGAAATAAGTAAATAAGTCTTCAAATGTAGGAAACATTGTTCTAAATAGTAGTACTATACTGTATGAGGAAGGTCTGGTTCTTCCTATATATCCCACCCTAGCTCTACTGACATACCTCTTCTAGAGCCTCACTGCTATTGTTAGGTGGCAACATCCCTTGAGAGCAGAGCTGGAGGTAGAATTAATGTAGCTGTCCCTATGCTTCCTGGGAAATCCTGTTCTATCCTCCTATTTGCTGACCCCATGCCCCGCATTGGCCACGAAAGAAAGAAAATAGTAGCTTGGTTACTTCCATAAAGGCATGTTGGGTGACTTGGCTGAATGTTGAGGTCCAAGACTCTTCCTGTGGTTAACAGGTCTTAAAACATTGTATCTAAGAAGTATGAAAAACATGGTAAAAAGTCCCAGCCAGGTGCCATGGGCCTAAGAGGCAAAAACCCTCCTGCCTTAAATTGGTTCTTGTTTGAAATACTTGGATTGGTTCTATGTTAGGGCACCAACATGAGATAATTGCATTGTGGAAATATAGGTATAGTGTGGAGAAAGCACAAGCAATAACAGCCTTAGGTTAAAGAACCATTTATTGAGGGTGTAGGTAAACAACAACAAACAGTGGAGAATGAATTGTATTGGCCTTTGAAGTATGTCAGCTGCTGTAGAACTGTATTCTCTACAGATGTCTTTTAGCTGTCGGAGAAGGTAAGGTAGAATTCCCAGGTGCTGCAAGAAGCTTCCACCCAGTAGCTGTGAGATGCGGTCAGGAAAAAATGATAGCACTTTCAGGGGTTCTGTTTTTACCCCAAGCCTAGGAATTGGAAGAGAGTAAGTGGCCATGTATCATAAAACGAGGTGGGGAGGAGAACTGGTATGGCAAGCCCAAATGTAAGAAATCCATCAAATGAGGCAGAGAAAGCCTAAGCTGTCAACAATAGCTTCTGTTGCCTGACTCCTCGAAGGATTCCAGTTCGATTTCAACCGCTGAAGTGTGTGTCAAGGAAGCTAATACAGTGAGGTGACTGGAGTCAAATCTTAACACCCAAGGTCAGCTTCTAGGAGATGTAGAAGAGGAATTCTGATCTTACAATCCCTCTCACCTAAAGGCAAACGAAGGAACTACTTTGGGCTAAAGTTAGTCCCATTTTCCCCTTAGGTACCACTCAGGCATCAACTCAGCAAGGAAACTTACCTTCTCTACTTGTATACTCCCTACCCCAGCAAAGCTAGGAAAAAGGATACTCCCCTCTTTTGGTGGAGGTGAAGTCCTTGTGGAAAGAAGGGCAGAAGCCACACGCCGGAACAGCTGTGTGTGTGTGTGAATGGGGACCAAAAAAAAAAAAAGGGGAAAAAAAAAAGGTCAGGTTCAGAGGCTAGGATAATTCAGGGCCTTTGAGATACATGATGGGGAGATGAACCTTGACCCCTATCCCACAAAAGATAAGCCAAGCTTATCCAAAAGAGTAAACAGTAGTAGTAGCTACAGACAGAGCACAATTAAAGTATCATAGAAAGAAACAAGTATTACCTTTTTCACGTTGTAACCGGTTTTGGCACTGGTCTCAATAAACATCACATTGAGGTTTCTGGATTTTTCTTCACCCTGTTCTGCAGTGACTTGTCTGGACGAATCAGAAATGATGAAAAGGGCCAGAGTTATTGGATATGGATAGACTCTTCTGAGGTGTAATGATGCTTACCTAGGGCCAGGAACCCTAGAAGCCTTAAACCCATGACCCTTCTGACTACAGGGTGGGGACTCTCTCCTATACCCCCAACATATCCTTGTGCCCTGATGGGACGCCCCCCTGTCCTTCCCATCCTGCAGTGCTGGTAGGGGGCAGAGGGGACTAAGGTAACTCCTCCCCAAGTAAATAGAGGACAGTTGACCCTCCCCATAGAGACTGAATTTTAGGTATGCCAGAAGAAGTTGTAGTTATACTTTACCTTTTGTTATCCAAATCAATCTTGTTACCCAACAACATGATGACAACATCGTCACCTCTTTCTGCTCGCACGTGTTCTACCCACTTATCTGTCTCCTTAAAAGAATTGATGTCTGCAAGAGAATATGTTCCAGAGCGTTGAAACATTTAGGAGAGATTTGGAGAGAACACTTCCTCTCTGCTAATTTTGTCAATCTCCCTATCAATCCCTTTATAATCCCCTTTTCAAATAAAACATTGCATAACACCCACTTGTAATGTCATAGACAACCACTGCAATAGTTGAATCACGAATGTAGCTAGGAATTAGGCTGTGAAAGCGCTCCTGGCCAGCTGTGTCCCATAGCTGCAGCTGAACCTGCATAAAAATGTTTAGGAAGAAGATGGGGGAAAGGTAGACAAGAAACTAGCCTTTTTAAAAAGCTCAAACCTAATAAAGGCAGAATACAAAAGGTCAGGTAGACTGGATCCCTGAGAAGTGGCTGCTATAGCCTCAGACCAAATGGCCTATAGTCCTAGGACAGGTCCAACCAATTTCAATATACTGTTTTGATTCAGGAAGACCCTACAGCACAGCAGATTTAAGGATTCAAGGTCTCTTGGACTTTATGTTACAGTTGGAGATTAGATGAAGGCAGACAGAACAAGAAACATCATAGGGCTTGGTAATTTGAAGAGGCTTCAGTTTTTTTTGATGGTGCTACCCAACTGTGATGAATAGGCCTAAGGGGTTGAAGTGTAGGGTTAGTGGTATGAGAGTTAACACTCACTATTTGGTCCTCCAAGTACATGGTCTTAGACAAGAAGTCAATTCCAACAGTTGCCTGCAAAAGAAAATCAGATACACTCCAGCATTCCCTCTATTCCCAATATGAGGCAGTCTTAGAACCCAAAGTGGAGAATGACCCTTCAAGAAGTTGTCCTGGCTCCACTTCCCAATGCTTACAATACATAACTTTGAGGAGGAGAATCTCCAGGTGAGTCCGCCAAGAAGAGTGGCAAAAATGTACCATATGACTCGGTGGTGGTCTTACCTGGCAGGCGCAGCCGAAGCTGTTGTACATGAAGCGGCTGATGATGGATGTCTTCCCTACTGTGAGGGAGATAAGCAGGCCAATCGTCGCCCTCAGTGCCCTTTCTCCCCTCAAAGTTTCTATGAGCCCTCCCTCCTCCTCCAACTCCAATCTTTCCCAACGAGGAGGAACTCGGTTCCCCAGAGAATGCCCCACCCCATTTCATACCAATTACACCTCCATGTCCCCAAAGCCCAACCCAGACCCACACCGCTCTGCTCTCCCAGGAATAAGAGTTTAGATTTGCACAGAGACTGGTATTCCGTTCTTTCGGCAGCCTCCAGACCAAAGCCTCCGGCCTCCATCCAGGCCTCGTCGTGACCAAAGGCAGACATCGCTTCAGGTAGGTTGCAGCCAAAATGGCTTCCAACGCTCAGCCTGAGCCGCCGGACTTCACGCCATGCTCTACTGACGTCGGCTGACGGCCATTGGCTTCACACCCAGGCCTGGGCATGGCCACGCCCCCTCGGCCCCCTCCTGGCAGCTTGCACTGCGCCTGGTGTTCAGCGCAATCCTATGACCACTCGAGTGGGGTCATGGGGTGGAGAGAGGGATGGCCACTGACCGTGTCAGAGGGAAGTTGGGGTCAGCGTATGGGGAAAAGCACGGGCTAAGTGTAGTGTAATCACAGCAAAGGGGTGGAGGTGGGGAAGATTGTTCTCAGTAGTTCCGTGACCCTCCAGGAAGAGGAAATAGGCAAGAGATCGCTAGGCACATCTGAACAAACTGATTTATTAGAGTGTTACAGTGGGGGCTCCCACACAGACGGGCACCAGAGCGAGGTGCTCAGCTCCCCTCATCTCCCTCAGCCTCCACAGCCTTCTGGCTCTCCTCCTCGCCTTTCCGCGTAAACTCCTCGATGACTATGTCCTCAGAGCTTGCAGAAGCAGCAGAAGAGAATGGAAGGTTAGGAACCCCTTTCTGGGTGTCCTCCGTGTCCACTCTTTTTTCCTGATCCCAGAAAAGTGATCCCCTCCCTGCTTCCCAGGTAGGCTCCTCGGCCCCCTCTTGGTGTCCCCACTTTTCCATCAGCCACTCTGGCTTGTTTCCTTTCATTCCCGCCCAAATTTCCCAGCACAAAAGTCCCCCAGGAGCACTGAAAGGGACATAAGGATGAGGGATGGGAAGGAGGGAAGGTATCAAAGAATGAAAGACGAAAGAAGTAAGGGCGAGCGGGTGGGGGAAAAGGAAAAAGAAAAATGGGAAGGGGATGAGGGGGAAGGATGATTCCAACAAGAGCAGAAGGTGGAGGGCGGGGGGATGCAGAAAGGGAAAGGAGGGCATATGAAAAGCACCGAACTGTGACACGAAGCTAAGCCATATGTTTCCACTGCACATGTATTGAAAGCACCCCAAGGAAGCATTTTCACATTTCTATCGTCATAACATGGAGGGTGGAAATGGGAAGAGGGGAATGGGGCTTCCCAATCTTGTATTCCATTACCTAGCGGCCTCTGTAGCAAGCATGGAGACGGAGGGAAAAAATGGAGCTGAAGCTGATTAGAGGCTCTTCGGTTCCCTGAAGAAGTATCTTTACTTCCCCCCCCCCCAACTTCCCAATCCTTTGCTCCAGCACACACGACACACACACTTCCCCTGAATACCTAGACACCCAGCCTACCTATTGCTATTCCATCCCCAGGCAAACTGCTAGTCTCCAATTCATGAGATCAGAATGGTTTGGACCCCAGCCCTCAGGACAGCCGTCCCTGTGAGTTCCACCTGGTCACTCACCATGAGATGGCTTCGGATGGATCAGGACCAAGGGTAGCTCCACACCAACATCGCTGCAAGGATCCCAAGGTGGAGTTACATCTCCTCTCTCTACAAGCCCAATCCCTGAACCTCCCTCCCTTAGTTTTCCAGTCTTTGGATGCCCTCAGACCCTCCAGAATCAATCATTATTTTGCTCTCCTTATCCCCTTGTCCTCCTCTTCTTGCCCAAGTTCCCCCACCCCACAGTCTCTCACCTGGCTGTCAGGTCTCCTAGGATGCTGTGGGTAGAATGACACCCAAAATTAGCAGCGGGAAATAGAGAAGGGGCAACCTAGTTTCACAAGGGGATGAGGGATCATAAGACCTAATGAGCCAGCCACAGAATGGGTTTCTGGAAGGGAAAGTGACTTGCTCACTGAGCTCACAGGTTTGGGAACCTGGTCTGGGAGAAAGGGTGGGGAATGGTTTGATTGGGTCAATCTAACTGGGAGAAAAACAGAGGCGAAAAGCCCTTGACTCTTCAGCCCCTGCCCAGACAGACCCAGAACCCTCACTTACCCACCACAGGACACCATCAGGTTGACTCTGACTTTGTAGGACACCAGGATCCCCAGCAGCTCTTTGTCCATTCCCGGTCTAATACTGGAGGTTGTAGTATTCGTTTTAGGGTGTTTGGGGCATGAAGAGTAATTCATTCTGTCCCCAGTTTCTTCTCATGCATTCCTATCACCACACCCTATTATGTTTAGTCTTATCCCAGAATATCTCCCAGGCTCTAACCTTTCCTACCCGTTGAGACCACATTTCTCTTCCTGACATTCACTTTTACCATGTCACTCTCTGCTCAAGAGCCTACCTTTTGAATATAACAACTACTCTGCCTGACTTTCAAGACCCCTAACAACCTTGCCCTATCTAGCCTCTCTAACCTTTTCTCCCCTAACTCCTGGGATACAACCTAAGCAGACCCATCTTCTCTCCGTGATCAGAACATGCCATGTGGATTCCCACCTTCTAGCCTTTGCCCATGCTGTGTCCCTAGTCTACAGTGCTCCTTTTTTTCCTCTGTTGGTATCCAGATCCTTCACATTCTTCAAGATCTAGCTCATTCTACCTCCTCCAGGAAGCCCTCACCAGCTCTCCTGGCTTCTTTTAACTTTGTTGCGATTTACTCTGAACCACGTGTACTAACATTTAACTGTTGGGTTGTATTTGCATCTCTCTTCGTTCCTCATCTAGGCCATAAATTGACTGAAGGCAGAGACTGTCTTAAACTTCTTTATATTCTCCACATTGCTTAGCATAGGAAAGAGCATGTAATAGGGGTTCAGTAAAAAACCCACTGATTGAAAAATAAGACAGCGAAAGCTGCATGAGCTTGAGAAAATCTCTTCATTGCTCTGGGCTGCTGATCTCTTACATATAAAATAATGCAGTTTGGATGATTTCTAAGGGTATTTCTAGCAATAACAGTCTATAGCTACTTGATTGAAAAGACGTATGGAGAGATGGAGGGATTACACTTGACAGATGGTGGCAGGTGGTTTTTGGTGGAAGACACATCTAACACTAGGGCCTCCGAAGGCACAGGACCAAGTGAATGACTTCCTAGAATTCTATTAATTCCTGTTGCATCATTTTCCTTTTTTGTCCTCCTTTTCCTCCATTTCTCATCTCCTAGTCTTCTACTCCATCTTTATTTTTTCTAGAGAGTAGCTTCTGTAGAGATCACAGTATTCAGAGCCAGATGACATGTGATATAATCCTGTCTACATCTACCACTTATCAGCTATGCCACTTTAAGTGAGTTCCTTCTTCTCTCTGAGCCTCAGGGTCCTTAAGTGTAAAAGGGAATAAGAACACCTGTCCAGGCTACTTTAGTGGGATTCTCACAAAGATAGCATAGTACATATGTCGGACCTTTGTGAACTGTGAAATCTTATACAACATAAGGATTGTTTTCCTCTCCATGTTTTCCTTTTTTTCTGCCGCTGACCTAAGCCTGCCGTTGGTCCCACAGGCATTATTGAGCTTGCTGCAGGCCTTTAGGCCTGGAGGAGTCTCTGAACACTGCCCTAGAGACACTTTAAAAAACAGGTAGGCTTTACTGAACATGAAACCTCAGAGCTGTAAATGTAGCATGTGGAATGGTTGAGGGGTAGGAAATGGAGGCTGAGAGTTATATTTGAGCTTACATTGTGCTAGAGGCCAGGTTGGTATCTTCATGCTTAAGTTTGCCATCCAGTGCCAGGCCCCGTTTCTGGCAGCTGGCAGCCAGGATTGGGGTTACTGCAAAGCTCTGGGAGAAGCTGGAATTAGCAGCTACAGTCTCCCTACAAAAGAAGAACAAGAGAAGAATTTAGGCTGGGCTTGCTGACTAAGCATACTTTTACTCCCAAGAGTATCTTGTACAAGATTATACAAGAACCTACTGGAGTATCCAAGAGAGGTAACATGTTTAACTGAAGACTGGGAGAAATTAGTTCTGGTGGGAAATCCTTATGCCCCTGCCCTCGCTCAGCATCGTGATGGGACTCCTGGGGGTAAGTTGCATCCCCTCCATCTAGTTCTCCTGGGAATCCCTCCCTGGAATCTTCCACCACTCTTCTCCCCCACTCTACCCCCTCAACTGCCTCCTGGACCTCTTCCCACCACCCCACCCCTTGGCTCTCTGGTCCTAGCCCCAGCACCAGCTCACGTGAATTCCTGAATGAACACAGTCTTGGTGTACTTGTCTAGTGAATACAGGACAACATCTGTGATCTGGTCAACTGAACAAGCCAGGAAAAGCACATGATTATAATCAGTCAGTCATCCTTGAGACCCCAGCTCAGTGTCCTTAGATGTGACCTTATACATAGGCACACTATACATGATGCAGTGAGACATGCTCATTGACAAAACAAGATATGCATTTTGACAAGCCCATGTTAGAGGGAAAGCCTAGATGAATGCAGACAGGTAAGTGAGATAGAATTTTGGGAAAAGACCTGTGGCTTTGGGACCAGGTGCACAGGGATGGGAAAAGAAACTCACCTGAAATCTTGATTTTTTTGATGACCTTGTTGGTGCAGTTGTTGATAGAAACATTGACAGAGATGGGTTCTCCGTGGTAGTGAACCTAAAGCAGGAGCGGGGACCCATGTCAAGGCTGGAGGACGAATACGCAGATGGAGACCTAGAACCCCTGCTTCCTTAGCGCTATTGCCACCCTGGCTCCCATCTCTGCCTGCCCAAGTAGGAAATCAGTGAAGAAAGGGCATCAGAGGGGTTCTGGGGTGGGAGGCAAAAAGTGGGGGTCACAAACCTCCCTGTCCATCCAGGCCTGGAGTTGTAGGGGCTGAGCTGACAGAAGGAAGCGGCGGATGGTCTGGGCTGAGGGGCCAGGGCCTGCCTCCGGTGGTGCAAATTGTACTTTCCGGACAACCAGCCGCACATAGTCTCTGAGCAGAGACCAAGAGATTAGCCAGAGCGTCCTCCTTTCAGACCCACAGACCTCTCCCATGCCACCCCCATAGTCCAATTGTTGCTTAAGAATGGGAGCAGGGGAAGGCCTCCCTCAGAGAACTCCTCTAGTCCCTTAATGTAAGCATGTAGACCAAAGGTTATTAAACTATGGCCCACTGGCCAAATCTGGCCTGATGCCTGTTTTCCTATGGCCCACAAGCTGAGAATGGTTATATTACATTTGTAAATGGTTGAAATAAATCAAAGAACAATGCTATTTTGTGACATGTGGACATTACATGAAATTCAAATTTCAGTGTCCATAAGTAAAGTTCTATTGGACACACAGCCACACTCATTCATTTCTATACTATCTGTGGCTGCGATTGCACTACAACGGCAGAGTTGAGTAGTTGCAACGGAGACTATAGGGCTCAAAAAGCCAAATATTTCTTTTTTTGGCCCATTACAGAAAAGTTTGCTGACCCCTGCCCTAGATCAAAGAAGGTAAGTCAGAGGGGACTCAGAACCGGGTGTCACTGGTGGCGATGAGGCTGTGGAGGTTAGAAGTGGGGCTATTTCTGTCATGAGAGCAGGATCTGTTTCCTGGCAGAGGCTGGAGGCAGGGATTTTTGGGGACAACCAAAGAATACCTCTTGGAGACTGTCTCCTCTGGGTTTTCAGCACAGAAACTCTTCACTTCAAAGTCAATCCCACAGGGCTGTAAAGGGACAAGGGCAAAGAGAGCTCATTTCCAGTGCTGTCCTCCCTTCCTCATGGGCCTATAAGAAAATGCCTGACCTCTTTCCTTAGCTGTCCATTTCTCCAGTCTTGACTGTCCCACTGTTCCTCTTCCCTGGCACTACCTATCCCTCTTTCTTAGAACCCAGTCCTCACCTTTCCTGCATCTTCAGGACCTGGCTGCAGTGTCACAGAACAGGGCAGGTTGGTCACCATCTAGGGGACAAAAAGGAGATCAGAAAAGAAGTAGAAAAGAATACAAACAAATACAAAAGAAATGGGGAACCCTCTCCCTTGTTGTCCTTCTTGAGCTTCCTCTCTTAATCTTCCCTGGAGACCTTGCCTGCCCAGGGCTTGGGGTCAGTACCTGCAGGGTAAAGGGGTAGGCATTGTCCCCTAGCTTGTGCAGTAGTCGCTCCTGTAGGACTGTGAGGGGCCCCTGAGGGCTGCTGGATTCAGCTGGGACCACTTGCAGGGTCTGCACATACAGATCTTTTCGGAACGTCAGACCAATCACTTCCAAGTCATCACGGCCATAGCGAAAGGCACATGTCAACATGACAAACACTGCAGGCATAGGAGGAAGAGAGTGGTCTGTCAGGCCTGAGTGGGAAGGGGAATCTTAACTGGGTCAAGAAGACACAGAGAGGTGATGTAATATGATCGAAGGCTGGCTGGGCGCGGTGGCTCACGCCTGTAATCCCAGCACTTTGGGAGGCCGAGGTGGGTGGATCACGAGGTCAGGAGATAGAAACCACCCTGGCTAACACAGTGAAACCCCATCTCTACTAAAAAAAAAATACAAAGTATTAGCCTGGCTTGGTGGTAGTGGGCGCCTGTAGTCCCAGCTACTTGGGAGGCTGAGGCAGGAGAATGGCGTGAACCCAGGAGGCAGAGCTTGCAGTGAGCCGAGATCGTGTCACTGCCCTCCAGCCTGGGCAACAGAGCAAGACTCTGTCTCAAAAAAAAAAAAAAAAAAAAAAAAAAAAGATTGAAGGCTATGGGCACAAATGAAAAGATTCTTAATACATTTGACTGCAGTAAAATTTATGTTAAAAGTCTTTATAAAGTCTTCTTTATATTCAAAGTCTTTATAAACAAAGAAAAAAATGGAAAGCCTGGGAGAAAATCTTTGCAACACATATAACACACTGAAGTTTAGAGTCCAAAATATATAAGGACTCCCACACATCAACAATAATGCCAGTATAAAACTGTGCAAAGAATGTGAATAGGCCCTTGCAGAAGTGTGCAAAGTGTGTGAAGGAATGGCCAATAACATATGAAAACATGTTTAGTCTCGTGAGTAATCAGATAAATGCAAATTAAAACCACAACGAGATAAGATTTCACACCCATGAGATTGTCAAAAAATTTTAAATGTGACAACACTACGTGTTGATGAAGATGTGGAGCAAAAGGAGTTCTTACATACTGCTGGTGGGAGTATTAATGCAACCAATTTGGAAGACTATTTGGGATTATCCAGTAAAATTAAATCTGCTCGTAGAGTATGAGCTAATAAGTTGACTTTAAAGGAGCTTTTGTTCAGGAGAGATACATATGATAATGGCCGTCGCATCAACGTTTGTCAGAACATAAAACTGGAGATAATCTAAAAATCTATCAACAGGAGAATGGATAAAAAATTTGTGGTATATTCACATAATGGAATACTAAACCAAGGTTAAAATAAATGAGCTAGAACTTCAAAGAATGCCCTATGGTTTGTATGTGGCCTCTCCATAACTCAGGAGTTGAAACTTGATGGTCATTGTGATGGTATTAAGATGGCCATTAAGAGGTGATTAGATCATGGGGCTTCTTTGTTCATGAATTCCTTTATGAATGGGATTAAGACCCTTATAAAGGAGACCTTTTGCCCTTCCACCTTCCACCATGTGAGGACACAATGTTTCTCCCCTCTGGAGGATGCAGCAATAAGGCACCATCTTGGAAGCAGAGAGCAGCCGTCATCAGACAACAGAACCTGCTAGAGCCTTGATCTTAGACTTCCCAGCTTTCAGAATTGTGAGAAAATAAATATCTGTTCTTTATAAATTACCTAGTCTCAGGTATTTTGCTGTGGCAGCACAAACAGACTAAGACCTGTGCCAACAAGGTTAAATCTCAAAAGCTATTGAACAAGGCTGGGCGTGGTAGCTCACGCCTGTAATCCCAGCTCTTTGGGAGGCCTAGGTGGACAGATCGCTTGAGGACAGGAGTTCGAGACCAGCCTGGCCAACATGGTGATAACCCGTCTCTACTAAAATACAAAAATTAGCTGGGCATGGTGGCATACACCTGTAATTCCAGCTACTCAGGAGGCTGAGGCAGGAGAATCGCTTGAACTCGGGAGGCGGAGGTTGCAGTGAGCTGAGATTGCACCACTGCCCTCCAGTGGGGGTGACAGAGTGAGTCTCTGTCTCAGAAAAAAAAAAAAAAAAAAGCTACTGAACAAAAAATCTAGCTGCAGAATGATAGGTACAGTATGTTACCGGTTATATAAAGTTTAAAAGCATGTAGGACAATATCAAAGTTGATCATAGACACATAAATATGGAGTAGAAGTATGGAGCCATCAAGAGAATAATAAACACCAAATTCAGGGTAGTCGTTATCTGGGGAGGGAGGAGAGAAAGAGGAGAAGGGTTAAGTAGGGAGGGAGGGAGGCAAACTGGATCAGGGAAGGACACACAGGAGGCTTTAGTTTGTTTCTGTAATTCTTTTTAAAGCTTGGTGATGAGTACAGGGTATTCATTATATAATTCTGTATGCCTTGATAAATATTTTATCATGAAAAAGAGAAACAATAATATTTAGGGTCAGAATACCTGGACTTGAATAGGACTTGCACAAATCCCTTGATTTCTCTGGGTCTCAGTTATTACACCTGTCAATAATAGGACTGCTCTAGTAACCCTACATATGCCATTTAGACCTCAAAACAACCCTCTGAAGTATTATTATCTCCACTTTAGAGGCAAAGAAAGTGAGCTCAGAGCTATTAAGCAATGGTTCAGGATTTCAACCCAGGCCTGTCTGACTCCAAAGCTCAGGCTCATAGGTGCTCAACTTAACTCATAGGACAGTTGTGAGGAGCTGATGTATTCGAAATCCCTTTGGAGGCCGGGCACAGTGGCTCACGCCTGTAATCCCAGCACTTTGGGAGGCCCAGGCGGGTGGATAGGCTGAGGTCAGGAGTTCGAGTCCAGCCTGGCCCACATGGTGAAACCCTGTCTTTACTAAAAACACAAAAATTAACCGGGCGTGGTGGTGGGCACCTGTAATCCTAGCTACTCAGGAGGCTGAGGCAGGAGAATCGCTTGAACCCAGGAGGTGGAGGTTGCTGTGAGCTGACATCGCACCACTGCACTCCAGCCTGGGCGACAGAGCAAGTCTCCATCTCAAAAAAAAAAAAAAAAAAAAAAAAAGGAATCCTTTCGGAAACTTCAAAATAATTATAGATGTGGATGATGATGGTGATGATGATGATATTGACAGAAATGGAAGAGTTATAATTGAACTCATACTTTGTAACAGGTATCTAAGATTTGAAAGAAATCAAGTGAGAGGCGGATAGAAATCATCTGAAATGCGCTAATGGAATATAGAATGGAGTAGAGAGGGATACCTGTCCAAGTACAGGGTGACAGAGGTTGAGGCAAGGAAAGATGTAGAACAGGAATGGATAACCTTATTTCTATCAGGGGCTCTGACCCAAAGAAAAAATAAAAACTACCAACAGCAGCACTTGAGTAGAAAGCAACTTATTTTAGTATTTTTAAGAACTCAAAACATCAAACACCAGATTATTTGCTTTTAAAATTGAGAATGAGAAAAATGAACCTATATTCAAAAGATATAGCAAAGCCTGAAAGTATTGATAATATCAGTGTTTATAAGGACTGGGGCAATATGAGAAGACTCATGCACTGCAGGAGTGAGATTTAATTGGTATAAGCATTTTAGAGGGCAATTTGACAATAGGTATAGAAAGCTTTAAAAATGTGTGAATGCCTTTTGGCCATTAATTCCTCTTCTAGGCACTTAGAAAGAAATAATTGAACAAGTATGAAAAGGATGTGCATTACAGGGCGTTGTGGTATCCCCATATGATATAGTACTAGGCAACTTAAAAAGTTATAGATTTGTGTATATTGACATAGGTTTAAAAAATGTAAAATATTATTTTTAGTATAGCATTTTTAGTGAAAATATAGATATGTTTGCACAGAAAATATGAATAAATAAGATCAAAAGATTAGTGATTAAAGATGGTAAGGTTACACAGTCTCTCCTTCATCTATGTTTTCTAATTTTTCTACAATGGAGACAAACCTAATAATTTTCAAAGATACAGCAAATAGATTCACCTTGGTTCTCAATTATGGCCAATTATAGTGAGAGAAAGGAGAGAGAAAGAAAGGAAAATAAGGCACAAAGGAAAGGAAAAAGACAGAAAGTAAAAAGGAGAGGAAAAGAGGTGGCTGGTAGGAGGCAGGGTGAGAGAAGAAATGAAAAAGATGAGGAATGAGACAGAAAAAAAGGTCAGGATGGGCGAGGCAGAAGGGGATCTAGTAGCACCTGAGGTAAGGACGTTAATCAGATGACTTGTTCTTGGAATCGCTTTCTGTTCCTGTGTTGGGAAGGCAGCAGACTAAGACATCAACTGCATCACGCAACTCCTACCCCCAACTGAAGCTCTAATTGGCTCTCTAGCAGTTTAGAATCGTCCTTTTTTTTGCATGCTAGGAAATAGCTTGTTTTTATTTTCTTTTAAAGTCAGTATCTATTTTAAAGTTATTAATGTATAGTTGTGTTTATTCTACAAAATATATGTTAATTGTCTGAACATCAGAAAATACAAACAAAAAGACAAATCAAAGCTCCACCATAATATATCATGTTCCACAGATAACTACTGTTAATACCTGTTATGTGTGCTTCTCAACTTTGTCTGTTGCTATAATTGAACACAAGGCCACCTTAGGTATTTTTTACTTTTCTCTCATTGCCTTTTTGAAGTTAAACTTTGTATTTTGAGATCATTGTAGAGTCACATGCAGTTGTAAGAAATAATACAGAGAGAGATTCCAGATAGATTTTTGTTAAACAACAATTCGTTCACACCACCACATATACTGCCCTATCACTGGCCTTTATCACTCCACAGTATAGGGTAAGCATATTTTACATCCACAAATGTACCTTGATAGAAAAACACATTAGAAAATATGATGCAAACAAGACAATCTTCACAGAGGTAACAAACCATATTGAAAAACTAAGAATAAACAAGAAATATGCACAACTTAAATGAAAAGTAATATAAAACTCTACTAAGGGGACATAAAAGAAGATTAGAATAAAAGGAAAAATGCATCTCTTCCTGGAACAACATATATTTTTAACTAAAGATTTCTTTCCATAGCTTGTGAAGATTTTGTAGAAATGTGAAAAAATGATTTAGGTTTTAGAAATATAGAATACTTGGGAACCTTAAATAAGTTGGTTAATTTATGAGTCTATCCCAAAGTTCCTCTGATACTTAAAACCGATTTGATTGCTTATTTACACTGCTTAATCTGAGAGATTTAGGCTACTTTATTCTCCAATATCTAACAGTTACATCTGAACTAGTATTCATCAACCCATTCAGAGCCTTTTTCAAATCAAACCCAATTTTCAGTCTAGTTGGATCACAGTGGGGTTAATCCATAGTGAGAATTAAAAGGAAAAAAAGCAGCAAAAAAAAAAAATCAGCATAATCTTGATCTGTAATACTGCTGCCAGAGTAATGTTTCTTAGTGTTACTTCCTATGGTTGTTGTTTTGTTTCTTTGTTTGGGATTTTTTTTTCTTGAATAAAAGGTCAGCCAGTTTCCCTACACAAAAAAAGGAGATGGAAAGACGTATACCAGAGGTTACAAAATGACAGCCTGAAAGTCACATCTAGCCAACAGAAAAAAAAAAAAAGTTTATAATCTATCCAGGCTTCTAAAGTCTTTTAGTGAGTTGCTGACATTTGAAAATCAGGAAATTTGCCTTAAAATATGGATTTCTGACTTACTGGATCATTCTATAGGCAGTCTAAGATCCAGATCAATAGCCAAGCAGGGGCACCACCAGTAATAATAGAGAAAATCTGAAATTCTGAAAGAAGCTATTTTAATTTCAGCACAAGTGTAAGTTTTGTGTAATTTTGAAAAATAAAATTTAATTTATGCTTTAGATATTTACTTTGAATATTATTTGGGTAAGGGGGCACCATAATCTTTTCACACTTTGGGCCTCTAAAAGTCTTATTTTGAGCTTCGTTTACAGCTCCTCATTAACAATTAGAAAATTTGGCCACACTGGGCTGGAATTCCCAGTTGTCAGCCTCCACCAGAGAAGGCATTCGCAGTTCCTGCCACTTTCTGGTTTTGTTGTACTCTGGTGCAATCCACTCATCGGGTTACCTGTCTGAAACATACAAAGACCAACAAGGATTTCCACTTACACTTTCGACATTTTAAGTACTCAGGATCAACCAGGACAACACCGTCTGTGGAGAGAAGGACAGACAGCACTTTGGTCAGGAAAAACTCTCAGACTATGAAACAGAGGATGATCCCTGAAATGGTTCTTCCTATTCTTCCCTTTAATTTGCCTCCTTTTCTGCACGGTCTTTCCTGGACTTTCTTTTACTCCCTAGTTTCCATTCCTCTTTCCCCAGGCTTCCCTTTTTTGGACTCACTGACCAATGGGTTCCACCGTGTCCACATGGTCCACGAAGTCCCGTTTCCCCAGGTAGATGGAGAGCTGTTGTGGAACAACTTCCCATGTTATTCTCACAATCATTTTTGAATGGATTCCCCTGAAACCCCCAACCCAGACCCCTGAGACCTTGAAGGATGTACCCACCTATCCCTTTTGCCCTCTCATTTGCCCAGCTGGGCCAGGTTCTCTCACCTTCCCATTGGAGCTGGTCTTCTTAAACACCCTATGAGGAGAAAACCAGAAAGAGGATGGAGAGGGGGATTGGAAGTGCAGGGAAGAGGAAATAAGGGAATTGGGGAGAAAAAGAAATATTCTTAGGATTAGGAGAAGAGGCTCCAGGAGCATAGGATGGGGCAAAGGTAGGGATAATTGGGGTAGAATCCAAGGACACAAGTTAGGGAGAAATTGGAAATCCCCCTACCCCAAAGGGAAATACTTGGATTGGGGTAGGGAGCAATTCACAGGTTCAGAGGATTAGAAGGAATTCTTACTTGGACATGTTGGCTATATAGTTGATGTTGAGCCTTTTCTGGGAAAAGGGAAAGAAGAAAGGCTCAATCATTTCATTTCTATTCTTCTCACCCCACTCCAGCATACCATCCATATACACCTAGTGTGATGTAACCTTTCCTCCTTAGACAGACACCTCACCCACATCAAGTACCTCCTATTCTCCCTTCTGCCAAGGGTACTTCTTCAGCCATATTCTTGCCCATCTTGGGCAAGAGGGGAAAAAAACCTTCCTATTTTGTACAAATCATTGACTAACCATACTATGTATTCTCCAGAAAGGGCCAAACTTCCTAGAATGGCTGGGGAACTCTTGAGAACCCTGAGAGAGAAGGAACTTCTCTGGAAAGAGGCTGGACAGAGGCTTCCATCCAGAAAAGTGTGAGAAAAATGTGTTTCTTGGTCTGTATGAGGCTAGACATCCCCTGGCACACACTAGGTGCCAAGACATGTTTGTTGGATACATGAATGAATGAATGAATGAATGAATGAATGGACAAATCAATGGATTCTGTCTCCTTCTGCTCCTGCAATGGATCCTGAACCTGAGTTCACCTCATGATGCCCTTGACTCTCAACAAAGAAGGGAGAAAAGTGTGAGAGAGAAGGGGTTGGTGCCTTCATGCTCTCAGTTTTTGGTGACAGAAGTCTCTATGGAGGTTGAAAGTCCTCCTTGAACCAACTCATCCCTCTCATTGCCTTTCCTAGATTTTCCCATCCTTATCCCCATCCAGGTCCCCAGGGGCTAGGCCTTTGGATGGGAATCCTTAGAGAGAGGGAGATGTCTCTCTAGTGCTTTCCTTTGATGCTTACTGAGCCTGGCCCAGGGGGTGAGCTTAGGGGAGCTTCCAGAGGTCTTTGGAGGGTCTCTAGGCCTGAATGTCTATAGGCTATGTCAGGAAGGGTGTCCCTCAACTGCTGCCTGATATATTAAGAGGGATGCTAAGAGCAAGGGATATAGGGCTTAGTATGGGCTAGAAGTAGAGGGCTTTGGAATATTACCTGGGGAGAGAGATGAAGTTCACATCAGTCTCCAGCTCTGGTTGCTATGCCTGCCTCCCCAGCCTCTTATACCCACAGTCCTCTGAGTGTTTTGATTGGTGGGGGTCATGGGAAAAGAATAGGGTTCTTGGTGGGGGGGCATAAAACACTGCTATAAATAGTTCAGGTGCCAAGAGTTTGGAAAGCAGATTAGTGCCTAAAAGATTAGTGGCTAAAAGATTAGCAGGCTATTGCTGCTGGGACAGAGTGGGGGTAGGAGGTTGATTCTGATGATGTTAAAGGCAAGGGAGTTTGAGAAGGGTAACTTCAGGATTTTGGCCTTGTGAGGCCTTGAACCTGAGAACTGGGATCAAAGTGGAGTTGGAGGTCTTAAAGGTGAAGCATGGTGGGGGATTGAAATGGGAGGGCTCAAAGTATAGGCCTTTGTGTTTTTGAAAGGAATACCTCGTGTCCCACTCCAATCTCTATATCAGCGGCTCCAGGCCACACAAAAGCCAAGGGTATGGGAAAGAGTACCTCGTCCCCAGCCCCCCACCACTTTGGGACATTGGACTTTTGAAGCTGATGTTTAGAAACCCTGATTATCCCAGCTTATGTGCACAGCAGGAGTCAATCTCCTGTAGGTAGTGGGGGCAGGAGTGGTGGAGGGGGATCTGAGTGCATTGAGCTGTGTATGCACATGTCTGTGAGCCTTGAACTTCTCTTCTCATTGGAGAGGAAGGTAATATAAGATTCCCAGCCCAGGGACAGGTTCTTCTGGCAGGACATGCATGTGGAGGGAATAGGCGGTTGACATCTGTGTCACCCCTACCGAGGGTAAACCTCCTCACCCCAGCTCTTGACTCTGTCCAATCCCTGAAACTAACTAAGTCCATGCTCTAAGCAGCTTCTCTTGCCTCGTATGACCGCTCATGGAATTAGAGATATTTCTGTCTCTTCAGCTGCCAGGACCCCCACAACAGCAACAACAAAGTAATCTTCCTTTCTTGACTGTCCTTCCCACAGGGCCTAGGCTCAGGCTTCACGGGCATAGAAAATGTAGAGACAGAATCTATAAGCTCTGGGGTTTCAGGACTCTGACCTCCTTCACCTCCCCTTACAGCAGTCTGGACATTAGTAGTTATCTATAGACACAGCCCTCAACCCCAACCCCCACAATGGGGTGTCCATTCCTCAGAGGATGGCTATGGCTATGGCTCAGAGGGCTGGGCAGGGCCTTCCCTAACTCCTGCCCCTCACTGAGGGCCCTGGACAGCTGTCCCATATTCTCTTTGCACAGTTCACAGTGTCAGCCCCTGCCATTCCTAGCCAATATGCATCTCAGGGCCTGGTTGTTTAGTTACTATAACTCTCTCCTTCTCAGGGGCTTTCAGATAGTGCAAGAAGCCCAGATTCTGCAGGTACCACAGTGGGATAGGAACTGATGCTGGACATACAGGAAAGATTTGTATACATGCCAAGGTTGGTGTCTGCGAGGAAGGCGAAAAGTCAGAATGAATCTACTTTTCATGCCAGACATGGCAATATTCAATGGCAGGAAAGGAAGGCCTCTCTTCTTGTATGCTTATTTTCATCATTCAGGAAACCTTTCCCAGATCTCTAGAATGACTAGTGGTCAGCCTGTTTTTGTCTTTAGACCCACACTCGAGGCTCCTACCTCCCTTTTAGGTACTCAATCCCGCTTATCTTCTCTTTCTACTCAGATCCATGGGCCTCTCGGTAGGAAAAGAGTAGATCTGCTAGGTCTTTAATTCATTATTATGATGGAATGTAAATCATTACTCTTTTCCAGAAGTTTGTGCATTTCTTGACTGAGGTAAAATTCACAAATCTTAACTGCAGCTCAATGAATTTTTACCTACTGTGGCAAGCTGAATTATGCCCCCAAAGATGTCAGGTCTTAATCCTGGGAACCGATGAACATTACCTTATATGAAAAAGAGACTTTGCAGATGTGAATAAATTAAGGATGTTGAAATAGGGAGATCATTCTGGATTATCCAGGTGGGCCCTAATGTAATCACCAGTCTCTTTATGAGAGAGGGGCAGAGAGAGTTTTGACTCTGAGATAGGAGGAAATATGAGGCCTGAAGCAAGATGTTAGGCTGCTGGCTTTGAAGACGGAGGAAGGGGCCATGAGCTAAGGAATGCAAGGAATACAGCTCTAGAAACTGGAAAAGACAAAGAAATCGATTCTCCCCTAAAGTCTCTCATGGCTGCAAGATGGCTGTTCCTGCTCAGGCATGGCCCTGCTGAAACCTTGATTTTGGTCCATTGAAACTGATTTTGGACTTCTGACCTCCAGAACTGTAAGAGAAGAACTGTGCATTGTTTTAAGTCACCAAGTCTGTGGTAATTTATTACAGCATCCATAGGAAACTAATACACCTGCGTAAACGCGCATATAACGACCACCCAGGTTAAGATATAGAACATTTCCATCCCCCCAGAAAATTTCTTTGTGCCTCTTTCCAGTTAGTAGCTTCCCAAAGAGAACTGTCACCAGTTTTGCTTTGACCTGGAATACTTGCATTTTACAAGGATGCAACAGTAAGTAGGCAAAGGAATGCATAGCTAATGGAGTTTCTGGCCCCTATAATACATGGGTGGAAGAAATATTTTTAGGTCCTTACCCACCCTCATTCTGTACACCCGGATGATATCCCCAACCAGACCTTCCAGTTAGAAAATGATGATCAGATGTCTGCATGAGGAAGGAGTGGGTTATTCAGTAAAAGGTTGTAGCAGACAGAATTGCTTACCAACTCAATAGTCATCTCCCTCTTCCTCCTTGTGGAAAGAATCCCCATTTTTAAGGTAATTCATCCTCCTCCGCATGAGTCTGTGCTCCTCTATGCCAGTCATGGTCGTTTTATCCCCCTTGCCAGTGATCAGCCTAGTTATAGGCATGGTGAAATTCAGGCCACTGTGATGTGAGAGGAGGTATGCTGGAGAGATTCTGGGAAAGTTTTCTTGAATGATAAAAATAAGCATACAGGAAGAGGCCTTCCTCTTTTACCATTGAATATTGCCATGTCTGGAAACAATGCCTGACCGGCAATAGCCACCTTGTGACCATGAAAGTTGCTAAATAACATGCTGAGGTTTGCAAATCAGAAAGATGGAAAGAATCAGGATTTTTTAATGACATTGTTGAACTGCTGAATTAATCAGCTCCAAAGCCACCCACTACTGAACTTATATGCAAGATAATATATTTCCTTTTTTAAAAACAGTCATCTAAGTTGGGATTTTCTGTTATTGCAACTGAAAACATAGCAAAAGATTCAAGTGGGATGTGGATGAGGCATTAGCTCAGTGGGGGAGGACGGAACGGAGATAGATGGATTAAATCGCAGAAACAGATTTCCTGTGCTGTCCTAGGTGCTGAACAAACTAGTCCTGGTCTCCACTCTAAGGTTGTTAACAGCCTTGCTGGAGATAAAGTTGGACATGTAGAAAGACAAAAAGGGCACACTACAGAGAATACATATGGACAAAGTTAACTTGTGTACAACTATGTGAAGCCAGTCACTTCCCAATGATTTTATTAGTAAGTTTAGACATCCAGGGCTTCAGATCACTACTCCTTTCCATTGAGATTGAGTGACTTTCGTGTTCCACTTACTCTCAGCAGGTAATTCCATTTGTTCACTTCATAAAGAAAATTCAGCCAATTGGAGTGGACCTCACACCTTCCAAATACACGTATACTTTAATTCTCAATAACGACAATGAGGGCACTCTGCTGGGTTCCTTACATGCATTGCTTCATTGTCTTCTCACAACAAGCTAGGTGCTAGCATCCTCATTCTACATATGAGGAAATGGAGGTTCAGAAAGACTTATCCATAGTCATAGCCGGCAGGCGATGGAGCCAGAGTTCAACCCTAGGTCTGTCTGACTCCAAGCCTGCATTTTTTCCACTATATCACTTACCTTCCCTCCCTCATTTTCTTCCCTCTCCCTCCCTTCCTACCTTTATTCCTCCTTTCTCCCCTCCCTCCCTCCTTCCCTCCTTCTCTCCCTTCCTTCGTTCCTTTCCTCCTAACTCAGATAAAGAGATTAGAAATCATGCCTCTTCCCCCTTTCCTTCTTAAAGCCCCAAGGAAACAGCAAACCTTGCAAAGAAACTGTCATCAAGACAATTACGAATATTAGATGTGAAGGGCCAGGAGGGAGAGGACTGGAACAAACTGGAGGAGTAGGGCAATGGAAGGGTGTCAGCAATAATGGTATTTGTACATCTTATTTATCTCTGTCAGGGAAAAAATAGTAAACTTTTCCTGCATACTAAATTCCAGACATCAATGAGATACCCAAGTGTGTGTGTCCTATAGCAAACAACATATATAGGGCTTAGATTATAGATGTGGGAACCATTCAGTTCAACAAATTATAATTAAGTCATTCATTCACTCAACAACTATTATTGAACATGTACTATGTGGAAGGTACTTGTTTTCTTAACTCTGAATTGGAAGGCATTTTTTGGGGGACAGCAGAGAATATAATTTGAAAGGAAATATCTAGAACATATGTTATAATAACTTTACCTGGAAGGCTATGGGAAAGACAGAGGTAAAATGAGGTACATGTTCTCAAGGAGCTCTGGTTCTGGTATGGGGGTGGGAGGATCAGGAGGAGATGGCCAAAAACACAAATGAGTATAATTCTAGGCTGCCTGTGGTATGTGCCATCTCTGTAGAAATCAAATGTGATAAGAGTGTGAGAGAAGGAGAGATGCATTTTGATTAGAGAGAGATCTGTATGCTGGAGTCTCTTGGCCATTACAATTTTTGATAACCTCTGAGTCATAGTTGAAATCATGAGAGTGGATGTTCCAAGAGAGAAGGGGAAGAGAGGGTGGGGGTAGGGGGAGAGAGATGGTGGAGAGGGAGAGAGAGGAGAGGAGAGGAGAGGAGAGAGGAGAGGAGAGGATCTTTGGGGGAAGGCTCACATGTTGGGGAAGTAGGGGAAAAAAGAGCCAGGGAAGGGGCCAGAAGGAACATCCAGAGGAAGAGGAGAACCGGAGTAAAGCAAAGTCACAGGAACCAAAGTAAAGAAGAGTTTCACAGAAGAGAGTGAGGCTGATCTGCTGCATTCCGTTCCTCTTGGCCCTGGGTGAGGACAGTAAAAGCCAGGCAGGTGTGCCGGTTGGGGAGGGTTGGGAGAGGTCTTTTCCTGAAATAGCCACTGGGCGGCAGTGGTGGCAGCAGCAGCAGCTGCAGCTGTGTCGGGACATGCAGAAACGTAGCAGAGCTAAGTCAGGAGAAATGTAGCAGAGGTAAACCAGCCTGAAGCAGTAGGAGCAGGAAGCTGGCTCAGGCTGGGGCTTCTCTAGTGTAGTGCTTCTCCTTGGGTGTACACCAAACTTCAAAACACGCTTGTCCACCTCTGCAGAGGCCAGGTTCATTCCTGGGAGCAAAGCAGTAACAAAAAACACCTTCTAAACTTGCAGCATTTTATGGTTCACAAAGTGCTCCACACCTGTTAACCAATTCAATATTCAGGAAACCCTAAAAGATTGGTATTATTATTATTCCCATTTCACTGGTGAAGAATGGAAGTTACAAAGAGGCGCCCAGGCTCACATAACTAATAAGTGGAAGAGCAAGGATTTAAACACCAGCCCGTCTGGCTTCAAAAACTTGGGCCTCTTATGTAATGTCACAGTAGTCAGCTGTCCAGGACTCAGGTTATGACTGTGTCCTCCACTGCTACCTTTTATTCCACCCTTTACTCTGCCACAGGGCAAGGATCTTCAGTTTCCCCATCCAGGTTTCTGGGCTTTCCGAGAGATCTAGATTCTAGATTCTAGAAGTCCGCCTCCTCCTCTCACTCCCAGGATCCAGCTGGGTGACATTCTCAGGACCTGAGGATCAAGTAAGTTCAGAGTCCCCATTGCTTCTCAGCTCCATGCAGAGTGGATTCTGCTCCAGCCTGCTCACCCCTCCCCAAAGGCACTGCTTACCTCATCCTCAGAGTCCTCCAGACCGGGTTTGCCTCTAGTGCCTAAGATATACTTACGGAGGCTTAGTTGGCTTCAGGAGCCCCAGATCCTGAGCTGCTGGCAATTCCCTACACCAGGCTCTCAAACATCTAGGCTTGCTCTCTGCACCTTCTCCACTATATTCAGACCAAGTCTCTGGGAGTGATCAAGAGAGACGAGGGGTACTGTATAGAAAGGGGTAGAGTCTGTATGGGAAATGTATTGGCTGGTATCCTTAAGGAGGCATGAACTGTCTCCTGGCCATCCCCTCTTACATGTATAATAGGCATCTCAAAATTTACAGGCTGAAAAGTGAACTCCCAATCTTTCCCCTAAACCCACTCCTGTCTCTGTCAACAGTAACTCTATTCTTCCAGTTGCTCAGGCCGGACATTTTGGAGTAATTTTTGACTCTTCTTTCTCTTATACCCCACATCAGTAAATCTTGCTGTCCCTACTTAAAAAAGTCTATCCAGAATTTGACCACTTCTCATCATCTCCACCACTGTGATCCAAGCTACCATCATCTCTATCAGCAATAGCCTCTTGACTGGTCTTCCCCCTGTACCTCCAGCCCTGCAGTCTATTCTCAATATAGAGCTGGCCAGTGAGCCTTCTAAAATGTAAGTCAGATGACACCTCTCTTCTCTAAACCCTAAGTGCCTTCCCGTTCACCAAAGAGTCCTTTACAATGGCCTCCAAGGACCTTCATGATCTGGTCCCTGCCAAACTCTCTGACCTCATTTTTTACTTTTCCCCTTCTCACAACACCTGGCCTTTATTCAAAAGTCACCCTTAATATTTATTTATTTACTTATAGACAGGGTCTTGCTTTGTCATTCAGGCTGGAGTGCAGAGGTCTGACCATAGTTCACTGCAACCTCAAACTGCTGGGCTCAAGTGATCCTCCTATCTCCGACTCCCAAAGCACTGGGATTACAGGTGTGAGCCACTGTGCCTGGTTTCATTCCTAATATTTAAAACAACAACCCTCTCTATTACCCTTTTCCTTCCCTCTTTATTACCCTTTTCCTTCCCTCTTTAATTTTTCTCCATAATGATGATCACAATCTACATATTTTACTTATTAATTTTATTATCCCCCAGTAGTATGTAAGCACCATTAGGGTGGGAGTTTTTATCTATTTTGTCCACTCCTAAGGAACTACCAGTAACTAGAACTGGACCAGGCAAAAGTAGGCTCTCAGTAAATATTCGTGGTTTTAAAAAAATTATTTATATTTGAGACAGGGTCTCACTTTGTCACCCAGATTGGAGTGCAGTGGCGCGATCACAGCTCACTGCAGCCTCAACATCCCAGGTTCAAGCACTCCTCCTGCCTCAGCCCCCCATGTAGCTGGGACATCAGGTGCATGCCACCACGCCCGACTAATTTTTTGTAGAGACAGGGTTTTGCCACGTTGTCCAGGCTTGTCTTGAACTCCTGAGCTCCAGCGATCTGCCTGCCTCTGTCTGCCATAAATATTTGTTGATTCTTTCCTGGATCATAGCCAGTGGCTTAGAGAGGCAACTTAAGCATAGCAATTAAGTTATGGATGCTAGAGCCTGATCCAAAGGCAGGCCTGTCTTGGTTCAAATCTTGACTCTACCACTAACTAGCAAGACACCTAAACTTTCTGTGCCTTCATTTTTTCATCAGCAAAGCAGAGACAATAATAGTATCTAGCTCATAGAGAGCCTATGGGGTCATTAATAAGTATAAAGCACTTAGAAAAATGCCTGTCACATAGTAAGTGCTATATAAGCATTCTTTGTAATTATATGCATATGAGATTTATATTAAATATCAGTAGTTTAGATTTTCTAAAATCTTTCAATGTGTTGTCTTGCACTTGCCCATGTGAAAATTCGTTTCCCATGTTTCTGCTCACTTACACAGGCTTGTATGATCCCCCTGTAATCTATCTCCAGGGACCTGGCTCTTCATCAGTAAACTTGGATGTTTCCTCGTGTTCTCCCTCCTGCAGTCATTTCAAAGCTGTTAAATAGTAATCTCGCTGGGCCCCAGTTTCCCAATCTGTACAATGAGTGGGTTGGACTAGGTCATCGTAAAGGGCCTTTCTAACTCTTTTAATCTCCCAGGTGGGAGGAGGGACAGGCCCCACCTCCAACTCCACCTCCTTGGATATGCCCTCTGGCTGCCAAGGGGAAGGGTGACAGAGTCAGCTGAGCTCAGCTTCAAGGGGACCAGGTAGGAGATGTGCCAACGTTCTTGGGCAAGGGTGGCAATGGGGCTCCTGGGCTGTAGGCAGGCAGTGGGGAAGGTGTCATAGGTAAATGTCATCTGGAGACACTGTGACCAGGGCACTAGGAGAGGCGAAGGCACTGTGGGGAGAGACACTCCTCTTCCAGGGATATAGCTGTGATGACGAGTCAGAAGACACTTTGGGTCTGGGTATCTTCCCACTTTGGATAGTGCTGGGAGGCCTCCACCCTCTTCAGCCAGCCAGGCTCTTAGGGACAGAGTGAGCTGCAGAGTGAGTACAACCCAAATACACGGGCTGCCTGCCTGAGCCCCAGCACTGCCTGCTGCCCACCACTTCCCAAGCTGGACCAAGGGAGCTTGGGTAGGGGCCAGGCTAGCCTGAGTGCACCCAGATGCGCTTCTGTCAGCTCTCCCTAGTGCTTCAACCACTGCTCTCCCTGCTCTACTTTTTTTGCTCCAGCTCAGGGATGGGGGTGGGCAGGGAAATCCTGCCACCCTCACTTCTCCCCTTCCCATCTCCAGGGGGGCCATGGCCAGTACAGAGTCCTCCCTGTTGAGATCCCTAGGCCTCAGCCCAGGTCCTGGCAGCAGTGAGGTGGAGCTGGACTGTTGGTTTGATGAGGATTTCAAGTTCATCCTGCTGCCTGTGAGCTATGCAGTTGTCTTTGTGCTGGGCTTGGGCCTTAACGCCCCAACCCTATGGCTCTTCATCTTCCGCCTCCGACCCTGGGATGCAACGGCCACCTACATGTTCCACCTGGCATTGTCAGACACCTTGTATGTGCTGTCGCTGCCCACCCTCATCTACTATTATGCAGCCCACAACCACTGGCCCTTTGGCACTGAGATCTGCAAGTTCGTCCGCTTTCTTTTCTATTGGAACCTCTACTGCAGTGTCCTTTTCCTCACCTGCATCAGCGTGCACCGCTACCTGGGCATCTGCCACCCACTTCGGGCACTACGCTGGGGCCGCCCTCGCCTCGCAGGCCTTCTCTGCCTGGCAGTTTGGTTGGTCGTAGCCGGCTGCCTCGTGCCCAACCTGTTCTTTGTCACAACCAGCAACAAAGGGACCACCGTCCTGTGCCATGACACCACTCGGCCTGAAGAGTTTGACCACTATGTGCACTTCAGCTCGGCGGTCATGGGGCTGCTCTTTGGCGTGCCCTGCCTGGTCACTCTTGTTTGCTATGGACTCATGGCTCGTCGCCTGTATCAGCCCTTGCCAGGCTCTGCACAGTCGTCTTCTCGCCTCCGCTCTCTCCGCACCATAGCTGTGGTGCTGACTGTCTTTGCTGTCTGCTTCGTGCCTTTCCACATCACCCGCACCATTTACTACCTGGCCAGGCTGTTGGAAGCTGACTGCCGAGTACTGAACATTGTCAACGTGGTCTATAAAGTGACTCGGCCCCTGGCCAGTGCCAACAGCTGCCTGGATCCTGTGCTCTACTTGCTCACTGGGGACAAATATCGACGTCAGCTCCGTCAGCTCTGTGGTGGTGGCAAGCCCCAGCCCCGCACGGCTGCCTCTTCCCTGGCACTAGTGTCCCTGCCTGAGGATAGCAGCTGCAGGTGGGCGGCCACCCCCCAGGACAGTAGCTGCTCTACTCCTAGGGCAGATAGATTGTAACACGGGAAGCCGGGAAGTGAGAGAAAAGGGGATGAGTGCAGGGCAGAGGTGAGGGAACCCAATAGTGATACCTGGTAAGGTGCTTCTTCCTCTTTTCCAGGCTCTGGAGAGAAGCCCTCACCCTGAGGGTTGCAGGGAGGCAGGGATATCATGGGTGACCTCATCTCTCATAACCCCTTCAGTTGCCGACTCTTTTTAGCCAATGCCAATCTTCTACTCCTTTCTCGTTGTTTCTGTTCCTTCCTGGGGCCATTGGTCCTACAATCTTCCTGAAAATCTTCCCCAGTCCTCTTTCCCTGTCCCATTTCCCCCACAGCCTCCTATAGCATGTGTTTCTCTACCCAGACCAGAGCATTCAGCTGAAGGGGTGGATCAGGCAGAGTCATCTCAGGATTGGCCTGACGTATCTGATGGTGATAACCAGAATCAGGAAGTGGAGGCAACTTCCATATCACAGATGCCGAGGATGTGCCATATGTAGCACCCACACTGACTTCCTGGTTCTCTCTCAAAGACAGCATAGTCTTGCTTACCAAGATGCTGGAATAGGGTGTGATCCCAGGGAGCCTGCATGCCAGGGTCCCCGCATGTAGCTGGGGGCCTGACACTGTTGAACTGGTGTGCAGCATGAATTAAAGTCCTGTGATAGGGTGGGGACCTTAGCTGATAACAGCCTTTGGGACAGGAATGGGACTGGACCTTCTTTATGATGTTTGCTGAGAACATGTATATGACAGCTCTCCTGTACTTAACAAAAGGACAAGTGGATGGCTCAGACTGAGGGGGTGGAGCTCTCACGTCTATGGCTGTAAGTTCTAGCATTGAGGAGTAGAGCAGATTTGTGCAGAGGAAGGTGGTGACAAGAATTGACGCCCAGAGCTAGTGTTTCACTGATCTCTCCACTTTCTCTAGGTCCTGCCCCAAATAAATGATAAATCTGTCACCAGCTCTTTCAGATCAGGCTTCAGGACTTTGAGGCCAGGGTGGAGCACTAGGACTGGGAAGGTTCTTTTTAAAGTTTCCCACCCATTCATTGCTTCTCTCTTCCAGTGCCATCTTAGCACTTACAGGCTTATTGGATCAAGTTGCAGAGGGGAGGGGGGTGCATTGGAAATTGAGAAGCTAACCCCTAAGCCTTGGGAAGTAAGAATTTCTTGGCAGGCATTCTTGAGAAGGGTGGGCTCACACTTACAGGCCTTCTCCCTCTGAAATCACCTTCCAGCCTGTTGGTCTCCTGAGTCAGACCCCAGCCTTGCCTTTCTTTTTTTCCCACCCTTGCTAACCTGTCTCTGATCTCTTACTTATCTAATGATACTAACTCTTATTGGCTTCTAAGCGTCTCTCTCTGTAGAGTAGGGCTGGGGCTGGACTGAAGGAAAAAAAAATGACTTCAGTTCCCCTGAATTTCCCTTTTTGTTTTTTGAAAGGCTCCCACTTTCTCCCTAGATATCCAGGACCTTCTTGCTATGCAGGACTCCTGCCATTAGGAGTAAATGAACCGGCTTTTTTCTCCTCTTCTTACTAGTTCTCCCAGTCTCACAGCCACTGTTGCGTACACTGTTCCTCATCTGCACTCTCTTCCTTTTATTCCTATGACCATGGCCTCTTTGCCCATCACCTCCCCTAACCTGCTGTCCCCACCCAGTAAAGCTGCTCTTTCCATCCCAACTGACTCAGCCTCCTCCATTTCCTCAGTCTATTTAACTCCCATATGCTTAATCGAGATGAACTTTCTGGTCTGTTACTTTAGGGCTGTCTTCCCTTGCACTTTAGCTTTAAACACCTTGACTTTCACCTTAGGCCAATCTCCTTTCTTCTAGGACTGGAGGAAATTGCAGATGAAGCCAGAGAACAAGGCTGGCTTGACCCACTAAGACTTCACATCCTGGAACTTTGCCTAAGCTCTCATTCCTCTTAGCCTGGTGTGTTCCTAGTGAACATTCCACAGCAGCTGTTTCCTGTCTTTTTCACCTCCACAAGTCCCCAAATTCATCTCCTTCTTGTGATCTCTTAAGAGAGTTACCTTGCCTCCTGCGAAACTGAGAAGCTCTAACGCTTCAACTTCCAGTTATCATTCACGATAACTACTCTATATTTGCCCTGTCTTTCTCCCTTTCTTCCCTGAAGTTCCAGAATAAGAGGTGGTCCCCTTTCTTATTCCTTTGTTTACCTCTCTTCATTATTTCAAGTCTCTTCCATCACCCATTTTATCCCATCTTAAAAACAAACAACAACAACAAAAAAACCAAAGCATTATCACTGACACCTTAACCCTGCTGCCGTTTGTCTTTTCTTTTTTCTTTTTTTTTGAGACGGAGTTGCTCTGTCGCCCAGGCTGTAGTGCAGTGGCACAATTCTCGGCTCACTGCAACCTTCACTTCCCAGGTTCAAGTGATTCTCCTGCCTCAGCCTCCCAAGTAGCTGGGATTATAGGCACACATCACCACGCCTGGCTAATTTTTGTATGTTTAGTAGAGACAGGGTTGCATCATGTTGGCCAGGCTGGTCTCGAACTTCTGACCTCAAGTGATCCGCCCACCTCAGCCTCCCAAAGTGCTGGGATTACAGGCATGAGCTACCACGCCTGGCCTAGAAACCTTTTATTGTAAATATTCTCCCTGGTTGCTATAGTCTTTCATATCTATTATTTCAGTTGCCTCATAAAATTACACCTGTCAGTAGATTACATTTTATTTGACTATTCCCCTATTATTGAATATTTAGATATATTTCAATTTTTCTGTGCTTTGAACATCTTAATGTGTATGGCTTTTTTTCTTCTTTGTAATTCTGTCTCTAGGACAAATTCCCAGGAGTGGGATTACCAGACCAAAGAGCATGAATGTTTTTATGGATTGTGACTGCCAAAAGGACTGCAAAAATTTTCAACACCACAATGACGTATGAGTTGTTCCAGTTCCCTTGCAGCGCTAGCATTGGACTTTAGAAGAAATCTCTTTAGATGATTAAACATTATTTTGATATTTTTTTCATTTCTTTGATTACTCATGTGATTGAACTCTTTCCCATATGTTTACTCTTTGCATCTTTCTTTAATTGGCACCCTAGTGGTATTCTTATATATCTAAATGTATTCTTAATATACATGCTATCCCTTTGTCATTATTTGATGTAAATATTTATCTTATTTATTGTGATACTTTTAATTTTAGTTCCTTATTTTATCCTCTTGCTTTAGAATTTCTCTCCTCATGCTTTTATCTCTCTGATTACTTTCTATCTCCTTTGCTGACTTCTCTTTTGCTCCTTAAGTAAACAGCATTCCTGAGATCGGTCACAGAGTCATAGCATTTGGGGATTATTTAATGCCCTTTGTTCATCTGACTATTGATTTTGCCATGGAGAAAACATACATGCAGGTGACTCATAGTCCTTGAGAGTACCTCAGAGATCATATAGGGTCTGTGCACCCCCTCACTTTACGGTGAAGGAAACAGGCCCAGAGAGGTGGCTTGCCCGTGACTCAGTAAGTTAGTGGCAGAGAAGAGGCAAAGTCCCAGGTCTCCTGACTCCCAGGGCTCCATTATATACCATTATACCAAGCCAACTCAATTCTAGGCCTTCCCTTCTCCCAACCTCCACCTCTACATCTTCAATTGCCTACTAGACAGTTTCACTTGGACCTTCCATTGTTACTTCCACCCCAAGATGTCAAAAGCAAAACTCCCTGAACCAGTTTTTCTACCTGTCTTGCTAATTTCTGTTCATGGCGTCTTCTTTCTTCAAGTCAGCTAGGCTTGAAAACTCTCAGGCAAGTTCAACTCTTGTCTCTCCCTATTTCACAGGTTCTGACATTTCTTTCTTCATCTTGCCAATTACAATTGGCCTTCCTTTTAGTCTCAGCACCACCATTTTAATACTGGCTTTTGTCACCTTATCCCTGACTGTCATAGGCTCCTAACTAGTCTTCCTTATCTCCAGTCTCTTCCCATCGAAAGGCATCCTCTACAATGCATATTGCCAGATTAGTCTACCCACACACTGCTTTCAGAGTTTCACTGTCTTACTCAAAATTTTTTCATGGTTCACTATTGTCCACAAGACAAGTCAAAATCCTTTTGTCAGAAGTTCAAGAGGGTCTTTGAATCTTACTTTCCATTATTCCCCAGTAAAAGTCTCTCTTCTCTAGCTAAATTGGTCTTTTCATTCTCTTTCCAAACAAGACTTGGATTTTCTCACCTCCGTCTTTATTCTTCCTGTCCCCCACACTGGAATGCCCTCCCTTTCTTCTTGGGCTGCCCTTTTTCTATTCAGTTTCCAAGGCCAGGCTTAAGTCCTACTTCCTGTTTGAGGCCTTCTCTGCTGACTCTTACCCACAGTGACCTTCCAGGTCACTCCTAGAGTAATTATTGTCTCTATCAGTCATTGGGCACTTTTATTGTCTTTTAACATTACTTCTACTGTTATCTTGAATTGTTATTTAACTATTCATGTATGTTTGTCTTGAGTTCCCACCTATAAACCCCTTGAGTTACTGCGATAGAAAGGAAAGAGCATAGAACAGAAAATCAGAAGACCCAAGTCTGAGCTCTGATTCAGAAAATGGGGCTCAGGTGTGTCATCTTGGATGAGTCACTCAGACTCTCTGAACCACAATTTCATCATCTGTAAAAAGAAGACAATTATCTCAGCTTTAAGTACCTCTTCAGATTCTGGTGAAGCTTTAAGTACCTCTTCAGATTCTGGTGCTTAATAAATATTTTCTGAATGATTATACGTTAGTAATTCAGTTTTTTGTTTCTTCTTCTGGGTATATTTCCACTTTGAGAGGCCACAGGAACCCCAAGGAATTAAAGGCCAAGGGGACTTTAGGAACAATGGTGGTGGGAGGGCATTGGAAAGATGTTTTGAGGGGAAGTAGACATAACCAGCATCTTTCACATTCCACTCTGTGGGCTACTCACTACTTGGCCTGCCTGTAAGGCTAACCTGGATGTAGGGAGGAGGGGAAGGTGACACATTCTGAGCTTTCACTTTGCTTACGTTTTCTATTCCTTCATCCAACAATCCCCAGCTGGTTAAGTGAAATGCTTCACTCAGGAGTCTGCTCTCCTTCATTGATGTGATGAAAGCCAGCTTTTGGTAAAGGAAGTGATAAGGAGTAGTAGAGAGAACAAACAATTTTCATCAGATAACTGGACTTGACTTTGAATCCTTGATCTGATACTCACTAGCTGCATGATCTCGACAAGTTACTTGATCTCTCTGAACTTCAATTTCCTCGTTGATAAATTGGGATAAGAATACCCATTTGACAAAGCTGTTGCAAAGAGTCAATGGAGTAATGGATGACGAAACATCACTTACAATTCCTGTGGGCAGGAACTTCCTTTCAATGGTTTTCAACTTTAGCATAGCTGGACGTGGAATAAGAGCTCCCATTCAAGTACTAATCAGGCCCGACCCTGCTTAGCTTCGGAAATCAGATGAGATCGGGCACGTTCATGGTGGTATGGCCATAGATCATGGAACCAGAACTCAATATTTGAATCTGCTGCTTAGATGTGATAGTTAAGATCATGACAAAGAATAAACCTTCGAGTGTGAGAAGCAGAGGGCTAAGAACTGATCACCGAGGGATGGCCATAGTGATGGATTGGGAGGAAACAGTTTGGGACTCTGGCATTGCATCGAGGGAGAAGAGAGTTTCAGAAACAGGGATTTAGGATAGTTATTTAAAAAACAAAAAACCTTTGAATAAAAAAAGAGAACGATTAAGAAAGCAATCAACAGTGTCAAATGCCTAAGAGAATTCAAGGAGGATGTGATTCTCAGAAACACTCAATAAAAAATACTTGATTCTCTGCCAAACTGGGTTTATGCATACAATAGATAATAGCCAGTGGCATTGACTAAAGAGGCCAATTTTAAATAGCTTTTGTAATCAAGAACTTTTTACATGCATTAGTTGGTGACCACACCTCTTTCCAAAGTTTCCTGTTGACCACACCTCTTTCCAAAGTTTTCAGAATAACCCATTTAATGGGTTACTTGCCATAACTACAGAGCTGATATTTCCTATATGAGATGAGATGTGGCTTCTCATCAAAAGGAAGAGCAGAAATATCTGAGTGGAACCAAAGAGTGAGTATGTCTATGAGGGTACCTTGGTATAGGTTTGATTACCAGAGCTTATGTATTTGGGTCACAAGATGGGAAGAAAAATTATCCCTTCTTGGGTCAAAGTATAAATTATTAAAATGTAAGAACTCTTCCAGAGAGAGAGGAAGATGAAATCTTTCTTGAAGCAGATTGGTTATTATTGTTTATTTTGTACCACAGTTTGGGGTCCTAGTCCTGTTTTTGGATCTACTGATGGAAAGAAGGAAGTAAATGTACTGGGGCCAGGCGCGGTGACTCACGCCTGTAATCCCAGCACTTTGGGAGGCTGAGGCAAGTGGATCACCTGAGGTCAGGAGTTTGAGACCAGCCTGGCCAACATGGTGAAACCTTGTCTCTACTAAAAATACAAAAATTAGCCGGGAATGGTGGTACATGCCTGTAATCCCAGCTACTCGGGAGGCTGAGGCAGGAGAATCGCTTGAACCTGGGAAGTGGAGGTTGCAGTGAGCCAAGATCGTGTCACTGCACTCCAGCCTAGGTGACAGAGCAAGACTCCAACTCAAAAAAATGAAAGAAAAGAAATGTACTGGGAAAACTTAAGAGAAGAATCAACTGATACCCTCTCAGGGATCACCACGCCGATGGCACCTGCCCAATTTGTGTTACTTCTCACTGATGTTTAACTTACTGCTCTTTGTAAATCTCATTCCCTTCACTAAATCAATAGCCCTCTATCTGCAGTGTGAATAAAACATTTTTTTTACCCACTCTAAATATTGCTAGATCCCTTTCCAGAGGGTAGCTGCTGTTGTGGTTCTTTGAGGATTTAAGCTGGTTTGATTTTTTTTAAACGTTTTTGTCTTTATTTCTCTAATGAAATTTTCTCAAATACATTTTCCAGGTGCTACTAAGTTTTGAAGGGGCTGGGTTTAATATTGTTAAGCAGGTTTCTTTACTACAGGATTTATCTGGAGCCCTTAACATCATAATATCCACTGTGAATTTCTAAGAGGAGGGGGTTCTATGTACAATACCTACCAGACTTATGGACCAAGGAACCATTTTTTTCCTGCAAGGCACAGCTCAAGGACCTCCTATGCCAAGATACATTTTAGGACCACCGTTCTAGTAAGGGAAACCTACTATCTGGAAACCACCTAGTCAGAGGGTAGGAGTTAGCTTATGTCTCCTGCACTCCTAGATTTCTTCTCTCCACCATGGGCAGATACAGACCAAAAAAGTTCTTTTCTTTTTTCATATGTAGAAATGTAAAAAATGCTTTTCTACATTTTCCAGGAAATCGCACAGCTTTTCAAATTTGATGGAAAAGTTTTCCCCTCTCCTAATAATAAGTAAAATACTTTCCCTGGAAACCTTTCCCTTTTGAGGTAGTCCATCAATTAGGAATGCATTTGACTGTGTGTAACAGAAACCCATGGTGAGGGCTCAACAAGGTATGTGTTTCTTGTGTGTGTTTGTTTGTTTTATCAAAAAAATCCCCATGTCGGCAATACAGGGTAGGTACAGATGCTCAAGAAAATGCTTACAGCTTCCTGCTTTACCATCTCTTTAATGTATGTTTTTAATCTTTGTGGTTATAAAATGGCTGCTCAATTTCCAAGCACATTGTCTGTGTTCTACATGGGAGGAAAGGAGTAAAGGTATATAGCAAGAGGCTAAAGAATCCCGTAAACTAAGCCCTTTTTCTTTATCAGGAAAACAATAGCCTTTCCAGAAACACCACCCAGTAGACTTCTGCTTACACCTCACTAGTTAGAGCTAGGTCATGTGGCCACCCCCAGCTATGTGTATGGGAAGCTGAGTATATTGCTGCCCCAAATGGACAGGGAGTTTTCTGAGTAAAGAAGACAGGGATAATAATAGGTATTGGGTAGGATACTAGCAGGGTCTGTTACATACTGCTTGTTTTTTTTCTTCTGACTTAAAAACTGATTTTCCCATGATAACTTTCTGTAATACAACTAAACTCCTTTCTGAGAAAGTTCTGTAACAAAAGTAAGATTAACAGTATGCAATCCTTTATCACATCTTTTACAAACTTAACTTCTCGGAAAACCAAGAACCTAATAAATCTTGAATTCAACAATTGAAATTCCTCCAAATTGTCTTGTACTCATTGTGTACATACTATTGTAGCCTGACATTGTCGCTTCCATTTCACATGCAAAGTTTTATACAGTCTGCATGTGAGAATGCTTAATGTATAGTAAATCAGCATTAATAACCATCAACTGAATTTGAGCAGTCATCCAATAGATCGAGTTCTTAAGGACGTAGGCGTCTGACTTATTTCTCTGTCTTCCCCAGTGCCTAGAACATAATAGGTGGTCAATAAGTATTGCTGAATGAAGTGAGTGAATGAGTGAATTATCTGAGGTGTCCAGGAAGACCTGTCAGGGCCCTACGTTATCAAGGAAGATCTAGCCCCAAGTAGGAAAGGACCAGCCTGTCAGGTGAGAAGACAGCAGAAAAACTGAACTGTCAACAGTTGATTCAAAAGCAATTCTTTAAATATTGGTTAATTTTGGTGCACCAGAGATGGTTTTGGAAAACTTCTATGCATTTTAAAATATCTTTGTTTTTCAAAATTTGGGTTTTTATTTTTAATTTATTAAGGCATTGCCAAAACATCAGGTCTGGCACAACTGTCTAAAAATGAATTAGGAATAAAATTCCAAAAATGTAGGAGCAATAATCCCACATCTGAAAAGCTATGGATTTTTATTAAATTTTTAAAACTTGGCCGGGCACGATGGCTCACGCCTGTAATCCCAGCATTTTGGGAGGCTGAGGCAGGCAGAGGTCAAGAGATCGAGACCATCCTGGCCAACATGGTAAAACCCCGTCTCTACTAAGAATATAAAAATTAGCTGGGCATGGTGGCACGTGCCTGTAGTCCCTCGGGAGGCTGAGGGAGGAGAATTGCTTGAACCCGAGAGGCGGAGGTTGCAGTGAGCCGAGATCGTGCCACTACACTCCAGCCTGGCAACGAAGTGAGACTCCAACTCAAAAAAAAAAACAAAAAAAAAATTAAAACTTGCCTTACATTATTACAAACACAATGCATTATCACTACACAAGGATCCTAAAATACAGACAAGCAAGAACTCTGTGGGGCATGCAAAGATTTATTAGAACCCAGAAAACAATAACCATATGAAATAATTTGATAAATTAGGCTTTATCAAAAATTTGTAAAAATTGCTAGAAACAAATCTCCAATGAGGATTTTTTTTTTTTTTTTTTTTTTGAGATGGAGTCTTGCTCTGTCACCCAGGCTGGAGTGCAATGGCGCGATGTCAGCTCAAGACAACCTCTGCCTCCCGGGTTCAAGCAATTCTCCTGCCTCAGCCTCCCAAGTAACTGGGATTACATGCACCCGCCACTACACCCGGCTAATTTTTGTATTTTTAGTAGAACACGGGGTTTCACCATGTTGGCCAGGCTGATCTCAAACTCCTGAAATCAGGTGATCCGCCTGGCTTGGCCTCCCAAAGTGCTGGGATTACAGGTTTGAGCCACTGCGCCGACCAGAAAAATTTCAAATAATTCATGCAGCTGCTTCATCCTCAAGGATAGGGAGCATAATTCCCCACTCCTTAAGGGTGAACTATTGAGACTTCTCACAGAGTGGAAAAGGGGAAAAAGAGTAACTTTACAGTGGAGAAACTTGACAAATACTACCTCAGCCAGGTGATCAAGGTCAACAACTGTAATAAGTCTTGTTGATACTATGTGTCTTAGTTATAAGGTAATGAAAAATGGTACTTTACCTCTGTGGTCTTCTTCCCTGAAACCCATAACTTCAGTCTCATCATGATAAAAAACATCAGACAAATTTCAATAGCAGGACATCCTACAATGTACTTGACCAGCATGCCTCAAAAGCATCAAGGTCATTAAAAACAAGGAAAATCTGAAAAACCATCAAAGCTAAGGGGAGCCAAACATATAATACCTTAATGTAATAGGGTATGCTGGATGGGATCCTGGAACAGTAAAAGGACATTAGGTAAAAACTAAGGAAATATGAATAAAGTGTAGTTAATAATAACATATCAATGTTGGTTCATTAATTGTAACAACTATACCGTACTAGTGTGAGATGTTAACAATAGGGAAACTGCACTATCTCAATTTTCAGTAAATCTAACACTATTCCAAACAATAAAGTCTATGAAAGCACAAACAAAACTTTGCTCATCAAAAGAGACCATTACCGGCTGGGCGCGGTGGCTCATGCCTGTAATCCCAGCACTTTGGGAGGCCGAGGCAGGTGGATCACTTGAGGGCAGGAGTTTGAGACCAGTCTGGCCAACATGGCAAAACCCCGTCTCTACTAAAAATACAAAACTTAGCTGTGTGTGGTGGTGGGATCCTGTAGTCCCAGCTCTTCAGGAGGCTGAGGCAGGATTGCTTGAACCCAGGGGTGGAGGTTGCAGTGAGCCAAGATCGTGCCACCGCACTTCCAGCCTGAGCAACAGAGTGAGACTCCATCTCCAAAAAAAAAAGAGAGAGAGAGACCATTATCACATAAATTTATCACATAAATAGACAAACCACTGACTGGGAGAAAATATTTGCAAAACATCTATCTGATAAAGTGATAAAGTACTGGTATCTAAGATGTATAAAGAATTCCTGCTAACACTCAATAATGAGAACACAAAGAGCCCCACAAAATAGGCAAAAGATATAAACAGATACTTCAAAAAAGAAGATATATTTATTAGTGGCCAAGCATGGTGAAAAAAATGATCAACATTATTAGTCATCAAAGAACTGAACATTAAAACCACCATGGGATACTATTACACACTCTCCAGAACAGCTAAAACTAAAAGAATTGATAATGCCAAATGTTGGTGAGAGTGTGAAACATCCAAAAAATTTCCTACATTGTTGATGGGAGTGTAAAATGGTACAAACACTTTTGGAAAGAGTCTGTTAGTTTCTTATATAAGTAAACATATACCTATCCTGTGACGCAGGAATTATATTTCCAGGTATTTACCCAAGACAAATATATGGCCATATAAAGATGTTTATAGTAGCTTTTCTTTCTTTTTTTTTTTTTTTTTGAGACAGTGTCTCACTCTGTCACCCAGGCTGGAGCACAGTGGCATGATCATGGCATACTGCAGCCTCAACCTCCCGGGCTCAGTTGATCCTCCCACCTCAGCCTCTCGAGTAGCTAGGACAATTGGGGCTTGCCACCACACCTTGCTAATTTTTCTTCTGTAGAGATGAGGTCTCGTTTTGTCGCCCAGGCTGGTCTTGAACTTTTGGACTCAAGCAGTCCTCCCACCTTGGCTTCCGAAAGTGCTGGGATTACAGGCATGAGCCACTGCGACCAGTGTCTTAAATAAAGTCCACCATAAAGAAGATTAGAGAGTCACTATTCATACCTTGGTGTATATCCCTCCAGATCTTTTCTTATGCACAAATACAAGGGGCATTGTAAACTTATTTTGGCCAAATGCTGAATGGCCAAGTTTTTTCCTTCTAATTTTTATTTTAAGTTCAGGGGTACATGCGCAGGTTGTTACATAGGTAAATTATGTGTCACTGGGGTTCGGTGTACAGATTATTTCATCAGCAGGTAGTAAGCATAGTACCTGATAGGTAGTTTTTTGATCCTCACCCTCCTCCTCCCACCCTCCACTCTCAAGTAGGCCCTGGTGTCTGTTGTTCCCTTCTTTGTGTCCATGTGTACTTAATGTTTAGCTCCCACTTAGAAGTAAGAACACGCAGTAGTTGTTGTTCTGTTCCTATGTTGATTCGCTTAGGATAATGGCTTCCAGCTCCATGCATGTTGCTGCAAAGGATATGATTTTATTCTTTTTAATGGCTGCATATACTCAATGGTGTATATGTACCACATTTTCTTTATCCAATCCACCATTGAAGGGCATCTAGGTCAATTCCATGTCTTTTCTATTGTGAGTAGTGCTGTGATGAATATACACATGCATTTGTCTTTTTGGTAGAATAATTTCTATTCCTGTGAGTATATACCCAGTAATGGGATTGCTGAGTAAAATGGTAGTTCTGCTTTAAGTCCTTTGAGAAATCTCCAAACTGTTTTCCACAGTGGCTGAACTAATTTCCATTCCCACAGTGTATAAGTGTTCCCTTTTCTCTGCAACCTTGCCAGCATCTGTTATTTTTTGACTTTTTGATACTAGCCTGTATGACCAAGTTTTAAAGTCAATATTCAACTGAAGCTCAGGATGAAGTTGAATATCACTATCTATTTTAGCATGAATCTCTGGTATATAAGAATAAATCTGAAACTTTATTAAAAATAAATATTATTACAACTTAAAATTTTTGGTAGCAATTTTTAAGAAATTTGACCTTACAGCGAAGGAACCATAATGTGTCAGCATTGTGAGCAGCATGATTGTTCTTGTGCTCACTGTTTTGTACATTTTCCATGTTAAATAAATGTTTACTTTCAGATGAAGTCAATGGAAGAGCACAATTCATGGCCCAAATGGAATTAGTTAATTAAAAATTAAATATAGTTCCTAGAAGTTATTTCTAGTGTTGTTAAGACTAGTACATCAAACAATTCTATAAAGATTAGAATTGAGATATAATTTAATTTTTTTTAGGCAAGGTCTCGCTCTGTCTCTCAGGCTGGAGTGCCGAGGCGTGATCACAGCTCACTGCAGCCTCAAACTCAAGCAATCCTCCCACCTCATCCTCCCAAGTAGCTGGGACCACAGGCGTGCACCACTATGTCGGGCTAATTTTTGTAGAGATAAGGTCTCATTATGTTGCCCTGGCTGGTCTCAAACTCCTGGGCTCAAGCAATCCTCCCATCTCAGCCTCTCAAAGTGTTGGGATTACAGGTGTGAGCCATTGCACCTGGCTGGAATATTACCTATGGTATGAAAGTGATCTTCTTATGTCCCCCTTATACAACATGGAGTATGTTATGTACTGAGTATTTGTGTTCTCCACCCCATAATTCATATGTTAATATCCTAACCCCCAAGTATGGCAGTATTTGGAGATGAGGCCTTTAAGGAAGTAATTGAGGTTAAATTAGGTCATAAAGATGGAGCTCTGATCTGATAGGATTAGTGTCCTTACAGAAAGAGACACCAGAGAGCTCCCTCTCACTCTCTCTCACCAAGTGCATTCACCGAGGAAAGACCATATGAAGACCTAAAAGCAAGAAGGGTGGCCATCTATGAGCCAGGAAAAGCGCCCTTACCAGGAACCAAACTTGCTGGCACCTTAATCTTGGACTTTTCCAGCCTCCAGAACTGTGAGAAAATAAATTTTAGTTGTGTAAGCCGTCCAGTCTGTGGTATTTTATCATAGCAGCCCAAGCCAAGTAATACAGAGTACTTTGGCCAAATTCGGTGACTCTGCCTAGGATTTATTACACCCACACACACCCCTGGGTTTTATCTTATATATGTTCTAATTAATTGGTTAACTCTCCTGTAACTTTTAAAGCTTTTCGTGTAGGAATATAATTAATTTCTTTTCTTATTAGTAAAAACATTTAAAAGCGATTAGGTTTTCTTTCAGTACCAATCTGGCAGAAACCCACACATTTTTAAAATAAATTATTTATTTTGGATTAATTTTACACTTACAGAAAAACTGCAAAGATGATGCACAGAGTTCCCAAATACCTCTCATTCAATTTCCCCTAATGTTAACATCTTATATAACCATGGCACATTTTTCATAACTGAGACATTGACATTGGTACATTACTATTAATTAAACTCCAGACTTTATTCAAATTTCACCAGTTTTTCCACTGATACTGTTTTTTTCTGTTCCAAGATGCAATTCAGGATAGCACGTTGCATTTAATCATCACGTCTCCTTAGTCTCCTTTGGTCTGTGAACAATATGTCTTTCCTTGTTTTCATGACTTTAATGACTTTGAAGTCCTAGTCAGGTATTTAGTGAAATATTCCTCAATTTGGGCTTCTTTGATATTTTTGTCATAATTAGACTAGGTTCTTGGGACTGGAGAATAGCACAGAAGTGAAATACCCTTCTTCTCACAAGATATCAACATGATTTATCACTTGTGATGTTGTAACCGCCCAAGGGGCTCACCTTGCCCGCTGCCTAGACAGAGCGAATTCATCAAGACAGGAGAATTGCAATAGAGAAAGAGTAATTCACACAGAGCCAGCTGTGCGGGAGGCCAGAGTTTTATTATTACTCAAATCAGTCTCCCCAAGCATTCAGGGAGCAGAGTTTCATTTGTTTTGTTTTTGTTTTTGTTTTGAGATGGAGTCTCACTCTGTCACCCAGGCTGGAGTGCAGTGGCGCTATCTCAGCTCACTGCAACCTCTGCCTCCCAGGTTCAAGTGATTCTCCTGCCTCAGTCTCCGGAGTAGCTGGGATTACAGGCGCCTGCCACCACGCCTAGCTAATTTTTGTATTTTTAGTAGAGACGGGGTTTCACCATATTTGCTAGGCTGGTCTTGAACTCCTGACCTCATGATCCACCCGCCTCAGCCTCCCAAAGTGTTGGGATTACAGGCATGAGCCACCGCACCCGACTGGGGAGCAGAGTTTTTAAGGATAACTTGGTAGGTGGAGGGAAGCCAATGAGCCAGGAATGCTGATTGGTCAGAGATGAAATCACAGGGAGTCGAAACTGTCCTCTTGCACTGAGTCAGTTCCTGTGTGGGAGCCACAGGATCAGATGAGCCAGTATATTGATCTGGGTGGTGCCAGCTGATCCATCAAGTACAGGTTCTGCAAAATATCTCAAGCACTGATGTTAGGAGCAGTTTAGAGAGGGTCAGAATCTTGTAGCCTCCAGCTGCATGACTCCTAAACCATAATTTCTAATCTTGTGGCTAATGTTAGTCCTACAAAGGCAATCTAGTCCCCACGCAAGAAGGAGGTTTGCCTTGGGAAAGGACTGTTACCATCTTTGTTTAAACTATAAACTAAGTTTCTCCCAAAGTTAGTTCAGCCTACACCCAGGAATGAACAAGGACAACTTGGAGGTTAGAAGCAAGATGGAGTCGGTTAAGTTAGATCTCTTTCACTGTCTCAGTCATAATTTTGCAAAGGTGGTTTCAATGTTAACCTTGATTGCTGGGTTAAGGTAGTGTTTGCCTGGTTTCTCTGCTGTAAAGTACTATTAGGTTGGGGCAAAAGTGATTGCAGTTTTGCCATTAAAAGTAATGCTTTTCACTTCCCACACTCTGTTCTTTGGAATTGAATTGCTAAATCTAGCCCACACTTGAGGGTGGGGAGGGGATTAAGTTCTACCTCCTGAGGGGAAGTATCTACATACATTATTTGTAATTCTTCTGTAAAGAAGATTTGTCCCTTTGCCACTATTTATTTGTTTACTCATTCATTTATATCAATATGGAATCATGTATACATAATTTATACTTCAGATTATAATTCAACACTATGTTACTTATGTTATTTGTCTTATTGCTCAAATTGTTTCAGCTTTGGCCATTGAGAGCTTTTTCAGGTTGCTCCTGTGTCCCCTTGACACACCATTATTCTTTTGTTTTCTGAGCACTTCTTTGCTTTCTGACACTTGAAGATGCTCCAGGATGATCTTCTATTTGCATACATTTTTATGTGTGATATTTACATTTCATTTGTTCCTTCCAACATATTCTATTATTGTCTCTAAATTTATTTTCTGAGCCAGTTGTCAGGAGAATATTTTTTATTCCAATTCAGCTGTGGACTCTAATTCTATCTTAATTATTTATTTCTAAGTTTGCTGTGTTGTATCCTGTGATTATAGTAGGTAGAATTTCTGCCTTTTACATCTTAGTTAAAAGTATTTTTATTTTCAAATACATAAATAATGGTTGTGAATGATTCATGTACACTTGTAAAGAAAATGTAATTCCCTGACTTGCTCACTAAGTCCTTACCATTTGAAAGCCTAGTCTACGTTATTTATTGTATTATTCAGCTCTGTACTTTTCAGCCTTATCACAAATCAATCCCTATCAAAAGGCTATGGAAGAATGAAGGAAGGAGTAACTCATTCGGTCTGGTGAAGGCTTCACTGGGAAGGTGAGATTTGATGTAGGCTTAAGAGATGAGCACGATCTCAGCTCACTGCAACCTCTGCCTCCCAGGTTCAAGTGATTATCCTGCCTCAGCCTACTGAGTAGCTGGGACTACAGGCATGTGCCACCACACCCGGATAATTTTTGTAATTTTAATAGAGATGGGGTTTCACCATTTTGGCTAGGCTGGTCTCGAACTCCTGACCTTAGGTGATCCACTCGCCTCGGCCTCCCAGAATGCTGGGATTATAGGCATGAGCCACCGCACCCCCACAGAATTATTTTTTTCTGTGCAATATTCATTAACATCTAAGGAACATTATTGGTACCCAGAGTGGAGGTATTGTAGGAACAGTAAAGGATTTAAGCAGGGGAATGAAAAGTCAGATATAAGTTTTAGCAAGATTGCCCTGGAAATAGCATGATGGGTGGGTTGATTAAAGAGGACTTTTCTAGAGGGAGTGGATATAGTCTTGGAATGTTGAGGGCCTTGACTAGATTGTGACTGTAGAAGGGGAGAAGGGGACAGGTTGGATTAATATGAAGGTGGCAAAATTGATACAACTTGGTGATAAGTTATGAAGTTGGGAGAAGGAAGATGACTCAACTGGTATTGGGTATGTTGAGGTTGAGGTGCTTGTTGGAGATTAGTAAATTGGATATATCGCACTGTTTGCTTATGAGGAAAATATGGGTTAGAAATAGATGTCTCAGACCTGAAACAGTAGAATGTGAGAGAACAGGATGGGACCCAATATTTAAAGGTTAAGCAAAGGAAAAAAAAAGCTAGTAGTCTCAATGGTCTTTTAACTTTTGGTCATTTGCTGTGTTTTTAAGTGTCTCTTATTGGCTGCCTCGTGAAGGAAGAGATATCTGTGTTTTTATTTACTCTTTTAAGATTCTCAGAATACAACTTTAAGAAAAACTTTTATTTATTTATTTAATTTAATTTTTTTTTTTGAGATAGAGTCTCACTCTGTCTCCCAGGCTGGAGTGTAGTGGTGCCCTCTTGGCTCACTGCAACCTCCACCTCTTGGGTTTAAGCAATTCTACTGCCTCAGCCTCCCGAGTAGCTGAGACTACAGGCGTGTGCCACCACGCCTGGCTGATTTTTGTATTTTTAGTAGAGACGGGGTCGGGCTGATCTTTAACTCGTGATCTCAGGCAATCCACCTGCCTTGGCCTCCCAAAGTGTTGGGATTACAGGCGTGAGCCACTGCGCCCGGCAAGAAAAACTTTTAAACAGAATTTAGTAAGGCTTTTAAAACATAGATATCAAGTGTATTCCCCACAGTAGGCTATGAGGATGGTTGCAAGTGCCCTGGGACTATGAAGTCAGAGGATCATTATGACAAGGTGACTTATGGGAAATGCCCATGCCAACTAAAAAATGATCCTGAGTACCTTTTATCTATCCTAAAGGCATGCTTGTCAGTGGTGTGGGCATAAGATAAGCCTTTATATCTGGGGATGGCAGATGACCACACAAAAACTTGTACATACATGAGTATTTATAGCAGTACTGTTCATAATAGCTAAAAAGTGGAAATGACCCAAATGTCCATCAAGTGGTGAATGGATAAACAAATGTGGTATACCTATACACACTGGAGTGTTGTCCAGCCATAAGGAGGAATGAACACTAACACGTGCTACAGCATGGATAGACCTTGGAAATATTATGCTAAGAAGCCAGCCACAAAAGACCACATATTGTATTATTCCATTTATATAAAATGTTCAGAATTGGCAAATCCACAGAGACAGAAAGTAGATAGTTGCCCAGGGGCTGGGGGAATATGCAGTGACTGCTAATGTGTCCCAGAGGACTCAAATGATGACCAGGCATCAGGCCCCAGCATGAGGGGCACTAGGATGCCCTCCTTTGAGGAATGACTGTGTGCAGCTCTTCAGAAAGAATTCCTGTAAGGACCCTGTGGCAAGAAGGCAAAGAAGGAATTCCTCATGCCCTCCCCTACCACATATAACCTCCCTCATCTCCTGCCTGTCTTTGGTTAGTGGCAGATGAGTCTCTTCTTCAAGGCAGGCACTCCTGTGCTCCTGGGCATGCAGTACCTTCATTCACAGGAAAAACAGCTTTTGGGTCTCTGAGCAGCCATAGTGGGTCTTATGCTGGTCGAACAGTTTGTGCAGAGCATCCATATAAAGTGCATGGTATTTGTCCACCATCTCCTGGCTTGGCTTTTCAATTTGGGGCAGTGGCAGAGGCTCCCCAACTGCCAAGAGAGATCGGAAAAGAGAAGAGGAAAGTGTTAGGACCTCCTCTTCCTTTAACCTCCCTCTCCTACCTTGGGCCTGACTCTCGCATCCCAGATCAGCTCCCACCTTCCCCTCTGCTGCCCTCTTCTTTGGTGGGGCCAGGCTGAGGTTGAGGTTGAGAAACCTGAGGTGGCACTGGGGCTGAGAGTGGCACTCACCCACAGTGACAATAGGCCTGGAGTATGGCAGGAGCCCAGTGGAGCCTTGACAGAAGCTTTGTCCATAGAAGACACAACAGTAGAAACCAAAGATACGGCGGAAGCAGCTCTGGAACTTGTACATCCTGCTATCCTTATGGAACAGCACCTGATCATACACCTCAGTTTCCCCAAAAGTGAAGGTGGGGACCAGATGAGCCCTGTAGGAAAACTCCAATTTATTTTCTAAACACAAGCTAGGATGAGACCCACCCTGGAAGAACATTTGTTTGCTTGCCAGGCCCTCATCTATTTTGATGAAATCCTGGTGACATAAAGCATTTTTTCTTGCACTAAACAGGGTTTCCCTATTTAATGTCTCTTGTCATGAAATTTTCAAGGCCAGTGAGATTGCTCTCTCTGGGCCAGGATTACAAGGGCACGATATAGCCAGGGGGCGGGGAGCGTCAGGGAAGCAAGAGAAGTTGAGCAGAGATCCCCAAGAGGGGATGCATAAGGTATTCTGTCCTTGGGTTATGGGATTAGAGCAGAGAAAAGTTGTTTCCCTTCCACAGACCATGAGATTCCACCCTGAACAGTGCCCTGGGTAGACAGTCAGGCTCAAATTCCGTGAGGGAAAGAAAAGTAAATCTCTCTTATACAAATCTTTGTGACTTGCTAATAACAATCTCTCAGCACTTTGACATATGTTACCTTACTGGTTCCTCACAGCAAAGGCCGTGGAGGGCACAGTGGGGGATGCAGAAGTACAGGTTCAGAAAGGGATGGCCACTCAGGCAGTGAGTGAGTGGCAGGATCTGGACTAGAACCCAGGACTCCCAGCTCAGAGCTCTCTTCCCTACATGATTCTTCCAACTGGTGAACAGGCCCTTCAGGCAAGGTCCTTGGAAGAAATACTGCCCTCTTCTCTAGGTCTGCAATACGACAATTGTCCCTGTGTCCAGAGAGCTGGCCTGCTGACCCAATGGGGCACTCTACAGCTCCAGCTCTGGACCCCTAAATCACAAATACTAACATTTATTGATCTCTTACAGTGTGCCAGGGACATGGTAAGTGTTTTGTGGGGATAAATTCATTTAAAGCCCACAGTCACCCTATGGAGTAGGTACAGTTCTTAGCCACATCATTAAGATGAAAAACACCAAGGCTCAGAATGGTTAAGGAACCTGTCCCAGAGTGCACAGTCATGGAGCCAGGATTTTAAATCAGGCTCCTGACTCCCAATCCTGCACACACACTCATTATACTGTACTGCCCCATGCACTTACCATTAGCAGACAGATGTAGATACCAGCATTGATAGAGATAATGTGGGCATCATCTATATGCCAGGGCAGCCTTAGCCCAATCCCCTTGATATTGAACCTGGGTTTATGGTTTGGCCTCTTAGAAACTAGTTGAGCTAGCTCAGAAGGACTGGATGACCCATTTTTCTTACTTGGTAGTATGTTCCTTGAGGGCAAAATTCACATCTGATTCATCCTGGCCTCACCGACAGGGTCATGCTGCTCAGAGAACACCATGCACTGCCCCTCTGTGGGGAACACCTACCCATGCTGGAGGGCTGTGCGCACGAACCCCTTGCGCTTCTGGAGGATGAGGGTGGTGGTGTTGGGCACACTTTGCAGGGCCTCACCCACACCTCCCACTACAATGCCCACGAGGTTGCCAGTGCCATGGCTCAGCAGATAGTTGATGGCTGGCTGGCTCACAGAGCACACACCTAAAGAGAATCAAGGAGCAAAATGATCAGGAGAGGAGAAAATTGCTAAGAGGGAACACTCTTCTCTGCTCTTCACTGGCTTGTTCTCATAGTTCCAAGGAGGAGAGGAGCAATGAGATGGGACTAAAGAGTGTGGAGAAGAAAAGGCTGTTGACAAACAGAATAGCTCACAATGAGGCAATATCTTCACTTTGCAGGAGGCACTGAGCCAAAACCGGTAGGAAGGTTTTCAGTGGGATAACCAGAAGGACTTCCTGAATCCCATGTATAATGGTACCTTTTTTTTTTTTTTCATTAAGAGCAACAGCTATTATTTATTGAGGATATACTCTGTGGCAGGCATTGTGTCGAATTCTTTTTTTTTTTTTTTTTTTTTTTTTGAGACAGAGTTTCTCTCTGTCACCCAGGCTGGAGTTCAATGCTGTGATCTCGGCTCACTGCAACCTGCACCTCCTGGGTTCAAACGATTCTCCTGCCTCAGCCTCCTGAGTAGGTGGGATTACAGGTGCCCACCACCATGCCCAGCTAATTTTCGTATTTTAAGTAGAGATGGGGTTTTCCCATGTTGGCTAGGCTGGTCTCGAACTCCTGACCTCAGGTGATCCACCCACCTCAGCCTCCCAAAGTGCTGGGATTACAGGCGTGAGTCACTGCACCTGGCCAGTGTCGAATTCTTTACTTGCATCATCTCACTTTTAGTCATCATCCCACAACTGATGTCAGACTATTTTCATCTGTACCACTTTATGGATGAGGAAACTGAGGCTAGTTTGCTCAAGACCACACAAGTGGTAGAGCTAGGAGGGTTCAATGCCAGGCAGCTTAGCTCTAGAACATATGCTTTTGACTACTATGCCATAATGACATGGGGGCGGGTGGGGGGAGGAGGGGATGGAATTTAAAAGGGTGCATTTCCAAGCAGAAACATGGACCAGAAGCTCCAGTAAGTATGGTCAGAAGCACCTTTGGCCATGAGGTACTCCCTAACAAAGGGGATCTTGAAGAACCAGGACAGCGTGGCCAAGTGAGGAGTGATGCCTGGGAAGGTCTTCGAGAAGCCTGTGGCCTCAGTGCAGAAGTTGCAGAAGGCGCCAAAGGTCAGGAGGCCATGGGGGTGAACCCCCATGAGGTAGTTGTGCTCAGGTGATAGGTCCTTTGTCTTCAGGATCTGCAGCCATGGAGAGAAATGCCAGAGGTGGTGGAATGAGATTACATGGCAGAAACAAGGGTGGTGATACTTCAGGGATCAGGGTGCTCTCTAAAGCAGAGCTTTCCAACAGATTTCCTGAATGGGTTTCAGGAGGGCTGAGATATTGGTCTCTGTGGCCATTGGACAACAAGGTAGGATCTGGGACAGCTAGAACTGCCAGATCTCCTGCCTGTGGCTAGAAGTAGCCTCAGCCATCTATGTCAGTGTGCTTTGTGCAAATTATCATTGTCTATGAGCACTTTTGTGAAAAAGATCAGGAAGCTTGGCTCTAAAAGTCGGGGTGGTGTTTGTTGTATACTCCAAAGAGTGCCCTGAGGATCAGCATAACAGTACATTTCTGGAACCTCTTCCTGGCATTGTTTCCTGCCAATCCCCTTCCAGTGCCTGCCTAAATAACTTGTATGGAACTTGGAAAACCCTGCTAAGATATCACCATGTCTGTGAAGCCTTTCCTTATCCCGCATCTGAACTACTTCTGTACCTTGTGCCAAACAAATAATATACTTTATACTAATGTCCTCCCCATTAGATGTGAGCTCCTCGATGGCAGAGAATTGCATCCTATTCATTTCTCTGTACTGCTAACGTGGTTCAGAGTAGATTTTCAATCCATGCTTATTAAACTGATCTGAACTGTGCTTGCCTTCTGACTGTGTCAGCTGGCAGGTGATGCCAAGGGTGTCCAAAGTTTCCTAGCTGAGTATGGAGTGCTCAGTAGAAATGTTGAATCTTGAAGTATATCTAGCATAGACTGAGACTTCCCTGGGATACTTATCTTCCTTATGGACAACTCTAGTCATGTGGTATAAATGCCTACCCAGTATTTTGGGAACTCTGAGGACACTGGGGAAGAGATACTTACCGTAATGGGGAAATAGTCCCTGATGTGGGTCCAGACACACCAGTTCCTTACCCAGGCCGAACGCCTGCCACCTGAGGCAAAAGAAGAAGTAGGGGATGATGTCAGTGTGTGCCATCCCATACATTCCACGGACTCAGGGATTCCCTAGCATGGCTCTGCTAGAGAGGTGGGAAAGGAGGAGACCCTAGGATGGTCCTGTTTGGCCGAGCTCCTGTGGCTCTGAGAACTTGGATGAGGGGCCTGTGGTATGGCGAGTGGGACTCTCTGGCTGCAGGTTATGATGGAACATTCTTCTTTCTAGGTCTGTGAGTCTTACCTCGCTCTGGGGTCTTCCAGTCCAGGAACAACCAGGCAAAGTAAAGCACTGGTAGCGGCCACAAGGATGTAAACAGCAGGTAGACGAACAATGGCTGCAAGATCCAAACTGATGAGGGACCAGGTTAGACCAAATTTGTGCTGCCAGCAGAACTTGACCATGCCCAGTCCCATCACCAGCTCTCCACATTACCTAAGCCTCTGGTCCTGGCCCTCAACACAATCCAGGTCCTGTTCATCATCCATGTCTACTTGTCCTTCAAACTTTTCCTCTATCATTTACCATACAGAAGCCCTATTTCTCTGCCTGTCTGTCATCCCTGTCCACCTGCTTCCCTGTACAGCCACTACCTCTGTACTCCTGCTCTCTACTTCCCACCAGTTTTTTTTCCTCCTGCCCCCATTTGGTCACCATCTTTTTCCTCTTGTCTCCTGTCTCCCTCCCTATCCGTCATCCCTCGTTAAGCCACTAGCCCACTCTCCCTCACCCCTATACTATCTATATCTTCCTACACGCTGCCCATCCAGCATCTGCATCCTTCTAGTATTTCCTATCCACTATGCTTGTCCTCTTGCCCATTCACCATTCTTTCCAATGACACTGTCTTCCCGCATGCTACCACCACCCCACTCCCAGAATAGACAACTCTATGGTTCAGACACAGGCTATACTTCTTTAAGTCTGGGATGCTAATGTTTCCTCTGTCCTATTCCCCATGATCATAAGGGAGCATTCCCTGGGCCTCACTTTTCCTCTCTAGATAGTAAGGATTAGGAAGTGGCTGAAATTAACTAGATCTACTCATATCCATCATGACCCTGTTCCACCCCCCGCCCCCTCCCACTACATATTCTCACTGTCTCCTGGGGCTCTATCTCATTCTTCTCCAGGGCACTCATGGAACTCAAGACTCCTTGGTTTTACTCTCTAGTACAATCTTAGATGATGGAAAGGCTCAAAATGAGACTTCACATGGCCCTAAAAGTCACCCTAGATCTGGCCCTGGCTTCTGACTCTGGCTTCTTGCTATGCACTCTTGGGTCAATACTCACAGATGGCAAGGTAGCTCAAAGGCCACTGCAGAAGCATCAGACTCTGGAAGTGACTAGGCTGCTTGGAATGAGCCATGATTCTCGGGAGCCTGAGGGAGGCAAAGATCTCAGAACAGTGTTCCAACCAAAGGTGCCACCAGCCTCTGGAAGTTCACTTAATAGTGAATGCATATAACTATGAGGAGTTTGCACCTGCCCTCTTCCCTCTTGTCCTTCCCTGCCCCCCCACCCACCGCAGGGGCAGGCTCTGAAGTACAAGGACTGCCCCGTCAGGTCTGGTCCAGCTCATTTGCCCTTTGACTCTCTTTCCTAGGATTATTAGGACATCAAGATGGAGAAAGGTGAGAATGACTGCCATGTAGTCAGAGTGACACAGGGACCTAGAGAAGGTGAAACCCCCTCACAGGCTACTCAGAAACTATAGGGATTTGTGACCTTTGGGAGATGACTGCTGGGAAGGGAGTTCTGGGGATTTGTGATGTGGGGAGCACCTGGGATTTGGCTTTTGTTGCCCTGAAGCAGCCTGCTTTGGGGCTGCCCCACCTTTAACTTTAATTATAAAAATTTCCAAACACACAAAAAGCTAGAAGATGCAACAAATTTTTATCTTCATGTTCATCTTCAACAACTATTAATATTTTTCCATACTTGTTTCATTTATCTCCCCACCTTTTTTTTTTCTTGGAGTATTTTAAAGCAATTCTAAGATAGTGTGTCATTTCACCCCTAAATACATCACTATGCATCTACAAAAAATACAGATGTTTTCTTCCATATTACCCTTAACAAATTTAATAATTCCTTAATAATATCTAACATCCAGTCCATATTCAAATGTCTTTCTATAGTTGGCCAATTTGAATCAGAATCCAAACAAGGTCCACTGGTTATATTTGGATGTTATGTGTCTTATGTCTCAGTCTCTTGCTCTCTGTCTGTCATTATAAAATAGAACCCAGATACAGAGAGCCACTTAAAACAAATGTATGGGTTAATGAATTATTATAAGACAAACATCTTGTAACCACCACTTGATGAAGAAGATGAACTTTTCTCTCCACCCCAGGATGCTCTCCATGTGCCCCATTTCAATCACAATCCACTTCCTCCTCCCAAAGTAACCATTATCTTTGACATTTAGAGTCATCTTTTCCTTGCATTTCTGTGGTTTTCTTACCTAAGTGTACTTCCCTAATGACTATGGTTTAGTCTTCCCCATTTTAAATATTGATATGTCCTTGAAGTTTTCTCTCTCTCTTTTTTATGGTTTTTTTTCTTTTTTGAGGCAGGATCTTACTCTGCCACCCAGGCTGGAGTGTAGTGGCGCAAACACAGCTCACTGCAGCCTCAATCTCCCAGGCTTAAGTGATCCTCCAGCCTCAGCCTCCTGAGTAGTTGGGACCACAGGTGCGCACCATCACGCCTGGCTAATTTTTTATTTTTTGTAGAGATGGGGTGTCACCATGTTGCCCAGGCTGGTCTTGAACTCATGAGCTCAAGAAATCCTCCCACCTCAGCATCCCAAAGTGCTGGGATTACAAGCATGAGCCATCATACCTGGCCATTTTTACTTTTTAATTTGGAATACTTTTAGATTTATGAGAGAGTTGCAAAGATAGTACAGAGAGTTCCCTACACCCTTCGTGTAGCTTCCCCTTTATGTTAACATCTTATAAAACAATGGTATATTTATCACAACTAAGAAACCAATATTGGTGCATTTATATTTACTAAACACCAGGTTTTATTTGTATTGTATCAATTTTTTTCCACAAATGTCCATTTTCTGTCCCAGGATCCCATTGGAATCTCACATTGCATTTAATCATCATCTCTCCTTTGTCTCCTCCTCCTTTGACAGTGTCTCTGTTTTTATTTTATTTTATTATTATTTTTTAACCACATACTCAGATTGGGTTAGTTTCTCGGTCTTTCCGTGACTTCCATGACTTTGGTGCTTTTGAAGAGTTTAAGTCGGTTCCCCCTCCATCCCTTTCCTTTCCTTATGCTTTAGCTATTGAAGAACCCACAGCATTTGACCTGTAGAATTTCCCACAGTTTGGATTTTGCTTATCTCATACTTACTTAGGGTGCTTCAGCATGTTCCTCTGTATTTCTTGCAGATTGATAGCTGGATTCAAAGACTATAGTGATTCAGATTTGATCCCTTTGTCAAGATCTTAATTTTCTTTTAATATAGAACAATCTCCCTTCCTCCCCTCCTTTTTTTCCCATGCCACTGACTTAGTGAAGACTGTTTTTCTTTGGAGTAAGCCAGTCTTCCAAGCTTCTGTGAGCAGGGTTGGGGTGTGGAGTGTGATTCCTAGGTGAGTCTCAAATACAGGCCAACGTGGGAGGGGGGAAGCAAAGCCCTCATTTCTCTCTTGAACTCTTGTTGTAACTTTATGCCCATTAAAGCAAACGTGGTTGTGTGTGTGTGGTTTTTGGTTTTGTTTTTTGCTTTTTCCACCTGAAGTTTACATGCTTCTAAAGAGATTGGGACCATATCTTATTTGTCAGTATATCTGCTCCTAATGCCTGAAAGCCCTAGGGCCTCGGCGTTAAGAGAAGGATCAGTAAGTGAGGATCTTAGTTTGGGGTCTATGATTGGATGATTTCTTACGGGTAATGAGATCACTAGAGTCCTATGGGGGCATATGTCCCGGGGACTTGAGTGGGGGATGAGAGGCCATACAGAAACAAGACAAGGAACACATTACAAAAGGGGAGAAGAAAGAATGAGAGAAAGGAAGGCAGACGCTCACCTTTGAGGCACTTTGGCAAAAGAAAAAGTTCTGCCTACTTTGCCCTCCCACTCCAGGTCTTCCTGTTTACTGGAAACCAGCCTGGCTCTAGAGCAAATGTTAGCACTCAGGTCTTACGGCACCACTGCCCTATCGATGTGTTGACATCCTGTGGTTGAGGTTGGAAACTCGCCCCTGATAATATGGGGGAGATTAGCACTCTGTCTTTCCAGAATAGAATATCCTGGGCCTACACCAACTCCCTCTTCATACTCTCTCATCCTTGTAAATTGTCTTCTCCAGGAAGCAAGCCTCCTGGGTTAACTTTTAATAATATGTGAATTCTCAGTTTTTCTCCTCTATTTCCTCCTGCCTCCCTTGGAAAAAAAAGTAAGTAAGTTGTTGAGAAGACCTTCAAGCTAAGAGAGTTGACCTGTATATATATTTTTCTTTTTAGCACTAGATCCCAACCATTGCCTTAGTACTTTAACGTTTACAATGCCATGGATCTCCACATGATAATACGTAACAAACTAAAGCCACTATGTATATACATCATGACAGTATTTATATGCATTTGAAAGAAAAGTGTGCTGTAAGCATATTATTTATTCATTCTAAACAATGCTCGGGTCAGGTAGAGGTTTCTGGAGTCCTTGTAATAATTAAGTTACTCCTCCACTCCTCAGAGGTTTGCACCTCCAGGTTGGAAACAATGGCTTTCTTGCTTTTTTCCAAAACGGAAATTTATTTCCTTTTTTTTCTGATTATGAAAATAATCCATGTAAATCATAAAATTTTCAGAGCACTCAGAAAAGTATAAAGGGAACAAAAGTCATTCATAATCTCACTACCCAGAAATGACCACTGTTAACTGTTAACATCCTGGTATCTATCTTTCTTGACTTTTTGTCTATACAAATATAAGCATAGGTATAGAGTCCCTGTTAAGAGTTCGGGCTCTTGAGTCCAACATATCTAAGTCTATGTCTCAGCTCTGCCACTTAAGTGAACTATGGCAGATGATTTAATCTCTTAGTGCCTCCGTTTCCTCATAAGTAAAAAGATACTTATAATACCCACATCACAGAGTTGTCAAGAAGTTAGAATAATTCATGTGAAGCATTTTGATCAGTGCCTTGCTCATATATATGATCATATTAAAAGCTCGATACATGTTAGTTACTATATATATTAACCAAAATGGGATTATATTCTATGTCCCATTTTGTAACCTGCTTTTTCACCCAAAAGTATATCGTGGACATTTTTCATGTCAATCTTCTTCTGTAACATTATACATAGCATTTCATTGTATGGATATGCTATAATTCATTTAACCAATCTCCTATTATGGAGGAAGCACTTATTTTTAGACATGTCTCTTTCACACTCTGGTCAGATCTTTAGCTCTTTTAATGGTAGGTGAAATGTCACTGATCAGAAACCCTCCTATACTTGGAGCCTTCTCAATGGCAATGCTGTGTCCTCTCCCCCAGCACTTCCTAGGAGTTAGTGGTACAGAAAGTGAAATGCATTCTTTTTTCTTTTTTTTTTTTTGAGACAGAGTCTCGCTCTTGTGCCCCAGGCTGGAGTGCAATGGCATGATCTCGGCTCACTGCAACCTCTGCCTCCTGGGTTCAAGTGATTCTCCTGACTCAGCCTCCTGAGTAGCTGGGATCACAGGTGTGTGCCGCCACACCTGGCTAATTTTTGTATTTTTAGTAGAGACGGGGTTGCACCATGTTGGCTAGGCTGGTCTTGAACTCCTGACCTCAACTGATCCACCCGTCTTGGCCTCCCAAAGTGCTGGGATTACAGGCATGAGCCACCACGCCCGGCCTGTGAAATGCATTCTTAAGCTTCCATCAACCTGGGTAGGTTCCAGGGACCAGGTAGCCAGGTTAGCAGAATCAGCCTCTCTCTCCAAGGAGATGACCATGTCTGAACAAAGGGCTTGATTTTCTTCTCCAAACAACTCAGGAAGCATAGCTATGGTCTGAATGTGTCCCCCAAAGTTCATGTGTTAGAAACTTAATTCCAAATACAATGCTGTTAAGAGGTGGGCCTTTAAGGGATAATTAATGTCATTATCACAGGAAGGGGCTAGTTATCATGGGAGTAGGTTCTTTATCACAAGAGGGGATTCATTATAAAAGCGAGTTTGGCGCTTTCTTGCTCTCGCTCTTGCTCTTCTGCCTTCTACCATGGAATGACTCAGTAAGAAGACCCTCACCAGACGCAGGCCCCTTAAGTTTGGACATCTCAGACCCCAGAACTAGAAGAAATAAATTTATTTTCTTTGTGAATTACCCAGTCTGTAGTATTCTGTTATGGCAACACAAAATTGTCCAAGACAGCAGGTTTCATGAAGGCCCACAGTATCCTACTAGACCTGGCAGGGCTGTTGTTTGGATTCACCTCAGTTAAATTGAGGAAATGTTTAAATAAATGCAAGCTAAGTCCAGGGCTGAGGTGAAGCCTGGAAAAATGGGACTTGTAAGTCCCATCACTGAGGTCAGCCTGTACCCAGGACAAACTAGGTAAGAAATCTGTTGTTTCATCAGTGTCTTGGCTTCTAGGCTTTTCTATTGTTTTGTTTTCCTTTTGAGAAAAATTCAGTCAGCTCACCTGAACTAATGATTAGTGTTTTACAATTTCCTAGGCCAGAATGTCTGGGGCATCCAGGGATTTTCTTGGTATCTGGGTGGTCCTGGCCACCCTTCCTGAATGACATATTTTTAAAAAAGTAATAGCTAAAAGAAAACCTGGGAATGTGGAGAACTGGTTGTTAGTAAGGACATGATCCTTTCCTTTTGTTTTTGTTTTCTTAATGTGACATCAAGAAATTGTAGTAATCGTAATCCTTGGCGAATGACATACTTTCATTGTTTTATGAATGTCCTTCTTTTCTATCTATGTATCCATGTATCTATGTATCTATGTATCTGTGTATCTATCTATCTATCTACCTACCTACCTACCTACCTTTATTGATCCAGGTTTTTCCAGTTGGAATTTCCCTCTCGAGCACTACACATGTAAAGTACTGTCTTGCCCCTGGATCACAAGTTAGCCGCTAGTTATCTGGCCTTGGTCTTCGCTTTCTTCTCTGAGAGCTGAAGGTATCTTCTTGATGCTACAGCTTTGGTAATAGAATTCTTCTTTCCCTTATCTTCAGTCCCTGGCCTGTAAGCATTCATCAGAGCAGATTCAAACTCTCAAGTGAGTTCTGTCATAATAGGATGTGGGCAGCAAATAGCTAAAATAGGTCACGGAGGATGAAGAGGTGTCAACATTCTCCTAAGCCAATGTTTGGTCATATGAGGATCTAGGTATCAAGACACAACTTGATGTTCTAAGATCTGGAAGGTCAGCAAGTAGGGAGGTCAAGGCAAAAATAAACCAAGAGGGAAGGCCACTCCAAAAAGCGGCAAAGCCAGTGGAAACCACCCAGGCCTAGTCCTAGGTCAAAGGTTAGTGGATATCAAAAGGGCAAGTGATCTTGGTCTCTCTGTCTGGATGATTAGAACAATCAGACAGGAGTCTTGCCATTGTCACACCTGCTTTGACATGCTGGGCCAAGCTGTCATGCAGTGTCACTGGCTAACCTCAGCTTATACCCAAGTTACCCTACCTGCCTCTGGCTTTCTGCCTTTTCATTTTAAACATGTTTTTGTGCAAAACAATTGGATGAATTCATGCTGTAGGGTGTGTGTGTGTGTGTGTGTGTGTGTGTGTGTGTGTGTGTGTATAACTAGCCAAGGTAGGGGCAGCAAAGATCGAGGATTTAATGCAGTGTGATAGCTGCAGGAGTGAAAACCATGGTGTGCAAAGAATCTCTCATATCACAGAATGTGGCTAGGCAAATGCTATCTGGCAAGCTGCTTCCGTTTCTCCAACATGACTGAACTGTGAGGGACTGAGAACCCATCAGTCTGAAGGGCAATGGTTTATTGGCTGCAAACTCTCCGGGGCCTAGGCACCCACCAGGGACTCTTTCTCATTCATTCTCAAGTCCAGGAATGGCTGCCTGTGCCCACTGGGTAACAGCCATTCATCTCATACATTATATCCTTCATAAGTAGTTAACCCCATTGGCCCCTCGATGTTTCTGGAAGATCTTAGTTTCCCACTCTTTTCACCTTTGGTGTCAGAGAGACTACAAGGGACATCAAGATCATAAAACTGGGCTGGGCGTGGTGGCTCGCACCTGTAATCTTAGCACTTTGGGAGGCCGAGGCAGGTGGATTACTTGAGGTCAGGAGTTCAAGACCAGCCTGGCCAACATGGTGAAACCCCATCTCTACTAAAAATACAAAAAATTAGCTGGACATGGTGGTGGGCGCCTGTAATTCCAGCTACTCGGGAGGCTGAGGCAGGAGAATCACTTGAACCCGGAGGCGGAGGTTGCAGTGAGCTGAGATCACGCCATTGCACTCCAGCCTGGGCAACAAGAGCGAAACGCCATCTGAAAAAAAAAAAAAGAATCATAAAATTTTTCATCTTATCTTCTGGGAGAAGTAGCTGGTGTGGCTTGATGTTTCCAAGGCTTCGTCTTTATCTTCTAAGAGATGGCATGCTTGCCAAAGTTACTGTAGCTGCTGGGGCTGCGGGCAGAGAGGGATACCCTTCACTGCAGGGTAGTGGGGAATTACATAAACTTTTATTGTCCTTAATATGTTCTCAAAACTAAACTAAACTTAGTGTATGGTTTATTCAACCTCTGGGAATGAGAAAAACATCTTTTATGCCCCAAAGCTGTGACCTGTTACATAGAGGAGGCAGGGAGACCTAGAAGGAGTCAAGACCTACAAGCTGAGCCAGAGGTTGCAAACTCAAATGTCTCTAGGGATCAGAGATATAGAGATGAGGGAACCAGGCTGAGAGTTGTAACAAGGAATGGTGGGGAGTATGTTGACCCAGAGAGGGCGTGTTCCTTCTAAAGGCCTTCAAATTTAGTTTCTCCAACTATTTTTAGAAAAAACTTCAAACATACAGGAAGGTTGAAAGAATAGTATAATAAACAACTGTATATCATCTACCTCTCAAATTCAACAATTAATATTGTGCATATTTATCTCTCTGTACATATATGCATATGTACATGTATACATGTATACATGTTTTATGTGGACAGCACGGTTATGGTTGTTTTTAAATTTGAAATGGTTCAGAAAAACAAGACACACATACATACATATATGCATCTGACTTAAGAAATAGATGCTACCAGTAGTTTCTAAGGCCCCTGTGTGCCTGTCCCTGTTCTCATTCCCCCGTGCCCTCCCCTACCATGAGTAACTGATGTGTTTGTCTATTATTCCCTTGATTTTATTTACAGTTCCATCACATATGTATGTCTCCTTAAACAATAAAACATTTAGGTTTGTCTGCTTTTGACATAGAAACATTACACACACACACACACACACACACACACACACACACACAGTATTCTTCTGTTACTTGATTGTTTTCACTCAACACTATGATTTTGATACTCATCTTTGTTGACATACGCAGCTCTGCTTTTTGTATTCCATTGTATGAATATGGATGTACCACAGTTCATTCATCCATGTTCTTATTGATGGACATTTATATTGGTTTTTGCTATTATGTACATTGCTTCTAGAACATTCTATTTTATGTCTTCTGGTGCTCATGTGCAAAAGTTTCTCTAGGATCTATAACTAAGAGTGGAACTGCTGGGTCATATGGTCTGTGTGTATTCAATTGTACTAGAGCATACTAGATTGTTTTCCAAAGTGATTGTATCAGTATATGCCTTTGCCAGAGTGTGAGAGTTCACATTGCTCCATATCTTCTCTAACACTTGGCTTTAACTAACTTTAAAATTTTTGCCAATCAGTTTAGTGTGAGATGCTACATTGCTGTGGTTTTAATGTGCATTTCCTTAATTACTAATGAGTTTGGGTGTATCAGTTCATATGTTTATGAGCAATATTTCTTCTGGAAAATTCTTGTCTATGTTGTTATTGATTTTTCTATTGGTTGTTTTCCTCTTATTGATTTGCAGGAGCTCTTGATATATTCCACATATTAATCCTTTGTCAGTTAGGTGCTGGAACTGTCAACATACCAATGTGTGGTGGGGTATGGAGGACATAGCCTCCAGAGCCAGACTACGTGGATTCAAATCCCAGCTCCACTTTTTACTAACTGTAAAAGATCTCGCACAATTTAACCTCTCTGTGCCTCAGTTTCCTTAACCCCTTTGAGCTTCTTTGTTCTCATCTGTGGAGTACCTAATTCATAAGTTATGATGATGATTAATTGATTTAATATGTGTAAAGTACTTAGAATGGTGCCTGGTAATCAAGACATAGCTATTTTAAAAAAAGCTTTTATTTTAGGCTCCGGAGTACATGTGCAGGTTTGTTTTATAGGTAAACTCATGTCACAGGGGTTCGTTGTACAGATTATTTCATCACCCAGGTACTAAACCTAGCACCCATTCGTTATTTTTTCTGATCCTCTCCCTCCTCCCTTCTTCCACCCACAAGTAGGCCCCAGTATCTGTTTGTGTCCATGCGTTCTCATCATATGGCTCCCACTTATAAGTGAGAACAAAGGCATAGTTTTAAATAAAATGCTCCTCTGAGAGTAGGGATTTAAAGAAAATTTATAAAGTAACTTTTATTTTGTTACAATGTTTTCTCTTTTAAATTTCTAACAAAGTAATAAATTCAAGTGATAAAAAATAAAATAGTACAGAGGGTTTATGATGAAAAGGAACAGTTATCTAACCCTGTCTCCACTTCCTAAGGGAAAATAATTTTAACTCATTTTGGTATTAATTCTGGTGATTATCTCCCTAAGTCTAAACAATATGCTTTGATCTGTTCACTGATGTATCTGAAGGGCTGTTGACAATGCCTGGCACATAGTAGGTGCTCAATAATATTTGTTGAATGAATTCTCCTTTTCCTAGTTGGTAGATTGTCTTTTCACTTTTTATTTATTTATTTATTTATTTATTTGAGAGAGAGTCTCACTCTGTCACCCAGGCTAGAGTGCAGTGGTGCGATTTCAGCTCACTGCAACCTCCACCTCCTGAGTTCAAGGAATTCTTGTGCCTCAGCCTATCAAGTAGCTGGGACTACAGATGCACACCACAATGCCCAGCTAATTTTTGTATTTTTTGTGGAGATGGGGTTTCACCATGTTGGCCAGGCTGGTCTCAAATTCCTGGACTCTAGCAATCCACTCACCTCAGCCTCCAAAAGTGTTGGCATTAAAGGCGTGAGCTACTTTGCCCAGCCCTTTTCCCTTTTTTAGAGATTTTTTTTCAAGTTCTTAATTTTAACTTGGTTGAATTTATCAATCCTTTCCCTTGAGGTTTATACTTTTTGCGTGTTGTTTAATCAATTCTTCCCCATCTGAGGTTTTAAAGATATTTTCCTATGAATTTTCTTCCTAAATTTTAAGTCTATTTTTCTTAAAAATTTATTCATAACTTTAGGGAAGAGAAAGGGCTGCAAAAACAGCAGGTTTAGATAGTTACAGAAAAGAGTTTCCACAAATATTGACCGGAGTGATTCTCAGTCTGTAAATGGGGCTGGGCTAAGCCTCTTGGCTCCTCTTCAAGCTCCTTCCCTGATGTTTTTAGTCTCAGGGCCGAGCCTTCCATCCTAGCCCTCCTCTGCCAACCACTGCTACCTCACATTTTCTCTAGCTAAGATTCCTTGAAGAAAAGTACAAGTAAAAGGACTTAAGTGAAATCCATTTTATATCTCATTCATTTGTTCAACAAATATTTATTGTGTGCTATGTTTCATGCAGTGTTCTAAGTGCTGGGGTTACAGAAGTGAACTAGACAAAGTCTCTGTCCTCACGATGCTTACATTCTAGGGAGAGAAGACAACAGCAAACATATATATAATATAATATAATATAATACCAAGCTGTGCTACATTCTGCAAAATGAAAAAATCAGAGTAAGGGGGCTGGGGAATGGGTTGCAATTTTAGATAGGTTGGCAAGGGAAGGCATGTGGCTCTAGGGGAAAAGTCACCGTAGACAGACAGAATAGCAGGTACAAAGTCCTTGAGGCAGGAGCATGCTTAACTTGTTCAAGGGGCAGCAAGTGGGCCAGTGTGGTGAGTAACAAGTAGAGAAAGGAGTAGGAAGTGGGGTCAGAGAGGTAGTGGTAGGGTTAGCCATGGCAAGTCTTTGAGGACATAAGTTATCTTGAGTCATCAATGACTGCCTATTGGGCAGTAGCAAGGAGTAGGGCTGGATTTCTATTCTGGTCTCTTGGTCCCTGGTTTCTCTTCCCTTCACTACCCATTTAATCTTTTGAAATTTCCCTTTGCATTTGTCACTTTCAGGTACTATTGCTTATGAGATAAAGGCCAAATTTCACAGTCTCTGAAAGCTCTCCCATGTTGTTCCCTCTACCTGGAATACCCACACATCTCTTCTTCGCCCAAGGTGGCATGACCAACCCAGTCAAGACAAGAAGCCAGTTTTCTTGACTCTCAGTTGTAACAATAAGAACATGTTAGAACTAGAATGATTTCTGTTAGTTGGGATGTAGGTTCAGTGCATGTAACAGAGATCCAAAATAAAATATGGCTTAAATAAGTTAAAGATCTATGTCTTTCTTTCTCTCAGTCACCACAAGGTATCTGCGTTACTGTGGCAGTTCTGCTCAATGAAGTTGTTAGGGGCCCGGGCCCCTCCATCCCTGGGGTGTTGGCCTTACTTGCATTATCCACGCTGGTTCATCACCAGGTCTCCCTAGACCATTGTAATAGCCTCTTAATGACCTCCCTGCTTTGGCATTTGCCCCATTACATTCTATTTTCTACCAGACAGCTAGAGGAAGGCTTCTAAACTGTAGGCCAGATTTTGCCATTCCCTGCTCAAAGCCCTTCCAATGATGACGACAATCTCTAGACACTGATGTGGAGTGATTTCCAGAATATATTTTAGTGAAAAAAGCAAGATACAGAGCAGCATATATAGTAATACTACCTTTTGGGCTAGATGAGGGGAACAAAATATATATATTTTTATATATTATATACATTATTATATATTATATATAATATGTATTTGTACATATATAAAACATGTTTATATATATGTACAAATACATATATACAGAAATGCTTTTATTGCAAAAAGTACTCTACAAGGAAAACAAACCCCAAATTAACAAAAATGGTTATCTGTAGGGAGAGGGAAAGGACAGGTTAGAGGGGGTGGAGATGGAAGTGAGATGTCTCTGAATATACTGTATCATATCAGCTAATAAGTGTGGAGGGAATGACAGAAATAGAAAAACATTATTGTACAACCTCTGATGAAATAATAGTGTCAGTCAATGATGATCATTGGCTGCTAAAACCATGAGGTGAAAGGTGGATATAGAATGTCACAATGAAAAGATCACGCTGTCACCACCTGCACTTCTGATCAATCTTAGAATCACTAAAAGTGGGGCAACCTATACTTATGAAGTATTAGTATACTTCATATATATAAAGGACCTACCTATACTTATTCTTACCTCTAAAGTTAATCCTGAATCTAAACAAGCCTTGGACTAACTTTCAGTTTACAGGAAATGGAATAAAGGAACAAATTAAAAGATACCACAGGGAAGCAAACAGAGAAATCCAGAATCCAGGACTTTTTACAGGACAGTAATCTAGTTTCTTTAAGAAGTCAGTGGATCCGGGCTTGGAGACACGTACCTGTAGTCCCAGCTACTTGGAACGCTGAGGCAGGAAGATTGCTTGAGCCCAGGAGCTCTGGGCTGGAGTGTGCTATGCCAGTGGGGTATCTGCACTAAGTTTGGCACAAGTTTGGCATTGATATGGTGACCTCTCGGGAGCAGCGGGGACCACCAGATTGCTTAAGGAGGGGTGAACTGAGCCAGGTTGGAAATAGAGCAGGTCACAACTCCAGTGCTGATCAGTGGTGGGATCGTGCCTATTAATAACCACTGCACTCCATCCTGGGCAACATAATGAGACCCCTTTTCTTAAAAATAAGTCCGTGGTATGAAAAAAGTGAGGGACAGGAGATGAAGGACTGCTTTAGATGAAAATAATTTATGGGACATCATAAACCAACTGGAAAAAATATTTTTAAGGCAATGAGGGAAATTTGACTATGGACTGAGCATTAGATGATACCAAAGAATTAATTTTGTTAGTTGTGATAATGGCTTTATTTTTATGTAAGAAAATATTCATATTTTTCAGATGTGACATATGTAAGGGTGAAATTTGCTTTAAAATACTTCAGCAAAAATAGAAAATTTGAAATAGATGAAGGAAGTGGTATTATCTTGATAATTGTTGAATCTAGGTGATGAATTTATGGAGGTTCATTATACTATTCTCTCTACTTTTGTATCTGTTTAGAAACTTTCATAATAAAACATTTTAACTCCTCCAACAATTCCTCCTCTCACTTAGAAAAAATATCCAAAGTCAACACCTTGATCCCTGAGGTCCTACTTGATCTAGTCCCTGTCACCTCTCTCACCTCATCTTCCATTCTCCCCCTGTTCATTTCACCTCAGCCAGTTACCAGGCCATCTTGCTGTTCCCTAAACATGCCAAGTAGATTCCTTCTCAGTATTTTTGTCCTTACTCATCCCTTTGCTTGGACTGTTCTTCCCCCAGTGGCAGCTGGTTGCCTCACTTCATTCAGATCTCTATCCAAATAACACATTTCCAGGAAGGGTCTCTGTCAGTACCCCAGCTGAAATAGGACTCCCACTGAGCCCTTGATTTTTCTTCACGGTACTTATCACTACCTAATGGTGTGGCTTGCTTACTTGATTGATTGTCTGCCTCCCTAAACTAGAATACAAACTCTCTGAGGGCAGAGTCTTTGTTTTATTCAGTGCTGCAATCCCAACATCTGGTAGGTTGGCACAAAAGTAATTCTTTTTTTTTTCCTTTTTTTTTTTTTTTTTTTTTTTGAGACAGAGTCTCACTCTGTCACCCAGGCTGGAGTGCAGTGGTGTGATCTCAGCTCACTGCAACCTCCGCCTCCCAGGTTCAAGCGATTCTTCTGCCTCAGCCTCCCGAGTAGCTGGGGCTACAGGCATGTGCCACCATGCCTGGCTAATTTTTGTATTTTTAGTAGAGACAGGTTTTCACCATATTGGCCAGGCTGGTCTTGAACTCCTGACCTCGTGATCTGCCCACCTCGGCCTCCCAAAGCGCTGGTACAGGCATGAGCCACTGCACCCAGCCTTAGTGCAAAAGTAGTTCTATTAGGTTGCACCAACCTAATAGAACAGTGGTTGCCACATAGTAGGAACTCCATAAGCATTTGTTAAAATAACCAAAGAACAGGGTAGTGATCACTTGAAAGCACTGAGTGATTTGTCAGGTTGACACATTTGCTGAACTGCTAATCCTCTACAAACACCATGTGCTATAATGACCTGTATATGTCATATGGTGTGACAGATCTCGGAGATAAAGAGTGAGGCATCTCCCAGACTCTGCTTGTCTTCAGGGAGGACTTGTTTGCACAGATGCTTTGGGGCTGTGTTACCTGGCTCACCTCCAGGCAGTTGGTTTGTAAAGCGGGTGGAGCCCTCCTCTAGCTATCAGCATGACTGCTGTGTTTTCTGATTCACCAGTTCCCTGTCCAAGGCCATCCCTAAGCTCTGTTTTCTTCCAGTTACTGGGGAAAACAGGAAAACTGGTTGTTGAGAAAAAGCGCCACCAGGTCTTGGGAGCCAGCATGTAGGCTCTCAATGTTTTTAATTCTTCCTCAGACATCGTGCCTTGAGACTGTGGTGGTTTATGTTGTGGAGGCCTGAAAAGAGTGAGTTCCCTGTGACAGTTGTGGACCTGGCAGCAGCAGTGAGTCTGAAGGTCTGTTTACTTCCCTCAACAAGGAATTGTTCCCCTATCTACATTACATCCAACCTCTCCCTTGTCCCTCTTGGTACTTTCTTGTTATGCAGCGACAGAATAGAAGTGAGCTTGGGCCTGAGGCACCTGAGGGATGCCTGAGCAGAGGCCCCATTCATTTCTTTTCAGCTCAACAAATGCTAAGGGACCTTGACCACTGATTTTGCTGCACATGAGGTAGTGTTGTGCCATTGGGTTGGAGTCTTGCTTCTGCCTAGAAAGCACCAGGGCCAAGGAAAAACATTTGTAGGCTCTGAGGAGGGCCCCACTGTTTTCTCTTAAGGGAATAGACCACAAAGGAACTGCAAGCAGAGGGACTCTAAATCCTGAGCCCATCTTCTGAGAGTCCCTTCAGTTTATTCTGTTATTTTTATGGTTTGATGATTTAAATGAAACTCTTTAATCTAATTACAATACACTTAGGTATACGGCATGACATTTTAACTCTTTCCTCCAAATAATAGCTTACTTCCCCTGTAGCACCATTTATTGAACAATCCACCTCTTCCTTGTTTATTTGTGAGGCTTCCTTTATCCTGTATTCTGTGTGTGTGTGTGTGTGTGTGTGTGTGTACACACAGACATGTATATATATATATGTTATTTCAACTGTTTATTCTTTCAGATGAATTTTAGAATAAATTTCTTACATTTCAGACAAAACCCTGTTAGTATTTTATGTACATTAAACATTCAGTTTAATTTGGAAATAATAGCTTCACAACATTGAATTGTCTCATCCAGGAACGTGGTAAATCTCTGTTTATTCCCACATTCCTTTATGTATCTCATTAATGTTTGTAGCTCTTTCTCCCATTGTGTTTTCTAGTCTGGTTGTTATTGGTATATAGGAAAAGTTTATTTTTGTGTATATTATCTTGTATTTAGCTGAACTCTCTTATGAATTCTAACAATTTCTCAGCTTCTTCTCTTGAGTTTTTAAAGTAAACAACCATATTGTTTGCAAATAACTTATAGCTTAGTTGTTCCTGGGCCAAGTTCAGACATTAGGCTATCATAAGGTAAACTCAAATCCTATTGGCACAATATAATAATACATTGTAATTTTGTTCCTAAAGACTCATCTCACACTGTAAAAATGCCAAAATTGATCATGAAAATAAATGAAAAGAAAATCCAAATATATTATTTTAAAAACTCGTGTTAACTATGTAAAACCAAACACTCAATAGAAATGCTACATCATAAATGCTTCTTTTGGATTGACTAGCCTAAAAAAAAAGAAATGCTTCTCTTGGAGGATTATTTTTTCTCAGAGACTGGACTATCTCAGATGCCTTAAAATAGACATCCATTGTGAAGAACATGAAAAACTACTGAATTTGTACACTTTAAAAGAATGAATTATATAGTGTATTAGTCTATTAGTCTGTTCTCATGCTGCTAATAAAGCCATACCTGAGACTGGGTAGTTTATAAAGGAAAGAGGTTTAATTGACTCACAGTTCAGCATGGCTTGGGAAGCCTCAGGAAACTTACAATCATGGTGGAAGAGGAAGCAAACACATCCTTCTTGACATGGCAGCAGGAAGGAGAATAATGAGTGAAGAGGGGAAAAGCCCTTATAAAATCATCAGATCTCATGAGAACTCACTCACTATCACAAGAACAGCGTGAGGGTAACCACCCCCATGATTAAATTACCTCTCAGCCAGGGACAGTGGTTCATGCCTGTAATCCTAGCACTTTGGGAGGCCTAGGCAGGTGGATCACCTGAGGTCAGGAGTTCAAGGCCAGCCTGGCCAACATGGAGAAACCCTGTCTTTACTAAAAATACAAAAATTAGCCTGGCATGGTGGTGGGTGCCTGTAATCCCAGCTACTCAGGAGGCTGAGTCAGGAGAATGGCTTGAGCCCGGGAGGCAGAGGTTGCAGTGAGCCGAGATTGCACCACTGCACTCCAACCTGGGAGACTGAGCAGGACTCTGTCTCAAAAAAACAAAACAAAACAAAACAAAACAAAACAAAAACCTCTCACTACGTCCCTTCCACGACACATGGGGATTATGGGAATTATAATTCAAGATGAGATTTGGGTAAGAACACAGCCAAACCATCATTCTGCTCCTGGCCCCTCCCAAATCTCATGTCCTCACATTTCAAAACACAACCATGCCCTTCCAACAGTCCCCCAAAGTCTTTTTTTTTTTTTGAGACAGAGTCTCACTTGTCACCCAGGCTGGAGTGCAATGGTGTGATTTCGGCTCACTGCAACCTCTGTCTCCCGAGTTCAAGTGATTCTCATGCCTCAGCCTCCTGAGTAGCTGGGATTACAGGCATCCGCTACCACAATTGGCTAATTTTTGTGGTTTTAGTAGACATGGGGTTTCAGCATGTTAGCCAGGCTGGTCTCAAACTCCTGACCTCAGATGATCCACCTGCCTTGGCCTCCCAAAGTGCTGGGATTACAGGGGTGAGCCACTGCACCCGGCTGTTACAAAGTCTTAACTAATTCCAGCATTAACTCAAAAGTCTAAGTCCAAAGTCCCATCTGAGACAAGGCAAGTCTCTTCTGCCTATGAGCCTGTAAAATCAAAAGCAAGTTAGTTACTTCCTAGATACAATGGGGTACAGGCATTGGGTGAATATACCTGTTCCAAATGGGAGAAATTGGACAAAACAAAGGGGCTACCAACTCCATGCAAGTCCTAAATCCTATTAGGCAGTCATTAAACCTTAAAGTTCCAAAATGATCTCTTTTGACTCCATGTCTCACATCCAGGTCACACTGACTTGGGAGGTGGGCTCCCATGGTCTTGGAGAGCCCTGCGCCTGTGGCTTTGCAAGGTACAGCTCTCCTCCTGGCTTCTTTCACAGGCTGGCATTGAATGTCTGTGGATTTTCCAGGTACATGGTGCAAGCTGTGGATGGATCTACCATTCTGTGGGCTGGAGGATGGTGGCCCTCTTCTCACAGCTCCACTAGGCAATGCTCCAGTGAGGATTCTGTGTTGGGGCTTCAACCCCACATTTCTCTTCTGCACTGCCCTAGCTGAGGTTCTCCATGAGGGCCCTGTCCCTTCAGCAAACTTCTGCCTGGACATGCAGGCATTTTCGTACATCCTCTGCAATCTAGGTGGAGGTTCCCAAACCTTGATTCTTGACTTCTGTGTACCCACAGGCCCAACACCACGTGGAAGCTTCCAAAGCTTGGAGCTTGCACCCTCTGAAGCACAGCCTCAGCTGTACCTTGGCCCCTTTTAGCCATAACTGGAGCAGCTGGGACACCAGGCACCAAGTTCTTAGACTGCACACAGCAGTGGGGCCCTGAGCCCAGCCCACTAAACCACCTTTTCCTCCTAGGCCTCCAGGCCTATGATGGGAGGGGCTGCCGCTAAGGTTTCTGACATGCCCTGGAGACATTTTTCCCATTGTCTTGGTGATTAATATTTGGCTCTCTGTTACTTATGCAAATTTCTGCAGCCGGCTTGAATATCTCCTCAGAAAATGGGTTTTTCTTTTCAGTCTCATTGTCATCCTGCAAATTTTTCAAACCTTTATGCTCTGTTCCCTCTTGAACACTTTGCCACTTAGAAATTTCTTCTGCCGGGTGGAGCCAAGATGGCTGAAAAGGAACAGCTCCAGTCTACAGCTCCCAGCATGAGCGACACAGAAGACGGGTGATTTCTGCATTTCCAACTGAGGTACTGGGTTCATCTCACTGGGGAGTGCCAGACAGTGGGTGCAGGACAGTGGGTGCAGTGCACCATGCATGAGCTGAAGCAGGGCGAGGCATCACCTCACCTGGGAAGCACAAGGCGTCAGGGAATTCCCTTTCCTAGTCAAAGAAAGGGGTGACAGATGGCACCTGGAAAATCGGGTCACTCCCACCCTAATACTGCGCTCTTCCAACGGGCTTAACAAACGGCACACCAGGAGATTATATCCCACACATGGCTCAGAGGGTCCTACACCCACGGAGCCTCGCTCATTGCTAGCACAGCAGTCTGAGATCAAACTGCAAGGCAGCAGTGAGGCTGGGGGAGGGGTGCCCACCATTGCTCAGGCTTGAGTAGGTAAACAAAACGGCCAGGAAGCTCAAACTGGGTGGAGCCCACCACAGCTCAAGGAGGCCTGCCTGCCTCTGTAGGCTCCACCTCTGGGGGCAGGGCACAGACAAACAAAAGACCGCAATAACCTCTGCAGACTTAAATGTCCCTGTCTGACAGCTTTGAAGAGAGTAGTGGTTCTCCCAGCACGCAGCTGGATATCTGAGAATGGGCAGACTGCCTCCTCAAGTGAGTCGCTGACTCCCGAGTAGCCTAACTGGGAGGCACCCCCCAGTAGGGGCAGACTGACACCTCACACGGCCGGGTACTCCTGAGACAAAACTTCCAGAGGAACGATCAGGCAGCAGCATTTGCGGTTCACCAATATCTGCTGTTATGCAGCCACCGCTGCTGATACCCAGGCAAACAGGGTCTGGAGTGGACCTCCAGTAAACTCCAACAGACCTGCAGCTGAGGGTCCTGACTGTTAGAAGGAAAACTAACAAACAGAAAGGACATCCACACCAAAAACCCATCTGTAAGTCACCATCATCAAAGAGCAAAGGTAGATAAAACCACAAAGATGGGGAAAAAACAGAGCAGAAAAACTGGAAACTCTAAAAATCAGAGCGCCTCTCCTCCTCCAAAGGAACGCAGTTCCTCACCAGCAATGGAACAAAGCTGGATGGAGAATGACTTTGATGAGTTGAGAGAGGAAGGCTTCAGAAGATCAAACTACTCCGAGCTAAAGGAGGAAGTTCGAACGAATGGCAAAGAAGTTAAAAACTTTGAAAAAAAATTAGACAAATGGATAACTAGAATAACCAATGCAGAGAAGTCTTTAAAGGACCTGATGGAGCTGAAAACCACGGCACGGGAAGTACATGACGAATGCACAAGCCTCAGTAACCGATGCGATCAACTGGAAGAAAGGGTATCAGCGATGGAAGATGAAATGAATGAAATGAAGCGTGAAGAGAAGTTTAGAGGAAAAAGAATAAAAGGAAATGAACAAAGCCTCCAAGAAATATGGGACTATGTGAAAAGACCAAATCTACATCTAATTGGTGTACCTGAAAGTGATGGGGAGAATGGAACCAAGTTGGAAAACACTCTGCAGGATATTATGCAGGAGAACTTCCCCATTCTAGCAAGGCAGGCCAACATTCAAATTCAGGAAATACAGAAAATGCCACAAATATACTCCTCGAGAAGAGCAACTCCAAGACACATAATTGTCAGATTCACCAAAGTTGAAATGAAGGAAAAAATGTTAAGGGCAGCCAGAGAGAAAGATCAGGTTACCCACAAAGGAAGCCCATCAGACTAACAGCTGATCTCTTGGCAGAAAGTCTACAAGCCAGAAGAGAGTGGGGGCCAATATTCAACATTCCTAAAGAAAAGAATTTTCAACCCAGAATTTCATATCCAGCCAAACTAAGCTTCATAAGTGAAGGAGAAATAAAATACTTCACAGACAAGCAAATGCTGAGAGATTTTGTCACCACCAGGCCTGCCCTAAAAGAGCTCCTGAAGGAAGCACTAAACATGGAAAGGAACAACTGGGACCAGCCACTGCAAAAACATACCAAATTGCAAAGACAAGGCTAGGAAGAAACTGCATCAACTAATGAGCAAAATAACCAGCTAACATCATAATGACAGGATCAAATTCATACATAACAATATTAACCTTAAATTTAAATGGGCTAAATGCTCCAATTAAAAGGCACAGACTGGCAAATTGGATAAAGAGTCAAGACCCATCAGTGTGCTGTATTCAGGAAACCCATCTCACGTGCAGAGACACACACAGGCTCAAAATAAAGGGATGGAGGAAGATCTACCAAGAAAATGGAAAACAAAAAAAGGCAGGGGTTGCAATCCTAGTCTCTGATCAAACAGACTTTAAACCAACAAAGATCAAAAGAGACAAAGAAGGCCATTACATAATGGTAAAGGGATCAATTCAACAAGAAGAGCTAACTATCCTAAATATATATGCACCCAATACAGGAGCACCCAGATTCATAAAGCAAGTCCTGAGTGACCTACAAAGAGACTTAGACTCCCACACAATAATAATGGGAGACTTTAACACCCCACTGTCAACATTAGACAGATCAACGAGACAGAAGGTTAACAAGGATATCCAGGAACTGAAATCAGCTCTGCACCAAGCAGACCTAATAGACATCTATAGAACTCTCCACCACAAATCAACAGAATATACATTCTTTTCAGCACCACACCACACCTATTCCAAAATTGACCACATACTTGGAAGTAAAGCACTCCTCAGCAAATGTAAAAGAACAGAAATTATAACCAACTGTCTCTCAGACCACAGTGCAATCAAACTAGAACTCAGGATTAAGAAACTCACTCAAAACCGCTCAACTACATGGAAACTGAACAACCTGCTCCTGAATGACTGCTGGGTACATAATGAAATGAAGGCAGAAATAACAATGTTCTTTGAAACCAATGAGAACAAAGACACAACATACCACAATCTATGGGACACATTCAAAACAGTGTGTAGAGGGAAATTTATAGCACTAAATGCCCACAAGAGAAAGCAGGAAAGATCTAAAATTGACACCCTAACATTACAATTAAAATAACTAGAGAAGCAAGAGCAAACATTCAAAAGCTAGCAGAAGGCAAGAAATAACTAAAATCAGAGCAGAACTGAAGGAAATAGAGACACAAAAAAACCCTTCAAAAAATCAATGAATCCAGGAGCTGGTTTTTTGAAAAGATCAACAAAATTGATAGACTGCTAGCAAGATTAATGAATAAAAGAGAGAAGAATCAAATAAACGCAATAAAAAATGGAAAAGGGGATATCACCACCAATCCCACAGAAATACAAACTACCATCAGAGAATACTATAAACACCTCTACGCAAATAAACTAGAAAATATAGAAGAAATGGATAAATTCCTCGACACATACACTCTCCCAAGACTAAACCAGGAAGAAGTTGAATCTCTGAATAGTCCAATAACAACATCTGAAATTGAGGCAATAATTAATAGCTTAACAACCAAAAAAAGTTCAGGACCAGACGGATTCACAGCCAAATTCTACCAGAGGTACAAGGAGGAGCTGGTACCATTCCTTCTGAAACTATTCCAATCAATAGAAAAAGAGGGAATCCTCCCTAACTCATTTTGTGAGGCCAGCATCATCCTGATACCAAAGCCTGGCAGAGACACAACAAAAAAAGAGAATTTTAGACCAATATCCTTGATGAACATTGATGCAAAAATCCTCAATAAAATACTGGCACACTGAATCCAGCAACACATCAAAAAGCTTATCCACCATGATCAAGTGGGCTTCATCCTTGGGATGCAAGGCTGCTTCAACATATGAAAATCAATGAACGTAATCCAGCATATAAACAGAACCAAAGACAAAAACCACATGATTATCTCAACAGATGCAGAAAAGGCCTTTGACAAAATTCAACAACCCTTCATGCTAAAAACTCTCAATAAATTAGGTATTGATGGGACGTATCTCAAAATAACAAGAGCTATCTATGACAAACCCACAGCCAATATCATACTGAATGGGCAAAAACTGGAAGCATTCCCTTTGAAAACTGGCACAAGACAGGGATGCCCTCTCTCACCACTCCTATTCAACATAGTGTTGGAAGTTCTGGCCAGGGCAATCAGGCAGGAGAAGGAAATAAAGGGCATTCAATTAGGAAAAGAGGAAGTCAAATTGTCCCTGTTTGCAGATGACATGATTGTATATCTAGAAAACCCCATTGTCTCAGCCCCAAATCTCCTTAAGCTGATAAGCAACTTCAGCAAAGTCTCAGGATACAAAATCAATGTGCAAAATTCACAAGCATTCTTATACACCAATAACAGACAAACAGAGAGCCAAATCATGAGTGAACTCCCATTCACAATGGATTCAAAGAGAATAAAATACCCAGGAATCCATCTCACAAGGGATGTGAAGGACCTCTTCAAGGAGAACTACAAACCACTGCTCAATGAAATAAAAGAGGATACAAACAAATGGAAGAACATTCCATGCTCATGGGTAGGAAGAATCAATATCGTGAAAATGGCCATACTGCCCAAGGTAACTTACAGATTCAATGCCATCCCCATCAAGCTACCAATGACTTTCTTCACAGAATTGGAAAAAACTACTTTAAAGTTCATATGGAACCAAAAAAGAGCCCGCATCGCCAAGTCAATCCTAAGCCAAAAGAACAAAGCTGGAGGCATCACACTACCTGACTTTAAACTATACTACAAGGCTACAGTAACCAAAACAGCATGGTACTGGTACCAAAACCGATATAGACCAATGGAACAGAACAGAGCCCTCAGAAATAATGCCGCATATCTACAACTATCTGATCTTTGACAAACCTGACAAAAACAAGCAATGGGGAAAGGATTCCCTATTTAATAAATGGTGCTGGGAAAACTGGCTAGCCATGTGGAGAAAGCTGAAACTGGATCCCTTCCTTACACCTTATACAAAAATTAATTCAAGATGGATTAAAGACTTACATGTTAGACCTAAAACCATAAAAACCCTAGAAGAAAACCCAGGCAATACAATTCAGGGCATAGGCATGGGCAAGGACTTCATGTCTAAAACACCAAAAGCAATGGCCACAAAAGCCAAAACTGACAAATGGGATCTAATTAAACTAAAGAGCTTCTGCACAGCAAAAGAAACCACCATCAGAGTGAACAGGCAACCTACAGAATGGGAGAAAATTTTCGCAACCTACTCATCTGACAAAGGGCTAATATCCAGAATCTACAATGAGCTCAAACAAATTTACAAGAAAAAACAAACAACCCCATCAAAAAGTGGGCGAAGGATATGAACAGACATTTCTCAAAAGAAGACATTTATGCAGCCAAAAGACACATGAAAAAATGCTGATCATCACTGGCCATCAGAGAAATGCAAATCAAAACCACAATGAGATAACATCTCACACCAGTTAGAATGGCAATCATTAAAAAGTCAGGAAACAACAGGTGCTGGAGAGGATGTGGAGAAATAGGAACACTTTTACACTGTTGGTGGGACTGGAAACTAGTTCAACCATTGTGGAAGTCAGTGTGGCAATTCCTCAGGGATCTAGAACTAGAAATACCATTTGACCCAGCCATCCCATTACTGGGTATATACCCAAAGGATTATAAATCATGCTGCTATAAAGACACATGCACACGTATGTTTATTGCGGCACTATTCACAATAGCAAAGACTTGGAACCAACCCAAATGTCCAACAATGATAGACTGGATTAAGGAAATGTGGCACATATACACCATGGAATACTATGCAGCCATAAAAAATGATGAGTTCATGTCCTTTGTAGGGACATGGATGAAGCTGGAAACCATCATTCTCAGCAAACTATCACAAGGACAAAAACCAAACACTGCATGTTCTCACTCATAGGTGGGAACTGAACAATGAGAACACATGGACACAGGAAGGGGAACATCACACTCTGGGGACTGTTGTGACGTGGGGGGAGTGGGGAGGGATAGCAGTAGGAGATACACCTAATGCTAAATGATGAGTTAATGGGTGCAGCACACCAACATGGCACATGTATACATATGTAACAAACCTGCACGTTGTGGACATGTACCCTAAAACTTAAAGTATAATAATAATAAAAAAAAAAAAAGAAATTTCTTCTGCCAGATACCCCAAATCATCTCTCTCAAGTTCAAAGTTCCTCAGATCTCTGGGGCAGAGGCAAAATGCCACCAGTCTCTTTGCTAAAGCATAGCAAGAATCACCTTTACTACAGCTCCCAACAAGTTCCTCATCTCCATCTGAGACCACCTCAGCCTGGACTTCATTGTCCATATCACTCAGCATTTTGGTCAAAGCTATTCAATAAGTGTCTAGGAAGTTCCAAACCTCCCCACATCTTCCTGTCTTCTGAGCTCTCTATGTCTCTAGGAAGTTCCAAACTTTCCCACCTTTTCCTGTCTTCTTCTAAGACCTCCAAACTGTTCCAACCTCTGCCTATTACCCAGTTCCAAAATCACTTCCACATTTTTGGGTATCTTTACAGCAGCACCCCACTCTCTGTGGTGCCAATTTGCTGTATTAGTCCGTTCTCATGCTGCTAATAAAGACATACGTGAGACTGGGTAATTTATAAAGGAAAGAGGTTTAATTGACTTACAGTTCAGCATGGCTGGGAGGCCTCAGGAAACTTAGAAGTATGGCAGAAGGGGAAGCAAATACATCCTTCTCCACATGGTGGCAGGAGAAAGAATTGCCTAGCAAAAAGGGGGAAAAGCCCCTTATATCTCGTGAGAACTCACTCACTATCACGAGAACAGCATGAGGGTAATTGCCTCCATGATTAAATTACCTCCCACTGGGTCTCTCCCACAACACGTGGGGGTTACGGTAACTAAAATTCAAGAAAAGATTTGGGTGGAGACACAGCCAAACCATATCATATGGTCTGTGTTTTAAATCTCAAGTAAAAAAAAAAAAAAAAAAAAGAAATACAAGTCCTCCAAGTTTGGAATGAAGATGTCATATTTTTCTGCTCAATATTCCTCAAGTAAACACAGGGATTCTTTATTACTCTCAGGACCCTCCAGGTGTATTTTATAATACAGGTGTATTATATAATCCTGCCACCTCTGGAAAGTTTTTGATGTCAATGAGGTGTGTAATGACACATGGTAAATATTTGGAACAAGGTAATTTCTATAGCAACTGTTACAATGATCCCTTGCTCTCCTATTTCAATCACATTTTATGGCTGAATTCTTTTGAGAATCTAACAATTCAACCATCTCTGCTTTATAGTCAGACCTTGATTTGTATTTCTCAGTAGTGTGGAGTTGTGACAGCATTAGATTATAAAAAAAAAAAGTCTTGTTCCATTGGTATTAGACACTTGTTTGCAATTAGTACCTTTCATTTTCAAGATTTCAGTTAACTTTGCCAGAAACTTCAATGCTTTTGTGCTGGAACCTGCAGATACCCTCTGTCCCAATCCTGGGACTGGTTACAGCAACCAGTTCTCTTACTGTAGTTGTTACACCGAAAATACATTTTGCTCAGAATGAAATGTCTTTCTTTGATATCTCACTCCACCTACTTTTGTATGTTCATAAGAGAGACAATATTTTTGCCAAAATTGTGCCTGGCTTATTATGTGTTCATGGAATCAAAATTCAAAATATTGTATTTTGATTTTAAATCACAGCTCTTCTTGATATTTTATTGATTTGACATTTCTTTTCTTATATATTGGGAAGGGTGTAAGTTTTAGATGTTTTCAGCAGCTTTACTTGTAATAGCCAAACAACTGGAAACAATCCAGATGTCTTTGAATGGGTGAGTGGTTAAACAAACTCTGGTATGTGCAGACCATAGAGTACTGCCAAGCCAACACAAAGGAATGAACTATGGATACATTATAACTTAGATCTTTAAGGGCATTATGCTTAGTGAAAAAAGACAATCTCAGAATATTACATACTGTGATTCCATTTGTATAATCCTTGAAATGACAAAGCTGTAGAGATGGAAAGTAGATCAGTGATTGCCAGGGATAGGGACAAAGGTGGGGGCGTGTGGTTATACAGGGGTAATATGAGGAAGTTCCTCTGTGCTAATAAAACAGTTCTATATCATGATGGTCATGGGAGTTACATGAATCTATTTATGGGATCAAATTGCGTAGACACACATGCACACACACACAAACACACATATGTGAGTGTAAAAACAGTGAAAACTGAATAAGTTTTAGCAGTATTGTACCAGTGTCAATTTCCTGTTTTGATATTGTACTACAGTTACATATGATGTCACCATTGTGGAAAGTTGGATAAAGGGTTCAAGGGACTCTAATTTTGCAACTACCTGTAAATCTACAATCATTTTAAAATAGAAAGCATTTAAAATTTTTTATTGTGATTTTTTTTACTTTAAAATAGCTCACACTTTTTTCTCTTAAACTAAAAGGCTAAGTTTTCTTAAACATTGCTCTTTCACTGAGATAGAATTCACATACCATAAAATTCACCATTTTAAAGTGTCCAATTTAGTGGTTTTAGCATATTTGCAAGGTTGTGCAACCGCCACCATTATCTAATTCCAGAACATTTTCATCACCCCCGAAAGAAACCCCCACCCATTAGATGTCATTCTCCTTTCCTTTCTTCCTTCACAATCCCTGGTAACAACTAATTTATTTTCTCTTTCTCTTCTCTCTTTCTTTCTCTCTATCTCTATATTTGCTCATTCTGGACATTTCATAGAAATTTCATAGAAATGGAATCATGCAATATATGACCTGGCTTCTTTCACTTACCATAATGTTTTCAAGGTTCATCTGTTTTGTAGCATGTATCATCACTGCATTTTTTATTGCCAAATAGTATTCCGTTGTATGGATAGACCCCAATACATTTATCCATTCATCAGTTGCTAGACCTTTGGATTGTTTGCACTGTTTTGCTATTAGGAGTAATTCTGCTGTGATCATCTATGTACAAGTTTTTGTGTGACCATGTTTTAAATTTGGGGGTTATATAACTAAAAGTAGAATTGCTGGGTCATATGGTAACTCTACACTTAACTCTTTGAGAACTGTCAAACTGTTTTCCAAAGTGGCTCTACCATTTTACCATCAGCAATGCCCAAGAATTCCGTTTCTCCATATCCTAACTAATACTTATTATTGTCTATCTTGTTTTATTATAGTCATCCTAGTGGGTGTAAAATGGTATCATGGTGGTTTTGATTTGCATTTTCCTAATGATTAATGATTTTGAGCACTTTTTCTTTTTTATTAGAGACAGGGTCTCACCCTGTCACCCATGCTTGAGTGCAGTGACGTGACGATTGTAGCTCACTGCAGCCTTGAACTCCTGGGCTCTAGCAATCCTCCCACCTCAGTCTCCTGGTAGCTGGGAACACAGGCATGCACCACCACACCTGGCTAATTTTTAAATTTTTTATAGAGATGGGGTCTCACTATGTTGCCCAGGCTGGTCTCGAATTCTTGGGCTCGAGCAATCCTCCCTCCTGGGCCTCCCAAAGTGCTGGGATTACAGGCGTTAGCCATTGCACCTGACCCTTACTTTTTCATTTGTATAGCTTCTTTGGAGAAATGTCTATTTAAATCTTTTGCTTATTTTTAAAATTGAATTGCCTTTCAGTTGTTGAGTTATAAGAATTATTTATCTATTCTGGCTCCTAGACTCTTATGAGATACATGATTTGTAGGTATTTTCTCCCATTCTGTGGGTTGTCTTTTCACTTTCTTAATGGTGTCCTTTGAAGCACAAAAGTGTTTAATTATAATGGAGCCCAACTTATCAATTTTTTATTTTGTTGTTTGTGCTTTTGATGTCATATATAAGAAGCCATTGCCTAATCCAAGATTATGAAGCTTTACACCTATGTTTTCTTCCATGAGTTTAATAGTTTTGACTTTCACTTTAGGTCTTTGATCCATTTGAGTTAATTTTTGTATATGATATGAGGTAAGGTCCAACTTTATTTTTCTGCATGTGGATGTCCAGTTGTTTCAGTATTGTTTGTTGAAGACTATTCTTTCCCACATTGAATTGTCTTGGCACCCTAGGTGAAAATCAATTGACCCTCTGTGTTCTCAATTCCATTCTATTGATATAGAAAGGTTTTTTAAATTAATCAATTATTTTCCCTGAGGCCTAATATAGGACCACTGTGAGTAGAATCCATGCCATTTTTGCCCACACTTATGAACTAATTTTGGTGGAGTGCCATGGGGCCTCATTTAGGAAAATGAAGCTGAAAAGTGGGTCTCCAGAAAATGAGGAATGGGGACATAGAGTGGTGCATTGGAGAGAACTCTGGTTTGAATGCTAGTTCTATCCAAAGTTGTGTGGCTTTGGGCAAGCTACTAACCCTCTAGGAGCTTTAGCTACTGTGAAATGGAGGTGATGACAATCTCAATCTCACTGGGCTTATGTTTAGTATTGAGAGACAATGGTTATGAAAGCAATGTCATGGTCCCTGGAACATAGAAGGGACTTGACATCAAGCAAACTTACAGTTGGTGCATGGTCTTGTGGCTCCCTCCCTTCTGACATAGGATGGTTATGTGGGATCAGGAGAGGTGGGCTACACAGCGGGTACCTGTGCCAGTTCCCATGTTTCTGCTCCTGTCTCTTACACTTTGCAGCAGCTATGGTTCCATTCCCCCACCTTTTCTGTCCGGGGAAGTATGAAGGGTAAATAAAGAAGAGGAAAAGGGCTCTCCATAGAGCAGCTTTCTGGCCAGAAGGGAAAATCTTAGGTTTGAGGGAAGCCCAATAGCGAACCACAGAATAATCAGGAAATAGTGGTATCCTGTTTTATATGTCTAGAACTTTATTTTCAAAGAAGAAACAATGTAACTGCATTGCCAATCTAGAACTCTATCACAACTGACGGAATCCTGTCTGCTTGGACCAGGCAGCTACAGTTCAGGTCCCTGGTTTACCTTGTGGCAGTTCCCAAGTTGTAAGGAAAGGACCAAGAGGAAACAAACTATCCCTGTTCCAAATAAAGCTTCTAAGTCTAAACCTACGTAGTGATGGTGAACTAAGGTTTAGGAGAAAGGGGCACAGTATTCTTTGTGATCAGAGAGTTGGCTGGAATGATTCATAAGACTCCCCAACTGGGTTGTTGCCCTAAAATAACCAGGGGTGATACAGCCAACTCCTCTGGCTAGCCAGCCCTCCCCAGTCCTCCCCTGCCCCTCTGGTTCTTTCCCCTAAGCCTGCCTCAGCCACTTGGGAGAGGACTCTATTGCTAGAACTCTGATTTATTAAATAATTTCTGGCTTGGATGGTCTCCTCTCTCATCCTTACGATCTTTCCCTCTCCTGGAATTCTTCTTTTTCTGTGGCTCTACTTGGATCCCTCATGGCTTTGGGGGTTGATCAATGGGGAATGTGGCTCCTGTTATGTAATTGTCAGCTCTTGGGTCTCAGGGAGGCCATATTCAACTTTGTGTTGGTCAAAGAGCTTGCGCAGGGCACTGATGTAGAGTGCGTGATACTTGTCTACTGTCTTCTGGTTTGGCCTCTTAATCCTGGGAATTGGAAGGGGTTCCCCAACTATGAAAAAAGAAAAGAGACAAACATCAGAGTTCCCCCCTCAACTCAAACTACTCATCCCTCACTGGGAGCCATGTACTGAAACTCAGTATCTGGCTTTCCTCCCCTTCTTTCTTTCTTTCCCTTTGCTCCAGTCTCATCCTGGCCCCTGTTCTCTGATCATCTAATCAAACCCATGCTCAAGAGAATGCAAGCAAGCTCAGGAGAGTGGTGACAGAATGTGTGCGAATGGTGATGCTCTTGTAGCAGATGCTGATGTCACATCCATGAATGGCCACAACTCTTATCTGTTTAGTTGTCCTACCCACCCTGCTCTTAACCACACCCATTGCCCATCCCAGATGTGAGTTGGGTCCCCCTGGACTTGATGGATGATTTAAAGTGGGTGGGAAGTGAATGAAGAAACAGGTCATCCGGAGATAAGGGAAAGCTCACCAACAGTGGTAATGGGCCGATTGAAAGGCAGGAAGCCCCAGGATCCGCGAGTGAAGCCCCGGCCATGGAAGGTACAGAAATTTAGTCCCAGGATTTTTTTGAATGTGTCCTGGAAGGTTTTTTGGAACAACCTTAACCACGTGCCCTCAGGGAAGGTCTCCTGATTGAAAACTTCGTTCTCACCAAAGGAATATGAAGGGACAAGGTATGCCCTGCAAAGAGAGGGGCAGGAGTGTGAGCTCTCTGAGGAAGATCCCCGGAAAAATCCTCTCCAAGGTGGGAAACCTCTCCAACCTCCCCATTATAGGACAAGAACCCAAGCACCCAAACATCTCCATCTTCATGTCCCATTCCTGCCATGCCTCACTCTCCCAACTGAACTCTGAAGGGAGCTGCTGCTCTGCCTTGTCCTGTTATAGGGAGAAACTAATCTCAAAAGCTCTGTCTTCATTGCATCCAGCATGCAGAGTGTTCTTCGTAAACTGCATATCTGGACATGCCACTCCTCTCAAACTCTTCCAGAGCTCCTCAGTTTGCACCATGCTGCTTCCTTACGGCCTTTTTGCTCTAGCCTTCCCTCCTTGGCTAGCTTTCCCTTTCCCCACTCTTTCCTTGCAATCTGCTTAGCCATATTAAGTGTGCCTCATACTCTCTCATCTCTGTGTCTTTGTACATTCTGCTCCCTCTGTCGGAAGTATCTTCCTTCTTCCCTCTGTCTTTATGTGGCTCATTCAATTTTGCACTCAGTCCCAATCTCATCCCCTTAAAGCAACTTTGTTTGACCACTTCATTTCCCCCAACGCGGATTAGGTACCCCTCATCTAGTGCTTACCTCTCTTCTACACTAACGCTGCCCCAACCGTGTATTATAGTCATCTCCTTACTTGCCTGACTCCCCCAGTAGACAGCAAGCCAATCAAAGGCAAGAACTGGGTCATATTCATCTTTGAATCCCTAGGCCCTGGCATAGCACTTGACATGCCATAGGTCCTCACTGAATGCCTGAGTTCTTTCTCCCTTTTGGTCTGCCTGGCAACTCCTACCAATATTTCAATTCACAGTTCAGATGTTACCCACCTATGAAACCTCTATTCTGGGTCAAGATCTTTCCATAAATTGGTGCTCACGTGGCACTTTGTACACATTTCCATTGTAGTGTTCCATTTATTTAACAAATATTAAGCTCTTTCTATGTGCCAGCACTGTTTTAGGCCCTGGAGATGCATCAGTGAATACAATGGATTTTTAAAAATTCTGTGTTCGTGGAGTTTACTTTTTCTGGGAGGAAGACAGACAATAAACATTGAAAATAGTTGGTAAACAAATAAATAAAATGGATGAGCTATAAGAAGATAAGTGTAACCGGCAAAAAATAGAGCAAGATGGTCAGATAACTGTATTGAGAAGAGACATTTGAGCAAAGACTTGAAGGAGATAAAGGAATGAGCCAAGCAGTCATTTGGAGGAATAGTGTTCCAAGGGAACCGCTAAAGCAAAGACTCTAAAGCAGGAGCGGGTGGCCTGCTTGAGGGACCGCAAAGAGGCCGGTATAGCTATGATGGAGTGAGAGAGTGGGAAGAGAAGTGAGTGATGAGGACAGAGAGGCAGCTATAGACCAGATTATTCCGCGTCTTGCAAGCCCCTATAAAGACTTTGGCTTTTACTCTGAGTGACATGGGAGCCATTGGATTATTTTGAGAAGTGACATGATCTGACTCATGTTTAACAGGATCATCCTGGCTGAAGCTGGGAATAGACTCTTGGGGTGGGGGAGGTGGGAATAGATACAGGAAGAGCAGTTAGAAGTGTTGTAATCAACCAAGGGGAGAGATGGTGGTAGTAAACCAAGGGGTGGTAGCCTAGGTAGTAAGTGGTTGGATTCTGCAGGTATTTGGTAATTATATGTGCATGGGTCTGTCTTCTTCCATATTGGACTGTGAGTTTGCAAGGACCAGGTCTTATTTACTTTTATATCCTAAATGCCTAGTACTATGCCTGATATACAGTGGGTGTTCCGTAACTGCTGAATGAATAAGGTCTATTTCTCAAACCAGATTGTATGCTCTTTGGGGTCATGTCTTATCTTTTTGATCCTCACGGTATCAAAGCTAGTGCCTCCCTTGCAGTTGGTAGATTCTTAGGGCCTCTCAGTTAACAGGTTGATATAGAGTGAAGCCCCGCTTTCCCAGACCTCCAGCCTACCAGGCCAATGGGCAGAAAGTAAAAGGTTTTCTTCTGCTGTTCTTTCTCCAACTTCAAGTAAGAAAAGTGCCCACTGAAATGTATCTGGAGGCCCAAACATCCCTAAGGCACAATGTGAGGGGGTAGACAGAAGGAATTAGAGTGAAGATGGGGGCCCTCTAACAGGTGCCCAGGGAGGGCACCATTCTGGAGAGGGCTACAGAGGGCCTATGGCACCCTGACAACAGAGCACTAGAACCTTGGAACCCACCCTGTTTGCAGTGCCATCTTCACAAAACCTTTACGCTGCTTGAGGAAGAGAGTGGAGGCTCCTGGTCGGCACAAGAGAGCTTCAGCAGCTCCACCCACCACAATAACCACGGCATTGCCTGAGCCTTTCTGGGTCAGCAAGTACTTCAAGGCTGAGCTACTCACAGGGCACACACCTGTGAAACCAAAGAGTCAAGTGGTAGAAAAACTTCATTCCTGAGGATGGGGTAAGGGGTTTTCCCAGGCTCTTCCTTTTGGAGACAGTTCTTCTGTTTTCTGACTATTGCTGTTTCCACCTTTCTGTCTCTGACCTTCGTGTCCCGGGTTATGACTGCCCTAGCCTAAGATTGGTCCTTAGGGTCAGCTGTTTGCCTTGGGGGTCTGTGCTTCTGCAGTTGGGTCTATACTGAGCTCCTCTGCCTCCTACCATCCATAGCCTACTGCATTTCAGATCAATAGTATCTAAGCCCACCTCATCCCTCTCTACCCATGAAGCACAGCCATCTTCCACTCTGCCCAGCCTGACAACACTGGAGATCCTCCAGAGTTCTCTCCTCCAGGGGTAATCGAGACTAGCCACCACCAACCTGCTTCCTCCCTAAGAGTAACCTGCCAAAGGGAAGCCAATGGCTGGGGTTTCTGGAGAGTAGGCAGACCCCTGAGCCTGACCAAGCCAAACTGAAACGTAGATGAATAATGGAATGTGAATGACACCCTGTTGTTTAACAACAATCATCTAGCCTTTCTCACTTCTGTCTCCCATCTTTGCCCTGCGCTCACCTTCTATTGTCTACTGTGATGGCAGAAATTGCCTCCAGACTCTAGCCATTGAGAAGTATTCCTGCTCCAGGGCCATGCTAACCTCAGAGCAGAGTAGAAGCATCCTCTGGGACTCTAGTGGTCCCACCTGGCCCCTCCACAGAAATGTATCTTACCTTTGGATGTTTGGCTTCAGTTGTTTTCTGGTGTCCAGAAGGATGACTATTTGTCCAGAGAGAGAGACATTTGTCACAGTGCCCTGACTTGAAGCTGAGCATGGGGAAGTTGTTCTGGATACTCTGATGAACTCCTATCCTTTATCCCTTAGTATTTTATGCAAGTGTGAAGGGGTTCCAGGGAGATAAAAGTCATGGACCAGGAGGGTTTTAGCTAGTATGATAGACTTCAAAATGTTTTTAAGACACCATGGTGTACAAATGACCGGCCCAAAGAGGCCAGCTGACATCCTAGAGAGAGCCTGGTGAAGTTCGCCTGAGCTATCCCATTCACACCTGCTTTTCCCTGGATTTGTGTTTAATTCTTGGCTTTCATCCTCGATTTGCACTTTGGCATTGGTCCTGAATTCCAGCCTTCTGGTTCTCCCTCTGAAAAAAGTCCTGGTGACTCCTATGAATGCCTATAATTTCCCCTGCTGCCCAATCAAACCCTGCTCCCTAGATCTTGGACAGAAACTAATGCTTAGCCACATACTCCTGTTACGGGCCCAGGGTGTCCTGGACTTATTTTCTATCATGTACTCTTCAAGCAGGTAGTGATTGTCAGGACTTATTGGGGTTGCACCTTTGAAGTAGGTAAAAAAATAGAATTAATTATTTCTTATACTCACCCATTGACATCACATATTCTCGCACAATTGGGATCCAAAATATCCTTTCTAAGGTCCCTACAAAGGGAGTGATGGATGGGAAAATCCGAGCAATGCCAGTGGCCTCAGTGGCAAAGTTGATGAAGACACCAAAAGAGAGAATGCCATGGGGGTGATTGGCAATGATGTAGTTGTGTTTGGGAGAAAGATCATGAGTCTTCACCAGCTGTTAGAGGGAAATTGAGTCAGAGCATTGGCTACAAAGAAGGAAGAAACCACGTGTGGACTAAAATCCCAGCAGGTAGCCTATGTTTCCCTCTGGGAGCCCCAAATCCCTGTTCACTAGGTTGTCATCATTGTCATAGGATTGCCAGGGCTCACGATGGTCAGAGAGGCTGACCTGGGTTTGCCAGTGAAGGAAAGGCTGCCATCCACCTGTTTCCCCACCTGCCCATCCATCTTGGGCCCTTGCTTTGCATTATGACTCGGGGCCTTGACCTTCGCTGCTGACCACCAAAGCCTCTGAAAACATGGAGCTGAGTAGGGAGCAAGGGTCTGGGCAACAGGGACTGAGGGCACCCCGAGGAAGAGTGGTCACCTTTACTGGGAAGTAATTTCGGAAATACTTCCATAGGGTCCAGTTTCGTACCCAAGCTGAACGCCTGCCACCTGTGGGTACAGAAGGGAAGGGAAGAGTACACAGGGCATTGCAGTCCCTCTACCTCTCCCAGAGGAGGAGAGTTCTGCCTGCAGTCCTCAGGTCACGTGAGGGGCCTCCTTCTGACACCTCAGAACTGTAAGTACTGTCCCTGAATCCAATCCCCAAGACATAGGAAGCCCCTGCTCCTCTAGAGCCGACCAGAAAGGTGACAGGAAAATAGTCTGAAGCTGGGGGCACCTGCCCAGAGACCTCAACCTCATAATTCTTCCTGAGCTACCTGGTAGAGACCTCTGTCCCTGCTGAGCTTTGCTCTCCCTTCTCCCTCCCCTTCCTTCCCCTCTCCCCTACCCTTGGTTCTCCCCCTCTCCCTCCACCTCCCTCTCCCTGTCCTTCCATTCTTGGCCCAAACAGGACCACCATTGTGCCCCTGTCTCTTACCTTGACTGTGGGTGTTCCAATCATAGGTGAGCCAGGCTAAGGAGAGCACAGCCAAGGGCCAGAACTTACTGAATAACAGAAAGTAGGGTATAAGGAGAATGGGAATAGCTCCTGGGGAGACACAAAGGGTTCAAGCCTTTCAGTTCCCTTCAAGTTTTAGTATACTTCTCATAACCCCGGCCTCTGCTCTACACTACAGGAGCAGGGCTAGGCTGATGTGGGACTCTTCTCTCCTTCTCCCCTCTTCCCCAACCCCTCGCCCTCCATTTGTCTCTGCTGTGGTCTAGGCAGGCCTCTGAAGCCCCTGGATCTGGGTCTCCTTGATGGCCAAACTCTCAATTGAAGAAAGAGCAGAACCATGAAGTTGAGGTCAAAGGACAGCACGGCTTGGTGAATGGGAAGAAGAGCACATTGGGCTGGTAGCTGAATCCCCATTCTGGGACCTCTGGAAATTCTTTCTAAAAGCTTGACCCTCTTTCCTGTGCTGAACTGATAAGTCTGCATATTCCAGCAGGGAGGTTACCCGCAGTGTACAGGCTGTTTGATGCTGAAAAGTAAACACGGATTAAAAACCACTCCACTTTGGGAGGCCGAGGCAGGCAGATCACGAGGTCAGGAGATCGAGACCATCCTGGCTAACACGGTGAAACCCCATCTCTACTAAAGATACAAAAAATTAGCCGGGCATGGTGGCACATGATTGGAGTGCTACTCGGGAGGTGGAGGCAGGAGAATCGCTTGAACCCAGGAGGTGGAGGTTGCAGTGAGCTGAGATCGTGCCATTGCACTCCAGCCTGGGCAACAGAGCAAGACTCCGTCTTGAAAAAACAAAACAAAACAAAACAAACAACAACAACAACAACAAAACTGCCCTACTAGGCCAGGTGCGGTGGCTCACTCCTATAATCTTAGCAATTTGGGAGGCCAAAGTGAGAGGACAGCTTGAACCTAGGAGTTTGAGACCAGCCTGGGCAACAAAGCAAGACAGTATCTCTAAAAAACCAAAAAAACAAAAAACAAAACAACAACAACAAAAAACACTTTACTGTGTTCATTTTGTTCCATTCAAAAGTATCACAAAGGTTCAGAAGGGGAAGTCTGTGTTAGCAAATGGCCATAGCAGGCTGTAACTGCAAACACGATACATGTTACAGCAGTGCGAATGAATTCCATTTAAAAAATCTGCATTCATGAGAAAGAGGGGCTAAGTATACATATGGTGAATAAAAAAAGACTTAGCTAAGGGAATGACTTCTTTGACCAGGTACCATGTCATAGCAGATAAAAGTTTCAGGGAAGAAGAAACTCGGGAGTTACCTACCAGTTCTTTGTCTCTTGCATTTTGGACATAAATGAAAATAGCAGGAAAAAGGCTGAGTGGACAGTGCTTTAAAAAGTCATGTTATGGAGTAGAAGAAACCTTTGTAATAGGCTGAATTGCCCTCATAAGCACTGGTCGAGATAGTTGTTGTAAGCATTCAAATTAGACAGGAAAGCGTGGTGGGAGGAGTTTTATGGGAAGCCTGCCATGGAGAAAAAGCCTTGCTATCTATGCCCTTCATCAAAGAGGAGAGTAAATTTGCCAGTTAAGCTTCAGAAGGAAATTCAGATAAAGTTAAATAAGAATAATCACTAATTAAAGTTAGCCTAAGTGTATCATTTCTTTTATATTTTGTTTCAAATAAATTTTGTTTGTTTCCCCAGTATTTAGAAGAGAGCTTGGCACACAGTAGGTGTTCAACAAATATCTGTAGACCAATTGAAAACGAAATAAGCAAATGTTTTCTCTTTTCAGTAGTAAACTTGATAATTACTATTTAGTCAGCATGTATAGTGTTATTTAAATGTGATGTTATTTTAAAAGCATAGACGGATTAGTTGTGTGCCTTTTATCTGATTCATTCATCCACCAGTCCTAAAGGCGGTCTAAGAGCCCTTACCTGGGTAACACCATCCCCCTTGTGGAACCTATTGGAACTGCAGATATGACCCGGCAGGAGACGAGGAACGTTTTTTTCAGAGCAAGGCTTCCAGACCCAGCCCGAGTGTCATCAGTGTCGTGCACGGTAACAAAAGTGGAATTTAAAGATATAGGAGAAATAGAAGCCAAATGTGGAAGAGCTAAGTCTCATGTAAAAAGAGTTCCGTGACATAAAGCAAGGGTATCTGAAGAAGGAATGATGAAGAACAAGCATTTATGTATGTGTGACACTCCCTTAGGTATTATGGCCTTGACACCAGAAGATGGTTCCAATTTCTCTTGTCACGTTCAAGTGAGGCGTCTTGGAGAGGGTTATCAAAGAGGAAGTTCACATAGGTAGGCTCCTAATTTAGTTTGTAGTGAAGATGGCCAAGCCATTCTAATATATGTGCACTGGGGGAAAAGAAAAGAAAAAAAAAGAAGAAAAAAAAACTAATATATGCGCATTGGTAGCTCATCATAATTTTAACTTGCATTTCTCCAATAGCTAGTGATGCGTAACAGCTTTTCATGTGCTTGTCTGCTTTCTGTATATCCTCTTTGGTGAAGTGTCCATTCAAATCTTTTGCCCATTTTTCAATTGGGTTGTTTTCTTACTGTTGACTTTCGGTAGTTCTTTATGCATTTTGGATATAAGTTTTTTTGTCTGATATGTGATTTGCAAACATTTTCTCCTAATCTGTGTCTATCTTTTCATTCTTGTTAACAGGGTCCTTTTTACAGCAAAAGCTTTTAATATTGATGAAGCCCAACTTATTAATTTTTTTTCTTTTATAGATTGTGCTTTTGGTGTCAAACTGAAAGAACTCTTTGTCTAACCTCATGTCATGAAGATTTTTCCCCTATATTTTCTTTTCTTTTCTTTCTTTCTTTTTTCTTTTTTTTTCTTTTTTCTTTCTTTTTTTTTTTTTTTTGAGACAGGATCTGGTTCTGTCACCCAGACTGGCGTTCCATGGCGTGATCTCGGCTCAACTCACTGCAACCTCCGCTTCCTGGGCTCAAGCGATCCCCCCACTTCAGCCTCCAGAGTGGCTGGGACTACAGGAGCATGCCACCACACCCAGCCAATTTATTTTGTATTTTTTTGTAGAGACAGGGTCTTGCTATGTTGCCCTGGCTAGTTTCAAACTCCAGGTCTCAAGTGGTCCTCCTGCCTTAGCCTCCCAAAGTGCTGGGATTACAGGTGTGAGCCACTGCCCCTGACCTCCCCTGTGTTTTCTACTAAACATTTTACAGTTTTCTTTTTTTACATTTAGATCTACAATACACTTCAAGTTCATTTTTACCAGTTTTATGGAGGTATAATTTACAAATAAAAATGGTGTATATTCAATGTGCACAATGTGATGATTTGAGACAGGTATACATTGTGTGATGATTACAACAATCAAATTAATCAATACATTCACCACCATACATAGTTACCCTTTGTGTGTGTTTGTGGCTAGAGGTGAGGATACTTAAGATCCACTCAGCAAATTTCAAGCATATAATACAGTATTATTAATGCTGCTATACTTTAGATTCCCAGAAATTATTCTTTTTGTAACTGAAATTTTGTGCCCTTTGACAAATTTTTCCTTATTTTCCCTCTGCCCCAGCTCCTGGCAGCCACCATTCTATTCTCTGCTTCTATGAATTTAATTTACATTTATTTACAAATATATATATTTAGAGACAGGTTCTCTCTGTGCTGCCCAAGCTGGTCTCAAATTCCTGAGCTGAAGTGATGCTCCCACCTCAGCCTCCTGAGTAGCTAGGATTACAAACATGTGACACCACATCCAGCTCTAATGAGATCATATGGTATTTTTCTTTCTGTGTCTAGCTTATTTCACTTAGCATAGTATCCTCCTGGTTCATCCATGTTATTGCAAATGGCAGGATCTCCTTTTTATGGCTGAATAATATTCGTGTGTGTGTGTGTGTGTGTGTGACACTTTCTTTATTCATTCATCTGCCAGTGGACACTTAGGTCGATCCCACGTCTTGGCTATTACTAATAATACTGCAGTGAACATGGGGGTGCAGATATTTCTTCAAGACACTAATTTCATTACTGTTGGAAACTCCCCACTATTTTCCATACTGGTTGTAACAATTTACATACCTACCAACAGTGTACAAAGATTCCCTTTTATCTATATCCTCACCAAAACTTACCATTTGTCTTTTTGATAATAGCTATCCTAACAGGTGTAAGGTGATATCTCACTGTGGTTTTGATTTGCAGCTCCCTGATGACTAATAATGTTGAGCCCCTTTTCATATACCCTTTGGCTATTTGTATGTTTTCTTTGGAAAAATGTCTATTCAAGTCCTTTGCCTATTAAAAAGTTTATGTTATTTTATTTTTTTCTATTGAGTGGTATGAGTTCTTTATATATTTTAGAGATTAACCCCTTATAAGAGATATGGTTTGCAAATATTTTCTTCCATTCTGTGGGTTGCCTTTTCATTTTGTTGATTGTTTCCTTGGCTAGGCAGAAGATTTTTAGTTTGAGGTACTCCTGCTTGTTTATTTTTGCTTTTGTTGCCTGTGCTTTTGTTGTCATATCCAAAAAATCATTGTCAAGGCCAATGTCAAGGAGCTTTTTCCCTATATTTTCTTTTAGGAGTTTAGTGATTTCAGGTCTTACATTTAAGTCTTTAATCCATTTTGAGTTAATGTTTGTGTATGTCATAAGGTAAGAGTCTAGTTTCATTATTTTGCATGAGGATGTCTAGTTCAACACCATTTATTGAAGAAACTATCCTTTTCCCATTGTGTATTCTTGGGACCCATTTCAAAGATTAGTTGACTATAAATGCATGGGATTATTTCTGGGCTATCTATCTTATTTCATTGGTTTCTGTGTCTGTTTTTATGTCAGTACCATAGTGTTTTGATTACTATGGCTTTGTAATATAGTTTGAAATCAGGAAGTGTGATGCCTCTAGCTTTGTTTTTCTTTCTCAAGATTACTTTGGCTATTCAGGGTCTTTTGTTGTCTCATACAAATTTTAGGATTTTTTTATGTTTCTTTTAAAAATGTCATTGGAATTTTCATAGGGATTGTATTGGATCTATAGCTCACTTTGAGTAGTATAGACATGTTAATAATGTTAATTTTTCCAGTCCATGAACACAGGATATCTTTCAACTTATTTGTGGCTTCTTCGATTTTTTTCAATGTCTTACAGTTTTTGGTATACAGATCTCTCACCTCCTAGGTTAAATTTATTCCTAAGTATTTTATTCCTTTTAGTGATATTGTAAATTGAATTGTTTTCCTTCATTTCTTTTTTGGATAGTTTATTGTCAGTGTATAGAAATGCAACTGATTTTTGTATGTTCATTTTATATCCTGACACTTTACTGAATTCATCTATTAGTTCTAACAATTTTTTGGTGGAGGCTTTAGGGTTTTCTATATAAGATTATGTCATCTGCTAACAGAGACAATTTAACTTTTTTCTTTCCAATTTAGATGCCTTTTATTTCTTTTTCTTGTGTAATTGCTCTTGGTAGGACATCCAGTACTGTGTTGAATAGAAATGGCAGAATGAGCACCCTTGCCTTGTTTCTAATCTTAGAGGAAAAGCTTTCAGCTTTTCACCATTGTGTATGATGTTAGCTGTGGACTTTTCATATATGGCCTTTATTATGTTGAGATCCATTCCTTCTATGTCTAATTTGCTGAGAGTTTTTATCATGGAAAGATGTTAAATTTTGTCAAATGCTTTTTCTGCACCTATTGAGATGATCTTATGATTTTTATTCTTCTTCTCTTAATGTGGTATATTACATTTATTGACATATGCATGTTGAACCACCCCTGCATCCCAGGGATAAATCCCACTTGATCGTGGTGTACGCTCCTTTTAATGTGCTGTTGAATTTGGTTTGCTAGTATTTTGTTGAGGATTTTTTGCATCTATGTTCATCAGGGATATGGGCCTGTAATGTTCTTTTCTGGGACTATCCTTGCCTAGCTTTGGTATCAGGGTAGTGCTTGCATTGTAAAAGGAGTTTGGAAGTGCTCCTGCCTTTTCAGTTTTCTGGAAGAGTTGGAGAAGGATTGACATTAATCCTTTTTTTTTTTTTTCTTTTGACACACACTTTCACTCTGTTGCCCAGGCTGGAGTGCAATGGCGCGATCTCGGCTCACTGCTCCCTGGTTCAAGCAATTCTCGTGCCTCAGCCTCCCGAGTAGCTGGGACTACAGGAGCACGCCACCATGCCTGGCTAATTTTTGTATTTTCAGCATGTTGGCCAGGCTGGTCTCAAACTCACCATGTTGGCCGAGCTGGTCTTGAACTACTGACCACCTAGGAAGCTGTCTGGTCCTGGGCTTTTCTTTGTTAGGAGGTTTTTGATTATCGATTAAATTTCATTTGTCATTGATCTGTTTAGATTTTCTTCCTTCATAATTTATTCTTGGTAGGTTGTATGTGTCTAGAAACATATGCATTTCTTCTAGGTTATCCAATTTGTTGGCATATGATTGTTCATGGTAGTCTTTTATGACCTTTATATTTCTGTGTCATCAGGTGTAATGTCTTCTCTTTTATTTCTGATTTTATTTATTTGATATTGTGTCTCTTTTTTCCTTGGTTAGTTTAGCTAAGGGTTTGTTACTTTTGTTTATCTTAGGGTTATTTTATTCTTTTTTTTCTAGTTTCATGGGATGTAAAGTTAGGTTATTGATTTGTGACATTCCTTTTTTCTTTATGTAGGTATTTATCATGATAAACTTTCCCCTTAGAACTGTTTTTGCTGCATTCTATAAGTTTTGGTATGATGTGTTTCCATTTTCATTTGCCTCAAGATACTTTTTGATTTCCACTTTTAACTCTAACATAAGTGACGAAAGTACTAAAAATAACTACAGCTACAATAATTTGTTAATGGATACATGATATAAAAAGATATAAAGTTAAAAGTGATTTACACACTACCATTGCAGTATTCTGAGTATTTTGGATTTGATGATATATTTACCTTTACCAGTGAGTTTCATATTTTTATATGTTTTAATGTTGTTATTTAGTATCCTTTCATTTCAACTTAAACACCTTTCTTTAGCATTTCTTGTAAGGTAGGTCTAGTCGTGATGAAATCCTTTATCTTTTATTTGTCTGGAAATGTCTTTTTTTCTTGTTGTTAGAGATGGGGTCTCATTTTGTCACCTATGCTGAAGTGCAGTGGCATGCTCATAGCTCACTGAAGTTTGAACTCCTGGGCTCAAGCGATCTTCTTGCCTTAGCTTCCCAAGTAGCTGGAAGTCCAAGTAGCTGGACATCACCATGCCTGGGTAATTTTATTATTTTTATTTTTGTAGAGACAGAGTCTCACTATGTTGCCCCAGCTGGTCTCAAACTGGCCTCAAGCAATCCTCCCACCTCAGCCTCCCAACATGCTGGGATTACAGACATGAGCCACCATGCCTGGCTTTGAGAATGTCTTTATTGTTCCTTCATTTATGAATGACCACTTTGCTGGTTATAGTATTCTTCATTGGCAGTTTTTTCATCTTTTAGCACTTTGAATGTATCATCCCACTCCCTCCTGGCCTGCAAGATTTCTGCTGAGAAGTTTGCTGATGAGGTTCCCTTGTATGTGGTGAGACTCTTTTCTCTTAATGCTTTCAATATTCTCTGTTGTCTTTGACTTTTGACAATTTGATTATAATGTGCTTCAGGATATTCTTCTTTGAGTTGATCTTGCTTGGGATCCTCTGAGCTTCATGAATCTTGATGTCCATTTCTTTCCTAGGATTTGTGAAGTTTCCAACCATTATTTCTTGAAATAATCTTTCTGTTTCTTTCTCTCTCTTTTTCTTCTCCTAAATTATGGGACACCCATAATTAGTAGATTCATTTGCTTATTGTGTCCCATAGGTTCCTTATGCTTTCTTCACTCATTTTCATTTTTTTTCTTTTTTTGTTTCTCTAATTGGCTAATTTCAAATTACCTATCTTTGTGTTACCCATTTCTTTCTTCTGCATGATCAAGTCTGCTATTGAAACTCTTTCTTTTAGTTTTCAGTTCTGTCATTGTATACATCAGCTCCAGGATTTCTGTTTGGGTCCTTTTTGTGGTTTTTATTTCTTTATTAAACTTCTCATCTCATTTATGTGTTGTTTTTCTGATTTTGTTCAGTTGTCTGTGTTCTCTTACAACTCACTGCACTTCAGGATGATTATCTTGAATTCTTCTTCAAGCCTTTAATAGATCTCCATTTATTTGGGCTGTTACTGGAATTATACTAGTTTTCTTCCATGATGTCATGTTTGCTGGATTATTTGTTATTTGTATAGCCTTTCACTGGTTTCTGTGCATTTGAAGGAGCAAATCAGTCTTTATAGAGTGATTTCAGCAGGTTTATGGGGGGGCTTCTGCTAGGTCACTGGGTGGGTCCCTGGGCAGGCAGGACAGGCCCGGGACTGTGGCTGAGAAGGGCTAGAACCAAGTCATAGAACTGCCTCAAGGTCTATAGCCAAGACTGAGGCCTGCGGGCCTGCCTCCATGGGCATGGACAGGTGTGCCTCCTGCCAGGTTCCTGGGTGGACAGGACTGCCCTGTACAGTTGAATGGAGCTGGACCCAAGTTACAGGGCTGTTTCAGGATCTGCTGTGATACCAAGGTTAGCAAGCTTGCTTCCTATGGCACAGACAGGCATGACTCCCAGCAAGCCCCTGGGAAGGCATAATTGCTCCCATACCACAGCAGAGTGTGACCAGAGCTGAGTTATAAGGCTGCTTCAGGGTATACTGCTGGGACCAAGATTGGCAGTCCTGTAACTTGAGGCACAGATGGTTGTGACTCCTCCTGGATGCCTTGGAAGATGATTTTGGTGGCAGAATCATGACCAAATGGCATTGTAGCTGAGTTTACAGGGGGATGAGGCTATTTCCAGGTCTGTAACCTTCACCACAGTCAACAAGCCTGGGTGTGGGCCTGCCCTCTCAAAACAGCCTTCCTTGGTGTTGGACTCTACTAGAGTTTTGCAACATCCTACCTGGGTCCAAAATTCCCACAAAGGTACTTTGGTCCATGGATGGCTGCCAGATTCTTGTTGCTCTGGAGAGATGTGATGGACTTCCCATTCACCATCTTGTTGATGTCATACTTGAGTTAATTTTTATAGAGCCTGAAGTTTGGGTCAAGATTCATTTTGCCACATATGGACATCAAATTTTCCTACACCGTTCCTTGAAAAGACTTATTCATCCTCCATGGAATTGCTTTTTCATCTTTGTCAAAAATCAATTGACCATATTCATGTGTTTATTTCTTGACTCTTTTCTGTTCTGTGGATCAATATATCTATTCCTTCACAAATACATCACTGTCTTGATTGCTCTAGTCTTATACTAAGTCTCAAAATCAGATGGTATAATTCCTTTAACTTTATTCGTTCTCAAAATTGTTTTAATTATTTGTAGTTTCTTTGTTTTTCTATATAAATTTTTGAATCAGCTTGTTTATTGCTACAAAAACTCTTGATGGAGGTTTTTTAATTAAACTTTTTATTTTGAAAAAACAAGATTATTTTAATAAAGTCTTGTTTAATCTTCATCTACATCTACCCATTGTCAACATTTTACGTTTGATTTATCTTTAAATGTAAAAATGTAAGTATATACATATATGTTTGTATTTGAGAATACATCACAGAGATTACAACCTTTTGCTTCTAAATAGTTTTTAGCGTGTATTTTGCAAGAAAAACGATATTCTCTTCCCTTATAGCACCCACAATGCTATTACCAAATTTGGGAAATTTAATATTTATGCGAAACTATTACCTAATATAGCCTGACTGTGATTTTTACTTGAATTGCATTATACTTATAGATCAATCTGGGGAGAATTGGCATCTTTACTGTGTTGAATCTTCCAATCTGTGAACATGGTATGTCTCTAATTATTTAGATCTTTTATTTTATTCATCAGCATTTTACAGTTTTTAGCCTATGAATCCTGTATGGTTTACTAGATTTATTCCCAAACATTTTATTTTTGAAGGTATTTAAATGGTATTTTTTTTAAAATTTCTATTTTCAATTCTTCTCTGCTAGTATATAGAAATGTGATTAATTTTTATGCATGATCTTGTATCCTGTGACTGGCTAATCTCATTTGTTAGTGCTTGGAGGTTTTTGTTTTATTTAAAGTAGAGTCCTTGGGATTTTCCATACATACTATCATGTCATCTACAAGTAAGGACAGTTTTATTTCTCTTTTTTTCCGATCTGTATGCATTTATTTCTTTTTTTCTTTTTGCCATATTGCATTTGCTAGGGCTTTTAGCATACCGTTGAATACAAGTGGTGAGAGTGGACATCCTTGCTTTGTTTCTAATCTTAGGGAGAAAGCATTTCATCTTTCATGATCAAGTGTGATGTTAACTGTAGGGTTTTTTTTTTTTTTTTTTTGTAGATGCCCTTTATCAGGTTGAGGAAGTTCCCTTCTATTCCTAGTTTGCTGAGAGATTTTATCATGATTACATGTTGAAGTTTGTCAATTGATATGATTACATGGGGTTTTTTCATGCTTAGATGGTTAGTATGGTAGTTTACATTGATTTATTTTCAAATATTTACACTTGCCTTCCTGGATAAAGGCCACTTGGTCATGGTGCATTACTCTTTGTAATGTATTGCTGGATTCAATTTGTTAATATTTTGTTGCTTTTTTCATTTATATATATGAGGGATCTTAGTCTGTAGTTTTCTTTTCCTTTTTTGTACTATCTTTGTCTGATTTTGGTATCAGGATGTGGCCTCGTAAATGAGTTGGGAAATGTTCCTTTCTCTTAAGCTTTCTTGCAGAGATTGCATAGAATTCGTGATATTTTTTCTGTAAAATGTTTGTAGAATTTGCTGTTGAAACCATCTGGGTCTGAAAATCTCTTTTTGGAAGGTTTCTAACCTTCTAAAATTAAGATTATAGTGATGGGTTATTTATTTCATGTTAGGTGAGTTTTGATTGATTGTAGTTGTCAAGGAGGTCTCCAAATATAATTGCTAATTTGTCTATTTTTCTTTTCAGCACCATCAGTTTTTGCATCATATATTTTGCAGTTCTATCATTTGATGCATGCACATTTAGGATAGTTGTTTTCTTGGTGAATCAGCCCATTTATCATTACATAATGTCACTCTTTATCCCTGATCCTGACTTTAAAAAAAGTTAAACCTGTACAGCCTCAAATTGCTAATGATTACTAGCTTAAGTTAAAAATGGTACCAATATGACCTAAGTGGGTCCTTTCTTCAAATCATCTCTGATTCCTCTCACTTGCTCACTTAGCCCATAGATTAATAGCCAATATCTATTGTACACTTATCATGTAAAACTGTTTCACATGGCATAGTTTATTTAATCTTCATAAAGACCCCATGAGAACAGTAATCATTATCATTTTGTGGATGAGGACCTGAGGTTCAGAGTGATTACATTGTTCCAAGATTAGACAGCTAGCAGGTGAGTGGCCAGGGCTGAAAACCAAGATTGTCTTACCCCAGAGACTGTACCCTTAACCACTAAGCTCTAGCTGTTACTTCCCTTTAGTCATTTACCAATTCTTGCCAGTTCTGCCTTCCAGATATCTTTCAAATTATTCTATTTCCCACCTCCATGCTACCACTTGGTCAAAGCCACCATTATCTCTCACCTGGATGACTACCAGTGTCTTCTAAATAGGCTGCCTGCTTCCATTTGAGCCATGATGCAGCCAGTGCATTAAATGCAAGTCTGTCTCTATCAATCTATAGCATGTAGCCAAGGACATGGCTGGTTTATCAAAGAGGCATATCTGTGGCTTTATGATTACTTACTGTATCTAAGTTAACTATAAATATAAGAACCTGTGGGAGTATATGGTAATTTAACAATTCAACAATAAATATGGTTTCCTGTGGCCCTTAGGATCAAGTCCAGTCTCCTAACCCTGGCTTAGAAGGGTTAGGAGATCTTGGTGATCTAGTCTCTGGCCACCACCTTGTTCTTTGCATTCCACCATGCTATTTTTTTCAGCTCCTTCAAGTGCTCTCTAGCTTCAGGGCTTCTCTGCCTGCGGTCCCCTTTGCCTGGAAAACTCTCTCTTCAGCTCTGTGTCTGGCTAGTTCCTATTCATCTTTCAGGCCTCAAGATAAATGTCATAGGTTCAATATTTTTAGGCCATCTTTGACTTCTTTCCCTTTCCAAACAAACAAACAAACAAACAAACAAACAAACAAAAAACTTCTCCTATCCGTCTTCCTGCCTCTGTCCCCATTGCTACTGCTATGGTCCAGGACTTGATTTTTTTCTAGTCTGGACTGCAGCCTTTTGTCTGCCCTTCAGCTATGGGTTTCTTCCCCTCCAATCCATTTCCCACACCTCTGCCAGAAATTTTTAAAAAGCACAATCACATAATGTTGTTTGCTTCCTCCAAAACCATCAATATTTTCCAACTGCTGACAGAATAAAGTCTGAACACATTGGCTTGGTATTCAAGGCCCTCACTGGCCTAGCCCCACGTGTCTTCCTAGCCTCATCTCTCAGTAGCCGTACTCACATTCCTTATGCTGCAGCCTAGTATTTCTCAAAGTGTTTCGTAGCCTAGTGTTCCCATGCCCTGTAGGGACATTAGATGATCCAAGGTGGTGTATGGATAAAAAGTTATTTTAATGCATAGAGAATAAAAGCAAATTCATGGTAGCGATATAAAATTTCCTGTTAAAATACATTAATTTAGGCTACAGAGATGACTTAATTTGAAGGAAAAGTATGTTAAGTAATAATAGCATAGGTGGTACACAGCTGTGGAAAGAGCCAGAAGATGGGACACAAATGGCTAAAGTATGGGAAACGGGCCCGACCACCTTTGTCTACTTCCCATTCCCTCAACTCACCATGTAATTCACATTTCTGTGCCTTTGATGATACTGTTCCCTTATTTTTATTACTCTCTTTCCAACTTTCTGCTTATCAAAATTCTCTCAGGCTTTATGGTTTAGCTCAAATGACACTTCCTTGTGATATCTTTGCTCATCTCCCGGTCAGAATTGAGGACTCCCTCTTCTGCACACTCCCAAGACATTACTCGTGCTTCTTTCTGGTTCTGGTTCATTTTGTTTGATGGTGTAATTAGTACCTCATATGTCTGTCTCTCTCCCTATCAGACAGTAAGTTTGGCCTTTAGCACAGTGCCAAACACAGAGAGATAGCTTATGATAAATGTTCATTACATTGAATTATAGTAAAGGAAGAAGTTCAATTTCACAATTCTCCAAGTTGCAGGTGAAAGTTAATAGGAAGAGAAACCGTATTCCAAACAAGGAAAGGCTATCTGAAGTTATAAGGTGTGCATGTGTGTGTAAGGATATAGGCAACGAGTTATTTCCAGTGTAAGGTGAAAACCTATAATTCTTATGGGTGAAAACATTATGTTTCATGTTTCGGGGCAATGACCTAAATCTGAATGTTGGCAATGCTTGCCTAATCTAGTCAGTTGGCTCAATGCCTTCAGAAATTTAAAAAAAAAAAACAAAAAAACAAAACAAAAAAAAAACAAAAGTAGTTTGTCAAAGAGGAATTTCTGTGGCTTTGTGATTACTTGTTGGATCCAAATAAACTATAAATATAAGAACTTGTAGGAGTGACAGGTAATTTAATAATTCAGTAAACATTGATGAGCCTACCTCATATGAAATCTCTATGTTAAAAGCCATGGGGACAGGGTTGGGAACTGGAAAGGGGAGGGTGAAAGGAGTAAATATGGAAATGATGAAAATAATGCAAGCATGGTCCTTGATACCATGTATTGACCATTTGTTGTGAAACAGCACTCTGTTCAGCACTTAATGTATATTATCTCATTTAATGTTCTTGCAGTCCTCATAGGTGGATAATTTTATTATCTCGTTTTACAGATGAAGAAACTAAGAATCAGAGAGATCATGTATCTTTACTCCAAGCTGTAGGAAAAAAAGTAGATAGCATTCATTATGTGCCAATAACTATTTTAAGTACCTCATGTGTATTAACTCACATTAATACGTGTGGAAAACAAAATTCCTGTCTTGGAGAAGCTCTGGGTTTCTTGTGAAAGATAAGGTTCAAAGTTGAATTTTGGAGGAAAGGTAGGATTTTTGTCAGATGGATTGGTAGAGGAAGGGTCCTCCATGCACAAAGAAGAGCCTGAACAAAGTCCAGGAGATGGGAGAGTCCAAGGCCTGGGAGTAACATCATTACCTGCAAAAACACAGGCAGCCTAAGGAAGCCGTGGTACAGGAGATGAAGCTGGGAAGGAAACTGGAGAGATTAGGCCTGATGCTGAAGGAAATGAATAGCCAGTAAAGGTTAGTAAGCAGAGAGCAGAAGAGTAGCATGATCGTGTCTGTTTCAGGAAGATAATCTGGAATAACTGTGAGAGCAAGAGAAACTATAGGCAAAGAGATCAGCTAAGAGTTTTGGCATTCAGATGAAAGCCAATGGGAACCTGAAATAGGCTACTATTTCACATACCAATTTGAAAGTCACCAAGGAGGTAGAATTTTTCAGCCCAACGCAGCTGAGTTGATGCTGGGGTGATGGAAGGGGATTAATGAAAGATGCCGTGATGGGGTATGTGGGAATGCTGGGAATGCATCAAAGTCTAGGCCAGGCATGGTGGCTCACTCCTGTAATGCCAGCATTTTGGGAGGCCAGGGCAGGAGGATCCCTGGAGTCCAGGAGTTCGAGACCAACCCAGGCAACATAGTGAGACCTCGTCTCTACAAAAAAATTTAAAAATTAACCAAGCATGGTGGTGCACACTTGTAGTCCCAGATACTCGGGAAGCTGAGGCAAGAGGATCGCTTGAACCCAGGAGTTCGAGGCTGCAGTGAGTTATGATCATACCACTGCACTCCAGCCTCAGCCTGGGAGACAGAGCAAGACTCTGTCTCCAAAAAAAAAGAAAGAAAATAAGAAAAAGAAAAAGCCTGTATCTGCTTTAGTTATCATTATTCTTCCTGAAGATGTAATAAAGTCAGTGTCTAAGGTGTCTGCCTCAGAGGAGTGGTTGTCACTCCTCTCTTGATCAAGTGGCAAGATTGACAAGGTTGGTAGTATCTTATCAGGTGTGGTGGTTGGGCTCCAAGTAGTCAATTTCGGTAGTTAAAAGGAAGAAAATTAACATGTATTGAGGATTTTCTCACCTCAAAGATCTCTGGAACAGTCTTGAGAGGCAGGTACTATGCTGTTTCTGTTATGGTACAGGGTGAATGACTTACTTGCTCAAGGTCACATAGAAAATAACAGAGACTCACTTGCATAAGGTCTCATAGCAAGTAAGTGACAGAACTGGTCTGAAGACTATGTTCTATTTTTATTTATTTATTTTGAGACAGGATCTCACTCTGTCACCCAGGCTAGAGTGCAATAGCGTGATCACAACTCACTCTAACCTTTACCTCTTAGGCTCAAAGGAGCCCCCCATTTCAGCCTGCACAATAGCTAGGACCACAGGCATGCACCACCATGCCTGGCTAATTTTTTGATTTTTTTTTTTTTCTGTAGAGATGGAGTCTCACTGTGTTGCCCAAGCTGGTCTCAAACTCCCAGGCTCGAGCGATCCTCCCACCTCGGCCTCCAAAAATATTTGGATTACAGGCATGAGCCACTGCACCCAACCTGTTCTATTTTTTACAGTACCAGAAACCAGAGAAAGAGGGCAGGCCCACACACCCAAAAAGGATGTCCAAGGGAGAGAAAAAAGAATAAGAGTGAATTTAAAGATTTCTGCTGAGGAAGAAGAAATCTGGAAGACCTTCAAGTTAGTGTCAAGCTTGGTCTTGCATGAAATATAATAATGATAAGAAAGGGCTCCTGTTCTCATGGAGCTTATTGGGTAGAGGGCACCAAAGATATAATGGCTGCTACCCAGCCATTCTTACAAAATGCTCTAGACTTTCAGAGGCGATATAGTCTTGGGTTGTCTGGAAAATGTTACAGAGAAGATATGACTTGAGTAATATCTAAAAGGAGGCGCTGTCCCTGGATAGTCCAGGAAGAGCTATCATGCCATCTTTCCACTGGCAGGAGTAGTGGGAGTAGTGGGAGCAGAGGTGAAGGAGTGGGAGAGTACATTTCCTGTTTGTTTAGTGAATAGATTGCCTGGAACGCAAGGCAATCACGTAGGGAAGAGTAGGAGGACGAGCTGGCAAGGGGTTAACACCAGAGAATGGAGGAGGGCTTTGAATGCCCAGTCTGATACCTTTATACATCATCACTTAGGCAATGGGAAACCACTGACTATTTTTGAGCAGGAGAGGGATGTAATCAAATATGCTTTTGAGGCGGTGGCTCACGCCTGTAATCCCAGCACTTTGGGAGGCTGAGGAGGGCAGATCACCTGAGGTCAGGAGTTCGAGACCAGCCTGGCCAACGTGGCAAAACCCTGTCTCTACTAAAAATACAAAAGAAATGGTCGGGCGCGGTGGCTCACGCCTGTAATCCCAGCACTTTGGGAGGCCGAGGCAGGCGGATCACAAGGTCAGGAGATCGAGACCATCCTGGCTAACACGGTGAAACCCCATCTGTACTAAAAAAATACAAAAAACTTAGCCGGGCATCGTGGCGGGCACCTGTAGTCCCAGCTACTCGGGAGGCTGAGGCAGGAGAATGGCGTGAGCCCGGGAGGCGGAGCTTGCAGTGAGCCGAGATCGCGCCACTGCACTCCAGCCTGGGCGACAGAGCGAGACTCTGCCTCAAAACAAAAACAAACAAACAAAAAATTAGCTGGGTGTGGTGGCACACACCTGTAATCCCAGCTACTCAGGAGGCTGAGGCAGGTGAATTGCTTGAACCCGGGAGGCAGAGGTTGCAGTGAGCCGAGATTGCCCCACTGCACTCCAGCCTGGGCAACAGAGTAAGACTCCGTCTCAAAAAAAAAAAAAAAAAAAAAAAAAAAAGATGCTTTTGAAAGACCTCCAGAAGTAAGCACTGGAATAGATTGGAGAGGGTGGAGATCAGAGGTTAGACGATCAGGAAAAAGGATATTGAGATAGTTTAGGGGGATGGTGATACAAGCCCGGAAGAGATGAGGGAAAGCCATCCTCTGAATGAAAGCTGGCTCTCAGAGGGGCTGTCAGAGCCACAGCCTAATTTTAAGGACATGAATATTTGTGTTCCAAATCTCCTCCAAGCCATTTTCTCGTTCCTCTCTTCTTGCTTCCTCCTTCCTTCTTGTCCCTCTGCCTTTCCTCCATTTTCTCTATTTCCTCCCCATTACTTCCAGTAATGCTCAGTAATCAGCTATGATTCTGAACATCATTTGGGAAGGAGGGGAAGCACTGAGGGAGGCTCTGAGCAAGATAGAAGGAAGGAAGGAAAGAAGGTGAGAAAGAAAAGGAGGAAGGAAAGATAGGCGAGAAAGAAGAGGAGGAAGGAAGGGAGGAAGGCAGACATTTCTGTAGGAGCATTTCCCATGGACCAGACTGAGAGGATGGGGATACTGAGACTTAGAGGGATTGCAGTACTTGCTTGGAGTCACATAGCTAATTGCCATCTAAGTCTGATGAACTCCAGAACTCATGTCCTGTTTGCCATTCCACGGTGATTCCCTTTCCTGTCTCCCCTGATCTGTTCAACTTATGTAATAATTTCTTATTCCGATACCCTAATATCACTTTGTCATGGCTCTTTCACTCACCACAGTCTGTCTTACATTATAGTGATCTGTGTATATGTCCAGCACTGGCACATAAAATGCGGACAATGATTGAATGAATGATTGGTTTATCTCTGTTACTAGATAGTAAGGAGGCTGCAAGGATCTCACAGCAAGGACAGCCCAAGATCATATCATTAGTATTTAATCTATAACTGTTGGATTGAACATATTTGAATGTCTTAGGCACCTCTGTGGGCATCACGCCCTGTTGGACACTGAAGCTACCTTGGTAACCTTCAAGACCCAGGATTTGTGTTGTAATTTCTAGCATAATCACTAAAAGAACAGAAACAAGATGTATAGCACCTAAACTAGAAGAGAAAGACAAATGGAATGGTAAAGCTAATCAGTCTAAAAGAAGTCAAATCAAATGGCCAACAGGCACATGAAAAGATGCTCAACATTACTGATCATCAGGGAAATGTAAAGCAAAACCACAATGAGATCATCTCACACCCATTGGGATGGCTATTATTTAAAAAACAGAAAATAAGAAGTATAGGTGAGGATGTGGAGAAATTGAAACTCTTGTGCACTGTTGGTGGGAATGTGAAATTGTGCAGCCATTGAGGAAAACAGGATGGCAATTCCAAAAAATAAAAATAAAAACAGAATTACTGTGTGATCCAGGAATTCCATTTCTGGGTATATATCAAAAGCATTGAAAGCAGAGTCTCAAAGAGATGTTTGTACATCTATGTTCATAGCAACATTACTCACAATAGCCAAAACGTCAAGGCAACCTAAATGTCCATCAATAGATGAATGGAAAACAATATGTGGCATATCCACACAAGGCACCGTATAACTCAGCCTTTCAAAGGAAATAAATTCTGACCCATGATACCACATGGTGAGCCTTAAAGCCATTATACTAAGTAAAATAAGCCAATCATGAAAGGACAAACACTGGAATAATAATTCCAATTATATGAGGTACCTAGAATAGGCAAATTCATAGAGACAGAAAGCAGAATGGTGGTTGCCAGGGGCTGGAGGGAGGGGGAATTAGGGAGTTATTGTGTAATGGATACAGAGTTTCAGTTTGGGAAGATAAAATTCTGGAGATGGATGGTGGCCATGCATTGTGAATGTACTTAATGACATGTACTTAGAGCATACTTAGAAATGGTTAAAACGGTAAATTTTATGTTCTAGGTATTGTACCACAATAAAAATAACTTTTAAAAATGAAGGTGAAAAAAAATCCCGTTTATTCTTTATTTTTATTTTTATTTTTTATTTTTTACTTTTTTTGTTTGAGACAGAGTCTTGCTCTGTCACCAGGCTGGAGTGCAGTGGCGCAATCTTGGCTCACTGCAACCTCTGCCTCTCGGGTTCAAGTGATTCTCCTTCCTCAGCCTCCCGAGTAGCTAGGACTACAGGCACGCGCCACCACACACAGCTAATTTTTCTATTTTTAGTAGAGATGGGGTTTCATCATGTTGGCCAAGATGGTCTCGATCTCTTGATCTTGTGATCCACCCGCCTCGGCCTCCCAAAGTGCTGGGATTACAGGCGTGAGCCACCGCACCTGGCCCCATTTATTCTTATGTGTTTCCACTGAAGACCCATAGGTATCATCCCCACTCCACTCCTCCAGCTCTTCTGGGACAACTAGAAACCGTTGAGATTTGGGGGTAAAGGGGCATTACTTGGAGGCTAATCCTCACCTTCTTGGTCCCTCACATATCCAGTTGTCTGATACACTCTCTACCCTATACCCAGCAGGACACAGTGTCCTTTGAGAGGGGAAATGAAATAGAGAAAAATATATATGAGAAAGTATCATTTTCTGGCAGAAAAATGAGTACATTTTAATTAGAAACACTGCCTCGGCCCGGCGCGGTGGCTCATGCCGGTAATCCCAGCCAGCACTTTGGGAGGCCTAGGTCGGCGGATCACCTGAGGTCAGCAGTTTGAGAACAGCTTGGCTAACATGGCGATACCCCGTCTCTACTAAAAATACAAAAATTAGCTGTGCGTGGTGGCACACACCTGTAGTCCCGGCTACTCGGGAAGCTGAAGCAGGAGAATCGCTTGAACTCGGGAGGCGGAGGTAGCAGTGAGCCAAGATCCTGCCATTGCACTCCAGCCTGGGCGACAAGAGTGAAACTCCATCTCAAAAAAAAAAAAAAAAAAAAAAGCTGCCTCAGAAGAGCATTCTTGGGTGGGACAGGCCCTACACCTAAAAGGACCCGCTCACATAGCTCATCCTCTCTTGACCTCTTTCCCCTGCTCTCTCTGCCCCATCTCTGCCCACTCTTTCTGGGACCCGGATTTGACACGGTTGCTGCCACCCCAATAGCAAGTCTCTTAGGACATTCCTGTGCTCCTCACTTTCCTGGCTGAGGGTCAGAACTTATCAAAGGGGTCTTTTTGAGGAAGTTAGGGGAAATGCAAAGGAAAACAAAAGGAAACTATGAAAGTCTAGAAACAACTAAGTTTACTAACAAAATGACTTTCTTCTCTCGATATAGCTAAAGTCAAGCCATCAATGGGCTTAGCATGTTTTGATTTTAATAAGGCTTAATAAGTCTGCATTTTGAGAAGGCTGTGGACCCCTCTGGCAGTCTGGTGAAGCCATGGACCCTTTCTCTGAATAATATGTTTAAATGCACAAAATAAAATACGCAGATTTACAAAGGAAACCCATTATATTAAAATTCAGTTATCAAAATATTACCCACAATATAATATAGTAACATATGTGCTTCTTGATGTATGCATTAAATAACCAGATCTAACAGCAGTGCCAATAACTACTGGAATTTTGAAGTAGTCGTGAACATAAATGAAATTTCGAGATGCCTGCAACAACTATAATATGAAATGCAAATCTCTGTGATGTCTGTTACTGACACTCACAGGTACTCCTAACACTTCGTGGTTTATTGCCTACATTCATCATTGAAGGAAATACTACATTTCAGTTAGAGGTTAGTGGAAAGAAAGAGGCAGTTTTATTCATCCCAATTCAAAGTAACCCCCATCCACCCTGAATTTTTGGTCTATAGGACCCTGGTTGAGAGCCTCTGCTCTAAGGGTCATATAGCCTCCCATGGGTTGGAACCAGCTGTCTCCTACCTGTCTCATCCTTCAGGATGACATTATTTCTCCTCATCCAGTTTTCAAGCTTGCACCTGTAATTGACCACCCCCAAATCCCTGGTTTCTGGCAGGGAAAATCTTGGAGCTGTCAGCCCGTTTGCCGTTTGCACTCCAGCCTGGGCGACAAGAGTGAAACTTCATCTCAACAACAACAAAAAAAAGCTGCCTCAGAAGAGCCTTGGGTGGGAGAGGCCCAACATTGTTGACTTCTGTGCTGTGAGTCCACAGAACAACTGGCTCTTTCTCAAAATTCTGTCTGAGATGTCACTCAGGCAGCCCTCAGATTTTCCAGAATTGTCTCACCATAACCATAGACTAGAAAATCACCCTACACCTACCTAGTAACACCAACTCTGTAAGCCACCACCACTTCTGCCCTGTCCCTGAATATGACTCTTTTCAGCTAGTTCATAGGGGACAGCTCCTGAGAAGACTGGAGTGATTTTTTTTTTTTTTTCATCTTGAGACGGAGTCTTGCTCTGTCACCCAGGCTGGAGTGCAGTGGCACGATCTTGGCTCACTGCAAGCTCCACCTCCCGGGTTCAAGTGATTCTCCTGTCTCAGCCTCCCAAGTAGCTGGGATTACCAGTGCATGCCACCATGCCTGGCTAATTTTTGTATTTTTTTTTTTTTCAGTAGAGACGAGATTTCACAATGTTGGCCAGGCTGGTCTCAAACTCCTGACCTCAGGTGATCCACCTGCCTCGGCCTCCCAAAGTGCTGGGATTATAGGCCTGAGCCACCGTGCCTGGCCTGGAGTAATCTTTAAACCAGAACAGCTGCAGCCTCACTCCTGGCCTTTGTGCCAGCCAGATCCTTCCCAGAGGGTGGAGATCACCCAGATGATCTCTTTGGAACCCTCCTCATCTGGAGATTGGCCACTCTTTTGGTTTGTTCCCCATGTGCTCTCCAGCCCTTGGGGTTCACTCACCTAAAAATATATAGACTGGGATCCATTGCAAAACAAAGAAGGTTTGGAGGCCCTCCTGGAGATTCAGTCGGGAGAAGAAAGCCATGGTTATGGTGCTGTTCTGTTGTGGCAAGAAGCCTAACCAGAAGGTCAAAACTTCTTAAGCTGAGTTGATTATAGATGCTTTGCTATAATCTCTTACTGTGGAGTAAGATTAGCTGCTGGGGTTTTGTCAGGCTTGACCAAACTTTTCCTCCACTGCCCCGCCCCAACTTCCTACCCACACATCAGGTTGCAGATCAGGCAATATAATTGATCTCCCCAGTAGTATCCTTTCTCCACGTGTGCCCAATTGTAATGAAGCAGAAATGGCCCTGGGGCGGCTCTAGCTGTGGGGGAGGGGCACTCTTGATAAATCAGCGCAGGAAGAGAGTATCTTGGGCCTCAAATAGGACCTCCGAAAAGCACCCCACTACCTTTCCCTGCTTAAGAAAAGGGACTTGGCAGCCACACTTGTTCCTGCCCTAGTGGTTACCCTTTGTCTCCTCTTGTCTTCTGCTGAGTCACCTAGCCCACTGGGGCTGTTTTTCTGCACCGGATATCTGTTAATAGACTCTTCAGATCCCTCTTTGTGCCTCTAGTCCCAAGGGACCTGCCTCAGTGGCCAGATACCTTATCATAGAGCGGGAGAAACATTGCACAGAAGGAAGACCTGGCTCCCAGTCCCAGCTCTGCCATGCTCTTCCTGTGACACCTTTGGAAAATGTTACATCTCTCTAGAGCTCAGTTTGAGCATTCATTGCTAGAATGTAATATAGGTTAGGGGCATAGACTTTAGAGCCAGATAGCTGGGGTTCACATCTCAGCTCTGTCACTTACAAGGTGGTGAACCTCTATGCCCCAGTTTCTCCATCTGTAAAAGTGGGACTATAATAGTACCTACTTCTTAGAGTAGTTCTGAGGATTAGATAAGTGAATGAATATAAAGTGCTTAGCACACAGCCTGGCACCGTTTCCTGTCATTACTACTCACTGAGTTCAAGTAACACATATTGAACAAGTAACATATGTTTCAGGCTGAGGCTTGCTTCTGTGTAATAGCCTTTGGAAAACTGAAGACTGTTCCCAGGTCTCAGACCGTTTTTTTTCTGTTTGTTTGTTTCGTTTGTTTTTTTTTTTCCAGACAGAGTCTCACTGTGTCGCCCAGGCTGGAGTGCAGTGGCGTGATCTCGGATCACTGCAACCTCTGCCTTCTGGGTTCAAGTGATTCTCCTGCCTCATCCTCCTGCGTAGCTGGGACTACTGGCGTGCGCCACCACGTCCAGCTAGTTTTTGTATTTTTAGTAGTGAGAGAGTTTCACCATGTTGGATATATTTTTTCTGTCACTATCTATTGAGTGACTGCTGTTTGCCAGGCACTGTGTTTAGGTGCTGAGGATTCAGTAGGGAAGAAGACAGACATGATTCTTGCCTTCTTTGAGTCTACAGTCTAGTGGAGGAGACAGACATTAAAACAAAAAAAAAATCACAAAAATGTTAGGCTGGGTGCGGTGGCTCATGCCTGTAATCCTGGCACTTTGGGAGGCTGAAGCGGGAGGGTTACTTGAGCCCAGAAGCTCCAGACCGGCCTGGGTAACATAACGAGATGCCATCTCTACAAAATAAGTAAATAAATAAATAATAAAATAAAATTAAGATAAAATGTCTGTACACTTGAAGTTGCAATGTGTCCTACAGGAAAAGCCCAGTACTCCCAGCAGAAGGCCTTGAATATAGAAGGTAGTCAAAAACATCTGTTAAACATAACTGAAGGGGTTGCTGGGAAAATGAGATACAAAAATGGTATCAAGGGTTCTATAAGTGCAAGGGGGCATTGGTCCCTTTTCCAGGGAGATTGTTGGAACTCTGTCATCTCCCCACCCCCACTCTGCTTTGGGCTTCCCGCATTAGACTGACCAATGTGACTCTTCAGAGCTGAGCTTGGGGAACTTTTCTGGTATGTCAGGGTGTGCTTTCACTCCCCCGTGTGCACTAGATGGTCATCTGACATGCGACACCTTCCTCTTCCTCCTCTTTCTTTTCTTCCCCTTGGGCTAGCTGGGGTTCTCCAGCTGCTTCTTGGGGCTGCTTGACCACATAGAAGGTGAGATGTATCAGAGCGTATCTGCTCAGAATTTGCACGGGAGGAGGGAGGGAGGTAAGAGAGGCAGGCTTGGCTCTGCTCAGGGAAAGCAGAGATATGGAGGGGCTTAGAGTGCCCAGGCCAGACGAGATCCACAGTATCAAGAGCTCCAACGCCCCTTACAGATCAGGTCTCCGCTCCCCTCCACTTTCAGATGGGTGAATGGAGGAGATCTGGAAAGGGCTCAAGGTGATGCAGGAACCAGAGGCAGACAGGGCCAGACAGTTTTCTACCTCTGTCTCCCTAACATCTGGGTCAGGGTCTGGTGCAGAGCAGGCACTCAAGTAAATGTCTGTTGAACCTGTGAGGGAGACCAGGTCTCTTGATGCCTCAGGCAAGATAGACTGACCCAGATTGGCCACCCTTTGCTCCCAAAGACAGAGCACGCTGGCCCAGCTGGAGCTCTCTTGAGCCAAATGGACAAGTATAACATAAACATCAGTGAACAAAGAAAGAGCAAGAAGAAGATAATTAGGCTAGCAGATAAACCCTGAACATCCAGCACTCGTGATTTCCCAGTTACAATTCATCAACCAACAAGCAGAAGCTTGGCAGCCTCAGAGTAAGCAATAAAGAAGGAAGGGTTGCCAAGGAGCACAAAGGGCCTGCCAATTTCATTTGTAGACATTGAAGGTTGACGTGATTCCCACCCTCAAGAAACTCACAGTCCAGTGTTGGAAGTAGGTGTAAAAGCAGACACCTGCATGGGGTGCTGTGGGTTGCACAGACGAGAGAAGCACCTGCCTGCCCTGGGAGGTGAGGGAGGGGTCTGTGGAAGAGGGCCTGCTGCAGTGAGGAGAAATGGATCAGGCGAGAGAGGCCTGGACGGGCAGTCCAAGAGACGGCCGTGAGCTCATCAAACGGGGCTGTGATAAGCTGGACCCCAAAGAAACTTCAAAGGAGCAACAGAAAAACAAAGAAAGGAGAAAAGTGGAAGGAAACAGATCAAGGGGACCGGGACCAGAGAGCTCAGAAAGGGTGGTGGAAGTGAAGGGGTAGCTCTGATTCAAAGCTCTGATTCAGAAAGGGTAGCTCTGATTCAAAGGTTCACCCTCAGCCTTTGGAATGACTCATTTCCAGACAGCTTTGGATAGCTGAGGTTTTGCCATAATTTGTTTTCTTCTGATCTTCTCCCTCTGTCATACCCTTATATGGTTAGGTATTACAATTTCAGCTCAATTGAAAACATTAGGCCCAGGCATGGTGGCTCACGCCTGTAATCCCAGCACTTTGGGAGGCTGAGGTGGGCGCATCACTTGAGTCCAGGAGTTTGAGACCAGCCTGGCCAACATGGTGAAACCCTGTGTCTACTAAAAATACAAAAATTAGCTGAGCATGGTGGTGCAGACCTGTAGTCCCAGCTACTCACTTTGGAGGCTGAGGTGGAAGAATCTCTAGAGCCCAGAAGGTCGAGACTGCAGTGAGCCAAGAATGTACCACTGCACTCCAGCCTGGATGACAGAGCAAGACCCTGTCTTAAACAACAACAATGGAGAACCTATTTAATGCCAAGCACCAGGCTAGGTATTCTAGAAGGAGTGTACCTAATCCCTTCATTCACCAAATTTTTCTTGAGGCCCTACTTACTCTAAGTCTGGTATTGTTCTAGGTTTACAATTGCATGTGTGTTGGGTTATGGGGCAGGGGGCACGGACAGGGAATGAAAGAAGTGCATATGTCATCAATACAAGGATTGGGGCCATCAGAGAATTCCAAAGGAGACAGAGACGAACACTAGCAGCTGTGTGACCTTGGACCAGACACTTCCTCTCTTTGAGTCTTGGTTTCTTCATCTGGTAAAAAGGATGCATCCTATTTCTTTGCTGTGAGATGTAGTGGCAGTGTTTGAAAAGCTTCTCGTGCAGTGTCTGCCATCCAGGAGCTGTTCACTAGCGCTCCTATTCAGCTGTGGGGAGGGAGTATTTGCAATGTGCTCTAACAGGTTGAGAAGTGGGGAGGATGACATTTCCTACAGTGGCCCAGCATACACAAAAGACCAGAGGTTTGCTTTGGCACACGGGGTGGTTTAGTTTGATAGGAGTCTCAGGTTGGTGGAGGGGAGTAGAAGAAGAGAAGGCTGGAAAGCGATAAGTGGAGCTGATTTCCTCACAAATCTCTTTACGTATCTGGAGGCCTAGATACGTAAAGAGATTTATGTTTCACTGGATTCTAGGTCTAGAATCCAGTGAAAGTAGACCCAGGAGTGGTGGTGGGACGAGGGGCCTGTGGAGATGGAGGGTAGGGCAGAACAGGGGACGTTTAAAATCCCCTGGAAGCAGTAGTGACTGGATCACTTCTCATGGCAGGCAAGGCCCCAGGGAACAGCGGCCTCCAGTGTCCTGGTTCAGGGTCTTGGGGGAGGGGTGGCCAACCCTCCCAGTTTGCCTGGGATGAGGAGTTTCCCAGGATGCTGGACTTCCAGGGCTAAAACTGGTATAATCTTGGGCAAACTGGAACAGTCGGTCCCCCTAGTTTGGGCCCTTGTCACTGTCTCCTGGACTACAGCAGGTTGTTGCCTGCTTGCCTCCCTTCCTTTGGTCTCCATTCTGCAGTTAGAGGGGCTGCTGTCAAACACAGCTCTTACTGTCTCTCTGCCTTGTTTCAAACACTCCAAAGGCTCCATTGCCTCTGGGATCCAATTCAGACCCCAGGACCTGGACCCAGAGCCCTAGAAAGGGAAACACTGGTTTCCACCCTCCTTGAAAGTCTCATTTCCCATCACTTTCACACCACACCAGATACAGCCTAGTTCCCCAAACCGGAAGTGTCCTTTCCTATTCTGAGCCTTTGCCCATAGCAGCATCCTATCAACCTGACTGGCTCCTACCCACCCTTCAAGATTCAGTGAAAATGTCATTCCCTGCTCTCTCCTCTGGGTTTCCAAGGCACATTATACATACTTTTGGGAGAGCACATATCAAGGAGTTGGGTTGAGAGTATAGACCCCAACTCTACAGCCAGCTTCTGGCGCAATGCTTGGTGTACAGTAAGCTTTTGGCATGTACATTTTGAATAGCTGGTATATTGACATGACTCAGAATTCAGAAGGAACTATGCGTGCTCAGTGAAAAGTGTCCTTCCCACTCCTGGCCTCTAACAACCCAATACTCCTCCCCCTCTAGGGACCTCTTTTTGCATACACAAGCAAATAAGGTAATTTGCTTTGTTAATGAATAAAGAAACTAACAGTAAAAACCTGGAATCATTCCAAATGTTCAAAATCTGGGGCTGGCTAAGTAAGCGATTATATAGCAACATTATAGACTAATCTGCAGTCATTAAACATTATTAAAATTATTATAAGGCAGACTGTAGTATTACATGCTAAGTTTTAAAAGCAGAATATAAAGCAGACCTCCACATTGAATGCACTTGATTAAAAAAAAACAAAAAAAAAAAACCCCAAAAAAACTGGTCTCTTCAGTGATAGATGGAACTGATCCATCAGCCTGAGACAGAAATGATTGCTGCTTTAAGGTGAAGGCATTCAAAGTTTTCTTTTATGTAAAGTTGTTTGAATATGAAAAGAAAGGGGCTGGATTCTTGTGAATCTGCCTGATGAAGTGTGATTCATGATGGGACTCATTCATTCAGTAATTCATTCAGCAGACATTTGAATGCTTGCTTTGTCAGGAGGAAAAGCCAGAAACAATGGTGAGCTTCTGAGGATGAGCACTAAGTAGGTGATGGGGACATTAAGAAGCTCTGATGGAGAGAGAGGGGTGGGGAATGTGATGAGTTCATTGTAAGACTGGGGAGTTTGAGTTCAGTTTATTCATCAAGGGTAGCTGTATAGCAGATGGCAGGATACAGGTCTGGGAGCTCAGTGAAACAGCCAGGGCTAGTGATAGCCGCCAGTATATTTGTGGACAGGGAAGCCGGAGGTGGAATGGAGAAGTTAGACAAGGAAAGGGGAAGACAGATGAAATAAAGCTGTTTATTTCTGCAAATCTCTTAACACCTCTGAGCCAGGGCCAAGGGCACCAGGGTAGCAGAGGCTGTATCTGTTCCTGAGTGTTGAAGCGCCTCAGAGTTCAGGCAGAAACCCTTCCTCCCAGCCCCTGTCTCCCAAACCCCATGCATGCATGGCCTGGGTCTGGTCTTAGTTGTCCTGAAAGGCCTGGTAGATGAAGAGATGCTGTGACTGGCTTAGAAAACATGTAGGAACCCCTGAATGAGCATCTGGGAGAAAATATTTAAAAGGTTTACCTGAAGCCTAGGCAACATAGCAAGACCCCATCTCTACAAAGTAAAACATAGAAAAAATAGCTGGGTGTGGACATGTATCTATTATCCTAGCTACCAGTAGGCTGAAGCAGGAGGATCGCTTGAGCCCAGGAGTTCAAGGCTGCAGTGTGCAAAGATTGTGCCTGTGAATAGCCACTGCACTCCAGCCTGCGCAACATAGTAAGGCTGTCTCTATTTTTAAAAATGAGTTGATGGCATTCAGGTTAAAGAGAGCAGAGTTCGCGGTTACAGTGAGCTGTGATTGCACCATTGCACTCCAGCCTAAGAAAGAGAGCAAGATTCTGTCTCTAAAAAAAATAAAAATAAAAATAAAAGATTTACTTGAACAAAGACCAGCTAAGTAAGGCTGGACAGGGAAAGGGAAAGTAGGTGGGCTTGGCATTGGGGGCAGAAATGTTCCACTGCGGGTTGAGTGATGCGAGGGCCCCAGGAGGGGTAGATTTCTGAGTGGGGTTTGCCCCTAGTGAGCAGGTCTCAGACTGTCCCTGAAGGGGCCAGCAGGAATTTTTGCTCAAAACTTGGACAGAGAAAGGGAAGGGGTTATCCCCAGAGCAGTGTACCACCAGGATGTATTTCCTACCTTCATATGTCCTCAGGCCAACCTGGAATCCAGGCCCAGCTCAACCACTTAGAGCTTAGTGATCTTTGGGAAATCTCTTCTCTAAACCTCAATTTCCTCATCGACAGACTGAGACTATAATAGTATCTCCCTTGGGTGTTGTGAGGATTAGAAATACTGTATGTAAAGCTCCTAGTATATAGTAGGTGCTTAATACACAGTAGCCATAATTTTTATTCCTGCTACCACACTGGACTAGGCCAGCCTAAGACATTGCTCACTTCTACTCTCTTTGAGGGATTTGTTGCCAGTTGGAACAAGACACTGAAATCTAAGACTTTGCCCATCATCTTTTCACATACATTTGTCAAAGGTGGCCTGGCAGGCAGATATGTAAAAACTGGTTCCCAGTTTTCACTGTGCATAGTTCTTTTTTTTTGCTGGTCATTTCAGCACATGAAGAAAAGCATGTCACAAACCTCTTGGCTGGTGGTGAGATCTAGAAGACTGATTGAGAAAGCATCGGAGGAGCAAGGGTTTAAGTCGTGAACTGCTGAATTTAAAAAAAAAAAAAAGGCCGGGCACGGTGGCTCATGCCTGTAATCCCAGCACTTTGGGAGGCCAAGCAGGAGGATCACTTGAGCCCAAGAGTTCGAGACCAGCCTGGGCAACATGGTGAAACCCCATCTCTACAAAAAATACAAAAATCAGCAGGGTATGGTGGTTCACACCTGTAATCTCAGCTACTTGAGAGACTGAGGCAGGAGGATCGCTTGAACCCAGGAGTTTGACACCAGCCTGGGCAACACAGGGAGACCCCTTCTCTATTACCAAAATTAAAAAAAAAAAGCATCCCCTCCTCCGTCCCTCCAGCTTACCAACAGCCTGCTGCTCTTACTCGTCACTCTTGTGTCGTGTCTTATAACTGTTCAAAGTGCTTTTGCCTATATGATTTCATTTGCTCCCCACCCTGGCCTGTGAGGTAAGTAGGGCAGATATTGGCTGCCATCTCAGAGGGGCTAAGACAGTGACAGAGCTGGGACTAGAACCCACGCCTCCTTGTGATGGACAGAAACGAACCGTGCCCTGTTGACTTGCACCTTTGATGAGTGGGTTAAAAGGAATCTGTGAGGAAATGATGCACAGGTTTTGGGGACAGCTGTTTTGCAAGGAGACAGTGACAACAATACCCTATTGCTGTAGCGTGCCCAACAGAGACAGGTGGCTATGCTCCTGTTGTGCTAATGAGCAAACTGCAGGCGCAGGGTCAGCGGAGGAGGACTTTCTGGGGTTTGGGTGACACAGAGAGGCGGTTTTACAGAAGACTTTGCCTGGGGCCACCCAGCTTGGGAGTGGCAGAGCCCCCAGAATTGAGACTTTGACTCAGGACTCTAACTCCAACTTCTTGGGTTTGAAGTCAGCTCATTTCTCCCCTTGCCCTTTCTCACAGGGGTGTTGAGAGGAACAAGAGTGGAAAGGACAAATCAGTGTGTAACGGCATTAAAGGAAATAGTGCCTAGCATTCTCCTCTTCCAAATCTAATTGGCCTCCACGTGAGGGCCGCAGAGAGCAAATACTTTGGCTAAGCTGATCTGTTTGCGTGCTCTACTTCTTAGCTGTGTGAAGATATCAGATCTTGCTTGACAGGTTGTGAGAATGAAATAAGCAGCATATGTGAAAGTGTTTTGCAAACTATGAAGCAGTACTATCATTGAGAACTTTAAGAGTCTTTGCTTCCGGGAATCCAGCAAACCCAGCTCACTCTAGGACCCTGAAAGAACTCGCCTCTGGTGGGAGTAGAGAAGGTGGTGCTTTTTTGGTTTCTCCGGCCTTCAGGCAGACAGAACTGGGGAGGAAAATGGAGGAAGATGAGCTTGCTCACCACCTCCGTCTTCTTATCCCCCAGCTGAGGGGGCAGTGGCGGGGGAGCTGGCATAACCTTTGCTTTGGTGAGTCAGCTAAGAAGGAATTTCTAGAGCTCCACTGATGTAGACATGGTTGTTTTAGTTTGGATTTCTAAAGCTGCTCCTCTTTGAAGCAGCTTTAAGACACAGCTAAAAGCACAAGCAATTGGGAAGCACATGGAAAATGACAGCAGCATAACATCTTACTAGTGTGAACTTGAAGAAATCAAGTTTCGCAGGGTCATTGTATTAATAGTGTGGGAAAGTGCCTGGCACATACCAGGGGCCCAATATCTGTCCATTTCCTTTCCCTTCTCAGTGGACAGACTGCAGTCACTAAGCTAACAGAAAGCACTTACTCTTCAGTTGCCTGAGTTTACAGATAATAGGTGCCATTATTCATTTAATCCTCACAGCCCCAGGAGACAGCTTATCTACATACACCGAAGAAAAGGCAGCTCAGAGTCTTATTGCCCAAGGTCACGTCACACAGCCTGCAATTTTTGATTTTCTTATTTTTTAGTTTTGGGGGTGCATAGGTGTATATATTTATGGGGTACCTGAGATGTTTTGATATAGGCATGCAATGCATAACAATCACATCATGAAAAATGGGGTATCTATCCCCTTAAACATTTCTCCTTTGTTACAAATTATACACTTTTATTTTTAAATGTACGATTAAATTATTATTGACTATAGTCGCCCTGTTGTGCTGTCAAATAGTGGGTCTTATTCATTATATTTTTTTGTATCCATTAACCATCCCCATCCCCACCCCAGTACCCTTCCCAGTCTCTGGTAAATCTTCTACTCTATCTATCTCCATGAGTCCAATTGTTTTGTTAGTTCCCACAAATAAGCGAGAACATGCGAAGTTTGTCTTTCTGTCAGCCTGCAATTTTTAAAGCCAGAATTCAAACCCACCTTGTCTGGTTTGCCTGTTAGATATCAGGATGTGTGAAGCTGTTTAACTGAGCTGGGCCTCCTGGAAGGCCCAATCTTCAACGGACTTGGACCAAGAGGTAACTCCAACCTGGCCCATTTGGGAATAAACTCAGGGTGGAGTTTCAAAAACAGGAAATAGGCCATTGCTAGAGGCAGGCTGGCAGCCACTGGAAGAGAGCGGAAAATGTTGCTTTCCAAATCCTTGGGGGATTTAATCTGTGCTCTCCCAGTTTCAGGAGCTTATGTTGTGAGGGTGAGATGACTCCTCATTAAGCAGTATACAAATAGATTATTGGTAGTCTTCTGTCATCTCCCACGAAACACAACCTCCCCCTCATCACCTGACAGCCCTCCACTAACCACCCTATAAACAAGAGGGAACTGAGTCTCCTTTTCAAACACCTCTCCTAAGCTAGACTGCAGAAGCTGGGAGGGCTGAGTCATCTTCCTCTTGAAAGAAAACCCGTGTAACAAAGCCACAGAAGTATGCTTTCTGTGCATATCATTTGTTTCAACACATGGCTGCTTTTATAGGATGCCAACGCAAGAGCTGAGGACACTGTCTTCTCTGTTCCCCAGAAAGTAGGTACCCTGCAGTGTCATCTGTACTGTCCCCCTCCTCCACACCCATTATCTGCGTGACTGCAGGCACCTCACTAAGCAGCCAAACGACCACCACAGCACATTTACCCAGGCCATTAGTTTGGATTGTGCCAAGTATCTCACAGCATAGGCAAGAAGGGCCAATTGAAGAGTTAGGATGGCTGGGTGCGGTGACTCACGCCTGTAATCCCAGCACTTTCGAGGCCGAGGTGGGTGGCTCACGAGGTCAGGAGTTCGAGACCAGCCTGACCAACATGGTAAAACCCCGTCTCTACTAAAAATACAAAAATTAGCTGGGTGTGGTGACGGGCGCCTGTAATCCCAGCTACTTGTGAGGCTGAGGCAGGATAATTGCTTGAACCAGGGAGGTGGAAGTTGTAGTAAGCTGAGATCACGCCATTGCATTCCAGCAACAGAATGACACTCGTCTCAAAAAAAAAAAAAAAAAAAAAAAAAAGGCTATGGCCTGAGGCTACTCTTCACCCTAAGGGATATATGGTAAACGCATGAGAGTAAAGGCTCTGGCCTCAGATACATACACAAGGATGACTTTTAAGAGTGCCTCCTCTATCTCTCATTTCTTCTGGCCAAGCTAGGACGAGGTAGATAGGACTGGGAAGTAGACTACATCCCTTTGCGGTCCATTCACCTTACAGCTATAGTTTCTGAGAATAGTGCTGTGTACCAGGGAAAGCTCTGGTTTTTATGATCTCCCCTTGTAGAGTGCTGGATTGCTTCATGGTGCAGGGTGCTACTTATATGGCTTCATATCATATGCCCAGTAGGAAGGAGAATGCCTGGGCAGATCTGATGCTGGACCAATTCACTGCCCACATCAAAGGGCATCTCCCCATAAGCCCAGAGACCCACAGCTAAATGTCCCCACTCCCCCGGCAAAAAAAAAGCAGCTGATAGCCATATTTCTGTACAGGCTCATATAATAGAGGGGACTTTTATTATTTTTTCAGAGAATTCGGATAGCCATAGATTATACAGAGCCATTTCTCAGCACTCTTTTCCTTCCACTTAAGAAGCTGGAATACAACATGATGAGGATGATGCCAAAACAAGACTGCTGGTTCATATCATCTAGGGTACAAATACACACTTAATCACTTGACACTTTACTGAATGCAAAGCAAGATTTAGCATCTTTGCCCTCGTTGTACAGAGCTGAAGCAGGAGACCAGGGAGGGGAGGACTGCATGGTTTTCCTTGGCAGGGGAGTTGTGCACCCTGCAGTCCTGTGGTGTTGTGGGAAGATCAGCCCATGTTCTGTCGGTTCCCATAGCCCCTAGGATGGGTGTCCTTCCAGTCATCCCACTCCCGGGCTCTGTGGAGTGTTTGTTCATCATCCTCTTCCTCCTTTTCTTCTTGTTCTTCCTGTTGCTGAGCTGCTTTTCTGAATTCCTCTAAAGTGGAAAAATTAGAAAGGGAGGTGAGAAATTGAGGGAATGTTAATAAGTAACGTCAGGGGCCTCAGTTCCACTCTGAGCACAACCACATGCAATGAGAACAGGAATACAGCCAGCTGCCTACCCTGAGCCCGGCGGAAGCGGGGAGAGAACTTGCATTACCTAATATATCGCATGTTAAAAAATAGTACGAAAGGATGCTCTAAGTGGTTTCCACAAGAAGGCAAAAATCATAAAAGGTGCCCCTCAGAATGAATTCTATTTTGGAAGAGAATTCTTGCAAAAATGGCCAACACCCACCCCCCCCAAGCCCCTAAACAAAAACATTACCACCACCATCAAACAACCCCTGCAATCCAAAAACAGGAAAGAAAAAATATTTATGAATTTGTGATTTGTGAGTTGCCAGGGGGGTGGGATTGCAGTTGACGTTTCCTCCTCCATCCATTTCCTTTACTATAGTCATACATAAGTTTTTGTGCATAAAATTGAAAATCACAGGGCAGTTGGACCTACCAGAAAAGAATGCCTACGTATTATTTTGCAGTGCTTGAAATAGGCTCTGAGGTCCAAATGGCATTTATCATGCAGTGTACACCCAAAAGAAATTAAACCAACTGCTGCATCTCTTTTGCATTTTTTTTCCTTTGTGAGGTAAAGCAGCATTTTCCTGGCTACTCTGACTTTGCTCATGAGAAATAGTCTCATTACTATGAATGAAATGTGTGGGGATCTGATCTCTTCTAACAGCTCAGGAGTCTTTTTTTCTGAGATAGGGTTTCTCTCTGTTGCCTAGGCTGGAGTACAGTGGTGTGATCATGGCTAACTGTAGCCTCGAACTCCTGGGCTCAAGTCATCCTCCTGCCTCAGCCTCCCGAGTAGCTGGAACCACAGGCATGAACCACCACACTTGGCTAATTTTTACATTTTTTGTGGAGACAAGGTCTTCCCCTATGTTGCCCAGGCTGGTCTCGGCCCTCCCAAAGTGCTGGGGTTACAGGCGTGAGCCACCTTGCCTCGTTCTTTTCTTTTAAACCCTTTACTATAAAATAAAACATGGTGGAAACCACACAAGTACATATAAAACAAATTTTTGTAAGGAGGCCTTATAGCCTCCACTCAGGTCAAGAAACAGATCTCCTGTATCCACCCTAAAAGCCTCTCTGTGTACATTATACAAATCAACTCTCCTCCCCTGCAAAAGTAACCTCTATACTGCTTTTTATAGTAATAACTTCCTAGAGTTCATCACAGCTTTATCACCCAAGTGCATACCACTAGACACTGTAATTGTCCATTTGTACATTCATTTTTTTACTCAATGTATTTTTTAGTACAGAGTTGTGCAACTATCACCACAATCCAATTTAAAAAATTCTATAACCCCAAAAGATCCCTTGTGCCCATTTACAGTTAATTCCCATTCCTTCCCTCCCTGCCCCCAGCTCCTAGAACCATGAATCAACTTTCTGTCTCCATAGATGTGCCTATTCTGGACATTTCATACACATGAAATCAAAATCATGTAATCTGTGATCTTTTGCGGCTGACTTCTTTCACTTAGCATCATCACCTTTTTTTGTTGTTGTTGTTGAGACAGTCTTGCTCTGTCTCCCAGGCTGGAGAGCAGTGGTGCGATCTTGGCTCACTGCAACCTCCACCTCCCGGGTTCAAGTAATTCTCCTGCCTCAGTCTCCCGAGTAGCTGGGATTAAAGGTGCCTGCCACCACACTCAGCTAATTTTTGTATTTTTAGTAGACATGGGGTTTCACCACATTGGCCACGCTGGTCTCGAACTCCTGACCTCAAGTGATCTGCCTGCCTCGGCCTCCCAAAGTGCTGGGATTACAGGTGTGAGCCACTGCGCCTGGCCTAGCATCGTATTTTTGAGGTTAGCCTTGCCTATTTAAAAATGTTTTGATATCTTTTTAAATCTATGGGTTCCCCCTCCACCCCTTTCTTTCAAGTTATCTGTTGAAGAAGTTGGGGCATATGACCTGTAGAGTTTGTTTCCCAAAGACTGGATTTTGCTGATTGCATACTCATGATGCAGTCTAACATGTCCTCCTTTATTTTCTGCAGATTGGCAGCTGAATACAGAGGCTTGATTTGACTCAAGTTTGATCCCTTCAGCATGAATTATAATTATAGGTGGTGCTGCATTCCTTCATCAGGAGGCATGTAAATATCTCTGTCTCGTTGTAATGTTAGGAGCTGTTGATGCTCAATGCCGAGACCCATTCATTTATTGGGGGGTTTCAAAAAGGTGATACCCTTAATTTTAACTTTTTAAAATTAACTGGAATACTTTTACAAAGAGAGCCTTCCCCTCATCAACTACTATTTGGTTACCTAGTAGAAAAGATAAAATACTTGACTCTTTCCCTTTATTTACCATTTCTCAAGATATTGGGTTCCCTTATTAGCCTCTGAGGTTGAATAATTTGGTCTTGTTTTATAATATAATTATGGGCTGGGCACGATGGCTCACACCTGTAATCACAGCACTTTGAGAGGCTGAGGTGGGAGGACTGCTTGAACCCAGGAGTTCGAGATCATCCTGGGCAAGATGGCGAGACCCTGTGTCTACAAAAAAAATATTTATGACACTTATATTGGCTCAAAAAATTATAAAAAAGAAAAAAACTTTTAAAATCTGCCAGGCATGGTAGTGCATGGCTGTAGTCCTACTCACTCGAGAGGCTGAGGCAGGAGGATTGCTTGAGCCTGGCCTGGGCTCAGAGTGTGAGACCCACCTCTAAAAAAATAAAAATATATATATATAATTATGAACTTAGAGATTTAAACATATCTGGTGAGTTTCAGCCAGTTGCAACTATTATTATTATTTTTGAGACAAAGGAGTCTTGCTCTGTCACCCAGGCTGGAGTGCAGTGGTGTGATCTTGGCTCACTGCAACCTCCGCCTCCTGGGCTCAAGCGATTCTCCTGTCTCATCCTCCCGAGTGGCTGGCATTACAGGCATGTGCCACCACGCCTGGCTACTTTTTGCATTTTTAGTAGAGATGGGGTTTTATCACATTGGCCAGGCTGGTCTTGAACTTCTGACCTCAAGTGATCCACCCACCTAAGCCTCCCAAAGTGCTGGAATTACAGGCGTGAGCCACCGCGCCCGGCCCACAATTATTGTTTTAAAAAACTATTTAAATCAACTTCTTAATTTTAGAAGTTTTCAATTTACAGAAAAATTGAGAAAATAGTACTGAGTTCCTACATAACCACACCCAGTTTCTTATCATCAACCTCTTACATTAATACAGTTTCTGTGATACAACTAATGAACCAATACTAATATATTATTAACAACTAAAGTGCATACATTACTCAAATGTCCTTAGGTTTTACCTAATGTCCCTTTTCCGTTCCAGGATCCTATCCAGGTCACCACAGTACATTTTGTTGTCTGTTTCTTTAGTCTCCTCTAGGATGTAACTCTTTCTCAGACTTTCCTTCATTCTGATGACCTGGACAGTTTTGAAGAGTACTTGTCAGGTATTTTGTAGAATGTCCCTCAGTTTGGGTTGCCTATTTTTTACAGAATTAGACTAGGGTTATGGGTTTTGGAGGACAATACTATATATGCTATCAACCTGACTTCACACTGATAATAACCTCGATGACCTGACCAAAGTGGTATTTGTAGGTTTCCAACTAAAGTTACTTCTCCTGTCTCCTTCCACATTGCAGTCTCTGGAAGCAAGTCACTAAGCACAGCCCACACTTTCGGGGTACACAGTCATGCTACACCTCCTTGAAGCAGGAGTATCTACATAAAATTAATTGAAATTTTTCTGTAGGGGAGATTTATCTCTTCTCCCTCATTTATTTACTTATTCAACCACTTATTTCTATCACAATGGACTTGTGTGTATTCATTTTATTCCTAGTGTGATAATCCAATACTGTTAAATTTACTTTCCTGCCCAAGTTCTCCCAGTTTTGGGCTGTGAGGGTGCAGCTGGCTCTTGTGTTCCTTTAACACCCCAACAGTTTTTTGAGCTCTTGTTTTCTAGTACAGAGAGCCCTGAGTTAAGATTTTTCAAGTTTATGATGGTGTGAAAGTGACATGCATACAGTAAAAGCCATACCTCATATTTTGAGATATTCAATATTTTAGTATAAAATAGGCTTTGTGTTAGATGATTTTGCCCAACTGTGGACTAACGTAAGTGTTCTGAGCAGGTCGAAGGTAGGTTAGGCTAAGCTGTGATGTTGGGTAGGTTGGGTATAGCAAATGCATTATCAACTTAACAATATTTTCAACTTAGAATGGCTTTACCAGGATATAACCCCATCATACGTTGACTATCATCTGACTACGAGATGCTCCAGGTTCATCTTGTATATTCCCTGCCTCAGCCCTAGAATCAGCTATTTCTCCAAGGAGCCCTGGTTCATTTATTAGAGGATGGTATTAGAAACCAAGATTTGGGTGTTGGATGGACTTGTTGCTACTGTCAATTATCCTCTGTGAAACCGAATTGGCCAGTGGAAACATCTTTAAATTGGCTCGATATGACCCCAGTAGTCTTTGAAAGCTCCTTCCCTATCTTTTATGACAAGATGTTCCAAGCTTATTTGTATATTTCCTGCCCCAGAATTGTAGTCAGTTATTTCTCTAAGACACCCTGATTTCTTAAAAGAAAGAATATTGGGAAGAATATTTCTGTATCACAATTGGAGTTACTAGGTATACTCATTGCTACTGGGCTGGTCCTTGTTTCTAAGCCTTTTCAGTGAATAGAGCAAAAGCAGGGGTGGGTGTGTGTGTGTGTTTAGTTTTAAATAAAATTTCTCATGAGTTCATATGGAGTACTACAGGGTTTAAAAAAAATCTAAATTCTTTGGAATTACATCTGTATTCTTTCACATTAAAAGTCCTAGTTCTCAAAGACAGAGGATGATAGAATTAGATTATCTAATAACTGCTCATTTATATTATCTCACATTATACATAGTCTTGGAATAATAACACTAACTTTGACACTCCACCAATATAATTACTGAGAACTGTTAAAATTTTGCATGATTTCCCCATTTCTCCATTTTTAAAAAGTTATCTACATTATCTGGGCACATAGGCATTACATACTCTATCTCCCTTTTAATCCTCATTTCATCTTAATTCTACAAGTAACTGTACATTTAACGCTTGCTACCTGTCCTTATTTCAATGTCTCTCAACACTTTGGCTGTCTGAAGCTCATTCTCTAGCAAATTCATGGGATGGTGGAACAATATTTCTTGAATTCCTGCATGTTGATAAATATCTGTACTCTTTATACTTGAAAGTCAGTTTTACCAGGTATAATGTTCCTTGGCTCACATTTTTTTCCCTCTGAGTTTCTTAAATACCTGCTATTCCATTTTCTTCTTTCTTCTGGCATAAAGTATAGATCTCAAAAAATCTGAGGGTAACCTAAGTTGCTTTCCTTTATAAATCACTTACTATTTTTACTGAGATGTCTGTGGCTTTTTTTTCTTTAAAGTTCGGAAATTTTATTAGACTATGTCTTGTTGGTCATTCTGGGTCCTTTCCCAGGAACATGGTGTGATTTTTCCTATCAAGTGACCGTGGCGCTCGAGCCCTCCAGGACCAGGAGCTTAGGCCCCATGGAGAAGCTGGGCCTGGTGCCGGGCAGCAGTTGTGCCTCTTTGGTGCAGTGTCTCAGCCCCAGGGAACTGGAGCTTTGGCCCAGGGGGGCAGCTGGGACCCTGGTGCCTTAGCCTGCATGGCACCAGGTCCCTGGACCCCCCAGGGAAACACAGCCTTGGCTAATCTGTACACACTGCTCTCTGGGCCAAACGGCAATAGCACCCCCACCTCCCTGGATCTGGACCAGCCCTCCGGGGTCTGAGCCACTGAGGTGTCCCACCTTCCTGGGGAGCAAAGCCAACATTGCACTGCATCCCACCCCCTGGAGCCCAAGCCACAGCTATGCCCTACCATTCCTGGGGCTGTGTTGCCACTGCACCCGGCCTCATAGAGCTTCCAGGGTCCAGAGTCACCACTATACAGCATCTTCTTTCCTGGTGCCTGAATTGCCACTGTGCCCTGCTCCCTGGGGTCTGAGCGTCTGGAACACCCCTCCCTCCCCAGAGCCATGCCAGTACTATGCCCTGACCCCCAGGTTAGGAATCACAGCTACGTCCCTGCCCCTGGGCCCGAGCTACTGAGAAGTGCCTCAGAGTCATAGTCCTTGCCTTGGTGGGAGAGCAGCATCCACCTGTGCCTGAGACTGAACCTGCACCCATGTCACAGGTCCCGCAGCAGTTCAAGAAGACACTGGACCCAGGACCAAGCTCCACAGCCACCCTGAGCACCCGTGCCTTGGAACACAGCACTGCTGTGGCTGCCTGTGGGTCGCGTCACACCCAACACCAAGAGATTCCCCCCGCGCAACTTTTTTAATCCCAAGAAACTTTCCTTAATATTAACTTTTAGCATTTATTCTTTTTCCTTGCTTTGGCTTTCTTCTTCAGATAATCCTATTATCTATATGCCAGGTCTTCTTTACTATCTTTAGTATATGTCACTTTTCCTCAAACCCTGTTTATCTTTTTTCGTTTTAAAATTTTCCTTCCTTTTACCATAGTAAGGCATTTTCTGTTGTGTTCACTCATTCTTGTTTCCTTCTACTTTAGCCTATATTTCTGAAATGATTCATGTTCCCCAAGCTGTCATATTTCTGAGTTTTTCTAATCCTGCTTTATATTGTCCTTCCATGTCCTATGTTATTTTCTGAATATCTTCCAACTCTTTTTTGGATACCATGTTTCAGATTTGTTCTGTTTTTTTGAGCGTGTCTTTCTGTAGTGTTTTTCTCTTCTAATAACTTTGTGTAGGGTTTGACTTTGATAATTTTCTGTTCCCTTTTTCTCAGCTTTGTGCTGTATTTCACAATCCATAAAATCTACCCACTTAAAAGTATACATTTCAGTGTTTCTTTTTGTTTTTTTATTTTTTGAGACAAAGTCTCACTCTGTTGCCAGGCTGGAGTGCAGTGGCACGATCTCGACTCACTGCAACCTCTGCCTCCCAGGTTCAAGCCAATTCTCCTGCCTCAGCCTCCCAAGTAGCTGGGACTACAGGCACGTACCACCATGCCCGGCTAATTTTTCTTTTTTTTTTGTATTTTTAGTAGAGACGGGGTTTCACCATCTTGGCCAGGCTGGTCTCAAACTCCTGACCTTGTGATCCGCCTCCCAAAGTGCTGGGATTACAGGTGTGAGCCAACAGTTCAGTGTTTTATATTCAGAGTTGTGCAACCATCACCACAATCTGTTGTTCATTTTTACGTGAAATGTTTTCCTAAACTTGTAGAAAGAAGCATGGTTCAGAGTAGCTTTTCTAACTTCATAAGGGCTCCCTTTCTGCTGTTTTCATGTGAATTAAAGAAATATGATTACTTGCTTGATTGGAGTTCCTGGTTCTGGTCCTCTCTCCTAATTTCATCTGGACCTTTTCTTTCTTTTTCTATTCCTGTCCTGCTTAATTTCAATTCTACTCTCAGCAATTTCTCCTCAGTGTGAGTCCCTGTCCTGGAAGGGAGACCGGTGGATCAACTTCAAGAGTTCACTAAGGACTAGACTACTCTATCGCTTTCAGACCTTCTGACTATTGGACCCTCATACTCATCCCTCCCAGTTTCAACTGCAGTTCTTAAATTGGACTGCCATTCTTTCTAGGGAATACACTGTTTTGGAATTCTGTTTGTCAAGTTTTTCAGATGGCCTGTCAACTCTGGTTTTCTCCTGCACAGATGCCAATAACTGCTGGATCTTGTGGCTATGGGTAATTTGCCCTTACCTGTTTTTATTGTGAGGTTCATGGGGATACACTGCCACCTATTTTCATTATAAATATTGTCCATGGGTTTTTTCACATTCACTGAAGTGCAACATACGTGTAGAAAAGTATACTAACATTTGTATAGCTCAGTGACCTCTCACATATTGAACACATCCATGTAATCAGTACCCAGATGAAGATACAAAATATTTCTAACTCCTCAGAAGACCCTGTAGGTCCAGTTCCATTCATGATCCCCAACTAAGGGTGAACACTTACTAGCTTTCAACCAGCACACACAAGTATCACCTGTTTGTTGAAGTTTGTATGAATGGAATCATACAGTATATACTCTTTTGCGTCTGGCTTTTTTCACACGATTCAGCTATATTTGTCACTTATAGCAAACAAACTATAGTTTAACCTTATTGCTACATAGTTTTCCATTGTGTGAATATACCAAAATTTATTCTTCATTCTATTATTTATGGGCATTTGAGTGGTGTGTATTCAGTGTGGACTATTACAAATAATGCTGCTATGTTCAATCTTGTACAGGTCTTTTGTGGACATATGGTCTCACTCCTCTTAGGTATATACCGAGTAGTGAAACTGCCAGGTCATGGGAGTATACACGTGTCCAATTTTTGTGCATTACTACCAGAACCATGACCACCCCTAGTTTCCCTGCCTTTATTTCCTTTCATCTATTTACTTTGGGCTTTCTTTGTTCCCTATGCCCCCACCCCCACCCTTGTTAAGGTAAAACCTTAGGTAATTGATTTTATCTTCCTTTTTTCTAACATAAGTGTTGAAAGTTACACACATTTCCATCTCAGCATTGCTCGAGTTGTATCCCATAAATTCTGATGCTGTACTTTCACTGTAATTCTGTTCAAAGTATTCTCTTTTATTTATTTTTAAATGGGCAAACATATTTATTGTGTACAGTATGTTTTGAAGTATATATTATGGGATAGCTAAATCTAGCTAATTAAAAGATGCAGTACCTTACACATTGTTATTTTTGCAGTAAGAACACTTAACATCTACTCTGTATTTTATTTTCATTTTTTTTGAGATGGAGTTTTGCTCTGTTGCCCAGGCTGGAGTGCAATGGTGTGATCTTGACTCACTGCAACCTCTGCCTCCCAGACTCAACCGATTCTCCTGCCTCGGCCTCCCGAATAGCTGGGATTACAGGCGCCCGCCACCACGCCCGGCTAATTTTTCTATTTTTATTAGAGACGAGGTTTCACCATGTTGGCCAGGTTAGTCTTGAACTCCCAACCTCAGGTGATCCACCCGCCTCGGCCTCCCAAAGTGCTAGGATTACAGGCGTGAGCCACCGCACCCAGCCATTAACGATAGTCACCATGCTGTATAACAGATCTCTTGAACTTATTCCCAGTTAGAAGTATTTTCTAATTTTCTTTCTAATTTCTTCTTAGACCTATAGGTTATTTAGAAGTGTACTGTTTAATTTTCAAATATTTGAGAATTTTCTAGGTACATTATTGATTTCTAATTTAATTCCATTGTGGTCTGAGGACATATTCAGTGTGATTTCAATTTTTGAAAATTTATTGAGACTTATTTCATGGACCAGTATATGATCTACCTTGGTGAATGTTCCATGGGTATCTGAAAAGAAGGTGAAGGCATACCTCGTTTTATTGTGCTTCACTCTATTGTGCTTTGCAGAGACTTTTTTTTTTTTTTTTTTTTTTAACAAATTGAAGGTTTGTGGCAACCCTGCAGCGAGCAAGTCTATTGGTGCCCTTTTTCTAAGAGCATTTGCTCACTTTGTGTCACTGTGCCACATTTTGGTAATTCTCAGTTTCTCAAACTTTTTCATTATTTCATTTGTTATGGTGATCTGTGGTCTTTGGTATTACCAGTGTAATTGTTCTGGGGCACCACAAACCATGCCCACAGAAGACAGAGAACTTAATGGGTAAATGTGTTATGTTCTGACTGCTCCACTGACTGGCTGTCCCAACCCTGCTCCAGGCCTCTCTGTTCCTTGAGACACAACAATATTGAAATTGGGCCAATGAATAACCCTACAGTAGCCTGTAAGTATTCAAGTAAATAATTTGAAAATTATTAGGCACAAATGCATTTATGACTGCTATGTCTCCCTGATAAATTGCCACTTTATCAGTAGGAAATGCCCTTTTAAAATCTCTGATAATACCTTTTTGTCTTGAAATCTACTTTATCTGATATTACTATAGCTACTGCAGCTTTCTTATGCTTACTGTTAGCATGGTAGAGGTTGAGTATCCCTTATCTGAAATGCATGGGACCAGAAGTATTTCAGATTTGTTTTTTATTTTGGAATATCTGCATCATATCTGGTTGAGCATCCCAAATCTGAAAATCCAAAATGCTTCAGTGAGCATTTCCTTTAAGCATCACATTAGCCTTAAGAAGTTTCGGATTTTGGAGCATTTCAGGTTTTTCATTTTCAGATTTAGGATGCTCAACCTATATATCTTTTTTTTTTTTTTTTTTTTTGAGACAGAGTCTCACTCTGTCACCCAGGCTGGAGTGCAGTGGTGTGGTCTCGGCTCACTGCAACCTCAGCCTCCTGGGTTCAAGCGATTCTCCTGCCTCAGCCTCCTGAGTAGCTGGGATTACAGGCGTGTGCCACCACACCCGGCTAATTTTTCTATTTTTAGTATAGATGGGGTTTCACCATGTTGGTCATGCTGGTCTTGAACTCCTGACCTCATGATCCGCCTGCCTTGGCCTCCCAAAGTGTTGGGATTACAGGCGTGAGCCACCTATATATCTTTTCTTCTTTTTATTTGTAACCAATCTGTGTCTTTGTATTTAAAATGTATCTTTTATAGACAGCATGCAGCTAGACCTGATAATCGATCCCTGACTTCTAATTCGAAGGTTTATTCTATTTACATTTGAGGTGCTCTGGATTTGGCCATTCTATCAGGTGTATAGTGGTATCTCAGTGTTGTTTAATTTGCATTGCCCTAATGACATGATGTAGAGTATCTTGTCACATGCTTATCTGTCATCTGTATACTTTCTTTGGTGAGGTTATCTGTTAAGGTTTTTGGCCCACTTCTTAATCAGGCTGCTCCCTTTTTTTTTTGAGACACGGTCTTGCTCTATCACGCAGGCTGGAGTGCAGGGGCACGATAATAGCTCACTGCAGCCTCGACCTCACAGGCTCAAGCAATCCTCCCACCTCAGCCTCCTGAGTATCTGGGACTACAGGCACGAACCATCACACTTGGCTAGTTTTTTAAAACTTTTTTTTTTTTTTTTTTTTTTGTGGAGAGGGGTCTTACCATGTTGCTCAAGCTGATCTTGAACTCCTCGGCTCAAGGGATCCTCCCACTTTGGCCTCCCAAAGTATTGGGATTACCGGTGTGAGCCACCACACCTGGCCTAAAACTGCTCCTTTTCTTATTGTTGGGTTTTAAGAGTTCTTTGTATATTTTGGGTAAAATATACAAAGTCCTTCATCAGATAAGTCTTTTGCAAGTATCTTCTCCCAGGTTGTGGCTTGTTTTCTCATTCTCTTGATAAATTATTTTTTAAGTGGCTGCTCTAGGAAATACAATGTTCATCTTTAACTTCCCAGCCTACTTAAGAGTTAAAATTATGTGATGGGGGCCAGGCGCAGTGGCTCACACCTGTAATCCCAGCACTTTGGGAGGCCGAGGCGGGCGGATCACAAGGTCAGGAGATCGAGACTATCCTGGCTAACACAATGAAACCTCATCTCTACTAAAAATACAAAAAAAAAAAATTAGCCGGGTGTGATGGCGGGCGCCTGTAGTCCCAGCTACTCAGGAGGCTGGGGCAGGAGAATGGCGTGAATGGCGTGAACCCGGGAGGCGGAGCTTGCAGTGAGCCGAGATCGCGCCACTGCCCTCCAGCCTGGGCGACAGAGCAAGACTCCGTCTCAAAAAAAAAAAAAAAAAAAATTATGTGATGGGGGGCCTCAAGGATGGTGCACAACAATCCCAGCCTCTTGGTATTCATGCTTTTATGGAGTCTCCTCTCATACTCTATCAGGGTTGGTCTATATGACTAATAGAATAGGGCAGAAGTCATATTCCAACATTAGGTTATAAAAGATATTGAGCCTTTTGATTTTGGTCATTCTCAGATCATTCACTTTGGGGAGCGGAAGCTGTTGTGAGCAACCCTATGTGAGCCTCCTGTCCTCAGCTACATCGATGAGCTTGGCAGTGAATTATCTAGTCCCATCCAAGCTTCCAGAAGACTGCAGCCCCAGCTGACAGCTTGACTGCAACCTCATGAATGTTTCTGAGCTAGGACCACCCAGTTGCTTCTGAATTCCTCACCCTCAGAAACTATGATACAATAAATGCTGATTATTTTAAATTGCTAAGTTTTAGAGTAATTTGTTATACAGCAATAGACATGTATCGGTTCACATAAAACAGGAGAATCTCACAAACAAAATAGTTCCATTTACCCTGTCCTTTTTGCGATGGCTGTCACATATATTACACCTAATACATTATAAACCTCACAAGTCAATATTGTAATTTTTGCTTTGAGAAGCTACGTATAGTTTTTAAAAACTGGGTTGAGGAAGACAGTCCTTTGTATTTACCCACATAATTACCATTTCTGCTGCTCTTCACTACTTGAGTATTTACATTTCTATCTGATACCATTCCCCTCAGCCTGAGGAATTTCCTTCAGCATTTCTCTAATGCCAATTTTCTGGTGAAGAATTCTTTTAGCTCTCATTTATCTGAAAATGTCTTAATTTCATCTTCATTTTATGGATATTTTTCACTGGGTATAAAATTATACGTTGACAGGTTCCTCCCCCCACCACTTTGAAGCTGTTCCACCATCTCTGGCGCCCACAGTTTTTAATGGAAATTCAGCAATAATGTATATCCTTGTTCTCCTATGTGTAATGTGTACTTTATCTTTGGATGATTTCAAAATTTCCTCTTTCTCTCTGGTGTTCTGCAGTTTGACTATAATGTGCCTATGTGTGATTTTGTTTGTATTTAAACTGTTGGGGTTTGCTGACATTTCTGAATCTTGGGAAATCTTTAGTCATCATTTCTTCAAGTTTTTCTGTTCCCTTCTTTCTCCTCTGGTACTGGCATTCCAATTGCGCATACATGAGACCTTTGTACATAATTCCGCAGGCCACTGAGATACTGCTTACTTTTATCCAATCTTTTTTTTCAAATTGGATAATTTCTATTGATCTTCAAGTTAACCGACAGGCTCTTCTGTCAGCAACAATCTGGTATTAAGCTCATCCAGTGACTTTACATTTTCAGATATTGTATTTTTCCATTCCAGAATTTGTGTGTATAGTTTCTATTTCTCTGCTGAGATTTCTTATCTTTTCATTAATTACAAACATATTTTGCTCTCTGCCCTTGAGGATAAAAATAATAGCTGCTTTAAAGTCCCTGTCTGCTAATTCCAACATCTGAGTTATCTTGGGGTTGGTATCCATTGATTGCCTTTTCTTTTGAGTTATGAGTCACATTTTCCTGTTTGTTTTTTTTCATGTCTAATAGCTTAGGATTGAATTCTAAACGTGACAAATGATATATTGTAGAGATTCCGAATTCTGTTTCATTCCTCTAAAGAGTACTGATTTTTCATTTTAGCAGGCAATTAACTCGTCTAAAACCAAAATACCAAATTCTATCTCCCTTGCATTGGGCAACAGCTGAATTCTCCATTCAGTTATTTTAGCCTTAGTTGAGGTGCTTAAGAGTCCATTCTGTGCATGCATAGTCAGCCAGAGATTTCAGTAGGGTTTATATACAGAATCAGGGCATCTTCTCTGTGGTTCTCTCTTTTCTGGGATAACCTCCTTCATTTTTCAGTTGCTATTCACCCTGATCTCAGTTCTCTCATTCCTCAAACAGTAAGACTGCAAGTTCCTATCCAAGTTACATGCAGTTACATCATAGTAACTGCAGTCTGCCCACAGGTGAAAAGCTAATCCTTTCAAATTACCACTCTTCTCTTTTTGGTGCTATAGTAGAAACAGAACTGAACCTGGGAATTTGAAGGTCTGATTTTAAATCCTAGCCAGGCCACTTTAAGTCAGCTCCCAGTGACTACTTCCTCATTTTATTTATTTATTTGAGACAGGGTCTCACTCTGTCACCCAGGCTGGAGTGCAGTGGCGTGATCTTGGCTCACTACAACTTCTGCCTCCCAGGCTCACATGATCCTACCACCTCAGCCTCCCGAGAAGATGGGACTACAGGTGCATACCACTACGCTCGGCTGGTTTTTGTATTTTTGGTAGCGACGGGGTTTCGCCATATTGCTCAGGCTGGTCTCGAATTCCTGAGCTCAAGCAATCCGCCTGCCTCGGCCTCCCAAAGTGCTGGGACTACAGGTGTGAGCCACTGTGCCTAGCGCATCTTATTTATTTTTATTTTTTTTCTTTTTGTTTTCACCTATTTGTCCCAGAGCACTTTCTCATCTTGAAATGAGAATAAGAATGTCTGCTTCATGAAGTTGTTAAGAGGATCAAATGAAGCTGAGCGCGGTGGCTGATGCCTGTAATCCCAATGCTTTGGGAGGCTGAGGCAGAAGGATTGCTTGAGCCCAGGAGTTTGAGACCAGCTTGGAAAACACAGTGAGACCCTGTCTCTATTTTTCCTTTTTGAAAAGGATCAAATGGGATAATATATGAGATAAGGAAACTGAAGCTCAGAGGGACTAAGATATTCCATCTATTAAGTGATAGGAGGGCCAGGCGCGGTGGTTCACGCCTGTAATCCCAGCACTTTGGGAGGCCGAGGTGGGCCGATCACCTGAGGTCAGGAGTTCGAGACCAGCCTGGCCAACATGGTGAAACCCCATCTCTACTAAAAATACAAAAATTAGCCAGGCGTGGTGGCAGGCGCCTGTATTCCCAGCTACTCGGGAGGCTGAGGCAGGAGAACTGCTTGAACCCGGGAGGCATAGGTTGCAGTGAGCCAAGATCGCGCCATTGCACTCCAGCCTGGAGGGCAAGAGCGAGACTTCGTCTCAAAAAAAAAAAAAAAAAGTGACAGGAGTTGGACTGTTCACCCAGGTCTGTCCATACTTTTTCGGTTATACCCTATTGCTTCCACCTTTTTGGTGGCCACCCTCTTCATCTTCCCCTTCCAAAGACAATTCCAAGTACCCACTATGATCCAATTACCAAGTTGGGCACTAAAGGTACAGTAAGTCAAAGTCCCTGCCCTCAATGAATTCCAAGTATCATTTCCTCCTTCTAAGTGTTGACTGCCCTTCAGCTTACACCTGCTTTTGGTGACTTGCCAGTACCTTCAGGTAGTTGGTTTTTAAAATATTTTGTTCAGTTTGTAATTGTTATCCTGTATGAGGGGCTGGCCTGATACAACCTACTCTGCCATTACCAGATGCGGAACTGCTATCCATAGATTGAGTTTTCTACACAGCTGCTCTGTTTTTATGTCATGACATTTGGAGAGATTTACAAACTATGCTATCACTGACCCCATCCTCCCATAACCATTTGCTATTTAATAATAAACATAGTACTGTCTAGAATCTTTCTATTACTCAGAATCTTTGTCCCCACTATTTCTGTTCCTAAAGGGCAACTATACTTGGTAAGAACTTAATTGCCAGGGAGTAAAAGACCAGTGGTACAACTATTTCCCTCCTACCCCGTCATACCTGGTGCTGCCTTGGCTATTCCCTGATCCGGTAATGCTCCATATTTCCGATGTTGCTCATACCAGTCACTCACCGTCATAGTTGGCAGACTTGGATAACCAGCTCCAAATACTCTGCAAAAATTACGCTGCATTTAGAAAACAAAAAAACAAAAAAACAAAAATAACAAAAAAAACCCAGTACTACAAAAAGTCTCTCTAACAACAAAGTCTGTGTCCGTTTCAGCCTTGTTCCCTACCCAGTCAACTTCTGAGGAGTTGTACAAACTCATGGGAGGATATGTAAAAAGGGGCATCCAGAAAGGGGCATTAAAGTCAAGAGCTTTCATGAGAAGATAAATAGCCCAGGATCATCTCCCATTAAGCAATCCCAGAGGGCAATGCTCCACAAAGCAGTGAAGACACCGTGGAATGGGTATTTATAGTTGGTGACTCTGAAAGGTACAGAAAACAAGGAGACTCCCGCCACCCTAGGGAAACATATCTCAAGAACTCAGAATTAAATCATAGGGAGGCAAATATGTCCTTTTGAGAATCGTAGCTGAAGGCAGGAAGAGTGCCAATAATGTAATAATAAAAAAAAACTTTAAAGTATACAATTCTCCATTCAATTATTTTCCTTTTTTGTTTTATTTGCTTGTTTACATGTGTGCTTTTTTTTTTTTTTTTTGAGATGGAGTCTTGCTCTGTCGACCAGGCTGGAGGGTAGTGGGGTGATCTCAGCTCATTGTAACCTCCACCTCCTGGGTTCATGCAATTCTCCTGCCTCAGCCTCCCGAGTAGCTGGGATTACAGGTGCCTGCCAATACGCCTGGCTTATTTTCCTACTTTTAGTAGAGACGGGGTTTTGCCATGTTGGTCAGGCTGGTCTCGAACTCCTGACCTCAGGTGATCCACCTGCCTCGACCTCCCAAAGGGCTGGGATTACAGGCGTGAGCCACCACGCCTGGCCCATGTGTGCCTATTTTTAAGCTTGAGTTTGTGAAGGAAGTGTCTGAGGAACACAGACATGGAGAAAGTTTCAGGAAAGATAATATCCCTTAGATAAAAGAACAACTTCCGTAAGTGAGATCATGACTTTTTTTTTTTTTTTTTGAGACGGAGTCTCGCTCTTGTTGCCCAGGCTGGAGTGCAATGGCGCGATCTCGGCTCACCACAACCTCCCCCTCCCAGGTTCAAGTGATTCTCCTGCCTCAGCCTCCCCAGTAGCCGGGATTACAGGCATGTGCCATCATGTCCGGCTAATTTTGTATTTTTAGTAGAGACAGGGTTTCTCCATGTTGGTCAGGCTGGTCTCGAACTCCCGACCTCAGGTGATCCACCCACCTCAGCCTCCCAAAGTGCTGGGATTACAGGCACGAGCCACCTCGCCCACCCAAGATCATGACTTTTCAACACCACTCAGTCTGTGGGTCACTAATGAATTGCCACATTGAACCATAAAAGCAGAGGGCTGCAAAGCAAACTTTCTAGTACTACCTACTTGGCTTGAGCCATGTTCCGAGTGAGAATGAAGGGTTTCACTGGAGGCCTCTCCTGGCGAGATGAGTTAGAAGTTGATGCCTAAGAAGGAAATTAATTATGAGAGGTGAATTTGCCATTTTACCCAACATACCATACGGGCTCTTAAGTCTTCAGGTGCTTGAAAAGCTCTGGATTCAAAATTCACTCACTTTCTATTTATCAGTCTCTAAGATATAGCAGCAGAACACTAACGGTAGAGATTCCTTAGCTCTCCTGAGGGGGCCTGAGTACCTTGCAAAAAAGAAAGAAAGAGAAAGTTCTCCCAGGAATCATGTCACTAGAAGTAAAAAATTACTCGGCTTTAAAATACCCTGTCCAAAGAAGGAGATTCCAAAGCCCTCTTCCATGTTCCATCTAAATCCCTTGAGCTGAACTTGAAGCCCCTTTCTTCAGCCTGGCCTTCAGTTAAAAAGTTGAATCACTACGACCCTTCTAAAACCTCTTCCAATGTACTTATGCACTTAATTGTCAAGAACTTCTACGGTGCTTTAGAAGTCAATGTTCCCAAAGGAAAGGGAGAAGGATTGGTTAGTAGTTTCCATATAGACGTATATAGAAAAGTTTCAAGGAACCTTGGCTTTCTAGGGGCATGCTGAAACAAAGGATGGTTAAAGAAAAGGTGCTCACTTAGTTCTAGCTCGATCACTTTCAGAACCAATTCCAATACCACATGAAAGCACATTAAAACAACAACAACACAACGATTACAACAAACAAACAAATGAACAAGAAAAAACAAAAAACTCACACACAAAGAAAGGGACAGGGCAGGACCCAGAAAAGTCCAGCCTCAAAATGCTTGAAAAGCACTCATCTAGACATGCTCAAGGGGCCTTATAACCTTAGAATATTAATTGTTCATTCTTTGATCTCTTAACATGAAGAACTAGGTTGATGTTATCCTGAGGCAAGAGCTCCTGGGCTAATTAGTACAAATCAAATTAGGAAGAGGTTTCTCTGAGGACTTAAATAAATGCCTGTGACTTGCTGATAAATTCAACCCAATTCATGTTGTGTCCTGAACCAAAGAACAAGTGGCAGCAGAGCCTATTCTTTTGAAGCAGCAGCTCCAAAACAGGGTTATGATGTTCAAAGATAGCCAAAGCTGTTACACCAGGTTTCTTTACCAGTTTACTGGACATTCTGTGCATGGAAATGCCCTTGCTGTGTCTCCTACGTGGGTAATCTAAAGGTGTGACAGTGCATCATTGTGGCAAGGTTAAATTCTAATTCCTCCTCCAACCTAAGCATATCCCCCTGGTCTTTTATTTCACTCTTCCTACTCTTTTCTCCCTCTCCTCCAGTTCTACCTTTCTTCTCCATTCCCATCCTCTTCCTCTCTTCCCCTTCATTATAGTCAGCACAATTTTTTTTTTTGAGATGGAGTCTCATTCTGTCACCCAGGCTGGAGTGCAGTGGCATGATCTCAGCTCACTGCAACCTCTGCCTCCCAGGTTCAAGCAATTCTCCTGCCTCAGCCTCCCGAGTAGCTGGGATCACAGACGCGCACCACCACACCCGGCTATTTTTAGTAGAGGGGGTTTCGCCATGTTGGCCAGGCTGGTCTCAAACTCCGGGCCTCAAGTGATCTACCCGCCTCGGCATTCCAAAGTGCTGGGATTACAGGCATGAGCCACCGTGGTGGCCAGTTAGCACAGATTTTAAAGGTTTAACTCCCTATGCCTTCCCTCAGCAGCCACAGCTTTCCACAACCAAAACCAATTTTTATTTCAGAGACATTTCTGTCCCCCATGGTATACCACAAAATTACAAATGACTACAAGTGTGTTACAGATTAAAAAGCACTGGGGAACACATTAAATTAAAGAGAAAGCTACCTTAGTGACCCTTCGGCCTTTCTATACTCATCTTGATAAAAACAGTGATTTTATGGAGACTTAAAAGGATCTTAATTTGATCTCCTGTAGAATACTCAAATCTCTGGCAGTAGATTTCTCTGGCCAGGCTTACCTCTCTTGAAGAGTCTCTTTCTCTCAGGATCTTTATTTCCTGGTCAATGCTCTCAATCTCTTCTAAGCTGATATCAATCCACCTCTGAAGGTGAAGAAGATAATATTCACGAACACGCTCATCATCTGCTTGACCACTTTCCACAGCAGATTTCATTGCAGACAACCTATGCTCCAACTCCTTCTTCTGCTTGTATCTGTTCCACAGAAAAGCATTACCCATGAACTTACAAATGAAGAGGTATTCCTTCAAAAGAAGGCCTCAATAAGATTTTACCTTTGCAAATGATAGGGTAGTAAGCATACCAATTTCCACCTTGGCAGGGATATAGATTCTATACCCCAGAATTAGCCACCAGGCAGTTCCCTCAGATGACAAGTTAGGGCCCAGCAGGGGCTGAGGAGTACCTTCTGAAGCCAGAAAAATACAGAAGTAACCGGATCTCAGCAAGTCCTTTAGGGAAGATGAGTACCTTAGTCATTTGATTATACTGGCCTTTACTAGGGTGGGTGCTTAGTATCGCAACACAGTGCTTCCTGTGATGCTTCCATTTTGGGAACTACACCTTCAAAAAAATCATAGAATCTTAGGGGTCATTTACCTGCCACTGATGCAGGAATGCCTTGTGAAACAGCCTAAAAAATGATCAACTCTTTTTTTCTTCTGGGCAAAACTTTCGCAGCTCTTCTGGCTCATCCTTTTATCATCTGAAGACTCATAACCACCCTGGCTGCCTTTCTTTTTCAGGATGCATTCTAGTATGTCATCTGACAAATGTCTACTGAGTACCTATTGTGTGACAGGCACCATTCTCAGTGCTGGAGACACAGCAGCATATAAAAGTCCTTGGTCTCATGAAGCATTCATTCCAGTGGGAGTAGACAAAAAGAAATAGATGAGTTAGGTCGTGATAAGTGCTATGAAAGAGCAAAAAGTAAGGTCAAATGCATACAGTGATGGTGGAAAAGTAGCGGTGCTATTATATACAAGGTAGTCAGAAGAGAACTCTCTGAAGAGATGACAGTGAACAAAGACTTCAGGAAAATAACTAAGCCAATATCTAGAAGAGTATGCTAAGGAATAAAAGCAAATACGAGGGCTGTGAGGTGGGAGCGTGCCTGGCCTGACATGGCTGAGAAATAACAAGGTGGCCAGTATGGCTGAGATAAAAAAGAGTGATAGAAAATGAGGTCAGACATAGCCAGGGCCATAATGTGTAGAACCTGGTAGGTCACAATAACCAAATATCAAATATCATGGTATTTTGAATGGGAAAGCCACTGGAGGCTTTTGAATACATGACATGAATAGAGTGACATAAAAACACTTTTAAAAATATGGGCCACTCTGGCTGTTGTGTGGAGTATGGGCTGTGGGGGCTATGAGGCAAGGATATAAGCAGGGAAAGCAACTAAGAGGATACTGCCACAATCCAAGTGAGAGATGGTGACCTGAAATAGGAAGGTAGTGATGGAGATAGTGGGATGTGGGTATATTTAAAATATAAAATAGATAGGATTTGTTGATTTATTGGATGTAAGAGCCTGAAGGAAAGAGAGAAGTCAAGGAAAAACATCAAGATTTCCAAGAGACGTATCTTGAAATATCTCTGCTTGAAATCCCACTTTAGACTCTCCAGAATCAGATGTTCCTCAGTAGGTCTTCACCCAAATCAGGGGGTCTTAAGCTGAAGTCCACAGAGAGTTCAGTGTGGTGGGGGTGGTCCTTGAACTCCCACAAATTTTATACAGAACTCTACCTGTATGCTTTCTTTTTCTTTCTTCTTTTTTTTTTTGGCTGAGAAATTTTTATAGATTTTATCAAATTGTCAAAGGGGCAAGGGGTCCATGACCCATGAAAAGTCAAGAACCGGCCGGGCACAGTGGCTCAGCCCTGTAATCCCAGGACTTTGGGAGGCTGAGGTGGGTGCATCATGAGGTCAGGAGATCAAGACCACCCTGGCCAACATGGTGAAACCCCATCTCTACTAAAAATACAAAAATTAGCTGGATGTGGTGGCAGGCGCCTGTAATTCCAGCTACTCAGGAGGCTGAGGCAGGAAAATCGCTTGAACCAGGGAGTGAGAGGTTGCAGTGAGCCGAGATCGTGCCACTGCATTCCAGCCTGGCAACAGAGTGAGACTCCATCTCAAAAAAAAAAAAAAAAAAAAAAAAAAAAGTCAAGAACCACTGTTCTGAAAAGGCTATTATAAAAATGTTTAGGCTCTTCTGTTCCTTTTACCTAACAAGTGGACATTTACTATAATGTTACGAATAACTGACACATCATCATCCTAAGAAGCTTTTTGAGTAAAACACTACAAAGAACTACAATTCCTAGTTCATGAATGCTATCAGAGATATTACTTGAGAATGTTTAACTCCAATCTCACTCCTATCCCCAACCCTCTTTCCTGGATGTACCTAAGTCACGGGAAAAAAATAACATACGAGGACCTTAGGGTGATATAATTCAGGGTAAATTCAGGGTTAGTCTAGTAGTCCTCTGAATAAGGTTCTTTTGTTTCTTTTCCCATTCTCTGCATGCTTAAGGCCTAACTACTGCACTCTGCTCCTTCCTTTTCTTCTACTTCCTAGCTTCTATGACTTTGCTCATCATCTTTGTTTGTTTGTTTGTTTTTGAGATAGAGTCTTGTTCTGTCACCCAGGCTGGAGTGCAGCCGCACAATTTCAGCTCACTGCAACCTCCACCTCCTGGGTTCAAGTGATTCTCCTGCCTCAGCCTCCCAAGTAGCTGGGATTATAGGTGTGCACCACCACACCCAGCTAATTTTTGTATTTTTAGTAGAGATGGGGTTTTGCCATGTTGGCCAGGCTGGTCTTGAACTCCTGACGTCAGATGATCTGCCTGCCTTAGCCTCTCAAAGTGCGTTCCAGGCGTGAGCCACCGCGCCCAGCCTGCTCATCATCTTTTAAACTTCTAACTCAACACTTGTTCATTTGGGCCAGTGTTTTTAAAACTGTTTTAGTAAAAGAACCTTTTCTTCTAATGAGAGATGCCACGGAACTCCCATAATTAATAAACAAGTAAAATTTACCTTGGTTAAATCAGGAGGGCTGTCAACACCCGCCCCCCCAACCCCCAGGCATTGCAGTGAAATTTTAGGGCTCCAAGGAACATATGGAAAACTACTGTCTTAGACCTTCATCACTGTTATGGATTCTCCATGGTGGGCCATTACATGGAAATACTCCCTGTTACCCTAGAATCCCCTATCCTTGTAACCCTTCTGACCCTGGGCAACTTCCATTTCCTTTCTCTGTTCCCAAGCTGTTGAAGAGAGTTAAGGAATTAGAAACTTGTATCAAATGGGTCAACTACAAATCACTATTGTCAAACTTTGGCTGAGTGGTCACCCTTGCTCAGCCATCCTTTCGTTCATCTTTTGTGAAGACTATTATCACCATCACACTCACCAGATGGCCAGCCAATGTAGAATTCAATTTCCCTCTTCACCATAAAATCTCTGTAACTGGCCGGGAATGGTGGCTCACGCCTGTAATCCCAGCACTTTGGGAGGCCGAGGCAGGCGGATTGCCTGAGGTCGGGAGTTCGAGACCGGCCTAACAAGGAAAAACTCCATCTCGGCCGGGCGCAGTGGCTCACGCCTGTAATCCCAGCACTTTGGGAGGCTGAGGTGGGTGGATCACAAGGTCAGGAGATCGAGACCATCCTGGCTAACACGGTGAAACCCCACCTCTACTGAAAGTACAAAAAATTAGCCGGGTTTGGTGGTGGGCGCCTGTAGTCCCAGCTACTCGGAGGCTGAGGCAGGAGAATGGCTTGAACCCGGGAGGCGGAGCTTGCAGTGAGCCGAGGTCGCGCCACGGCACTCCAGCCTGGGCAACAAGAGTGAAACTCTGTCTCACAAAAAAAAAAAAAAAAAAAAAACAACTCGATAACTTCACTCTTCCTCTTTTACTGTTGTCTTTAAGGAGCTGATTCTGTCTCTACCAAGCCATTTCCAAGGTAATATCTTTGTGTTTTTTTTGTTTTGGTCTCACTTCGTTGCGCAGGCTGGAGTGCAGTGGTGTGATGACAGCTCACTTTGGCCTCTAGCTCCTGGGCTCAAGTGATCCTCTCACCTCAGCCTCCCGAGTAGCTAAGACTACAGGCACACATCACCATGCCCAGCTAATTTTTAATTTTTTTGTAGAGACGGGGGTCTCACTACGTTGCCCAGGCTGATCTTGAACTCCTGCCTCAAATGACCCTCCTGCCTCAGCCTCCCAAAGTGCTGCGATTAAAGGCACAAGCCACTGTGCCCAACCAAAGGTAATGTCTTTACCACTCCACTTTTGTTATCAATCTAGTACCCCCCACACATTCTTCCGGGCCTCACTCTATTTATTGATCATCCTCCTGGTCATTAGCAGCTAGTTTTTCACTCTACTGGTGCCTTTCCCCTGTCTTAGAAACACTTTCCCTCAACTCATTTTTCTACCCTTTCAAATGATCACTCTTCTCTTTATTTTTGAGACAGGGTCTCTACTCTGTCACCCAGGCTTGAGTACAGTGGTGTGATCACAGCTCACTGCAGCCTCAACCTCTCAGACTCAAGCCATCCTCCAACCTCAGCCTCCTGAGTGGCTGGGACTACAGGTGTGCACCACCACCCAGCTAATTTTTGTATTTCTTGTAGAGACAGGGTTTCACCATATTGCCCAGGCTGGTCTCGAACTTCTAGACTCAAACAATCTGCCCGCCTTGTCCTCCCAAAGTGCTGGGATTGCAGGAATGAGCCACCACACCTGGCCTACTCTTCTCTTTTCTGTGCTACAGTGGGAATGATACTAGAACTGGGAATTTGAAGACCTGGGTTTAAATCCTAACCTAGCCACTTACTAGCTATGTAACTTTGGGCAATTCAATTCTCAGAGCCCCCCCCCTTTTTTTTAATCTCTAAAATGGGGATAAGAATGTCTATTTCATGGGGTTGTTAAAAGGATCAAATGGAAAAACACACATCAGAGTGCTTTGTGAGCAGCAATACACTGTTAGCTGATAAAGAAATTGAGGCTGGTGGGGGGTTGCTAAATGATGCCACATCTATTAAGTGGTAGAAATTGGATTAGTTACCCCAGGTCTGAATCCTAAGTCTAGGCTTTTTCCGCTACAGCATTTTGCTTCCATCTTTTTTATGACCACTCTGTCTCTCCCAAAGACACCTCCAAGTACCCACTATGATCCAATTACTGGGTTAAGCACCAAGGGGATGCAATTATATACAACGACATAATTAGTATACTGAGATACAATCAGTCAAGGTCTCTGACCTTGAGGAGTTTCAAGTCTAGAGACTGACAGATAGTTATACTGTGATAAGTAACATGAACTAAATGCCATGGTATCTGGGAGGGAAGATAATTAGGGAAAGGCTTCAAGGAGGACATAACATTTGTTTTCTCTTTTCCAGGCTCCTTTAAGTACCTGTACCTTACTGAGTTTCTTTTTTTTTTTTGCAACAGGGTCTTGCTCTGTCGCCCAGGCTAGAGTGCAGTGGCGCAATCTTGGCTCATGGCAACCTCCACCTCCCGGGTTCAAGCGATTCTCCTGCCACAGCCTCCCGAGTAGCTGGGATTACAGGTGCCTACCACCAGGCCCAGCTAAATTTTTTTGTATTTTTAGTACAGACGGGGTTTCGCCACCTTGGCCAGGCTGGTCTTGAACTCCTGACCTTGTGATCTACCCACCTCAGTCTCCCAAAGTGCTGGGATTACAGGTGTGAGAGACCGCACCCAGCCACCTTACTGAGTTTCTGATTGCTCTTTCCTTCCTCTTCCTTCTCCCTTAACTTGCCCCAAAGTTTTATCCTTGACTTTTTTTCTGTCTACATGTTTTTCCTTGGCAAACTCATCTACACCAACGAAAGCACAGGCCTCCTAAATTTTTCACATCAGTCACAAAACAGTCTCATAAATTTTACTTGCACATTTCAAGTAAATGTGTCTATGGAAATGACTATCCAGTTGTCACTTTAGGACCTAAATTCAGTAAATCCAAAACTAGACTCATTACTTACCCAGCGTCCACTTCTCTATTTCTCTCAAAAGGATGGAGGTGCTGTTACTCAAGCAGACTCATACTCCTCAAATATGGGAAATAGAGGACATACATGAAGAAACAGGTTTTGAGACAGAGGACATACCATTCAGCTGTTTTATGTAAGATGGCCTCAGTATCTAAAGGCATGGGTTGGGGGACTTCTGGAAAGTAAATAAGGATCTGAGTAATTTGTTTTCTAACCATGTAAACTATTCTTGCAAAAGTAGTATCTCTGATAGCTATAACTTCATTTTTTATCACTTCTTCCTATTTAAAGTACTATTATAACATGCTAACTTGTATTTCTCCCTCTGCCTCTCTTCTTTTTCAGTATTTTATATACACATCACTTCTTCATGCAGAGCTGCAACCATACTCCTCTTAGCTTCTGCCAAACCAGACTATTATGTAGTCTTTGAACATACCTAAATATACCCTGGCTTTGGGCTTTTGTTCATCTTGTTTCTCCTGCTTGTCAATAATAAGCATTGCTTGAGGAACTTCTATATGCCAAGCTCTATGGCAGGCATAACATAGTGAACAAGAAATGGCTTGTGCCCTCATAGAGTATATACTGTAGTAGGGGAGAGAGACAAAACTCAGAAAGACACATGAAATGACTGCACACAAGTGCCAAGAAGGAAACAAACATGAAGCAAAGAGAGAATAATAGTTGTTAACTACTTAAAGAGACTGATCTGGAAAGGCCTGAGGAGTGACATTTAAGCTGAGACCTAGAGGATGAAGAATTAGCCATATGACGAGCATTCCATGCAAAGAGAACTGCACACACAGACATTCTATAGAGGGACAGAGCTGGGTCTATTCAAAGAACTGAAAGACGGTCATTGTGGCTGAAGTCTAGTGAACGAGGGGAGAATGATACATGGTGAGACTGAAAAGAGGCAGGCAGCAGATCACACAAGGCCTTGGAGCTGATTTGTCTATCTCAGCTGAGAAATGCTGGTAGCCTAGACTGAGGTATGATAGTGGAGATGGAGAGAAATAGAAGGATAGAAGATACCTTTTGTAGCTGGAATGGAAAGGCCTTTGCTGATGGACTGGATGTGAAAATTCAGAAAAAGTGAGGAATTGAAGCTAAATCCTAGGTTTCTGGTTTAAAAACCTAAGTCAATGGTGGTACACTTACTGAGATGGGTGAGGAGGCACATTTGGGGGTTAAAAAGCCAAGGGTTCAAGGTATGACATGTCTGTGAAACACCCATGAAGGAAGGGTGTTGCAAGTATGGGTCTGAAGGTCAGGAGGGGTCTGGGCTAGTAATACGAATGTGGGAGACATTAGTATAAAGTTAAGTGTTGATATCTGTCAGGCATTTAAGAAAAACGTTCAAAGCGGCAGGCCAAAGAAATGCAAATCAAAACAATAGATACTTTCTGTTTGCCCAATTGGATTTTCTTTTTTCTTTTCTTTTCTTTTTTTTTTTTTTTTTGAGACGGAGTCTCGCTGTTGCCAGCCCAGGCTGGAGTGCAATGGTGCGATCTCGGCTCACTGCAACCTCCACCTCCTGGGTTCCAGCAATTCTCCTGCCTCAGCCTCCCAAGTACCTGAGATTACAGGCACCCGCCACCATGCCTGGCTAATTTTTGTATTTTTAGTAGAGATGGGGTTTCGCCATGTTGGCCAGGCTGGTCTCGAACTCCTGACCTCAGGTGATCCACCTGCCTCAGGCTCCCAAAGTGAGCCACCGCACCCGGCCACCCAATTGGATTTTCTAAGTATTAACACCCAAGACAAATGCAGTGGAACATATTCTGAAACTCTGTTATTGTAGAAAGCAACACTTTTACCACATATCAAGAGCCTCAAAATATTCAAACACTTTGACCCAGTCACCGGCTCTAGAAATCTACCCTAAGGAAACAGTGACAGATACATTTAAAGATGTTTGTTTATGGCATTACTCAGAATAGCAAAAAACCAGTGTCTAAATATTTGACAATAACAGATTAAATAATTATGGTACAACTAGAGCATGGAACATTCAATATCATGGTTTCAAAAGACACGAGGAAATGCTCATGGTATAATGTTAGGTTAAAAAAACAGGATAAAAAGCTATAGTTACAGCATTCCAAATTTATTAGCTTAAATAACTATGTAACTGAAAGGAAACACATCAGAAAGTTAACAATGATCATCTATGAGTGCTAGGATTGAGGCTTATTTTTTATTTAAAAAATATTCTTCTGTTTTGCAAACTTTCTACAATGAGCACTATGACTTTTACATTCAGAAAAATCTTTTTTTTTTTTTTTTTTTTGAGACAGGGTCTCGCTCTGTCACCTAGGCTGGAATACAATGGTGCGATCACAGCTCACTGCAGCCTCAACAAGTGATCCTCCCAGCTCAGCTCAGCCTCTGGAGTAGCTGGGACTACAGGCCTGTGCCACCATACCTGGCTAGTTTTTTATTTTTATTTTTTGGTACAGACAGAGTCTTACTTTGTTGCCTAGGCTGGTCTTGAACTCCTGGGCTCAAGTAATCCTCCCGCCTTGGCCTCCCAAAGAGTTGGGATTACAGGCATGAGCCACCGCACTCAGCCTAATTTCTATTTTTAACCATCCTTTAAGACTCATCTCAAATACCATTTATGTTCTTTTTTTTTGAGACACAGTCTCATTCCATTACTGAGGCTGGAGTGCAATGGCGCAGTCTCGGCTCACTGCAGCCTCCGACTCCCGGGCTCAGGCGATTCTGCTGCCTCAGCCTCCCGAGTACCTGGGATTACAGGAGTGCATCACCACCCCCGGATAATTTTTTTTTTTTTTTTTGCAGAGATGGCGTTTTGCCATGTTGACCAGGCTGGTCTTGAACTCCTGACCTCAAGGGATCCACCTGCCTCAGCCTCCCGAAGTGTTGGGATTACAGGCATAAGCCACCGCGCCTGGTGTCAAATGCCATTATGTTCTGAAACCTTTTCTTCATCCCTCCAACCAGATGTGACCACTCCCTCATCTTTCTCTTGCAGTTTTTTTTTTTTTTTTTTTTTGTATAATTATTTGGATACCAAACTCACTGTTTAAACTACCTATTATCTGCTGACAGGCCGCCCTCAACTTCTTACAAAGGACAGGATGTTAAATTCCATTTCGTATCAGTCTAGCCCATATCCTCAGTCACTCACTATCCCCTAACTTTATTATTCCTCATGGTCCTTACCAGCGGAAATTACATTATTTACTAGCTTACTGTTTGTCTCTACCACCAGAATAAAAGCTCCATAGCAGCACTGACTTCATCTGGTTCTCTAACACCTAGAACAGCCCCACAGGAAGCAATTAATAAATATTTCTGAATAAATGAATCATCTTCAGCTCTCTAGACCAAGCCTCTCCTCTGAGCTTCAGACTAACAGACACCTCTACTTATCTCCTAGGCACCTTAACCTCAACATGTTTCTATACTAAATTCATACTCTCCCCTTCCCCGATCTTCTCTTCTTCCTCTTTCCCCTTCTCAATAAATTTCACAGCCATCCACCTAAATCAGAAACATGGACATCTTTCCTTGCTGCTTCCTTCTATCTCACCTCCCACAACCAATTGATCACCAGGTTTCCTGTAGATTCAACCCTCCTAAATGTACTCCCCCATCCCTCTACCATTGCAATAGTAAACCCTAGTCACCTTTGTGACTTAACTGGGTCTAATCTTTTCCCTCACTGTTTCCTAACTGCTGGTACAGTGTACTAGCTAAAATGCAAATGTGATCATGCTACTATTTGAAAAGAAACAGCCAGGGCACAGCGGCTCACACCTGTAATCCCAGCACTTTGGGAGCCCGAGGTGGGTAGATCACCTGAGATCAGGAGTTCGAGACCAGCCTGGCCAGCACGGCAAAACCCCATCTCTACTAAAAATACAAAAACTAGCCGGGCGTGGTGGCAGGTGCCTGTAATCCCAGCTACTTGAGAGGCTGAGGCAGAATTGCTTGAACCCAGGAGGTGGAGGTTGCAGCGAGCCAAGATCACACCATTGCACTCCAGCCTGGGTGACAAGGGTGAAACTCTGTATAATAATAATAATAATAATAATAATAATAAAGAAAAAAGAAACAGAACTCTTCAGTGGATCTCAGTCACCAACCAGAGTAAGCTCTTTGGCGTGTCCTACCTAATAGCAGCTGACATTTACAGAATACTCACCACATGCCAGATATTGTGCTGTTTTATGTGATTTTTCCCATTTGTGCTTATTAACCCTGAGATAGGTACACATGCATCTCAACTTACAATAGGGCTGCATCTCAATAAATCCATCATAAATGGAAAATATGGTAAGTTGAAAACGCATTTAATACACCTTATTGAACATCATAGCTTAGCCTAGTTTACCTTCAACATGCTCAGAACACTTATATTAGCCTACAGTTGGGCAAAATCATCTAACACAAGGCCTATTTTATAATAAAGTGTTGAATAACTCATGTAATTTATTGATGTTCCCCTGACTGTGTATTGCTTCTGCACCAATATAAAGTTAAAAAATTCTAAGACAAGCCATCGCAAATCGGGGACCATCTGTACCATTATTACTTAGATTTCACATATGAGGAAAGCTGAGGCTCAGTTAGGTTAAATAACTTCCCCAAAGTCCAACAGATTATAAGTAAAGCTGGATCTCAAACCCAGGTCTCTGACTCTATGACCCATACTCTTAGCCACAAATAATAATAGTTGACTTTGAGTGTTTACTGTGTCAAACATTGGGCTAACTGCTTTATATATATTTCTCTTTTAATCCTCATAAACTACTTTATGAGGAAGAACCTATTATTATCTGAATTTTGCAGCTGGGGAAATTAAGGTACTGAAAGATTAAATAACTTACCACAAATCACAGTGATTAATCACAGTCGTCGAGCTGGGATTCAAACACCTTACCAAGTTCTCAGCAACAAGTTTCTCTTCACGTTCCTCACATCCCAGGCTCTCCTTGATGTGGACCCTACAACATTCTTCAGTATCATTCCTTCCCCCTTACCACCACCCTCTTTGTGTTCTACCATCACCTAATTGCTCATAGCTGCTGTTTTTGGTCTACACATCTCCACCCACCACTGTTTCTTTAATGCCTCTGTGGCTTTACTAAGGCTTTACATACTCTGCCGGCTAATGCCCTCCTCTCCTCTTCCCCTGGATATTCCTATTTACCCTTAAAGAACTCAGCACAGGAGTCACCTCTTCCAGGGAGCTTTCTCCTCTCTCCTGCTCCCTTTGGTTAGGTGCCCTTCCTGTCTGCTCTCATAGTACCTTGTGCATCCCTCCACAACATCAGTTTATATTGATATTCTGTTTCTATGCCCGTTTTCCTCACCAGATTGTATGCTCCTCCAAGGCAGGGACCACTCATACTCACACAAATACCTATACAGTTTGTATCCCCAGTGCCTAGCATAGTTCCTAGACATCATGACCACCCATTAAATGTTGTTTAAAAAACAAACAACAACAACAAAAAAAACCTAAGAAAGTAAGCAACTTTTCCAAGGTCACACAATGAAGCTGTGCCAGGACTAAGATCAGTTCAGGATGTTACACATCTACTCCAGTAGTCTGAACAGAGCTCCTCAATCAGTGGACCATAAAATGGCCTAGCTTTGCCTTTCAGAGACATCTACCCCACTGTACCATATGAACATTGCTATGATGTGATGTGGAAAAGGTTGGGAGACACTCTGCTAAACTACATTGCTGCTGTTGCCAACCATAAGGTAGTAAGGGTCTGATAAGTAGGTATAATCATCTCAACAAAAGCAGAGGCTTCTTGGAAAAACTCAGGAAAGTTTGCTCTCCCTAGGGCCTATGCTCAATAAGAACCAAGAAAGTGACACATACCATTCTGGCCCCCCACCACCCGCCAAGAAAGCATGCCCCTGAAAAGCACCGCCATTGGGCAGGCCTCATATTATAGCTATTGACCCACCTCTGTATTTTAGCCTGTCTTTGAGATGCCATAGCAACGAGACTAGGATAAGCCATGGAGGAATTGGCAGTGTGATTTTCAGCAGAGTTGTTCATGGTTTTGGGCAGCTCAAACTCTGCCACATGATAGCAATGGCACTGAGTTAAGTAGTTTATAAAGTGTTCTCGAGCCCGCTGCAAATGATCTAGACGCTTGCTGGGGTTGACTTGTTTCATGGTGAGGGCTCCTTGAAACGCTGGCACCAAAAGGTACTTCAGGTCGGTGGAAGCAATCTCTTCCAAATCTTCATTTCGGCTGGAAGAGCAAAAAGGAGGCAGTGAAGCCTGACTAGGCATTCAAATTGTGGCCCTTGCTTTCTGGGGGACGGAGTGGGAGGCTGGGCTGGGAGTGGACCAGAGGGAGGAGGCACGGGGAACAGCGGCCAGTTTCACTCAATGAAAGTGGCTGAGGGCTCACACCCAATGCCTATGCAATCAGCAGACGCTAGGAAGCAGAGTCGTAAGATATCAACCATCTGGGAAGAGAGGTGGGGAATGTAAACAATGTACACAAGATCGCAGTGGTAAGTAGGAACGAAACGTTCTCACCACTAAAGGTCCCCTCCACTCAGGCGCAATGGCTCCACCCTTGGTAACCATTATTACCTTCGTTCTCAGCCATTATTACTATCTTCCCCCATACCTGAACAAGTCGAGCTGCGATAACATTTCGGCAGCCTTCTCAAGGAGGTCCAAGCCCTTGAACACCTTCTCCTGGACTATCCGGGAACCGGCGGGTTCAGTCGCCACTTCTACTTCGTCCAGTAACTGTCTACCAGTTTCGAACAGCTCGGGGAGCCGCGGCAGCTGTAACTCGTCCTCAGCAGCCATCTTGGGGAGAGAGGAACCCGGAAGATCTCTTTTCCGGGGTCAAAGGCAACCTTGATAAAGAAGAATTAGGCGAGCGCGGACAAAACCGGAAGAAGCACCTCATTGGTCCAGTAGCTTCACTGTTAACAAAGCATCAAAGGACTTCCGGGAGCCGCTGTTAGCCGGCCCTGGCAACCGTTTCCATAGACTCATTTTACCAGGCAGCCCGTTACAAGTCGTAGGCATCTGTTAAAAGCAAACAAACAAGCAAAACCCTAGGCGCTGTTTTACCATGAGCTCCTCGTCGCCGACACGGGGCTGAGAAGTTCTGTGGGCTCTGAAGCCCGGGTGAGGCGAGGCTGAATTCGGAGCGCGAGGAGTGCGGACGAGCGAGTGCGTTTTAGGAGCCAGTCTGGCGCGCCCCTTACCTCGCGAGTAGCTCCCTAGGTTGAGGAGTCCAGGGACTCTAGCCGCCGCACCACTCCCACGGTTTGAAGATCCGGTCGCTTGAGCGCGAAGTGCAAGTAGCGCCCCCCTGCGGTTTCCGTCCACCCACCAGATGGAGCTCCGGGTTCCTCCCAGCCAATCCTCTCCCGTCCTCTTCCCCCTTCACCCCACACACGCCTACGACCCGTAGGCCGGCGTCCGGTGGAGCCCCCCTCAGCAAGATTGGCAACCTGCAACTCCGGTCACCGCACAGCCGGCTTCCCTTCGTGCACTTAGTTCCTACATCAAATGTTATTTCTGTGCAACCTTCCTTGTCTCTCTACCGCCTTCCACCCTGTGCCCTTCAGCCGCCAAGTCTGGGTTTCTCCTATGCATCTCTATCATGGCACCTACCACGCTGTATAATTGCTAGTGACTTACAAATCTCTCTTATCAGAATGAATTTGACTCATCTTTGCACCACTCTGGCTAGCCTGAGTACTCAGTATCAGTCATTATCTGAATAAAAAAAAAAAGTGATCAGTTTGGAAAGCAGCCAACTTATGCAGAACAGCATTGTTCAGTAGGTAGTTACTAGCTACATGTGGTTACTAAGCACTTGAAAGTGGCTATTTTGAATCGAGATGTGCTGCAAGTGTAAAAAACACCCCAGATTTCAAAGACATTTAAAAAAAAAAGAATGAAAAATGTAAATACTTTTTACATGGACTACATGTTGAAATGATAGTCTTTTGGATATGTTGGATTAAATATATTATTAGAATTAATTGTACTTCTTTCTTTTCACTTTGTAAATGTGCCTGCCAGATAATTTAAAACTATATTTGTAGCTCCCATTATATTTCTACTGGACAGAACTGATGGAAAACATAATTTCAGGACTTCAAAGAAGGGACGTCATTGTTTTGAACAAAGCAATATAAATACATACTGATTACCTTAGGACGCAGCCTGAATTGTCCTAGGAGATTTAAGTAGCAGGCACACTGTCTACCCCTGAAAATAAACTTTTAAACTAGTATTTTAAACTACATATCGTTGAGAAGAAAAAAAGCTTCATTAAAAAACAACTAGAGGGCAATATAGGACAGTATAAAATAGGTGATATGTTGTATTGCACAGGCTGTTGGAAAAGCAAGAAAGGGCAAGTCATCCCATGCTAGGAGTAGTTCAGAAGGCTTCTTAGACATGACATGCGGTCACATAGAAGAATGTCAAAGTTTAAAGGGAACCCCCAAAATCGGAGGAAAAACTTGAGACCAGAAAGGTTAAGGGACTTGTCCAGCCAGTTTGTGACAAAGTCAGTGACTTCTGCGTTCAATTGTTTCTACTCCATTAACCTTCAGTTGGGTAGGATTTAGAAAGATGAAGACCTTTAATGTGGGACAGATTGAAGCCCCAAACTAGAACAGTGCTTCCTAAGAGGGAGAGGAGGCTGTGGCACACATGTAGGTTGAAAAAGCTTCCCAGGTGATTCTAATAAACCTTCCCTTGCAACCCCTGCTTTATAAACTAAGAAGGAAGTGAGGCTTTGGCGAATTACCTATTTGGTTTATCTGGCACCTCTAGTAAACTGACCTTTCAGGGTCAGGCTTGGCAGGGAATATAAAGAAAAAGATAGTACTTGTGGAGGAGACTTAGAAATGTAGTAATTGTGAGAGTAAAGATAATTTGCTTCTCTGCATTTGCTTGGATTAAAACATGTCTTTACTGTTACTTAAGAGGAAAAAAATGTGCACAGTCTTAATTTGGTCTTAAACTTTGTAAGTCATTTTTTATGGCTTTCAAAATTAGTCTTTTTTTTTTTTTTTTTTTGAGACAGGGTCTCACTCTGCCACCCAGGCTGGAGTGCTGGAATGCATTGGCACGATCTTAGCTCACTGCAAACTCCGCCTCCTGGACTCAAGTGATCCTCTACCCTCAAGCCCCCCAATTAGCTGGGACTACAGGTGCAAGTCACCACTCCTGGCTAATTTTTGTATTTTTTTGTAGAGGCGGGGTTTCGCCATGTTGCCCAGGCTGATCTCAAACTCCTGAGGTCAAGTGATCCACCCGCTTCACCGTCCCAAAGTGTTGGGATTACAGACGTGATTCAGTGTGCCCAGCCAAAATGACGGTCTTTATGGGAGATGCCAATTACTTTCAGAGTGCCTGTTATATATTAGAGTTGTCATTTTAAGCATTGCATTTCATCTTATTCTGAAAGAATACCAAGATTAAAAAGTGGTTAGAAAAAAAGGAATAATGGCCGGGCGTGGTGGCTCATGCCTGTGATCCCAGCACTTTGGGAGGCCGAGGTGGGCAGCTCACCTGAGGTCAGGAGTTCAAGACCAGCCTGGCCAACATGGTGAAACCCTGTCTCTACTAAACATACAAAAATTAGCTGGGCATGGTGGCGCGGGCCTGTAACCCCAGCTACTCCGGAGGCTGAGGCAGTGAGCCGGGAGGCAGAGGCTGCAGCGAGCCGAGATCACACCACTGCACTCCAGCCTGGGCGACAGAGCGAGACTCTGTCTCACAAAAAAGAAAGAAAAAAAGGAATAATAAAAACGAGTCGTTTGCTGTGTTTTGTGTGTAAACACTTTATCATATTAAACTCCTGTTGTGCATGGGAGACTTTTTAAAATCCTAGTTTAGGGCACTTAACAATCATGAAAGTATAACGGTACTTAAACTTTTTGTAGTAGCATAATTCTTTTTCCAAAACAAGTTTTAGAGAGCCTGTAATTTCTAAAAGGACTGATGTATTTGAAGAGGATACAAAGAAGCCTGCCAACTCAGCCACTGGCCCATCTTCCTCAACCTGCTCAGTGAGTGGCACTCCAGGTGAGGGACTCAAGGGCTCTAAGTAACACAATATAAAAAGCATTAATCTGGCCAGGTGCAGTGGCTCCCGCCTGTAATCCCAACACTTTGGGAGGCTGAGGTGGGAGGATCCCTTTAGCCCAACTCTGCTACTGAATAGCTGTGGGACCTTGGAGAAATTCCTTCCTTTGCTCTTTCCATACATGCTGTGTGCTACCTGAATGCTAGGCATTGAGAATTCGAACACTACCCGAGGTTTAAGCTCTTAAGGGGTCCATAGTTCCACGGAAGAGACAGGTAAACAAATAATCAAATGTTAATTTGATAAATATTTTGATAAAGGTGTGTTCAAGGTGTTAGAGGAATGGAGAGAATAACTTTGGCCCGGAGGGGCATTCTGTTAAAGGTCAAACTCAATAACATGACTTTAAGATCCTTTCTAATCTGCCTGCTGACATCCTTTTCATTTTGTTCCTTCGTGGATCCTAAGCTGAATCTTTAGCAAACTCTCCTAGTTCTCCAAACCTATCATGTTCTCTTAGGCCTTCATGCATTCACATAGGTGGTACCTTCTGCCTGGAATGTCATCTTCCTTGTCTGTGCCTGGCAAATTTCTATTCATTACTCATAACTTGGCTCAAAGATCACTTGCTCTGGGAAGCACTTCCTGATTTTCCCCTGTAGGCGAGGCTACCTCCTTCTTAGCTCTTATAGCATTTGATTCATCCCCCTGTGATAGTACTGTACTGTGGTTATCTTTATCCACACCTGTCTCTCACTAAACTGAGAGCTCTTTAAGGCCAGGGAGAGTGTCTTACTCATCTTTGTTCACTCTAGCACAGAACCTGCCACCCAGTAGGTAGGAGAGACTCAATGTTAAATGAATAACTTTGTATCATAATAATACCTAACCTTCTCTGAGCGCTCACATCCTGCCAAGTGACTATGCTAAGTACTTTACATGTGAAGGAGTTCAGGAGATGCCATCCCAAAATATGCCACTTTGGTATGCTGATTATTTGAACCAAGGGCACTTGGGGAACAGTGGATACAGGCAGAGGCTGTCTCTGAGCTCCCCTTATCTGCCTAAAGCTGGCTCCTCCAAAAGGAATGTAATTGTCATGAATCCCCTCTCTAGGAATCTTACCAACCAGGGAAGATTAACTTGGATCACAGGAGAGGAGATCGGAGGCTGACACCACACCCAGACAATCACCTATTCTTCTGAGAGCTGCTTTGAGAGAAGTTTTATTACCTGAAAGACTTTTTATCTGCATAACAAGACAACCTCTGTTACCACACATTTCCTTCCCTTGCTCTCCCATAACTCTTGTGTTGCCACCAGCCCCCAGGAAGCCCCAAGCCCCTATTCCTTTCTGTAGTTCAGGATGCTGTGTAAGCTTCAATTGAAACAATCCCTATAAACTTCATAAAATTAATCAGGGAAGAAGGGAGGGAGAGAAAAAAAATAAACCAAACTCGCAGCAAATTCAGCTTCATGCTGAATTCATGAGGTCAGCTTGCCCTCTGACCTGATTCCTCATAGTTGTTTGCTGCCTACTGCTTCAAAATCATGTAGACCCTGTTACAAGATTATAGTTCCCCTTAACTGTTCTATATCTCATTGCCTATTCTTCTGTAAGCAGCCACATGGCACTTTTTACTGTAGCCATCCTCATCCAAATACCCTGAAGTTTTATGGGTGCAGTTGTCCTAATAATTGCCCATGGACTCACATCATCTATACTGTTTTGCCTTGCAAACTCAAATTATGAACGAATCCATAGTTGAACAATACTATTAGCCTGATGATAGCAGCAGGAGGCAGACAAATCCCTAGGCAGACAGGGGCGGGTCCCCTGTGAAACCTGACCTTCAAACCAAAGACAGTTTAAAGTCTGAAAACCAAGCTACAAGTCTCGAATAAATCCACAGACCGGATTGAGAACCTCTCTTCCTGTTTGGCGTGCTTTCCTCTGATTGATCCCCACCCTTCACCTATTTTACATATACCTACCCTTCCCTAATTAGTTTTTTACACCGTTGTGCCCATCTTTGAGTGGTGTCTTTTTTTTAGCCTTTTTTTTGCACACTCAAACTAATCAGCACACACTTCCCCATTCTGAGTCCATAAAAGCCCCAGACTCATTCACACTTTGGGACTACCCGCCTGCAGGTTGTGGGGAGCCTACCTGACTTTGGGTAAAAGGGCTGCCCAACTTGGGTCCCCCTCTCCACTGAGAGCTGTTTCATCACTCAGTTTGCCTTGCTCACCCACTGTCTGTCAGCATAACCTCATTCTTCTTGGATGTGGGAGAAGAACTTGGGACCCCCTGAGTGGTGTGTGCGAACAGAACTGTAACTGTAGCACTCGCCTCTGGCTTGCTGAGCAAGCAGGAGAGGGAGCCGCTGAGCGCCACATGCCCTCCTTTGTCAGGCTGTGGACAGTGGGACTGAAAGAGCTGTTAGCATGCTGCAACACCCCCTTTGCGGCTTCGAGGTCACTGGCATCCCTGTTCAGGCACCACCACAGTCCCTTCATCCAGACGCCTAAGCCCAAGGTGGAAGCAGGTCGTGGCACACTTGGCCCAGCTGAGGGCTGAGCATGGATCCCACAGTGAGTGGGGGATCCAGGCCGGAGCACAAGCCAAGTGCAGCCCACTGGGCCGAGTGAGCAGGGTGCCTCCTGTGGCAAGCCCAGGGCTGAGTGAGGCCCAGCCAGGGGCATTGCCAGCCACAGAGGTCTCCAGTGGGCCAAGCAGCACTGAGGTCTCCAAACACTCCCCTAATAGGTGTGTGATGGCTTTTAGCTAGTCTTACTAATCTCCCTCTCCCCACAACCATCAACCAAATTGGAGAATTTTTTGTAACTATAGCTTCATTCTCCTGATGTAACTTCAGTATGTGTTAATAGGACTTAACATGTTAATCACAGCCCTCTATTCACTATATATATATTAATTATAACACAATGAGGGATATTTACCTATTACGTTAATAGCATTAAACCTTCCTTTACATGAGAAAACACCTTAATGTCCATACATCTTTTACCTCTCCTCTTCCTGTCACTGAACCCCAAAATGATTTTGGGCTTCATATATTGTAAATACAGTTGAACCAAAACATTAGATTGTGAGTCTAATAATAGAAGCCTCCAACTTCTTATTTACCAAGAAAGCATGCAAGAACTGCTAATTCATGTCCCCATATCTAACAATAAGGCTCAGCTTTTAAAGGATAGAAGCTATTCATTGGCCTTAGGAGCCAAAAAGATTGGTGCAACTCCAAATAAAAGTAATACATATATTCTCCTCCTTTACCTTAACTTTTCCAATTATTATTACTTCAACTAATATTTACAAAAGTAACTCCTACCTCACCTACATAAAAACCTCCATCACATGAGCACTTCATTACCAGTCTCATTCCAACTACTACATTTATTTACCCACTTCAGGAAACCATCATCTCAAAATGACACTGAAAGACCACCCAAACCCTAAAACTCTCACTTAGCTTTAAACTAGATTATTTTTCAATAGTATTTATACCGGTAGCACTCTTCATCACATGGTTGGTTATAGAATTTAAATATGATGGCTTGGCACAGTGGCTCACGCCTATAATCCCAGCACTTTGGGAAGCTGAGGTGGGTGGATCACCTGACGTCAGGAGTTTGAGACCAGCCTGGCCAACATGCTGAAAATACAAAAATTAGCCAGGCGTGGTGGTGTGTACCTGTAGTCCCAGCTACTCAGGAGGCTGAGGCAGGGGAATCACTTGAACCCAGGAGGTGGAGGTTGCAGTGAGTCAATATCATGCCACTGCACTCCAGCCTGGGCAACAGAGTGAGACTCCATCTCAAAATAAATAAAAATAAATAAATAAATAAATAAATAAATAAATATTATATATACACTCAGGCCCTAATATCAATCATTCTTCAAATATTTACTCACATTTCTCATCACCATACTAATTCTAGTCACTACCAACTTTTCATTGGATGAGAGGGAGCAGGTATCGTATCTTTACTACTAATCAGCTGATGATGTGGCTGAACAGATGCTAACACAGCAGCCCTATAAGCAATTCTACATAATCGCATTGGAGACATTGGCTTCATCTTAGCAATAGCATGGTTCCTATCATTCTCTAATACATGAGAATTTCAACAGATATTTATTCTTAACCCCAACCCCAATATCCTCCTACTAATTGGGCTCCTAGTAGCAGCAACTGGCAAATCAGTTCCATTTGGACTTCATCCATGACTTCCATCAGCCATGGAAGGCCCAACTTCCATCTCTGCCCTCCTTCATTCTAGCATAATAGTAGTAGCAGGTATCTGCCTACTAATTTGCTTTTACCCCTTAATACAAAATAATATAATCATTCAGGCACTTACACTATGCTTAGGTGCCATCACCACTTTATTCACAGCGATCTGAGCTCTAACACAAAATGATATCAAAAAAATTGTAGCATTTTCTACCTCGAGTCAACTAGGTCTCAGTAGTTACAACTGGCATTAATCAACTTCACCTAGCATTTCTTCATATCTATACTCACACTTTCTTAAAGCCATAGTGTATATGCTCTGGATCTATTATTCATAATCTAAATAATGAACAAGACATCTTCACTTCCTCCTCACTTATCATTGGCAGCCTCGCAGGTATACCATGCCTTACAGGCTTCTACTCCAACGATCTCATCATTGAAACCACAAGCACATCATATACCAATGGCTGAGCCCTCTTAATTACACTCATCACCACCTCCCTAAAGGCTGTATACAGTACCCGAGTTATTTTCTTCACACTGCTAGGACAGCCTTGCTTTACAACCTTAGCTGTCATCAACAAAAATAACTCAGGCCAGGCGCAGTGGCTCACACCTGTAATCTCAGCACTCTGGGAGGCTGACGTGGGCAGATCACTTGAGGCCAGGAGTTCGAGACCAGCCTGGCCAACATGGTGAAAGCCCACCTCTACTAAAAATACAAAAAATCAGCTGGGCGTGGTGGCACTCGCCTGTAATCACAGCTACTTGGGAGGCTGAGACAGCAAAATCGCTTGAACCCAAGAGGCAGTGGTTGCAGTGAACCAAGATCGCGCCACTGCACTCCAGCCTGGGTGACAGAGCAAGACTGCATCTCAAAAGCAAACAAACAAACAAAAAACAAAAAGTAACCCCCTTCTAATAAACTAAATTAAATGCCTAGCAATTGGTAGTATTTTTGCTGGATTTTTCATCTCCAGCAATATTACTCCTATACCTATTCCCCAAATAACTATGCCCCTCTTCCTAAAACTTACAGCCCTTGGCATAACTATTCTAGGATTTTCAGTAGCAATAGAACTTAATCTTCGTCAGGTGTGGTGGCTCACGCCTGTAATCCCAACACTTTGGGAGGCCGAGGCAGGTGGATCACCTGAGGTCGGGAGTTCGAGACTAGCCTGACCAACATGGAGAAACCCCATCTCTACTAAAAATACAAAATTAGCCAAGCATGGTGGCACATGTCTGTAATCCCAGCTACTCAGGAGGCTGAGGCAGAGGTTGCGGTGAGCCAAGATCACACCATTGCACTCCAGCCTGGGCGACAAGAGTGAAACTCCGTCTGAAGAACAAAAGAAAAAAAAAAAAGAAAAGAAAAAGCAACACCAAAAAATATAGCCCAGCTCTAAAAACTAGCCTCGATCACTGTATCCAGCCAAAAAGGCCTAACCAAACTCTATTTTCTCTCCTTTCTTATCCCAATATTTCTAATCTTATTCTTAATCATATAACCCTGTTTCCCCAAGTAATCTCAATCACAATAAAAATGCTGACAAAGATAAACCGGAAACCACCATTAATCAACTACCATAACTGTACAATGCAGCAATACCTACAGAATCTTCACAAAGCCCTACTTCCTCACCCTTAAAAATCACCCAATTTTCCATATTTTAATAATCAGTAATAATTTCTACCTCATCATAATGCACTATTCACATAACCATAAATAATTCTAACAATAACCCTAACAACAGGGCACCCCATAACAACACTTGAGCCCCAAGCTTCAGAGTACTCCTCAGTAGCCATTGCTGTAGTACATTCCAAAACCACTATCATTCACCCCAAGTAAATTAAAAAAAAGATTAACCCCAGAAAAGCACCACCAAAATTTAACACAATACCACAACCTACTCGTCGACTAATGATCAACCCTAAACCTCCATAAATAGGTGAAGGCTTTGAAGAAGAACCCACAAAGCCCACAACAAAAATTGCACTTAATAAAAATACAGTCTGACAGAGCAGGAACATTGCCATCTTGGATGAGCCCCTCATTCTAAAGTTCACCTTAGTAAAAAACCGCCTAAATCCAAAGGGCATCAGCCTAATGGCTAAGGTCAGCATGACCATAAACCACAAATAGCATCTCCAACCAGAAACATTCCAAACTCCTGCTCGACCAGAGACATGCTAGCCCTGAGATAAACACCCCTCCAGCCAGGAAGATGCCAGCCTCGAGATAAGCCCCCTCTGGCAGGAAAGATGTCTGCCCCAAGACATCTTTGTCTTGCCTCCTCCCAGAGACATTCCAACTCTGCCAGAAACTTCTCTCCACACAGAAACATTCCAAGCTTGTGATAAGCCCCCTCACCCTAAAACCAATATATACTCTTAGTCCATAAGAGAAAGCGCTCCTGACCAAAATCAGCCAGGAGCGCCTCTCAGGTTTTATCTAAAGTAAACCTGTCTTTAACTGCAAGCAGCGTTTCGTGTTTGTCTCCTCTTTCTTCCGTTCTTTTTTTTTTTTAATTTTTTTAGTATTTATTGATCATTCTTGGGTGTTTCTTGGAGAGGGGGATTTGGCAGGGTCATAGGACAATAGTGGAGGGAAGGTCAGCAGATAAACATGTGAACAAAGGTCTCTGGTTTTCCTAGGCAGAGGGCCCTGCCGCCTTCCGCAGTGTTTGTGTCCCTGGGTACTTGAGATTAGGGAGTGGTGATGACTCTTAACGAGTATGCTACCTTCTAGCATCTGTTTAACAAAGCACATATTGCACTGCCCTTAATCCATTTAACCCTTAGTGGACACAGCACATGTTTCAGAGAGCACGGGGTTGGGGGTAAGGTTATGGATTAAGAGCATCCCAAGGCAGAAGAATTTTTCTTAGTACAGAACAAAATGGAGTCTCCTATGTCTACTTCTTTCTACACAGACACAGTAACAATCTGATCTCTCTTTCTTTTCCCCACATTTCCCCCTTTTCTATTCGACAAAACCGCCATCATCATCATGGCCCGTTCTCAATGAGCTGTTGGGTACACCTCCCAGACGGGGTGGCGGCCGGGCAGAGGGGCTCCTCACTTCCCAGACGGGGCGGCCGGGCAGAGGCGCCCCCCACCTCCCAGACGGGGTGGCGGCCGGGCGGGGGCTGCCCCCCACTTCCCGGACGGGGCGGCTGCCAGGCGGAGACGCTCCTCACTTCCCAGATGGGGTGACTGCCAGGCGGAGGGGCTCCTCACTTCTCAGACTGGGCAGCCGGTCAGAGACGCTCCTCACCTCCCAGACGGGGTGGCAGCGGGGCAGAGACACTCCTCAGTTCCCAGATGGGGTCGCGGCCAGGCAGAGGCGCTCTTCACATCTCAGACGGTGGCGGGGCAGAGGCGCTCCCCACATCCCAGACGATGGGCGGCCGGGCAGAGATGCTCCTCACTTCCTAGATGGGATGACGGCCGGGAAGAGGCGCTCCTCACTTCCCAGACTGGGCAGCCGGGCAGAGGGGCTCCTCACATCCCAGATGATGGGCGGCCAGGCAGAGACGCTCCTCACTTCCTAGACGGGGTGGCGGCCAGGCAGAGGCTGCAATCTGGACACTTTGGGAGGCCAAGGCAGGCAGCTGGGAGGTGGAGGTTGTAGCGAGCCGAGATCAGGCCACTGCACTCCAGCCTGGGCAACACTGAGCACTGAGTGAGCGAGACTCCGTCTGCAATCCCGGCACCTCGGGAGGCCGAGGCTGGCAGATCACTCGCAGTCAAGAGCTGGAGACCAGCCCGGCCAACACAGCGAAACCCCGTCTCCACCAAAAAATACGGAAACCAGTCAGGCGTGGCGGCGCCTGCCTGCAATCCCAGGCACTCTGCAGGCTGAGGCAGGAGAATCAGGCAGGGAGGTTGCAGTGAGTCGAGATGGCGGCAGTACAATCCAGCCTCCGCTCGGCATCAGAGGGAGACCGTGCAAAGGGAGACAGAGACGGGAGGGGGGAGGGGGAGGGGAAGGGAGAGGGAGAGGGAGACGGAGAGGGAGAGGGAGAGGGAGAGCTCTTCCGTTCTTTTTTTTTTTTTTTTTTTTTTTTGAGATGGAGTTTCACCCTTGTTGCCCAGGCTGGAGTGCAATGGTGCAATCTTGGCTCACCGCAACCTCCACCTCCTAGGTTCAAACAATTTTCCGACCTCAGCCTCCTGAGTAGCTGGGATTACAAGCATCCGCCACCACCCCCCCGCCCCGGCTAATTTTTGTATTTTTAGTAGAGATGGGGTTTTGCCATGTTGGCCAGGCTGGTCTTGATCTCCTGATCTCAGGATCCACCCGCCTTGGCCCCCCAAAGTGCTGGGATTACAGGCTTGAGCCACCATGCCCAGCTCCTCTTTAACTCCTACACAGTCGATGTCATAATTTTCACATGGAATTTAGCCATGACCAATGACATGAAAAATCATCGTTGTACTTGTGATGCTTAATAGTGAGCGTCAACTTGATTGGATTGAAGGAAACAAAGTATTGATCCTGGGTGTGCCTGTGAGAGTGCTACCAAAGGAGATTAACATTTGAGTCCGCAGGCTGGGAAAAGCAGACCCACCCTTAATCTGGGTGGGCACCATCTAATCAGCTGCCAGTGCATCTAGAATACAAGCAGGCAGAAAAATGTGAAAGGAGAGACTGGCCTAGCCTCCCAGCCTACATCTTTCTCCCATGCTGGACGCTTCCTGCTCTCAAACATTGGACTCCAAGATCATCAGTTTTGGAACTTGGACTGGCTCTCCTTGCTCCTCAGCCTGCAGACAGCCTATTGTGGGACATTGTGATCGTGTGAGTTCATACTTAATAAACTCTCATATAAATATATATATATATATATAAAGGGAGTATATATAATGAAATATATATATATATATTCCATTAGCTCTGTCCCTCTAGAGAGCCCTAATACAGTACTTCGACTATAAGAACTCTAGTGACCAACATCCAAAAAACCCACTGCTTAATAAAAATTATTAATCACTCATTTATTGACCTATTAGCACTACCAAACATTTCTGCATGATGAAATTTTGGCTCTCTTCTAGGTGACTGCCTGGCCCTACAAATTATTACAGGACTGTTCCTAGCCATACACTATATACCAGATATAATAGCTGCATTCTCCTCCATCACCCACATCTGTTGAGATGTAAATTATGGCTGATTTATCCAATATCTACATGCCAATGGAGCATCAATATTCTTCATCTTCTTCTTCTTACATGTAGGATGAGGCTTATATTACGGGTCTTATACTTGCCTAGAAACCTGAAACATTGGTATTAGTTTATTATTTGCCATAATAGTACAGCATTTATAGGTTATGTCCTGCTATGAGGATAGATAAACTTCTAAGGTACAACAGAAATCACAACCTCGTATCCGTTATTCCATATACTGGCACTGACCTTGTGCAGTGAATTTGTCGGGGCTTTTCAGTTGACAAGGCCACCCTCACACGATTCTTCGCCTTCACTTCATCTTACCCTTTGTTATTGTAGCCCTAGTAGCTGTCCACCTTTTATTTCTCCACAAGACAGCATCTAACAATCTGTCAGGAGTTTCATCAGATTCTAACAAAATTCCATTTCACCCCTACTATACAAAGACATCTTAAGCCTGATCCCCTTTCTTCTATTACTACTTTATTCTCATCTGACCTATTTATTCTCACCTGACCAACTAGACTCTGGCAAATACCCTCAATACACCATCCTACAATAAACCAGAGTGATACTTTTTGTTTGCCTACACAATTCTACATTCTGTCCCTAACAAAGTAAGAGGGGTACTGGCCTTTGTCCTCTTCATTCGTATCCTAACTATTTTTCCAATACTTCACATATCCAAGCAGCGAAGCATGATATTTCAACCATTAAGTCAATGCTTATGCTGAGTTTTAGTAGCAGACCTTCTTAAGCTTACATGAATCAGAGGCCAAGCTGTCCAACACCCCTTCATCATCATCGGCTAAGCAGCATCTATTGCATATTTTTCCCTCATCCTTGTTTTCATGTCACTCACTAGTCTAATAGAAAACAAGTTACCCAAATGAAGAAGTCCTTGTAGTATAATTAAATTACTTTGGTCTTGTAAACCAAAAATGGAGGGCCCTCCTCCCCAGGACAATTTCAAGGAGGAAGCTTCCTGCTTCACCACTAGCACCCAAAGCTTAAGTTGTACCTTAACTATCCCCTGATTTCTCTACTTGGGAGTACAGTAATTTTATTTTAACTGCTATGTCAGTATTGAAGAATCCACAAAAATTAATAGTACAACTATGTACATTGTGCATTCCTGCTCGACCCCAAGAATTAATGTACCAGTATCATATATGCTTAATCATACATTGTACATTGATGTATTATCATACATTAAATTCCTACTTCCATGAATATCCAGCAAGAACAATAATGCCATAATAACCTATCATACATTTATTGAACATACCACAAGGACAGATTTGCATACACGCCCATTGTCCAGTACAGCAAATCCTTAATATTACATAAGACGTTCAGTCATTTATGGTACATAGCACATCCAAGTCAAATAATTCCTTGTTAACACGCTTATCACCTCCAATTCACCTTCTTAAACTACCAAGCTTTGAGAAATTAGAAACCCACTCGGGAAGTTCTACCTTCCTTGCTCCAGGCCCATAACACTTAGGTGTGACTTATACTGAAATTAAACCTGGCATCTGGTTCTTCAGGGCCATGGACACTAAGATTGCCAGCTTGTTCCCCTTAAATAAGACATCTCAATGGAACAATAACTAATCACCTCATGATCACTCATGGGAGCACTGTCATGCATTTGGTATTTTTAAAATTTGGGGATGCTATGATCCAGCACGGTGGGAGCCTGAACCCAGCCAAGTCAATTGTAGCTGGATTAAATTGAATATTATGAGTCAACATTTATAACCATAAGGTGCTAATTCACTCATGCTTGATGAACATAATGATAATACAGTGCACAACTTGAACATTATAAAGTATTAAGTTTTCCATTTGAGATATTCTTTCAGGTCCTGTATGCCAGTGAAACTACTAACATCAGCTGGGGTGAAGAACCCCACAAGAAGCTGACTCACCAAAGAATGCAGTTTACACATCCTGATTATTTCATCCCCCTTACCCCAAGCAATCAATGGCCCCAATTTTCCAGCCCCCTCACCCTCCATGATCCCCTTAGAAACCCCAGCCCAGAACTCCTTGAGAGGATTGATTTGAGGGTCTCCTCCCATCTCCTCACTTGGTGCCATGCAATCACTAGACTCTTTCTCTGCTGCAAACCCTTCTGTTTCAGTGTATTGGTATGTTACTGCACAGTGGGCATACAAACCTGTTGGTCCTATAACACAATAATCTGACCCTTCTACAAGTCTCATAATTTGTGGGATTCCCATACATATGTATGTAATGAAATAGGTTTTCAAAATCCAGTTAATCTGTCTTATATCCATTTAATTCATAGCCCAGCCAAGGAACCTAGAAGGGTGGAGGAAAGCCTATTTTTGCTCCCCTATAGTTGGCACCCAACCCAGGGCCTCACTGGCAGGGACCAGCTCACTCCACAAATGCTGAAACTATAGGATCCTGAGACCCCTGACGAAAATGCTAGCCACAGGTAAGATTTCTGACCACAGCAGGTTTTCAGGTCTCTTCCTTCAGAGTCTGGTTGAAGCAAGAGTGTTAAGAGTCCCTTTGTCTTACCCTTTCTAAATTTGGATTAGCAGAAGAAATGTGTAGGAACTAGTTCTTTCTTTCTTTTTATTTTTTTGATAAGAGTCTCCCTCTGTCACCTAGGCTGGAGTGCAGTGGCATGATCTTGACTCACTACAACCTCCGCCTCCTGGGTTCAAGCAATTCTCATGCCTCAGCCTCCCCAGTAGCTGAGATTACAGGTGTGCACCACCACATCCTGCCAATTTTTGTATTTTTAATAGAGATGGGGTTTTGCCTTGTTGGTCAGGCTGGTCTCAAACTCCTGGCATCAAGTGATCTGCCCACCTCAGCCTCTTAAAGTGCTGGGATTACAGATATGTGCCACTGTGCCTGGCCACTGAAGTAGTTCCTGCATATGGATTCTAGTATTTGGGGGAGGGGATTATGAATATTCTTGTTTTCTGATCCCTTTCTTCCCAGATATGGTCTTTGTTTTTCATTTATTTTGTCTTTCATGTCATGTGTCATGAGGAGTAGAATCATAGGGCAGAACATGGGCACAGGCCCTTATAAACCTGTTGTTCAAGCTGGCCTCACAGATTGGTGAGTTTAAGGTTCTCACCAAAGTGGTGTCAGTTTAGACAAACTTTGGTGTGGGTCCCAGAGACAAATAAACTGATGAGGTTCTCCTTTCATCTTGTTTTATGTCCTGAGAGCTTGGCTTTCTGACCAGAGAACACTCTCTCTGATATCTGCCATCTGCTGGAGTGGGGCTCAAGTATGGGCTTGCATCAGGCAGCCAGTCAAACAGGTTGGAACCTGAGACAAGAAGTGGCAAGCAGCATTTTCTTTGACTGGCCATGTCAGCTTTCAGGGGAGTCTGTCACAATAAGCAGTCCCAGTCCATAAGGGGCTTTTGTTGTTTTAATCTTCATTGCTTGGTTAGTGCTTGGAAATTCCCATCCCAATATCACTTGCCTAGTGTTACAGACCAGGAGGTTTGTGACTGGAGGCATCCCACATTCTGTGGGTGATATAGTTTGGATGTGTGTCCCCACCCAAATCTAATATTGAAATGTAATCCCAGCCGGGGGTGGTGGCTCACGCCTGTAACCCCATCACTTTGGGAGGCCGAGGCAGGTGGATCACTTGATGTCAGGAGTTCTAGACCAGCCTGGCCAACATGGTGAGACCCCGTCTCTACTAAAAATACAAAAATTAGCCGGATGTGTTGGCAGGTGCCTGTAATCCCAGCCACTTGGAAGACTGAGGCAGGAGAATTGCTTGAACCTCGGAGGCAGAGGTTGCGGTGAGCCGAGATTGTGCCACTGCACTCCAGCCTGGGCAACAGAGCAACACTCCATCTCAAAAAATAAATAAATAAATAAATAAAATAAAATAATAAAAATAAATAAAATAAAGAAATGTAATCCCCATTGCTGGAGGTGGGGACTGGAGGGAGGTGATTGGATTATGGGGGTGAATTTCTCATGAATAGTTTAACATCATCCCCCTTGGTATTTTCCTCATGATAGCAAGTGAGATCTGAACATTTAAAAGTGTGTGGCACCTCCCCCTCGCTTTCTTGCTCTTGCTTTCACCATGTGACATGCCTGCTACCCCTTTGCCTTCTGACATGATAGTAAGTTTCCTGAGGCCTCACCAGAAGCCAGACTGATACCAGCATCATGTTTCCTGTACTGCCAGCAGAATCGTGAGCCAATTAAACGTCTTTATAAATTACCCAGTCTCAGGTAGTTCTTTATAGCAATGCGAGAACAGACTAATACAGGTAAGTTTTATTTTCTTAACCTTAGGGTACATCTTAGTTGATAAAAGGGAATCTATTTTGGTCTCTCAGGTCACATATTCTAAATCTGGAGAGTTAGAATAACTTTTGGTTTAACTCTACATGTTTCTGTGAAAAGAGTTATTGGTTGAGTCACTTTTAGGATAAATGAATTGGCTATATTAAAAAAATGTATTTTCAGAGGGCTGTTCTAAACAACTATTTATTGGTACCTATGAGAAGGTCAAATTGAAAAAAGGACATAAAGAGGTATAACAGCTAACTTTAGAGACACCCTTAGCAAGATCAAAAAGCAGAAATCAGATTAGAACAAAGTTAAAATCCTTTTAACTCATTGTAAATTTTACTTCTCTGCCCTCTTATACTTCCCCAATTCCCTGTCCCTCACCCTTCAAAATATCTTTTGGATCTCATGGTCCTAATTTAAAACTCCCCTCCTTCAAATCTGGCTCCATTTCCTCATTACATTCCTTTAGCTAAGGAGAGAAACATTTGTAAGAATTGCTTTGAATTATGACTTTTGGTTTTGGAGTACCCATTTGTTAGTGATCCTTTCTCTCTCGTGAACAGCTATTGTTTTCCTGTTTGTCTCATTTTTGTGTCTTGAGAACTTGGTTTAACTTTCTGCTTATTAGGGGCACATGGGTTATCAGGCTTGCATGTACAGGCAGCCAACCAAAAGGTTGGGAGCACCCCAAAATATGGCTGGACAGGAATGTGGGTTGTGCCCCATTTGAGGCTAATGTACCTACTGTTGCCGGCTCTCAGGATCATCGTCTTAAGGTTTTCTTCTGGCTGTCTTTGGGAGTGGCTTTGTGTCTTGGAAGGGCTGCATCTTCTTGCTCCCTCTCTGGAGATGCCTCATATGTCCATGGTTAAAGCCAAAAGAGGCTTATTAGTTTTGGTTTGAGTGATCTATTAGGTATACCTTTGGTTTAGAACATTGGTTTATATATATCCAGAGCATAAGAGGAACTTTTTTTTTTCTGGCCTTCTCTCTTGAGCTAAAATGGAACTATATACTCAGAAAGAAAGAAAACAGATTATTAAAACATTCCAAAGATGAACAGCTGTAAATCTAGAACAGAGGAATCTTTTAATTTCCATCTTAGTTGGAAATCTCCCTGATATAAAGGAGCAAATTATAGATAATGTAATTAGATGGATTGGTCAACCCCTTGATATAATTCAGCCTGCAACCTAATTTTGGGGGGAATTAAAAACAACTGTCCTTGTCTTACAAATTGAGTCCTTACAAAAACATGAATGTGCCTCTAGAAGCAATTCAAAGCCCACCTATCCTTATTATCAATCTCCAAACTTCACCTATTCATCTCAAGATGTCTGCAGATACTTTAAAAAATTAGAACATTGGAAACAGAACAGTTCTACATTTAAGAAAAGGAAAGAAAACTGTAAAAAGTAACTAAACTAGACCTCTAATAGGCAAATATGCCCCCTCCTTCTTGGTGAAAACTTACATTCTTTCTCTGTGCCTTTGAGATGTAATTTTCTACTCTGTCTTATCCAAGAACTATCCCTTTTGAAATGCAAACTTTAGGAAGATGATTCTCAGCAATAAACAAACAACAACAACAACAAAAACCTGAAAAATCTTTTTTTTTTTGTTTTTGTTTTTTTTTTTTGAGACGGAGTTGTTGCCCAGGCTGGAGTGCAATGGCACGATCTCGGCTCACTGCAACCTCCACCTCCCAGGTACAAGCGAGTCTCCTGTCTCAGCCTCCCAGGTAGCTCGGATTACAGGCATGTGCCACCACGCCTGGCTATTTGTTTTGTATTTGTTAGAGACAGGGTTTCACCATGTTAGGCTGGTCTCAAACTCCTGACCTCAGGTGATCCACCTGCCTCGGTTTCCCAAAGTGCTGGGATTACAGGTGTGCACCACCGTGCCTGGCCTGAAAAAAAATCTTAAAAGTCTTTTCTATTAACAGTAAAAAGCTTTAGCTGGCTGGGTGCTGTGGCTCATGTCTGTAATCCCAGCACTTTGGGAGGCTGAGGCGGGCGGATTATCTGAGGTCAGGAGTTGGAGACCAACCTGGCCAACATGGGAAACCCCATCTCTACTAAAAACTACAAAAATTAGCTGGGCGTGGTGGTGGGTGCCTGTAATCCCAGCTACTTGGGAGGCTGAGGCAGAAGAATCCCTTGAACCGAGGAGGCAGAGGTTGCAGTGAGCCGAGATTGCATCATTGCACTCCAGCATGGGTGACAGAGTGAAACTCCATCTTAAAAAAAAAAAAAAAAAAAAAAAAGCTTCAGCCATGTGAGCAGGTAACCTTAATTTGTTCTAATTTTGGGGGTCAGAAACACAATTTACATAAAAATATATGAGGGGATAAACCAGTGAGTTTATATTACTATATTTTACTGCCTCATGACTAAAACTTTTAAAGTAAAATGCCATAAGATCTTTATTTGTGTTTGTTTGTATGTCTATGTATGCTTATGGATGTGTGTATACAAGCATGTTTGCATGTTATGTCTACATGATATAAAAATCTCTTAATTTTTTGTTTGAGATGGAGTCTTGCTCTATCACCCAGGCTGGAGTGCAGTGGTGTGACCTCGGCTCACTGCAACCTCCGCCTCCCAGGTTCAAGCGATTCTCCTGCCCCAGCCTCCAGAGTAGCTGGGATTACAGGTGCATGCCACCACGCTCGGCTAACTTTTGTATTTTTAGTAGAGATAGGGTTTTGCCATGTTGGCCAGGCTGGTCTCAAACTCCTGACCTCAGGTGATCCACCCGCCTTGGTCTCCCAAGGTGCTGGGGTTACAGGGGCCTGCCACCAGTCCTGGCTAATTTTTGTACTTTTAGTAGAGACTGGGTTTCGCCATGTTGGCCAGGCTGGTCTTGAACTCCTAAGCTCAAGTGATCTGCCCACCTCAACCTCCCAAAGTGCTGAGATTACAGGCATGAGCCATCGCACCAGGCCCATGGTATAAAATCTCTTAAAGGAGTTCTATTCAAATTGGCTGTAGACATTGGTTGGGAATGGTGGCCCATGCCTGTAATCCCAACTCTTTTGGGAGGCTGAGATGTGAGGATTGTTTGAGCTCTAGAATTCAAGACCAGCCTGTGCAACATAGTGAGACCTTGTGTCTACTTAAAAAAAAAATTAACAGGGCATGGTCGTGTGTGTCTGCAAGTGCCAGCTGCTTGGGAGGCTGAGGTGGGAGAGTCGCTTGAGCTTGGCAGATGAGGCTGCAGTGAGCTGTGATCGCACCACTGCAGTACATCCAGCCTAGCTGAGAGAGCAAAACCATGTCTCAAACAAACCAAAAACCAAATTGGCTTAGAGGTAAATGAGTGCTTATATAAATGAAAAACTAAAACTGCTAGAAATATGATAACTAACTCAAATATTTTTCAAGTTTATGTGACTTGGGTAAATCTTTGGTAAATAAGACTAGCTTGTTACTGTTGGTTTAATGAAAACAGCTGCATCTTCTGAGCTGTCAACAAGAAACAAACCAACAAACAAATTAAAAAAACACCCATGTAATTTGCTTTGGTGATGACTGCCTGACATGCATATGCTGTAAAAATAGTTAATAGTGCCCAGGCACAGTGGCTCATGCCTGTAATCCCAGCACTTTGGGAGGCTGAGGCTGGTGGATTGCTTGAGGTCAGGAGTTTGAGATCAGCCTGGCCAACATGGTGAAACCCCGTCTCTACTAAAATACAAAAATTAGCTGAGTGTGGTGGCGCACACCTGTAATCCCAGCTACCAGGGAGGCTGAGGCAGGAGAATTGCTTGAACCCAGGAGGTGGAGGTTGCAGTGAGCCAAGATTGCACCACTGCACTCCAGCCTGGGCTACAGAGTGAGACTCTGTCTCAAAAACAAAAAAAGAAAAAGTTAATAGTGAAATAACTTGAGTTGATGGCTAGTTTTGTCTAATGTCTCATGAAATTTTCATGAGTAATCCAAACATGATTGTTAAGAATGAGTAAATTAAATAAGATGTAAATAAAATTTATAAATAAACTTAAACAATAATTATGTTTTATTATATGTTTACTTAAAAAGTTTCCCAAATCTCTTTGGTAACTCCTACCTACAGAGTTTTGCTAAGTTAAATTGAATGGTGGCTATTCACTGAACATCCAGATCATTTCCAAATAAGATAAAATACTAAAACATTAATTTCTGAACATAAGTTTATTTACTTTCGGCTTCTTGAATTCTATAGAAGTACAAAATATATTTTGGATCTGTTAGTAAGTATGTCCTGTTCCACAATGAAAAATTGTTCTAGCAGAAAACATGTTTGCAAAAATTATGAAATGTGTATTAATAAAGTGCTAGTACATGACAGTTCAACATTGCTTACTTCCTAGGTTTACACTAGGAATTAGGGTTACTGTATTAGTCTGTTTTCACACTGCTCTAAAGAACTTCCCTGAGGCTGGGCAATTTATAAAGGAAAGAGATTTAATTGACTCAACAATTCCACATGGCCGGGGAGTCCTCAGGAAACTTACAATGAGGCACCTTCTTCATAAGGTGGCAGAAGGAAGAAGTGAGAGTGCAGGAAAAACTGCCACTCTAAAAGCCATCAGATCTCGAGGCTGGATGCAGTGGCTCACGCCTGTAATTCCAGCACTTTGGGAGGCCAAGGTGGGCAGATCACTTGAGACCAGGAGTTCGAGACCAGCCCGGCCAACATGGCGAAACCCTGTCAACACTAAAAAAATACAAAAATTAGCCAGGCATGGTGGTATGTGCCTGTAATCCCAGCACCTTGGGAGTTGGAAGCAGGAGAATCACTTGAGCCTGGGAGGTGGAGGTTGCAGTGAGCCTAGATTGAGCCACTGCACTCCAGCCTGGGTGACAGAGCAAGACTCAAAACAAAACAAAAAAAATCAGATCTTGTGAGAATTCACTCACTATCACAAGAACAGCATAGGGGAAACTGCCCCCATAATCCAATCACTTCCCTCCCTGGACACATGGGGATTACAGGTCCCTCCCCTGACACCATGGGGATTACAGTTCCAGATGAGATTTGGGTGGGGACAGGGTCAAACTATATCGGTTACTAAGACTTAAAATCCTAACATGTAATCAAAACTACTAGAAATAAGAGAACATTGTATACAAAATGTACAAAGAAAGATGATCTACGGTATGTGAATGTGTTTTTTTGTTGTTGAGGGAAAGCGTTAGAAATGCTTGTTCCCTGGTGCTGCAAAGAAATAGCACTTGAACATAAATTTAATTCTCTCAGCAAGGCCATTTTTACTTTCTGCAGAAAGGGTGCCTCTCACAGATGGAACAATGGTGATAGCACACTTGAACAAAGGAAAAGAAGACATATTTATCCCTTACACATTTGGGTTGTCCTTACTGCTGTGTCCTGCATCCATTGGCTGGAGCTGGACCTCACAGTCTTAAACTGATACCCGATTTGCTGATAGCCTAAATCTTTCCTAAATAGGTAAGTGCAAGGGGGAACAAAGAAGGAGAGGAAGTTGCTTATGAAAGGTTTAAGGAAGCAATAACATTTCCAAATGAGGAAGGGCTGTAAGCTATAAGCTAAGACTTGCCTGGGCCTGTCCAGACATGCCCGGGTAAGCCAAAGCAGCTAACGGGGCTAAAGTATAAGAACTGATAGTTGATAGGAGGCTTTAGAGTAAGAAGCTATTATTCCTAGTGTCTATTATTTTATTTTTAAACCAAGATAAGCTTTGAAGACGAACTTTTCTACTTTCTACAGAAAGATAATTTTGTTCAGTTGGGAGGTTATTTAAAGATTGTTTCAGAACAAATGAAGAAAAGATGGACAAAAATTTAATGGATGTAAAATTGGGAAGAGAGAGAGTAAGTGAGGGAGAATCTTGTGTGGTCAAACTGACTAAAATTTAATGAATTTGTTATAAGCGTTTTAAAAATGAGCCTTAATATCAAAAGTACACTGATGGCAAAACTAGAATTGGTCTTCTCCTTTAAAATGACAAGATTTTCTTATAGTAGTGATGAGAGACAGTGAAAGATTTGTTTTTACCTTTTGAGTGATCTGCCTAAATGAAAAGATTTTTGTTACTTATCAAAATAATTTCCTGTGCTTCATGTTGTCTTTTATCAGGTCTTTGACTACTTAAAAGAAAACAGAGTCCTATCTATTATAAGAGCTAAGGCTATTCTTTATTTGCCTTTGAAGTCTTAATTATGACTCTTGTTAAATGAATGATACAGTACTCTGTACTCTGGGATACAGGTTTATGATAACTTTACGATCATACCATTGGACTGGGTAAGAATTTCCAGAACTGTAACGAAGAAACTGATGGGCTCATGAAACTAGTAACTTAACATCAAGCAGAATGAGAATTAATTACATGGAACTGAACTGACAAAAAGATTAAATTTTTTAAAATGACTTTTTGTTTAAAACATTGCTGAGTCTTGGCTGGATGTGGTGGCTCACGCCTGTAATCCCAGCACTTTGGGAGGCCGAGGCAGGTGGATCACCTGAAGTCAGGAGTTTGAGACCAGCCTGGCCAGCATGGTGAAACCCCATCTCTACTAAAAATACAAAAATTAGCTGGGCGTGGTGGCGGGTGCCTGTAATTCCAGCTACTGGGGAGGTTGAGGCAGGAGAACCACTTGAACCTGGGGAGGCGGAGGTTGCAGTGAGCTGAGATTGCGCCACGGCACTCTAGCCGGGTGACAGAGCAAGACTCTGTCTCAAGAAAAAAAAAAATTGCTGATTCTTTTTATATTTTGTTTACTGAATTTAAAGAAACTTAAACATTTTTAAGCTATCTATAACTTACAAAATTTGGCAAATTATACTTTTGTAAATAGAATTGCAACATTTACCTTTTTCTCCATACCTGATCCTTCCAGAATTTGGAAACTATTTTTGAATATTCTTATTTTTTATGGCAGTATAATTATTTGCATAAGTTCAATAAGAGTCTGTTTTCTTTGTAATAGGACACAATTGGAGACACTGGTTATATTATCAAGGCTTGATGGAAATGTCATATTTTCTGATATGACTAGATAACTTTAGGGAACTAAGGTTGACTTTATAGAACCAATAAAGCCCTTGGGGAAAAAAACTGGCCTGGTATCTTGAACACACAATTCATCTTGCTGCCTTACAGGTAGGTTATTTCCTGGCAAGCCCAGGAACCTCAAAATATTTTGGGGACCTTGAGAAGAGAGGAATTCATACAAATCTACAAATATTACAGGCAAAGTTTGATGATGAGTCTTCAGTTTGGCTTTATAGCCTCAAGAGGCTTCCAAAAGTCCAATCTGTAATTCCTTATTAAAAGTTCCAGACTTAAAAGAGACTGTAAGATCAATTACTGTTTTTTTTTTTTTTTTTTTTTTTTTTTGAGACAGGTTCTCACTGTCACCCAGGCTGGAGTGCAGTGGCGCGATCTTGGCTCACTGCAACCTCCGCCTCCCGGGTTCAATGATTCTCCCACCCCAGCCTCCTGAGTAGCTGGGACTACAGGCACGTACCACCATGCCTGGCTAATTCAATCACCATTCTTGAAGCACTTATGTAAATAATCAGGCCAAATTTTATGAAAATAAGTTATTTTGTAAATAAATTGGTCTTACTGTGATTATCTTTGGTAGAAATGGGGGTGACTGTAGAGAGAAAAATTATGTTTCAAAAGAAAATTACAGTGCACCCATTATTAGATCTTAGTTCATTCTTTTTGAGGATTTATTATTTACCTGTAAACTAGACTACATTTTAAATTCTTCTAGTTTCTCCAGTGTCTGGCTATGACTCTGCAAACTAATATTTCCAATTTTTCTCCTACCCTGATGACTTGTAATTTCTGAAATTAAAACTGCCCTTTCCTGAAGCCCTGAAAGCTGAAGCTGTATGACTTGATATAAATGTCAGAGAAATCACCACAACTTACACATGGATAAGCATTGTGCCTGTTGATGTATGGACTACTCGGAAAGTTCACTGTAACACTTGATGCCAACTGCAAACCAGGAAAATAGGTCATATTGCCACTGCCTGCCCCTACTCCAACTGAAAATGCTTGAAGTTTAATATCTAGAAATCTTCTCAACTGGTTGCCCTCCAGACTCAGAAACTACTTTATAGAGGCTGGGTGCAGTGGCTCATGCCTGTAATCCTAGCACTTTGGGAGGCGGAGGCGGGCAGGTCAATTGAGGTCAGGAGTTCGAAACCAGCCTGGCCAAAATGGTGAAACCCCATCTCTACTAAAAATAAAAACAAAAAAAACAAAAAAATTAGCCAGGTGTGGTGGCAGGCGCCTGTAATCCCAGCTACTTGGGAGGCTGAGGCATGAGAATCGCTTGAACCCAGGAGGCGGAGGTTGCAGTGAGCTGAGATCTCACCACTGCACTCCAGCCTGGGCGACAGAGTGAGACCCTGTCTCAAAAAAAAAAAAAAAAAAAAAGAAGAAAGAAAAGAAAAAACTACTTTATAGACTGCTTCAAACATTAACCTTTGTATTTCTTTTGTTTCCATAGAAATGTCTCTTATTAAATACCTGTTTGCATCATCTAGAGGCCTAACTTTGATGGGAACTCACCTGCAACAAACCTCCTGAAATGAGACACAACTGTTTAGGTGGACTGACCTGTTCTCAGGTCTCTTACCACTCAGCTACTAACTCAATTTTTCTCTCAGCCATTAACTCAGCTGTTAGTGTGTGAAACTTCCAGGGAAGTTTCAGACAGGGGAAATGGAGGAGTTCAGGAAATGCCACCTCAAAATATGTTGCTTTGGTATACTGATTATTTGAACTGAGGGCACTTGGGGAACAGTGGATACAGGCAGAGGCTGTCTCTGAGCTCCCCTTATCTGCCTAAAGCTGGCTCCTCCAAAAGGAACTTAATTGTCATGAAACCCAGGGAGGGTTCAACCACGATCACAGGAGACTGGAGGTTGACACCACACCCAGGCCGACTATCACCTATTTTTCTGAGGGCTGCTCTGGAATGACTTTTATTAGCTGAGAGACTTTTTGTCTGCCTAACAAAACAACATTTATTCACCAAACATTTCCTTCCCTTACCCTCCCCTAACTTGTGTTGCCACCACTCCCTAGAAACCTCAAGCCCTTATTCCTTCCTATAGCTCAGGATAAGCTTCAATCATCTGACCCTTCTTGAAGTCTCATAGTTTGTGGGATTCCTGTGCATATGTATGTAATTAATGTTTCTTCTACTGTTAATCTGTCTTATGTCCATTTAATTCATAGGCCACCTACAGAACCTGGAAGAGTGGAGGGAAGCCATCTTTCACTCCCTCCACATGCATTTTCTTAATTAATCCTTACAAGTGGCCAGGTGAGGTGGCTCACACCTGTAATCCCAGCACTTTGGGAGGCCAAGGTGAGCGGATCACCTGAGGTCAGGAGTTCAAGACCAGCCTGGCCAACATGGTGAAACCCCGTCTCTACTGAAAATACAAAAAAAAATTAGCCGGGCGTGGTGGCAGGTGCCTGTAATCCCAGCTACTTGAGAGGCTCAGGCAGGAGAATCGCTCCAACCTGGGAGGTGGAGGTTGCAGTGAGCCAAGATTGCGCCATTGCACTCCAGCCTGGGTGACAAGAGCCAGACTCCATCTCAAAAAAAAAAATAAATAAATAAATAAACAAATAGAAAAATAAAAAAAACCTCACAAGTGAAGTGCCATAAGAAATAGGTGCTGTTATACCGCAGTTTCTTGGTCCTTTTTTTTTTTTTTTTTTTTTGCTGCTATAACAGAATACTACCAATGGGTAATTTATAAAGAAAAGATTTATTTGGCTCATTGTTCTGGAAGCAGGGAAGTCCAAGAGCATGCTGCTGGCACCTGGTAAGGGCCTCATCCCATGTAGGAAAGCATCACATGGTGAGTGTGTGCAGAAGACAGAGGAAATTGGGCTGAACTCATCCTTTTCTCAGGAGCCCACTCCCTCAATGACTAACCCACCCCCATGAAAACAGCATTCATCTGTTCACCTCTTAAATGCCACATCTTCCAATACTGTTACATTGGCCATTAAATTTCAACATGAGCTTTGGAAGGAACATTCAAACCACAGCATCTTGTTTTACAGATGAGGAAATTGTGGCTCATAGAGGTTAAAGTAACTGGCCCAATAGTGTTACATTCAGCTGAGATTTGAACCCAACTCTGTTGGATCCAGATCTGATTCCAGAGCCCATGCTTTTAACCACCACACTCTACTACAGAAGAGGGGTGAATTATAGACCTAGTGAAGAATAAAAGAAATGAAAATGTAACACATATGTGCTAGAAAGTAAATGGAAGAAAGATTGAATCAGTAGGCTGGCTCATATTATGGAGGATGTACAGTCTGCCAGGAGAGTGCAGACTTGATAAGTAAGAGAAAGGCATTTATGTTAATTAAATATTTATTGAGGACCTTTGGAGTGCCAGGCACTGTGCTAACTGCTGGGATATAAATATGCATAGTCATTGCTCCTGAGGCTCTAACAGCTAGGTGAGGACAGAGACAAACAAACGCATGAATTCAATGTAATGAAGCAAATGCTGTTATCGTGATACCTGGAGGGTATGACTGACAGAAACATCCAGGAGGAGAGCCTAGCTAGGGACTTCATAGCTCTGTTACCCAGGCTGGAATGCAGTGGTGTGATCCTGGCTCACTGCAGCTCAATCTTCTGGGGCTCAAGTGATTCTCCCACCTCAGCCTCCCAAGTAGCTGGGACCACAAGCGTGTGCCACCCTGCCTGGCTATTTTTTTATTTTTTTGTAGAGACAGGGGTCTCAATATGTTGCCCAAGCTGCTCTCAAACTCCTAGCCTCAAGCGATCCTCTTGCCTCCGCCTCCCAAAGTGTTGGGATTACAGATGTGAGCCACAGTGCCTAGCTCCTAAACTGAGTCTTAAATGGTGATAGCATATGCAGGGAACTTGAAGCACTTTTATATTCTTGGAACTTCCAGTTGGGGGCAACAAGAAGAGGATGGTTAATTTATTCCACATACATTTACTGAATGCCTGCTATGTGTGAGACACCGTTCTAAAGTGCTGGAGTGAATGAGACAGACAAACTCCCTGCCCTCATGAATCATGAAAGGTAAGCTGGGGCTGCTCCATGCCCCCCATTTATAAAGCACTTATTTCCAAAGAATTCAGATAAACAATGTCTTAACTCCTCCCCGTAACTGTTTGAAGAGAGACTATAGTAGATACAGTGGTCTAGTTTTCCCAAAGTGTAGAGGCATACTGGTGACATGAAAGATGAATTTATATGGCACATGGGGGGACATTTAAAAAATTTAAATAGGTCTAAGTGAACTTGTAACAGCCCTCTAGCATCAGAGATAGAAAGCTTCACTGTCAACTGTTCTTTCAGTGACTCCACTCCTTTTCCATCTGTTGCCATAGAGATGAATGGCTTCATTTTTCCAATTTCCCTACCCCCTGCCCCCTATGTGAGCCTCAGAAAGCCCCCTTCCCATCTCCATGGAAAGAACTCCATGATCCCCAGCGTTTTTTTTTTCAAGTCACATCCCTGTTTCTTGGGCTGTCACCATAGAGACTGAACGCCCCTCTCCCTAGTCATTTCCATGGTGACTATCCCCAGGATATCACTAGGATCAATTTCTACTGGAGGTCTAGAACTCAGGGAGGGCTGGAAGGGGAGGGTGACTCCCTGCAGTAGCTGCTGTCTTCTTCTCTGTCCCTTCTGGCTTTGAAGGCATAGCAGTCCTTCTCTCAACAAAGGGGGTAAAGGAACTATGGTTTATAGAGTACTTTCTACATGCCAGGCACTAAGCTAGTTACTTTACATACTTAAACTCATAACTGGCCATTTTACAGAATTTAAGGAAGAAAGGCTCAGAGAAGCGAAGGTACTTGGCCTTATTTTCCCCCAAGCTTCTTATAATCCTCACTGAAACGGAAAACCAACAGGATTTTATTTCCACCATTCTCTTTTGCTGTGTGACTGTGGACAAGTTCTCTCTGAGCTTCATTTTCCCCAACATTAAAATAAGAGTGTTGGACTAAGTATCTTCCTGAATATCCCCTTACATAAGGTCAGATCAGAAGTAGTTCTAATCTTGCCGAGGAGCTGGTTTTTCAGTTATGAATATTATTAACAGTAAATACATTAAGGTTTTTTGTTTCTTTGTTTAACTGACAGTGGAGGTCTCCAAACTTTTGATCTAACATCTTAAGTTTATTGTTTAGAATCTCTCCTGGTTTCTTGCAGAGTTTTATGTTTTGGTTTTACATTTCTGTTTTGAAATAGTTCACAGAAAGTTGCAGTGAGATCCTGTGTAGTCTCTACCTCACCTCTGGCAACGCAGGTATCTTGCATAACTATAGTACAATATCAAAACCAGTCAACTGGCCTGGCGCGGTGGCTCACGCATGTAATCTCAGCACTTTGGGAGGCTGAGGTGGGTGGATTGCTTGAGACCAGGAGTGTGAGACCAGCCTGGGCAACCCATCAAAACCTTGTCCCTACAAAAAAATAAAATTAGCCCACTTGGTTGTGCACGCCTTTAGTCCCAACTAACTGGGAGGCTGGGGCGGGAGGATCACTTGAGTCTGGGAGGTTGAGGCTACAGTGAGCTGTGATCATGCCACTGCACTTCAGCCTGGGCAACCCTGTTTCTTTTTTTTTTAATTAATTAATTAATTTATTTTTATTATTATTATTATACTTTAAGTTTTAGGGTACATGTGCACAATGTGCAGGTTACTTACAAATGTATACATGTGCCATGCTGGTGTGCTGCACCCATTAACTCGTTATTTAGCATTAGGTATATCTCCTAATGCTATCCCTCCCCCCTCCCCCGACCCCACAACAGTCCCCAGAGTGTGATGTTCCCCTTCCTGTGTCCATGTGTTCTCATTGTTCAATTCCCACCTATGAGTGAGAATATGCGGTGTTTGGTTTTTTGTTCTTGCGATAGTTTACTGAGAATGATGATTTCCAATTTCATCCATGTCCCTACAAAGGACATGAACTCATCATTTTTTATGGCTGCATAGTATTCCATGGTGTATATGTGCCACATTTTCTTAATCCAGTCTATCATTGTTGGACATTTGGGTTGGTTCCAAGTCTTTGCTATTGTGAATAATGCCGCAATAAACATACGTGTGCATGTGTCTTTATAGCAGCATGATTTATAGTCGTTTGGGTATATACCCAGTAATGGGATGGCTGGGTCAAATGGTATTTCTAGTTCTAGATCCCTGAGGAATCGCCACACTGACTTCCACAATGGTTGAACTAGTTTACAGTCCCACCAACAGTGTAAAAGTGTTCCTATTTCTCCACATCCTCTCCAGCACCTGTTGTTTCCTGACTTTTTAATGATTGCCATTCTAACTGGTGTGAGATGATATCTCATAGTGGTTTTGATTTGCATTTCTCTGATGGCCAGTGATGATGAGCATTTTTTCATGTGTTTTTTGGCTGCATAAATGTCTTCTTTTGAGAAGTGTCTGTTCATGTCCTTCACCCACTTTTTGATGGGGTTGTTTGTTTTTTCTTGTAAATTTGTTTGAGTTCATTGTAGATTCTGGATATTAGCCCTTTGTCAGATGAGTAGGTTGCGAAAATTTTCTCCCATGTTGTAGGTTGCCTGTTCACTCTGATGGTAGTTTCTTTTGCTGTGGAGAAGCTCTTTAGTTTAATTAGATCCCATTTGTCAATTTTGGCTTTTGTTGCCATTGCTTTTGGTGTTTTGGACATGAAGTCCTTGCCCACGCCTATGTCCTGAATGGTAATGCCTAGGTTTTCTTCTAGGGTTTTTATGGTTTTAGGTCTAACGTTTAAATCTTTAATCCATCTTGAATTGATTTTTGTGTAAGGTGTAAGGAAGGGATCCAGTTTCAGCTTTTTACATATGGCTAGCCAGTTTTCCCAGCACCATTTATTAAATAGGGAATCCTTTCCCCATTGCTTGTTTTTCTCAGGTTTGTCAAAGATCAGATAGTTGTAGATATGCGGCATTATTTCTGAGGGCTCTGTTCTGTTCCATTGATCTATATCTCTGTTTTGGTACCAGTACCATGCTGTTTTGGTTACTGTAGCCTTGTAGTATAGTTTGAAGTCAGGTAGTGTGATGCCTCCAGCTTTGTTCTTTTGGCTTAGGATTGACTTGGCGATGCGGGCTCTTTTTTGGTTCCATATGAACTTTAAAGTAGTTTTTTCCAATTCTGTGAAGAAAGTCATTGGTAGCTTGATGGGGATGGCATTGAATCTGTAAATTACCTTGGGCAGTATGGCCATTTTCATGATATTGATTCTTCCTACCCATGAGCATGGAATGTTCTTCCATTTGTTTGTGTCCTCTTTTATTTCCTTGAGCAGTGGTTTGTAGTTCTCCTTGAAGAGGTCCTTCACATCCCTTGTAAGTTGGATTCCTAGGTATTTTATTCTCTTTGAAGCAATTGTGAATGGGAGTTCACTCATGATTTGGCTCTCTGTTTGTCTGTTGTTGGTGTATAAGAATGCTTGTGATGTTTGTACATTGATTTTGTATCCTGAGACTTTGCTGAAGTTGCTTATCAGCTTAAGGAGATTTTGGGCTGAGACGATGGGGTTTTCTAGATAAACAATCATGTCGTCTGCAAACAGGGACAATTTGACTTCCTCTTTTCCTAATTGAATACCCTTTATTTCCTTCTCCTGCCTGATTGCCCTGGCCAGAACTTCCAACACTATGTTGAATAGGAGCGGTGAGAAAGGGCATCCCTGTCTTGTGCCAGTTTTCAAAGGGAATGCTTCCAGTTTTTGCCCATTCAGTATGATATTGGCTGTGGGTTTGTCATAGATAGCTCTTATTATTTTGAAATACGTCCCATCAATACCTAATTTATTGAGAGTTTTTAGCATGAAGGGTTGTTGAATTTTGTCAAAGGCTTTTTCTGCTTCTATTGAGATAATCATGTGGTTTTTGTCTTTGGCTCTGTTTATATGCTGGATTACATTTATTGATTTGCGTATATTGAACCAGCCTTGCATCCCAGGAATGAAGCCCACTTGATCATGGTGGATAAGCTTTTTGATGTGCTGCTGGATTCGGTTTGCCAGTATTTTATTGAGGATTTTTGCATCAATGTTCATCAAGGATATTGGTCTAAAATTCTCTTTTTTGGTTGTGTCTCTGCCCGGCTTTGGTATCAGAATGATGCTGGCCTCATAAAATGAGTTAGGGAGGATTCCCTCTTTTTCTATTGATTGGAATAGTTTCAGAAGGAATGGTACCAGTTCCTCCTTGTACCTCTGGTAGAATTCGGCTGTGAATCCATCTGGTCCTGGACTCTTTTTGGTTGGTAAACTATTGATTATTGCCACAATTTCAGAGCCTGTTATTGGTCTATTCAGAGATTCAACTTCTTCCTGGTTTAGTCTTGGGAGAGTGTATGTGTCGAGGAATGTATCCATTTCTTCTAGATTTTCTAGTTTATTTGCATAGAGGTGTTTGTAGTATTCTCTGATGGTAGTTTGTATTTCTGTGGGATCGGTGGTGATATCCCCTTTATCATTTTTTATTGTGTCTATTTGATTCTTCTCTCTTTTTTTCTTTATTAGTCTTGCTAGCGGTCTATCAATTTTGTTGATCCTTTCAAAAAACCACCTCCTGGATTCATTGATTTTTTGAAGGGTTTTTTGTGTCTCTATTTCCTTCAGTTCTGCTCTGATTTTAGTTATTTCTTGCCTTCTGCTAGCTTTTGAATGTGTTTGCTCTTGCTTTTCTAGTTCTTTTAATTGTGATGTTAGGGTGTCAATTTTGGATCTTTCCTGCTTTCTCTTGTGGGCATTTAGTGCTATAAATTTCCCTCTACACACTGCTTTGAATGCGTCCCAGAGATTCTGGTATGTGGTGTCTTTGTTCTCGTTGGTTTCAAAGAACATCTTTATTTCTGCCTTCATTTCGTTATGTACCCAGTAGTCATTCAGGAGCAGGTTGTTCAGTTTCCATGTAGTGGAGCGGCTTTGAGTGAGATTCTTAATCCTGAGTTCTAGTTTGATTGCACTGTGGTCTGAGAGATAGTTTGTTATAATTTCTGTTCTTTTACATTTGCTGAGGAGAGCTTTACTTCCAACTATGTGGTCAATTTTGGAATAGGTGTGGTGTGGTGCTGAAAAAAATGTATATTCTGTTGATTTGGGGTGGAGAGTTCTGTAGATGTCTATTAGGTCCGCTTGGTGCAGAGCTGAGTTCAATTCCTGGGTATCCTTGTTGACTTTCTGTCTCGTTGATCTGTCTAATGTTGACAGTGGGGTGTTAAAATCTCCCATTATTAATGTGTGGGAGTCTAAGTCTCTTTGTAGGTCACTCAGGACTTGCTTTATGAATCTGGGTGCTCCTGTATTGGGTGCATAAATATTTAGGATAGTTAGCTCCTCTTGTTGAATTGATCCCTTTACCATTATGTAATGGCCTTCTTTGTCTCTTTTGATCTTTGTTGGTTTAAAGTCTGTTTTATCAGAGACTAGGATTGCAACCCCTGCCTTTTTTTGTTTTCCATTGGCTTGGTAGATCTTCCTCCATCCTTTTATTTTGAGCCTATGTGTGTCTCTGCACGTGAGATGGGTTTCCTGAATACAGCACACTGATGTGTCTTGACTCTTTATCCAACTTGCCAGTCTGTGTCTTTTAATTGCAGAATTTAGTCCATTTATATTTAAAGTTAATATTGTTATGTGTGAATTTGATCCTGTCATTATGATGTTAGCTGGTGATTTTGCTCGTTAGTTGATGCAGTTTCTTCCTAGTCTCGATGGTCTTTACATTTTGGCATGATTTTGTAGCGGCCTGTTATTGGTCTATTCAGAGATTCAAATTCTTCCTGGTTTAGTCTTGGGAGGGTGTATTTGTCGAGGAATTTATCCATTTCTTCTAGATTTTCTAGTTTATTTGCGTAGAGGTGTTTGTAGTATTCTGTGATGGTAGTTCGTATTTCTGTGGGATCGGTGGTGATATCCCCTTTATCATTTTTTATTGTGTCTATTTGATTCTTCTCTCTTTTCTTCTTTATTACTCTTGCTAGTGGTCTATCAATTTTGTTGATCCTTTCAAAAAACCAGCTCCTGGATTCATTAATTTTTTGAAGGGTTTTTTGTGTCTCTATTTCCTTCAGTTCTGCTCTGATTTTAGTTATTTCTTGCCTTCTGCTAGCTTTTGAATGTGTTTGCTCTTGCTTTTCTAGTTCTTTTAATTGTGATGTTAGGGTGTCAATTTTGGATCTTTCCTGCTTTCTCTTGTGGGTATTTAGTGCTATAAATTTCCCTCTACACACTGCTTTGAATGTGTCCCAGAGATTCTGGTATGTTGTGTCTTTGTTCTCGTTGGTTTCAAAGAACATCTTTATTTCTGTCTTCGTTTCGTTATGTACCCAGTAGTCATTCAGGAGCAGATTGTTCAGTTTCAACCCTGTTTCAAAACAAAAACAAAAACAAGCAAAGCACAAGTCCACCGACATTGATACAGTCTACAGAGCTTAGTCAGACTTCATGTTTTATATGACCTCATCTGTATATGTGTGTGTGTGTGTGTGTGTGTGTGTAGTTCTATGCACTTTTATCACATGTGAAGTTTCATGTATCCACAACCTCAGTCAAGGTATAGAATTGTTCAATCATCACAAGGATTCTTCATGGTGTCCTTTTAGAACCACATCCACCAGCTTCCCTCTCCCCATTCTTAATCCCTGGCAACCCGAAATCTGTTCTCCATCGCTATAGTTTTGCTATTTCAAGAATGTTATAAAAGTGTAATCATACGGTATATAACCTTTTGGAAGTAGCTTTTTTTCACTCAGCATAATTCCCTAGAGATTCATCCAAGTTGTTGAATGTACCAATAATTTATTCCTTTTTATTGGTGAGTAGTATTCCATGGTAGAGATGTACCACAGTTTGTTTAACTAGTCATTTGATGAAGAACGTCGGGTTGCTTGCACATTTTGGCTATTATGAATAAAGCTGTTATGAAAATTCATGGTTTTGTGTGACTAAAACATGTCTTTCACAGAGCAAAAATTTTTTATTTTGATGAAGTCAATTTATCAATTTTTTCTGTTATAGATTATGCTTTTGGTGACAAGCCTAGAAAGTTTTTGCCTAGCCCGGGGTCCCAAAGCTTTTCTCTTATTTTTTTCTAAAAACTAAAAGTTTTATAGTTCTGTATTTTACTTTTAAGCCTGTGATCCATGTTGAGTTCATTTTTGTATAAGGTATGAGGTTTAGTTCAGGGTTTATTTTTTTACCTATGGTTGTCTAATGCTCTAGAGCAATTAGATAGCCAGATACTGGCCACTGGGCTGCCCCAAGGTAACTGTAGTCTCTAGGACATCAGGACACATGGCCCCAAAGAGATTTCACCTCCACTTCTGCCCAGCTCTAGAGCATTAGACAACCCTAGGCAAAAAAAAAAATAAAATAAAACAAAATAAAAAAATAAACCACTAGACAATTTAATGGCTGGAAAGAATATCCTTCTCCTCCATTGAATTGCTTTTGTACCTTTGTCAAAAAATCAGTTGGGCAGATATGTATACGTCTATTTCTGAGTTCTCTTTTCTGTCCCACTGGTCTGTTTGTCTATCCCTGTGAGAACCACAGAGCTCAGGCCTTTGAGACAGAATGCCTAGTACCACTTGCTAGCTTGGGTGACCCTGGGCAAGTCACCCTCCCCTGGCTTCCTATCTGTCACTCAGTATATAAAATATGCCTCCTGAGCCCCACATGATTGAACTCCTGCCTGCTTCCCCGTGACTGTCTCCTATTACTCTCCTCCTTGTTCACTCTGCTCCAGCCACACTGGCCTGACCGATCCTCAGTCACATAACACATGCTCCTACTTTTGGGGCTTTCACAGACTGTTTCTTTAACCCAGAATCTGCTTCGCACAGACATCCTCATGGCTACCTCCCTTCCTTCTTCCTTCAAGTCTTTTATCAAATTTCACCTTCTGAGTGAGGCTTTATTTAAAATGGCAAAGCCTCTGCTCCTCCCCTTTCCCCACTTTCTCTCCATGGCACTCATCACCATCTAAAACACAATGTCATGGACTTTTTTGCTCTGTCTCCTACCACTGCAGTATGAGCTCAATGAGAGCAGGAATTTTTGTTTTTGTTCACTGCTGTATTCCCAGTGCTGTGTCTGTCTAGTATAATATACCTTTTTAAATGAATGAAGAAATGAATAGATAGATGGATGGATGAATATGTGAGTGAGTGAATGAATGAATGAATGCCGTGAGCCAAGGCCCAGCTCACCTGAGCAGCCTCTCTGGCCCTTGGCTTGTGTCCTAAGCTTGCGACCCTAGAACCATCCACTTGCTTCTCTAAGGCTGGCCACCAGGTGGCAGTTGGAGCCTAACTTCTGTCTCATTTGCTTCCCTTTGCCTTCTCTTTGCTGCCTGTCAGTCTTGCCCAGGACATTTTGACCTTCTCTGCCTAGGCATGGCTAGAGGATTTTGTGAGAGCTCTTAAAGTAGGCAGCTTCAGTATTTAAAACTTTTTTTTTTTTTTTTGAGACGGAGTCTCACTCTGTTGCCCAGGCTGGAGTACAGTGGTGCGATCTCAGCTCACTGCAACCTCTGCCTCCTGGGTTTAAGCGATTCTTGTGCCTCAGGCTTCTGAGTAGCTGGGACTACAGGTGCGTCCCACCACACCCAGCTAATTTTTGTATTTTCATTAGAGATGGGGTTTCACCATGTTGGCCAGACTGGTCTCGAACGCCTGACCTCAAGTGATCCACCCACTTCCGCCTCCCAAAGTGATGGGATTACAGGCATGAGCCACTGCGACTGGACCAACTTTGCATCTTTTTATCCTTAGAAAGGTACTACCTTGTTCCTGCCACAGCCTGCTCTCTGTCTCAGATGGAAGAAGCCATATACTGGCCATTGGGCTGCCCCAAAGTAACTGTAGCCTCTAGGACATCAGGACACATGGCCCTAAGGAGATTTCACCTCCACTTCTGCCCAGCTTCAGCAAGCCTCTCCCAGGGTTACTGCACCCCTCAACTCGGTAAAGGCTAGGGACTCTAGCACCATGATTAAGCCTTTTGTGTCAACCTGGGTTTGATCTCCACTATGCCACTTATTAACCTTGTATCTTGGGTGATGTTGAGCAACTAACATAGATATTCAAGCCTCGGTTTTGTCAGCTGTAAAATGGGGATAATAATGGCATCAAACTCACCGGGTGGATGTGAAGATTCAATGTGATAACACGCATACAACATAAGTAGAGTGTTTGGTGTAGAATAAAGCTCACTTGAAGAAAAATGAAGGGCAAAAGTGGGAATAAACAAGACCAGGCATAGCAGGAACTTGCCAGGGAGTTTGAGGAGGGCGCCGACTAGATGGCTAGAAGGCTGAAGCCAAGAAAAGATGGGAGATCAAGGAAAGCTTCACAAAAAAGATCACGGTTCAGCCACAGGTTGTAAGACAGGTCAAATTACGCTAGTCAAGCTGGAAAGAGCGTTGCAGGAATAATGGTATGTGCAAATAAAGAGAGGTGTGAAATGGTAGCTACTCACAGTCATTCCAGGAACTGTAAGTAAGTATGAATTGCATGTTTCTTGTGGGAGAAGTGACAAGAAATACAGACAGATAAGCAGGGACCAGATCACAAAGGACCTCATGTGCCAGGTGAAGGAGACTGGACTTGATCTGGTGGGGGCAGTGGAGAGCCATCAAAGAGTTCTAAGCAAGGAATTGGATGGATGCAACTGATGACCTGGCAGTCCAGCTGCCTTGAAGGAAGACAGAAACTGGAGGCAGGTGAAAGATGAGCTGAGCTTAGACTGGAGAAGTTGTATTTGGGATGGAGATAAAGGGATGAAGTCCACGGATTTTTTTTTCAGAGGAAGAAACTGCCAAGAGCTTGCCTGAAAAAGAAAGAAGATCCAGGGACAGAGAAGGAAGTAGCATCATGGTACAGTTATTTTTTGCTTTTGTTTTTTGTTTGTGTGTTTGTCTGTTTGTTTGTTTTTTGAGACGGAGTCTCACTCTGTTGCCCAGGCTGGAGTGCAGCGGCACGATTTCAGCTCACTGCAACCTCCGCCTCTCAGATTCAAGCGATTCTCCTGCCTCACCCTCCCGAGTTGTTGGGACTACAGGTGCGTGCCACCACACCCGGCTAATTTTTGTATTTTTAGTAGAGACAAGGTTTCATCATGTTGGTCAGGCTGGTCTCGAACTCCTGACCTCAGGTAATCCACCCGCCTCGGCCTCCCAAAGTGTTGGGATTACAGGTGTGAGCCACCATCCACCATGCCCGGCCAGTACAGTTTTTTTTTGTTTTTTGTTTTGAATATGGGTGAGACTTGAGATTCTTCTATTCCCCACAGGGCCTGGCACTAAGTAATTGAATGAGTGGAGGGAGGGGCACCCAGAACAATACTTGCCAAGAAGCAGGGCCCTATCCCAATTTCACCCTGGTCCCCACCCTCTGACTTTCCTGTTGTCTCTGAGACAGAGCCCTACAATACAGGGGGTGAGAGGCTGGTCTTTTTACTCAGAGCTTGGATTTCCCTTCTAATGGAGGAGTTTCCCTAAAATGGCCCCCAAGGGCTGAGGGAAACTTATAGGCCAGCTAGGGAAAGCGTTCATTTCCTGGTACCCCAAGATGTGACTCCTTTCAAGAAAAGCCCAGCAGTTTTCCTCTACCTATTTCAAAAGCGTTCACTCCCTCCCCAACTTCTCTTTTTCATCTTTCCCCCAGGGAGAATATTGGTCCCTACTTTTCCCATCCTGTATCAATACTTCCTGCCCTAGCATGGGCCTACTTAAAAGTTTCCAAGGCCTAGCCCAGGTTCATGGTTTTGGGGCAAATTGAAGGACCCCAACAGCATGGCCCAACCAGATCTCAGCCTACTCCTGGCCTTGCTGTTTCTGCAAAAGCAGCAGAATAAATCATTCTGCCTCCTTGTTGCAAGGCTACCTCTGCCCTGAGGCTGCTATCTTCCCCATGCTGGGGACTTTTGCCTTCCTGGCCCAGTCTTGGATGAAAATATGGGAGCTGGCCCGGCGCGGTGGCTCACGACTGTAGTCCCAGCACTTTGGTAGGCCGAGGTGGGTGGATCACTTGAGGTCAGGTGTTCGAGACCAGCCTGGCCAACATGGTGAAACCCTGTCTCTACTAAAAATACAAAAATTAGCCAGAGGCCAGGCGCGGTGGCTCATGCCTGCAATCCGAGTACTTTGGGAGGCCGAGGCTGGTGGATTACCTGAGGTTAGGAATTTGAGACCAGCCTGGCCAACATGGTGACACCTTGTCACTACTAAAATTACAAAAAATTAGCCGGGCGTGGTGGCGTGTGCCTGTAATCCCAGCTATTCAGGAGGCTGAGGCAGGAGAATCTCTTGAACCCAGGAGGTGGAGGTTGCAGTGAGCCGAGGTTGCACCACTGCACTCCAGCCTGGGTGACGGAGCAAGACTCTTGTCTCAAAAAAAAAAAAAAAAAAAAAAGGGAGTCCTTGGTAGATAAGAGACAAATGAATAGTTATAGATGCATACTTTGCGTTAAGTGCTTTACATTTGTCATTGCATTGAATCTCCAAAACAACCCTGTGAGAGAGGTATCATTATTTTACAGATGAGGAAAGAGGCTCAGGGAAGTCACAGCATTTGCCCGAGATTATTAGACTAGTTAATGGTGAGCTTGGGAATTGAACTCATGTGTTTTTTTGTTTGTTTGTTTTTTGAGATGGAGTTTCACTCTTGTTGCCCAGGCTGGAGTGCAGTAGCGTGATCTTGACTCACCGCAACCTCCACCTCCCAGGTTCAAGCGGTTCTCCTGCCTCAGCCTCCCGAATAGCTGGGATTACAGGCACGCACCACCACGCCTGGCTAATTTTGTATTTTTTTTTAGTAGAGACGGGGTTTCTCCATGTTGATCAGGCTGGTCTTGAACTCCCGACCTCAGGTGATCCGCCTACCTTGGCCTCCTAAAGTGCTGGGATTACAGGCGTGAGCCACCATGCCCAGCCAACTCATGTTTTTGTTTTTTTTTTTTTTAACCTCAAAACCCCTTTTTACCCCGTAAGTTATATTCTCCAGGGAGTAGGGTTGGGGGTGGGGGTTGGGGAGTGGAGAACCTTCCTGGTTGACTCTTTTTCCAAGGGAAAGGGCTAGAAGTTGGTTCCTCCTGTCCTTGGTGGGTGCTTCATCTCCAAGGAAGAGTAACTGTGGGTGGGCAGCATCCACCCTATGGCATCCAGAAATAGATTCATTGTTGCCTCTCCCTCCTTTCTTGGTCACTATCTGGTGAGCTCCTGGGGCAGGGGCTGAGCAGGCAGGCTCGGATTTGCTGTTCCCTTCAACAAGCCTCTTCCCATCTCTGAGCCTTTTGTTGTGCTAGTTATAAAATGAGAGGGTTGTCAGAGAGAAATGCTCTCTAAGGTCTCTTCCAGCTCTAACATTCGAGGATCATATTGATTGCATTGTACCGTAAGACCGCCTGATTCATTCATGGATAGAAACAAATTTCCTGTTGCCATAGGGAACAAGGGGTTTTTGAAGTAGAAAAAGATACACTCAAGGAGGTAAGATAAACTGAAAGAGCATGGGCTTTGAGTCAGCCAGACTTGGGTTAAAATCCTGTACGCTGGGCAGGTCACTTCACTTTTTTGAGCTTCTCTCATTATCTAGTAAGACAGGAACAACCACCCCTACTTCTTGGAGTGAGGTAATGTATTTGGCATTACATTACACAGATCTTGGTGCTCAAGATCTTTTGTTTTGAGGGTATGGGGTTCATCTCTTCCTCCCCAACTCCACCCTACTCTTTCACTAGCTCCCAAGATACTCTTCTCTCTCCCCAACCCTGATGGCCAGGCCGAGTGTTTTCTGCCAGGGCTTCTGCTTCCAAATGTTTCTGGCAGGGCTCCCATGTAGTGTGGAACAACTTGACCTCTCTCACAACCTTCTTCTAAAAGTTCTAGGGGGGATGGTGCAACTGAGGCCAGACCAAGGCTTCAACACTTGGACTTTTGGGGCAACCAGCTGAAGGTTTTGGTCTCAGAAGCCCTCCACCAGCTTCACTGGCTCTGCTCCCTCATCCTGGCTTCCAACCTCCTGGACCATAACCATCTGGCTAATGACAGAGCACTCCAGTTCTTGTGTCGCTTTTGGGTTCCATATCTCTCGGCCAACTGCCTCAATGGTGCCATAGGTGGTCAAACTCAGCTTCTTGGAGAGCCTAAATCTCTCAGATAACTACATGACTCGCCTGGCCTGGGGCACCTTCTTGGGCTCCCCTTTGCTGTTGGATCAACCTGAGCAGCAAGTACATTCTGGAAATTGAGTCAGGGGCCTTGGCTGGCTTGCCCCTGCTGTAGGAGCTCAGCTCGGCCAGCAATTATCTTCACTGCATCTCTGCCTTTAGCCTCCCCAACCTGTGGCAGCTCCACTAGAGGCCCAGTGCCCTGCAGTTATTTGCAGCTGAGGAGTGAGATGGGGCATACTAGTTTCAGGTATTAGACCCGAGTCATAACTGGCTTCTGAGCACCTTCCCACTTCTCCCTACCCCAAACCATCTCTGACAGTTTCCCTTCTTTGACAACTACCTGATGTCTCTAGAACCAAATCCCCTATCTCCAGTATGGGGGGTTGCCAGTTGGTACTAAGAGGTGACTAGTGGAATCTGACTCGGAGCAGCCATGACGTAACATCCAACCTGAGTGACATTATCTTGGCATATCCCACTTGACCTAAGTAGAAACTGACTGGTATCATTCCCAAGAGACTTCCTTGGTAGGCTTCCTGCCCTTCAGCACCTCAGCATGGCCTAGAACTGTCTCTGAAATGTGACAGCCCACTGCCCATGGCGTCACCAGTTCCAAGGCCATTCCCTACTTCTCCACTGTCCTTCTGCCCATGACATCTCTGGATTTCCATGGAATCTGATTCAGTGTGCGCCTGTCTGGTTTTTTGAGATTATGCCCAGGCTGAAAGCTGTAGACTTGGAGGACAACATATTGTACCTGTTTTGGGGGCATGGAGCATCGGGAAAGAGCCCCTCCCTCAGAAGCACCATTGACCCCCGGCCCCAGCCTTCACCAGGACAGCTTTCCTAGTGAAGAATCTGAGCCTTCGAAAGAATGAGCCAGGGTCCTACGTTTAGGAGTCTGCCCCTGCCACTCTCCACTGCCTGGATCTCTCTGGCAACATGAGGATGGTTTTTAACCCCAGGGACCTTTTGAGGCTTGCAGTTCTCCTTGCAGAAGCTTTCTCTGTAGGCCAATGGGATGAAGCGCTCCCAGGCATGGCCCCTCTGCCTGCAGAAGCTCCATGTTTTGGACAGCCCTGATAAGGTGAGAAGCCTTCCTGAGGGCCTTGGCTGGTTCCCCCTGGCTAGTCTGGGCCTCCACTACAATAGGCTGCAAGCCCTGGAAGGAGGGACCCTGAAAGCCATACCTGGCCACCTCACTAACTTAGCTATCTCTAGCAATCTTCTCCACTGCTGGATGCTTTGCTAAGGGCCAATGTGAGTGTGCTAGACTTAGAGGAAGGACAGAGCATATATCTTGGCAGTAATGGGTGACCACAGTCCACCATGTATGAGGCGTGGGGGCCTTGGGCTACCTGGACTTTGCTGATGGTGACTGGCCTGCTGGTCATCTGCTGTGGTCTGACCACCCTACTGAAGAAGAAGCATTGTTTAGCTCTTGTCTGCAGTTCCACTGCAATAAGATCAGCCTTAGACCTGAGCAGGAAACTTGAGGTAGAGGACTGTGGTGGGATTCTTTTCAAAGCATGGCCCCAAACCCCTTCGGCATGGGACAAAAGAAGATAATTAGGGACTCTGTGCAGAAGGATGAGCATAAAAGCAGGCCACAGGGGCTTCCTACATACAGAGATGGGCATATTTATCTCTGACAGCTGAAGTATGGATATCCATAGGACTTTAAAGGGACATATTTGGGTCCTCAAGCTAGTGTGCAGCCAGAAAATAGAGATGTCTAGCCCCTCAGAACTACAAGAAACCTTTAGGAACATCTTCTTCACCTCCTCCCTTCTTGAGTGATCATCCAGCCTCTGCTTAGACATCTCCCTTCCTCTCCAGGCAACCTGTTTTACCCACAGACAACTCTGACTCCTAAGGCAGATTTTTTCCTTTCATTAAGTCCAGATATGCTTCCACTCTTGGGTTCCAGCTCTGCCCTCAGTGGCCATGTACAAATACACCTGTTCTCTTGGACTCTGAGAGAAGTCTGAAGACAAGAGGCCCACATTCCCTTGAATCTTCTTCAGGCTAGACAGCCCTAGATCTTTCAATCAATCTTCATGGCACCAAACTGTCACCACATGTAACCTCTCTGTGTCCCAGTTTCCTCACCTGTGAAATAGGGATTAAATCAGATAATACAAGCACAAAGCTTTGAACAGTGTGTGATGTATTGCAAGCATTCAATGAATGTTGTTATTATTAAACTCCTATTTCTAGATTTGATCACTCAAGTGAGTTCTTGAAGTCAAAAGGCTGTACCTCATTAATCTGGATGCCTAGTGCTGAGTCCAGTGTCTGGCATGCAGTAGGCACTTAGTTCACGTTGGTTTTGAGACAGTGACACGGTCTCCAGTCCCTGCTCCATCCTACTAACACTCCCCTGGACATATTCTAGTTTGTTCCTCTTAATGTATAAAGCCCAGAACTCAATACTATCTGGTCATTTCAGTCTCAAGTATGTCACAACTGTAAAAATCTCAGAATCTTGCATTAAGGACAGACTTTAAAAGTCATTTATCTGCTCCATCTAGTCCACCCTCATTCCTCAATCTGATGCTAGAGATCCCAGCAAGTTGTCATCCAACTCATGACTGTCCATCCCAGTGAGTCACTCTTGGGTTCCAGTGAGTTAAATTCTGGCAGGACGACAGTTCCTGTGGGGGCTGGAGCCCTGAGACCTCATCACACAACAGAAAAAGAGTTAAGGGGGGTTGGTTTAACATCCTGACTGAGGCTGACATCTGTGCTCTGGGCTACTTCCTTTCTCTTAGTTTCTAAGTGAAATTACCTTTTTTAATTTGTGGGCTTGTTAAAGGGAAAAATGGGTGTTTCTGTATATGGACATATGGAGTGTGTAGTGATGAGACAGTGAGAGTAAGAGAGAGGAGAGAGAAGGGGGAGAGAGCAAGAGTGAGAGTGGAGACACAGAGACAGAGACAGAGAGAGGAGTGGGAGTGGAAGAGAAAGAGAAAGAGACAGAGACAGAGAGAACAGAGAGATGGAGATGGAGGAGAAAAAGACTGAGACAAACACACACTGTCAAAGATGGAAAGAGTCAGAGAGAGGGAGAGGAGAAGAAAAGAGGGAGAGGGAGGCAGAAGGAGAGAGGGAAGAAGAGGGAGAGGGAGGCAGAAGGAGAGAGGGAAGAAGAGAGAGAGAGAGAGAGAGAGAACCAAGAAGTGGGTGTGAGCTACAGGCAGTCCATGGAGCCCAGAGCCCTTTTGTGCCTGAATGACGGTCCTGAAGCCTTTTGGGGCAATCCAGAAATCAACAATGTGGGTTTCCCAATGGAAGAACTCCCAAAGCCAGTCACAGACCTCTTCATTAGCTAACTTCTGATCTCCTTTCTGTCAGCTGCCCCCTGGATATGATTCCCTCAGGTCTTGGTCAGTGGGCTGAGCATTAGAGGGAGCACACAGGCAGCTCTTCCTCCAGCCACCTGTGGCAGGAATATACATGCAGGCATCTCTGGTGATGCTTGGCTGTGAGGGGTAGGCCAGTCTTCTAGACCAGAGTGACACTAAGGCACTTAGACCCATTGCCCAGATAATAAATGAGTTATTGCCTAAATTCTGGGGGAGGGCTTAGACTTGCTGTCACATAATGTCCCAGCAGCCACCTGGTTTGGCCTAAGACTTTTTGAGCTTTCATTCTCAAAGAACCCTTATTAAGCACCTGGGCAGAAGCCCTGCATGGGAGGATTCCAAGGCCAGGCCCATGCCCACAGAGAGGCACCAGAAGGAAATAGCCAAAAGACTGCTCAGGCATAAAGGACATGTGATTAACCAAGCAAACAGGTAACCAGGGCAGAAATGCATAATCAACAAACACATCTACACAGTGTACAAGAATAAGGATAAAGACATACCTGAGAGCAGACAGTGAACACAACAGGCAGGGGAGAGCCAGTGAACTGGCCACTCTTCTAACTAATCAGGAAAGGCTCTCTGGATCAGGTGGAATTTCAGGTTGCTGAGCATGTCTGCCCTCTCTGTAATTTGATTAAAATTGGTTTAGAAATTTGTGCTATATTTCAAGTGAGTGCTGTGCTTAAAATGTAATTGCATTTGGCTGCGTATTTGACATTCTTGAAATTAGAGCAGCTTGCGTGCAATAAGGAAATTTGTCCAGAATGGAATTTGATTTTTAAGCCAATGCATAGAAGAGCAGTTGTGATCTGAGCCTCTGATGGATAGTTCTTTTAGGGTTGCCTCTCGGCTGGCTCTCTCTTTGCACTTCCTGTTCATTCTGGAACTCTTCTCTGGCGCTCAGAAAGAGGGAAGCTTCTTGACCCGGGACTCCAGAAACCACATTTTTCGTGGCAGTCAGAGTTGGAGCCATCTTGATTTCCCCGTCTAGGCCTCTTCTATGCATCTGCCAGCCTCCGACTATGTATGCCAGACTGGGGCAGTTAGAGACCTTGTCTTTGTCACCCAGGACTTAGGACCTTTTTCTGGGATCCGAAACTCCCAGAGCTGGTACTCTGTTCAGACTGGCTTGCTCTCCTTTGTCAGAACCCAAAAGAGCTGTCACATTGGCAGGCAGGCAGACAGCAGCTTTATCTAATCTTCTTCTGGTCTTATATTTGTTTCCTGGGCATGGCATGTAGAGGCCTCCAATTTGGCATCAGTCCAAGGGATAGGGCTGGCCTCTCTATGTCTCAGCTTTCCTTAGTAAACATATGCTGCCAGGCCAAAGGAAGGAAAGAAACATTTTTAGAGCACATGCTCTGTGTCAAGTGCTTTCACAAATGCCTCGTTAAATCCTCACAATACACTGAAGAGGTAGGTCTTGCTTTGTTTTTGCAAGGGGGAAACGGAGGCACAGAGCAGTGAAGTAACTTGCTCCAAGGTCTCAGTGCTAGAAAGTGGGGGAGCTAGAATTGCAGTCTAATTGGATCGATTCTCAAAGCAAGCTTTTCCCAGTTTAACACAGCTTCTCTGCAACAACTGTGGCATTCCTACCAAGTAGCAGTCTGTCTGTCTGGGAGCAGACACTATTAGGCCCTGTCAGTTCTCCATCCCAGGGCTTACCTTTGTGCCCAACTGGGGCCACCACCACCATTCTCACCACACCTGTGAAGGGCCAGCTGATAGTGGCCTTTGCTCCTCTAAATTCTTTTTTGTTTTTCTTTTTGAGTCAGGGTCTCACTCTGTCACCCAGGCTGGAGTGCAGTGGTGTGATCACAGTCCACTGCAGCCTCGACCTTTTGGGCTCAAGTGATCCTCCCACCTCAGCCTCTTTTTTTTTTTTTTGAGATGGAGTCTCGCTCTGTCACCCAGGCTGGAGAGCAGTAGCATGATCTTAGCTCACTGCAACTTCCACCTCCCGGGTTCAAGCGATTCTCATGGCTCAGCCTTCCGAGTAGCTGGGATTACAGGCGTCTGCCACCACACCCGGCTAATTTTTGTATTTTTAGTAAAGAAGGGGTTTCACCGTGTTGGCCAGGCTGGTCCTGAACTTGTGACTTCAAGTGATCTGCCTGCCTCATCCTCCCAAAGTGCTGGGATTACAGGTGTGAGCCACTCCATGTGGCCTCAACTCATCCTCCTGAGTAGCTGAGATTATAGACGCACGCCATCATGCCCTGCTAATTTTTCTATTTTTTTGTAGAGAAGGGGTTTCACCATGTTGCCCAGGCTGGTCTCGAACTCCTGGGCTCCAGCAATCCTCCCACCTCAGCCTGCCAAAGTGGTGTGATTACAGGCGTGAGCCACCGCACTGGTCTGCTCTTCTAAGTTCTAATTGGCCAAAAGTTTGACCCAGCACAGAGGTATAATTTGACAGGCAGGCTGCTGAGACAGGTTTGTAAGTGTCTCGTTTGAGCCACTTCCAACAGAACATGCCCCTGAGGTATGAGGTCCACCACCCCTCCATGCGCCCAGAGCATAGTGTGGTGTGAGAGGGATGATGTCCTGGAGCCTTGAACACAACTCTTCCTTCCCTTGGGGAGGCAGCTAGTTCTGAGAACCTTTCCCTCCTTGGGATGCTTGGTGTTTACCATATCTGACTCATATAGCTGTGTGCCCAGGCTGTTTCATGACAGGATGCCCACCACTCTTGAAAGTTAGCACAGCTCCTTTTGGGGAGGTATTTGTGCTTCCATTATGAAAGAGGGCTTCTGTAGAATGAGCTGGGTTTTGCTCTCCACTGCTACTTCCCTGAGGGACCAAGGTGGTGGGGTAGGGTCTTCTTCAATGATTATAAACCCAGGCTTAAGTCTCTTTCTCTACTACCATTTTTCTTACTGGATGAACCTCTTATGGAAGGAACAATTCTTTTACAGAGGTGAAAGTCTTTGCCCTCCAACTTGGGGTTTGTCCTGGAGTCTACTGGCAAAAAACAACTGCAGCAAACCTTCTGTTTAAAGTGTGTGTGTGGCCAGGTGCAGTGGTTCACACCTGTAATCTCAGCACTTTGGGAGGCCGAGGCGGGAGGATTGCTTGAGCACAGGAGCAGCCTGGGCAACATGAGACCCCGTCTGTATTAAAAAAACAAAACAAAACAAAAGTCAGGCTGGGTGCAGTAGCTCACGCCTGTAATCCCAGCACTTTGAGTGGCCGAGGCAGGTGGATCACTTGAGCCCAGGAGTTTGAGACCAGCCTGGGCAACATGGCGAAATCCCGTCTCTACTAAAAATACAAAAATTACCCAGGCGTGGTGGCTTGCACCTGTAGTCCCAGCTAATTGGGAGGCTGAGGTGGGAAGATCACCTGAGCCTGGGGAGATCGAGGCTGCAGTGAGCTGTGATCATGCCACTGCACTCCAGCCTGGGTCACAGAGTGAGACTCTGTCTCAAAAAAAAAAAAATAGCGTGTGTGTGAGGTGGGAGAGCTCAAGATGGAGACATCCATTGAGCATTGTATTGAATGAAAAAAAAGAGCACCCCCCCATTCCCCCCGCAAGACAGAGTCTTGCTCTGTCACCCAGGCTGGAGTGCATTGGCGTGATCTCAGCTCACTGCAACCGCTTCCTGGGTTCAAGCGATTCTCCTGCCTCAGCCTCCCGAGTAGCTGGGATTACAGGTGCCTGCCACCACACCCAGCTAATTTTTTTGTATTTTTAGTAGAGATGGGGTTTCACCATGTAGGCCAGGCTAGTCTCGAACTCCTAGCCTCATGATCCGCCTGCCTCAGCCTCCCAAAGTGCTGGGATTACAGGCATGAGCCACTGCGCCTAGCCAAAAATAAAATTTTTTAAATTAAAAACTTTTTTAAACGTTGTACCTGGTGGTGGGCGGCGCCCTTTGTGGATTCCAAGCCCTTTGTTTTGAAGGAAGAAATCTGAAGAAAATGCCAAGGAGGCCTTCACCTGGGCAGGGGGATGGGGTAGGTAACGAGATCTAGGGCCCAGGGAGTCCAGGGATATTTGAAGAGCAACTGGTTTATCCATTTGCTACCTTCTCAGAACCCCTGGGCTTCGCTCAACTATTTATGCTAATCCTGTAGGCATGTGAGTTACCTGCCATTTACATAATGTCTTAGATTCATGGACCAGCAGCATTAGCATCATCAGGCGTTTGTTAGAAATGCAGACTCTCAGGATCCTAAATCAGAATCTTCATTGTAACAAGATCCCGGGGTGATTCAATGCACATGAAAGTTTGAGAAGCACTTGTTTAGTAGACAATGGACATCTGCTCTGGAAACTTGGACAAAGTTCCTGGGCCTCTGGATTACTTGCCCATGTTTGCTGTTTTGTCACCTCCTATCCTAAATCCTAAAGGGCCTATGGGTTTGTTTCAAAGACAGCAAGAAATCAGGGAACCAGAGAAATGTATCCTACTTTGTAGGCAGTCTGAGAGAGGAGAGGTGACGGTAGCTAGAAAGGAGAGACGCTCATGGACCTAATTGGGGCTTATGAGAGAATCAAAGTGCTACCCAACATCCATTTCCTAGTTATATTTAGATGTGACCTGGTTGCCAGATGTTAAATCAGCCTGTTAAAGCCCAGGGCTAAGAAGCCAAGGGTTATGAAATGAAACCAGGCTGCTGAACACAAACAGAGAACAAGCGTTTTAGCTGTAAAGTTTAACTGGATGCTTAAATGTGCTCTCCTGTAAACTTGTCATACAACCTGAGCTTGCACTCCTCCAGTGACAGGGAACTCATTACCCAGTACCTCACAAGGTATCCATTCTGATTCATGGTCGATCAGTTCTCTTAGAAAGTTAATTCCTTGTATTGAGCTGAAAGATGCCTCCCTGAAATTTCTACCCACTTATGAATCCTAGTTCTGCCCCTTGGGCACCACCCCTCACATCCCACCTGCTCTTGCAGCTTTATAATAGCCCTTCAGAGGTACAGAACCCACACTGCGTTGATGTAGTGAATGCTTATAATTTTATGTTGCCTCGGCATTCATTTTGAATGCAGGTTTAGCTTTCTCGTGCCAGAGGCAGGTCTCATTCAATCACCCTTGACACCGTTTCCAGTACCGTTTCCAGTTCGACACCACACCCAAATGGCTCCAGTAGGTGTTTGGAGATAAGAACTTAGAGACATCTCTGGTGCAGGACCATTCAAGCATTTGCCTGTGAAATTAAAAGCGACCCCCACACACCCTATTCTCCAATATATGCTGCTAGTTGACATGCTCTCTTCTCTCTCACGTGCTCCCTGACCTTGTGTGTGTGCCTGTGTGCATGCGGCCTCCAGGGCATGCCGTGTACACCCCAGGGTGGGTAAGTGCTAATAAGAACTCTTAGACTTTCACATTGTAGTTGTGTCATTGAAGCAGTGCCCGCAGTCTGACCCCTGACCCTGAGGCTGCCTGCCAAAAGGGACCCATGCAAGTTGGTCCCCTGCTGATGTTCTTTTGACAGGGCCTCTGGTGGCTGCGAGGGACAGTTGCTACCAGCTAAATTGATTTTAAAAAAACTTGGGCCGGGCGCGGTGGCTCACACCTGTAATCCCAGCACTTTGGGAGGCCGAGGCAGGTGGATCACGAGGTCAGGAGTTCAAGACCAGCCTGGCCAACATGGTGAAACCCCTTCTCTACTAAAAATACAAAAATCAGCTGGGCATGGTAGCGGGTGCCTGTAATCCCAGCTATTTGGGAGGCTGAGGCAGAGAATCGCTTGTACCCAGGAGGTGGAGGTTGCAGTGAGCCGAGATCGTGCCACTGCACTCCAGCCTGGGAGACAGAGCAAGAATCCATCTCAAAAACAACAACAACAACAACAACAAAAAACAAAACAAACAAACAAAAACCAACTTGAAGAAGTTCATTCAAAACACTCAAGTCTTCTCTTCTTCAAGCTAAGCAGCCCCAGCTCCTTCAACTGTTTCTCTTGGGACCTGGGTTCCAGCTTTCTCTCTAGCCTCTCTGTGTCCCGCGTAACTGACATCCAAAACAGGATTAAGTTGCAAAGGAGCAAAAGACACACCAAGAGGCTAAGCAGCAGCCTGGCCCTGTGGCTGGTGACAGGTCTCCAAATGCTTGCCAAGGAGGCTTAGCTTAGAATCTAAGGCCTTTAGTCAGATGGTAATAAAGGACTTTAGTTGATTTGAGAGCACTTTTAGAGCCTGGTGTTTCCCACCAGGGACAGAACAAGGCAGATTTTAAGCAGTTGGCCATCCTTGCAGTACTGGTTCCCAAGCTACTCTTTTTATCAAGTCTTTCTTGAATACATTAGCCTCTTTCAATAACCAGTATGCTCTCCATCTAGGGAGGGCCTAGCAGCAGTTTTATGTCCATCTCCCTGCCACTCTCACTTTGCCAGATGTAGCTCTATACTGCGTGACACTTCCCCTGTCAATGACTGTCTTCACCAACGAGGGACCCTAGTCAGACGAGTCATAAAGGAGTACAACTCTCACTTTGCCTCATTATTAGGTTTTAGTCCCCCTTTCTCCTCCTGAGCTGGTCACAAGACTTTTCGGGTGATTTTCATGAGTCTACTTGAACATTCCATTGCCTAACCTACTTTTCAGGTCATACTTTCAGTGGTCCTGCACCCCCCAACTATGGTGAATGATAAAAACAAAGCAACACTGATAGCTAATATTTACTGAGTATTGGATGTTTATTATGTTTCAAGCACTTTACATATATCAACTTATTTAATACAACAACCTTATGAAATGGGTACTATCTATTATTAGCCCCATTTTTCAGATGAGAAAATTGAGGCACAGAGAGGTTAACTCACTTGCCAAAGGTTGCACAGGTAATAGTAGTACAGTATTCAGAATCTGGCTCCAGAGTCTACATGCTTAGCCACTGTCACCCTACAGGCAAAACTTCCTCAGTGTGGCCCACAGACTACCTACATTAGAATCATTTGAAGAACTTATTTAAAAAGTCCCAGTTTCTGGGGAAACTGTCCCTCCATGCTCCGTCTTAGAGGGTGGATCCTTCTTCACTTCATCCTCTGTCTGTGGATCTCACATGCCACTATGTCTCTTAAACTTAAGGGACATCGGAAGCACCTTTAGAGCTGGTTAAAAATGCTGTCACGGGGAATCCACCTCCAGAGAATGCCATTCAGTAGGCCTGGGGTGGGATTCAGACATGTGCAATTGCTTTAACTGTGATAGACATTGAGGAATCCTCACTGCATATTTTCTCCAGCTTTCTTTACCCACTCCTGGCCTCCTCATCGTTCAGCAAGGTCCTCAACAATCTACTTTACCTAAGGTGTGTTCTCTCTGCTCTCTAGTGCACAGAACTCTTGGCTTTTCAGATCTTAGGGGAGGCCATTCCCTTGGGCAAAGCTGTACATACTTGGGTTCTTGATCCATCCTTTCTGGTCGCCTGAGGGAGGGATCAAGCACTTTCACTCCCCTTTCCCTGGCTTCTCTCCTGAAACATAAATGCGCTCAACCCCTGCCTATACAACAGAACAAAAAACAAACCTCCCTGTTTTCTGCATGATTTACTGTTCTCTTTTTTCATTCACTATAAACTTCTTGAAATAGTAGTCTATAACCTCCTTGGGCAAGTTACTTAACCACTCTGTTTATCAGTTTCCTCATTTGTAGAATGGAGACTATAATAGTGCATACTTCAGTGGGTTGGGGAGAATTAAATTTGTCAATATATGTAAAGTACTTATAGCAATATTTGGCACAGGATAAGTGTTCACTGAAATAATTATTAGCCATATACATGGTAGTTATTGTCACTATTGTTATTCACAATATCCAACCTAGTCTCGGTCACCATCCTAAAATTCTGTAACATTCAACTCCTCTGTTTGACTTTCCCCTCTTTTTTGCTTTTAATGTTATTTATTAAAATAGAAGTATAACACATATGCAGAAAAGTTCCCATTTCATAATGGTCCATCTCCACGAGTGCTCCCAAATGAATACAGCTGTATTACCAGTGCTCAGATCCAGAAATAACACATTTATGATTACCCCAGAAGTGTCTCCCCAACCCCCATCCTCCTGTTGCCTTAGTCACATCCTCCTTTGTAAACATTTATTTTAACATTTATAGTTTTTATATAATACTGAAAAACTTAGGAGGATGACAATGAATTTTATAGTAAATTACCTACTTGCTTGTATGGTTTTATTCTATAAGTTACTTTGCAGCTTCATTTTTCTAGTAAGTCCTTAAAATATAAAGCTATTTTTAGGAAAACATTGAATTTTTTAAAAATTTGAATTATTAGTTTGATCAATTTTCAGTTTTTTAAGGGAGATTTTAACTTTTCTTCATGTTAGCTATTGTGTATGTGTATGTAGTTAGCATACTACATCACTGAAATGTTTAAAATGTTAACATTTAGTACAAGTCTGTCTGGGGAAATCTTTATTCATTGAAAAAAATTGCGCCTGATTATTTTTCCATTAAAAAAAGGGAAAACATTTGCAATTTAAAATGATTTTTTTCTTATTTACAGAAAGGCATTTTGTTTGCAGAAAAAATACTATAAAATCATTTAATGAGTCTCTTATACTATTTAGGAGTGTTTATACTGATTTGTTTTTGTTGAAATACAATGTAAAATAAAATGTAACATATGCTCACAGCTGATAATCTGCAGAAATTAAATTCACCTATTACTCCACTGGGGAAAAAACAAAGCTCTGATAATGTTTGATGTCTATTCTCGTGGTGCTTATTCTATTGCTTATTCTATGGAATCTTAAGGGTTACTCCCCACCATCCTTTCTTTCCTGCACTCTCCTCACCTGGCTTTTGGGGGACTATCTTCAAAGATCAGAGAGGGGAATACACCAAAGCTAAAAATTTGACCTGGCCCAAAGTAAAAAACAAAAACAAAACAACAAAAAAAGCCTGCGAAAAGTTCTTGAATTTCAAAGCTTCTGCTGCAGTTTCTTTGTGTCACTAGGGTTTAATGGATCTGTTTTTAGACAAAGCATTGTATGGGCCTCAGGTCTCTCCACCAGTAGAAACAGAAAGAACAGAAACTGCTTTGCAAAATGATGTAAAACCCAAAATCCATCATGGGTCTGAATTCAGGAAAGAAATTATTGCTTTTTAAAATGTGACTTTATTATTTCTGAGAATCACTGCTTTCCTTGAAAGGGGTGGGATGTACATACGATAAAAAGATAGGCTACGAAATCCAGCCAAATAGTTACTTACTGGAGAACTACAGGAAGAAGGATGCAGAACTCATTACAGCCAGAGTGCCAGAGCCCTCCCTGCACTGTCCTGCTGAAGCTCTTGTCTTACTGTTATCAAGTGAATCATTCTGAGTTTGGCGGCAATATTGTTTGCTGAGGGTTACTGCTGGATGACTCTTGACACATGCTTGGCTTGCTACTAACTTTATTAATTTTAATTATATATATTTTAAATTTTAACCATATTTATTATTTTGAATAAGCAATACATTCACACCCTGCCCCTTAGCCACTGAGTTTGTCTTCTTGTACTTTCTTATCTTTTCTAAGATAGTCTGTTCTCTCTCTCTCTCTCTCTCACATTCTCTCTCTCTCTCTCTCTCTCTCGCTTGCGCACACACACACACACACACACGCACACCTCTTTTTAGTTTAGCTCAGAGGTACCAAAAACCTTTAGTGTACAAAGGTTGTATACATGAAACTGGATATACTCTACTTGATAGACAATTTAAGGGATTTTATTGGGAGGAATGGACAATTTAAGGGTTGAGGGGAAGGGTCTTGCTCTGTTGCCCAGGCTGAAATGCAGTGGTGCAATCACGGTTCACTGCAGCCTCAACCTCCCAGGCTCAAGCTATCCTCCCACCTCAGCTCCTCAGCTCTCCAAATAGCTGGGACTATAGGGACATACCACCACACCTGGCTAATTTTTAGATTTTTTTTGTAGAGACGGGATCTCACTGTGTTGCCCAGGCTGGTCTTGAATCCCTGAGCTCAAGCAGTCTTCCTATCTCAGCCTTCCAATGTGCCAGGATTACAGGCGTGAGTCACCGTGTCCGGCCCTGATTTAAGGGATTTTTAAGGGCCTAAGTTTCAGTGAACCATTTCCAGAATTACTTAGAAACCAGGGAATCACCAGGATCACCTCTGATCCTGGCTTTACCCTTAATCTCCACATAAATGCTAATTCTATTCCTAATGTTCACGACTTTGGTCCCCTCCTCTCTCCCTGCTGCCACTGCCCCAATCCAGGTCAGCATCATCTGTCATGAATTAAAAGAGAAACCCTCAATTCATCTTCTTCTCTTCAATCTCTCCTTGCAATTCATTATTTCCCCCAAATGTCATCCTTTGTGTCATTCCTAAAGCATAGCTCTGATGTCTCATTTCTTCTGAAAACATTAACTTAATGGATTCCATTGCCTATATTGTAACATTCTAAATCGTCAGTAAAGAAGAGTTTTTCCTGGAAGGGTGAGCAAGTTGCAGAAAAAACATTATCTCTTATCTCAGGTATGGGGTGGTCGCTGAGTCAAGGCTCTACAGAAAAGGTAGCTCAAGAAGTTGCTGTGGGGGCTGGTCCTTATGATAAAAAACTGAGTACTCTGTGTACCCTCAGTAATGATTGAGGGCTAGAATATACCCTGAGTAACCTCTTCTTGGTTTCCAGGTGGCTGAGAATTCTAGAAAAAGTTGCTTCGTGCACATAGATTTGGAACATTGGAAAATGCTGTTGTTGCTACCCATTTCCTTCCTCCTTTCAAACAAAATTCTGATTGGGATTTTCCAAGAACTGTGAACTCACCTGCAATTCCAGGAAGGCCTTAATAGCCTCTTCCGAGGAACTGATTCAATATGGTGATTTTCCAAGGTGGCTTCAAAGGGAACAGCCTGTAGCAATTGCAGCAGTCCTGATCCGAAGGTTAAGATGGACCAAGGTTCAAAAAAAAAAAAAAAAGCAATGAAGCATCCGGGTGCGGTGGCTCACGCCTGTAATAGCACTTTGGGAGGCCAAGGCGGGTGGATCACCTGAGGTCAGAAGTTTGAGACCAGCCTGGCCAACAGGGGGAAACCCCGTCTCTACCAAAAAATGCAAAAGTTTCCTGGGCATGGTGGCAGGCGCCTGTAATCCCTCCCTACTCAGGAGGCTGAGGTGAGAGAATTGCTTGAACCCAAGAGGCGGAGGCTGCAGTGAGCTGAGATCGCACCACTGCATTCCAGCCTGGGCGACAGAGCGAGACCCCATCTCAAAACAAAAAAGCAACAAAGCTCATGCACCCATCATATCCTGACTTTTCCTCTGATTGGATGAGCCCAGGCCACGAGCTCATCTTTGTAAAAAGTGAAGTAGAGGTTCCTCTTCAAAGAGACTTTCCTCTCCGTCTAATTAGGAATAAATAGTAACTTCTCTTAGAAGCGAAATTTATTCAAATAACTGTGCTAACGTTTTAAAATATCCGCTAGCCGTAATACAGAAATCAATGTACTTTGTGTTCTTAGCTCCCACAATTTAGCCTAAATATTTGCCCTGGCATGCTTATACTGGTCCAAGCAAGCATTAGGTCATAGCCCGTTCCCCTTCCTTATTTGGAGGAGTTTTTTACCTTTCTCAGCATTCCGCAAGTTACCTCTTCCTTCCTTTGTTCTCTTCTGCCTTTGCCTCTTTTAAAAAGTTCTAAGTTGCTAGCCAATTGGGACAAATACAGAATGTGAGGTCCTGTTGCAGCCAGTGGAAACCGGTGACAGCAGTAGGGTGAATGCGTCAGGTTATAAATGACCCTGTCTCTTTTGTTCGGTATACTCTTGTGGCAAAACTGCTGGCGAGTGTGCCCTTTCTGCAGAAAGTAAAAATGGCCTTGCTGAGAGAATTAAATTTATGTTCAAGTGCTATTTCTTTGTGGCACTGGGGAACAAACATTCTATTTCTAAATAAACATTTTTACATATAACATCGTGAACCAGTCACTGTGGCCAGGGAGAAGAGGTATTTTAATTGGCAGGCCTAAGGGGGAGGGCCCTGGTGAACCCCTTTCAACTTAAGAGGGTGGGAGAGAGTTGGTGCACCAAAGGATAAGTGGGGGCTTTTGCAGGAATAGTGGGCAATGGATGCTGGAAATGTGAACAACTGTTCTCTACATGTGTCTCGCAGACTGTCATCTTTGTGTGTTTGCCTAATGGGGTTCCCTCTACCTGGAATGCCCTTGCCTTCAGCATTGCCCACCTAAATCTAAGCTGGCCTTTCAAGTCTCCCCATTTCCCTTGCTCTGTGATTCCTCCACCCCAAGCTGGCCCAGGGCATCCCCACTTCATTTCCTCATCTTCTTATTGGACCACAGCACTTACTGTTGGGCCTTGGATTGGGGGTCACTTGGATTTATGTTGGTCTCACCTCTGAGGCTAGGCCTCCTTGGAGAGCACCAAGGCAGTCTTAACTGTTTTGAGGCCTTCCTGGGCCCCAACCCAGCAAGCAGTGCCTGTCATTGGAGATACTTGATACATTTTGTTTAACTGAATAGGCTACTTAAAGAGAACAAGCTGTTTTTAAGCCCCCTCAAATATTTCAAAAGCACTATTTACACACTTGAGAATGTGTTCCAGTCACTCTAGGCTATTCATTAGAATAGGTCCCTTAAGCAACTCTCCAAGTTGGGCTGAAGTAGCTGATTTGCACTTAGGAAGGGGGATTGGAATCAACATTGTAGTCGTGGTGTCTCCACCTCAGGCTGCTTCTTCAGCTCAACAAACTCAAGACTGATCAGGGCCTGGTTGCGGATTAACATTTATGTGGTTCTAGAAAGAGGACTCAACTGGGCCAAAGCAAACCTCTGTCAGTGGTCCTCCACCTCCCAAGCTAGCCTTCCCCATTACTTAGGGCTGTCTGCTTCCTCTGGTTCACTCCTCACCTCCATGCAAAAGAAATCTCTTTTGTTTTCTAAATCCTCAGGTGAGGTGGAAAGCTTCTAAATTACCATCAGGTGCTTGAATGGCCTGAAAACCTCTTTATGAGGTGGTAGGTAGTGGTTATCCAGCCTGGCTTACAAGCCTCCTTGTGAGATGGTCCTTTATATTTTTGAATACCTCTGATTATCAAAACATTCTTACACCAAACCATGACTGCTTTCCTATCACTTCTGCCTTGTGTTGTGGAGTCATGCACAACATTGAGACAGGTCTCAGGTCTTTTGTGTGTGCGTGGTGGGGCAGGGGAGAGAGAGAGAGAGAGAAAGACAGCTGGGAAGACCTATAGTGATCAATCTAGGTCAATGGCTGTTAACAAGGTTTCTTTTTTCTTTTTTTCAAGATATTCAGGAACAATAAACATATTTAGGGGATGCATTTTTCACATTCACAGTGAAGATGGGACTTGATGGTTGGGTAAATGCATATTTGCATAATTCCCTTAGGTTAAGACCCACTGAAATGAAAAGGAACCAAAACCAGAAAAGTAGATATCTTCTATTATCTTCTGTCTTAAACTAGGTTCAGGCCACACTAGCCTACCACAATCTCATTATCTCCATATGCAAAATAATGTAAACCCAAGGAAAAATGAAGATACCAAAAGAAATGCACAACTACACCCCCTCCCCACCCCCACAAAAAGGCCAATTACCTAGGTTTTCTATGTGTTGCTCCAAGGGCTGGGTTTTCTTTTCTTTTTTTAAAAAAGATCTTCTAAATGGGAAGATAGGCAATCTGTTTTTAGTTCTACTGGTGGTTATTTTTATGATGTTAAACACCATGCCTATGCCTATAATTCTCAATATTTCAGCTTCTAAAGTGAAATTGTGTCTGATTCACCCTCTGAGAGATGAGAAAATTGTCACCTTTCCTTTTTACCTCCTGATTTTTTGTTCTTCAATTTTTGTCCCTATGTATTTTAGATAAATTATTATTGTTTTTACACTACATAGCTTTTCTTTCAAGAATTGTATCTGTCAAGAGTCTTACCTCAAAGGCCCAGGCCCAGTTTCACAAGTGAATGGATTATTTCAAAGTTTCAAGGAGCAAATAATTCCTATGCTATTTAAATTATTTCAGAGAAAAAAAAAAGAGGAAACCATCCAGTTTAAAAAAATATTTTTTCTAGTGTTTAGATAATACATAGATAACATTTTCTATTTAAAAATTCAACAATATAATGGATAAACACAATGTGGTACATACACACCACGAAATATTATTCAGCCTTACAAAAGAAGGAAATTCTCACACGTGCCACAACACAGATAAGGATTGAAAACATGATGCTAATAAGCCAGACACAAAAGGACAAACACTGTATGATTACACTTGTATGAGGTACCCAGAGTAGTTAAATTCACAGAGACATAAAGTAGAATATTGGTTGATGGGCCGGGCATAGTGGCTCACGCCTGTAATCCCAGCACTTTGGGGGACTGAGGCAGGCGGATCATGAGGTCAGGAGTTTGAGAGCAGCCTGACCAACATGGTGAAACCCCGTCTCTATTAAAAATACAAAAATTAGCTGGGCGTGGTGGCAGGTGCCCGTAATCCCAGCTACTCAGGAGGCTGAGGCAGGAGAATCGCTTGAACCCAGGAGGTGGAGGTTGCAGTGAGCTGAGATCCCGCCACTGCACTCCAGCCTGGGTGACAGAGCAAGACTCCATCTCAAAAAAAAAAAAAAAGAATATTGGTTGATGGGCTGAGGGGAGTGGGAATGGGGAGTTAATGTTTAATGGGTATGAAGTTTCAGTTTGGGAAGATGAGAAAATTCTAGACAGATGTTGCTGATGGTTGCAAATCAATATGAATGTACTTAGTGCCATTGAAGGGTACACTTAAAAACAGCTAAAGTAGTAGATTTTGTTATGTATATACCACCACAATACAAAAATTCAGCTATATAGGCTGGGCACAGTGGCTCACACCTGTAATCCCAGCACTTTGGGAAGCCGAGGTGGGCAGATCACCTGAGGTCAGGAGTTCGAGACCAGCCTGGACAACATGGCAAAATCCCATCTCTATTAAAAATACAAAAAAGTTAGCTAGGCATGGTGGTGTGTGCCTGTAATCCCAGCTACTTGGGAGGCTGAGGCAAGAGAATCACTTGAACCCAGGAGGCAGAGGTTGCAGTGTGCTGAGGTCGCACCACTGCACTCCGGCCTGGGCGACAGAGCAGGACTCTGTCTCAAAAGAAAAAAAAAATCAGCTATATAGAAGTACGTAGTTTCAAAGTGAAAATTCACCATCTTCTTCCTTTCACTCACTCATTTCTATTCCTCTCCCTAGAGGTAATAATTAATATAGATATACCAAAATTTATTTAATTAGACTTTACTGAGGATATTAAGGTGTGTCTAGATGTTTGCATTGACAAATAATGCTGTAATGAACATCCTAAAAATAGACTTTGTGTAATGTTGTTCCCGGACCAAACCGAGGATTGGGCTGCTATTTCTTATGGCCCAATAACAAGATGCAGATGAACTGGGGAGGAAGAGAGTTTTTATTTCTGTAACCAGTCACAGGGAGAAGGCCTGGAAATTATCACCAGATCAACTCAAAATTACAAAGTTTTCCAGAGCTTATATACCTTCTAAGCTATATGTCTACATGTAAGTGTGCATTCATCTAAAGACATAAATGATTAACTTCTTCTTTTTTTGAGACAGAGTCTCGCTTTGTCACCAAGCGGGGAGTGCAGTGGCACGATCTCTGCTCACTGCAACCTCTGCCTCCTGGTTCAAGCGATTCTCTTGCCTCAGCCTCCTGAGTAGCTGGGATTACAGGCATGCCCCATCATGCCCAGCTGATTTTTGTATTTTTAGTAGAGACGGGGTTTCACCACGTTGGTCAGGCTGGTCTCGAACTCCTGACCTCGTGGTCCGCCCGCCTTGGCCTCCCAAAGTGCTGGGATTACAGGCATGAGCCATTGCGCCTGGTAATTAACTGCTTTTAATCTATAACTAAGGTCTGAGTCCTGAAGACCTTCCTCTGGAGCCTCAGTAAATTTACTTAATCTAAATGGGTCTAGGTGCTGGGGTGATTACCCTTATCTTGTCTCCTGCTAAATCATGGAGGTTTGGGGAGTTCCCTCAGACCTCCAATAAACTTGTTTGTGGAGGCCTGGGGAGTTTCTTCAGGCCCCTGATAAAACTCTTTTAATCCTAAATAGCTTCCTGTTAAGGATTCCTTCGTTATGGCCGGGCGCAGTGGCTCATGCCGCCTGTAATCCCAGCACTTTGGGAGGCCAAGGTGGGTGGATCACATGAGGTCAGGAGTTCGAGACCAGCCTAACCAATATGGTGAAACTTCGTGTCTACTAAAAATACAAAAATTAGCAGGGTGTGGTGGCGGGCGCCTGTAGTCCCAGCTACTCGGGAGGCTGAGAAAGGAGAATCACTTGAACTTGGGAGGCAGAGGTAGCAGTGAGCCAAGATCGTGCCACTGCATTCCAGCCTGGGTGACAGAGCAAGTCTCCATCTAAAAAAAAAAAAAAAAAATTCCTTCATTATTTTTTCATGGTTTAACTCCCAGGAAAGGCCTAGGCAAAACTCTTGGTGAGCTTTTGTTACATCCCAGCCTTTATATAAGGGCACTGGCTTTTAATACTTAACCACGTCAGTCAGTACTGAAACATTTGTTATGGAGGTCTGTGTTAGTGAGATCTGGCCTGCCACAATATGTATACCCTCAATATATTGCGAGGTCAAAAGCTATGTGCATTTTATTAAGTAGGTTAGGTTTAAATTTTTAATTCATATAGTTCAAAATACCAGAAGTTCAAGAGATTACACAGTGAGAAGCCCCCTCCCATCCTTTCCCCTAGGAACCTGGTTCCCCTCCTCAAAAGTGACCAGTTATATCCTTTTAAATATATATTCTAATCATGTGCAAGGGAAACTGCTAAAAATACAAATGATAGTGGTTTATGCACTTTAAATTTGATAGCTATTGCCAAATAGCCCTCCAAAGAGATTGTACCCATTTATACACCATCCATCAGCAATGTTTGAGAGTGCCTGTTTCTGCATTCCCTCATCAACACAGCATACGAACAAACTTTACTTCTTTGCTAATCTGACTGATGAAACATGGTATCTCATTTAATTTGTAATATTATGAGTAAAACAGATGTTTACTTAAGCTGGGTTACTTCTCCTGCCTCCCTCTTCAGCTTCTTTTCCACAACTCTCTCACAACTACCCTTCAGCTAGGCTGAACAGGAGACACCCGTTCTTTCACTCCTTCTTGTCTCTGCTCTGGTTGTGTTCTCTGGGAGCTCCTGCTAAGCCTCCTGACACAGCAAGTCGGATTCAGTGTCCTTTCTTCCTCTGTGCTTCCTCTCATCACAGCATTGGTCATGTTGCTTTCTGTCTATTTCTGTTTTCCTGTCTGCCACCTCTAGACGGTGAGCACTGGGACTACATCTTTTCTCTCTCTTAAGCTATGGTTTATCACTGTTATCATCGGTAAATATGAAAAGAGTGGATGAATGGATAGCTGACAGTTTCAAACTGAGGTAAAAAAATATAGGTTTTCTGTATCACTGATTAAAAGAGATTCACCTTTTTATAGTATAAGAATGTAATATATATGGAAGGTGGCAATTCAAATCAGTGGTGAAATGGTGGATTATTCAATAAATAGTGTTGAGCTAATTGGTTAACTATCATAATTGAGGAAAATCACTTTATGTCCTTATCTTACACCCATGTAATTTCCAGGTGGATATATTAAATATAAATATAAAGAGAAAGCATTAAAAAATCGAAATAAATTATGCACAAGTATCGATCCATTTTCAGGATAAGGAAGACTTTTCTAAGACTGACACCAAGACAGAAACCATAATGAAAAAGATTAATAGATTTTAAACTTACATTATGATTTTAAACTTACACATATGCAAAAAGAAAGAAACAAAACTGAAAGGCTAATTAATGCACAGGAAAAACTATTTTTTTTTTTTGAGACAGAGTCTGACTCTGTTGCCCAGGGTGGAGTGCAGTGGCACAATCTTGGCTCACTGCAAGCTCTGTCTCCCTGGTTCAAGTGGTTCTCCTGCCTCAGCCTTCTGAGTAGCTGGGATTAGAGGCATGCGCCATCACGCCCAGCTAATTTTTGTATTTTTAGTAGCCAGGATGGTTTCGATCTCCTGACCTCATGATCTGCCTGCCTTGGCCTCCCAAAGTGCTGGGATTACAGGCATGAACCACCACGCCTGGCCAACTATTTTTTAAAATATTCAAATGACAAGTGATCAGATTTATTAATATGGAAGGTCCTATTAAAAATGCAGAAGAAGGCCGGGTGCTGTGGCTCACGCCTGTAATCTTAGCACTTTGGGAGTCTGAGATGGGTGGATCGCCTGAGCTCAGGAGTTCAAGATCAGCCTGGGCAACACGGTGAAACCCTGTCTCTACTAAAATACAAAAAATTAGCCAGGTGTGGTGGCGTGTGCCTGTAATCCCAGCTACTTGAGAGGCTGAGACAGGAGAAACGCTTGAACCCAGGAGGCAGAGGTTGCAGTGAGCCGAGATTGTGCCATTGCACTCCAGCCTGGGCGACAGAGTGAGCCTCTGTCTCAAAAAACAAAAACAAAAACAAACAAACAAACAAAAAAAAGAAAAAGACAAACTTATTCAGAGAAAATTAAGTGAAGTTCAGGAATAGGCAACAAAATAAGAAATATTTGTTCCTGGAAAACAAAATACCGTATGTTCTCACTTATAAGTGGGTGCTAAACTTTGGGTAAACAAGGACCTAAAGATGGATACAATAGACACCTGGGACTACTATGGGGGAGGTGGAGGCGGAAGGGGCGAGGGCTGAAAAACTACCTGTTGACTACTATACTCATTGCCTAGGTGATGGGATCATTTGTACTCCAAACCTAAGTGTCATGCAATATGCCCACATAACAAATCTACACATGTGTCTCCTGAATCTAAAATAAAGTTGAAATTCAAAAAAAGAGAAATACTTATTCCTGCATGAATGAAATAAACACATAGAGGAATATTCAATCTCACTAGTAATCAATGAAACATCCACTAATACAACATTTTTCATCTGACAAATTAGCAACAATGATAATTTTCCGTGTTGGCAATTATGTGGGAATATAACAGCCTCATAGCCTGGGAGTGTAAATTCATGCAGTCTTTCCCAGTACGCATTAAGAGCCCCTCCTTTTTGACCTAGATCACGTCTACAAATCTTATCAAAAGGAAATAATCAGAAATATAGACAAAGATTCAGCTGCAAGGATATTACAGTGGCATATTTATAGTGGTGAGAAATTGAAAGCAATCTAAACGTCCAACAATAAAATTGAATAAATAAATTATGGCACATTCATTGGCTAGAAGGCAGGCTTTAAAATCATCATATTGAAGACTGTTAAGGACACAAGAAAGTGTTTATAATGTATTGTTAAGTTTAAAAGCCAATTTCAATAGAATGACACCAATATTGTTTTTCAAAACATGTGAGTCTATTATGTGTTTGTGTAGAAAAGTCCTGAAAAGAAGAGCCTGAGGAGTTCCTCCATGCAGGTCACCCTGTCCCCAGAGGGGCACTTTTGGTGAGCTCCAGTAGAAGCTCTGATAGCAACAGCTGGGGCAGACAGCCCTGGGAGAGTCTCTGCTTCCCCTGCAGGACCTGTGGGAAGAGGCCAAGTGGCCCCAAAAGTCACTGTAGACAAAATCAAGAAGTGGCTGCTGCCAGAGCCAATAATGTCATGTTCATGGGCTCCTAGATAATATTAATAGTAGCTAACATTTGTTGGGCACTTATTTACTGGACACTTGATATGTATTTTCTTTTCCTTTTTTTTTTTTTTGAGATGGAGTTTCGCTCTTGTTGCCCAGGCTGGAGCGCAATGACGCGATCTCGGCTCACTGCAACCTCTGCCTTGCGGTTTCAAGCGATTCTCCTGCCTCAGCCTCCCAAGTAGCTGGGTCCACAGGCGTGTGCCACCATGCCCAGCTAATTTTTGTATTTTTAGTAGAGATGGGGTTTCATCTTTTTGTTCAGGCTGGTCTCGAACTCCTGGCCTTAAATAATCCACACGCCTTGGCCCCCAAAGTGCTGGGATTACAGGTGTGAGCCATCACGCCCGGAGGCATTTTCATTTAATGTTCTTAACATCCTGAAGAAATATCTCTAAGACAAGTATTAATCTCCCTATGTTATCCATGAGGAAACTGAGGCCCAGAAAGTTTAGGTGACTTATCCAAGGTCGCAAAGCTAGGAAGTAGGTGGGCAATTTCGGCTTTAAACCCAGATAGATGTCTGACTCCAGAGCCTAAATTTGCATACAAGAAGCATCTTATTTTTTATTGCTATGGCAAGAGGGGAGAGGGAATGATAATGAATAAATAAAAAACAGTAAGGAAATGAATGAAAGTTGCTTCTGGAATTAGATCCTTTTGAGAACAGTACCCCATGGCTTTCATGAACTTGCCCAGAATAGCCTGTCCTCAGTGACTGTAGTCATTGTTATAGAATGGAACAAACTGCAAATCCCTTGTGTCCTGCCAGATCCCACAGTGGAGACCCCCCTCTTTGTGTTCTGGGCATGGTTAGGATCTGGCCTGGGTTAACACTTCCCTCTCCTTCCTGCTGAAGGCAGACCCAATGGGGGCAGCTGGGGACGGGCCGAGTGAGATCTTAAAGGTTCCCAAAATAGGAATAGCTATTTCTCTTGTATTCAGGGACAAGCCTGTAAAATGGGACTTTACCATCTTTGGTGCCATCTGTCACAGAATTTTTTGGGCTGTACCAGCCCCACCCCCAGCAAGGCTCACATTATCCAGGCAGTGCCCTCTAAAGCAACCTATGCCTCTTCTCCACTTAAGACCCCTGCCCAGCCTATGCCCCCTTTCCCAGCCAGTGCACCCTTCCACAGCTGTGCCCATTCCCCAGCCATCCCCCCATACCCTGTGAACCCCTTGCCTAGCAAGTTCCTCTGCCCCCAGGCAGGTGGCCTCCCCTCTTCAAAAGCCAGGAATCTCTTTTTCATCCTATACCAACTTATACCCTATGCCAACTAGGCTCCCTTCAGCAATGAGTGTCCTTGTCACCAGCCTATTCTCCCTTCCTTGCGCAGCTGCGCTTCCTTAACCTTGCTCCTCAGTCTATTTCCTTTCTAGACCTAGGCCTCCTTTCTCAGGGAGTCCCCCTTCCCCACCCGATCCCCACCCTGTGCTGCCTGCCCTTCTCTCATCAGGAGCCCTGATTCTGCCTGTTCCCTGGAACCCAGTCATGCCCGCTTTCTCAGTCAGGCCACCTCACTTAGCCAGGCCCCCTTCATCCATTTATATACCTTTCCTCCCAGCTAGGCTTCCTTCCCCAGCCAAGGCCACTTCTCCAGTCACGTCACCTTGCCCTGCTAGACATGCTTCCCCTATACCTACTGATACGGCCTCCCCAGTCAGGCCCCATTTCCCAGCCAGTACTGCCTTCTGCAGCAACCCTACCCAGGCTCTCTGCCCCAGCTTGTTGCCCCTCCCCAGCCTGTGCCCCCTGGACAGGTAGGCCTTCTTTGGCAACCAGGCAGACTTCCCGAGCCTGAACTCTTGTCTCTAGCCTGTCCTGGACCATGAAGGAATTCTACCCCAGCCAGAGCCCCTTCTCCTTCCAGGTCCCCTTTGCCCAATATCCCTATCTCCAGGCAGGCTCCACGACCCAACTTTATTTTCCTTGCTTAGCCTATGTCCCCTTGCCCAGGGCCCCTTTCCCCAGCCAGACCCTCTTCCTCAAGCTGTGTCCTCTTTAGATTGGCCCCTTTCTTAGCCATCTGACCAGCCTGTGCGCACCTCTCTGCCCTCTAACCACTTACTGCTGGGTTCCCAGTCTGTGTCTCGGTGGGGCTTCCTCCTCATCCTGTACCCCCAACCAGATGCCCCTCCTTCCTTTCTCTCCCAGGACAGACTCAACCCCAGCCAGAGCCTATTCCCCAACCTCCTTAGCCAGTCTGCCCTTCCCCAGCCCAGGCCTTTTTTCAACTCTATGTCCCCTTCCCACAGCCGGGCACCCATCCCCAGCCTTTCCCCTTTTCAACGGGACCACTTTTCCAAGGAGTTGCCCCTTTGCTGGCCTTTCCCAGCCAGCACCTCCTTCCGCAGTCAGGCATCTTCTCTCAGCTCTCCCTCACCTACCCAGTGGCCTCCCCAGCCATGCAATCTTTCCCACCAGGATCCCTTCACCCACATGTGCCCCGTGCTAAGCCAAGTCTGCTTCCCCGGCTAGGAAAGGGTTCCTAGCCATGCCCCTCCTGCAGCCAAGCTCTCCTCACCCAACGTGCCCTCTGCCCCAGTCTGTGCTCCTTTTTCCAGGCAGGCCTCCTTCCACAGCCTTCGCCTGCCTAGGCCCCTTGTCCAGCCTATTGCCCCTACCCCAGCCAGACCCCATTCCTATCCTGTGTGCCCCTCTACAACTAAGCCCGTTTTCTCAACCACGTGCCCTTCCTCAGCCAAGTTCCTGTCAGGGGGAGAGGCCCTCATTCCCAGGCATGATTTCTTTCCTAGCAAGCTCTCTCCACCTGGTAGGCCCCCTCTCCCAGCCGGGCCCACTAACCTGCCTATGATCCCATCTCTAGCCTATGTCCTTCTCGGTATTCAAACCTTTCCCACCACCAGGTTCCCTTTCCTAGTCTGTGCCTCCCTCCCCAGCCCCTTCCGCTGTCAGAGTCGCTCTCCAGTTAGGCAACCTTTCCCTAAGGGGTCTTTTTACCCCACAATCCTCCCTACCCCACACCCATCTGTCTTCCATAGATTGTGCCAGCCTCTCAAGACTGTGGTCCCTTTACAAGACAGGCACATCCCCATGTCTGGGACCCTTCCTCAGTCTCGCCCTCTCCGCCAATCTATGTCCTTCTCCCCGAGTCTATGTCCTCCTCCCCAGCTTATGCTTACTTTCCTGCTAGATCTCCTTCCCTGGTCCAGTGCCTTCTCCAGCCTGGACTCCACTGGACAGCCCATGTCCCCTCCGCCGGCCAGGCGTTCTTCCCCAGCCTTTCCTCTCATTAACAGCTAGGAACACCTTTCTCATCCTTTGGCTCCTAACTCAACTGGGCCTCCTTCCCTTGACCAGCCAGTTCTTCCCTAACCTGCTCCCCCCACCCCCGCTCACCCTATTATGTCCCTCCCAGCCAGGCTTCCTTCCCCACCCCGTGTCCCAGTCCACAGCCAGGTTCCCTTGCCCAGCCTTGTCCCCTTCCTCTGCCAGTGCCTCCCTAGCCTGTTACCTCTTCCCCAAGATCTTCCTCCTTGCCCTGCCAAGGCCACTCCCATGCTTGGCCCCTTTGGTCACCTAAGCCTGCATCATCAGCCGGGCCACCTTTCCCAGCCAGCATTCCCCCACCCTTGCAGCCAGGTCCCCCCTCCCCCCATCCCAGCCAGGCTTCCTTCTTCAATGACCCCTCCACACCATATGGCACTTCTTCAGCCTGTGTGCCCTCCCCAGTGAGGCTCCCTTCCCTATCCAGGCCCAATTTCCCAATTCCCTTCAATTCCCCTGGCCAGGCAGTTTGCCAGAGCCATTTCCCCATTCAATAGCCAAAGACCCGTTGCTACGAGGCATCTTGTCCCTTTGAGTTGCCCCCTGGTCAGCCTATTCCTCCTTGTATAGACAGTGACTCTTTCTTGACCCAGCCCCCTTTCCTGCCCTTCTCTCCACCCAACTCCACCCCTGCCAGGACCCCTTCCCCAGACTGTAGCCCAGTTCCCAAACAGCTTCCCTTCCCAAGCCAGGCCCCCTTCCTCTCCTTCTCCAGCCTGCCCCAGCTGGGCCACCTTCTCCTACCAGGAACCCTTCACCAGTCCATGCCCCAGCCTCCAGCCTGGACCCTTTGCAGGCATCCTCCCTCAGCCAGGACTTCTTTCCTAGCCTGTGCCCCCGCTACCCAGCTGGGCCTCTTTGTCCATGAAGGTCCCCTACCCTAGCCAGGCCTCTTCTTTTAGCTTGTCACCCCCTTCCCTGACCCTATGCAGCCCACTGAAGTAGAGCACCTTTCCCATTTCTAGAGCCCTTCAGCAGTCTTTGCCCCTGTCCCCAGTCAGCAACCACCACCCCGCCACCCGCAACAGGCCTATGCTCCCTAACCCTCCAGGATTCCTTTGCTTAAGTAGATCCTGGGATATAAACTCTATATGAAGTTAGCTACACAAAAACAGAGAAGCAGGTATTTTTTAAATGGTTTTTATTTTTGAACAAACTACATGTTTAAAAACTTTCAAAAACATATATATTTTATCTTAGAGCATTTGGAATGTAGAAAGAATTTCCAAAATTAATCTCACTGAATTACAGAAAGTAAAGATTAAAATTTTCATAAGTTGTTGACTGTAAATCATTTCATTTTATATTCTTTTGGAAAATTCAAGGATATTAACAAGTCTCAAATAACAAAAGTATATTGTTCACTTTTGATGTAACAAAATAGAATAAAACTTTAATATTTTAAAGAATCTTTTTAGATATTTCTGTATCTCTAAGAAATAAGGAAAGTTGTTACATTCATATCTTTCACACTTCATACCAGATGATATAACAAGGTCAATCAAGTACTTGAATAAATTCATACACCTTTATATCTCTAAGAATAAAGGAAACTTACTCGATTCAGATCTTCACCCCTTAGAGTAAGTAAATTACCTATCAATGTGTCTCTTTTTTCTTTATACCAGTTGTAAAGATAATGAAACGTATCAACTATTTGAATAAAGTCCTATCTCTTCCTACCTTTAGTAAAGGAAATTAAGTTCAGATCTTTCACATCTTAGAGTAAACCTTATCTAGCCTATCAGTTTATCTAAATTTACTTTATCTATTTAACAGATTTACCTTACATGTTTTAACAAATGCTGTTATTTAGAATTAGCAAACATGGGAGAAACTAAAATTAATTAGGAACCACACAAGTTTTGATGAAAAGAAAACAAAACAAAGTACTAGCGGATCTCTTGTTCATAACTTGAGACATCTCCTGAGTAGTCTAGCTTAAGTAAATAGCAAACCATGGCAATCTTTCCCCCCAAAACTCAGCAAAAGGCCTTCACAAGGCATTTTGATCACATAAACTCCAATTTTGTCTAAGTAATCCAAGACATTCATAGGAAAACCTGAAGACTCCCCGAGCTAGTCTACTAGATTTATTTTTCCCAGAACACATGAAACTTAACATTTCCTTTTTTTCTTTTTTTTTTTTTGGAGACGGAGTCTCGCTGTCTTCCATGCTGGAGTGCAGTAGTACGATCCCGGCCCACTGCAGCCTCCGCCTCCCGGGTTCAGTTGATTCTCCTGCCTCAGCACCCCAAGTAGCTAGGATTACAGGCCCCCGCCAACCTGCCTGGCTAATTTTTCATTTTTTTGAGACGGAGTCTCACTGTCTTCCACGCTGGAGTGCAAAGGCACGATCTCGGCTCACTGCAACCTCCGCTTCCCGTCAAGCGATTCTCCTGCCTTAGCCTCCCGAGTATCTGGGACTACAGGTGCCTGCCACCACGCCCGGCTAATTTTTGTATTTTTTGTAGAGGTGGGGTTTCACCATGTTGGCCAGGCTGGTCTCGAACTCCTGACCTCGTGATCCGCCCGCCTCGGCCTCCCAAAGTGCTGGGATTACAGGCGTGAGCCACCGCGCCCGGCCAATATTTCCATTTTTGTGGTGAAGTTATACGCAACATGACCAAATCTTAGTTGGTGAGGGAGGTAAAAGACCCTTAAGGGCAAGAAGAGGTTAGAACTTTCAAATTTATGCCCCTCTGGTGGTGCAATGCAGAGATTTCCCTCATATTTCCGGGGAATTTCCCTCGAATTTCGTTTCCCACCCTGTGAAAGCAGCAAGGTTAGGAAAGCGGGGGCGGGGCGGGGGCGGGTAGTTTTGATTAAAAGGAAGGAAAAGAAAAACAGAGAAAAGCAAAAGGGGAAAATAAACTGAGCCTACTGAGGAGATGCGGCGACGGCGACAGTTTCCCGGGGCTGCTCAGCGCCTTGGGGCCTACAGGAGACGCGGGAGCACGCCCCCGGCGGCGCCGGCCTCGAGCGGTGTCACGGAGTTGTAGTGCTCGCCGAGGCTGTAGGCATAGCGCAGGTAGACCAGGATGATCGGCTTCTTGACGTACTCCTCCCCGATGATCAAGGTGGGCGAGTCGGCCTGGATCACCTCGATGGGGGTCTTCAGGACGTGCGACAGGGCCCTCAGCTCCAGCTGGCCTCCCCATGCCGTGGTGCGCACGATGTTGTCGCAGTAGATCATGAAGTCGTCGTAGCCGAAGGAGTCGCTGGTCTCGGGGTTGCTGAAGAAGGGCAGGAACTCGTCGACGTGCTTCTTCATGTAGCTGGCGGTGCGGCAGCGCAGCATCTCCACAGACACGCTGAACACCAGCTGGTCTTGGATGGCGCGGTACATGCAGTGGCCGTCGGCCGGGATCGCTTTCATCTCCAGACCCCTGGCTCCCAGGATGGCGGCGAGCTTCTCCTCCTCCTCGCGCTTGAAGCCGGCCAGGTGCTCCGACATCTCAGCCTGGAAGATGCTCTCCTGGCGCTCCCTCTCCTCGGACTCCATTCTTTCTCTCTTTCTGTGGGCTTTGGAGGAGCGGGGAGGCCGGTTTTCCAGATTCATCTTGGCCAGGTCTTCGACGACAGATTCAATGCTACTGTCGTCTTGGAACTTCTCCAGCTCCTGCCGGTGCTTCTGAGCCATCTCGGCCTCCATGCGGGCCACGTCTTGGAGCAACTGCTTTCTTTTCGTCTTGTCGGTCTTGGGGACCGAGTTTTTTAAGCTCCGGATCTGGGCCTGCAGCTCCTGCCTCTCGCGTTGGTGGCGGCGCAGTATGCGCTGCTGTTCACTCTTCGGATCATCCATGATGTTGAATGGCAAGCGGGAGTTGAAATTTGCTGGCAGTTCAAGTACCGAACAGACCAGAAGTCCTCAGCCTGTCCTAACGGTCGCTCTCTTTCACCTCACCGGCTCTAACCGCCGCTCTAGGCTCACCTCAGCCTCCGCTTCCCCTCCCCCATTCGCATTCTTCTCTGCCTTTGGTCACTGTGTCTCCATGGCCACGCCCCCGCAAGTGCTAGGCCACTTGCTGGGCCACCCGCAAATGCCCAGTGCTAGGATTGGCTGTTGGGAGACCGGAAGTATGAGCCCATTGGACCCCACAGCAAAGGTTTTTGGCGGGATTCAAATATGGCCTTCCTGCAATGTGTGTGGCAGTTGGGCCTGTAGAGTCTTTCGCTGATTGAGAGCCGACTTCATTTCCAAGTCTGCACACAATGCAGGCAGTAGCCATGCCTGACAGCCACATGACAGATACTACACCGCTGAATGTGCTCTAACCCTGGACTTGGCATTGCCCCTACTGTTGAGGAAGCAGTGCGTTTTTCTCCAGTCTTTCAGGTCCCTTCACCAGGGAACCATTAACTTGTGCATCAGAACAAGGACATTTCCTTACATTCCTGCAAACACAGTCCTTTCAGTTTACTCTTTTTTTGAGGGGGGGGCGCGGGGAACGGAGTCTCGCTCTGTCGCCCAGGCTGGAGTGCAATGGTGCAATCTCAGCTCACTGCAACCTCTGCCTCCCAGGTCCAAGCGATTCTCCTGCCTCAGCCTCCCGGGTAGCCGGGACTACAGGCGCCTGCCACCACGCCCGGCTAATTTTTGTATTTTTAGTAGAGACGAGGTTTCGCCGTGTTGGCCAGGCTGGTCTTGGAACTCCTGACCTCAGGTGATTTACTCGCCTCGGCCTCCCAAAGTGCTGGCATGAGCCACTGTGCCCAGTCACAAGTTTTTATTTTAGCCATTTTGATAAGTGTGAAGTTCCCTGATGGCTAATGATGTTCCTTTTTTCATGTGCTCATTTGTCATCTATGCCATATCCTTTTCAGTAAAATGTTTATGTCATTTGCCTATTTTCTCTCTCTTTTTTTTGGGGGGGGTGGAGTCTAGCTCTGTCACCGAGGGTGGAATGCAGTGGCGTGATCATGGCTCATTGCAGCCTCAAACTCCTGGGCTCAGGCTCAGGTGATCCTCCTGCCTCAACATCCTGAGTAGCTGGGACTACAGGCACCACCATACTTGGCTAATTTTGGGGAATTTTTTTTTTTTTTTTTTTTTTGCCAGATGCGGTGGCTCACGCCTGTAATCCCAGCACTTTGGGAGGCCAAGGTGGGAGGATGTCTTGAGGTCAGGAGTTCCAGACCAGCCTGGGCAACATGGTGAAGCCCTAACTCTACTAGAAATACAAAAATTAGCCAGGTGTGGTGGTGTGTGCCTGTAGTCCCAACTACTCCTGGGGGCTGAGGTGGGAGGATAGCTTGAGCCTGGGAAGCAGAAGTTGTAGTGAGCCAAGATAGCGGCACTGCACTCCAGTCTGGGCTCAAGTGGTCCTCCACCTCTGCCTTCCAAAGTGCTGGGATTACAGATGTGAGACACCATGCTCAGCCCTTCATTTGCCTATTTTCTTTCTCTCTCTCTCACTCTCTTTCTTCCTCTCTCTCTCTCTCTTACTCTCTTTCTTCTTCCTTCCTTGGTTTCCTTCCTTCCTTTTTTTTTCTTTTTTTTTTTGAGACGGAGTCTTGCTCTGTCACCCAGGCTGGAGTGCAGTGGCATGATCTCGGCTCACTGCAGCCTCCAGCTTCTGGGTTCAAGCAAGTCTCATGTCTCAGCCTCCTGAGTAGCTGGGACTACAGGCGCACACCACCACACCCGGATACTTTTTGTATTTTTAGTAGAGACAGGGTTTCACCATGTTGGCCAGGCTGGTCTTGAACTCCTGAGTTCAAGCGATCCCCCTGCCTTGGCCTCTCAAAGTGCCGGGATGACTACACACACCACCATATCCAGCTAACTTTTTTTTTTTTTTTTTTTTTTTTACTTTTTGTAGAAACGGGGCCTCACTATGTTGCTCAGGCTGGTTTCGAACTCCTGGGCTCAAGCGAGCCTCTCACCTCAGCCTCCCAAAATGCTGAGATTACAGGCGTGAGCCACCGCGCCTGGCCAGGATTTTTGTAGGAATCGTGTTCAAGCTGAATATCAATTTGGGGAGAATTGACATCTTTACTATGTTGAGTCTTCCAGTCCTTGAACACCTGGGTATGTATCTCCATTTACGTAGATCTTCATTGATTTCTTTCAGTGACACTGCATGATTTTCAGCATATAAATCCTGTGCATATTTTGTTAGATTTACACTTAAGCATTTCTCTTTTTTTGAGTGATTGTAAATGGTATTGTATTTTTATAATGTGAACATTTACAATGTTCACATGGTCATTGCTAGTATATAAAAATACAATTGACTTTTTTTGTTTATCTTGTGTTCTGTGACCTTGCTTAACTAGCTAATTATTTCTAGGAGGTTTTTTCCCCCCTTGATTCCTTGGAATTTTCTATGTAGGCAATCATGTCATCTGTGAATAGGGACAGTTTTATTTCATCCTTTCCAGTAAGTATGTCTTTTATTTCCTTTTCTTGCCTTATAGTGCTGATTAGAACTTCCAGCACTATGTTGGATAAGAGTGGCAAGGGCAGACATCCTTGTTTTGATCTTGATTTTAGGAGGAAAAGAATTTCATCTTTCACTGATAAGTATGATGTTAGCTGTAGGATTTTGTAAATGTTATTTATCTAGTTGAGGCCTTTCCCATCTATTCCTATTTTTCTGAGAGTTTTTGACATGAATGGGTATTAAATGTTGTCAATGTTTTTTCTGTATTGATATGCCAATATGATTTTTCTTCTATAACCTATTAATATGATAGACTATAGTGATTGATTTTTAAGTATTAAGCTAGTCTTGCATTTCAGAAATCAACCTGATTTGGTCATAGTTTATCATTATTTTTATATGTTGAGGAATTCTTTTGGTAATTTAAAAAAGGATTAAAAAAAATCTATGTTCATGAGAGGTATTGGTCTGCAGTTTTCTTTTTTGGTACTGTTTTGTTTAGTTTTAGTGTCAGGGTAAATACTAACTTCACAAGAAGAGGAGGGAAGTGTTCCTTCCTCTTCTATTTTTTTGGAAAGAGATTGTGTAAAATCAGTAATAATTCTTCTTTAAACATTTGATAGGATTCTCCAGTGAAACCATCAGGGCCAAGAGATCACTTTCTTGGGAGTTTTAAAATTAAAAAAAAGTTTTCCTTAATAGGACTAATCAAATTATATATTTCATATTGAGTGAATTTTGGTAGCTTGTGTTTTTTGAGGAATTGGTCCATTTATTCTGAGTAGTCAAATTTATGTGTGCAGAATTATTTGTAGTATTCCATTTTTATTGTTTGATGTTGGGAGGATTTATAGTGGTATTCCCTGCTTTATTGGTAATTTGTGTTTCCTCTTTTGTTCTTTGTCAGTCTTGCTAAAGATTTGTCAATTTTATTGATCTTTTCAAAGAACTAGCATGTTGTCTTATTGATTTTCCCCATTGATTTTCTGTTTTAGATTTCATTAGTTTATGCTATTTATTATATTCTTCCTTCTGCTTGCTTTGGGTTTAGTTTGCTCTTCTTTTGCTAGGTTCTTGAGGTGGGAGCTTGAATAATTGCTTTCAGACTTTTTCTCTTTTTCCAAAGTATACGCTTAGTGATATAAACTTCCTTCTCAGTACTACTTTAACTGGTTCTCCCATGTTTTGATATGTTTAGTTTTCATTATCCTTCAGTTCAATGTACTTTTTGGTTTTCCTTGAGACTTTTTGGCCCATGGATTATTTACAAGTGAGTTATTAGCTTCCAAGTGTTTGTAGGTTTTCCTGTTATCTATTAATGATTTCTACTTTGATTCTGATATGGTTTGGGTCTGTGTCCCTGCCCAAACCTCATGTTGAATTGTAATACCCTCTGTTGGAGGCGGGGCCTGTGGGAGGTGATTGGATCATGGGGGGCAGATTTCTCATGAGTGGTTTAGCACCATCCTCTTGGTACTGTCCTTGAGATTGTGAGTGAGTTCCTGTGAAATCTAGTTGTTCAAAAGTGTGTGGCACCTCCCCTCATCTCTTTCTTGCTCCTTCCTCCATGATTGGAAGTGTCCTGAGATCTCCCTAAAAAGCAGAAGCTGCTATGCTTCCTGTACAGCCATCAGAACCATGAGCCAATTAAACCTCTTTTCTCTTTTGTTTATAACTTACCCAATCTCAGGTATTTTTCCTTTTTTTTTCTTTTTGAGACAGTCTCGCTCTGTCACCCAGGCTAGAGTGCAATGGCGTGATCTCGGCTCACTGCAACCTCTGCGTCCTGGCTTCAAGTGATTCTCCTGCCTCAGCCTCTAGCAGCTAATTTTTGTATTTTTAGTAGAGATAGGTTTTCGCCATGTTGGCCAGGCTGGTCTTGAGCTCCTGACCTCAAGTAATCCACCCGCCTCCGCCTCCCAAGGTGCTGGGATTACAGGCATGAGCTACCGCTCCTGGCCCAGCCGGTATTTCTTTATATATAGCTATGCAAGAATAGCCTAACACAGATTCCTTTGTGGTTAGAGAACACATTTGTATATGATTTCAATTCATTTAAATTTGTTAGGGTTTGTTTAGTTTATGGCCCAGAGTATGGCCTATCTTAATATATGTTCCATGGGCACTTTAAAGAATTCATGTTTTGCTCCTGTTGGGTGGAGTGCTCTAAAAATGTTGTTTAGATCCCAGTGGTTCATGATGTTGTTCAATTCTTTTATATCTTGCTGATTTTCTGTCTAATTCTTATGTTTATTGTTGAGAGAGGAGTTTTGAAGTCTCTGACTGTAATTGTAGCCTTTTCTATTTCTCCTTTCAGCTCTATCAGGCTTAGCTTTTCATATTTTGCACCTCTGTTGCAAATCCTACACATTTTAGGATCTTTGTATCTTCTTGGTATATCCATCCTTTGATCATTATTGGAAGTCTAGTCTCCCCACTCAGTCTTTGCTGGTGGGGGTGGGGCCACAGTTGTTTTTTTCTCTGGTTATGGCTGGCATAGAGTGATTATTGTCTAAAACTTTTCTGTCTTGCTAGGCTAATTCATTCCTAATCCCTTGGCTGGAGAAAACAGGCTTTTATAGGGACTCTTTTTGTCTATGGCTGTTAGTGTATTTTTGGTTGTTGGCTTCTTTAACTTCAAGTCTAAGATATATGAATCAAAAAGAAAATTCATGTCATTCCTCCTGTCCTGAAGACCCTATGTGGTCTGCCTTCTTTCCACTTTTTGGAGTCTTGTGTTTGTTTTGTATATGATATCCAGAGTTTTTAGTTGTAATAGCAAGAGGAATAGGGCAAAGGATGTCTATTCTATCTTCTCCTATCTTATTTGAAATAAATGGAACTATTTCACACTCTCCCTTACTGGCATTTGCATGTTTCAAAGAAATTAAATACTGTGACTTAAAATGAATCAAAGCAATTATAATTTTAGAAAACCATTATGCTGATCCTGAAAGAGACATCTTTTGGACTTTGATAGTGTGATAGCAATGGTCATGTAGAGTCTGCTTGTTTGCTGCAATCAAGATAGCTTTTTCAGATTCTGCAGAAGGAATGACAGGTCCCTCTGAATGTCAAATCCCATTGTGTGGGTTTGTTTTTGTGGCCTGAAGTGCAGAAAAACCAGCTTTGCAAATGTTGAGCTTTCCTGTCTGTAGTTTGTGTTAAGGAAACCATAGTTATTATAATATCGAATGTGCCTTTTCCAGCTCTGAACTGAAGCCTACTCCCCCAACACACACTTTCCCATCTGGAGATTATGATCCAACTTCCGAAGCACAGGCCTTGCCTTTTAAAGTCACGTGTCTCCAGCAATAGATGAGCTGCCTGCTCTTCAAGCATCTCTCTATGAATATCATTTCTCACAAGTGGCTTTTGATGAGGATTAGATGGCAGGGAGTTCAAGGTTACCTCTTCCAATAATAAGCACTAGGAATGGTGATAGGCCATCTTGTTAATTAATGGTTATGCTTTGCCAGTCAGCGAGGTGGGTGGAGAAGAGAATGAGTGCGTAACTTCCCGGGGGGTGTGATGATCAAATGCATGTGAAATGCAGTGCTCAGTGCCTGGCACCAGAGGCCAGGAATAAATTGCAGTTTCTTCACTCTACCATACCTCAGTCCCTACCTCCCAACTCCTGTTCCCCATTCTGTATCCCCACATCCACCCTTTACCCTTATTTCTTCTCCCCTTCACAGGTAACCAGAGATGGCAGTTTCCATGGTAATCAGGACCCTCATTAGTTCAGAGCTTAATGGTCCCTAAGTGTCTGTCTGGATTGAGTTTCTAGCCTACATCAGAGGGAAGTTTCCAGTGAGCTCAAGGGCTGTTGAGAAATTGTCAAACATAAGACAATATAACCAAGTTCTCCTAACTAGACACAATAGCACATGGTGTTATTTCAGTCTAAAGAGAGAGGATGTGAGGAAATCATCCCATCTTGTCCTGGGCTTACAGTTCCTGGGCATCTAGAGAATAACTGTCTTCCTAGAACTTGCCTATGAAGGATTATATCACCGGATTGTAGGTGTTGGAGTGTGAGTCAGGCGATACAGCAGACTGGGCAACAAGGAGGCAACCTCACTGAAGGCTTTTGAGTAGATCACTGTGGATTTACTCTTTCTTCATCCTCCCACTGTCCTTTAAGGCTCTGGGGCCACATGAGCTTCCTGCTCTGTTCAGGCCTGGTTTCTGTGCTGCTTTAACCTTGTTCCTGACCCTCCTCCTACGCTGATCCTCCTCCTACGCCAACCCCCTTTGCTCATTCATTCAATCAGTCATTCAGCCACCATTTATCAGCCCTGCAATGTTCCAGGCACTGTTCTAGGCACTTAGGATGTAACAATGAACAAAATAGAGACTCCTAATCTCAAGGAGCATACAGCCAAGTAGGAGAAGACAGATTAAAAAGAAACAACTACATTTGGGAGGCCGAGGCGGGCGGATCACAAGGTCAGGAGATTGAGACCATCCTGGCTAACATGGTGAAACCCCGTCTCTACTAAAAATACAAAAAATTGGCCGGGTGTGGTGGGGGGCACCTGTAGTCCCAGCTACTCCGGAGGCTGAGGCAGGAGAATGGCGTGAACCCGGGAGGCGGAGGTTGCAGTGAGCCGAGATCGCGCCACTGCACTCCAGCCTGGGTGACAGAGAGAGATTCCGTCTCAAAAAAAAAAAAAAAAAAAAAAGAAGCAACTACAGAACTACATACAAAATTGAAGCTGACCTTTGGAAGAGAGATTCCTAGTCTTGCTCTTGATTAGCGTTCTAGCCTCTTTTCTCCCTCTGTCCCTCCTCAGCAATGGTCCATGTACACACAGAAGCTTCTTCTGTTCCCTTTCCACATCTGCTGAAGGATTATATAAGCATTCCTGGGAGAGTTTGAGACTTGTTACTGTCGCCAGTGGCATGAGGTTGGAGGTGAATGTCAATGTTTGGGAAAAAGTGGCCATGTGAAAGCTGCCAATCCCAGGAGTCCTTTGGAAACAGGAAAGGTACATGTTACCCACCAGAGCAGAGGACAGTGACCATCTCCAATCCTCTGAGTCAGAAGAGGCCCACTCTGGCACTTTCAAACTATCATGCTTGATTTTTTTTTTGCCTTCCATCACTAATGTCCTGCTTTGGTTTCTTAGGCAGGCTCTCATCCCCTGATCATTCTTAGTTTGCTAAATGAGAGAAAGCGAGAACTGGAACTTGAGCCAGAATACATAAAATCGCTGACCAGCAGGCCACCTCCCTTCAGAAGAGATGGGTGGGCTGGCAGTGGGTGCCGGGCATGCAGGAAATATCCCTCAGCACAGTGGGGACTCTGCTGGAAGAATCTGAGTAAGCCGTTAAGTGCAGGGGATGGAGGCTAGCCTGATTTCTGGGGCAGCTGAGAAACTGGGGGTGACATTCAGACTTCGTGAGCCACTGAATGGGGTCTGCTATCTGGATGTGCCAGACAAGGCCTGGCTGTGGCTGCCAGGGTGTGCCAACTGCTTTGACCACATGATCCTGGTCTGATCCTAGGGTTGCCAGATTTAGCAAATAAAAGTACAGAACCTGGTTAAATTTGAGTTTCAGATGGACAACAAATAATATTTGAGTAGAAGTATGTCCCATGCAATAATGTTTTAGTGTAAGTATGTCCCAAATATTACACTCAAACATTGTTCATGGTTTATCTGAAATTCCAATTTAACTGGCATCCTGTTATTTTATCCGACAACTCTACCTGGGCAGAGTAAAAACTGCTATGTAAAGGAAGAATGACTGGCTTTATTTTTCATCTGTTTCCAGGAGCCTAGAGAGTAGGACCAGTGGGGTTTGAGCCTGGGTCTGAGAGCATGAAGAAATATTTCACTGGCAGGGGGCTCAATGAAAGCTATGGAGAGTCTTCCCCTGAGTTGCTTGGAATTATTATTAATGGAAAACTCCAAGAACCTTTCCAGCTCTGACCATCTGTGAGCCTCAGAAAGTCCAGGCATGTTGTAAGGATAGAGTGGAGAGATGGTGGAGGGGGATAAGACTGAGGACTGGAAGCACCCACACAATCTTGACCACTTCTCTGTTTGGTATTAGGATGAGGGGATGCATGCAGATGCATCAGCTAGGTACACGGCCTTCTTTCTGTGGACGAGAAGGCAGGGCTTCCAAAATGTCCAAAACGTTCACACTGCCATGGCTTCTGCTCCAGAATTTCTGCCATTCTTTCTCCACAGCGACGCTGTTGGAGGGAAGCCCATTCTGGGACAAATTCAGTTTAGCTCTGGGCCTTCACTTCTCAGTGCCCCACTGTATCCTTCCCACCCCTTCTCTCAATGGCAGCAATGGTGGCAACCTATGTTTGGACACCATTTCACGGTTCACAAAGTGATCGGCCATCTGTTACTTCTCTGGATTCTCACATGTCTGAGTGACCACTAGTTATCTCCTATTTAGAAGTGAGGAAACCAAGCCTCAGAGACTTGCCCAGTGCCATACGGGCCAGGCCTCCATCCACTCAGGCATCTTCATAACAATTGTCAGTGAGTGGCTACTGTGTGGCCTGTGTTAGGGGCTGGGCACGTGAGAACAGTCAGACCCAGAACCACCCAATTCCTGCCCCTGAGAGCTCCCAGACCAAGACGGGAGAGTGAGGCATCAGGGGCAGGGGACAGATGTGTGAAGAGGTGGGGACAACACAGTTCCGCAAGGCCAGGCTTGATACGAATGAGGCCTGTCTCAGGAGTGTCTCAGTGGAGGGAGTGAAGTGGCCTTTCAGCCCCAGGCTTTCTTCTTTGGTAGGCAGCTCTTCCTCTCTTTTCAGGCTGCTGCGGTCTTCACTCGCTGCTTGGGTGCTGGCCCCTGGAAGTGTCCTGGGACTCCATGCACTTGGCCCACAGCCCAAGCCCAGCTGTGCTGAGGTGGCTTCTCCTTGGCAGGGAAGTGCAGATCCTTCCCACAGGGCCATACAGAATGTTCTTCCTCTGCCTCACCCCCAACTCCAACCCTTCTGCCAAACGGTCTTTTGTGGAATTCTGTGTTCACGGAGAATCCAACTACTTCTCTCCATCTCCACTGCCACCCAGCCTGGTGTGAGGCACTGTTATCTCTCACAGGGGATTATTGTCATAGCCCCTCAAAGGTCTCCTCCTTCTTCCCTACCCTTTAGCAACTTAAGTCATTCTGGCTCTTCTCTGCTCAAAGCCCTACAGGGGCTCTCCATTTCGGTCAGAGTAGAAGGTCTTTGCCAGGCTCTCTGCTCTCTGCCCTCACCTACTCAGTTCTTCTCATTCACTTGATTCAAGCCTTCTTGCTGCTCCTCGTGACCTGCCAGGGACACCTTATTCCAGGGATTGTGTGCCCTTACTGTTTCTATTGCCTAGAACATTCTCAATCCAAATTGCCACACTGCTTGCTTCCTCATCTCCTTCAAGCCTTTGCTCAAATGCCACCTTCTCAGCGTGGCCTTCCCTGATCACTCCTTTTAAAATTGTAAAGCCTGCTCTCCCTGCCTGATCCCTTCCCACCTCCCAGCACTCTGCGTTCTTCTTACTCTGCTCAAATGTTTTTTCCCCGTAGGTTTTATCACCTTAGAATGCACTATAGAATTAGTTAATTAATTAATTTCTATCATTTGTCTTCCTCCACCAGAATATAAACTTCACAAAAGCATGATTTTTTTTTAGTTTGTTTTGCTGCCCAGAAGAGTGCCTGGCATATATTATGTCCTCATAATAATTAGATGTTGTGTTAAGACACCCTTCCAGTCTTCCACCCTTCCAGTCTTCCACCCTTCCATGTATTTGGCCCATAGGACACACCTGGCTGGACTTGGTATCTTTCACACTCGCATATCTCCCATCACACACAGACTTGGAGGTGCCACCTACTAATGTGCATATATAAATATGTGTTGACAACTAGATACGTATTTCCCTTTGTACATATATACTCACAGGCAAAGACCACATGTGCACATGTATGTGCATGAAAAAAATCATATTTGTAAAATTTCTTCTTTTTTTGTTTGTTTGAGACAGAGTCTTGCTCTGTTGCCCAGGCTGGAGTGCAGTGGCATGATCTCAGCTTACTGCAACCTCTGCCTCCCGGGTTCAAGTGATTCTCATGCCTCATCCTCCAGAGTAGTTGGGATTATAGGCACACGCCACCATGTCCGGCTAATTTTTTGTATTTTTAGTAGAGATGGGGTGTCGCCATATTGGCCAGGCTGGTCTCGAATTCCTGGCCTCATGTGATCCACCCACCTTGGCCTCCCAAAATGCTGGGATTACAGGAGCGAGCCACTACTTTTTTTTTTTGAGACAGAGTTTTGCTCCCGTTGCCTAGGCTGGAGTGCAATGGTGCGATCTCAGCTCACCACAGCTTCCATCTCCTGGGTTCAAGCGATTCTCCTGCCTCAGCCTCCTGAGTAGCTGGGATTACAGGCATGTGCCACCACGCCCGGCTAATTGTGTATTTTTCAGTAGAGATGGGGTTTCTCCATGTTGGTCAGGCTGGTTTCGAACTCCCGACCTCAGGTGATCTGCCTGCCTCGGCCTCCCAAAGTATGACCTTGAGGGAACTCTTTTTTCAAAATTCTATTATAAAAAAATTCAAACCTACCGAGTAGTTGAAAGAATTGTACAGTGAATACCCACCACCTAGATTGTACAGATAATATTTTATGTTATCTGTACAGAAATATAAAATATAAAATATTAAAATATAAAAATATATTTAATATATTATATATAAATATTAATATATAAAAATATATTAAAATATAAAAAATATTAAAATATTAAAAATATAAAATATTTATATATTTTACTAGATTTAATAAATCAATCTTTGTTTGATTTATTACATATTTATCCATCAGTACATCCCTGTATCCATCCATCAATATATTTTACATGCATTTCAAAGTAAATTGCAGACATCAGCACTCTTTTTTGTTTTGTTTTTTTAGAGACAGTGTCTCACTCTGTCATCCAGGCTGGAGTGCAGTGGCACGGTCATAGCTCACTGTAATCTCTAATTCCTGGCCTCAAGTGATCCTCCTGCCTTGGCCTCCCAAAGTGCTGGGATTACAGGTGTGAGCTACCATGCCCAGCCTAGTATTCTTCACCCCTAAACACTTCAGAATTAATGAGAGTTCAACTTTTTTTTTTTACTTTCGAGGTAAAATCCACAGGCAGTGAAACGTACACATTTTAAGTGTATACTCACTGAGTAATGAGGTTTTGATCTGTGTAACTCACAGTCCTATCAAGACAGAGAACGTCACTGTTACCCCTAAAGGTTTCCATCATGCCCCTTCCTAGTCAATCCCCAAGCACAGGTAACCACTGCTGTGATTTGTTTCACTATAGATTGGTTTTGCCTATTCTAAAATTTCATGTACACAGAATAATATACACCAATATTTGTTTCTTCATTCAATAATAGGTTTATTCAGTACCTATGATAGCTCACAGACATACATGTGATGTCTCTTCAATGTGAGTAATGAGTTCTCCCAGACTGACTAAAAGGCTGAAGGTATTTCTAAGGCCTTGCCTGTGACCTCCTTCCCTCTGCCCTCCAATCCCATTGTCACTGAGAGACCATAGACAGTTGGGCCTCAGAAACAGAAATGCAAGCCCTGTGTCCCATTTGAGCCCTGGGCTCCTTCCTGCCCATCACTCTCCACCATCCAGACTGGCCCTGGAGGCCTCTTGTCAGCTGCACGCCCACACTAACTTTCACACCAGGGTTTCATCACATTTCTCTAGCCAAGTGCGCAAAGGAGTGTCACAATCTCAGTCCAGGCAATACCCAAGTGGGTAAAAGTACAGGTGAGTGGGCAGCTGGAAGGAACTGGATAAGCAGAGGCATTATATGGTCCTGTAATTCTGTGGAGGGGTGGTACAGGGGCGGAGGCTAGCCAGAGGCTGGGGAAGAAAACATTAAGAGAGGAAACATCACAGACTCCTGAGCAATCAGGGCTGGGCAGCTGAACAGTGCTTACCTGGAGCCACTGGGACGCTGGGCACAATGCTCTTGCCCTCTAAGAAGGACCTCAAGACTGCCCTGGATGTCTTTGCTGTTTTCCAGTGGTCCTTCAGTGCCTTGCTTATCAGTGAGTCTTCAGCCTTTGGTAGGGTGACCAACCATCCTGGCTTGCCTGAGACTGAAGGATTTTAGGGTTGCAGGATGTTCAATGGTCAAACTAGGGTTGTTCCAGTAAAACCAGGAAGGTTGGTAACACCAGCCTCTGGCCTGACCCACCTGGCCATGGTATTTGTGGGATCTGTGAGTGTCCCTGTGGGCATGTGTGTGTGCATATGGGTGTGTGCCTATGCAGGGGTGTGTATATGCACGTCTATGCACATGGACTTTGCTGCAGGTGTGAGCCCTTCTCGGTCTACATTGGGGTGTAGAGGGCATTCTTTGGGAAGATGAGGAGCAGTTCCACTGAGGCTAGCCAAGGAAAAGGGCTTGGCTGCAATCACAGGGACTCAAGCAAACCACCAATTAGAGATAGTTGGGTCAGGTGGCAGACCGAGGCTCTGGAAACCTCATCCTGAGGAATTCGACAATTTATCCATCCATGTCTTCCAACGCTTACACTACAAACACTTTGTGAAAGTTATTTCTATGCTGGCCACTGTGTTCTAAATGCTGAAACAAATCATCACTGTGGGAAGGGGTCCTGGAAAACATTCTTGCCTTTCCAGTGGTTCAGGTGAGTACTGGCTGGAGTCAGGGAAATGAATTAAGTGACCTTGCAAGCTATCTAGGAATAAAGAATGCAGATAGGCCTTGGTGCACAGAGCTGGCACAGAGGCACGCCAGTGAATAGGAAGGGTGGGCATTCCTTACCTCACCTCACCTGTTTTCAAATTCCAGTTCTACTACTTACTATCTGTGTAATTCTTAGCAAGGTATTTATCCTTTCTGAGTCTTGTTTTCCTCATTTGCAAAGTGGGAGCATTCAGGGTGTATTAATCAGGATGGTCTAGGTATGCCGTGCTGATAAATTCACCCTGAAATCTCAGTGGCTTAACCCAGCAAATGTTTATTTCTTGTTCATGCTGAATGTCCAACATAGGTTGGTGGGAGTCACCGCTCACTGTGGACATTGATATTCAGGCTGACGGAGGCACCACCAAATTGTGTCGCTGCAAAATGGGGCTTGAGGGATTACCACAGCATGGGAGGGAAAGTGAATGGAGAACTCATTCACAGTCCTTACTACCTCCACCCAGAAGTGATAGGCAAGAAACCATGAGCTGTCGCCTCATTTTGAACGTCCTTAATTACTGATGAGTTTGAGCATCTTTTCATGTTTATCAGCAATTAGTATTTCTTTTTCTGTTAACTGCCCATTTATGACCTCTGCCCATTTTTCTCTTGAATTTGAGTTGACTCTTGAAGGACAAATAGGAAATAGGTGAAGAAAGGAAGAGCATTTGGGGCAGAGAGTGGGCAACACATGGAAAAGCTAGGATGGCAAAGGGCACATAATGCATTCAAGGAGCTGCCAGTGGTTAAGTGAGGTGGAGGGTGAGAAGCACAGAATTGGTGCTCGATATATATTTATTGAATGAATGAATGAACAAACAAGAGAGGGAAGAAGGAAGAGACTGGAGAAACAGGCAGGGGACAGATTGTGTAGGGCTTTGTAAACCATGGGAAGGAGTTTGGACTTTTTTTGAGAGCCATGTGGAGCCATGAGGGAGACTGACACAGGGTGATGGCATCAGAGATTACTCTAGCTCTGTGAAGTCAACTGATTATAGGAAGATAGAAGTGGAAGGGGCAATGCCAGGTAGGAGGCTGTTGCAATAATCCAGATGGCGGTAATTTGGACCAGGCCGGTAGTGATGGTGATGCAGAGAAGAGGAAAGAAGAGGGGAGATTCAAGAAATTGGAGTAGAATGAATAGGACTTGAAGATGGGGGGTGGGGGCACGGGAGAAATGGAGGAAGCAAGACTGAGGGATCAGGTCCCAGTGTGAGCTGGCAGGGGGGCAGGTGGGGCAGAGAAGGGTTAAGGAGGAGAGTGGCTGAAAGGGGATGAGTCCAGGGACAAAATGGACTCAGAGGACTCTTAACTGGAGTTTGACTTCGGGGTATACTAAGAGGTACAGAGAGGGCAGGCAGAAGAGCTCTCGGTCCTGGCAGCAGATATGGGCTGCAGGCGTTTGCCCCTTCCTCACTAGTTCACATAGGGCAAGTGGGGCAATGGCCCTTCGGAGGCCTCTCAGCTCTTCACTCTAGGAGTGCAATTGAATCCATCCGGACCCTAAAGGCCTTGAGAGAAGGCCCTCCCAATAAGTGAGGGAAATAGTGCAGATATTGGTATTTTAGTTCCCATCTTGCAGATGAGGAACTGAGGTTCAGCAACGTCTTTGGTCACACACAGTAAGTGGCAGATCCAAGATTCATCACATCACAGGGCACCCCACCTGAGGCCACGCTTACAAGATGTCCCCAGCACTGCCTAGGTTTGAGCAGAGCCTAAAGGAAACTGGGAGGTGTCCTCTGGATCAGACCCAATGCCTCTCTTTACTTCTCAAAGAAGTCAGTAGTGTCATATGGCACTTATCAAAACCCTAGAACTGCTGGCCTTTGCTCTACCCTTAATTCTCTTTCCCAAGGCAGTGCTTTTCAACTTTGTTGGTTCTTTCTTCTGGAATTTACTTCCATATTTCTAAATCTTATTATTTGCTGATGTAACAATTTTAGACATTGTCTATTGACTTCCTAATATGGAAGATGAGAATTTGGCTGTGCACACTATCACTAGAACTTCCTCTTCCCCCATCCTCCCAAAATTGTTATAGCACAGGTTTTGGTTAAATGCCTATGACTAGAAAATATGATTCATAATTGAGCTATTTAGTCACCAAGATTATATTTCCTTTCCCATGGAATTTCCTGTTTTCCCTGAAGTTAATAATTGCCTCATTTTATTTTATTATTTTATTTTTTAGTGTAATATTTTAAAATCAATTTTTGAATCTTAAGTACTAAATATTTTATAGAAATAAAACTTTTTCTACTTAACATAAGGATTAAAAATACCTAATTCCAATCCTAGAAGTATCATCATTGCAATTTGACAAAATAATTTCAAAGTTTTTCTGGAAAAAGAAACCGTTGAGACTAGAAAAGAGGAAGCACAGTTGTGAATGCTCCCTATTAAATATTGGGTAGAAAACTGTTACATAAAAAGCTTCACAGACTCTAGAATTCACAGATAAAATTATTGAGTACAGGTCGGTGGCGGCGGCTCACGTCTATAATCCTAGCACTTTGGGAGGCTGAGGTGGGTGGATCACTTGAGGTCAGGAGTTTGAGACCAGCCTGGCCAACATGGTGAAACCCCATCTCTGCTAAAGATACAAAAATCAGCCAGGCATGGTGGCGTGCACCTGTAATCCTAGCTACTGGGGAGGTTGAGGCACAAGAACTGCTTGAACCCGGGAGGCGGAAGTTGCAGTGAGCTGAGATCATGGCACTGCACTCCAACCTAGGTGACAGAGTGAGACCCTGTCCAAAAAAAAAAAAAAAATTGAGTACAGTGGTCTTGAAACAGACACACAAATTTAACATTTCATAGTGAAGCATCCTAAAGCCATATAGGGGGTGGGTTTCTTACCACAAAGTATTAGAAAAATCATTCATTTCATTCAGAAAGTCTAGTTGTAGCCTTACTCATACCGTAAACTGAAATGAATTGTAGTTAATTGCTTCATTTTACATTTCTTTTATTATCTATTAGAAATCTATTAGTTATCATGAATTCACCCTCTGAATCTGTGCAGACCTGTCAATCTCTCAGTACGGGCAAATGCAACAAGAATCTAAGTCCCCCCATCCTTTTATTTCCTTTAGAACATCGCTGCTGGAGCCTGGTATCTTCCTGTTACAATTTGGCCTCATGCACAGCTGTCACCTCCAGGGCCCTTGAGACACCTTGGGTGCAAAATTTAAGAAGCTGCTCACTCTCAGGGCTGTGCAAGTGATGGGCCAGTACATGCATGACCTGAGAGTTAGTGTCTTGCTCAATGTTGTGCCCTGGGCACCTTGCTCACCTCTCCCTATCCCTGGCCCTGCTTGCTGCCCTCCTTTGTTGGGTCCTTTTTTTCCTGGATTCTATGCCTTCCTCTTTCTTGGTTTACTCCCTCATTTTGGTGAAGCACATTCTCCAGTAGTTTTCTGAGACAGGAGCATGGGAGACCAATTATCTGAGACGGTGTGCATCTGAAATTACCTTTATTCCACTTCTATACTTGATTAATAATTTGGCTGCATATATAATATCTTAGCTGTGTCTAGTGTAAGTATTTGAGTCTAGAGTCTGTTTGGTTCAATTTTTTGGGGAACAATCCTCCCATCATCCAGTTGTGTAGGGGAGGAGAGGGAACCTGGGGTTCTAATTCCTTGGCAGACTTTCAACCAATCCTCCAGTTTTTCTAGCCCTGTGCCTCATCCCTGCCTCTTGTGGCACCTGATGCCTCCAAATTCTGAGTCTTTCCTAGATCCTCCAGTGCAAATAGGCTCACATCTTGTAGGCATCCCCCTTGCAGGTAACTAGATTTTAATTTTTTTGTTCTAAGTCAGTTACCCACTCTTCCATCTGCTTTCCTACATGGAAATGTTTTGCTAATATCTCTTATCTGCTGTTGGCATCTCATTAATTCTCTTTCTCCTTGTGGATCTACACTTTAAAAAACATTTTAATGATAATTTTCATGGAGCTCCAGCAAGAAGTCAAGGCAAAACCTTGTGTTCAATCTGCAATGTTCAATTAGAAATGTTCTCTGTCTTTTCTAACCTTTTACTGACCCACTTTCCCAAATAATCTTACTACAGCTGCCTTAAAAACTGAGTCCAGTAGTAATTCTGAGTGTGGCTCCCTATGACTCATCTCTAGTAACTCTTCCTAACCATGCTAACCTACAGTGTTCCTATCTTACTGGAACTTAATACAGCCCAGTACCTTATTCTATTCTGGTTTGTATTTTTCTTTGTTTGCCATCTGGTGTGCTCCCAACTGGGCTGAAGATGGGTCTTTGCTTTCCCTGGTATTCCCTTAACTAATGCCTCAGAGAGAAGATTTGGAGAGGAGGACGTGAATTGGAGGAAAACTGTTCCAGGATTCCCCACCTCTGGTGGCCCACCGCTGGCTCACTGCCATTGACCACACTGCAGGCAGAGCCCAGTGCAGTGCTGGAGCAGGGCCCAGAGAGGAGAGGGCTTACAGTGTGAATTCAGCTCAGCTGGGGAAGAAGACACCTTCCCTTCTAGACCTGAATCGGGTTCCCAAGGCCAGATAGAAGAGGGGGCTGGGAACATGGGCAGATGGGCCAGGTGCTGGGGTGAAGAAGTGAGAGTGTTGAGTGGGTATGGGTGAGAGAGAGTGCACGTGACCTTGGGGTGGACAGAACTCCGGAGAGAGGGTAAGTGTGAGGGACTGCTTGAAATTCATTAACTCTGGTCTGGGCTTCCTGCAGCAACCACTGTGATTGCTGTCAACCTCTACCTGGTGGTGTTCACACCATACTGGCCTGTCACTGTGCTTATTCTTACCTGGCTGGCTTTTGACTGGAAGACCCCTCAGCGAGGTAAGCATCCTGCTGGTGCTGTGTTGCCACATGCCACATGCTCTTTCCCCTTCTCTCATCACAATCCTGAGAGGCTCTGGCCAATTCCCAGACAGCCCTTTAGCCTGTCCCTCCCTGGGCTAGAGAGGCTGAGGGAAGGGGTCCTTTTAAGGTGGTAGAAAGGCCCAGATCAGAACTGGAGTGGGTTAGGGGAGGGGCAGCTAGTGAAGCAGAAGCTAGGCCTGTCCTAAATTGCCCTGATATGCCCACCTTGGTTGCCACTTAAGAGGCCAGGAAACAGCAGGGGGTGAGAGCACCCTGGGGCAGGCCCACAGTGGGAATGGACAAAGCTTGGCTGCATTGCCTCTGTTTTCAGGCGGCCGCCGGTTTACCTGTGTGAGGCACTGGCGCCTGTGGAAACACTACAGCGATTATTTCCCTCTCAAGGTCAGTAGCCCCAGGTCCCCACTCAGGCCCAGGTCCAGCCCCGACTTCAGTGCTAGCAGTTGGGTCAGGCTAGGGGTGGAGGGCGCCATCCACATTGAGCCTCTTGAGAATGACGCCCCCTGGAGTTGCACATTGGGCAACCTGCATGGCTAGACCTAGCAGTCCTTTTCCTTTCAGATCTCTGCCCAAAAGAGAAGTTCTCTACCCTGGGAATAGCCCTCCTGATTCTACTTTCTTCCGCAGCTTCTGAAGACTCATGACATCTGCCCCAGCCGCAACTACATCCTCGTCTGCCACCCTCATGGGCTCTTTGCCCATGGATGGTTTGGCCACTTTGCCACAGAGGCCTCAGGCTTCTCCAAGATATTTCCTGGCATCACCCCTTACATACTCACACTGGGAGCCTTTTTCTGGATGCCTTTCCTCAGAGAATATGTAATGTCTACAGGTAAGTTGGCTCCTAGGACACAAAGCCAAAGAAAAAATGGCTCCCCAAGGGAGAATTGTAGGGGGATGCGTGAGAGCAAGGCCAGCTCCCAATCCCCTCTGGTGTGAAACAGCTATCATAGGCTCACCTGCCTGATGTTAGGCTCCTTGCACTCCCCCTCCTTTGAAGCAGTAGAAAGGAAATGTAGGGGTTTGGGAAGTGACCAGTGGCTGTTTGGCTTTTTCTATCCACCAGGGGCCTGCTCTGTGAGTCGATCCTCCATTGACTTTCTGCTGACTCATAAAGGCACAGGCAACATGGTCATTGTGGTGATTGGTGGACTGGCTGAGTGCAGATACAGCCTGCCAGGTTCTTCTACCCTGGTGTTGAAGAACCGGTCTGGCTTTGTGCGCATGGCCCTTCAGCATGGGTAAGGACAGCTCCAGTCCAGGCTGGCGGAAGGGATCCAAAAGTGTTGCAGGGAAAGAAGAAGAGGGGGTTTTGATGAAAGGACATCCACAGAGAGAGGAGGAAGTATACAATACATTCTTACGAACTATGGTCATCAGAAAGATAAGTTTTATTTGTCAATTAAAAAAATAAATAAGTTAAAAAAAAAAAAGAGGGAGGAGGAAAGCCACCTCTGGGTTGAAGAGCTGGGGCCAGGTCCTGGAGGCATTTCTGCTGAAGCAGAATGGGCAGAGGGCCAGCCCTGAGCCTGTTCTCCCTCACACCAGCCTCTCATCTGGGCCGGCCCCTCTATACAAGGGGACTGGCAACAACCCTGTCTCAGAGAGAGCCAAGCTTAGCTTGTGTTAAAGTGAAGAAAATCAACTGGCATGGCCCTTGGGTCTTACTTTCCAGCGTTTCAGACCCAGGGGTTCCCAGGAGGGTCTGGGCTTGCCTCCTTCTTTAGCTTACTGCTACTTTGCTCCCACAGGCAGCCAGGGGTAGGCCATGGAGCCCCCACACTCAACTTGGACCTAGGCACAGCTGGACTGGGGTCTGAGAAGCCTGTAGGCAGACCCAGGGATCATGCGCCGTCAGCGTGTCTGGCATTCGACAAGGTCCCTACCTTTCTGGGCTTCAGAAGATATGCTTTTGCTCTGCAGGGTGCCTCTAATACCTGCCTATGCCTTTGGGGAGACGGACCTCTATGATCAGCACATTTTCACTCCTGGTGGCTTTGTCAACCGCTTCCAGAAGTGGTTCCAGAGCATGGTACACATCTACCCTTGTGCTTTCTATGGACGTGGCTTCACCAAGAACTCCTGGGGCCTTCTGCCCTATAGTCGGCCTGTAACCACCATCGGTGAGTGGGCGTTTCTGCTGGCAGCCTGAGTCTAGGACACAGGATCTAGCTCTGAGGCTGAACCTCAGCTCTGACTCTGCTCAGAGGCAGGGAGGCTGGCTGGGATGAGTGGCAGCTTTTTGAGGTGAGGATGGGGAAGAGTCTGGGCTTGAAGCCTGGGGCCCATTCTGAGGAATGAGCTATTCTGATGCTTTTCCCTTTTCCTTCACTGTCTCCCCTGGCAGTCGGGGAGCCTCTACCAATGCCCAAGATTGAGAATCCAAGCCAGGAGATCGTGGCTAAATATCACACACTCTATATTGATGCCCTACGTAAACTGTTTGACCAGCATAAGACCAAGTTTGGTATCTCAGAGACCCAGGAGCTGGAGATAATTTGACAGACATCCCCAGTAGCCTTCACCCTGGCTGGAAGGTATGGATGGACCCAGTGAGAACAGGAGGACAAAAGTCACCTATCAGGCTCCCGCTCCTGATTTGACCAGTCCTCCTTATGGGGAGGGGCTGTTTGTTCATTTGCTTGTTTTCTGCACTCCTTTTCCCACCTCCTTTTTTTTCCTTCCAGCTCTTTTCTGCCCTTTCTTTGCAGCTACTGGTGAGATAGTCCCAAGAAACAGGGAAGAGCCTAGGGGAGAGGTGCCCTGACGGCACTTTGGTGCCAGCATTGAGGAAAACAATGGACAAAATAAAAAGCCCATCTTCTGATAACTGCGTGTGCACCAACTACTCTGTTTTGAAGGCTCTGGGATGCATGTCTCTCCTTCTCTAGCTGTCAAACAGCCCCATCTCCCGGCATTGAGCCCCATCTTCTGGCATTGAGTCCTGCTTCCTACAGGAGTAGGACTGGGGCCTTGAGAGCCAGTGGGCTTTGAGTTTAAGCTCCACCAACTTCAAGCCATGTGACTTTGGGGCAATCAGTCACCTCTGAGCCTCCTTTCTTCTTCTATAAAATGAGACTAACAATCTGTCTCTTGCTTACCTCAAAGGCCGTTGGGAAGATCAAACAATATTGGATGTGATTGAACTTTATAAACTGGAGAGCTACACCATTTTCTTCTCCAACCATTTTACCCATTTCCTGTCCCTGAGCAAACAACGCCCGAAATACCCTCTGCTACCCACTAGCCCTCACTCAGTTTCTGCCTCACAAAGCTGTAACAGAATGGGTTGGGCTCAGGCCTAATTTTCTCTGTCATTCCCTCAGCAACTTGCCTATACTTGTGTGGCCCTATAATTCTGGCCTTTGTTTGAGAGTCAGCCAGCCTGCTCAGGATGAAAATGAGGCGCCTGGCTTTTAGCAGCCATAAAGAACTCTCCTTCTGAATGGCAAGTCTCTCAGACTCTTGGTCTAATGGCTGTTGCAATGACAGGCTACAAAATTTGGCTCACATCCCTCTCATTCCATCCCTCTTGGGTGGGTGCCATTTGGTCCAGTGATTTACCTGCATTACGTTGGTCAATTTGGTCTACAACATCCTGCGTGTTTACTGCAGTGTGAGCTGCTGCCTCTATCCTGGGTGCCTGCCTCATGTGATGATTTGTATACAGTGGCCAAAGACATGCTTCTGCTTTTCTGCTGTCTTTGTTACTTCTTGTGCCAGAGATTACGTTTTCCCTGAGCTTCCATAAAGTGTTTTTAAACAGTCTGTAGCTTTCCTGTGACTGGTTTCCTTAAAAAACAAACAAACAAACCTCTAAGGTGGCCATAGGACCAGCCTGGGCTCCAACACCCAGCCCATGCACACCTGGCCATTGCAGGTTTGTCGTGGTCTGCTGTGTGCACATTGTTCCACCTATACGATGGCACAGGGGCGGGCCCAGGGAAGCCAAAAGATTGGCGGGGGGCTGGGGGAAAGGCTGCTGGGGTTGTGAAAAGCGCAAGACCTCTCTTGAGCTACGTGTTCTTGAGCTGCAATCTGGTCTTTTTCATGTGAGCCTCTTCCTTATTGATTTTGGCTCAGGATGGATGGAGGGGAAAATAGGCAAATACTACTTTCCCAGGTAACAGCAGCCTCGGCTGGGAAGGAATCAGACCAGGTTGACACACTTACTAGTTGGGTAACTCTGGGTGAGCCACTTAAATTCAAATTAAAGTGTTGGTTTCCTCATCTGCAAAATGAGCTGGAGGCTGGGTCTACCCAGGCTATTTGGGGCCCAGGCCTGAAGTATCTTTTGTAGATGCCACATTCTTAAGCTGAGAGTGAGTCAGTTCTGTGTATTGCTGCCCCAGGACAATGTTCCTTTTGGCAGGACATCTAGCCTACCGGTCATGTGGTCACAGTCACAGAAGACCTAAGGCAAGGTTGTCTAACCTGTGGCCTGCGGGCCACATGTGGGCCAGGATGGCTTTGAATGGGGCCCAACACAAATTCATAAACTTTCTTAAAACATGATGAGAATTTTTTGTGACTTTTTTTTTTTTTTTTTTTTTTAGCTCATCAGCTATTGTTAGTGTTAGTGTATTTTATGTGTGGCCCAAGACAATTCTTCCAATGTGGCCCAGGGAAGCCAAAAGACTGGACACCCTGACCTAAGGTAATGGGGATGTGGGAGTGTGGTCTGAGGCATGGAGAGAATGTGGGATGTTCCAACAGGAAATTCAGACCATCTTCCTTCTGTTGCTGCCTCTGAAATGGGTGCCTTAGTCCTTCCCCTAGCTCATGTGTGGCGTCATTTGCAAAGAAGCACCTAACATGTAGGAAGTACTCACGCCGATTTCAAGAACAGACGGGGAAAGCGTTTTATTTGCAAAGAATAAACCATTAATTTACACAAACTTACATCCCAGTTTATATACATTATATATAGTTTATATACACAGTATCTCACACTGGATGCTGACCCCCAAAAGCAGCATTGGGCCTGCTCCAGGCCATTCTCACAACAAAGCCCACCCCCCAATCCCAGCTGGAGGAATATAGAAATGACACACCCCGAGCCCTCCTGGAGAGAGTCCTGAAATGGATTAAAAGACAAAAATCAGCTTTCTTCTTTGTGCTCACAGGGCCTAGAGGAGCCTCCAGGCAGGGATGGGTCCTGAGGCAGCATTACAGTAGCCTAAGGACTTGCTGGCACTGGGCCAGTCTTGTGCTTTCCAGTCCAGAGGCTAGAGCTGGGAGAATGCCTTGGGAGGAGGAAGAGTTCTGATGAAGGCTGCAGCTACTCTCTCCCTGCCTGGCCAGGCTCCTGAAGGGGGCCAAGTACTTCCAGCCTGGAGTTTGTGGGTGGAAGAAAGAAGATGGCCATGTGGGACAGGAACTGCTTTACCCCCTCACTCTGCTGAGTCTGGAGGTTGGTGCTTGCTCACCACTTGGGGCAGGTCATCTTCCCTCTCTGGGCCTCAGTTTCTACATAAGTAACAGGGTGGAATGTAGGTTGGGCTAGATTCCCTCTAAGGGCCTTTTTAGCTCTAAATTTCTCTGAATCTATTTGCATCCACAGGAAGTTACATAAACACATACACTCATACATGGATCAAAGTCTTTGTTTACCTCCAGGGTTCCTAGCTCTTTCCTGTTCAGCAAAAGAAATTTGGCTCAGGATGGATGAAGGGGGAAATAGGCAAATACTACTTCTCCAGGTAACCAGTAGCCGAGCAGCCTCCGCCAGCTGTCTTTTGTGCCAGCTTGGCTGTTGAAGCCCAAGTAACTGGCAGAGACTCCTGCCATGCCATTCTCCTTCAAACCTCTGTCATCTGCTTGCCCACAAATGTCCTCGTCCCATTCTCCATGCAAGCATTGGTCCTCTGGCAAATTCACACCAACATAATTCCAAACTGCACATCTATTTCCACATTCTCTCATCAGTAAATTGCTTTGTCACTTTGCCAATGACTTAGCAGCAATAGGGCTCCCCAGCTACCTATTGCTTCCCTCATCATCCCTCGCCCTCTAGAGTTCCTTTGGAGGGTTCAGAATGAATCAAGGGTCCAGTGGAGATCCTATTTCCTTTATCATCCCCTCCATGTCTGGAGAATAGAATGGTATCAGGATGCTCTTTAGGGGCACAATTAGGAAGACTTTTCCTCCTCTCTCCTCACACCTTTCTGGCCTCAGAACCAGTCCTCTCTTTCAGGTCTTCCCTCCATCCCTGAGAGACCCTGGTAGTATCAAAGTCTCTAAGGTATGGTGGAAAGAGATAAGGAGTCACACTAGTAGTTGTGGGAAGCAGGCTGGCTCCTGTAAGCTGTCTGTAGGGTAATGAAAGGAGGACTTTGCCCACAGTAGGGGCTCTACACATGATGGTTGGCTGGTTCCTAGGATGGGTGAAAGAACATAAAGGCCACAAGTTCTGTGGGTCCCAGAGGCCTGCTGCTCCAACATTGTGCCAGGAAGATTCTTCTGAACACAAGAGCTCTAAGGCTGTTCGCTGTTTTCCAAAGAAATGTCTGACTCTTTTTGCCACAGAGCCCCTGGCAGCCGAGAGGACGGGTATTACCATCGAGGAATGAAATCAGGCATCTCTGGGTTTCTCCCCGGAACTCTCAAGGATTTCAGTTCCCAATTACCACTTTTATTGGTTCTCTCTAGACCTCAAATTCCACACAATGCTGTGGTGTAATGGAACAGCTTTGGAGTCAGACCTGGCTGAAGCTCCAGGTCTGCGGCTTAAACTGGTCAAAACACTCTGAGAGTGCTACCTCTCTGAGCCTCATCTAAACAATGATGTTTGTCATATTATCAGCCTTGCCTTCTTCAAAGGAGATAATACAAGAGAAATTATTTTCCAAACATGAAGGAGTGGTTCTTGTTGGTTTCTGCTACAACTGCGGACTGTCCGAGGCACTTTATAGGAGTTAGGGCCAGACACATGCCTGGAGTTCACCTCACCTTGGGTTGCAAGGCTGTCATTAGCAACCAGACAACGGAGGCCTAGCCCATCACGTCTCACCCTGACCCTTGAAGGGCCAAGCAGTGTGGTTGCTTAGAAAGGGAAGGCACAGCTGAGAAATAAGTACCCGCTGTTCTTGGTGAATTTCAGCTGCCTGAAGGAAATTATTCCCCATCTCCTGAAAAGGAAACACATTTCAGGAACAAGAGGAGCAGACTGTACAAGGCTGGCCTTCCCAGGTTTGGGCTGGATCTAGCACCCAGAAACCAGGCTGAGCCCAGGCACTTTGAAGTAAGGCTCTCGAGGGTCCTACCATATGATCTGTTGGGAAGCTTGGGGTTTAGGGGAAGGTGAATTTGGACCTGAACTAGGGGGCAGATCCCTGCTCAGTGCCTAGACACTGGCTTCTCCTGAGCCTGGCTTTAGGGGAGCAGCATGAGCACCTGCGGTGACAATGCTCTGCTGTGGCTTTTTGAAGCCAGAGTGAAGAAAGACTGGGTTAGTACAGCATCAGCTGCTGGCCTTTCAGATAAGGCCTGGCCTAACGTCCACTTGGGTTGCAGCAAACTTGAACAAAATCCCTCTGTCCTATCCTCACCCCTTGCCCTTTCTAGGCCAGGTAAAAAGGCTCTGCCTTGCTAATGCCCAGGAGCAGTCTAGGATTTGGGAATTTAGAAGGCTGTGGTGAGGGCTAAGAGTCACAGGTACTAGAAATTGAAGGGACTTCTGGAGGTCATCCCGTCCAACCCTTCGTCCCCAGACAGAATTTGATTAGGAATGGATGAAAAACATTTGTACTGCTTAATAAATGGAAAATTCTGTTTGTGCCCAGGTAAGCTAAAGAATATCCCAGACTCACATGACCACAGGTCCCAGGTTAGGCACCTGTCTCAGACAGAGGTAGGCTCCATGGAGAAAGAAGACAGGAGTTCTAGTCAGGCTGGGAATGGGGGCAACTAGAAGGTGACCCCAGGGAATTTTCTGAGTGTGGAGCACAGCTGTAAATAAAATGAGAGTCATGTGACCCAAGTACGGATTCAGGGTCTTAGGCGGGCAGGTTTGTGGCCATTCCCTGTGATTGTTCCAAAGCACAGCAAACTTCCCAAAGCCCAGCAAGCTGCCACGGTGTGGCTGTCAGCTGGAGTGGGAAGAGCACTCCAACCCTCCTGCAGGCCACAGTATAGAGCAGAAAGAACATTCCCACTGCCAAGGATGCTCCTTGGCAGGTTTCTCTTATGGTCTCTGCCAAAAGCACCTGCCTTTTCCCTCTCTGGCCTTCTTCTTAGGCTGCAATGCTCCCTTCCCACTCCACCCCAGCCACTACCCTACCCAAGAGAGGAGCAGCAGCCCCCTTGGGGTCAGATGTCCACCCCCAGAGTCTGGAGTGCACCTTTGCTTTCTCTGGCCTGCTGCCCTGGATCCTCATTTTAGTGCAACAAACAATAGATCTGACAACAGGGACCTCGGGGTTGAAGAGTCATGCCATAAGTCAGTCAACATGGAACCAAAGAAGGTTCTGCTTCATGTAAACCCTGGGGCTCCATCAACTGTCCTGTTAACTCAAGGTCATTCTGGAAAGTCAAGCAGGCCTTGTCACCCTGGAGTCACTGGGGAATAAATAACACTGGGGCATTTCTCTGCGGCTGCAACACCAATACACCTCACTCCACAGCAGCACTTAGAGGTTCTGGGAGTCCTGGCTCCCAAACCCAGGGAAGGGGCACGGACAGAGGCAAAATGGGGGGAATCTAGGATGCAGGGGCTTCACCCAGCCTGATGGCCCCAAAGAACGTGGTGTGCTTGCTCATGTTGATGGAGATGTCAGCGTGCACCATCTTGACGGCGATCTTCTGCCGGGCCTTGAGGAGGCAGACGCCTGCGGTATAGCAAGTGTTGTAGTTGGTCTTGCCCGTCTCGATGCTGCGTGTGCACTGCAGGAAGGGCTTCTCATCCACCACCACCTCATAGCTGGCAAAGTCAGTGAAGTTGATGTAGTATACCTGAGTGAGAGGCAACAAGAAGGGATTGGGGAAGAGAGGAAAGAGAGGGTGGGGGGCCCTCCCTGTGGTGAATTGACAGAATCTTCTCAGATGAGCTGTTAGTATACCCCATGGATGGGGCAGTGCCATGTGAAGGCGTGCTAGCTGGCCAACAGGAAAGGACAGGTGACAGGCATTGTTCTTCCCCTAGTCCATGGGGCTCAGCTGGCTGAGCAAACTTTTCTTACAACAGCACACTTGTCGCAAACTCTGTAAGGCTAAGAACCATGCCCTATTTGCAGCTTCACCGTGCCCCTGTTCCCCCGCCCACCCCTGCCCCAGCCCTGACATGAAGCAGAGTGCTCTGCACGTAGCAGGTGTGTACACAGTGCCGTGGACACAAACTGACTTCCATTCTTGAGCCCCACGGACTATTTGTGGAGAAACTTAGAAGTCACTGATTCCCCAGAGAGGGCATGTAACAACTTGTGATTTCTTGAGCTCCTTAACAGAAGCTTATTCAGCTTGCACCACCCCTCCCCTGGGCCTGGACTCCCCTCACTGATTCACAGTGCCCCTTGGGCCTCCCATCTGATGATTGAGGAAACAGGTCCAGAGAGATCGAGAGCTAGCTACCACAAACAAGACAAAGAATTTGGAAAAGCCCAGGCCCCTAACTTTGTGGCCAGAAGGAAGCACTAACTTATGCTCAGTGGCCTAATGTCATGGGGATTTTCCCAGCCTGCATGGGCCACTCTCAATTCTCTCCTAGGCTCAGAAAATTAATTTTTCCATCCTTCACTACCCTTATCCATCATACCTCACACCAAGTTTTGATCTGCCGCCCACCCCCACCACGTGGAACTTGGCTCACAGGACATCAGGGTTATGCCCATGTGCCCCATGGGTGTTGGGACTCTCAGATATCACCGTAAATCATTTTATGAAAGGTCACTCCCTCTATCAGCTCTTCAGGTGGGAACAGCATATTTGGGTGCCATATACGGGTCAGGACCCAAGCTACAGCGGGGTGCTCAGTGTGCCTAGCAGATGCTTGTTAGCCCACCTTCTCTGGCCGCTCTCATGTGACACCCATCTGTTGGCTCCATAGTCCTTCTGTCCACCTGCCTGCTTGCTGCCCATCCCACAAAAATCCCAACCTCATGGCTCATCTTCCTTTATCTCCAAGGAGCCACTCCCATGGAGGCAAACAATGGGGGAACGGAAGTAGATGGACACTGGTGGACTTGGGGAGCGGGCCCAGGGCAGGAAGAGGACAAAAGCAGAGGGAGAAAGGGCTGGGAGAATGACAGCAGGAAGGAGGCAAGAATAGAGGAATAGAAAGATAGGGAAACAAATGGGAGAAAGAGGAAGGAAAGACAGTCAGAAATCTTTTTGAGGTGGAAAGAAAGTCTGCAGGAGCACTATTCATTACAACGTCCGAGCCAGCAGTGTTGAGGGAAAGGGTTCTCAGTAACCCTGGAACTGACTTTCAAAGAATGTACTGAGACCAAGTTCAAGTTTGGCAGTGCAGCCAAACAGCTCAGAGGGTAAACAGGGGCCTGAGGCCCTGCAGGAGGGAATCAGATGGCAGGGTGTGGGAGGGGTCTTTTTCACAGTTTTTCAATAATATTTGGCTAAGGAAAAACAAAACAAAACAAAACAAAAGAAGCTGGCCCCCTCTCTCTTTCCTCCTTTCAACTCCCTCCCAGTGCGGTCCCCCCACCCCCTCACCCAAAGCAGGAAGTTAGCCATTGGATGGTCTTGGCTGGCTCCACAGTGCCCCTATGTGGCCTGCACCGGATCTGCATTCTGGATATAAGAAGAGTTAGGCCTAAGACCGTACTCACTTCTACCTGACTATAGATGAAGTAGGTGCCGTCCACCAGTACCTCCAGCTCCCCGCTGCGGGGATGTAGCTTAAACACCTTGGGGTTCATAGTGATGCGAGACCAGTCATTGAGCACTCCACCTGAAAGATCTCAGTATGAGAGAAGGGCAGTCACTCAGTACATGTCAGAATAATCGAGGCAACAGAAAATAAATACCAAGGAGTTCACAACCCCCACCCCTATCCCAGTGCAACCAGGGTAGCCTAGAAGGCCAAACTTTAAGAAGAGCATTTGAAAGCAGAGAAGCTGTTCTGTTTGTAAAGCAGCTGCCAGGCCTGCTTCAGGGCTCCTGGGCTCTGCCTGTCTGTCTTTATCCTTCCTTTCTTGACCCTTGCATCTGGAAGGGTCTTTAACCAATACCTTCTAGCTGGAATTTGCCGGTGGAGGATGAGAGTGGGCATGCTGCCCTATTTTCTTTGTTGTTATGGGGCCTGCACAGGCAAAATTCAGACACTGAGTGGCAGGCTAGGTCTTATTATTCAATTTTACTTTCCCAGCCAGAGCTCCTGAATCCCTCTCATCTCATAGGTTCATGGGTTTTCTCTTTCTCCTTAAGAGATTCTTTTTTACGGTTCTTCCACACCCACAGCTTTCTGGAAAGCCTCCCTGGGAGGAAACCACTCAGCCCACTGTCTATCTGGAGAACCTTAGGGATTAGAGATGATTCAGACTCCATGGTAACTGGGGCTACTGACCACTAGTACCAGGGCCCCATAGGTGAGAGGGATCCTTATGAGAGTGAAGGATAGACTGGCAGGCTGCAATAGAGCCAGCTGGGAGGATAGGAGCCGAGCCACCCTTGGCAAAGCATCTGTCTCAGCCCCACCCCAGGCAGGGGTGGAGGGGGCAGTCACACTCCTTTGGACAGCGGAAGCCAGTGTGTGAGGATGGAGGAAAAACTTCTCTTTCCATCCTGCAGAAAGAGGAATGTTCCTTCCCACCATGAGAGGAGGACATCCAAGCCCAGGGAGCCTTTTCCCCTCTAAGCCATCCATCCTGCACCCAAGAAATTATATTTTATAAGTCCATCTTTGGCCAGTTTCAGTAGGCCTGCCTGTCTGAGGGGTGAGGAAACAGCCTTTCTGGAAAAGGTGACCATCTTTCCTTGAGGTGGTAAGTAGATGGGCTAGGAGCTGCCCTGGCTCTGTCCCATCAATGGACCACTCTGCATGACGTCCTCCAACCCCTGACCCCATCACTTCTTCTTCTTTTTTTTTTTTTTCTGAGATGGACTGTCACTCACTCTGTCACCAAGGCTGGAGTGCAGTGGTGTGATCTTGGCTCACTGCAACCTCCACCTCCCGGGTTCAAGTGATTCTCCTGCCTCAGCCTCCCGAGCAGCTGGGATTACAGGTGTGTGCCACTATGCCCAGCTAATTTTTGTATTTTTTGTGGAGACGGGGTTTCACCATGTTGGCCAGGCTGGTCTCAAACTTTTGGCCTCATGTGATCCGCCAGCCTCGGCCTCCCAAAGTGCTGGGATTACAGGTGTGAGTCACTGCACCCCACCCCCATCACTTCTTCTGGTAGTACTAAAGGTCAGCACAGACCACCTCTGAGGATTGGCCCAGAGGGGCTGGAAACAATCTTATTATGTGGCAGTGGGAGCAAAATCAGTGGCTGCTAGCACAGAATAAACACTATCCATCTAGATATCCAAACAAATCTATTTTGGCCTGTCTCTGGCCTCCCTGGACAGGTGGGGATCATGGCCCACTCAGGGCCTTGGGGTCCCCAGCAGGACCAATTGGGTTTTGGTGCCATTGTGTTCCTATTTACACTTCTGAGGCTACTAAGTCAGACATGGAGGTGGCAGTCAGGGAAGTAGCTAAATACAGTCATTAAGGAAACTCAGCACAGCCAGTTCAGGACTGACTGAGTTCTTAGAAACTGTCCCCATGTAGCTGTTTTTTTTAACCTTCCTTTACCGTTTCTGTACTCACAACCCCTCCCTTCCACCCCAAGCTCTGTAAGCATCTGGCATCTTGGCTAGCTTGCTGCTTCCCAAGGCTCCTGGGGGTTCACGCATTTTAGGCTTTGTGCACTCTGGGGACTGGACATTATTCCAAAGTGCTGTTCTTTCATGAATGTTCATGTTTCTTTGGGGGAAGAAAATGAACCTAATCATTCAGTGGAGTGTACATACATATCACTGAAGTAGCACAGGGGAGAGGAAAGAGTCAGAAAGATGTAGTTTTGAATCCTGGCTCCTAAACTAACTTGACTAAGAAATATTGGGAAACTTAATTAATCTCTCTGAACTTCACTTTCTGTCTTGTAAAAAGGAGCTCATACCTACCTCATAGGGTGGTTGTGAGGACTGAATGAAATTAAAGACAAAGAAAGTATGCTGAGAACTCTAAAGTATCGTACAAATATGAGACAGCATGATTTATTATGGTATTATCCAATCTCTCTGGGACTCTGTTTCCCCATCTTTTAAATGCAGGGATTACAACAAATCAGTGTTTCTTAACCCCATTAAACATGTTCTCCTTTTTGATAGACACTAGCATCTTAAATTCCCTGGAGATTCTAACATGCCCCACCTTCCCTGAGAGATGCAGCCTGTCTGCCCACCTGTGTAGATCAGACAAGAAAAATTTAATTTTACATAGTTTTACTTTCTATAATTTGTATTGTGAAAATATTAATCTAACTACACATATCTCCATGGTGGCTCTGATATAACCTCCATCCCCTGAGAATGCCTGGGCTAGATGATGTCTCAAGTCCCTTTCAGCTCCGTCATCAGTGATTCTAAAGCAATTTGGGTGTAGCAACTGGTCTTGATGCCAGCAATTGCTCAGGACAGCCAGTAGAGGGCATGATGGAGCAAAGAATGACTTCGTATGCCAACGGTACCTCAGCGGCCTGGGAGGAACTAGGCTGGGTGATTATTTGGAGGCTGGGGAGGAGGCAGGGGAGAAGCTCCTCTTTGGGAGAGAGCCTATTTTGATTCTTACCATTCTTGACTTGAATTGCTGACCCTTGGCCCTGTAGATGCACCACAGCTGGCTGGCAGGATGAGAAGGATAGAGAGTAGTCACTATGAGTAATGGCTGCTTGCTCAGCCACCAGTCCCATGTTTCCATCCTGGTTTCTAGTCTTCTATTGTAATCCAATTCTGATCCCTCTCCCCTGTCTTGGGATGTTACTGACTACATTTCTACTAGAGGGTAATATGATTTTGTAGCTCTACCGCTTCCTAGCTATGTGACCTCAACCAAATGTAATGCCTCTGAGCCTCATTTCCCTAACTGTAAAATGGGGATTATAAGAATGTCTGGCCTCTCTCACAGGGATGTCTGAAGATCAAATGAGGTGATGGATATAAAATTGCCCTGCAAGCCGTCAAGCACTGTGCAGCTGTGTAGATTTATCACTGTGGCCACACAGCTGTAGCAAGGGAGGCTGAGATGAGACAAGGCAAGGCAGTAGAACCTGCCAATAGAGACAGATTAGGAAGCTCAAAGACTGGGAGGAGCTCTTCAGGCCATTAAGGCAGACGCCCAGGCTAGGCTGGGCCTGGAGCTGGTTGGCTGTTTTTCAAGGACATACTCTTCAACTCTTCAGCTCCGGATCCCAGGTGGTCTGAGAGCCGGCAAGGTGTCTGGGGTGGTTGGGGAGTTGGAGGCTCAGGTGAATAGGTCTGACTGGCAGCTTATTTCAGCTGACTACTGGGCCTGGCTATGGTGAACCTGGGGTCTCCTGTGGAATGAGGAAAAATGATCCTGGCAAGACACCCTTTCCTTAGCTAAAAACATGCCCTGGGGCAAAGCTTTTCTATTCATAGAGATGGGAGGGGGCTGTGAGTGAAAACCGTCAGAATCTCCGGGGTGTTCTCATGAAATAAAGCCTCAGGAAATCTAATAAGAAGCTAATTTAAAGGTGGCTCTAGCCTGTGGCTTTCCCTCCTACCCAGGAAGAGAGCAATCCCCAGCCAACCTGGTTTTCTCGAGTTCCAGCTTTATCAGCAGCACCTGCAAAATAGGATAGGACAATCAGAGGGCATAATCTTTTGACTTCCTTTTCCCCTCACCTGAGCAGCTAGTGGTGGTGAGCCATGCTCCCTGCAGCCAGCCCTGTCTGAGCTTTATTCTCCAGGGCTCAGAGCTGGAGGAAGAGTCAGAGTGCACCCCTTCTGTTTCCTGCCCTGACCTTCATCTTCAGTGGGCCCAGCACCCAGCAGGGAAACTTCTGAGTATTGCCTCTGGCCAATATTAGCCCAAGGCAAGCCCCACCGGGCACCCATGGAGAACAATGAGAGAGCATTCCCATCACTGTGTGACCCTGAGGCAATGGCATTGGCTTCTCTAGTGTTTTGCTCCCTTTCTATTAATTTTCTTCATAGAGCCCACTGCTATTTGTAAATATCTTGTTTCTTTGTTCTCTCTTCCTCTAGGAGATAAACTCTATAAGAAAAGGGACCATGTATCAATATATCTCTTTGTATACAGAAAGTGCTCAATATTTAAGGAATGATTGGTTGAAAAAAAATCTCTAACTCCATCTCTTGTGGCCATGGTAACACTGCTGAGCCCTGTGTGAAGTACAAGTTAAAGAATCTGAATCCTGCTGCAGAATTCTTGCCCCTGGAGAAATCAGCTGTAAGGGTCCATTTCTTTAAAGCCCCAAGATACAGGGCAGGGGAGTGAGGAGCAGGAGAAAGAAATAACAACTGACATTAGCCCAGGCAGTCTGACTCTTGTCAACTCCAATTAGGCAGGTTTGGATCTGCATTCATACCTTTCGGATGCCCTTCAGGGCTTAAGGAGAAAGATGCAAAGGGATGAAATGACATTTGAATGGCAAGTGTGGTAGGGTAAGGATCTAGTGCAAGAAGCACTTGGTTCCCGGACAGGACAGCCTTGGTGCCTGGGTTTGCTTCATCCACAGCCTGAGTGACTCTTAAGTTTCTAACTTCTTGACCATTAGTGACTACTTGCTATGGGAAAAGCACTTCAGACTTCACAAGATGAAACTATCCTAGGGCTTGTCATTTTGTTCAGTCCTCAACTTTCTACTCCATAGCCTATTTCTATGCAAACATCAGCATGTGGAGCTAGATGCTGGGAATCACAGAAGATTACATCTATTCCCCACTGGAACTCCTGTGAACCACCAGGGCCTCTGTCTCTGGCTCATATGAGTTTTACTGGTCCACTACAGGGAGGCCAAGAGTCAGGGAGGGCTTGTAACAGAAGGGTTGAGATGGGGCAAGAACAGGTGGCCTGTCCTTGACAGTTTGGTAGATATAAGAAGCTAGAGCAGGCCAGGCCCTACTGGCTTGTCCAATTCCTAGTTTTACACTGGGCTAGGAGATCTGCATCCCTTATTGCACACCAACCCCATCTCCACCGTTTGAAACTGCTCTCAGGATCACCCACTCCTGCTCTCCTAAAGTACTTTAAAGGCACCTGGTGGGGTGGAGAGACAGGGGAACTCACCAGAAGGTCCCTGGAGGCCAGGGGGTCCTTGAGGACCAGGAGGACCTGGAGGACCAGGTGGTCCCATAACAGTTGTTCCTGGAATTCCAGGAATCCCTGGAATTCCTGGGGGTCCCTGGGGTCCTGGAGGTCCTGGGGGTCCTGGAGGGCCATTGGGTCCAGGAGGTCCTGCTTTCTTTCCTGAAAAATAGGATTCAGTGTTACTTTTTTTTTTGAGACGGAGTCCTGCTCTGTTGCCCAGGCTGGAGTTCAGTGGCACGATCTCGGCTCACTGCAACCTCCACCTCCCGGGTTCAAGCGATTCTCCTGCCTCAGCCTCTGGAGTAACTGGGATTACAGGCGCGTGCCACCGCGACCTGCTAATTTTTGTATTTTTAGTAGAGACGGGGTTTCACCATGTCGGCCAGGTTGGTCTCAAACTCCTGACTTCGGGTGATCTGCCTGCCTCAGCCTCCCAAAATGCTGGGATTACAGGCGTGAGCCACCGCGCCTGGCCTCAGTGTTACATTTGTAGTTATTTCCTGTGATGAGTGTACTGTCAGGAGTTCTACAGACTTCTGAGGACACAAAGTCAGCTCTCTGGGAGGCCCTGCTAAAGAGTTGGATACCTTTATCACACATCTCTGTCTCCCTGTCTCCGTCTGTCTTATGCTTTCTCTCCCCTCCCCCCACTCCCTTTTGTGAATATGCATTTACAAAGCTAGGTTTGAGCATATAGAAATAAGTGGCCCTCCAGGAGATCAGTCTGTGTCTGTGGGGAAACAGACACAGTCATGGGATAGTAGAAGTGCTACCTTAGTGGGTAGGGACCAAATGCTGAAGAGGTCAGAGAAGGTTTCAAAAAGGAGGTTACATTTCAGCTGAGTCCAAAGGATGAGAATTTCTCTACCAAGTGATTAGACCTATGGGTCACTTTGTGGTTCTTTTTAGAAAGGGCTATTGTTGAAGAATGTGGAGCTTTTATGTTTACTGCCCAGTTTGGTGGACTTGATGTCGATAACAAGAGGAAGCCGTACAGCCTGGCCTTAGGAACAGTATCAGCTCCAGGAAGGTTCCTCCAGGAGTCAGGATGTACAGGAAATGGGGGTTGGGATGGGGACAGTGCTAGTCGGGAATGAGGAATGGGAAGGAGTTTTGGAGATGGGGGAATGGAGAAGGAGGAAGAGGGGCACGGAAAGAGGAGGAGGGAGAGAGAGAGATATTGAGAAACAGGAAAGAAGCAGAGACAGAGAGTAGAGGGAGCTGAGGAGGAGGCAGCAAGTTTCACTCTCTCAGCTGACCTCTGTAAACTCTATTTTAAAAGATCTCTGGGAAAGGAAATTCTGCAAACTCCATAGTAACATGTTCCAATGTTTATTGCCCCTCACTGCTCACTGTTAGGAAGTTCTCTGGTATATTAAATGATGTCCCTCTTGTGGCAGTTTAAGCTCTTATTCTATTTGTGTAGACAGAGAAGAATATACATATACATAATAATCCTTATATATGAAAAGAAATTAAGTTACCCACCAACCCCTATTTCTATAGGCTAAATAATCCAGCTTCCCAAAGTCTTTCCTCAGAAGTCCCATTCTCAAATGTATTATTAATCATGCCCACCAACTCTTCCCCCTTTCCTCCTTGCTATCCTTCTAGAACAATCTCGACCCTCCTATTTCATATTCCAGTCCTTTCAACATTCCCACCAGGATGTAGTTATCTTAAATGAGTCATAACTGTGGTCTTGAACCAAAACCTCCAGCTCTTCCTGTTGACTTCCTCTGCTCTGTGCAGCTCCACTCAAAGACTACATGTAGGCACAGGTCTTCTTCCTTCCTTCACCACCTTCTCACAATTTTATGGAAAGTTTCAGGAATGGAAGCCTGTTTCCAGACTTCATCACAATGTCTTCACCTGAGGTAGTTTCTTAGTTTTAAATACAACCTTCTCTAGTCTCACTAAAAACCTTCTTACTGACTCTGACTTCTTGCTCCCCAGACACTTAGGCAGGAGAATCTTGTCCTGATTTATCAGGTCCTCCCTTAAGAACAATGCCTCATGGCCAAGAAACCCAATCCTCATGGCAATGCCACTCAAGAGGCCATTTGTCTATGTCTAACCACATCTGCATTTGGAATGAAACCATGGGGTCATCGTGGGGTCTCTTCCTCAGAAAGGAAGGAAAGGAAGGTCCAGAGAACATCTCTCCCAGAAGAGTCCCTGTAGCCTTAAAGACCTAGAGGCATGAGCTTTAGAGGTTTCTCTGCACTTAGCAGCAAAAGATTGGATCTGCCCCGTTTCTAGATCTAGCCAATTTCAAGATGCTGAACAGGAAAACCATCTCCTTTCAGATTTGGGCAGCTTCCAAATCAGGCTTATTCAGAGCCCAAGTTTCAATTCCAGCTAGTGTAGTGGAAAGAACACAAAATCTGTACTCAGGAGATAAGGATGTAAGCCCCAGCTCTGCCACAGACACACTTTGGGCAAATCCCTTCCTCTCCTTGAGCCTTAGTTTCTACATCTGTGAAACAAGGAGCTTGGCCTCAATGATTTCTCTGTTTCCTCATGAGACTGAGTTTCTATAAGGAGGGGTGGCTTACCCCTTGCAGTCAGGAAGCTTTCTTAGCCTGGTTGTAAGGTTTGCTTCTCCCTCCTTATTTTCTAGGTGGCACAGACACAGAAGTTGGTGCATATTAGGCTGTCCTGTGTTCCAAGATTTCCAAGCCTAACAGTGATTTTCAAGCTAGAGGGTGTTCTGTGGGTAGCACAAACTTCACCTTCAAGAATGTGAGTCTCCTGTAATTGCTAATGTAATTTTGGAAGAATTAGAGCCAGAAACTCCTCCAGTCCAAGAGACTAATGGTTGCAGTGAAAACAGAGAATGTTCACTTATGAAAATGTTAGAAGGCATTTGAGAAAAAAAAAAACTCCTGCTTTGTTCCAGTTCTGCAGCTGGTCCTCTGCTTCTCTGCAACAAGGGTTAGGCAAGTGAGCTTCTCACACTTGCATACTTACACAAAGTTGGGCCCAGAGAAGAGAATGTACAAAATGACCCCTGGAGCAAGAGGATAACTTCAGAGGATTGACTCCCTTCTCTCGATTTCCTTACTTTAACAGAACACCTCATGATATAAAAGCCCAGAGACGTTTGTACTTAGAAACATACCCTATGTAGTGTTAGATGAAAGAATATACACATTCCTTTCAAAGCTAAACTTCATCAAAGGAGTATTTCCTTAACCTTTTAGCTAAGCCCAAAATCAAAGAACAACCAAAAGTGAGTGAATGAGTGAGTGAGAGAGAGTTGTGGAAGGAGGAAAATTCCATTAAAGGGTGAAAATTAAGAGAACAATTCAATTTACCTCTTCAAGCATGTGCCTATTCACCATGTCCAAGGAAATCCATATTAAATGGCTTCTAAATAACTTTCAGCCAAAGTAAATGTTTAAAGCCTATGTGCACTGTCTTCTCAATAATGTCCCGTACACAAGGTAGCAGTGCCAGGCAATGATCTGAGTTATAATTTCTGTTTTAAAGGGATATGACAAGAGTTAAGAACTACATGTTTGAAAATCAAATCTACTTTCTTAAAAGACAGAATATCTTGGTGGTAAGTGCCCAGGCCCCACAGGGAAAGGTTTCCTCACTGACTCCAGCTCCCTGGCTGTTTTCCAGCCTTGCTCAGTTCAGGCCCTCAGGAGGCCAGGCCATTCCTCAGCTTCTTTACAACAGGCACACAACTTTTCCATGTGGACTATGATACCTCAAGGCACCAGAGTACCCTAGTGTTCAAAGAAGTGGCAGACTGCAGCTGAAGCCAGTCTTTTTGGCCTAGTCCGGGGTTGACAATCTATTCTATAAAGCTCCATAAATCTTATCACACAGCATCATTTCACTTAAAGCATTTTAATGAACAATCATTAGTTTTACTCTGTCTTCCTCCCAGGTCAGAACCCAGAAACAAACAGGTGCTTTAACTAGTTTCATAATTGGTTCTTTCAGTCCTAAGAAGTAGACCATATTGCCTGGCCCTGTCTTTGGAGACTGTTCTGTCTTTGGATTGATTCTCCTCTTTTAGTAAGTGAGCACTTGTAGATGCCCTAGGGCCAGTTTCATTGCAAGTACACTGGGGACTTACTGACCCAACAACGGCACAATGGAAGCTGCTTTGAAAAGACTAAATGGTCAGGGTACTACTCCAGAATAGCTTTTTCATTACAGAGAAAATGATATTGAATCCTCAAAGCAAGAAATACCTTCCCTGACTCTTTGGGAAATCAAATCAGGGAAGCTTTAAGTCCAAGAAATAGGGTACTGACATCTTTTGATAGGTAGCGTATCTAGTTCCTACATGGTGACACAGGATTTCATTCACACTCAATCACTGATTTGATAAAGGAGGAAAAAAAGGATAAAAGCGAGTGCCTGTAATCCCAGCTACTCAGGAGGCTGAGGCAAGAGAATCGCTTGAACCCCAAAGGTGGAGGTTTCAGTGAGCTAAGATTGCATCATTACATTCCAGCCTGGGCAACAAGAGTGAAACTCCGTCTCAAAAAAAAAAAAAAAAAAAAAAAAAAAAGAATAAAAAGAAGGGCAGGGAGAAGAACAAGGAAGAATGAAAGAGGTGAATCATCACTGAAGAATGATTTCTTGTTCTTCAGAAACTACAATACTCAAGAAGATAACATATGATTGAATAAAATAACAGACAGACAATGCTGAAAGAATATAATACAAAAATCGCACTCTTGATTTTTTTCTTCTAACTTTAGAAAATATATGACAAGACAGCAATTTTATAAAGTCAGGAACTTACCCTTTTTCTTGTTTTTAACTGGGCCTATAAGAAAAATAAAATAGATAATTAAGTCATTGGAAATGAACAGAAAATGTTTATTTTCTAAGATAGTCACTAGGAGGGATCCCCAAGACACTGCAAATTTGAGGGAGTCTCACAGCCAAGGGTCAGGCTTTTGGCAAGGATCCAACTATCAAACCTCCCCATTCTGTCTTCTGACTCCTGAGGCCACAAAAGTTTCAAGGAAGATTCTTCCCTAGGGAGAAAAATCTCTCTACTTCAGTCTTTGGGGTGAGGGAATGGGTACTTCCCCATAGAGATGAAATGCCCAGAAATGCACAACTCAACAACCTTAGGACAGCATTCCATTAATTCTGCAAGTCCTGAGGTTGAAGAGTCATGCGTTCAGGTGAGAATCTGATATGAAGTCTCGTGTTGAACTTGGAAGGAGCAAAGGGTCATTTTCATGGAAAGAGCAGAGCAGCAGTGTTTAACTTTTAGTCACTTCCTTATCATGATTTAATTTGTTACTTATTAAAAGTTTGACCATAATACACTCTTGAGGGCCACATGCATTTCCATTGTAATTTACTATAAGTTAATGGACACTTTAAAAGAAATGTCGGCCGGGGGTGGTGGCTCACACCTGTAATCCCAGCACTTTGGGAGGCCGAGGCGGGTGGATCACGAGGTCAGGAGATCAAGACCATCCTGGCTAACACAGTGAAACCTCGTCTCTACTAAAAACACAAAAAATTAGCTGGGCGTGGTGGTGGGCGCCTGTAGTCCCAGCTACTTGGAAGGCTGAGCCAGGAGAATGGCGTGAACCTGGGAGGTGGAGCTTGCAGTGAACCAAGATCACGCTCTACACTCCAGCCTGGGTGACAGAGCGAGACTCCATCTCAAAAATAAATAAATAAATAAAATAAAATAAAATAAAATAAAATAAGACATGTCAACCATTTCATTGGCAGTGAAATCACAAGCATTTTATTGGAAATTACTTCTAAGGAAAATAATTCTAATCAATTGAAGGTACTTAGAAAACCCAAGGTGTTTCTAACATAGTTAGGTGACCGCAACTCCCCAAACAGTTTAGGTCGCTCCCAGACAGTCATTTTTTTTTTCCCTTCTAGGAAATAAATTCTCTTCATTCTGTATACGGATTTGACTTTCTTTAAATACAGGTATTTAAAATCTGTTCCAAACTGCCATGAAGACACAGTTATACATTAAACCACTGTCAGTGCCCTCAAGAGCTTACAAAAGGAACACCAAGCATTTCAATATTATAGTTTATAAAACATATTTCCATTTATCATCTCATTTGATATTTGCAACAAACGTGGAATGATCTCTAACTATAAGAGCAGGCCCTATTAGAGATCAGTAAAGTCTCTAACCTGGAGGGCTGCCAGAGTGGCCATCAGAGCTTTCACAGGTCCCTTGAAAAACCAATGTCTGTGTAGACTTTTCTGGCAAAGTAATTTCATGTGCAACAGTAGCTATTGTTATGTCCAGGGGATGTTTTAGATTGGAGCAACCTGCTGTACTTAAGGTCATGAATCTCAATTCTCTTTTCCTTCTCTCTTCTCCTCTCCTCTCCTCCCAGTTCTTTGTCTTCTTTCTTTGTTACCCATCCTTTATGAATTTTTTTTTTAACAGCATTGCGAGTTCTTGAAAATGTGCTTGGAAGTTCTGAGAGGAAAGCACAACTACATAGACATTAATGATATGAGGCAGCGACTCAACCTGAGAAACGCCTTTTTCTTGAACAAGAAAGCTGTTTGGGGAAAGATTTACACAGAAAGGGCTCAGCTCTATCAGCCAGCTAGCCACCACAGCCTAGGAGAGTAGTAGGAAGACAGCCATTATGGCTACCCTGCCCTCTTTGCAAAGGTGTGCTGGCCCGGACCAAGTTTTTGACCGTTTCAGCTGGTTAAGGGTAAGCACTGTTATATCAGACTTCAAAAGCAGACTTTGAAGAAATCAGGCCATCACCAGCCAACCAGTCCTTACAGAGTATGTGTATGGAAGGCAGTAAATAATGAAACGCAACTCACAACTCTACCTTCAAGAACTTACAGTTGAATAGGGAAATACAAAAGATGAGGGAGTGGCTTCAGGAATTATACTGGCCACTTAAGGGGAACAAATAGCTTCCTGGAGAAGGTCTGACTTAAATCCACAAGTGAAAAGAGAGAAATGGAAATTTTAAAATCTTTTTAAGCTTCTATTATTTTCATACAAAATATACCTACTCCTTACACATACATAAACGCATGCATACATACGTATATACATACAAAAGAGGAGCAAAAGGAAAAAGAGCTTATTAAAGCACCCCCAAATAATCACTACTAACATTTCATGCACATCTAGAAGTCTTCTATGTATATAAATAGGTATTTTTACAAAATGGGATCAGATGAAAAATGTCATTTGATAACCTTTTTTATGTCAATAACTACATTTTTACATTGTAATTTTTAATATGGATGCATCAGCGTTTAATCATCTTTGATAAATATTTAGATTGGGTCCAGTTTTTCACTATTATAAACAATGATGTACATTTATAAACAATGTATGTTTATAAGCAATTTATATGTACATTTTATAAACAATTTATATGTACATTTATAAACAATTTATATGTTATGTACATTTATAAACAATGATGTACTTTTTTTTTTTTTTTGAGACGGAGTCTCGCTCTGTCGCGCAGGCTGGAGTGTAGTGGTGCGATCTTGGCTCACTGCAAACTCTGCCTCCCGGGTTCACGCCATTCTCCTGTCTCAGCCTCCCGAGTAGCTGGGACTACAGGCACCCGCCACCACGCCCGGCTAATTTTTTGTATTTTTTTAGTAGAGATGGGGTTTCACTGTGTTAGCCAGGATGGTCTCTATCTCCTGACCTCGTGATCCGCCTGCCTCGGCCTCCCAAAGTGCTGGGATTACAGGCGTGAGCCACTGCACCCGGCCCCACATATGTACATTTTTATACACTTGTCCAAAGGTTTTTTAGGATGTGTCATTAGAAATGACACTGTTGGGTCAAAGGGTGTGAAAAGCTTTCCTTACATGTAGTTAAACCTAATAATCTTTTCCTATATGGTTACTGCCTTCAGTGTCATGCTTACTTAGGCCTTCCCTAATGTGATATTATAGGTAACTCTTTATATATTTTCTAGTTCTTTTATGGTTTCATTTTTATTTTTAAATCTACAATTAATCTGGTATAGATTTTGGCATACAGTGTAAGACAAAGAGTTAACTAAAATTTTTATATTTTTTCCCTAAAATGCCCATGACATGAAGAGTACCAACAGAAACAGGGCTCAAAGTCATTTCTTAAACTTTTATTTTAGTTTCTGGGGTACATGTGCAGGTTGGTCCTATAGATAAACTGTGTGTCACAGGGGTTTGGTGTATATATTATTTCATCACCCAGGTAATAAACGTAGTACCCAATAAGTAGTTTTTTGATCTTCACCCTCCTCCCACTCTCCACTCGCAAGAAGGCCCTGGTGTCTATTGTTCCCCTCTTTGTGTCCATATGTATTCAATGTGTAGCTCCCACTTATAAGTGAGAAGATGTAGCATTTGGTTTTCTGTCCCTGCATTAGTTTGCTTGGGATTACAGCCTCCAGGTCCATCCATGTTGCTGCAAAGAACATGATCTCATTCTTTTTTATGGCTGCATATTATTCCATGACATGTATGTACATTTTCTTTATCCAGTCTACTGTGCTGCATAGTATTCCATGACATGTACGTACATTTTCTTTATCCAGTCTACCGTTGATGGTCATCTAGGCTGATTCCACATCTTTGCTATTGTGAAGAGTGCTGCCATGAACATACATGTGCATGTGTCTTTATGGTAGAACAATTTATATTCTTTTGTGTATATACCCAATAATGAGATTGCTGGGTTGCATGCTAATTCTGCTTTAAGTTCTTTGAGGAATCACCGCACTGCTTTCCACAATGGCTGGACTAATTTACACTCCCACCAGAAGTATATAAGTGTTCCTTTTTCTCCACAATTTCACCAGCATCTCTTATTTTTTGATTTTTTTAGTAATAGCCATTCTGACTGGTGTGAGATGGTATCTCATTTAGTTTTGATTTATATTTCTCTAATGATCAGTGATGCTGAGCATTTTTTCATGTGCTTACTGCTCATGTATATGTCTTCTTTTGAAAAGTGTCTGTTTATGTCCTTTGCCCACTCTTTAATGGGGTTGCTTGTTTTTTTGCTTGTATATTTGTTTAAGTTTCTTATAGATACTGGATATATCTTTGTCAGATACATTGTTTGCAAATATTTTCTCCATTCTTTGGGTTGTCTGTTTACTCTGTTGATAGCTTCTTTTGCTGTTTTGCTATGCAGGAGCTCTTTAGTTTAATTAGGTCCCATTTGTCAATTTTTGTTTTTGTTGCAATTGCTTTTCATGTCTCTGTCATAAATTTTTTTCCAGGGTCTATGTCTAGAATGGTATTTCCTAGATTTTCCTCAAGGGTTTTTATAGTTTTGGGTTTTAAATTTAAGGATTTAATCCACCTTGAGTTAATTTTTGTATATGGTGTAAGGAAGGGGCCCAGTTTCAATTATCTCTGCTTATGGCTAGCCAGCTATCCCAGCACCATTTATTGAATAGTAAGTCCTTTCTAGATCGTTTGTTTTTGTTAATTTTGTCAAAGATCAGATGGTCATAGGTGTGTGACATTATTTCTGGGCTACCTATTCTATTCCATTGTTCGATCTGTACCATACTGTTTTGGGTATTGCAGCCTTAACATATAGTTTGAAGTCAGGTAATATGATGCCTCCAGCTTTGTTCTACTTGCTTTGGATTGCCTTGGCTATTCAGGCTCTTTTTTGGTTCCATATGAATTTTAAAATAGTTTTTTCTAGTTTTGTGAAGAATGTCATTGGTAGTTTGATAACAATAGCATTGAATCTGTAAATTTCTTTGGGTATTATGACCATTTTGACAATATTGATTCTTCTGACGCATAAACATGGAATGTTTTTTCCATTTGTTTGTGTCATCTCTGATTTCTGTGAGCAGTGCTTTGTAATTCTCAGTGTAGAGGTCTTTCACCCCTTGTTTAGCTGTATTCCTAGGTATTTTATTCTTTTTGGGCTGTTGTGAATGGGACTGCATTCTTGTTTTGGCTCTCAGCTTGGATGTTGCTGGTGTATAGGAATGCTACTAATTTTTGTACATTGATTTTATATCCTGAAACTTGCTGGAGTTGTTTATCAGATCAAGGAGCTTTTGGGCAGAGACTATGGGGGTTTTCTAGGTATAGAATCATATTGTCTGCAAAGAGGGATAGTTTGACTTCTTCTCTTCCTATTTGGATGCCTTTTATTTCTTTCTCTTGCTCGATTGCTGTGGCTAGTAGTTCCAATACTGTGTTGAATGGGAGTGGTGAGAGAGGGCATCCTTGTCTTGTTCTGGTTCTCAATAAGAATGCTTCCAGCTTTTGCCCATTCAGTATGATGTTGGCTGTGGGTTTGTCATAAATGGCTCTTATTATTTTAAAGTACGTTCCTTCAATGCCTAGTTTGTTGAGGATTTTTAACATGAAGTGGTGCTGTATTTTCTTGAAAGCCTTTTCTGCATCTATTGAGATGATTATGTGGTTGTTGTTTTTAGTTTTGTTTAGGTGGTGAATAATTTTTATTGATTTACGTACATTGAACAAACCTTGCATTCCAGGGATAAAGCCTACTTGATTGTGGTGGCTTAGCTTTTTTGAGGTGCTGCTAGATTCAGTTTGCTAGTATTGTGTTGAGGATTTTTGCTTTTATGTTCAACAAGGATATTGGCCTGAAGTTTTTTTTGTCTCTGCCAAGTTTTGGTAGCAGGATGATGCTGGCCTCAGAGTGAGTTAGGGGGAAGCCCCTCCTCCTCAACTTTTTGGAATAGGTTCAGTAGGAATGGTACCAACTCTTCTATGTACATCTGGTAGAATTTGGCTGTGAATCCACCTGGTCCTGTGCTTTTTAGTTTCTTAGCAGGCTATTTATTACTGAGTCAATTTTGGAGCTCATTATTGGTCTGTTCAGGGATTCAATTTCTTCCTGGCTCAGTCTCAGGAGGTTGTATGTTTCCAGGAATTTATCAGTTTCTTCTAGGTTTTCTAGTTTGTGTGCATAGAGGTGTTTTTGATAGTCTCTGATTTTTTTTTTTGCATTTCTGTTGTATTGATGGTAATGCCCCTTTTGTCATTTCTGACTGTGTTTATTTTGATCTTCTCTCTTTTTTTCTTTATTACTCTAGCTAGTGGTCTATCTTATTTATTCTTTCAAAAAACCAAGTATGATTTCATTGATCTTTTGTATGTTTTTTCACATCTCAAATACATTCAGTTCAGCTTTGATTTTGGTTATTTCTTGTCTTCCGCTAGTATGGGGTTGGTTTGCTCTTGTTTTTCTAGTTCCTCAAAGTGTGATGTTAGGTTGTTAATCTGAGATCTTTCTAACTTTTTGATGTGGGCATCTAGTACTTAGCACTGCTTTAGCAGTGCCCGAGAGATTCTGGTAAGTTGTATCTTTGTTTTCATTAGTTTCAAAGAATTTCTTGGTTTCTGCTTAATTTCATTATTTTCCCAGAAGTCATTCAGGAGCAGGTTATTTGTATGGTTTTGAGTGATCTTCTTGGTATTGATTTCTATTTTTATTGTGCTGTGGTTTGACAGTGTGGTTGGTATGATTTCTGTTTTTCTTTTTTAATTTGCTGAGAATTGTTTTATGGCCAATTGTGTGGTCAATTTTAGAGCATATGCTATGTGCAGATAAGAAGAATGTATATTCTGGGTTTTTTTTTAATTGGTAGAGAGTTCTGTAGATGTCTGTTAGGCTCATTTGGTCAAGTATCAAGTTCAGGTCTGAAATATCTATATTAGTTTTCTGCCTCAATGATCTTTCTAATACTGTCAGTGGGGTGTTGAAGTCTCCCACTATTACTGTACGGTTATCTAAGTCTCTCTGTAGGTCTCTCAGAGCTTGTTTTATAAATGTGGGTACTCCTGTGTTGGGTACATATATATTTAGGATAGCTAGGTCTTCTTGTTGAATTGAACCATTTACCATTATGTAATGCCCTTCTTTGTCTTTTAAAATTGTTGTTGGTTTAAAGGCTGTTTTGTCTGAAGTTAAAATAGCAATCCCTGTTTTTTTTTGTTTTTTTTTTTCTTTCTCCATTTGCTTGGCAGATTTTCTCCATCCCTTTACTTTGGGCCTATGAGTGTCACTGTATGTGAGATGGGTCTCTTGAAGAAAGAAGTTGGGTCTTGCTTCTTTATCCAACTTGCCACTATGTGACTTTTAATTGGTGCATTTGTCCCATTTACATTCAAGGGTAATATTGATATGTGCAAATTTGATCTTGTCATTGTGTTGTTAGCTGGTTATTATGTAGACTTGATTGTATAGTTGCTTTATAGTGTCAATGGTCTATGTACCTAATTGTGCTTTTGTGGTAGCCAGTAATGGTCTTTCATTTCCATATTTACCACTCCCTTAAGGACCTCTTGTAAGGTCTGGTGGTAATGAATTTCCTTAGCATTTGCTTGCCTGAAAAGGATCTTATTTCTCCTCTGCTTATGAAGCTTAGTTTGGCTGGACATGAAATTCTTGGTTGGAGTTTCTTTTTTTTATTGTTGTTTAGATGGAGTCTCACTCTGTTGCCCAGGCTGGAGTGCAAAGGCGTGATCTCGGCTCACTGCAACCTCCGCCTCCTGGGTTCAAGTGATTCTCCTGCCTCAGCCTCCCGAGTAGCTGGGATTACAGGCATGCACCACCATGCCCGACTAATTTTTGTATTTTTAGTAGAGACAGAGTTTTGCCATGTTGGCCAGGGTGGTCTCAAACTCCTGACCTCAGGTGATCCACCCGCGTTGGCCTCCCAAAGCGCTGAGATTACAGACGTGAGCCACTGTGCCTGGCCGGAGTTTCTTTTCTTTAAGAATGCTGAATATAGGCTCCCAATCTCTTTTGGCTTGTAGGGTTTCTGCTGAAAGGTCCACTGTTAGCCTGATGGGGTTACCTTTGTAGGTAGCCTGCCCCTTCTCTCTAGATGCCTTTAATACTTGTTCTTTCATGTTGACCTTGGAGAATCTGATGACTATGTGTCTTGGGGATGGTTGTCTTGTACAGTATCTCATAGGGGTTTTCTGCATTTCCTGGCTTTGAATGTTGGCCTCTCTAGCGAGTTTGGGGAAATTTTCATGGATAATATCCTCAAGTAGGTTTTCCAAGTTGCTCGTATTCCCTCCCTCTCTTTCAAGAGATGCCAATGAGTGTTAGATTTGATGTCTTTACATAATTCCCTATTTCTCAGAGGTTTTGCTCGTTCTTTTAAAATTCTTTTTTTCTTTATTTTTGTCTGACTGATTTAGTTTGGAGAACCAGTCTGTGAGATCTGAGGTTCTTCCTTAGCTTAGTCTATTCTGCTGGTAATACTTGCAATTGCATTATGAGATTTTTATAGTGTATTTTGCAGTTCTATCACATCAGTTTGGTTCTTTCTTAAAATGTCTATTTCATCTTTCAGCTCCTGTATCATTTTATTGTAGTCCTTAGATTCCTTGGATTGGGTTTTGACTTTCTCCTGAATCTTATTCTGAATTTTATGACTATCATTCCAGCCATTTCAGCCTGGCTAAGAACTCTTGCTGGATACCGGTACATTCATTTGGATGTAAGGAGAACTCTGGCTTTTTGAATTGCCAGAGTTCTCATGCTGGTTCTTTCTCATCTGCGTGGGCTGATGTTCCTTTAACTGTGGTATAATTTCAGTTATGGTCAGTTGACTTTGTTTTTGGATGTATCAGAGGGCTGAGGCTTTGCGCTAGGTCTTCATTTGTAGCTGAACTCTTGTCCTTGATTTTATCGGGGGGTACGCTAGCAAAGTATTTTTGTTGTTGAAATTTGAGCTGTGATCCAGTAGATAGCACTTAGGCATAATGGCCAGTAGGCAGGCTCTTGCCCAGCCATGTGGTTCCTCTGTATTTCCTTGTGTCTTCAGCTGTGCTCCCTCTCAGTGATCTGAGGGTGTGGGCTCCCTTCCTACATGAGTGCTGGCTGTAGATCTCAGCTCTCAGCTCTCCACTTGGCACTCCTGGGCTGTGCTCAGGCATTATGTTCCCTCCCCAGCTTGGGGACTGAAAGGGCCAGGACCTTGGCAGTGGCAATGGCAGAGGGCCTGCCACTTGTATCTTGGAGCTCCACCCCAGATAAATATAGAGCCACTACCGATTGGAGCAATCAGCCTGGGGTAGGGCAGCTGTGCCGTGGGCCCAAGCCAGGGCACCCTGCCTGGTAATGAGTAGGGAGGCAGGGGTATTGTAGGGGAAGACAGACTGGCCTCTTCTCCTTAGGGCAGCTGTGGTATGCTGGAGGTGTGAGTAAAGCACTCAGGATCTTAGTTCCTTTTCCAGTCAGAGAGCAGCAAGGGCAGTATCAATGCAGTGGCAGTGGCAGAAGGGCTTTCAGTCGTCTCTGGGAGCTCCACCCCAGAGAAATGCAGAGCTGCTGCCAATGGGAATGTTCAGCCAGAGGGTGGGGCAGCTGCACTATGGGCCTGAGCTGGGGCCCTGCTTGGTGAAGAGCAGGGGGTCAGAGGCTCACTGGGAAGAGAGACTGGGCTCCTTTCCATATGGCAACTGTGGTGTGCTGGAAGTATAAGTAAAGCCCTTAGGCTCTTTGTTTCTTCCTCAGTCTGAAGGCAGCAAGAGCAGAACCACTGCAGTGGCAGTGGCAGAGGGGCTGTCAGTTTCCTCATAAGTTCCACCTCAGGGGAACACAGCCACTACCAGCGGGAATGCTCAGTCAGGGTTGGGGCAGCTACTCTGAGATCCCAAGTTGGGGGCCCTATCTGGTGAAGTGTAGGGGGTAAGGACTCACAGGGAAGAGCTACTGTGCTCTTCTCCCTGTGGTTGCTGCAGTGTGCTGGAGGTACAGTGACACAACCAGGCCCTTTGTTCCTTCCCCAGCCCATGGGCAGTAAGGGCGATACCGCTGCAGCTGCAATGGGAGAGGGGCTGTAGGTTGTCTCTGGGATTTCTTTTCCCAGAGAAATGCAGAGCCACCACTGACAAGTGTTCAGGCAGGGGCAGGGTGGTTGTGCTGGGGGCCCAGGTGGAGAGGCGTTGCCCAGTGAGGAGTAACAAGGTCAGAGACCTGCATGGAAAACAGTCTGGCTGCTTTTCTGTAAGGCATCTGCACTGTGCTGGAGGTCCATGATAGTCCTTAATCACCTTGCTCTCTCCTGAGCCTGAGGGCATTAGAGGAGGGAGCTGTGAAGCAGCAAAAGTGGCAGGCCTGCCTGCTTCCACTGGGAGCTCTGTCCCAGGGAGGTGCAGAGCTGCTACTGGCCCAAGAGCCCAGGTAGCGGTGGGGTGGCTGGGGTCTCAGGTCGGGAGGCCTTGCTCAGTGAGGAATAGCAGGGACACAGATCCACGTGGAAAACAGTCTGGCTGCTTTTCCGTAAGGCAGCTTTGCTGGGCTCGGGGCTCACAAAGTCTTCTTCCACTATAGTTTGGGTCATAGAAGGGCTCTCAGAGAGCTCCTGCTTAGTGAACATTTGGCATATCCCTTGGGAAAAAACAAAGATGTAAAAGTATTCACAAGATTGTCATTAGACAGTATCACATTTCCCACAAGTGCTAATAAGTACATCATTTCAGCAGTATAGGAGTTTCTTCTTGTTCTAAGATAGCTCACCATGACCAGTAAGTAATTCTTATTATTTTCAACACGGACCTTTAAGATTTGGCTCTGTCTCTACCATGTTCACTGCTTTCACTTGAGGCTACTGTAGTTGCAGCTTCTAGAGAGAAAATGTCAGGGAGCTAGAGCTGTCCCATACTAGACGCGAGCATCTTGACTCAGAGCAAAAGCAGTAATCCCTGATGAGTTCTATAATCTTTTAGATACATCTATTTGTTTTCTCTATATGCTTCAGAACCTTATTCATACCTATTCAGAGCACTATCACTATTACATATCTATTTCTAGTGTAATAAGCTACATTTTTATATCATTCCAATTCCCCCTATTTGTAACCATATGTTTTCTTTCGACAAAACCCACCTGCATCAGAGGGGGACATATAGCTATGCAGTACGGGGGACTGCTTTGATAGGAGTAAAATTGGGATTGGACAAATTTTGATCAATATGGGCAGGTAGTTTGCCTATCTGACAATAAGAAAAGGGGATCTTGTGATGGAATCAGGGCCATGGAGGCCAGCAGCAGCAGGTCTAGCCAGATTCTAGTGCTTACTCAACCACAAAATGACCATAGGGCAAGTGACTTTTCTTCTGGTTCTTCAACTGCTAAATTAGGGGACACTACATACTCTGTCTCTACTCAAAGCCCAGGGTTCCGATGAGGATCAATCATACAAAATAGCAAGCTAGAATTTTGTATCCAGTGAAACCATCCTTCAAAATGAAGGAGAAATAAAGACTTCCTCAGACAAACAAAAAAGAAGGAGCTTGTTGCTAGTAGATCGGCCTTGCAAGAAATGTTAACAGAAGTTCTTCGGTGAGGGCAAATGACATAGGTCAGAAACTTAGATCTACATAAAGAAGGAAAGCACATTAGATAACAAATAAATGACGGTAAAATAAAACATTTTACTTGTTCTTAATAGATTTACTAGATAACAGTTTGTTCAAAATAATAACCAGCCTGGCCAACATGGTGAAACCCTGTCTCTACCAAAAATACAAAAATTAGCCAGGCATGGTGGCTCATGCCTGTAGTCCCAGCTACTCGGGAGGCTGAGGCACGAGAATTGCTTGAACCCGGGAGGCAGAGGTTGCAGTGAGCCGAGATCATTCCACTACGCTCCAGCTTGGGTGACAGAGTGAGACCCTGTCTCCAAAAAAAAAAAAAAAGCGAAAATGCAAAAATGCTTTCTGTGATTGTAGTATGTGGATATGTGAAACAAATCACAGCAGTATTTTAAGGGATGAAAGGGAAGGATTGGGAGAAGTAGTATAGTGTTATTTCAAAATGGACTTGGATTAGTTGCAAATGTATGTATCAAACTGTAGGGTAACCACTAAACTTTTCTTTAAACAAAGTGTAATTGACATGCTGAGAGAAGAGAAAATGGAATCATATAAAATGCTTAATTAAAATCAGGGAAGGCAGAAAAAGTGGAAGCCAAAAAAAAGAAACAAAGAAAAATGGCAACAAATAGAAAATAATTACAAATATGGTTGATATAGTTTGGCTGCGTCCCCAATCCAAATCTCATCTTGAATTGTAGCTCCCATAATTCCCACATGTTGTGGGAGGGACCCGGTAGAGATAACTGAGTCATGGAGGCAGTTTCCTCCACACTGTTCTCGTGGTAGTGAATAAGTCTCACGAGATCTGATGGTTTTATAAGGAGAAACCCCTTTTTGCTTGGCTCTCATTCTCTCTTGTTTGACATCATGTAACACGTGCCGTTTGCCTTCCACCATGATCATGAGGCCTCCTTAGCCATGTGGAACTGTAGGTCCATTAAACCTTTTTTCTTTATAAATTACCCAGTCTCGGGTATGTCTTTATCAGCAGTGTGAAAACAGACTAATACAATGATAGATATTAATCCAGCTATATCAATAATCAATTTAAATGTGAATGCTCTGAACACACCAGTTAAAAGATAAAGACTGCCAGAGTGAATGAAGAAACAAGACCCAACTATATGTTGTCTATAAAAAAATCCACTTTAAATATAAAGACACAGGTAGATTAAAGTATAGGGATGGAGAAAGATATATCATGCTAACTCCTAATCAAAAGAAGGCTGGGATAGCTGTATTAATTTCAGACAAAGCCGACTTCAGAGCAAGGAAAATGATTAGGGAAAAAGATGGGTATTACATTATGATAAAAAAGAGTCAGTACTCCAGGAAAACATAACAATCTTTAATGTATGCGTGCCTGACAACAGAACATCAAAATACATAAGGCAAAATAACTGCAAGGAGAAATAGAGGAATCTACTATTAGTTGGAGACTTCAATATGTCCTCAGTAATTGCCAGATCTAGCAGGCAGAAAATCAGTGACAATATAGTTGAGCTGAATAGTACCATCAATCAACTAGATCTAACTGACGTTTATAGAATACTTCATCTAACAATAGTAGGATACACATTCTTCTCAGATTCACATGGAACACTGAACAAGGCAGACCATATTCTGTGCCATAAAACACACCTTAAAAATTAAAAAGAGATATCATACAAAGTATGCTCTTATATCACAATGGAATTACACTAAAAATTAATAACAAGATAGTTGGAAAAATCCCAAACTACTTGGTGATTTAAAAACACCCTTCTAGGTTGGGTGCAGTGGCTCATATCTGTAATCGTAGCACTTCGGGAAGCTGAGACGGGCAGATCACCTGAGGTCAGGAGTTTGAGACCAGCCTGGCCAACCTGGTGAAACCCTGTCTCTACTAAAAATACAAAAATTAGCTGGGCATGGTGGTGCATGCCTGTAATCCCAGCTACTCTGGAGGCTAAGGCAGGAGAATCACTTGAACCTGGGAGGCGGACGTTGCAGTGAGCCAAGACTGAGCCACTACATTCCAGCCTGGGAGACAGAGCGAGACTCCGCATCAAAACAAAACAAAACAAAACAAAACAAAACAAAACAAAACCCAAACAAACAAACAAATCCACCCTTCTAAATAAGACATGGGTCAAAGGAAAAGTCTCAAGGAAAATTAAAAATATATTTTGAACAAGATGACAATTAAAATGAAACCTATCAAAATTTGTGGGATGGAGCAAAAGCAGTGCTGAGAGGGAAATTTATAGTATTGGATACATATATTAGAATAGGAGAAAGATATAAAATCAATATCTAAGCTTCTACCTTAAGAAACTAGAAGTAAAGAACAAATTAAATGTAAAGTAAGCAGAAGAAAGGAAGTAATAAAAATGAGAGCAAAAATAAATGAAAGTAAAAACAGGAAAGCAATAGAGAAAATCAATGAAATTGAAAGCTGGTTCCCAGATCAAAAAAATTGACAAACTCCTACCAAGAAAGAGTGAGAAGACACAAATTTTACTAATATCAGAAATGACAGAGGGGCTGCCATCACTATTGATCCCATGGACATTAAAAGAACAATAAAAGAATATTATGAATAACTCTATGCCCACAAATTTGATCACTTAGGTAAAATGGGCTAATTCCTTAAAAGACACAATCTACCATAACTCACACAAGGAGAAACAGGTAATCTGTGTAGGCCTATATGTAATAAAAAAATTGAATTGACAATTTGTAACCTTCCAAAAGGGAAAGCACCAGGCCCCAGTGGTTTCACTGGTGAATTTAATCAAATATTGAAAGATGAAATCATACTAATTCCCTACAGTCTGTTTCAAAAACTAAAATCAGAGGCACTACCTGGGTGATGAGATCATCTATACTCCAAACATCAGCACTGTGCAATATACCCATATAGCAAACCTGCACATGTACCCCCAAATCTAAAATAAAAGTTGAAATTATATAAAAAAGGAAATAGAAGCAGGGGGAACACTTCCTACCTCATTCTATGAGGTCAGCATTACCCTGATATACCAAACAGACAGAGGCACTACAAGAAAGGAAAACTACCACTGCTATCTCTTGAATATAGATGCAAAAATCCTCAATAAAATATTAGCTAATCAAAGCCAACAATGTATTAAAATAATTATATACCACAACCAAATGGGATTTATTCCTGGTATGCAAGGCTGGTTAACCATTCAAAAATCAATTGAATCCCATTACTCATCAAAAGGTTAAAGAAGAATCATATGATCATGTCAATAGATCCAAAAAAGGATTTTTGACAAAATGCAACATCACTTCATGATAAAAACTCTCAGCCAATTATGAATCAAAGGGCACTTCCACAATTTGATAGAGAACATCTATAACATTCAGAATATTTATGATCCTGGAATATTGGACATCCATATACCATACAGCTAATTTAATGGTGAGGAACTAGATGCTTTCCCTTTAAGATTGGGAACAAGGCAAGGATGTTCCCATTCACCACTCCTACTGAACATAATACTGGAAATGCTAGCTGATGCAATAGGCAAGAACAGGAAATAAGAGGCATAAAGATTGAGAAGTAAGAGACAAAACTGTCTTTGTTCACAGATTACATGATTGTCTATGTGAAAATCCCAAGGAATCAACAAAAATCTTCTAGAACTAAGTAGCAATTATAATAAGGTTGCAGGATACACACCTAATATATAAAAATCAATTGCTTTCCTACATACCAGCAGTGACCAACTGGAATTTAGAAATTAAAAACAAACACTATTTATATTAACATAATATATAGAGAAATACTTAGGTATAAATCTAACAAAATATGAATATCTATATGAGGAAAAATACAAAACTTCAATGAAAGAAAATAAAGATCTAAATCAATGGACATCTTAATAATGTTGTGTCTTCCTATCCATGATCAATGTTCGTGGATAGGAAGACTCAATATTGTTAAGATGTCACTTTTTCCCAACTTTGTCTATAGCAATCCCAATTAAGATCTGCATTAGTCCATTTTCATGCTGCTATGAAGACATACCCAAGACTGGGTAATTTATAAAGAAAAGAGGTTTAATTGACCCACAGTTCCACATGGTTGGGGAGGCCTCAGGAAACTTACCATCATAGCAGAAGGCAAAACAGGCATGTCTTACATGGAGGCAGGCGAAAGGAGTGCCGAGCAAAGGGGAAAAAGCCCCTCATAAAACCATCAGATCTCACTAGAACTCACTCAGCATCACCAGAACAGCATGGGAGTAACTGCCTTTATGATTCAATTACTTCCCACCAGGCCCCTCCACAACATGTATGGATTATGGGAACCACAATTCAAGATGAGATTTAGGTGGGGACACAGCCAAACAATATCAAGATCTCAGCAAGTTGCCTTGTGGGTATCAACAAACTGATTCTAAAGTTTATATGGAAAGGCAAAAGACTCAGAACAGCCAACACAATATTGAAGAATAACAACAAAGTTGAAGAATGACACTACTTGATTCAATACTTACTATAAAGCTACAGTAATCAAGACAGTGGTATTTGTGAAATACCACAAATTAATGGAACAGAAATAGACCCACACAAATACAGTCAATAAATTTTTGACAAAGGAGCAAAGGCAACCTAATGGAGAAGGGATAGTTTTTTTTTCAACAAATGGTGCTGGGATAACTGGACATTTATACAAAAAAATCTAGACAACTTTGACAAAAATTAACTCAAAATGGATCATAGATCCAAATGCAAAGCACAAAACCATAAAACTCTTATAAGATAACATAGGAGAAATCTAGATGACCTTGGGCTTGGCAATAAATTTTTAGATAGAACACCAAAAGCACAATCTGTGAAAGAAAAAAAACTGATAAGTTGAACTTCATTAAAATTAAAAATTTCTGAGAAAGATACTGTGAAGTGAATCAAGAGACAAGCCACAGACTGGGAGAAAATATTTGTAAAACATGTATCTGATAAAGGACTTATCCAAAATACATAAAGAACTCTTATAACAATAAGAAAACAGTTAACCCAATTAAGAAATGGGCAAAGATCTGAACAGAAAACTCAAAAATCAGAAAAAAATGATCCAATTAAGAAATGGGCAAAAGACTTGCATAGACACCTCAACAAAGAAGATATACAGATGGCAAATAAGCATAGAAAAATATGCTCAACACCATTGTCATCAGGGAATTGCAACTTAAAACAATGAGATAGCACCAAACATCTCTTAGAAGGGCTAAAATTCAAAATACTGACAACATTAAATGCTTGAGAGAATATGGAACAAAAAGAACTCTCACTTATTGCTGGTGGGAATGCAAAATGTTACAGCCACTTTGGAAGTCAGGTTGGCAGTTTCTTACAAAGCTAAACATAGTCTTACCATATGACCCATAAATTGTGCTCCTAGGTGTTTATTTACCCAAATGTGCTGAAAACTTATGTCCACACAAAAACCTTCATACCAATGTTTATAGCAGCTTTATTCATCATTGCCTCAAATTGGAAGCAACTAAGATGTCATTTCATAGGTAAATGGTTAAATAAACTGTGGACATCCATATAATGGAATATTATTCAGCAATAAAAATAAATAAGCTATCAATCCAGAAAAAGACACAGAGGAACCTTAAATGCATATTGCTAAGTGAAAGAAGTCAGTTTGAAAATGCTACATACTGTATAATTCCAACCATATGGCAGTCTGGAAAAGGAAAAACTACAGAGATAGTAAAAAGATCAGTGGTTGCCAAGGGTGGGAAGAGGAACTCTTTGTATACAGGAACTCTCTGTTTCTGTTCAATATTCCTGTATACAAAAACTGTTCTAAAAATAGTCTGTAATTATAAAAATAAATTTATAAAACATCCACTAGTTTAAAAGCAACACTGCATGGCATGTAGTTCAACATGAATCTCCAAGCCCTGGCTCTACATCCACCACACCTTTCACATACCTCTTGCCTCTGTACCTTTCTTCATGCCATTCCCTCTGCTTGAAGTGCCCTTCTCCAGTCCCACTTTCCCTCAATACCTACACATCCTTTAAAACTTTAAAAGTCAGACACTAATTCCTCTGTGTTCCATTAACACACTGTTGCATTTATCAAATTATAATTTTCTGATATGTGATCGTTCTACTTAATACATTGTTAACTCCTTGAGGGCAAGGGCTGTGAATTACTCATCTCTGTATCTCCAGCTCCTAAAGCATTTCTTTTATAGTAGCTGTTCAATAAAAATGTTTGTTGAATGAACAAACGAATGACGAAGAAAGTGGTAAACCTGGGAAGTAAACCAAGATTCTGACTCCAAGCTCATTGTACCTTCCATTGAATCACAGTCATGCTAAGCTTAAAGTATTAACGATAATAGTTTCAAAAAACTGTCCATTTGTAAAATGGGCATAATTCTATCAATTTATAGTTATTTTATGGCCTAAATAAATGAAAGTCATGTGCATAGAGTAGGTATTCATAAATTTTAATTTAATTTTATTTGTTCTCTGGTTATACAGGTAGTAGGCTCCAGCTTTCCCCCACCTTTTTTTCCTGATACATGGTCTTGCTCTGTGGCTCAGGCTGGAGTGCAGTGGCACAATCATGGCCCATTGCAGCCTTAACCTCCTGGGCTCACGCAATCCTCCTGCCTCAGCCTCCCAAGTAGCTAGGACTACAGACATGTGCCACCACACCCAGCTAGCTTTTTAAAACTATTTTTTGTAGCAATAGGGTCTCACTATGTTGCCCAGGCTGGTCTCGAAATCTTGGCCTCAAGCAATCCTCCTTCGTTGGCCTCTCTGGGATTACAGGTGTGAGTCACTGCTCCTGGCCCAGGCTTCTAGCTTTCATGCTTTTCTCCCTTTATGTTGAGAACAATACCAGAGAACTGGACATTGTCAACATTTATTCAGTACCAGTTAGTAAAGGAATAAAGAGAAGGCAATGGCTAGCAACCAGGGAGGTACAGGAATGGACATTTTATTCAAGAAAAAGAAAACCATTCTTCAATACAGTTTGTATCTTCAAATCTTGGCATCTTAAGAGTTTATCTTCTATCTCACACTATTAGAATTGTAAACAGAGGAAATGTGCAAATATGCGTGGCAAGCTCAATATATATGAAGAAGATAGAAGCCATTAGCTTCAAAGAAGAGTGAGAATTTTGAATGAGAACCACATGGAATGCCCATGTTCAGAACCCAGATTACAGTTTCAGCATCTGCTGTAAAGCGTGACAAAAAGGCAAGAAAAGGTAGGGGTTTGCAAGTTGATTTTCATCCCGCCCCATCCCATCCCAATCTCAAGTATTTCTTAGGCGAGATGGCTTACATTCCTCATCCAAGGATTTCCTCTCTAGCCCTTGCAGCAGGGGCCCATCTCTGGGGCTTCAGGCTCCACAAACTTAAGTTATGATCAGCTGTGAAACTTCTCTGGCTCAGTTCTGGCTTAGTTTGGAAAAGACTAAAAAATATTACTGTGGTTAAGACAGTACTAAAAGAGTCCTACCAACTACTGACATTTCAGAAGCATAATGGTCCCTCAAAGTTTCATGAGGTATAGGTACCAAATATGTTCCCAAAGTCATAAGCGTGTTTCTTTGCTAAATAAGTATTCTGCAACACTTAGTCTTTGGTCACTTTAGTGGTTAGGATGGAGAAAGCCAGGCCTAAGGGTAACAATCTCTGAAGATAATCAGAAAGATGAATGGGAGATCATGCAGTGTTTTTCACACTGTGTTCTAGAGAGCACCAGGGTCCTGTGTGACATCAACGGATGTTATTGGAAATGGGGCTCCTTGGTCAAAAAAGAGTCTGGGAAACACATGGTTAAGGAAAAACAGATTTCTTCATTGAAGATTTCTCATATCCTTTAATATACTACTTAGAAATGTGACTCTTCAAAAAGGGGATATGAAATGCAGCATTTCCCAAACTTATTTGGTTATAGAAGCTTTTTAAAGAAATACCTATCTCTTGTTGACTTAATGTTCTGTATTGTACTGTTTGGGAAATACTGGGGTTGTGGAAACAGCATGAACTTTGTTAACTTTTCAGAACTGGGTTTGAATTCTAGTTCTATAATAATATTCAATAGCTATGTAACCTTGGGCAAGTTACTTCACCTCTCAATCAGTTTTTTCATTTATGAAAATTGGGACAATAATATCTACCTCAAAAGGGATGTCAGGAGGATTGAATTAGATAATTTACAGTACTTAACACAAGGCCTAGCACATATAGGCACTCAATAAATAGCAGCTATCATCATCACATTCATTTTCTATCACCATCATTATCAAGCCACATACCTACCTGGCAGGGCTAACCAAACAGCTTCAAAATAGGTCTGGCCTGGGACTCAAATGGCTATATTCCTGACTGCTTTGAGAACTGAGTGTAGGGAGAAGAAAACCGGAGTAGTTGTCCAGAGATACAGCTCTATGACTTATTTGCTGTCTGACCTTGGGCGAATCACTTCACCTGTCTGCATTTCTCTCTCCTCCTGCCAAATATAGGTATGGACTAGGTGACCTCTTACTCCAAAATTTTATGAACCTCAGGTCTAAAATGCTATACAAGGATTTATAAATTTATTGTTGAAGAAATCTGTCATACAGGTTAAATCCAATTATAAAGGACGGTCCTGTATAACAAAGCTATTTTTGTGTTCCAGCAGATGGCTGGCAGAAATAGTGCTTTGTCAATCTGGTTACAATGAACTCTGTATAGTGAATAATTCTGTATAACAATTGCTTTCTCTGGTCCTTGACCCCATAATTGTCACTCTCTAACATTGCCCTAATCAACCAAAGAACTTGATTATGTGTTGTTTTCATTATCAACACAAAGAGGGGAGCTGAGTTAAGCTAATCTACAGAATTTCTAGCTGAGATGTTCATGTCCAATTCCATTATCTTACAGTTGAGGAAACAGGACAAGAGAGGTTAAGTAACTTTTCAAGGGTCACACAGCTAGTAAGTGGCAGAACTTTGAATGGGTGTTTGGACTAAATGATTCATCATCTGCAAACTTAGAGATTCCACTGCAAACTCTTTCACCTAGACTATATACAAAAATGTTTAATAAAACCAGAAACAGCATTTATCACTCCCCTTTATCCCTGCATTCAAGCCCTCTTCATAGGATGGCCCCTCTAATTCCATGGTTCATGGTGACATAACTTAAAGCATAATAACCTTTGCTGCAGAACGTCAGTTAGAGATTTTTTGAAAGTCTAAATAAATTACACCCATTGATCCCTTTAGATATATGCACAGTTCCTTCCACAAAGGCCTCTGATTAGTCATGTTTTTTTTTTTCATTATGAAATCATGTTGCCTTTGAAAAAAAAACTAGGTTAACACAGATAGAAACCTTAACACTATGAATATCAAAAGTTAGTTTTCAGGCCCCTGCTTTTCTTTATCTACACACTCTTTCATGAGCACATTTTGTTCCAGGACTTCAACCCTCATGGAGAATGATACAGCCCGTGTCTCTAATACCACTGTGACATTGCCACTTGAACGCATTCCTGTTACCGGGAACTCTCATGCCTCAGATTGAATTTATCTTCTTAGTGGTTCTCACATCTGTCTATACATTGTAATCACCTGTGGAGTTTCAAAAACTCTCAATGCTTGGACCCCAGCCCTAGGAATTCTGATGCAATTGGTGTGGGGTCAGACCTGGGCATGAGGATTTTTCAAACCTTCCCAGGGGAGTCTAATGTGTGACCAAGGTTGAGAACCACTACTCTAGGACAAGCCCTGAACACCATTTCTCCTTCACTTGGGCTCAACAGAAGTCTGAGGTTAAGAATATTCCAGAGTATTCCATCTCCAGCTCTTGGGATTAATGAGATAATAGAAGCAAAAACAGCTTTGGAAAGTATGAAGTGCTAAGGAAATGCAAAAAATTATTTTAAGCAGTATGCACATGAATCAAATGGATTGCTTCAGTAGTTGAGATGTGTTAACTCACTAAACATAGTAAAGGCTACACTGGCAATTTATCATCCAACCTTTTTGTTCAGCAGAACATAGGAGTCAGAAGGGAATCTACTTTTGGGATGTGACATAAATCATCAGAGCTACCCTGTCTTACTGTCGGCAGATTAACCCCATCAATGGGCTGAAGGGGCCCAAATGGCTGGCATCAATGTGCTGTTCCCAGAAGCATATGATGACAGCCATTTGGCTGGCTCCTCTTCACTGAGGAGGAGTGCTACCATGGCAGCTGGCCAGCCAAACCAAACCACAAACAGCGATTACATTGAGAACCACACATATGCAACATGGCTCTAGATTGGGTCCCAGAACAGTTCAAGATGGCTAGCTATTGTGCTATTGTGCATGTTGTGTCCCTTTAATCAGGAATGGAGCTTATCCTGAGTCACACTAGATTCTTCTTCTGATGGGACAAACTAAGGATTTCTGATGTTCAGTTTGTATGTACTCCAGTCATTTACATTAGTGCCTGCCCTAGGATGGAGGTGCTGCTAATACTTTGATTTAGAAAGAGCCAATCCAATTTTTTTCCCCAAGAAGGGTATACTACCTGGATTCTTCTGGGATTATCCTTCAACATGGTAAGTATTTATCTTGCCTTTAATATTTTCATTATTGCCACCCCCTTCTCCATAAAGGCAGTGTCTGTTTTGGTAGCTGTGTGTTGGCCATCCTCTATACATTATACTCAGCAGAACTTTGTCCCAGGAAATACATTTCTCTTCCAGGGAAATTGAACACATAATTGAAAGTCACTAGTGGAAAAGGCATGGTCTTTGAAGTCACAGAACTGCATTCAAGCCCAGCTCCACTACTTAGTAAGTGCTGCATGACACTGAGCAAATTGCTTCATCTCTCTGAGTACATTCTCATTTATAAAATGGGGATACTATTACTTACCTTATAGAGTTGTTATGAGGTTTATACAAGATAACATGAAAAGCAAGTGTAAGATATTCTCTAGGCACTCAATAAAGACAAATTCATCTTTTTGCAAAATTCTATAACCATATAAACTTCATTTGTCCCAAACTCAAGCAAACAGAAATCTCAATTAACTGAACCTCTTTATCCAATATAAATTGGTGTTCACAATAATTATCCCAAGACACAGCAAGATTCTGAAATGGCCTTGAAGGATTTAACTGCCTGTAGAAAGTTCTTTTTCAGTTAATTCTTTCAATTATATTCAACTTATAAATGTTGTTTGAACACAAGATATGCTAGTACCATATTTGTACTACAAACAGATAATATAAGACCTGGCCACCTCGGTGATTGCTATTTATAATATCTTTTTAATCCATTCTCTTGGGTTTTCTAGCTATAGAACAATATCTGTAAATAATGGTACTTTGTATAATTCCCCAACAGTGATATCTCTTATTTCAATTTCTTGCCCCATTACATTGGTAAGAACTTCAAGAATAATGTTGAACATCAGCAGTTACAATGAGCATCTTTGTCTTATTCCCAATTCTAGCAGAAATGCCTCTAATATATTTACCATTAAGTACTATGCTGTTTATTAGGCCAAGATATTCTTTATCATATTAGAGAATGCCCTTTTATTCCTCGTTTACTAAGAATAATCAGGAAAGAGTGTTAGATTTTTATTAAATGCCTTTGTGACATCTGAGGTGATCAAATGATTTATATCCTTTGAGTTGATGATATAATATAATATTAAGAGATTTCCTATTATTGAATAATCTTTGCATTCCTAGGACAAACCCTACTTGGTCATGACACACTATAAATATATTGCATGGTTTGATTTGCTAGTAGTTACCTAAGATTTTTATGTGAGATATCTTTAGTTGTCTTTCTGGTGCTGCTTTGGAAGAGTTTGTTATCAAGGTTATACCAATTTTATAACATGAACTGAGAGGAATTATTTCTCTTTCTATGCTTTGTAACAGTTTAAGGAACATGGGAACTGTTTTGTTCTGTAATATCTCGATTTGGGCCTAACTCCCATTTTCTCTTTTTCTTTTTTTCCTTTTTTTTTTTTTTTCTCTGAGACAGAGTCTCACTCTTGTAGCCCAGGCTGGAGTGCAATGGCGCCATCTCAGCTCACTGCAACCTCTGCCTCCTGGGTTGAAGCAATTCTCCTGCCTCAGCCTCCCGAGTAGGTGGGATTACAGGCACCTGCCACTGTGCCCAGCTAATTTTTTTTGTATTTTTAGTAGAGATGGGGTTTCACCATATTGGCCAGGCTGGTTTTGAACTCCTGACCTCAAGTGATCCACCCACCTTGGCCTCCCAAAGTACTGGGATTACAGGCGTGAGCCACTATACTTAGCCCTAACTCCCTTTTTCTAGGATATCATTGGGTGACTTTTTTCTCCCTGGTAGAAAAAAAGTCCAGTATCCTTCATTAAAAATAATATGGTTATTCCTAGTGTGTGACACTTTCTTGAGAGACAACAACTCATACACGACCTCAGTTTATTTTTCTCAGTCCACTCAGCTACAATGATTTTTTAAAAGTTCATAATCTCTTCTTATCTGTTTTCCATTTATTTTTATTTCAGGCACCAATGTTATTGTCTCTAGAGGCATCAGAGGTGGGAAGGATGAAAGACAAAGGTACAGAAGGAGGAGACAGGAAGGATGGACTCAAGGAGATAAGAAACAAAGTCTGGGAGGTTGCCCTAGGAAGGCTTTGTATTAGTCTGTTTTTACACTGTTGATAAAGACATACCCGAGACTGGGAAGAAAAAGAGGTTTAATGGACTTACAGTTCCACGTGGCTGGGGAGGCCTCACAGTCATGGTGGAAGGTGAAAGGCACATCTCACATGGTGGCAGACAAGAGAAAGAATGAGAGCCAAGCAACACATGTTTCCCCTTATCAAACCATCAGATCTTGTGAGACTTATTCACTACCATGAGAACAGTATGGGGGAAACTGCCCCCATGATTCAATTATCTCCCACCAGGTCCCTCCCACAACATGGGAATTATGGGAGTACAATTCAAGATGAGATTTGGGTGAGGACACAAAGACAAACCATATCATTCTGCCCCTGATCCCTCCCATATCACATGTCCTCACATTTCAAAACCAATCATGCCTTCCCAACAGTCCTCCAAAGTCTTAACTCATTTCAGCATTAACTCAAAAGTCAACAGTCCAAAGTCTCATCTGAGACAAGGCAAGTCCCTTCTGCCTATGAGCCTGTAAAACCAAAAGCAAGTTAGTTACTTCCTAGATACAATAAGTGTACAGTACAGGCATTGGGTAAATACAGCCATTCCAAATGGGAGGAATTGGCTGGAACAAAGGGGCTACAGGCCCCATGCAAGTCTGAAATCCAGCAGGGCAGTCAAATCTTAAAGTACCGAAATGATCTCCTTTGACTCCATGTCTCATATCCAGCTGATGCAAGAAGTGGGTTCCCATGGTCTTGGGCAGCTCCACCCCTGTGGCTTTGCACGGTACAGCTTCCCTCTCAGCTGCCTTCATGGGCTGGTGTTGAGTGTCTGTGGCTTTTCCAGGTGCATGGTGCAAGCAGTCAGTGGATCTACCATTCTGGGGTCTGGAGGATGGTGGCCCTCTTTTCACAGCTCCACTAGGCAGTGCCCCAGTAAGGACTCTGTATGGGGACTCTGACCCCTCTTTTCCCTTCTGCATTGCCCTAGCAGAGGTTCTCCATGAGGATCCTGCCCCTGCAGCAAACTTCTGCCTGGGAATCCAGGCATTTCCATACATCTTCTGAAATCTAGGCGGAGGTTCCTAAACCCCAATTCTTGACTTCTGTACACTTGCAGGCTCAAAACCAAGTGGAAGTTGCCATGGCTTGGGGCTTGCAACCTCTGAAGCTATGGCCTAAGCTCTATGTTGGCTCCTTTTAGCCACTGCTAGAGTGGCTGGGACGCAGGGCACCAAGTCCCTAGGCTGCACACAGCACAGGGACCCTGGGCCTGGCCCACGAAACCACTTTTCCCTCCTAGGCCTCCAGGCCTGTGATGGGAGGGGCTGCAGTGAAGACCTCTGAGATGCCCTGGAGACATTTTCCCCATTGTCTTGGGGATTAACATTTGGCTTCTGATTACTTATGCAAATTTCTGCAGCTGGCTTGAATTTCTCCTCAGAAAATGGAATTTTCTTTTCTATCCCATTGTCAGGTTAATTTTCCAAACTTTTATGCTCTGTTTCCCTTTTAAAACTAAATGCTTTTAACAGCACCCAAGTCACCTCTTGAGTGATTTGCTGCCTAGAAATTTCTTCCACCAGATACCCTAAATCATCTCTCACAAGTTCAAAGTTCTATAAATCTCTAGGGTGGGACAAAATGCTGCCAGTCTCTTTGCTAAAACATAACAAGAATCACCTTTGCTCCAGTTCTCAACAAGTTCCTCATCTCTATCTGAGACCACCTCAGCCTGGACCTTATTGTTTATATCACTATCAGCATTTTTGTCAAAACCATTCAACACGTCTCTAGGAAGTTCCAAACTTTCCCACATTTTCCTGTCTTCTTCTGAGCCCTCCAAACTGTTCCAACTTCTGCCTGTTACCTACTTCCAAAGTTGCTTCCACTTTTTTGGGTATCTTTTCAGCAACACCCCATTCTGCTGGTACCAGTTTACTGTATTAGTCCATTTCATGGTGCTGATAAAGACATACCTGAGACTAGGAAGAAAAAGAGGTTTAATGGACTTACAGGTCCACGTGGCCGGGGAGGCCTCACAATCATGGTGGAAGGTGAAAGGCACGTCTCACATGGCAGCAGACAAGAGAAAGAATGACAGTCAAGCGAAACATGTTTGCCCTTATCAAACTATTAGATCTTGTGAGACTTATTCACTATCATGAGAACAGTATGGGGGAAACTGCTCCCATGATTCAGTTATCTCCCACTCACATGTGGGAATTATGGGAGTACAATTCAAGATGAGATTTGGGTGGGGACACAGAGCCAAACTGTATCAGGCTTTATGGTGGAGATGAAGCTTAAAGAGTTATCTGGAGGAGGACCGGTTGCTGGCCAAGGTGACTAATGTGGGAGTTGGGAAAGGAAATTTAATTTCAGTATTTACTGCCATCAATCAATATTTACAGAATTATTGGCATATCTTCATTTTTAATGCATAGCTGTAACTGAAATGGACCTCTTATGGGGATGTAGTGATTAAATTTACAAATTGAAGGTACCAAGCTCAGATGGTAACTACCTTATCATGTTTCCTTGTTTATGGATCTTGTTTATGGAAAAGGTCTTTGCCCTCCATGTTTAGGAAATTAGCTCTTTGGACCTTGTTTAGTGATCACCTTCTGCATAGACAGAAATAGAAGTGAGTAACACACTAGAACACATGGGCAGTGCCTGTAAGCCCTGATGATAGGATGTCAGAGAGTACAGGATGCCATTCATCTTGGTTATTCCTAATAATTTGAGAAGTCAGTGTTCAGGAACTGCCCTACATGTACTTTTCTAAAGGAACAGGAATAGCCTGGAAAGCCCATTCTCTTTAGCAAGTTTGGATTGACTTCAAACTGCATCCTTCTAATTGGTCCACCCTTTTTCTCTACTCTTCCCTTCTCTAGCAATATTCCCACTTGCCTAATTTGCTGGAGCATCTGGGTCAGTAACTTTCCTTGGGCACTTCAGTTTATTTCCTCTAAGCTCCAGGGCTGTTATAAAAAGGCTTGTTGAAATCTAGGCTGTGATTCAGTGGGGTCTGATACAGAGCCTAGATTCAGCATCTGGAAAATCCTAATTTTCACCCATCTGTACAAACAACTGGATGGAAGTGCCTGTGCTCTGCGAGGACTCCATTCCTTCTGGTCTAGTGGTTGCCCCTTCTGGAAGTACGGAGTGAGGTTAACAAAAACAAAAACAAAAACAACAACAACAAAAAACAGCAACAAACTAATTTGCCTTTTTATAGAAATGTATTAAAAAGTTAAACACATTATTTTAGAAAACTATTTTTAAATAAAGCCCTCCCCACCCATTAGCCCAACAGTCTACTGCTGGCTCTTCCCATTCCAAGGAATGAAGTCATGCTTTATGGGAGACATCTGCTTCTGAAGATATTACTGCCCTGAGCACAGAACATGACTTCATTAGAGGGAACAGTGGACCAGAGAGATTCAACAGGAAACCTGCATATGTGACAGTAAAAAGAAAAACAGCCAATTGAGATTCTCATCAGGTCTCTCTCTATCCTTCAGGATAGATGGAAGACCTGGTGACTTCACTGTCATATGACTTCCTTTTACTTTCAAATCATGAGCTATATATGAAAACTTCCAGAAAACTGTAACTCATAGCAACTCCACCTGTATTTGTAAATACAGAATTTGTCTTCTCTCAAGGGATTGGATGGATTACATTCTGGGAAGAGAGCAGGTATTTGAAACTTTGGGGTAGCTACTGAATGCACACTCAGGGCAGAGTGAGCTCTGTCTCAAGGAAACATTGTTTCAAATAGTGGGGCAGATGTATACAATGCCATTTTCAGTTCTGAAAAGCAAATTCAGAATATTAGCAGGGATTTTGGCTTTCCAGGAAGATGATTTCCACAGCAGTTTTATAGGATTTTTGACATGTGTTGTTTATAACCTTAATTTTTAAAATGAGCAAGCCCAATAAATCTGTTACCTACTAACCAAGTTCTGGTCTAGTTGCATCTGTTCCCATTTTATTTGATACTGTAAAGAAATTTCAATAGACAGCTAAATATTTTGGTGTTATTCATAGTCTTCTGCTCCTATTGACAGACTTTTCAAAGAAAACTCTTAAAATCACTACCATTTTAAACAGCAATAATTGCTGGTTTAATTTACTAGGCTTTGCTTCTAGGGACTCACAATGCAGCTGCAATCACAGCAGTGGAAGGGAATGTTAAGATATCATGTGGCTGGGTCCTCTTTGACCTAGGCGGAATAGGAGTTTGGAACATTAGGGAAGGCTGGGGATTATAACCTCTCACTGTAAGCTGCTTTAACCTTGAATCCCACTCAGGGCCAAGAAATTCTTTGTATATATGGTGGTAAGTGTTTTAGGCAAAGTATGTCTTCTATCTGGCTGTGTTTAAAGAATTGTCTGGAAAGAATTTTAAAAGTACAGATTTCTGGGCCTCAACTCAGATCTATTAATAAAATCTGAGGGTAGAGCCAGGAAATCTGTATTTACAAAGCAAGTCCTAGGTGATTCTTATGAATTTGAGAACAATGGCATTAGGGTTGCTGCATCAGGGTCATCTAGCAGGGAGCTGTTGGTATAGATGTGAAAAGAACAGAAATGATTATAGAGAATGGCAGATGAATAAGAACCTCCCTTTGCACATTATTTTACAAGGTAAATTTGCAATTGTTATTTTATTTAATCCTCACATTAACTCATGTTAATGTCCATTTTACAGAGAAGAAACCTGAAGCTCAAGGAAGAAAATATCACTTGTGTAGGATCCCAGAGCCAAAAGCAGAGTTAGGACTCAAACTTATGTTATCTGATACCAAATCTCTTGCTTTTGCCACTTACTACAACTTCTTCATAACAGTCTTAGGGAGCAATGAGCACCGAGTTCAAAGGAGGAAAAAATGATAGTTTAATAAGAAGTCAATATCCAATTGTGATAACATGATAAAATAATGCAAGGGCTGATATCACATCAGCGTTACATTTGGTTCCTTTAATATATGAAATCCAATCCAAAATTGTTAACAAGAATAAGTGATTTAGCCCTCCCTTAACCACCCCTTGTTTACTTTTTCTTCCCCCATGCTACCTAGAGCTTAGCAGGAAAGTCTCTGACAACCAAATTTGTACCTCAAGTTGAAGAAATATGAGATAGAGATATAAATAAACTAGAAGAGGATGAGAGAGGAAGCAGGAGCTCATCTTAGACTGATGTTTTGCACTAGTCAGGAGTGCAAACAAGTAAAGCAGTCATTCTGAGAATACTTGGTCATTCAATGCACAACAGTGCATTGTAACACATATTCTACTCCTAGTGGGCAAGTCACATCTTCCTCAGTTCAGGGCTGTGAGCTTTCCTTGGAAGCAGTGTAGTAGACTGACAAAATCAAGCTCTTTTGAATCAGACAGACCTGAATTTAAGCTCTGTCCAACCTGCTGTGTGGCCTAGGCAACTTAACCTTTCAAAGTTTTAGCATTCTTACCTCTAAAATGGTAATAACATAATTTCTTTCTCAAAGTTATTGCAAAGGATAAATAAAATGACCATGGCAGTAAATTGACCAGCAGTATCTGATACATCATAGGTGCTTAATCAATGTTAACAGGTACTTAATCAGTGTTAATCCCTACCCCTGATCCTCAAAGTTCCTTTACTAGTAGAAAGTTAGTTTAAGGTTAAGGTTTTATTTGGGGTACCTGTAATAAAAAGTTTCTCATTTTAAACTCAATATTGTACTTAACCCTCATTTTGGGGGGTTATTTTTATTTTATTTTATTTATTATTTTACTTTTTTATATTATTTATTTATTTTTGTTTTATTAAGGGTTTTTTAAGGGTTTTTTTAAACTTCAGAGTCAACCTAGACTCTATGGGAACGTGAAACATGATTGAAGTGGCATTATAAATGGGGAAAGAAAGGACTCTTCAATGAATGGTGTTGGAGCAATTGGCTATCCATATTAGAAAAAGTAGAATAAGATTCTTTTATCAGACCACACACAAAAATAAGTCACAGACACAGACTAAAGGCCTAAATTGGAGAAAAAACATTTTTAAAGTATTTGAAAACATATTGAAGAATATTTTTATGACTTTAGTGTAGGGAAAGATTTCATAAAGAAGACACAAAAGCAGACTCATAGGAAAAGAGCTGAATAAAGTTGACTACATTAATACAAATTTTGGTGAAAATGTGGCAAAATGAAACATCTCACACATTTTTGGCAAGAGTATAGACTGGTATGATTTTGGAGAGCAATTAGGCAATATTTGACAAAGTTCATGCTGTATATATCCTGGGACCTAGTAATTTCACTCTGGATATAGACCCAAATAAACTCCCTCACATGTGCACAAGGAGACATGTATGAGAACATTTACTGCAGCATTGTTTGTAATAGAGAGAAATGGAAACCTCATTGTCCACCAACAGGAGAATGAATAAATAACTTGTGGCATATTCATATAAGAGCAAATTTTATAGCATTTAAAATGAATAAATTATACATGTATGTTTACCAAAATGAGTGGATCTCAAAAACATGATATTCTGTGAAAAAAGCACATTGAAGAAACATAAAGACAATAGGATGCCACTTATTACAATTGAAAATATATGTAAGTCAGGGTTCTGGTTCTGGGACAAGATGCCTTCTTCCTTTTAACTACAACTAAATACCCTGGAAACAATTCAATGGACAATCACAAAAGCTTTGAAAAGTGGAAAAGAGAAAGTGGACTGGCTAGGGACATCACAACTTGAGAAACTACATGGCGGTGAGTTCCCTGGGTTTTCCCTCTGTCTCTCATATATCCCAGTGCTAGCGAGTCCTGCAACCTGGAATCACCAACATGCATAGACAAAAATGAAAAAAATAAAAGCCTGCTGTCTCTGGCCAAAGGATTGGAAAAAGGAAAGCCCAACAAGGACTTAGCAGGGAAACCCTTACCCAGTGGCAGGGGACCCAATCTTCTTAAAGTAACTATTAATACAACAGTGGAACCGGAGCAGGCTAACCCATCCTCTGCCCCACACCAGTGGGTGGCAGGCACTTCTCTTGCAGCAGCAGTGCCAGCTGGCCAGGTGCTTCCCAACCCTCTCTCCCCAGATGCAGTGGCTCCTAGCCCTTTACCTAGCAACAGAAGATAATCCAGGCCAGGCGTCTGCCAACAGACATTTACCCAATGGCAGAAGGCAACACAGGCCTTGGTGCCTCCTGGCCCTCCAAAGAGTGGCAAAAAATGACAGAAAATGATCTCCGGCTAGGAGATTTCTGAACCTCCACCTAGTGGCAAAGACTCATACAGAATCTGTACCTGCTGTCCCTCTACCCAGCAGAAGGGAGCCCAATTAGGTAATTTCTTCCTCTGCAGGCACTAGCAGAGATGGAGTGGAAAGCCCACAAGCTCTGGGTGGCTGGAGAATAGTTAAGAGAAAACCTTCTCTGTCCCGCAGGTCTAGTATTCCTGACCTTCTAGTAGTGAAACTGGATGGTCCATGGAAGCACCTTCTGTTCCCATAGGTAACACCAGTAGGAGTCAAGCAGGAGCTCAAGTAGAGCCAGAGCATGAAGCAGACCAGAATAGAGGCATTGCAAGGGCTTAGAAAACAAAATTGTCATTGGAATTACAGCCCACAGAAGTAGGCCAGAGCTGACACACTGTACTTAAAAAGTGCTTAAATAGAAGATGTAAGTAGGGTCAAAAATCTCCTAACATAATATTAAAAATGTCCAGAATACAATAAAAAAATCACGCATCATAATGAGAACCAGGAGTAATAATGTGAATCAAAAAATCAACTGATATAATACAGGGATGAATCAGATTTTTGAGCTATTTGACAGAAGTTTTAAAATAGACATCAAAAACTGCTTCAATAATTATGAATTCCCTTGAAACTAATGAACAAATACAAAACAAAAAAATAGAAGTTAAAAAAATAAAAATAGAAATTATATAACTAAAATTTAAAATGACCAAAATAAGCCAACTTGCTAAATGGGCTAAAATATAGAGTGGAGATGACAAAATATAGAAACAACAAACTCAAAGACAGATGAATATAGTTTACTCAATCTGAAGAACAGAGAAAAATGGACTGACCATTGGGACCCAGGGAGCAACAGGGTAATAAGTTCTCCTGGTTTTCTTTCTGCCTCATAAATCCCAGACTTGGAAGTGAAGAAGTCAGCAACCTAGAAATGCCAACAAGAACAGACAGAAAAAAAAAAAAAAAAGCCCTAGCAAAATCCTGCTCTCTTGAGCCAAAGGACCAAAAAAGGAGCAACCCAGCATGAGAGAAAACTTTTCGATAATATCCGCTTTAGTCAAACACTACAGAAAAAAAACCTGTGGCCCCACCCCATTCACACAAACAACCAACAAAAGCCGAGTGGGGAGCCTAGAATTCCACCTTCATGAGGCTGTAACAAGGTACCCTGCTGATGTGGTATCAGAGAAGGCCAAGAAGAGAGCTGACACTTTCATCCCCCCTGGCAGATAACTAGACTCCGGCAGTTGGAACTGGTCTAGCTATCAGTAGATAGCTATCAATCAGTAGATAGCTATCAGTAGATAGCTATCAATCAGTAGATAGCTATCAGTAGATAGCTAGTTACAGGTAGCTGGAAGTCCTACCCCAATCTAGCAGTAACGAGAAGCTCTTTATCCTTCAGGTGTCAGAGGAGACCAAGTGTGGGACCTACACTTCCACTTCTACCAGGCAGTAATGAGGTGGCAGCCCCTCTACGCCTACCAGACAGTGTCACAAAAAGCTTTAACTAAAGCGGGTTTAAATAAGATTGAGAACATTAAAACAAAATAGAAAAATGTTAAGGTTTCAATAAAATGTTACCCATCATACTAAGAACCAAGAATATGTCGAACTGAATGAAGAAAAGATAATCAGTAGAAGCCAACAGCCAACAGTGAGATGACAGAGATGATAGAATTATATGACAAATATTTTTAAAGTAGCCATCATAAGAATGCTTCAATGAATAACTATGAACACACAAAAAATGAAAAAAAAAAAAAAAAAAGAAAGCCTAACCTCTTTCTCTCTCCCCTCCTTTTAGACACTGATGATACGAATACTAGATCTTTTGTTATTGTCCCACGGGTTCCCTGAGGCTCTGATCTTTTTTTTTCCTGTTGTTCAGATAAAGTAATTGTATTCATCTGTCCTCAAGTTTATGGATTCTGTTTTCTGCTATCTCCACTCTACTATTGAGCTCATTTGCCAACTTTTAAAATTGCAGTTATTGTAATTTTCAGTTCTATAATTTCTATTTGCTTATTTTTATAACTTCTATTTCTTTGCTGAGATTATATATATATTTCTGTGTTTCAGGAGGATTTGTAATTGCTTGTTAGATAATTTTTATTATGGATTTTACTACAGCTGTTTTATAATTGTCAGATAAAATCTGATTTATCTTGGTGTTGGTGTCCATTGGATTGTCTTTTCTGATTAGTGAGTTTCAACTTTAATCTTGAAATTGTGGATATTATTATATATTATGAAACTCTGGATTCTATTTAATCTTTTTAAAGCAGGAAACCCCTATGTGAGGTATAATGTGAGGGCCAAGTATGTTCAGCTTCCTGATGTGCCCTGCTGACATGACCCTGGCAACAAAGTGGGGCACTGACTCACACTTTCCTGTTGCAAATGGGTGGAGTGAAAGTTCGGCTACCCCCTTGGCCTCACTGATACTATCCAAGTGAAAGTGGGGCAATGACTGACAAGGCTTCTGGATTTTGTTGCCTCTGAATGGAGGTGTAAGGTCAGCTCCCTGCCAGGCCCTGCTGGCATCAGGGGATGGGAGGGGGAGAAGCGGATTGCCAATTAGCTTTACCTTTCACCACCTTGTTAAGCCTCACTGATGCTGATTGGAGGTGGTGGTTCAGTTCCTCACTGGGCCTTGCTGACATCAGGGCAGTGGGAATAGGAGTGGTGACTAGCCTTGCTTCACGCTGCCTCTTTCAGTCTCATTACTGTCAGGTGGGTGTGGGGGTTCAGCTTTCCACCGGGCCTCCCTAGCACCAGGGGCTGAGGGAAAAGTAAAGTCCTTATTTTTATTTTATTTTATTTTAAATTAAACAATTTTTTTTCTTTTTGAGATGGAGTCTCGCTCTCTTGCCCAGGCTGGAGTGCAGTGGCGCAATCTTGGCTCACTGCAACCGCCACCTCCCGGGTTCAAGCAATTCTCCTGCCTCAGCCTCCTGAACAGCTGGGATTACAGGTGCCTGCCACCACGCCCGGCTAATTTTTGTATTTTTAGTAGAGACGGGGTTTCACCATGTTGGCCAGGCTGGTCTCGAATCCCTGACTTCAGGTGGTCCACCCGCCTCGGCCTCCCAAAGTGCTGGGATTACAGGCATGAGCCACCGCGACTGGCCCTTACTAGTCTTTAAAATTTTTATTTTTAATTTTTGTGGGTACACAGTAGGTGTATATATTTATGGGGTACATGAGGTACTTTGATACAGGCACGCAATGTGAAACAATCATGTCATGGAACATGGCGTATCCATCCCCTCAGGCATTTATCCTTTGTGTTACAATCCACTTATACTCTTTTGGTTATTTAAAAATGTACAGTTAAATTATTATTGACTATAGTCCCTCTGTTGTATGATTAAATACTAGGTCTTATTCTTCTAACTATTTTTTGTACCCATTAACCATCCCCACTCTCCTCTCAGCCCTTCATTATCCTTTCCAGCCTCTGGTAACTGTCCTTCTATTCTCTATCTCCATTAGTTCAACTGTCTTGATTTTTAGCTCCCACAAATAAGTGAGGACACGTGAAGTTTGTCTTTCTGTGCCTGGCTTAATTCACTTAACATAATGAGCTTACTAGTCTTGACATGCAGTTCCTTGTTCAGTCTTTTTGATACTAGGTAGGGGTGGAAGCTCAACCTCTTACCCCCATTGGGCAGCAATGACATGAGATGGTGGGGGGTTAAATCTACTGGCAATTAGCCCTACCTTATACTGAGCCATTAATTCTCCTTGCTGCTTGGTGGGTGTGGTGGCTTAGGTTGCCACTGGACTGGGTTGACACTACTCTGGCAGGAGAATAGGAGCACCATCTGCTTCTGACAGATGGGGGAGAGACGATGAGCTGTCTGCTCAGTCCTGCCAACAATGCTCTAGTAGTGGATTAAGAGCAAGCTGTCTGCTTTTGTGGGGGGAAGAAATGGAATAGAATCTTAACTTCTGGGTAGGTCCCACTGAAGCTGTAGGCTGGTGGGGAGGGTAAAACTTTTTCCGTTATTGTTACACTGGAGTAGGAAAAGTATGGTCAAAAAGTTTTCTGCTGTAAAGTGACCCTTTACCTCTTTTTTTTTGGATACAGGAAACAGGCTTTTCTTAGAGTGTTTTTTTGTCTGTGCTTAGTGGCAGTTATGAATTGGAGGCTTCTGTAGTGCCCTGTCTGGGATATGTGAGAGGCAAAAAGGAAACCCAGGGAGCTGACCACTTGTTCTTCAAGTTCCAAGACAGTCTTCATTTTTCTTCCCACCACTCAGTTTTGTTTGTTGTGTTATACCCAGGGTATTTTAGTTGTAAGAGGGAGGACATAGGAGGAATGGGGTTTCTCCACCTTGGTGGAAATGGAAGTCACTCTGTTTTATTTTTTTTTTATTTATTTATTTTTAAAAAAAAAAATTTTTTTTTTTAATTTTTTTTTTTTTATTATACTTTAAGTTTTAGGGTACATGTGCACATTGTGCAGGTTAGTTACATATGTATACATGTGCCATGCTGGTGCGCTGCACCCACTAACATGTCATCTATCATTAGGTATATCTCCCAATGCTATCCCTCCTCCCTCCCCCGACCCCACCACAGTCCCCAGAGTGTGATATTCCCCTTCCTGTGTCCATGTGATCTCATTGTTCAATTCCCACCTATGAGTGAGAATATGCGGTGTTTGGTTTTTTGTTCTTGCGATAGTTTACTGAGAATAATGGTTTCCAATTTCATCCATGTCCCTACAAAGGACATGAACTCATCATTTTTTATGGCTGCATAGTATTCCATGGTGTATATGTGCCACATTTTCTTAATCCAGTCTATCATTGTTGGACATTTGGGTTGGTTCCAAGTCTTTGCTATTGTGAATAATGCCGCAATAAACATACGTGTGCATGTGTCTTTATAGCAGCATGATTTATAGTCATTTGGGTATATACCCAGTAATGGGATGGCTGGGTCAAATGGTATTTCTAGTTCTAGATCCCTGAGGAATCGCCACACTGACTTCCACAATGGTTGAACTAGTTTACAGTCCCACCAACAGTGTAAAAGTGTTCCTACTTCTCCACATCCTCTCCAGCACCTGTTGTTTCCTGACTTTTTAATGATTGCCATTCTAACTGGTGTGAGATGATATCTCATAGTGGTTTTGATTTGCATTTCTCTGATGGCCAGTGATGATGAGCATTTTTTCATGTGTTTTTTGGCTGCATAAATGTCTTCTTTTGAGAAGTGTCTGTTCATGTCCTTTGCCCACTTTTTGATGGGGTTGTTTGTTTTTTTCTTGTAAATTTGTTTGAGTTCATTGTAGATTCTGGATATTAGCCCTTTGTCAGATGAGTAGGTTGCGAAAATTTTCTCCCATGTTGCAGGTTGCCTGTTCACTCTGATGGTAGTTTCTTTTGCTGTGCAGAAGCTCTTTAGTTTAATTAGATCCCATTTGTCAATTTTGGCTTTTGTTGCCATTGCTTTTGGTGTTTTGGACATGAAGTCCTTGCCCACGCCTATGTCCTGAATGGTAATGCCTAGGTTTTCTTCTAGGGTTTTTATGGTTTTAGGTCTAACGTTTAAATCTTTAATCCATCTTGAATTGATTTTTGTATAAGGTGTAAGGAAGGGATCCAGTTTCAGCTTTCTACATATGGCTAGCCAGTTTTCCCAGCACCATTTATTAAATAGGGAATCCTTTCCCCATTGCTTGTTTTTCTCAGGTTTGTCAAAGATCAGATAGTTGTAGATATGCGGCGTTATTTCTGAGGGCTCTGTTCTGTTCCATTGATCTATATCTCTGTTTTGGTACCAGTACCATGCTGTTTTGGTTACTGTAGCCTTGTAGTATAGTTTGAAGTCAGGTAGTGTGATGCCTCCAGCTTTGTTCTTTTGGCTTAGGATTGACTTGGCGATGCGGGCTCTTTTTTGGTTCCATATGAACTTTAAAGTAGTTTTTTCCAATTCTGTGAAGAAAGTCATTGGTAGCTTGATGGGGATGGCATTGAATCTGTAAATTACCTTGGGCAGTATGGCCATTTTCACGATATTGATTCTTCCTACCCATGAGCATGGAATGTTCTTCCATTTGCTTGTGTCCTCTTTTATTTCCTTGAGCAGTGGTTTGTAGTTCTCCTTGAAGAGGTCCTTCACATCCCTTGTAAGTTGGATTCCTAGGTATTTTATTCTCTTTGAAGCAATTGTGAATGGGAGTTCACTCATGATTTGGCTCTCTGTTTGTCTGTTGTTGGTGTATAAGAATGCTTGTGATTTTTGTACATTGATTTTGTATCCTGAGACTTTGCTGAAGTTGCTTATCAGCTTAAGGAGATTTTGGGCTGAGACGATGGGGTTTTCTAGATAAACAATCATGTCGTCTGCAAACAGGGACAATTTGACTTCCTCTTTTCCTAATTGAATACCCTTTATTTCCTTCTCCTGCCTGATTGCCCTGGCCAGAACTTCCAACACTATGTTGAATAGGAGCGGTGAGAGAGGGCATCCCTGTCTTGTGCCAGTTTTCAAAGGGAATGCTTCCAGTTTTTGCCCATTCAGTATGATATTGGCTGTGGGTTTGTCATAGATAGCTCTTATTATTTTGAAATACGTCCCATGAATACCTAATTTATTGAGAGTTTTTAGCATGAAGGGTTGTTGAATTTTGTCAAAGGCTTTTTCTGCATCTATTGAGATAATCATGTGGTTTTTGTCTTTGGCTCTGTTTATATGCTGGATTACATTTATTGATTTGCGTATATTGAACCAGCCTTGCATCCCAGGGATGAAGTCCACTTGATCATGGTGGATAAGCTTTTTGATGTGCTGCTGGATTCGGTTTGCCAGTATTTTATTGAGGATTTTTGCATCAATGTTCATCAAGGATATTGGTCTAAAATTCTCTTTTTTGGTTGTGTCTCTGCCCGGCTTTGGTATCAGAATGATGCTGGCCTCATAAAATGAGTTAGGGAGGATTCCCTCTTTTTCTGTTGATTGGAATAGTTTCAGAAGGAATGGTACCAGTTCCTCCTTGTACCTCTGGTAGAATTCGGCTGTGAATCCATCTGGTCCTGGACTCTTTTTGGTTGGTAAACTATTGATTATTGCCACAATTTCAGAGCCTGTTATTGGTCTATTCAGAGATTCAACTTCTTCCTGGTTTAGTCTTGGGAGAGTGTATGTGTCGAGGAATGTATCCATTTCTTCTAGATTTTCTAGTTTGTTTGCGTAGAGGTGTTTGTAGTATTCTCTGATGGTAGTTTGTATTTCTGTGGGATCGGTGGTGATATCCCCTTTATCATTTTTTATTGTGTCTATTTGATTCTTCTCTCTTTTTTTCTTTATTAGTCTTGCTAGCGGTCTATCAATTTTGTTGATCCTTTCAAAAAACCAGCTCCTGGATTCATTGATTTTTTGAAGGGTTTTTTGTGTCTCTATTTCCTTCAGTTCTGCTCTGATTTTAGTTATTTCTTGCCTTCTGCTAGCTTTTGAATGTGTTTGCTCTTGCTTTTCTAGTTCTTTTAATTGTGATGTTAGGGTGTCAATTTTGGATCTTTCCTGCTTTCTCTTGTAGGCATTTAGTGCTATAAATTTCCCTCTACACACTGCTTTGAATGCGTCCCAGAGATTCTGGTATGTGGTGTCTTTGTTCTCGTTGGTTTCAAAGAACATCTTTATGTCTGCCTTCATTTCGTTATGTACCCAGTAGTCATTCAGGAGCAGGTTGTTCAGTTTCCATGTAGTGGAGCGGCTTTGAGTGAGATTCTTAATCCTGAGTTCTAGTTTGATTGCACTGTGGTCTGAGAGATAGTTTGTTATAATTTCTGTTCTTTTACATTTGCTGAGGATGTGGAGAATGGAACCAAGTTGGAAAACACTCTGCAGGATATTATCCAGGAGAACTTCCCCAATCTAGCAAGGCAGGCCAACGTTCAGATTCAGGAAATACAGAGAACGCCACAAAGATACTCCTCGAGAAGAGCAACTCCAAGACACATAATTGTCAGATTCACCAAAGTTGAAATGAAGGAAAAAATGTTAAGGGCAGCCAGAGAGAAACGTCGGGTTACCCTCAAAGGAAAGCCCATCAGACTAACAGCGGATCTCTCGGCAGAAACCCTACAAGCCAGAAGAGAGTGGGGGCCAATATTCAACATTCTTAAAGAAAAGAATTTTCAACCCAGAATTTCATATCCAGCCAAACTAAGCTTCATAAGTGAAGGAGAAATAAAATACTTTATAGACAAGCAAATGCTGAGAGATTTTGTCACCACCAGGCCTGCCCTAAAAGAGCTCCTGAAGGAAGCGCTAAACATGGAAAGGAACAACCGGTACCAGCCGCTGCAAAATCATGCCAAAATGTAAAGACCATCGAGACTAGGAAGAAACTGCATCAACTAACGAGCAAAATCACCAGCTAACATCATAATGACAGGATCAAATTCACACATAACAATATTAACTTTAAATATAAATGGACTAAATTCTGCAATTAAAAGACACAGACTGGCAAGTTGGATAAAGAGTCAAGACCCATCAGTGTGCTGTATTCAGGAAACTCATCTCACGTGCAGAGACACACATAGGCTCAAAATAAAAGGATGGAGAAAGATCTACCAAGCCAATGGAAAACAAAAAAAGGCAGGGGTTGCAATCCTAGTCTCTGATAAAACAGACTTTAAACCAACAAAGATCAAAAGAGACAAAGAAGGCCATTACATAATGGTAAAGGGATCAATTCAACAAGAGGAGCTAACTATCCTAAATATTTATGCACCCAATACAGGAGCACCCAGATTCATAAAGCAAGTCCTGAGTGACCTACAAAGAGACTTAGACTCCCACACATTAATAATGGGAGACTTTAACACCCCACTGTCAACATTAGACAGATCAACGAGACAGAAAGTCAACAAGGATACCCAGGAATTGAACTCAGCTCTGCACCAAGGGGACCTAATAGACATCTACAGAACTCTCCACCCCAAATCAACAGAATATACATTTTTTTCAGCACCACACCACACCTATTCCAAAATTGACCACATAGTTGGAAGTAAAGCTCTCCTCAGCAAATGTAAAAGAACTCTGTTTTATTTTTAAGAAAAAAAATCTGCAGAGCACACAATATCCTCAAAAGTGAATTTCTGGATATCTAACAGGATTTCTGACAGTAGCAATAATTTAGGGAATAAACCATAGTAAAAGAGAGTCTAAGGAAACTTGAAGAGATGGAGATTTAGTAGGTTTATGGAAAGGCATGCAAGATGCCTTTCCCAATTTCACTGGAAATGTGTGGAGTGTTAAACCAATCACTCTTGGTATGGTCCAAGTTCTCTTTCTATGCAACGCTCCTTTGTGGGTTTGTAAAGCCCTTTGTGTTTCTTGGGGGGAAAGATGTAAGCGGCAGGGAAACTTTGTTCCTTGTGCCTAAAACAAGATTTGACATTCACAGTTACTGTAAAGTAAAAGTAAGACTGGTGGGAGTAGGGTACCCTGGAGGTTGCAATAGCAGCTGCTCTAAGTCTCAAAAGTAACGGCAGCAACATTTTCCCCACACGCACACTCTCAACTGTAAGTATTAGTGACTTTTACTTGTTGGGATTCTTAGTGTAAAGAATACAATTTTAAATTCATGGTTTCAGGAGAGAGGTCCCATGTCTCCACTTGACAAGTCCTATCTTAGATGCCATTTTCTGGTCCTTAAACGCCCCCTTCCCCTCTCCTCCAACCACTATGCTTCAGATGCTGCTGCATTACTAGCACCAGGCTGATCATAACAGTGGATACTACAAGGAAAAAAGCAAGTATCTGACCATGCTAAGTCATTTGGAGGCAGTGTAGTTGAAAGAACTTTGGAGTCAAAAAGACTTTGGTTCAGTCTCTGCATTTGCCACTCACTAGTTGTGTGGCTTTGGGCAAATTACCTAATCTTTCTGAGCCATAGTTTTCTTGTCTATAAAATGAGAATAATAATACTAACTTCACAGGATTGTTATGAGAATTCAATGATGTAAAGCACATAAAGTGAGGGCACAAAGTTGGTATTCAGTAAGTCTGAAAAAGCTTCTAGAGAACGTGACTGACTTCTAACAATTATATCTGTATTCAACTAATGTTTCTCCCACGTGACCATGTAGTGGTTGTTTCCTGCTTCTTGCATGCCTTCAATTTAACCCCTTTACTTATGTGTGTTACAGCTTATGGGCCAAAGAGCCATCATTCACTTGGAACAGAAAAAGAATGATATTGTCATCTCATCTTGATATTATAATTACTTACTATCTCTAATCCCCAGAATAGAAGCCCAAGATGCTAAAAGTGAGAAAAAAACAAAAAATAAAAAAGTTTGCAATGCAAACTAAACATTTCCTGCTCAATTCTCTTCTATTCTACAGTACAGGTTTGTTTCTATAGTATGAGATTGCTTTTGTGGTACAGGAGTGTAGAAATAGTACTCAAACTTTCAGTCATACCATAGTGATACTGTATACCACTGGCAATAATGTCCAAGGTCCTATCCTACTGACATAAAAGGATCTAGCGGTAAAGAGAGATGAACCCCACTGAGACAGCAGTTTGGGGTTGGGTCTATGTCTTATAGCTTTACTAAGATTCTAAACTTTCACTTTAAAAATTCACTTTAAGCTTTTCTACCAAGAGACAGTAAAGTGAGCAGATGCCCCCACAACCCCAGTGGAATGCTTGTGGCTAGAAAAAGCTTCCAGTCAAGTAGCTCTACAGAAAGCCCAGCCTGCCCAAGGCTCAGGCAAGAAAAGGTCAACACAGATACTGGAAGCATCAAAAAGACAAAATGAACACCTGCCCAGAGGGGCAAAATAAGACAAGGAAGACTTTATTTTTGTTCTTATCTTTCCACACCACCTGTAACTCTACTCAAGTTATTTAACATATCTGAGGTTGTTATCTGTGTCTATATGTAAAATGAGAGTAACTTCCACTTCATGTGCAGAGATGATGGGAGGATTAGAGTGCCTACCATAGTGCCTGGAACATAGTAGGAATGTAATCAATGATAATTTTTTAGAATATAGCTTGAGATCTTTATTACAGCACTTGGCTTATTTAGTCTAGAATAAGTAAATCAGATGTTAGTTTTTATAAAATAATTTTAACTGCTCAAAGTTAACATAATTTCATGGCTGAGAGGAATCTTAGAGGTCTAGATTTTTTAAATGTAAAAGTATTATTCTGGCACATTGTTATAGTAATCAGCTCCGACGAATTCTTTTGCTACAGTATTTTGTAACTAAGCTATTCAGAAAAAGCACAGGTTGCTAGGGCCTAACAGCCAACATCATAGCTAAGTGTTACAGAATACTTACTATAGTAGATCTCTGTAGGCAAAATGCAGTCTGTTATTGGAGAGACCATGTACAGGTTAGTTCGATGTTAAGGCACAGACATACCTATATGATATAGTCTCACTCCATTTCTGCCAACTGTAAGATGGGAAGGAAGGTCTTTACAGGAGGGTGAGGGAGAAGAAATATTGACTCCTTGTCACCCAGATTAGACCATACCATTTTTCAGAGAGTCAAATATGAGAGAAACTAAGATGGCAAAGCTAGGCAGACTATTGTGGTCAAAGAAGCTATAAAGCCCTGAAATCACAGTGAAATCACAGAGCCACTTGAGTTGTGACTGATATAAAATCTCAGTGAAAAACATACCCTGGCCTTTTCTAAGTTTTCTCAGTAAAAAAAACAGATCCTGGACTTTTCTAAGTTATAATAGAAACACTAAAAAATAGAAAATAGAAACACTAAAAAATGAGAAATATAAGTGATAAAAGAAAAAAAATAGATGAATTGAACTTTATCAAAATTAAAAACTCTGTGCTGCAAATGAAACCAACAATAAAGTGAAAAGGCCATCCACAGAATGAGACAAAATATTGGCAAATAATATATCTTATAAGAGATGGGATCCAGAATATATAAATAACTTAATAATAAAAAGACAAATAATCTGCTTGAAGACTAGGCAAAATATCTAAATAGACATTCCTCTAAAGAAAATATACAAATGGCCAATAATCACATGAAAAGATGCTTGACATCATCGGTCATCAGGGAAATGTAAATGAAAACTACAGTGAGATACCACTTCACACCCACTATGATATAATCAAAAAGATAAATAGTAACAAGTGTTGATGAGAAGACAAACAAATTAGAACCCTTATCTGCTACTGGTGGGATTATAAAATGATGTAGCTACTTTGGAAAACAGTCTGGTATTTCCTTAAAAAGCTGACACAAAGTTAACATTTGGCCCAGCAATTCCACTTCTAGGTACATAGCTAAGATAAATAAAAACATATTTCCATAAAAATCTTGTAAATGAATGTTCACAGTAGCATTATTCATAATATCCCAAAGCAGGAACAACCTGTGTTCATCAACTGATGAGTGGATAAAATATAGTATATTCATAAATGGAATATGATTCATCCACAAAAAGGAATGAAGTACTGTATATGCTATAACGCAGATGGACCTTGACTTATATGCTAAGGAAAGTAAGCCAGACACAAAGGGACAAATATTGTATGATTCCACTTATCTGAGGGAACTAGAATAGGTAGTCATAGATACAGAAAGTACAATAGAGGTGACCAGGGGCTGCAGGGAGCAGGGTCATGGGGAGTTATTGTTTGATGGACACAGAGTTTCTTTTTGGAAGGAGGAAAAAGTTCTGGAAATGTACAGTGGCAATGGTTGCACAACATTATGAATATACTCAGTGACACTGAATTGTATACTTAAAAATGGTTAAAATGGTAAATTTTGTTATGTATATTTTACCATGATAAAAAAGGAATGAAGTATTGATATATGTTACAACCTGGATAAACCTTGAAAAAATTATGCTAAGAGAAAGAAGCCAGACACAAAATACCACGTAGTGTATGAATCCATTGATATGAAATGTCTCGAATAGGCAAACTTATTGAGATAGAAAGTAGATTGCTGGTTGCCTATGACTGGGAGAGGGAATAGGGGAATTGAGGGATAATAGCTAAAGGGTTTCTTTTTGAGGTGATGAAATTGTTCTAGAATAAATTGTGGTGATGATTGCACAAGTCTGAGAACATTCTAAAAACCACTGAATTGTATAAATGGGTGAAGTGTATGATATGTGAATTATATCTCGAGAAAGCTGCTTTTTTTCTTTCTTTCTTTTTTTTTTTTTTTTTTGAGACAGATTCTGGCTCTGTCACCCAGGATGGAGTGCAGTGATGCAACTTCAGCTCACTGCAACCTCCGCCTCCCGGGTTCAAGCAATTCTTGTGCCTCAGCCACCCAAATAGCTGGGATTACAGACGTGTACCACCACACCCAGCTAATTTTTTTTTTTTTTTTTTTTTTTTTTTTTTTTTTTAGAGATGGAGTTTCACTACATTGGCCAGGCTGGTCTCGAACTCCTGAACTCAGGCAATCCTTCCACCTTGGTCTCCCAAAGTGCTGGAATTACAGGCGTGCCTCACTGGGCTGGGCCTGTTTAGTTATTTTAATAAAATATTGTCTTAATTTTTTAAAAGATAAAAGTGAGCTAATATAATTCTTTCAAATAAATCACATCTGTGTCTAAAAGCTGGCATTTTTGATGATACTGACAAAGGCCAAAGGACCTTGTGGCCACATCCTCAAAGTACAAGGGATGCTAACAGGAAATGAATGGTCTTCTTGAATGTTGAAACTGCAAACGTAAGGACATCCCACATATTTATATGGTATTTAGTTTACAAAACACTTTCTGATATATTTCTGATGCATTGATCTTGTCAATACCCTTGTGAGGTTATCAGGATCAGTGTTAGGTCATTTCCTTCCTCTGCCCAAAAAACTGAGCACGTAAGTCCCATAGCTAGTTCGTGTTTGAACTAGATCTGAATTCCAGATGTATTTCCAACTGAATGATCTGTCTAATATACTGTTCTGTTTAATAAATAAGATCACACAGTACTCCATAAACAGGACACATTTTTGTATAGCAAAAGCAAACTAAAAATGTGAAAAATATATACATGGGCCATTAATATCCAAAACTCTTCCATGCTGTTCATTTGTGTTTCTAGCTCCAATTTATCTTTTTGTGTGATCTTTGAAGAAGTTTACTGTTATGTGAACTTAATGGTTTTAAATGAAAGCATTAATTTCATAAAATAAACCTAGGTAGAGTTTGGGGCAAATGGGTTCTAGGTAATAATTTTGTTAATAAGTATTTTCTGACCATGTAGATTTATATTACTTTGGAATTAGACCTAGACATGGTCTCTCACCTCAAGGAACTGCCAATCTAAGAGAAGGCAGAAGCAAGACAAATGAACATGTGACCAAAAAAGAAACAGACAAATACATTAGAATTGTGGTGTCAAGGGGTTCAGGCTAGAAGAAAAATGATAATGGACTTTAGAATAGATAGGATGGCTGAGAACAATGACTTAAAAAGTGTTTCAGAAAAGCCTTCGTTGGAATGCCTAGTTCAAGTCTGCCATTTCCCTGCAAAAGGAGAGGAAAGAGATTCTAATCAGAATAGCAGTAAAAGAGCAGTTTGTATTATTTTTCTCTCACAGGTCTCAACCAGTGCAGGAACAGGGGTAATATAGAATATGATTTAAAAATTCATTGGTGTGTTTCCTAAGCATATGATGTTGAATGAAGGATTCATTTCATTGAATAGAAAAGGAAAAATGTCAAACTGTTTGATGTCTGTTCCAAGAAATGTATCCAAAATCTTTGAACTTGTCAATCAATAATGTGAACAAAGAAAATAACTTCTGTAATTTCCATGGCACTTAGTCCAAGGCTTGAAAAAATAGCTATTTCTATATTAATGATTTTTATAGGGCCTCAGGCAATTTGAAAAGAAAAGTTTCAAGATCTAGCACATAATCAAGATCTGACCTTTGGACCCCTTTTCCACCCCCCCTCCCCCTGTCACAGCTACCTCCATTGAATTTCTTCCTAAGAACAGAGAGAAACCTATAGAGAAATAGATCCACCTTGTTTTCTCCAAATCATTACACTCCCATCAGAAGCCTGGTTCATACCCACTGAGAGAAATGATCAGGTACTTTGTTGGAAATCAATACCCTGAAATAGTGATTGTTAGTTCTGGTCTTACAATATCCCATTGGGTCTCTGATATTTTCCCAAGGGGTATTAGGAAATTCTCAAAACACTAATTTTAGTTCACTTCAGCTTTTAGTGTAAACATATGCCAAATGGCACTTTTTTGGGGTGAGGGGAAGAGATTTGGCCAGGAAAAAAATTCCAAACTCCAGCTAACGATAGAGGACTGTAACTCCAGAGGTGGGAACCACTACTTTAGTTCTCTGCTTGGCACAAACATTGAGCCATGATCTTCCGTTGCCTCTCTGGTGTCAGAAAAAATGAGAAAGAATAGGGATAACTTTGATGTTCACATTCTAATACTTTAAAAACACATATACCTAGAAAGTCTTCTTAATTCTTAACCGTGTCTATATCTGGGAGCTAAGATTGTGGTGTTACATTCCTTCTGTTACATCATAAATTTCTCTGATATTTAATTTTGTTTTAAAAGGAGCATGTATTACTTTTGTATTTATTAAAACTTTCAATTAAGGTTTCAGAAGCCCTGAAAAAAAATAAATTAGAATTATTAAACCTAAAAAGACAAACTAAATAGCTTTAAGCCTGAAAACAGCTGGGTTTACACATAAAGAGCAGTGCTCTAGAATTCTTATACCACCATGACACGTTTCTATGTCTGATAGAAACATAATGTGAGTCACAAATGTGAGCCACATAGGTAATTTAAAAATTTCTATTAACCATATTAAAAAAGTAAAAAGAATCAGGTGAAATTAATTTTTAATAGATTTTTTTTATGTAACCCAATAAACCTAAACTATTTTAATTTCAGCATGTAATCAATATAGATGTGTATTAATGAGATATTTTACATTGCTTTTTTGGTACTAAGTCTTTGAAATCTATTATGAAATCTATTTTACATTTATAGCACATTCACATTGGTCTATGTGTAGCCCACTTTTATTTATTTAGTTTTTTAAAAATTTCAACTTTTATTTTAGATTCAGGGAGTACATGTGCAGGTTTGTTATATGGGTATGTTGTGTGATGCCGAGGTTTGTAGCAAAATTGATTCCATCACCAGATAGTGAGCATAGTACCCAAAATGTAGTTTTTCAACCCTTGCCCTCTCCCTCCCTCCTTCCCTCCCTCCACATGTAGTCCCCAGTGTCTATTGTTGCCATCTTTATGTCCATATGTACCCGATGTTTAGCTCCCACTTACAAGTGAGAACACCTGGTATTTGGTTTTCTGTTTCTGTGTTAATTCGCTTAGGATAATGGCCTCCAGCTGTATCCATGTACCTGTACAGGCCATACTTTTATTCTTTTTTATAGCTGCGTTATATTCCACGGTGTATATGAACCACATTTTCTTTATCCAATCTGCCATTGATGTGCACCTAGGTTGATTCCATGTCTTTGCTATTGTGAAGAGTGCTGCCATGAACATATGAGTGCATACATCTTTTTGGTAGAATGGTTTATTTTCTTTTGGATATATACCCAGTAACGGGATTGTTGGGTCAAATGGTAGTTCTACTTTTAGTTCTTTGAGCAATCTCCAAACTGCTTTCCACAGTGGTTGAACTAGTTTACATTCCCACCAACAGTGCATAAGTGTTCCATTTTCTCCACAACCTCACTAGCATTTGTTATTTTTTGACTTTTTAATAAAAGCCATTCTGACTGGTGTGAGATGGTTTCTCATTGTGATTTTGATTTGCATTTCTCTAATGATTAGTGATGCCGAACATTTTTTCATGTTTCTTGGCCACTTGTATATCTTCTTTTGAGAAGTGTCTGTTCATATCTTTTGCCCATTTTTAAAGGGGGTTATTTGTTTTCTGCTTGTTCAATTTCCTTGTTCTATGTTTGTATTAAACGTATTTAAGAAGCAAGTCATCTTGGACCTGTAATAAAGACAAACTTAAGTTCCTTATAGATTCTGGATATCAGACCTTTGTCAGATGTATAGTTTGCAAATATTTGTAGGTTGTCTGTTTGCTCTGTTGAAATTTATTTTGCTGTGCAGAAGCTCTTTAGTTTAATTAGGTCCCACTTAATTTTTGTTTTTGTTACAATTGTTTTTGATAACTTAGTCATACATTCTTTCCCAAAGCTGATGTCCAGAATGGTGTTTCCTCGGTTTTTGTTTAGGATTCTTACAGTCTGAGGTCTTATATTTAAGTCTTTAATCAATCTTGAGTTAATTTTTGTATATGGTGATGGGTAGGGGTCCAGTTTCATTCTTCTACATATTTCATTATTTTGGACAGTCAGTTATCCCAGCATTATTATTGAATAGTGACTCCTTTCCCCCATTGCTTATTTTTGTATTTATTTAGCTTTAATAAAATAATGTAATAAGCACTTGTAAAACAGTCACCCAAAGCAAAAGCTAGGACTTTGTTAAAAACTTACATTCAACCATATATTTCCTTCTCACTCTCATCTCCCTACAATTTACCCACTCAAGTAATCTTTTTTTTTCAAGTAATCTTTATCCTGAATCCTGTGTTCATTCATTCCCTCAATTTCCTTTTCATATAATTATATCACATTTGTATATATTCCTAATATATATATATATATTTAAAGTTAGTTGTTTGTAACTTACAAAGGTTATTATGCTACATTTAATATTTTAGGACTTAGTCTTTTCAATATTAAATTAGGTTTGTCTTTATTACAGGTCCGAGATGACTTGCTTCTTAAATACGTTTAATACAAACATAGTTTTTTCTTTTGTTGGCAAATTCAACATAGGGGATTTACTTTTTATAAGCTTAACATTATATTGGTAAGATTCACTCATATTCATAACTGTTGCTACAGTTCATTGGTTTGGTTGCTGTTTAATATTTCATTGTATGAATATATCGTAGTTTATCCATACACTATTCTGTTGATGGGCATTTGGGTTGTTAGATTTTGACGCTGTATAAGTCTCCTGTCGTATATATGGAAGAATGTCTTTTGAGAGAGATCTAGGAACTCACAATTCTCATCCAACTGGGACAACTAGGGAATGAGGGAGAAGGCAATGCAAGTTAGAGGGAGTTCCAATATGGATCAGAACCAGTAGGAGGAGCAATGGGCAAGGAGTGGAGCTGCTTGTGAAGGCCCAAGAAACACTGTAAGTGGCAGCTGGTCCTAGTTTTACAATCTTTGTTTGCTCTACTGGACTGGACCACGTGGTGTTAGAGCTTGGAACAGTAGCAGTAGGTATAGCCAGGCCCTACTGCTGAAGGTTCCCATACAAATTTTGAGAATGCTAAGACATTTGAGGTTGTAGTTCAGCCATCTAGAGAACTTGGGTCCTGTCTTCCCACAAGATCCTTGTCTTGTTTTTGGTGGTCAGTCCCTTTCCTCTGCATTCCCTAAGCTGTCTTTCAGCACTGGGCTATGTGTGGGTATACACTGGAGGTATTGGGAAGGCAAGAGAAGAGCTTGACTTTTGGTGTATATAAAAACATTATCTGGGGGTGGAGGAAAAGATTGAAAACTCTAAAATAAGTAAGGAGTTTTCTGTTTTTCTGTCCCAGACTGCATGCAAGTTCATAATTAAGAACAACCTCTAGGAGTTAGGGCTTAGATTAGCTTAGATTAGCTTAGATTAGCTTAGTTAGTTATAGCTAATTCAAATGGAAAAGAAAATGAATCTGTGACTGTTAGTTGGATCAACTACAAGAGAATGATTTTGAAGGAAAAGGGGATGAGGAATTCATATAAGGTAAGGAAGGAGACAAAGCAATAGGTAGTTGGAAGGCCTAAACCAAGGGCATGGCAATGACAGAAAGGAGAATTACATGGGTGCATAAGGGGATACAGAACTCAGATTTGCCCAGGGCTTTACATTTTAAAAATTGGTTTTTCAAATAACATTGTATTTAATCCCCATATCATCCCAGTGATGTATTACTGTTATTGCCATTTTATAGGAACTGAGGCTGAGAGATCAAGAAGCATGTTCAAAGTTTCATAGAAAATAAGTGGCAGACTTACAACTTGAACCCAGGTCCTTAAATGTGAAACCAAAGTCCATTTTACTGCCCCAGTGACTGCAACTGTGGTATTGAAGTGTACTGCAAACATTTTGTTACTAACGAAGTCCTGAAGGTCATTAATAATTTACTTAAATAAAAACTGGAACAAATGTTATTTCTATGATAGTGTCACTCTTATTCACATTCTGATAGGCTTTCTTGAGCAAGAAGAAAAGGGGGCCTAGTTACAGCCATCGTGCTAGAAAAATCTACAGAACCCCAAGGGCTCCAGGGAGGGTGTTCTGCATGTGAATGTTATCTAAGCTCTGTATTATGCCAATAAATGGTGAAGAGTGCCACACTATACCTTAGCAATCAGAAAAATCATAAAATTTGGGAGAAGAAGGGGAGATAATAAATATGTGATGATAAATTACAATGTAATTTTGTTTCTTAACTTACATTTAAATGTGAAAATGGAACATTATGTATATTACACAGTATAGCCCTTTGAGGAAGCCATTTGTGCACAGTATCATTACTGTGGTACAGGGATAGAACTGGAAAGAGCCTGAAGGCTTCTCCCTCATGAACAAATATTTACAACAACTTCTTCCCTTGATCTCCCAATAAGTTACCAATTAGTTGCCATTTTATATATATAACTCACTGTGGCTTCATAGACAACTGCATTGTCTACTGACCATCTCTTAAGCTCTTTCAAATATAGTTTTCTTTTTTGAAAGAAGGGTATGCTTTAGCATTGGGCCTGCAGCATGTTTTCTTTCAATCTACAAATATTCATTAAGTACTTAACTGTTTGCATTATGCTAGTTGCCACACCGAGATAGAAGGAATCTCTAACCTCTTTTGGCTTGTTACATAGCTGTGAAGACGCGAGAAGCACATGAAAAAGGCCTAGAAATTATAAGTATCTTAAGCATGCACGTGGAAGAATGTAAACTAAGATGAGCTATCTGGATAGAGGTTTATCAAGGCCTCTTAAAGGCTATGAAGCCTACAGCTGGATCTTGGAAGGATGAATAAGGATCAAAAGTGAGGAGGTAAAAAGGCAGTCAAGGAGGGGGACTGGCTTGAGTCAAACAAGAGGCTGTAACCAGAAATGTCTGGTGGAAAAGATTACTTACTTTGTTGCTATGGTTGCCACCCCATGGCAATGTTGCATGATATACTAAACATAACCAGGACTTTGGTTTTCTCATAATCTCTTATTTCTTTGACATTCCCAAATTAATAAACTGTTTCAAACCATTTTTCTGTATTCAACTTTTATGATAAATAATACTTCACATTTGTACATCATTTTACAGTTTGCATAGCATTTGCACAGACATCAATTCATTTGACCTTCTACAGCAATCAGTGAAATGACATGGAGGCTGACTAGTTCCAAATTAGAGGACGAGTGAGTGAGGGAGCTCAGGACTTCAACCCAGATCAGGTTTGGTCCAGTCTTCAACATTTACTTGTACAGTTTTGATCAATAATTTATATTCATAAATAATATTGTTAAGGTCCTACAGATTCTGATATATATTTGGCATCAGGAATTATTAAACTGTGTCCTGAGTCATTTTTATGTTTAGCATATTTGATTGTTATTCAATTCTTTAGAAATCCATATGAAATATTTTAGAATACATTATATAATCTTTAAGACGGCATTTATAGAGTTGGCTTGAACACTATACCTCAGATTTCTTTCTAATTACAATGCTATATAGTCCTCACCTAATAAGAGTTATGCACAGTTTAACACCTTGCTTCCTTGGCTCCATATAAGGAGTTCCACAGAAATGAGTTTTCTGGGTAATTAAGGTCTACTTCGTTGACAGCAAACTTTGAAACCTGACAGAAATCTTTGTAAAGTGTTTTGAGACTTCCCTGTCTTATCACGCTAGATACAGCTGTCTATTGAGGACTAAGAATCACCATGAAGATCCCGTTCTGGACCATATAGTGAGATGTTCAGTATACAGGGAAGCTTGGTCCCAATGTTGAGCAGCACTTTATGTTTTTCTAGGTGTTTTAGCATTTATTATCCTTTTTGATCATCACAATCCTGTGAGATAAGCAGGATAACTTCTTTTCAACTACGAAATAGCTAAGAGATTAAGGTGCTTGAAAAAAAAAGCATTCTCATTCATTCGACTCATAACCTGAGAAATAAATTAGTACTATTCTCATTTTACAGTTGATACTAATAATTACCAATTATTGAGCACCTGTTATGTTGCCTGCAATGGTTTAGGCATTTTAATTTATCTCTAGTCCTTATAAAGTCTTATCAAAGGAAGTATCATTACTATCATTATATAATGAGAAAAGTTAGCTTGAGAGAGGTTACATGACTTGGCCAAGGCCACAAAGCTAAAAGTAGTAGAGCTAGGATTTGTGTGATTTTAAATCTTATGCTCTTTCCTTACTCCAAACTGTCTCAGAGAGAAACTAAGGGTCAGAAACTTGATATCAACTGAATTTTTTCTTTCTTTCTTTTTCTTTTTGAGACAGGTCATCACTTTGTTGCCCAAGTTCAAGTGCAGTGGTGCAGTCATAGCTCACTGCAGCCTCAAACTCCTGGGCTCAAGTGATCCTCCTGCCTCAACCTCTCAAGTAGCTGGGACTACACATGTGTACCACCCAGCTTGGCCAATTAAAAAAAATTTTTTTTGAGATGGGGGTCTTGCTATGTTCCCCGGCTGGTCTCAAGTTCCTGGCCTCAAGAGATCCTCCTGCCTTGGTCTCCCAAAGTACTGGGAATACAGGTGTGAGCCACCACACCTGGCCTTGTTCTTTTTTCTTTCTTATGTGTGTATTTCACCCATGTACTAGAAGCTTTACTACACTAAATTTGGGCCTTGCTTCTGATAGCTTCTGGATTTTGCATACTATGCTACAGGGTGGGAAGAATGAATTAGACTCAAAATGCTGAAATGACTCTGAGATAAAATATGTGTACCGCAAATATGCCTTTCTCCTTTAAATAGGTTACAATGTAAACTTATTTTTAAAGAGTTTTGGAGATGATGTATAAAAATAACATAGTATACAAACCAATAACTTTATGACTCATGAAAAAAGTTTTTTTGTGTAATCTGAAATATAAAATTCCACTTTTGGAAGTATACAATTCATACTTTATAATCTGATCATTTCAACACATTTATTTTTTAAAGAGATGAAATACATCTGAAATTCAAGGAGAGAATTAAATTGCTGTATTTACAATAACTGAACATCCTCTCAGGAGATACTGTGAAGCTATCATGAGAAACACATTCTTTTCCATTTCCTTTTAAAGAAATCATATTTCTAAACAGATTAGGATCGAAACATAGCAAATTACCAAGTCAATCTTCTTCCCACTCTTCTGGCACAATGTAAGATAATGAGTTGCTGAATTTCATCTACACAGATGACACTACTAACTTTCTGGCAGCAGGCCAGGCCCACGACTTGTTGTGCTATAGGGAGAATAGATCTGCACAAAGACCTCTTCTTTCCAGTATACCATGTGACAAAGAGCATAGGTTGATTAGACCTCTGGCTCGCAGTATATAGAATTCAGCGTGACTAGACCCTAAACAAGTGACTTAATGCACCAGAGTACTAGGTTCATTAAAGGAGCTACATGCTGGAAGCAGTGGTAAAATGCAGCCAAGATTCATAAGCTTACAGCAAAGCGTCCTTGGTACTTCACCATTTCAAAAACAGCTCTCTCTACATTTGTGAACATGTTAATTACATAGGACTTATGTTCTCTAAGTCAGCTAAGAGTCTTACACAAGGAAGGTAGGATCAATCATTGCTTCTAAATTACATCAAGGTACTAAATGTATTTTGCTGCCTTGCACCAGATATTGGTATAGTAGAAGATCAGAGAAATTAAAACTGCTACCAGTGTTAAGAACCATTATACATGGCTTACATTTTATATTTATTAGCAAGGAAGAATTGTGCTTGCCTTGCTAACATTTATTTCTGTGTATGGAGGCTAGCGGAGAGAAATAGTGAGGTAGGGAAGATGCTAAGATAATTTGGGATTGAAAGGCCACTTATTAAGTACCTGAATGGGCATTTGAAGGCCCCCTTAGGCTATTTTGGCCTCTTGTCACATTTTCTCTGCCCAACAGTTTTGGCTTTCTCTCAGCCCTTATTCTAAGCCTCATGCCGAGAGGAAAGCCAGCAAACCTAGGGGATTGGTTAGCTTTGTACTTGCTGTTCCCTTTGTTAGAAATGGGTTGTCTAGCTTTCTTCATCAAAGTCCCATTCACCTTCCAAAACATAATTGTCACCTAATTCGTCATATATGCATGCCTAGTATGTGCCAGCCATTATGCACTTCTCCTCAGAGATGTATTTAATGTATTTGGTTGACCATTCTGTGGTTCCCTCCTCTATGCTCCCATGACAGTCTTATCATACTTCTATGTAAGTACTTATCTATCACCTTTGTGAATTACTTATAAGATTTTCTCTTTTCTGAAGGCTGTGGGCTTCCAGAGCTTAAAAAAAACCCCATATTTTATGCATCTTTGTGTCCCCGGGTGTAATATAACACAGTGTCTTCCACATAATAGATGCTTAATGAATCTCTAGCTATTCCTCTCTTCTCCTCCTCTCTTTTGTTTATATTTGCTGTTTTCTAATTCCTCATCTGGTTTCATCATGAACCCTTCTGCCCCAACTACTGTACTAAAACTGCTCTCACCAGCGTTGCCAACATCTTTCTTACTGAATAAGGCATCCTCTTTCCACTGGGCTTGTTGAATTGGTAAGATGTAAGTCTAGAGCTTCTAGTAGCTATTTTTGTCACCTCATAGTGAGAACCTACATGAAGAATGAGGCCAATACAAAGGAAAGCAGAGCGGAGAAAGTCCTGATGATATCATTTAAGCCCTAAGGTTAAGCCATGTTTTAAGCCAGCTTCATGAAGGACTTTGCAGTTAAATGAGGCAATAAATCCTCCCCCTCCTTCTTTTCTAAAATCTTAAGCCAATTTAGGCCAGCTATCTGTCACTTGTAACTGAGAGAGTCCTAATGTAGCTAATTATCTCCATATCTATATTTTCAGACCAGCTATCTCTCTTGAGCTTCAGATGCATATCTTGGACTGCTTACAGGTTTCTCCTCCTTGAATTTCCCACTGGTACCTGAAACTCAACCTGTCCAAAACCACACATCTTCTTCCCCGATCATTATATCAGTGACTAGTATAGTACCTTGCCAGAAACCTGGGTGGCTTCCTTGACTCTTCTTTTTCTCCCTTCAATCAAATCACCAAGTCCTATTTTTTCTACCTAGGAACTCAAATCTATCTACTTCTGTCTTTATTGCTGTTACTTTAATTCAGCCACTGTCATTCCTTTTGTGTATCATTACAGCAATCTCCTCCCTTCTTTGTCTTCATTATGCCCTCTCACGTCCATTATTTTCTATCCACTTTAACCACTTTTTATATTCTTATAAATTACAGTTACACATGTTATTGTAACAAATCAAACATATAGAACTACATAAAGAACCATTTAATAGTTATTCCCTTCCCATCCAACCCTCTTCCACCCAAGGTAATCGATATTCACTGATGCTTCCCTTTCCCACATCTGTTCCTATGTTTATATATATATATATACACACACACACCTATAATATTTATAAAATATTTTATATATGTTTACATATAAAATAAAAAATATATGTTAAAATCTTTCTCTATGAAAATGGGATCATATTATACACATTACTCTAAAACTTGCATTTTTAAACCTAGCAATAGAACATGGCTACTTCAGACCATTACACAGAACTACATAGAACTCATTCCTTTTAATAGTAATAATATTACCATTATTATTACACTGAATAATAATATACATAATATTCAATAGTATGTCTATGTCGTAGTTTATTTTACCATTTTCTTATTCATAGATATTAGAGTTATCCCTCCTTTTGGCAACAAAACAGTGATATAATAAATATCCTTTTATGTATGACCTATATACTAGAATTCTCATTTTTTTTTTTTTTTTTGAGATGGAGTCTCACTCTTTCGCCCAGGCTGCAGTGGTGCGATCTTGGCTCACTGCAACCTCCACCTCCCGGGTACAAGCAATTCTCCTGCCTCAGCCTCCCTAGTAGCTGGGGTTACAGGCCATGCCACCACACCTGGCTAATTTTTGTATTTTTAGTAGAGACGGGGTTTCACCATGTTAGCCAGGCTGGTCTCGAACTCCTGACCTCAGGTGATCCACCTGCCTCGGCCTCCCAAAGTGTTGGGATTACAGGCGTGAGCCACTGCACCCGGCTGAATTCTTATTTTTGTAGGCTAGATTCCCAAGACAGTGAATGCTGGATCACAGGTATCCTAATGTTTAACTTTACCAGAGAGATTAAAATCCAAAATGGTTATAACAATTTACATTCTTTCCAGCAATATATGAGTTTTTCCACCCCTAATTATAATAGGATGTTAATGTATTATAAAATTGTTGCTAATGTATTTAGGTAATGAGTAGAAAATGGCATATCATGACCATTTTATTTATTTTTATTTTTTTGAGAAACGGTCTTGTACTGTCACCCAGGCTGGAGAGCAGAGGCTCAATCATAGCTCACTGCAGCCTTGAACTCCTAGGCTCAAGCAATCCTCCCACCTTAGCCTCCCATGCAGCTGGGACTACAGGTGCATGCCACCACAATTCGCTAATAAAAAAAATTTTTGTAGAGATGCAGTCTCACTATGTTGTCCAGACTGGTTTCAAACTCCTGGCCTCAAGCCATCTTCTCACCTTGGCCTCCCAAAGTGCTGGGATTACAGGCGTAAGCCACCGTGTCCAGACTATTTTTAAAATTAAATTTTATCTGTTTATTTTAAACTGGTAGAACATGCACATGTTCAACTAGTCAACTCCCTCCTCACCTCAGCCCCAAACACTCAGTTTTCTTCCTCAGAGCAACCATGATGACCAGTTACAGATTTATCATATTTAATGAGTTCCTAAATAATGGACATGTATTTCTAATTCTCTGCTATTATAAATAGTACAGCAAAGAATATCTTCATTGATAAATGATTTCCAGTATGTTAGTATATCTATAAATAGAAGTGGAATTGCTGGATTACAGTATGTGTGTTTAGCATTTGAAGATATTTGCCATATAATCTATTCTTGACATTGATCCTGTACTTCCCCATTGCCTTTAGGATAGTTTCTAAATTCCATAAAATGGATTCCAAAGCCCTGCGTGATTTGACCCCTCTTGGCCAGCTCATTTATGATCATTTTCACTTTAGATCTTTATCCTACACCCTTACAAACTTCTTTTAGTTCCTTAAATGAGCCATGCTCCCTCTTTACTCTAAGCCTTCCAACATGTATATTCTCTCTGCCTGGTGCACACTTCCCTCAAATCTTCATTTGGCTAACTATAGCATCCATCAGTTTGCAGCTCAGATGTTACACTTATTAGGAGACATTCCCTGTCCTCCCAAGTCTAGATCAGGTGCCAGTGTGTCCCATAGCACCCTGTGCTTACCCCATTATATGGTCACTACACTGTATTGAAATCATCCACAGTGAGTTTGATTAGGGTAGGGTCTTATCTTGTTCACTACTGTGCCCTTAGTGTCTGGAAGGGTGATCAATAAACATTGATTTAACAACTAGTTTGGTACTTAATAAACATTTACTGAATGAATGAGTTTTTTAAAAAAGGAAGCTGTAGTAGTTCCTTATCTTTGAGACTGAAGAGGCCCTACAGGTCAAGGAGTAGAATCTAGGGTAAGGCAGGGTTGTGTAAGTAATACACTACAGAGCCAACAGGTGCCTTCTGACCGCACATCTATATCTGCCTGTGATATTTTGAGGAGCCATACAGAAGTGAGCTAGCAGTTCACCACTCAGCCAACAGATTAACCTTCTTAGCCTTCACTTCATGAAACCATTTGCATGCACTTAATCCTTATTGAGCGTTCTCAGGGATGCTAATGAAAAGGCTCACTGACCATCCAAATTGAAACCCTTAGTATTTAATCATCTAGACATAGACATCATCTGATTGGCTAAAACTAGCCTAGCTATTATCATTATATTATAGAAGTCAGGAATAGTTAGTAACAAGTTATATCAGAGTTGGAAGGAAACAATTCAACCATCTATTCTAGTAGTTCAACATCTTTTCTTATCCTAATACATCTGAAGGATATGATATGCTCTCATCAGTAATAGTACCTTCCTCAGTATAGTTTTCTTAATGGGGTGTAGAGTGGTCAGAATTCCCAGGAGTATGCATGCTTCAAAAAAAAACTCCTTATATGCTTTTGGATCTCTTACAATCCAGTTGAGAATCACTGATTCTAGTTTAACCCTTTAGAAGAGACTAAGATCAGAGAAGTGAAGTAAGACTTTCCTAAGGTCATCCTGCTACTATAACTACTAATGGCAGAGCTGGAATTAGAATCTAGATCTCCTGGCTTAGAGTTCACCAATTTCCCTAATATTGAGAAAAAAATAACTAGAAGGAACTTTAGAGAGACTGAGTAGACAGGAAGGACCTTTAGAGAACATCAGGTCAGGTGGGCCTATGACTTCCTTTAGGCAAGTGAGATATTCCTCAAAGATGTCTTAACTTTATAAGCAGTATTGTAGCGGGGCAGTGGGTGGGGAGGGCATGTTCACATTATACCTTTCCTGATTCTGTATTGCTCATATTTGTTATAATATATGTATCATTTTTGTAATTTAAAAAATCCCATAAATATTTTAAGCATCTTAATCTTTAACCTCTATACCCAATTCAATTTAGGCCTTACATACTAAGTACAGGAGTTTGGTAGCTATACCAATTACAGAACCTGGTACAACGTCTTACAAGCAGTTGGTATTCTAAAAATGCTTGTTAACCAAGTGTTAGTGGTGATGGCCTGTTGAGATCATTTACTGCAGGGCTAGTTCCATCAATGAAAATACAGTTTTAAAGGATATTTTGGAGTATGAGCAAGCTAGATATTTTAGCTTACTTAATGTCTTATTTGATACAAAGCCACTCTCCAGAGTGTTCTGCTGTGGGCACTTAAGCTGTTGGCACCCACTACCAGCAGGCAACCTTGGGGATTCTACATGTGAAATCAACAATCCTCTTCGAGTCCACACACATGGTGAGCCTTCAAAAGCTTTACTTTTGTCTTGTGAACAAGCCCCTGAAACTCTATCGCTCTCAAAATGATTTTACTCTCTCATTTGATAATCCACAGTGATGGCTCACTGAAAGCAATAAATACAAGAGCAGTACTAAAATGAGGGCAATTCTTAATTCTAGCTAACATTTGTACGGGCAGAAAGTCTGTTTTCTTTGACATCATAGACTCTCATGTTCATCTGTATCAATTTAATAGTAGCTATGCCCCATTCCATTATTATTTTTAAAAATTGAAGTACAAAGGATATATTTCAATCTTGTTTTTCCCTCTACTCTTTTATAATAGTAGAAAAGAATACTAAGTTTTTTGATATGTCCAAAAGTAAACTACAAGGAAGAGAAATTTCTGAAATACTAACAAAAAGGGATACATATATACAGCCAGCCAGCCAGAGTGAGATAGTGCCACAGAGCAATGTGCAGATGTGATCATTTGCTGTGATGAGGTAGGCCATAGTGTGAGGCTTGGAGTCTTCTTCCTATGGGCTTGGATAGCATGAGTGAGAACAAAAATGGGCAATTTGGCTGATAGAGAGCATTTCTGAAGAAATTATAATTGTTGTCCATAAATTAGGGAATGTGAATGCCCCAAATGCCTGGCACACCATACTAGTGTGTTCATTTTCCAGAGAGAGCATAGTAATAGCACTTAATAATTTTTGAAGTATTTTTGTAGGCCAGGTGCAGTGGCTCGTGCCTGTGATCCCAGCACTTTGGGAGGCCGAGGCGTGAGGATCATTTGAGGTCAGGAGTTTGAGATCAGCCTGGCCAACAAGGTGAAACCCTGCCTCTACTAAAATATAAAAGTTAGCCAGGTGTGGTGGCGGGTGCCTGTAATCCCAGCTACTTGGGAGGCTGAGGCA